>NC_000003.12:17510000-18760000 GCF_000001405.40 Homo sapiens
TTCAAAACATAAACCAAGTTCACCAATTGTCATGCAAAATAATGTAAGTAACATAATCTTTTAAATTTCAGGAGCAGCAAGGACATGAGAAAAAGAGGAAATAAGAGAAAAAAGAAGTGGTAAAAGCAAGTCCAAACAAAATGAGTATCTAATTTTATAGGATATGGTCTTCACCTATGGAGGAAAAGCTCCAGAGATGTTCATGAATACATAAATTCTGGATGACCTTTTACCAAAACAAAATGCTCCTCTATCCTATTTACTTTCTCTGTAAAACCATCACCTAGTAAAATATTCATATACATGTTCTAATTTTTATCAGAAGTCTCCAAAACCCCCTACATCCACACAATCACAGTCAGACGTTAATAAAACCTATCCCCCTGGAATTGTGGCTAAAACAATATAAGCAGAGGATTAGGGAAAACAAAGAATTTGGTAGCTAACATGCAGTAAGAATATCTAAAGCCATAAATCTTAAATACATAAACCTAGACGGTTGTCAGTTATTTGCTTATGTGTGCCAATCAGTAAGCATATACTGAGCACTGCTGTATAGAAGAAACTCTGGAGAATATAATCTAGTAGAGGACAGCGAAATGTAGATGATCGGTTATAGTATAACACAGAGTTTGACAAATTCTGTTGGACAAATAAATAAATTCAGAACCAACGTCCTCTACTATGGAGCAGTCACCAAATTCAAATGTCTAATGAGATCAGGCAAAAAGTATTATTATTTATGGTTAACATTTATGCACAATGAATATATGCCAAAAACTAGTCTAAATGTTTCATGTACACTCATTTCATCCTCCTTAAAACCCAACTGATTTATCTTTGTCAATTTTATTTTCATTTTACCATAGAGAAACTGAGGTAGAGAGAGAGTAATTAATTTGTCTAGAATCACACAAGGAGTAAGTATTAAAGCCAAAATTGAAGCCATCCTGTCTGGTTCTAGAGCTCACATTCTTTCTCCTACATTAATTTGGCTCTAAATAAGTCAGTGCGACAAAAAGACCAGGTATAAAAAAAGGGGGTATAAAAAGATGCAGCCTATGAATAATTAGAACACCCTTTACTCTGCTTCAGCTTTTTCAAGACAAGCTAGAAATCAAAAATTTTATGTGAAATCTGCTAATTTGTAAGTGTTAGCAAATAATTCAAATTAAAAGAAAAATACTGAGTAGAACAGATTAAACACTTTTCAAAATTTTATTTGGCCCATGGGCAACTATCTTAATGTAAGATTTATATTCTTCATATATTTTGTTATACTCTTAAAAATATACAAGTAAACATTTGAAAATGTCTATTTCAAGTTAACTGCTAGATTCCTTAAATTTTCTTTAATATCTTAAACCATGTTTTCATAATCTCAGTAGCTGAATTTCTTATTTTTACAGTACACTTTCACTGTTACAGGTTTCACATACCTAAAATACATAAATAAATGACTTTTGTGTATTTTAAACTATATAAAAAATAGACAAGTAACAAGCAAGTTGCCATCAAAGTTTATTTTTAAAAGGAGTATTTTTTAAACCCTCATCTTTATGTTGTCAGAAGAAAATACTCTACCACACAATGATATTCATACGTTCATTTAAGGTGCTAAAAATACTTAAGGTCTTTTTGACTCCTTAGAGAAAGTTCAAGAAGTCATTTAGTTAATTTAGCTTAAATTATAATTCTTTAGAACTTAACAAGTCTATGATAATATCCAATAGCCAGAATACAAAATCAACCACATACCCCAGTCTACAACCATTCTATATAATCAAGCATCCATTATATCCTGATTTATTATGCCTATAGATTGAAAATGAACCACTGAAATGTTTTTATAATTAAATAAAGGAAACCAGCTAACTAGTAATAATGAGTTATTTTCAAGCAATCTGTTGAAGAAAACGTGTGGATAATGTTCATAGTTTTCTTTTAATTATGGATTTAAATAACCTAATTCAAAAGTAACTGATTAAGAAGTTGCTGCTTTCATTTTTTTTATCGTTTTGTTTTAAATATAAAGAGCTATTTTAGCTCTCTTGAATCTAAAAAAGCAACTTAAGTTTGTCGGTTACTGCTATTGGGATTACCTTATGAAATCATAACATAATGTTGTTTTTAAATATGAAATCATTTTCCTACGAATTTCCCAATTTGTGTTTCATAAACATTCCAGTAAGAGAAAATGATTGATTACAAAGCAGAATATCAAAGGTTTTTAATAAATTTGTCTATTTTAATATTTATGAATAAATTTTTACCTGCAAATATCAAACTATAAAAAATTAAGAGATTTTATTTAGTCTAAAAATTTTTAAACAATCACTGTAAAAGTCCAGCATAAACATAACACTTACAATGGTTCATTAGACCTCTAAATTTGATTCCAAACTCCAACTTCTATCCTTGATTTTCTATCCTTAATTTTCTCTTATATAGAACCAAGATACATACAGAGAAAAGAATATAAAGGCCAAAAACATGCCTCTTAGTAGATGACTACTTAAATCCATAATTGATAGATTTTAGTTCTCTTCAATGGTATCTTCCTGTTCCTAGAATTTCTCTGGCTCATAAAAATGATGCCTGAAGAATTATTTTAAATAAAAGCAATCTCATTTTTCTGACTGAGAAAGCATAGTAATACACCTTCCACGATCTGGGAAAGGCCCTATCCTTCCTTTGTTACACTTACTGTAAATAACAATTTCTCCTATTCACATGAGTTTAAAATTCCAAAAAGTCGTAACTAATTTTACAATACGGTTTTAGTGCTATCCTGGGCACAGGAGTTCACAAATATGCTAAAATTCCCATTTAAAATGCAAGACTAATCTTTAAGATATTTGTACTGGTTTCACAAGTCTAGAGGCTGGAGTATTAAATCTTAAAAGTGATCTGTCTGAAAGAAAAGACTTCTTCTGCAAATAGTTAATTTTTAATAAAAGGGTAAGCGTTCAGCACTAAAGCTTAGAAGGCAGTTTTAAACTACACTTAAAAAATCAAAGCAATATTTTCCATGTAAAAAAAATCAATACAGGCCGGGCATGGTGGCTTATGTCTATAATCCCAGCACTTTGGGAGGCAGAGGCGGGCAGATCACGAGGTCAGGAGTTAGAGACCACCCCGGCCAATATGGTGAAACTCCATCTCAACTAAAAATACAAAAATTAGCTAGGCATGGTGATGCGTGCCTGTAGTCCCAGCTACTTGGGAGGCTGAGGCAGAAGAATTGTTGGAACCCGGGAGGCAGAGGTTGCAGTGAGCCAAGATCGTGCCACTGCACTCCAGCCTGGGCGACAGAGCAAGACTCCATCTCAAAAAAAAAAAAAATCAATCAATCAATATGAGCAGTATCTAAGTGAAAATCTCAAACTATGAGCATTGAACAGATAAAATAATAAGTTAGTTTAATAATATTTTCTCTTTTAAAATGGCACCACATGAGCAGAACCTCTAGAAATGAATTTATTCTGTCTGAATACAAAATTCTATATATTTCAGCTTATATTCTCTCCTTAACTGTTTCTAATACTTAGGCACAGAATCAGCATTCTGAACTGTGTCATTCTAAAAACATTCATATTCAGAAAAGCTCATATAAGCATACTTCATTCATTTAAATTCTTGACTGATGGTAAACCTAAAAGTCAAACACTGAAATGATATAGTATTACTTTACATAAAGATTTCTCCTATAAGAAAAGCACACCAAAGAGCTTAAATGGACTACTTTCAGAGTCGATTATAAAAGGAAGAAGGATGCAGCGTGAATAAGTATGTGTTCTAGGTAGCATGTATTTACCATGATAGGTATTTAACCAGAAATATGACATATGGGGTATAAAAGCAAGCTTCTCTGGTAGAAGCTACGTTTTCACAATTAAGAGATAGCGCAATTGAATATCTGGTTTAAAAAAACATTTTTTATTTAGAAATGTTGGTAGCTAAAGGTAAATTCAATGATTGGAAGTAACAATGTTCTAAAGTCTTAATTACAAGGGCAGAAAGGAGGAAAGAAGAAAGGAAAAAAGAAAAAAGAGGGAAAGAAAACAAAGAAAGACAAAGAGTAAAGTTTTATTTTTAAATTCTGTCGATCTTTAATGCAAGAGGGTTACATTGGACTTTAAGTTAATTAAGTATTAAAATCAATCATCTGAAAGTCTTAATATTTAATATTGTTAGATTGTATATCAAAGTAGTTTTATTATTTATTTACTCCAAACCTTTCCAGAATACTTCATTTGACAACAGGGGGTCTGTTTCTCACAAGATAAGTGCATTTACAGTGCCAAATAAATTATATATAAAAGCATTTGTCTTAATACATGTCATTCAATATTAAATATCACCCCTTGGTAAAACCCTGAAACTTTAATTCATTTTTAGCAACCACACAATTTTACTATCCAAGTGTTGTCTAACAAACAGGTATAAGACTACAATAAGGGTCAACATATAAGAACAATGATCAAAAGAAAATCAAAACAGACTGAATCCTTATAATTTTCATGCTATCAGAATAAGCTGTTTAGGGCAAACAATTCACTGTAAATTAAAATACTAGACTCATAAACAATATACCTACTGAGAAATATGCAGAATATGAGAGGTTCACAGGTGGACTTAAATATTTTATATTACAAACTAAGAATGTATTTTGCCTTTCAATATTAAAATGCTATAAAGTCATGAGAAAGTGACACTTGTGACCACATAAACCAAGAGAAAACTGAGCACTATAAAAGTCAAACTGCCAAACAGAAAGCTCTCCACAGTGTATTCTCATACAGTTTCAGAGGTCTCCTGAGCAGATGCTCAAGATGCAGAGACTGGGGAATTAGCTTGGCCTAGTGAGCAAAACCAAACCTTTTATTATGATGTAGCCATATAAAAATACTTTCAATTCTTGCTGTTCCTCTTTTATATATTTATATATTATTTATATATCCTATTTTATATAGATATTACCTCTAGCCATTAAATGATTCAACCTGGTTTTCATAAAATCAAGGTTAATACAACATACAATTAGGAATTTAGGAAAAATAAAATTTGAAAAGAGAAAACAGAAATCATAATTTGGCGAATTATATTAAACTGATGATAATTAAAAATAAGAAAAAGGAACAAATGGCTACTCTTCATACAAACATCAAATCAAATCATTTTGTCCAAAAAAACCAATGAACAAAAATCTCTCCTTGGTGCAAACATGGGGAGGCCAGGGGTATGTTCAGGAACACCTGACCAATTGTGGGGCAATCCTTCTAAAAGTCCATATGAATCTGTTATTTATCCCTTGGTTTTTATTAAGTAGTAGGGCTGGGAAACCTAAGGACGTTTTAGTACTTCCTTTAGTTGAAAGATAGCCTTTTCAATTAAATAATAACAACAGCAGCAAACACATAGCACTTATTGGGAAGCAAAGCTATTTAAACCACTATACATATTAACTTATTTAAACCTTACAACAATTCTATGAAGTAGATACTATAACACCTTTTACAGATAAGGAAACCACAAAGAAGTTATGTGACTTATGTAAGGTCACAGGGCAAAGCTACCTCAAATGACAACAATCACTTAATAAGTGGCCTAACAAAAATTAAGCCAAGAATTATAGGGTAGTTTCCTTTGTTATGTTAACTATAACGTAATACCAAAGAATTCAGTTTACTTTTCTCGCATGCAAGCTGTTTCGAAATCTGAGATATTGAGATAAACAGATCCTTAATAGTTATAAGGTGTACACATCTTGTACAGATCACCATCTCAGAGTAAATGCATTATCTAGTAAGGAAAGCAAGTAATAAGTAAGCTGTGGATACAGCATAATTCACATATTCCTCAGCAAAATTATAATTTATGAAAAAATCACACTTGATCTTTGGAATCGTTATCAAATAGCCAAAACTGTAGTTGGGGATTTTAAATCATTATTTAAGTCCCCAAATGCTACAGATTCACATTGCACCAGTCACTTCAGTACCTCACTGAGGGAAGGCCAGCAGCTAAGAAGCACCAGTCCTTGCTAGCCAAAGTAGCTTACATAAAAACATTTCCACATTCCTCCATTCAGTTTTATGCATCTCTTTTCCTCCTGAGGAGGCCTTTCCTCTTCACTTTTCTAAATCCTGTACATAATTCCAACATTCAACTTTTCCTTTAGGGACCAGCACCAGAAGTAATTTCTCCCTGCTCTTCCATAGCAGTATTTCCCTTGCTCTGATGTGCCTCTGGGCTTGGCAAAAACATACTTTTTTATTAGAATAAGTTTTTTTTAATGGTTCCCCTCTATTTATAGCAAGTGCTAATTTGTTTAGGATAATCTGTGGCCAAAAGATTTCCTATTTACATAAATTTATTTAAAGAAAGAAAGAATTCATGAAAGGAAAAATATTAAATAAATTATAATAAAGTAGTAGGCATAGTTAAAATCCTTAAGGTGTTATATAATAAATGATTAATGTTTTGAAAATAATGTTACAGCAGAAATTGTCATTCACCAACCTTATTAAGCAATCCTTGATACATCACTTCTATTGTTTATATAAACTATTATCCTTATCATAAGTAGTTATTAGCTTATCATACATTTTTGTAAATGCAAACTATGTATTCCTTGAGGGCAGAGAAAGTATTTTTCATTCCTTTGTACCCCCATAATATGCAGATATTATCCAATAGGAATAAAACCTATTCATTAATTCATCAAAAACAGACAACACAATTATAAATGTGGTTCATGCTACTGGTAAACTAAACATCGCTCTGGGAAATGCTTACTTATCTCCTCTTTAAGAGGTCCTAAATTCAGGCTAATGCCTAACGGAGTCCACTCTCCCTTCTCCCTCAACATGCTCTGGCTACCTAAGTCTTCTTTCTATTCCTTAAAAAAAAATACAGCTCATTGTCTCTTTAGGTCTTCGCACATCCCCATCTCCTCTTCTGGGAACACTCTGCTCTTCATATCATTCAGGTTATCTGCCCAAATTCAACCAGCACAGAAATGTTTTCCTGGAATATATCTAATCCACTGGCAAATCTTGTCTGTTCTACCCTCAAAATAAAATCCAGAATCAAAACCATTCTTTACAAACAACCACCTTGATCTAGGTCACACTCATTAGACCCAGAAAAAGGAAACAGTCATCTTTAACTTTGCCCTCTGCCTAGAAACCCTCACCTTTCTTGCTGTAGGCAACATGAAATCTGTGTATTTTACTCAACTTCTGAACTACGCTTTTTTAGCAAGACCATCCACTTATAGGAAAAAGAAGCCACTTGTTGTGTTGAGCTGGAACTAAAAGGTTAGTTCATAAACACACTCGTATGGTGGGTGAGAACTGTCATAAGTCCTTGTGTTTCATTTAAAAGTTTTAACTTCAGGAAATTTCTGAGAAGCAAGTAAACGTTATTGTTACACAATATGCAAGCTTTACAAAGTTAACCATCCATAAATAAATAATAAAAGAACCACATACAGGTCAATGATGAGAATGTGTCATAAGGCAATGATTATGATTAATCAAATTAATAATATTCATGAAAAAAGTTAACCACTGGAATTTCCAACTATCCTTCCATACATTACAAAAAAATAGTTTTTTGATTATAAAAGCAGAGTTTGAAAGTATTTCAGAATAACATCTGGTTTATATTTGACATAAAGTAGACACTATCTTGTGGCTAAACTTTTAAGTCAATTTTATTAAAAATACATACATACAAATACAAACATGATATACTATATAACTAACTGCATTTACTCCTATTTTGAAAGATGTTTTTACTTTTATTTCAGTTATCTATCTTCTCTTCAGAAGACATTAAATTTTAGATAAAAGATGACACTATGGAAAAAAAATTATATGTATTTCTAAATTTCATATAATACCTATCTCATGACTGTTACAAGGATGAAATAAAGTATATGGGGACATATATCGAAAGCTGCAGTGTACTATGGTTCACTGTTGTCACTCCTGGCAATAATAATAAACATTAAAAATTCTTCATAAGACAGCAGATGCATTACTTGTTACATATTTTTAAGGTTATACTGATCTCAGCTAAATAAAAACAGTAGAGTAGGAACAGACTAGAAGAGGGAAGAAGTGATAGGGACCGGGGGCAGAGAAATTCTAAGCAGAAAAGGGTGGGTCCCCGACAAAACCCCACCTTCAAGCCGAAATGCCTGAAACCCACAGCCCAAAGTTAGAACTTCTATCCCTGTTTTCCCACTCGAATGTTGCCTTTTCCTAAACTACCCATGGCCCACCCTGCCCCTTCATCCTGTGCCTATAATATAGGACACCCAGGACTCAGCCAGCACAGAGAAGGAAGTAGCTGATGCAGAGGACTACGACTGAACATGGGAGAGAAGTGGCTTGACTTGAAAGGGACAGCTTTACAGAGGGACAGCTTGCATAACTTTGGAGAATAATCCAGCTGGAGATGGCCAGATTTCAGGGGAAGAAGATTACCTACCCACCCCATCTCCTTTCCAGCTCCCCTTCCCACTGAGAGCCACTTTCATCAGCAATAAAATCCCCCGCATTTACCATCCTTCAATTCATTCTTGCAACCTCATTTTTCCTGGATGCTGGACAAGAGCTCGGGAGCCACAAGTGCAGATACAAAAGGCTGTCACACTGATTCTTTGCCCTTCCTGGCAGAGGGCAGCTGCCTCAGCAAAAAGGCAGAAAGCCCACTGAGCTGTTAACACTTAAGCCGTCTGCAAAGGGCAGAGCTAAAAGAACAATGTAACATGCCCTCTGGGGCTTTAGAGGTCACAGGAAGCCCCACCTAGACACTGCTATGGGGCCCGAAGTTTGCTCCTACTGGAGCCCAAAAGTGCTTGCTCTGGCTCCCGCACCTGCTCACCTGCGCGCTCCCTCCCGTGAGGGGTGGAAGGCAGACAGCCCATTCCAGCACTTGTGCACTCCAGTTTCCACCTCGTTTGCTCGCAGGCTCCCTCCTGCAAGGAGTTGAGAGCAGAGGGCTGTGTAAATGAGGCACTCCTGTCATGAGTCCCATGAAGAAGTCAAGCAAATATCCTGCTTCAGAAAGAGCATTCTTGGGGGAGAAAACATTGTATACCAGGGCTCAGGGAAGAGGCAGTGCATGCACATTTCATGTAAAGTGTGTAAGGAGTCAAGCTCAGCTGGGTTGATTTTCAGGCTTAAGAAGCAGAAAAGGACTGTAAAACACATGGCTTATAGACCTTCTCAAGATTCAGAGCTTTTTCCTAATGTCAATGGAAACTACTTTTAAGTAAAGGAGGGCACCATCTCCTACTAATTCTCCATATTTAAATTTTCTTCAACTATACCAAATTACACACCTCAGCACTTCCACACATGTGGCTCCTCTGCAAGGCACTACTGTTCTTACCTTCTTCGCCTTACCAACTGCTACTGGCCCTTAAGATACAGCTCAAAAGTCACTCTTCCCCAACATGCCTTCTCCTAATTTGATTCAGATGCCCACTTACCTTATGCATAACTCCACCCTAATATTAACCATTCTTTAGTATAATGGTTGGTTTTCGACTAACTTCTATTGTGAGGATAGGGGACCTGTTTTACTCATCTATACTCTAAGTTACTAGCACCCCAGAACTTGCAAAAATCATTTATTCAATGAATCAACAAAAACAAAGACATGCTTCAGTATAATTCCCAGATATGAGGACTAATTGAGCTATACTTGTTCTACACAGAAGCACACAAATTGAAATGATTTAAGAGAACCTGTAGTATGTCGTAGGAATAGATATGGATTATACTATTTGAGATAAAAGATCTGAGTTTTCCATCTTATTATTTTTTTAAACTATGCCATAAATAAGACCTAAAACAGTCACTTAACAAATATATACTGAGCACCTACTATAGCCAACACAGCACTGATCCTCATATCAAATGCAAACTCAATAGGCAGTGAGCTTAATATTATATACTACTTGGTGAAAATTACCACCATGATACTACATGTTACAATGACATTGAAATGTAGTATTTACTTTCAACCACAACTTTGGACATTCTCAAATCACGTAACAAACTACATTACTTAGAATGTTTTCTTTTCCACAAAACCAAAATCCTTTTTGAAATGTCAGCCTTGAACATCATAAAATTATACAGAATGATGAGGAAACAGGCTTATAGTGCATATAAATACGAAAGCCTATTAGCCTGCATTTAATTACCAGTTCAAACAACAACCTGATCTAACCTTTGACAAGTAAAATAAATGTTCTGAATAATTTAACTAAAGCAAACATTTGCTGTTAATGCTAGCTAATTATAGTAAGAGCTGGAAAGATAAGAGGAAGAGAAATGACGAAGAGAAAGGAAGAGAAAGGGAGATGAAATTTTTAAATTAAGGTTAAGATCTGCAATTATTCATTGAAACATGATTTTTTTCAATGAATTTATTCACAGAAAAGGGCAAACTCAGTAGAAGAAAGTTTCTTTATAAATACTCAGATAAAGAAACATTTCAGTTTATTAGCTTATTTTTTCAGTCAGTAAAAAATTATCCATCTACCATGGGAACAGGAAAACAAGTTATAGAATTAGGGTACAATCAATCTCCTTCTCTCAAGGGGCCCAAAATTTAGTTAAGAAAAAGTCCAGGAAATGGGTTGCCAAATAAATAAATATAAGTAAATAATGAAATAAAATACAGATGCCCAATTAAATTTAAATTTCAGAAAAACAACAAACATAATATTTAAGACACTTATACTAAAAAGTATTCATTATTTATTGAAAATCAAATTTAACAAGGAGTTCTGTATTTTATCTGACAACCCTACCAGTAGACAGACAAGGAGACACTGTAGGAGCTCCAGGATTAAAAGAGATCTCAAAGGACAAGACCCCAAAAGAACTCATCCAAAGGCAGGAAAGACATGTTTTTGCCAGAGCTGCCATCTGATTGTTACTGGAAAAAACTAAAATGTGTGATTCAAATGTACTGACCCAGCTCCACAGAATCTTGTTTTTCAATTACCCTGAAAAAAGGAGCTACAAAGAAATATAATAGACAAATGAACAAACTTCTTAGTGGAAACCATCAGCTACCATATGGCAGAAAAATCAAATATTCTGACAAGAATACAAGAGCTGCTGAGTAGAAACAGAGTATAAGACTATTCTTAAACAGTTCTGAGACTACAGCTGACCCTTGAACAACATGGGTTTGAACTGCACCGGTCCATGTGGATTTTCTTCTGCATGTACCTCTCCTGAGACAATAAGACCAAAACCTCTCCCCTTCCACCTCCTCCTCAGCCTACTCAATGTGAAGCCAACAAGGGTAACTTCCGCTAAATGAATAGTAAATATATTTTCTCTTCCTTAGGATATTCTTAATAACATTTCCTTTTCTCTAACTTTATTGTAAGAATACAGTATAGTACATATAACATACAAAATATGTGTTAATCAACTGTTTATGTCATTGGTAAGGCTTCTGGTCAACAGTAGGCTATCAGTAGTCAAAGCATTTGGGAAGTCAAAAGTTACATATGGATTTTTGACTGCATAGGGGTCAGTATCCCTAACTCCCATGTTGCTCAAGGATCAGCTGTATTATCTTTACCAGTGAAGAACGTAAGTGCATAATTTGGGGGGGGAAATCCAAAGAAAATGTGAACTTTGTTAATTTGTTGAGACTAATATAAAATATTATGTTAACTCTTTCATTCATGAATTAACATAGTATTTGAACTCTTGTATTAATGTTAATAATTATACATGATACAGCACAAGAATCTAAGGTATGATCATCAAAATTTATGGGACCATAAATTTTTAAAACATTAAATAATGCAAAATGTGAAAATATGTTGTAGTCCATATTAAAATGGCCAATTTAATTGATTAGTAGCTTCAAAAATGATGAGCTTACTTGCTGATGGAGTAGAAACTTCTATTAACTTGGATACATGAGCCAAAAAGTCTCAGTATAAATATGCAAATGTTCCAATTGTAGTAGAAGACTATCATCATTTACAGAGGCAAGAAAAATTCCAATTTCCCAAACATAACATATAAATATATATAGACTTTATAAAAGAGATAGTAAAAAATGATAGTCACTTAAAATATTAAAATATTATTAAATAATAAACTTGAGTATCATTGCAAAGTGATCTGACTTGGGGGTTTCTCTCAGAATCCACGTTGACTGTAATGGTTCCATTTTTTTCATAAAAGAGATTTGTACACATGTAAACTTCTGTCCATATGTGTTCTAACACCAAAACTGTTTAGGTTGCCCATGTAAGAAAACTGACATATATTAAAATGTCATTATAAGCCCTCAAAATGGGAATAAACTATTTCAATTTCATTTGCATAAGAGGGAAAGACTAAAGCACTGAGAAGGTGAAAAAAAGGATACAGGAGAGGAGCTAATTATAAAAGAACACAATACATAGTGCTCACATAATATCTTGAAGTCAGAAAACATAAAGGGTCTATGGTGATTGTCAAAGAATGTTTCAAGACTTCAATGAATACTAAAAAACAAAACAATTCTATAAACTCTACATAGAACAGATACAGGCCAGAAAGGGTACATGAAAAGAATTAACAAAACTGAATAAACTGGGACTACAGAGGAGCTACACAAACCCTATCCCAACTCCCAGGGAATTTTACTAGCAAAAATATACACCTCCTTTTCCAATGTATACAATTAGGTAAAAGAATGTAGCATACTATCTCCAAAATTTCATTGAGTACCGTAATAGAATGTCTAAAATCTAAGTACATTAGAGTTCTATAATTCTTGCTATCCTAATTTACATGAAATCATTGCATAAATAATTTTTAGAATTTTGAAATCTATGTGTAAACTTCAGTAAACAATCGAAAGTAAATGACAAAACTTCATACCATGCTTTGTCATCTGTGGAACGATGATGCAGTTCAATTATATTTATTGAACAAATTAGCATCATTTGTCTTTCTCTGTGCTAAGAACTGTTTGGAGTAGTGATGATTGCTAATATTTCACTTAATGCTTACTAAATGCTAGACACTGTGTTTTATGTGTATTATCCCATTTAATCTTCTCAGCAATCCTATCAGACAGGAATCATTATTACCCCCATTTTACATAGGTGGCAATTGAGTCTAGCAAGTTAACGATTTCATCTCAAGGTCGCACACTAAGTGGCTGGAAATTGAAGTGAACCTTCTTCAGAAACTCATTTTAAGATATCCTACTGCTTTCTCACTATGTACAATGGCATGGGGAAAGGAACATCAGGAAATAGAGATGAGAAGAGAAGAAACATCTCCTGGGAGGTAGAACACAAAGAAAATGCAGACCACATAATGAAAACTAGAATGTTACAGCAAAGAAGATGTATTAAAAGGAGCTCTAACTCTGAAAGGTCAAGGGGTAAATACAGGGGTCTCAAAAGACTTTATGGAGAAGGGAATATCTAGGACAGGCTTTGAAGAAATAGTATTTCAACAGGCAGAGATGGACAGAGAAAGTTGACCAGAGGTCAACTCAAAAAAGATTGTTCTGAAGCCAGCAAAATGGACAATAAAATAGTAAATACCTACGTTTGCAACAGAGAAAGCTGCACTGAGAAAAAGCAGCTGCAAAACAGACATATAAAATTATATCGTATGAAATGCAAATTATTAACAATAAAGCTTTACATTTAAATAGCAGTTTGCAGTTTACAAAAATTTTCACATATATCATGCATTCTCAATGGCAGTGATATTGTCTCCTAGTGGACAAGATTGGTGCACAGAGTGGGTGTAGGGAATCATAGATACTACAATAGTTTATGGTCCTCAAATGGAATATAGTACATAAAGAGAAACATAGTTTATCTGTGTATATTTGTGTTATTAAACTTTCACAGTGGAGGATGACTGGGAGAAGTTTTTCTTTAAAGACTTTTTAGGGGTGCAATGATTTTTTAAAAGGTTCAGAAACACTGACAAATACTACATTATTTGATCATCCCAACCATCTAATAAGTAAGCAGGTATCATTTCCTTTTGTAAAAAGCATGAAACAAATAATACAGGAAGATTTAAAGAGATGAACGAAGGAGAAAAACAAGCAGTGCACGGAACGGAATTTTATACATATACACAGCCAATAACATAAAATAATGTGCAGCCTCACTCACAGTTAAAGAAATATCAACTAAAACAATTAGATGTAATTTTTCACCTATCAGAATGCAAAATAAAAAAGGTAGATAATACCCAGTCTTGGTAAGAATTTGAAGAAATAGGCATTTTGATGCTAATGAACTTGATTTAAAAAGTGCAAGTTTAGGAAGGCAATAACTATCAAAATTACTAATGCATCTAACTTTTGAATCAACAATTCTACCACTAAAAATGTATCCTACTTATATATCCTCTAGCCAAATCTATGCAGAAAGAAGTTGATTGTAATAGTGAAAAACCATAAGCAATCTAAATGTTCTATAATCCTTGGGTTTATAAATTATGGTAATCAGGCAAGGCCCAGTGACTCACAGCTGTAATCCTTGTTCTATGTAACATACATGGACAGAAGTTTATATGTGCACAAATCCTTGGAAGGCCAAGCCTGGGAGATCACCTGAGGTAAGGAGTTCAAGACCAGCCTGGTCAACATGGTGAAGCCCCATCTCTACTAAAAATACAAAAAAAAAATTAGCCAGATATAGTGACAGGAGCCTGTAATCCCAGCTACTCAGGAGGCTGAGGCAGGAGAATCGCTTGAGCCTGGGAGGCAGAGGTTGCAGTGAGCCGAGATTGCTCCATCGCACTACAGCCTGAGTGACAAGACAAACTCCATCTCAATAAACAAATAAATACATACATACATAAAGGTAATCTAGAAATAGAATAATAGGTAGGAATTTAAAATGCTCTGATGTAAAAAAAAAAAAATATGTACACAGCATACTGAAATCAACAATGCTACCTGTATGACCCCATTATTTTATAAAAATATACAAATGTAATTTTGCTGTGTGTTAAAATTTCTGGACACACAAGAAACCAACAAAGCATGAGGAGGAATTCTCCAACTGTATACATAAATGTACACTTTAAAAAACAGGACATGAGGATTTTTTTTTTGAGACAGAGTTTCACTCTTGTTGCCCAGGCTGGAGTGCAATGACGCGATCTCGGCTCACTGCAACCTCCGACCCCAAGGTTCAAGCAATTCTCCTGCCTCAGCCTCCCAAGTAGCTGGGATTACAGGCACCCGCCACCATACCCAGCTAATTTTTTTTATTTTTAGTAGAGATGGGGTTTCCCCATGTTGGCCAGCCTGATCTTGAACTCCTGATGTCAGGTGATCTACCTGCCTCGGCCTCCCAAAGTGCTGGGATTACAGGTGTGAGCCACCACACCCGGCCAGGGATGTATCTTTTAAAAATATTTAATTATAAAAATGTTAAAATGACTTGCTCCAGTTCCTACAATTGTGAAGCAAAATTATGAATACAATTCCATTCTTTTGGCTCAAAATCCATTGTTTCTTATTACATTACTTTATAAAGCTTACTACTGTTCAGAAAAAATCCATATTGGTGATTAAATATGGTAATAATGTCTATGGTTCCATAATACTTACTGAAGCATAAATGCCCCTGTAGGTTCTCAAAATGTCTTTCACGATCTACCCACACCTGTGTTCCCAATCCTCCCTTCCACGTCTTTTTAGTTTCTAAAAAGCGTCTAGTGTTTTCCTACCTCTCTGTTTTCTTGAATAACAAGTCTTGGTCAAGAAATCCTCTCCCAACCAATTCCTCTTCCTAAAACACTTTACTTCTTTTTTAAATTGATCTATTCTCATGACCTGGCATATAATAATAAATATTGCTGAATGAGTGAAAATATATCCGTCGGAACAGATTCTACTAATCACTTTGTAAAGTTAATCTCAAATGCTTCATTCTCTCTGAAATGCTTCCTAACTTCTTTTCATTCAGTTTTAGAATGTTAAATTCAGAAATTAAGTCATATTTCTGCTTGTAATGGGGAAAAGTAAACAAAACAGGAGGTTTCTTTCTTCCAAGAGAATAAAAGGGGAGGAATACCCTTGAGAAGAGAAAAACCCTAGAATATACCAGCAACCATTAATTCTTTCCATCACCATGCTTATTTCTATAAAAGAAAACTTCCAGAATCAATTTATTCATTTATTTATTTATTTTTTAAGAGACAGGGAATCTCCCTGTTGCATACACTGGAATGCAGCGGTGCATTCATAGCTCACTGCACTCTCCAACTCCTAGACTCAAGTAATCCTCCAGCCTTAGTCTCCCAAGTAGCTGGGACTACAGATGAGTGCCACCAGGCTCGGTTAATTTCTTTTTATTTTATGTAGAGACCAGGTCTCCCTATTTTGCCCAGGCTGATCTCAAACTCCTGGCCTCAAACAATCCTCCCAACATGAGCCACAACGCTTGGCCCAGAATCTACTACTATTGACACTGGTGATTTAGTCAACATTATCTAGGCTTAAATTGAGGAACTGTCCTCACCATCTGAGATTAGACAAATTAGCTAAACTGTGTCTCAGTTTCCTCACACGTAAAATGGTGAATACTCAATTCACAGGTTTTGTGAAGATTATATGAATATCCCTGAAGTATTCAGAATATCTGACATATACATAGTAAGCATTCAATAAATATTAGCTTTAATTGTTATCACCATTACCAGCACACTGTCACTACTCTAGTGAATATATTTACACAGTAAGGTTAGAATAAAATCAATGACAGGATGGCACCTACAGTTGAAAATGATGGAACCTTTGAGTGATCTATAATATTTGTTCACAACCTTATACATTATAATTAGATATTCCATGCTGTTTTCTCAACATGTCTGTTGAGGAAGGAAAGAAGGTAGTAAGCAGAAATTGAGGAAATCCAGGGCTGCACAAATATAATATACATTCAACTTAGTACTTATTGAATCCTCCCATGTGCCAAAAGCTAGTGTAGAAGATAAGCATTTAGTGGTGAATAAGTAACTTACTGTCCCCAGAAAATATACGTTCTAGGAAAAGACAGTAAGACAAGGATAAAGAGTTCGCATATCAAGTAGCAACAACACATGATATGAAGAAAATGTAAAGAGGCCTAGGGATAGAGAAAGATGGGATATGACTGAAAGCTTATTTGGGAGCTGGGAGCTTATCTGAGAAAGTGTAGTCTTAGGAAGCACCTCTGAAGTGGTGATATTTGAATAAAGTGAGGGAACAAGCCACATGATAACCTGAAAGAAGAGCATGCTGCGAACAGCAAATGCAGAAGACCATAAAGTGGGAAATAGCTTGGAGGTCTGGAGATACTGGGGGAAAAAGAAGGGGAAACAGAAGAGAGGCTGGGTCACTTCCATCCTTTCAGGCCATGAAAGGACTTTCATACACAGTGGCATGGAAAGCCATTGGGAGCTTTTGAGCAAGGGTGTGACATGATATGATCTATTCTTTAGAAAGATCACAAATCTTTCAACTGATCAAAAGCACTGACTACTTGCCCATCCACTCAGCCCCTTCTTCAGAAAAGAGCCCTTCCTCAGAAAGGTTAAGAACAAAGGCAAGTCCTCAAAATTGTATTAGACTATGGTATATGAGAAAGTACAAAATAAGATAAAAAGCAACCACCACAGAAACCTGAAACAAGATCAGTAAAAAAAGAAACCAAAAAACTTAGTAAAAGAAGGTAAACCAAGTAACATAAATGGGCATCTAGCCAGATGACAATCTTCAAGATGTTTCTCATATTTTTGGAGAAATAAAAACATCTGCACAAAATAAGCACATAAGCAAAATGAGACAATCATATAATAATACACAATACTAAATTTAATTTGATTTTATATTTGTATATCCAAACCTTATATTCTGTTTTCTTTTTCATATATTCATTGTTATGTTCAGGCCCCTGCTATAGGTTTGAACGTTGGATCGCCTCCCAAATTCCTGTTGAAATTTAATCCCCAATGCAACAGTATTAGGTTTTTTAGGGGGGGCTGGGAGGGGTGGCTGAGACAAGGTCTCACCCTGTCGCCCAGGCCAGAGTGCAGTGGCATGATCATGGCTCACTGCAGCCTCCACGTACAGAGCTCAAGCGATCCGCCCACCTCAGCCTCCCAAAGTGCTGAGACTACAGGCGTGAGCCACCGTACCCAGCCCCCAGTGCAGCAGTATTAAGAGGTAGGGCCTTCAGGAGGTGATTTCGCCATCAGGACTTCACCCTAATGCATAAGGTTAATGCTTATTAAAAGGGCTGGAGGGAACTAGCTATGTCCTTTTTCGCCCTTCCATCCCTTTCACCATGTGAGGATACAACATTAATCCCTTAGGAGAATGCAGTAACAAGGTACCATCTTGGAAGCAGAGACCAGCCCTCACCAGACACTGAACCTGCTCTCATCTTGATCTTGCACTTCCTAGCCTCCAGAATTGTGAAAAATAAATCTCTGTTCCTTGTAAATTATCCAGTCTCTGGTATTTAGTCACAGCAGCACAAATGGAGTAAGACAACTCCTTATACAAAACTACATCATACTTTTTGTTCTACTCCTCTTTCACCCCCCCATTCTCTACTTGGGCAGATCTATAGGGAAAGGCAGATAAAAGGGACTCATTTATGCACGACCCTCTTAATATATACTCTAGTAAGCACCCAAAGCCAGAAAAAGAATTAAGCACTACAATATTTTGTGGAAAAGCCAGGTAGTTACTCAGTCCATTTTGATAACAAAACAAGTAGAAACAAATATTTGAAAATACATTAAATTTCAAGCAAGAAAATGCTAGCTCAAAACACTACAAAAAAAATTGTTCACTTCATCAGTCTATATGTCTTTTAGTCTCGAACTCTAAGACTTACTAGACATTTCCACTTATGTCTCTTCTGTCCTTCTCTGACTTCCCTAATTTAAGCTAGCATCATCTGGATTAGTCTTGAAGCCTCTGGACAAGAACTCCCAGAATCCCTCTCTTGCTCCCCTTAATCTCCTCAATAAAGATCACTGCAGTTAGATTGATTTTTAAAACAGTAAATCTAATCATATCACTCTCCCTATTGAAACCCCTTCGATGAGTGACTACTCACAGGCTGAAATTTCTAAGAGAATCTACAAGCCCCTGTGTGGCCCTTTAGCCACCAACCTGGCTCAGTCGCTACTGTCCCTGAGCTCTCTGGGCTCTAACCACACTATCTGTAAACTCTGCAAAACAGAAGTTCTTTCCAGCCGCAGAGCCTTTACAAAAGTTTCTTCTTCAGCTTGCAATATCTCTGTCCCGATTTGCCTGGGGAATAAAACATATATTTCACTTCCTTATGTGAGGTCTTGTTGGACACTGCCCACCACCACTAGATTAGTTCTCTTCCTTACTTGACTTCTGGGTGGCCCTATCTTTCCATCATTGTACTTATCACAATTATACATGTAAGAGAAAGGGTGGGGGGAAGAGGGTATGATGGAAGCAGGGGTGTTTACATATATACATATATGTGTATTTTAAAGGTTTAGTGCCAGCCCTGAATTCATGAGGACAAGGAAAATGCCTAACACGGTGCTGGTACAAAGAAGGCATTATTATTATTATTATTTTTATTTTTTTTTGAGACAGAGTCTTGTTCTGTCGGCCAGGCTGGAGTGCAGTGGCATAATCTCGGCTCACTGCAACCTCTGTCTGCCGGGCTCAAGCAATCCTCCTGCCTCAGCCTCTCGAGTAGCTGGGATTTGAGGCGTGTGCCATGGCATTATTAATACTTGTGGGAAAAACGTGAGATAAAATTGGACGGAGCACATCAGGATGCCACAATGACATGTCATAAATCAAGATGTCTCAGATAACGGGTTAACTATGCATTTTTATTTTTAATGAATCTGGTTTTATTTTTAAAATAGGTAAAAACAGCCTGGGCACGGTGCCTCACACCTGTAATCCCAGCATTTTGGGAGGCCAAGGCAGGTGGATCACCCGAGGTCAGGAGTTCAAGACCAGTCTGGCGAACATAGTGAAATCCCATCTCTACTAAAAATACAAAAATTAGCCAGACATGGTGGCACATGCCTGTAGTCCCAGCTACTTGGGAGGCTAAGGAAGGAGAATCACTTGATCCCAGAAGCCAGAAGTTGCAGTGAGCCAAGATCATGCCACTGCATTCCAGTCTGGGCGACAGAGCGAGACTTCGTCTCAAAAAAAAAAAAAAAAAAAGGGAAAAAACTGATCCAACCTAAAATGCGTAATTCAACAGCAACAAGTATACAAATACACCTAGATTGAAAATATCGATGGGGGGTTGGGGGGTGGTTACAACTAAATTCATCAGCAAAAAGAGGGTAATCAGAGCTCATTTCTCTCTGTTTAGAGGGAGTGACCATAATTTAGATTTAAGTGACAAGAAAGGAAATACAATATTTTTAAAGGAGTAAATACAGAAAGACTTAACCCTTTCTCTCACAGACTCTTTATTCTCTCACTCCACAAGGCATTCCTGCATATTACTGAGTTAGACATAAAATGCCACACACTAGCCAAAGCTTTTACTTGAATAGTTATATTTTCTTGAAAATTAAGTGGACAAACATGATCCAGTGGGCTTCATCCCTGGGATGCAAGGCTGGTTCAACACATGAAAATCAATAAACATAATCCAGCATATAAACAGAACCAAAGACAAAAACCACACGATTATCTCAATAGATGCAGAAAAGGCCTTTGACAAAATTCAACAACCCTTCATGCTAAAAACTCCCAATAAATTAGGTATTGATGGGACGTATCTCAAAATAATAAGAGCTATCTATGACAAACCCACAGCCAATATCATACCGAATGGACAAAAACTGGAAGCATTCCCTTTGAAAACTGGCTCAAGACAGGGATGCCCTCTCTCACCACTCTTATTCAACATAGTGTTGGAAGTTCTGGCCAGGGCAATTAGGCAGGAGAAGGAAATAAAGGGCATTCAATTAGGAAAACAGGAAGTCAAATTGTCCCTGTTTGCAGATGACATGATTGTATATCTAGAAAACCCCATCATCTCAGCCCAAAATCTCCTTAAGCTGATAAGCAACTTCAGGGAAGTCTCAGGATACAAAATCAATGTGCAAAAAGCACAAGCATTCTTATACAGCAATAACAGACAAACAGAGAGCCAAGTCATGAGTGAACTCCCATTCACAATTGCTTCAAAGAGAATAAAATACCTAGGAATCAAACTTACAAGGGATGTGAAGGACTTCTTCAAGGAGAACTACAAACCACTGCTCAAGGAAATAAAAAAGGATACAAACAAATGGAAGAACATTCCATGCTCATGGGTAGGAAGAATCAATATCATGAAAATGGCCATATTGCCCAAGGTAATTTACAGATTCAATGCCATCCCCATCAAGCTACCAACGACTTTCTTCACAGAATTGGAAAAAACTACTTTAAAGTTCATATGGAAGCAAAAAAGAGCCCGCATTGCCAAGTCAATCCTAAGCCAAAAGAACGAAGCTGGAGGCATCATGCTACCTGACTTCAAACTATACTACAAGGCTACAGTAACCAAAACAGCATGGTACTGGTACCAAAACAGAGATACAGACCAATGGAACAAAACAGAGCCCTCAGAAATAATGCCACATATCTACAACTATTTGATCTTTGACAAACCTGAGAAAAACAAGCAATGGGGAAAGGATTCCCTATTTAATAAATGGTGCTGGGAAAACTGGCTAGCCGTATGTAGAAAGCTGAAACTGGATCCCTTCCTTACACTTTATACAAAAATTAATTCAAGATGGATTAAAGATTTACATGTTAGACCTAAAACCATAAAAACCCTAGAAGAAAACCTAGGCATTACCATTCAGGACATAGGCATGGGCAAGGACTTCATGTCTAAAACACCAAAAGCAATGGCAACAAAAGCCAAAATTGACAAATGGGATCTAATTAAACTAAAGAGCTTCTGAACAGCAAAAGAAACTACCGTCAGAGTGAAAAGGGAACCTACAGAATGGGAGAACGTTTTTGCAATCTACTCATCTGACAGAGGGCTAATATCCAGAATCTACAATGAACTCAAACAAATTTACAAGAAAAAAACAAACAACCCCATCAAAAAGTGGGCAAAGGATATGAACAGACACTTCTCAAAAGAAGACATTTATGCACCCAAAACACACATGAAAAAATGCTCATCATCACTGGCCATCAGAGAAATGCAAATCAAAACCACAATGAGATACCATCTCACACCAGTTAGAATGGAGATCATTAAAAAGTCAGGAAACAACAGGTGCTGGAGAGGATGTAGAGAAACAGGAACACTTTTACACTGTTGGTGGGACTGTAAACTAGTTCAACCATTGTGGAAGTCAGTGTGGCGATTCCTCAGGGATCTAGAACTAGAAATACCATTTGACCCAGCCATCCCATTACTGGGTGTATACCCAAAGGATTATAAATCATGCTGCTATAAAGACACATGCACACGTATGTTTATTGTGGCACTATTCACAATAGCAAAGTCTTGGAACCAACCCAAATGTCCAACAATGATAGACTGGATTAAGAAAATGTGGCACATATATACCATGGAATACTATGCAGCCATAAAAAAGGATGAGTTCATTTCCTTTGTAGGGACATGGATGAAGCTGGAAACCATCATTCTCAGCAAACTATCGCAAGGACAAAAAACCAAACACCGCATGTTCTCACTTGTAGGTGGGAATTGAACAATGAGAACTCATGGACACAGGAAGGAGAACATCACACACCGGGGACTGTTATGGGGTGGAGGGAGGGGGGAGGGATAGCATTAGGAGATATAGCGAATACTAAATGAGGAGTTAATGGGTGCAGCCCACCAACATGGCACATGTATACATATGTAACAAACCTGCACGTTGTGCACATGTACCCTAAAACTTAAAGTATAATAAAATTAAAAAAAAAAAATTTGATCACACCACTGCACTCCAGCCTGAGCAACACAATGAGATCCTGTCACACACACACACATACACAGACACACACACACACACACACACACACACACACTTCCAATTAGTTACCTAAACTATTAAATATTCTCAGATATAACTTTCTTATTTGGGAGTAAATTCCTTTTCTACAATCCAATAATCCCTAAATCTATTTCCCCATACAATTAAAAGATAAACTATTTAAGATAGAGTTCTACTTCATTTGACCATTTAATGCCAATATATAAAGAAAATAAAAATACCCAAGCTGGTTACTCAACAAAACATATCAATTTCATTAATCACATTTAAAAATCTTAGTTTGTTTGCTTGAGGAACTGCCAACTACTGAAGTTCCTGAGCTCCTACACTAGTGTATGGCATATCAAATCCTAATATGGGGGGATGGAAGGAGAAGATGAACATGTGAATGAGCTGGGGAAAGAAAATCTTGGCACCAACTCAAACAAACTGCTTTATGAAGTAAAAAGACAAAGCAAACTCTAAGTCTCTGATTAAAAACACTGCCTTCCTAAAACCTGTTTTAGTCAGAAACTGCTGGTCATAAGATTGGATTGGATAAATTTATTAATAGAGTCAGTATATAATAGATTTTGTGAATTGTCAAAAGGTCTTTAGCACTTACCAGCCTGTTCAGCTACGAATGTGAATTACAAAAGACAACCTTTAGTTAGCTCTAACAATCGTTCTGGATTTGGGTTTCTTTTAGTATTATGTTATTCTACTTTTGCTTCTGAAATGATTTACTGATCAGACAAATCCGTAGCCCTAGGAAGTCAGTGTCTGTTTCTCTTTCTCCTTCATTCTCCACATACATACACAGACACACCTATCATTCAGATAGATAGATAGATAGATAGATTCATTTCATATTGAACCTTCAAAGAATAACCCTTGTGAAGTATGTGATTCTCTCTCTCTAACCTATATAACCAAGTCCAGCACTGTATTTTCTGAAACCTGTCGTGATGTTTTCTATAGCAATGACAAGGAGAAGCAGATGGAAGAGTTAGAGTATTGTCTTTCCTCCCCAAAGAAATAGATCAAGAAAGCAAAAGAATCACCCATTTTTATGGAAATGAGGGCCCCTGTTCCAGAATTAGTACAGTTATACAGAATAACATCACTTTCATTTAGGAATTTTCCATCTTTCAGGATGCAGAAGCATTGTTTCTAACATACTATGGGGAGAAATTTAATGACAGATCCAAAAATCTTAAACTATGCAAAATATGTCCATATTATCTTCATTAATGGTAAACCAATCAGATACATAAAAAGATACTTCTCAGGTTGGCAAGCATGTGTGCTACCTAAATCTTATTGAATGTATATGTATATAAGTCAATGGATAAGGAAATTTTAAATTAGAAAAGAAAATCTGAATCAGATTCAAATTAACATCTTCTTTTTACCTGTTCCTTTTGGCAGTACTTGCAAAATCTGTAGTAACAGACTATCACTTCATTATCTTCCCACAAGATACTGGTTTTCTCTAACACTTCACAATGCTTCTGAGATAGCATATCTAGCATAACACCTCCACTTCTCTCCAGCATTTAACAAGATAAAGAAAAGGCAGAAAGAGAGTAGATGATGTCGGTGTTACAAGTGTAAGAATCCAATTCTCATGAACATTCAAATTAACTATGTATCTCAAATCATTCTATTTCCCATGTAGGAATCAGATATGATCTAAGTTACTGTTTCCCTTTAAAGGAACTAATGTATTACAGGGTCATTCATTCAGTGTTAACTAATGGCAATCATTAATTAATGGTAGGGGGAGTAGTCCCACTTAAATTAAAATATAAGTAAAAGCATAGAAGTGTAAAGACCCAGGGTGGTTGTTTTAATGACTTTTCTTTAATCAAGTAAAGCTGAGTAATCAAATGTGTTTTTTGAAGAAGACTATTTCTATTTTTTATCCAAATGGAAGCCCTCAAAGAGAAAGTAAAATGGTAAGTTTTTAATTCACCTAACTACTCAATATCAATTTTCCTTGATTGTGTAACAATATAGTTTAAACTTTCTTCAGTGAAATTATTAAAATGAAGATGTAGATGACTAGCTTACCTCCTTTGTAATAATGCTTAGAACATGTGTATAGTGACCTACATGCAAAAACAGATACGATTTTCAGGGTTGTATCAGAAATTAAACACAGAGAGAAGAAACTTCATATATTTCATTCCAACTAAATCCATTCACAAAGCTATCTCCCAACAGGTTTATTCAAGTGTTTCTCCATGTTAGTGTAGTTGGTACAAACATTCAGAGGGCAGGAATCAGGCCCACATAATGTGCTTTTATGGCCCTGGCACAGCTTGATGCTTATTAAATCCTAGTTGAAAGACATTTGACAATACAATTGCTGAAAAATTCAATGTTCCCTTGCATGGGAAATCTTGTGCCTTGTACCTTATGATTTCAGCAGTGCCATGTGTGCTGCGATAGTTAAGGGCCTGTCAATGTTTCCATTATAAACTCTGGTTTTCAGAGGTTTCTATCTTGGCCTATAAAAATAGACTCCGGTCTGTAACTTGGCATAAAAAGTACTGGTATCAGCCCAAGAGAACATTTTTTGTTCCAAAGATTAAAATAAAAATCTGTTTAGTAGTTTTAAGTTAACAGAGTATAAAATAAAATAAAAAAAAGTTGCGGGATGGGGAGGAGGGAGAATGTTTTTAAAAACACACACATAAAAAATCCAGTGCTCTATCTCTCACTATTACTTCATTTTAAACTTTAAAATGATTAACACACAAAACAAACCAATGATACTGCATAAATGAAAAACCTAACAGGAATTTTAATTAAAAACATTATGGCAATTACCAAAAAAAAATCATAAATTTTTAAACTACGTAAGTAGGATCTCAATAATCCCCACATTTAAAGATTGTACAAGTACCCACTAACAGTAAACTAAAACTATGTCAAAGATGTATTTTCAGATATGTAAAAATTACCTTTTAATGAACCACTAAATGAAGATTTACTGCAGATTAGGAGACAATCTTCAATCCTATTTTCAATGCATGCATCAAGAAGTTTCTCAAACATATTTTAACGAATATAAGAAACACTGAAGTAGTCTTTACAAACTGTTGAAAGATACTAGTCAAAGTTTTGTGGGTTTTTTAAGCTTAATACAGATCTGTTTCTTTCAAAAATATAATGGTTATATAAAGCTGCTGCATAGTCACAAAAGCACATCTTTTACAACAACTTTTATCTGTTAAAGAGGATGTATGTTAGTATAATCTACAAAGAAGGTGATTTGAAAATAGCCATCAAAATTAGAAGTACATTTAAAAATTTTTTTATTGTGGTAAAATACACATATTTACCAACTTATCCATTTAAGTGTACAATTTAATGTTACCAAATACGTTCATAATGTTGCTCCACCATTTTCATCATCTATCTCCATAACTTCTCATCATGTAAAACCAAATCTCTTGTTAACAAAAAAACTAAAACTCTGTAAAAATTGTAAAGGGTTTATTCTGAGCCCTTTATAAGGGAGAGCCAAAATAAGGGACCATGACCTGGGGAACAGTCTCAAGAGGTCCTGAGAAAGTGCGCCTGCAGTGGCTGGGTTATGGTTTGGTTTTATGCATGTTAGGGAGATAGGAGTTACAGGCAAAGACATAAATCAATACTTGGAAGGTATACACTGATTTACCCCAAAAAGAGCATCTTGAAGGGAGGGAGGGGAGCTTTAAGTTACAGAATGGTTTTAGGGATTCTTTAGGTGGCAGCTGGTTGAGAGAGTTAAGCTGTCTGAAGACTTGAAGTCATAGAAAGAAATGTTTGAGTTAAGATAAGGCAGATTATGGCCAAAGTTTTGTTATACAGATGAGGTCTCAGAGTTAGCAGCCTTCTAAGAAAATATATGGTAAATGTCTACAGACCTTAAAGGTGTCAGACTGTTAGTTAATCTCTCCTAGATTTGGGAAAGGCCTAGAAATGGAAGGCCTGACTATAGTAATGGAGTTTCCCCTTAAAAAAGATGGCTTTGCAGTGCCATTTCAATCTGATGGCCTTATGGCAGCCTTTTCAAAATATGTCAATGAAATAAATTTTTAGGTAAAATATTTTTATTTCCCTCAGGGCCCACTATCTGTCATTTGATGCTATACCAGAGTCAGCTTGGAAAGTAAGCCACATTACACTGGGTTAATAAAAACCTAATGAGAGATGTTACTGTTTGTAGGATGTGGCTTAACCACTGCTTAGCATGGCCTCAGGTCTTGCTTATAATTTGTATCTTATTGCCATAAAGAGTCTGTTTTGACAGTCTTATGATCTTTACTTTAACCTAAACTCCATAAGGGAGGAGGTAACAAGGCACGTCCAGCCTCCCTTCCAATCATGATGGAGAATTCAGTTCTTCTGGTTCCCCTGAGGCCAGTTTTTCTTGGCCAAGAGGGGGTCTGTTCTGTCAGTTGGGGGGCTCAGGATTTTATTTTTGGTTTATGCTCTGTATGCATTAAATATACTTCCCATTCCTCCTCCCCCCACTCCTGGCAATCACCATTCTACTTTCTGTCTCTATGATCTTGACTACTCTAATAATCACATATAAGTGGAATAATATAGAATTTGTCTTTTTGTGACTGGCTTATTTCACTGAACATAATGTTATCAAGGTTCACATATGTTGTGGAGTATCTGGTTTCTTTCCTTTATAAGCCTGAATAATATTCCATTATATGTATATACCACATTTTGTCTATCCATCCAGCTATTGATAAACACTTGGTTTGCTTCTGTAAACCCAAAAGTATCTGAGACAAGTCTCGTTCAACTTAGAAGTTTATTTTGCCAAGGCTAAGGACGTGCCTGTGACAGCCTCAGGAGGTCCTGACGACATGTGTCCAAGGTGGTCAGGCTACAGCTCAGTTTTATACATTTTAGGAAGACATAACACATCAATCAATACATGTAAGATGTGTAATGATTCAGTCAGGAAGGGCAGAACAACTCAAAAACTCAAAGTGGAGGCTTCCAGCTCATAGGTATGTCAGAGTAGGTAGTTAGGCAGATATGGACAGGGCAGGAGAGCACCCAAACACGCACACCCCCACCCCCTGTTGCCCCCAGGACTGTCAGGCGACCATGAGGTGATAGTCAGGTGGTTGTTAAACTGTCTCTCTAAAATGATAAGTGGTCACAGCCAGCGCCAGGAAAAGATAGTCTCCTAACAGATAGAAAACACTCGGTGCTGGTGTTATCCACTTCTCAGGAAGATCTCAAACAGGCCCACTAAGAGGCAAAATGGCCTCTTATACGACCTTCCAATGGGAACGCTCGACAGGTAAGGGAAAAACTCCTCAAGTGAACACGTGCACAACTTCAGCAAACCCAAGAACCATAGCAATGTATAAAATCCCAAGTCAAGGGATGAACAGGGCACTTGGATCTTGCAAGTCACCTGCTTGGCCCTTCCAAGTGTACTGCTTCCTTTCACTCCTGCTTTAAAACTTTTTAACAAATTCTCACTCCTGTTCTAAAACTTGCCTCAGTCTCTCCCTCTGCCTTAAACCAACTACTGCCCTTCAGCAAAATTCTTTCCTCCAAGGAGGCAAGAATCAAGTTGTTGCAGACCCATAAAGATTCACCACTGCTAACAGGTGGATTCAAAGATTTTCCAATTGGCAACTTGTCAACAGAGTTTACCTAAAGACTAGAAACCCAGTCGGGCATGGTGGCTCATGCCTATAATCCCAGTATCTTGGGAGGCTAAGGCAGGCGGATCACTTGAGGCCAGGAGTTGAAGATCAGCCTGGCCAACAATGCAAAATCCTATCTCTACTGAAAATACAAAAAGCTGGAGTGAGGCCAATCATGGTGGATCACACTTAGAATCCCAGTACTCTGGAAGGCCAAGGCAGGTGGAACACTCGAGATCATAAGTTCAAGACCAGCCTGGCCAACATGGTGAAATCCCATCTCTACTAAAAATACAAAAAATTAGCCAGGCATGATGGTGCATGCCTGTAATTCCAGCTACTCAGGAGGCTGATGAGGCACAAGAATCGTGTGAACCTCAGAGGCAGAGGCTGCAATAAGCCAAGATCGCACCACTGCAATCCAGCCTGAGTGCTCAAAAAATAAAAAATACAAATAAATAAAAAATAAACACCTGAAATTCCATGTAAGGGAGTGTCTGGGTTAAGATAAGGGGTTGTAGAGACCATGGTTCTTATTATGCAGATGAAGCCTCCAGGTAGCAGGCTTCAGAAAGAATAGACTGTAAATGTTTCTTATGAGACTTAAAATGATGAAAGACTCAGATAATTCTCTCCAGCATCAGAGAAAAGACCTAGAAAGAGAAAGGCATTCTCTACAGAATGTAGATTTTGCCTATAAGAGACAGTTTTGCAGGGCCATTTTTAAATATGTCAAAGGAATATATTTTGGGGCAAAATACTACAATTTCTTCCAGGGCCTGCTATCTGTCATGTGATGCTTTCTTTAGTCAGGCTGGAATTTGGTGTCTTATCGCTACAAAAAGTCGTAAGATCTCTGTTTTAATGTTAATGCTGGTCAGTTGTGCCTGAATTCCAAAGACAGAGTATAATGGGGAATGCCTGATCACCCCCTCCCCATCATGTCCTGAACTGTGGAATGCCCTTGGCTGAGACGAAGGGTTCATTCAGACAATTAAGAAGCTTAAAGTTTCATTTTTAGTTTACAATTCCATATTTCAGCTATTGTGAATAATGCTGGTATGAACATGGGTGTATAAATTGTCTCTTTAAGACCCTGTTTTCAACCATTTTGGGGATACACCCAGAAGTGGCATCACTACATCATATGGAAATTCTATTTTCAATATTTATAAGGAGCCACCATACTGCTTCCCACTGTGACTGTACCATTTTACCTTCCCACCAACAGTGCACAAGGGTTCCAATTTTTTCCACGTCCTCACCAAAACATATTATTGTTTGATGTTGATAGTAGCCATCCTAATGGGTGTAAGGTGGTATTTCATTATAGTTTTGATTTGGATTTTCCTAAATATCAGTGATGCTGAGCATCTTGTGGTGTACCAATTGCCATTTGTATATTTTCTTTGGAGAAATGTTTTTCCAAGTCACCCATTTTCAAACCAAGCTGTTTGTTTTGTTGTTGAGTTGTAGGAATTCTCCATATATGCATTATATAACCCTTTTCAGATATATAATTTGCAAATACTTTCTCCATTCTGTGGTTGTCTTTTCACCCTATTTATTGACAGTGTCTTTTGATTAACAAAGTTTAAAAATTTTCATGTAGTCCTCTATGTTGTTGTGCCTTTGATGTCATACCCAATAAATAACTGCCGAATAAATCACTGTCATAAAGTTTTTTCCTTATTTTCTTCTAAGACTTTTATAGTTTTGGGTCTTACATTTATGTCTTTGGTCCATTTTGAGTTAATTTTTGTATACTGTGTTAGTTTCGGGTTCATCTTCATTTTTTACATGTGGCTATCCCGTTTTCCCAGCAGCATTTGTTGAAAAGACTATCTTTTCTCCACTGAATAGTCCTGGTACTCTTGTTAAAAATCATTTGACTGGCTGGGCACAGTGGCTCACACCTGTAATCCCAGCACCTTGGGAGGCCGAGGCGGGCAGATCACGAGGTCAAGAGATCGAGACCATCCTGGCCAACATGGTGAAACCCCGTCTCTACTAAAAATACAAAAATTAGCCGGGCATGATGGTGGGCGCCTGTAATCCCAACTGCTGGGGAAGCTGAGGCAGGAGAATCGCTTGAACCCAGGAGGCAGAGGCTGCAGTGAGCCGAGATCATGCCACTGCACACCAGCCTGGCGACAGAGCGAGGCTCCATCTCAAAAAAAAAAAAAAAAAAAAAAAAAAAGTAAGAAAAGAAAAAAGAAAAAAATCAGTTGACCATATACATGAGGTTTTATTTCTGGGCTCTCTCTTCTGTTTCATTGGTCTATATGTCTTCCTTATGCTAGTACAACACTGTTTTGATTACTGTAGCTTTGTAGTAAGTTTTAAAATCAGAAAATGTGAGTCTTCAAGCTTTGTTCTTCTGTTTCAAGACTGTATTGTATTGACTATTTGAGGTCCCTTCAGTTTCCATATGAATTTAAGGATATGCTTTTCTATTTCTTCCAAAAAAAAAAAAAAAAGTCATTGGGATTTTGACAGGGATGCACCAAATCTGTAGATTGCTTTGGGTAGTACTGACATCATAACAATAGTAAGTCTTCTAATCCATGAACATGCAATGTGTTTCCACTTATTTATGTCTTTAATTTATTTCAATAATTAAATTTATATGGTTTATTTCAATAATTATTTTTTATGGTTTTCATTTTATAAGGCTTTCACTTCCCTGGTTAATTCCTAAGTATTTTTTTTGATGCTATTGTAAATGAAATTCCTTTTGTAAGGTCCTTTTCAGACTACTTATTATTAGTGTATGAAAATGCAATTGCTTTTTGTGTGTTGGCATTGTATTCTGCTACTTTGCTGAATTCATTCACTAGGTTTAACACATTTTGGGGGAATCTTTAGGGTTTTTTAGATGTAAGACTACATATCATCTGTGAACAGAGATAATTTTACACTTCCTTTTTAATTTGGATGGCTTTCTTTTTCTTGTCTAACTGCTATGGTTAGAACATCCATTACTATGTTGAACAGAAATAGCAAAAACTGACATCCTTCCATTGTTCCTGGTCTTAAAGAAAAAGTTTTCAGTCTTTCACCATTGAGTATGTTGTTCACTCCAAGTCTTTCACATATAGTAGTCCTCTCACATTCCAGGACCACAGTGAATGACTGAAATCATGGATAAAACCAAACCCTACACACACTATGGTTTTTCCTATATGTACACACCTATTATAAAGTTTAATTTATAAATTAGGCAAGGTCAGAGATTACGAACAAAAATTAACAATAAAATACATCAATTATGACCAAGGGTGGTAGCTCATGCCTGTAATCCCAGCACTTTGGGAGGCCAAAGTGGCCAGACTGCTTGAGCCCAGGAGTTCAAGAGAAATCTGGGCAACAAGGTGAAACCCCATCTCTATAAGAATTTTTTTTAAATTAGCCTGGCATAGTGGCACACACTTGTAGTCTCAGCTACTTGGGAAGCTCAGGCAGGGAGGATCACTTGAGCCTGGGAGGCAGAGGTTGCAGTGAGCTGAGATTGCACCACTGCACTCCAGCCTGGGCAACAGAGCAAGACTTTGTCTCAAGTAACATAAAACAAAATACAAAAATTATAAAAACATATTAGAATAAGATATGTGAATGTGGTATCTTTCTCATTCTCTCTCTCAAAAAAAATTGTTTTAATGTTTTATAGAGCCAGGGTCTGGCTATGTTGTCCAGGCTGGTCTCAAACTTGTAGCCTCAAGTGATGCTCCCACCTTGGCCCCCAAAAGCACTGGGATTAAAAGTACCACACCCAGCCAAAATATCTTATCATATATAATATTTGCATATTGCAGTTAAACAAGGGTAACTTAAATTGTAGAGAGCAAAACCACAAATGAGAAACTACAATATAAATTTTATTAGGCTGAAGTAGTTTCCATCTATTCTTAGTTTATTGAGAGTTTTTATTAAGAAATATTGTTAAATTTTGTCAAGTGCTTTTTCTGCATCTATTGAGATGATCATGTGCTTTTTTCCCTTCATTCTGTTATTGTGGTACATTACTTTTATCAATTTCCATAAGATGAATCATCCTTGCATTCCAGGAACAAATCCCACTTGGTGATGGTGTATAATCCTATTAACATACAGCTGCATTTGGTTTGTTACTATTTTGTTGAGGATTTTTATATCAAGGTTCATACACATATACATTTAGAACTTAAACTGGTATTATTAGGAACGTTTTTCTTGAACATACTTGCTCATATGTGAAATTATATATGTGTACTAGAATATTACACATAGAATTTTTTAACACAGCAAAACACTGAACCTAACCTAATTTATATCAACTGGGGACTTGTGAAATAAATTACTGTAGATATATATGGCACAGTTACTATATAGCGGAAGGGAAAGGAATGGAAGGGAGGGGAGGGGAGAGGAGAAGAAAAGAAAGAATAGAGAGAGAGAAGTACTGATACAGAAAGACTTGGCTGTATGTGCCTCTACATGCATAAAACATTTCTAGAGAGACACAACAGGGATTAATGATTTCCCATAAATTCAATGTAAACATTATAATTTGGGGTGGCGTTCCTAATCAAAGTCTTAGGATCAAGTATTATAACCAAAACAATATTAGAAAGGAAAAGGCTGAGAGTCGTGGCTCACACCTGTAATCCCAGCACCGTGGGAGGCCAAGGTGGGAGGATTGCTTGAGGTCAGGAGTTCGAAACCAGCCTGGGTAACATGGTGAGATCCTGTCTCTACAAAAATAAAAAAATAAAAATTAGCCAGGTGTGGTGGTGTGCACCTGCAGTCCCAGCTACTTGGGAGACAAAGGTGGGAGGACTGATTGAGCCCAGGAGGTTGAGGCTGCAGTGAGTCATGCTTGTGCCACTGCTTTCCAGCCTGGGTGACAAAGCAAGACCCCATCTCAAAAAACAAAACAAAACAAAACAGAAAAGAAAGAAAAAATATATAAGTCTATATTTCTATAATTATTTAAAGCAATAAAATTAGGTATTATGCCTATATTCAGTCCCGTGGTTATCAAATGTTGGTATACAACAGAATCACCTGGAGTTCTTACAATAACAGATTCCTGAAGTCTACCCTCAGAATTTCTGATTCAATAGAGCTTAAATGGGGCCTGAAAAGTTGTTTGTTTTTTTTTTCTTTTTTTTTGAGACAGAGTCTTGCTCTGTCTCCAGGCTGGAGTGCAGTGGCGCGATCTCGGCTCACTGCAACCTCCACCTCCCAGGTGCAAGCGATTCGCCTGCCTCAGCCTCCCGAGTAGCTAAGACTATAGGCACGCACCACCATGCCCAGCTAATTTTTGTATTTTTTTAGTAAAGACAGGGTTTCACCATGTTGGCCAAGATGGTCTCAATCTCTTGACCTCCTGATCCGCCTACCTCAGCCTCCCAAAGTGTTCGGATTACAGATGTGGGCCACTGCACCTGGCCCAGAAAATCTGCTTTTCTTAAAATTCCCCAGGTAATGCTGAAGTGCTGAACCGGGGGCCACACTTTGAGAACGACTGTTGTAGACAAAAGACTATCTATTCAAAATTGTACATGAAAACCCACCTATCACTGTATTACAAGTATAATTTGATTATCAATAATATTTAGATAAGAATGCATGTTTACTGAAAACTTAAGAACTCGGCCGGGCGCACTGGCTCACGCTTGTAATCCCGGCACTCTGGGAGGCCAAAGCAGGCAGATCACGAGGTCAGGGGTTTGAGACCAGCCTGACCAACATGGTGAAACCCCATCTCTACTAAATATACAAAAATTGGCTGGGTGTGGTAGCACATGCCTGTTATCCCAGCTACTCAGGAGACTGAGACAGGAGAATCTCTTGAACCCGCGAGGCGGAGGTTGCAGTGAGCCGAGATCGCGCCACTGCACTACAACCTGGGCGACAAAGTGAGACTCCGTCTGAAAAAAAAAAAAAAAAAGCACCTTAAGAACTCTGCATGTCTGCATGGTGGATGTGGAAGATAATTTAGATTATTCCAAACATGGTGAAATAAAGGAGGAGGAAAGATAAGGAATATAATATTATTTTCTTTTCAAATGTAGCCTCCTATCTCCTATTTCTACCACTAGATGGAAACCAGTACAACAAATAGCTGCCAAACTGCTAATATGTTTAGATACAGTAAACTAATCTGAGGTGAAAACTACATCACGTGGCATTAATTACAAAGGGACAAATAGCTATGGGTCCCTATACTGACATTAACTGTAGAATGAGCATATTTATTTTACAATTAATTGTATATGTCATTAGCTCTTGGCCTATAAATAACATCAACTCCAATCAGAGCTGTTATGGATCAATTTTTAAAAATAATAAATAAATAAATAAAAGCTGTGATTTTTTTTTATTTTTTAAAAAAAGCACTATTATGACACCGAAAAAATCGTACATTGAAACCCTAACCCCCAGTAACCTCAGTGTGTGACTTTATTTAGAGATAGGGCCTTTACAGCAAAAACCAAGTTAAATTGTCATTAAGGTGGAACATAATCCAATACAACTTATTCCCTTATAAAATGGGGAGATTTGGACTTGCACAGAGGGATGACCATGTGAAGACACAGGGAGAAGACTGCCACTTACAAGCCAAACAGACCTCAAAAGCAATCAACCTTTGCTGACACCTGATCTCAGACTTACAGCTTCCAAAACTGTGAGAGCATAAACTCTGTTGTTTAAGCCACTAAGTTTGTGGTACCGTGTTACGACAGTCCTAGCAAACCAATACAGAACCTTTCTTATTTACTTTTCTTTTTCCATTTCAAAGGTGGAATGATGACTATAAGCAACATACTGCATCAAGTCCTGAGACAACAAAAATGAGTAACATTTGCCTTCAAGGTACTTACAGTCCAATGACTTATTATATAAGAAAACATGAATATTCATTAGCCACTAATAAGATTTTGGTGTTTTTTTCAATGTTCATTGACACAACATTCAATGGGTCACCAACAAAAATAAGAGACACAAACACTGAATCCTACTTTATTTCTATTGCCACTATGCCAATTACATCACTCATTATTTGCTTCCTAGTCCTTAGCACAAACCTTCAAACTGGTTTCTTTCTTTCTCCAAACCATCATGCACATTGCTGACAGCACCCTTCTTGTCACCCTTCCTTTTATGTAATTTACCTGATCAAAATATTTCAATAAATACCTTAAAGGAACTAGCTTTTTCCCAACTCAAGGTATAGATGTATATAACCTCAAACAAATTACTTAAAACCACTGATGCAGTTTGTACATAGCAAACTGAAATGTCTTTAAAAAAATTAGCAATTAAATATAATAATCAACAAAAAGAGTAACAATATCATAAATTATTAAATATACATGAGCATAACCATACCCTCTTATATAATTCCTTACAAAGTCCAGCACAGAAAGAATTATCTCAAATTTTAAAGCAGTGAGGGTACAAATTGATAGTTATTCTTGATCTGTAGCTGCCTCATAAAAAACCCATAGCTATCATGGAAACACTATCATAGAAATCCTATCTAAGATTCCAAAATTATATGTAAACTACTTACAGGGTGCTTATATTGTACACAACTTAATTTTATATTGCGCACTGGACTTACAAACATGGCCTCAATTACAAATGAAAAATTTTAACTTTGAATTTCTTACCATTTTGTTATCAAGTCTCTCAATTACTGAATTAACACTGTTACATATATAGTTATCCATTTGTTTTATCTTTATAAAAAGTAATAGCAGCCAGGCACGGTGGCTCACATCTGTAATGCTAGCACTTTGGGAGGCTGAGGCGGGTGGATTGCCTGAGCTCAGGAGTTTGAAACCAACCTGGGCAACACGGTGAGACCCCGTCTCTACTAAAATACAAAAAAAAAAAATAACCGGGCATGGCGGCATGAACCTGTACTCCCAGCTACTTAGGAGACTGAGACTCCTGAGTCTCCCGAGGGGAATCTCTTGAATCTGGGAGGCAGAGGTGGCAGTGAGCCAAGATGGCGCCACTGTACTACAGCCTGGCTGACAAGAGCGAGACTCCATCTCAAAAAAAAAAAAAAAGAAAGAAAGAAAGAAAGAAATCCAACGAGTCTGCTGATATTCCTCTATTACATTCCAAGTAAATAAATTTCACATCTTCAAACATTATTAATGTGCAAAATAATATTTCTTGGCTACTTTATACATAACATTCTAGAGTCACAATTTTGGTTAGGTCCCAGAGAGAACATCTCTTATTAGTCCTACAATTAAATGATTCAGCAACCAGCCACACTACCTTTGCCTTTTAACAGTTCCAATCAGTAGCAGATCTAGGTGTAATCAACAGCAGCAGGGGGCTTTAGAAAGCAAAACAAAACAAAAACAGTAGGAATCTTTACTAGAATACAGTAATTGATACAAGGGAACATTGTAGGCTATTGTAATACAAGTTAACGTAAGATATTAGAATCTGACTTTATAATGAGAAGTGAAATATGCAGGACAACTTTTAAATATCTAAAAACAATAAATATCAAATATTTAATAAGGTTACGATGAAAAGGGACTGTTTTAAAATGAATCTTCTCAGTCTCAGAAGGGTGATTACTTCTGTCTCGGTTATTTAGCACCCATTTAGAAGACAAATTAAAGCCCTCCTTACCTCCTACTGTTACCATACCTAACCAATTTCATCATCATATACTTATAAAAATTAAAGCATCTCAGAGAATAACTAGCAATGCTTTTACTTCTCTTAAGAAACATTTAAAATTTTACCAGCAACATCAGGACAGTCTTAAAATGTAATTTAGCAGAATGTTCCCATTTCTTTCTTTTTCCTATTTTTGATTTCCTAGCCTAGAGTGTATAGATGATAGTTAAGTACTATACATGGTGCCACTTAATAGCATGCAGGTAGCACAGTGATTTATTTAGATGAAAAATCAAAAGCCAATGGTAGCATGATGTGATGACTACAGATTCTAACTACACAAAAATTCACAAATGGAAATGTTACCATAGTAACATCCTGATCACACTGCACATGAGGATAGTTGATTTCATGATATAATTCTGTTTATTGCAGTATGTGCAATGAGACATCTATGAAATCTCAATTATACTTCCTCACTCTTCTCAGAATAAGATGTAAGGAATTTGACTGACAAGTTTACAATCTTGTCTGATTTTTCTTTTACTTCTTTTAAATTTTATAAAACAATGATTAAAATGTAAGTTGGCTAAGATCTAAAACATATAGTACTCTGTATAAGCCATATTCTAATCAAAGTTGTTAAAATTTCATATAGCAGGCCAGGCATGGTGGCTCATGCCTGTAATCCCAACATTTTGGGAGGCCAAGGTGGGTGGATCACAAGGTCAGGAGATCGAGACCATCCAAGGCTAACATGGTGAAACCCCATCTCTATTAAAAACGCAAAAAATCAGCCGGGCATGGTGGCACGTGCCTGTAGTCCCAGCTACTCTGGAGGCTGAGGCAGGAGAATAGCTTGAATCCAGGAGGCGGAGGTTGCAATGAGCCAAGATCACACTACTGCACTAAGGATGGGCAACAAAGCGAGACTCGGTCTCAAAAACAAACAAACAAACAAACAAAATTCATATATCAGTAGAAAACAAGCATACCTGATGGCAATCACTTCTCTATGAAAATACTTCCAAAGTTATTCAGCAACTATCCCACAGTGTTTTTATCTCAAGAAAGTTTTGTATTATAAAAGGAAAAATACAGGGCGGGGGAAAAAAAAACCTTTGTGCATCTTCTACCCAAAAGGAACAGTAAGACAAATGTTAATAAAAATACTATCATTATCTGCCAATCAACACTTGTCTTCAAAAGATGCTTTTGTAGAGTCTTTGTAGCTACTGTTGAGGGGAGAAAATGTACTAAACATAAACATGGTAGGGAAAAGAGTAGAGAATGTTGCTATTAATTTATTCCTCCGTGTAACAAAGAGTTGCTTTATGATTAAAGCTCTAAACAAGAAAATTATTATTATAACAATAAATAATAATAAAGCCATTCATTCATCTGGGCTAACATAATAAAGAATTATATGTGTTACTTAAGCTACAAAACATACAATTAAAATACTTACTTTTTGAAGCCCATTGAAGTATAAATTATAAGGTAAGGTACCCCTAAGGAGGTAGCACTCTCCAAATACCTTTAAATTTACCTATTGAAAATTATTTTAGACAGTAATAATTTGTTAAACCTTGGTTATTAATTTTAAACTACTTCCAACAATCTTTATTAAATTATCAAGTGGTGGCCAGGCAGGGTGGCTCATGCCTGCAATCCCAGCACTTTGGGAGGCGGAGGCAGGTGGATCACCTGAGGTCAGGAGTTAGAGACCAGCCTGACCAACATGGTGAAGACCTGTCTCTACTAAATACAAAAAAATATATAGCCGAGTGTGGTGGCGCATGCCTGTAATCCCAGTTACTTGGGAGGCTGAGGCAACAGAATCACTTGAACCTGGGAGGCAGAGGTCGCAGTGAGCCAAGATTGCGCCATTGCACTGCAGCCTGGGCAAGAGAGCGACACTCCATCTCAAAAAAATAAGATAAAATAAAATAAATTATCAATTGGCAATTTCTTTTCTATATCTTATTTGTACTATGGTGCAGAGAATTGGTATTTCTTCTGTTCAGTGATGTACACTACTACTAGTCATAAAACATTTAAAAGTAAAGATATCTAAAAACGAGTCCTTGTTCATTTTAATGAGTTTTCTCTATAATAAATATATGAATAAAAATGGAGACATTAACAATTAAGAAAACAAGCCTTTAGTATGATTTTTATTAAAAGTTGCAAAAGTCATACTATAAAATTCAACAAATATGTAACAAGTTGTAACTTCAGTCACCCATTCAATATAGTTGTTTTAATAATGAATGGCGCAGGCGCTGTGGCTCACGCCTGTAATCCCAGCACTTTGGGAGGCCAAGGCTGTTGGATCACTTGAGGTCAGGAGTTCAAGACCAGCCTGGCCAATATGGTGCAACCTCGTCTCTAGTAAAAATACAAAAATTAGCTGGGTGTGTAGTGCATGCCTGTATTCCCAGCTACTCGTGAGGCTGAGGCAGGAGAATGGCTTGAACCCAGGGGGCGGAGGTTGCACTGAGCCAAGATTGAGCCACTGTACTCCAACCTGGGCAACACAATGAGACTCTGTCTAAAATAATAATAATAATAATAATAGTAATAATAAGAATAATAATAATAATGAATGGCTTCCTACTATCCTTTTGCAAAGTGGATTGTCATGTGAAAGATACAATTAATCCATTTTACTTCACAATCTCTAATGGTTTTTCATAGGCTTCCTGTAAAACAATTTAATATGAAGGATGATGACCTCATGAGTATCAAAATTGACTAATATTCTGTTTACGTGGATAAATGATACATTGTTATCAAATCAAACCTCTTAAATCATTGAGTCTTTCCCCTTCTATGTGCTTTGGAATTATTACTAAAGTATTTGTTAGGAAAATATTTACTACTATGAATATGTGTTAAATGGGTAAGGTCAGGGTTAAAAGCGGGCCATTTAAGAATACTGATTTCCCCATTACCTTGCTGATTCCTATCTGCAGTAAAAGTTTACTTTAGGATACTGATTCCACTGCCTATAATTTCAGTCTTCTACATCACTCTGAAATACCACTACACTGTTAAAAATGGTCATGTTCATCTGAATTGAAACACACCTGTAAAAGTTAAACAAGACTCAATAAATATTTGAAATTTAAAACACAGGGTACACACACAAAGTTAAAAACAACAACAACAACAAAAAAAAAAAACACCACAGAAGGTCTTCTTCTACAGCTTTACCCACAGTCAAGGTAAGAAGCACTCTAATCTACAATGCTTACTGCATGGCCACAATTAAAATTATGGTAAAACAAAATGTCATAAAATAATTTCAAAATTTTTTAATCCAATATGTTATATGTTTAGTTCTTGGGGCAATCTAACTACTGTGAGTCACAAAATGTTATTTTGCCATAAAGATAAAGCACTTACATATCTGTGAACATCACCAAATACCACATAATATAAAGTGAAGATATCAATAAACTGTCATCACCCTGACTTTTACAATGTGCCTGCAATAAAATGTGACTATAAATTTATGTCATGTTCACATGAAACTAAAACCAAAAAAAATCCCAGTTCTCTTCCTCTTCCATCTATAATTTAAAAATTTATTTGAAAAAAATATTACAAAACTTTCAATATATAGCTTTAATTAAAAAACAAGTATTAAACACTAAGAAAACAGTAAATAGCTCTGTGTGTGTGTGTGTATGTGTGTGTATTTAAGTGCATAAACATGCACTCTCTCTAATATACACACATACAGCAAAAGATTTCCTCCCATGGCTACACCATTGCTTTGCAGACAACAAGCTAATTTGGGTTCCTATCATGCTGATCGGTCATACAGCAATACAAAACAGAAATAAGTAAAGACGACCATCTGCTTGTTAGCTGAAACTATAAAAGTATATCTTTTTAATAAACAATAAAATTAGTTTGACAGGGCAGAGACCACCTGAATAGAAAATCAAATATTTCATGTTATTTAAGGTGTATGTCTGCTGGCTATTAAAATACTCCTCTTTAATTTATTACAGCAACACACACAATACTCATGTCATCCTCATTTTCTAAATCAATAATCAGCACAGCATGCTTCATTAACAGTGACCAATCACGGATGAGCTGGGGATCTCATTTTACAACATGAGCATTCCTAAGACATAAACCATCTGCTACTTGTAGTAACAGAAAAATCAAATTAATCCATTCTTATCATGCATTCAGATTTTAAAGCAATTAAAGATGCTCTTAGTGTAATCGCAGCCACAGAAGTAGTTCTGTAATGAGGGAAGCAAACTCTTCACTGAACTTTCTGTCATTCTCAATACATTTGAAAACTTTACAAGCTTTCTGCACTCCAGTGGGCCATTGTTCTCTGAACACAGATGTTGAAAACAACAAGCAATTTTTATTAAACATTTAATCTTTGCACATTTGAAGGAGTTTAAATACTGAACAGTGATCAAAACATAAAACATATAAACACAAAAAACAACTGCGTATTAAAATAAGGCATAATGTCTACTTTAAACTTATAATAAGAAGAAATTCACAGATGAAGTTTTTCTGATTCCTTAAACTTCTGCCCTTACCCCTTTTATTTTCTAACACATATGGTATGTGTTGATACCATCTTCAACATCTGCAGCACCTGAGCAATGGCATGGGAAACCTTGTTTCTGAGCAGTATACATTTGTAGTTTTATGTAAATTTATTCCCTTAGGCTGTCTCTAATATGTGAAAACTGTTACTCAACAACTAAAATTTGAATATACAGAACATCAGTCCTTCCAGATGATTAACACAAGGACCTATGATCTTAAGAGAGAAAAAAAAAAAGGTAATAACAATCACCGAAGTATCAAAGAAGTAAGCTTTATAAAGCAAAGGAACTAACATGGCTGGACAAAGCTCCCTCCTGTTAGAGACCTTATGCTTCAAAATCATAATTCAAGTAGAGAATTTTGGAAAGATTTCAAAGGAAAATCAAAATAATTATTAGTTTCTGAATAAATTGTATAAATCATCTTCCTAAATCAAACAGCACACTAAGGATGTATAGGAGTTGACTAGACCAGGTTGAGGGGAAGAACATTCTGGAGGTTGAAGTAAGCAGAAAGGCAAATCATGAAAGAAGACATTCATTCCAAGAGCAATTACTAAAAATGGAACACATGCCTGGCACTATTCTAGGCCCTAGGACATAGTACTAAATAAGACACTAGTCTCTGACCAAATAGAGCTTAAATGCTACTGGTGGGAGACAGAAAATAAACAAATATAAAAACACCAGGTGGTGGTGCTAATAGCTATGATAAAAATTTCAAAAAGTTGATGAGATGGAGAGAGAATGGGGTCTATTTTAGACTGGGTATTCAGATATCTGAAGAGGTGACATTTAAACAGAGTTGAGTGACAAAAAAAGGAGTTTGTCATGGGAGTTTGGATGAAGGTTATTTATTCCAGTGAGAAAAAACAGGTAATACAGAGGCCCAAAGGCAGAACTGAGCTTTGGAATAAATCCAGAATTCCAGGGCTAGAGAAATAGTATATCCTAACGCATAACATGAAAATTTTGCATTTACCAGTGTTTTTGTTTACTATTAATGTTTTAGCCTGAAATCCTGCCTGGGAGACAGAAAATATACTGTTATTATACAAACTCAGTAAAAAATACAAAATTGACTACATGATAGGTGTTTACTCTTTATTAGATTAACAGACTAAGCACAAATATACTTGGGGCACCATATTTCAGACAAAAGAGAGATGGGTAAGAAAGAGAGGGAATGGTGTCATGTGTCCCTGCTGCTATTTAAAGAACTCTCCATAGTCACTGTAAAGAGGTCACCAGTCAATACACAAAGTCCTTAGCCAATGCCGTAAGAACTGCAATTCTTATCTTTTAAAATGTTCCTTGTAAAACTACAATGAGATTCTATTTTTTACTTGTTACACTGGCAAAAATCCAAAAGTCTGGCAACACACATTAGTAGTAACACTGGGAAAGACCAGCTTTCCCTCCACACATTGCTGAAAAAAGTAGGAAATGGTACAACACCAAGGGAGGGGGATTTGTACTATTTAACAAAACTACAAATGTATTTTCTCTTGATCCAGAAAATCCAAAATGGAAATTATTCCTGCAAGTCTAACAGCACACACATATATATGTACATGTCCCAAATCTCCAAAAACCACAAGCAATATCCTAACTTTGACACAAAGTCGTTTTTGCAACAAAATTTGACTTGAATTGATATAAAGCTATTTATGGTCTTTATTTAACCAACAGTGTGAATAATCACACATTTCCCATCAGAAATAGTAACTTATTTGTTTACTGAGTGCTGCCTCCACTGGAAGTATTCTGTAATTTTAGAACATGTATCATGTTAACAATTCTAAAATCCCGAAAATTATGAATACCAAAACATTTAGTCCCCTTGCGGGTTCAGATAAGAGACTTAGGACCTATATAATTCATTACAATATTGTTTACAGAAGGTAAATGTTGACAACAATCCAAGTATTTACCAATAGGGAACTTGTTGAATTTTCTATGGACAAGTGCTCCTTCCTTCCCTCTTTTAAATCCTGTCAACATCTATTCCCTAAACATTCAGCCTACTACGTCAGTTTAAGGATGTAGTATCTTCTGTTTCTATGGCACGTACTATTTTTAGTCAACTTTCACCTCATCTGTCTCCTAAATTAAGGAATACAAGGACATATAAGATAGAATCCCTATTCTACAGCACCATAACATATTTGGTGAGAAAAGACTGCATTGAATAACCTAAAATGTACATAACAGCTTGAGGTCATCAAGAAGAGGTTATCAGTCAATATAAAAAGCCATTAACGAAGCCCATTACTTACCATTTCACTAATCCATTCTTTTAAAGGAACTCACCCGAAACATCGTTTGGAAATAATCTTTCAAATAAATTATAACGCAACTCACAGAGGAGTAATGTGGGAGACCAGTCAGAGTTCTAATGGCTGCTCACAGCTAATGAAACCAGTGGGGAAGCTCTCCTGGGGTGAAGCTGGTACATGTCCTCAAAGGATAGTGAAATGGCAAAAGAAAACACTACTGTAGGCAGGAAGTTTTATCTAAGAGGCTTAGTTTGATCATACTCTGGTTGAGGTGAAGCACAGGGATACAACTTTACTTTCCTATTATTCTTATGTTATGCTCAGGAACATGTTCTAGAAAACCAACAAAGGTTACTGACGAATATATATACATTCTTTATTCTCCCCCATCATGGAGCACTTTTCTGCACTTGGGTACTGAGTAAAAACTTTACACAAATGGGATTTGGCCTGGATCCTAAAAGGCATGCAGAATTTGGATACTAAAAACCACATCTACTTTCTCCCTAAAATCTTTCCATGCTTGTGTCACTGACAGTTTCCTTGTAATTCATAAAGCCCTTCCATTATCTCTTCTTTTCATATATTTAATATCTGTGCTTTTTTTTTTTCTTTTTTTTTGGAGACAGAGTCTCACTCTGTCGCCAGGCTGGAGTGCAGTGGCGCGATCTTGGCTCACTGCCACCTCCGCCTCCCAGGTTCAAGCGATTCTCCTGCCTCAGCCTCCCAAGTAGCTGGGATTACAGGCACGTGCCACCACGTCCAGCTAATTTTTGTATTTTTAGAAGAGATGGGGGTTTCCCCATGTTGGCCAGGATGGTCTCGATCTCCTGACCTTGTGATCCACCCTCCTAGGCCTCCCAAAGTGCTGGGATTACAGGCATGAGCCATTGCGCCAGGCCTTGTGCTTTTTTTTTTCTAATGCAAGTTGACAATGAATTTATTAACTCTGTAATCCAAAATGTATCTGAGACAAGTCTCAATCAATTTAGAAGTTTATTTTGCCAAAGTTAAGGAATACGACACATGGCACAGCCTCAAGAGGTCCTAAGAACATGTTCCCAAGGTGGCTGGGTTATAGCTTGATTTTATACGTTTCAGGGATACATACGACATGAATCAATATATGTGAGGTATACACTGGTTCTGTCCAGAAAGGCGGGGCATCTCAAAGCAAAGGGGGCTTCCAGGTCATAGGTGGATTCAAAGATTTTCTGGTTGGCAATTAGCTGAAAGAGTTAAGTGGTCATCTTCAGAGGCAATAGATGGCAACTGTTTCTCCTATTAAATCTTTAAAAGGTATTGGACTCCCAGCTAATCTCTTCAGGATCAGAAAAACAGCTGGGAAAGGAATGGGACTGTGATTCTATTCAGAATGTAAACTTCTCCCACAAGAGATAACCCTGAAGGGCCATTTCAAAACATGTTAAATATGGGGTAAAATGCTTTGATTTCTTACAGGGCCTGCTATCTGTCATGTGATGCTATACTACAATCAGGGTGGTATTTGTTATCTTAGTGCTACAAAGAGTCTGTTTTGTCAGTCTTCTAATCTCTATTTTAATGTTAATGCTGCTCAGTTTTGTGCCTGAACTCCAAAGCAAGAAGAGTACAAACAAGCCATGACCGACCTTTCCATTCCTGTCATGGCCTGAGCAAGTTTTTCGGGGTTCTTTGGAATCCCCTTGGACAACAAGAGGATCCATTCAGTTGATTGGGGGCTTAGAATTTTATTTTTGGTTTACATCTCTAACCACTGAAATTGCTGATATTTAATAGTTTGGTTTTTTTTTTGAGACAGGGTCTCGCTCTGTCACCCAGGCAGTGGCGCAATCTCAGCTCCCTGCAACCTCTGCCTCCCAGGTTTAAGTGACTCTCCTGCCTCAGTGTCCCAAGTAGCTGGGACTACAGGTATGTACCACCACACCTGGCTAGTTTTTTTGTATTTTTAGTTAGAGACAGGGTTTCACCATGTTGGCCAAGCTGGTCGTGAACTCTTGACCTCAGGTGATCCACCCGCCTTGGCCTCCCAAAGTGCTGGGATTACAGGCATGAGCCACCGTGCTTAGCCTAGTTTGTTTTTAAGCCTACAAAAAAATAAGAAATTTCTATTGGTTTAAAATTCATTTCCATTTCCTGTATTTTCATCATCATCTTCACCTTTTCATGACTAGTCACTACTCAATCTAGGCTCTCCTCATTGCTTACCACAGACATTACAATAACTACTAAGCCTGCCTCTACACCTTTGGTTTCTCCTCTCGATGCCATCTTACAAGCTAATATCGGAATAATCTCCAAGAGCATAAGGTTTGATTTTGGCATGTCTTATTGCATACCTTTCTGTCTCATCCCTGAAAGCTTAATAGAATGCAACTGATCAAGAGTGACATTTTTAAAAGATAATCTTAAATTAGCTCTGATTTATCAAAAAGGTAACTCATTTTCAAATTTTGATAATATAATTATTTTTATTAACAATTTACTTAGGAAAACTTTCCATAAATGATTGTTATACACTACAGAACCATTAAGAGCATGAAGTTACCATTAGTAACTGCCTTAGAACAATAATTTACATACAGAAGTGAACTATACTCACTGACCACTTCTTTTGTTTTGACAAATACAAACAGAAATAAAAGGATAAAGAAGTAGAAGAAACCCATTTAAGACACTGGCAAACACACATGTAGGAAAAGTCAGAGTAGGAAAAGCCAACGCAAATTTACATTTTTATATTGCTACAAAATTCATGTCACACAACCTAAAGTACCTTCCTCCCTCAACACAAAATAAAAATAAAAAATAAAAACAACTGCTTAACATGAACGAAAAGCATATTAGTGCTGACAAATGTTTAACCGATTGGTCAAGGAGCTGGTATCAATTCTGACTATTTGTTGGTAAATAGAACCAGATATTTATACATCAATAATTGATCATAATAAAAATTAAGAAATTTTCCACGAACAATCTTAGAAACAAGATAGCTATGAAACCTTTGGCTTTATATGGCCTTTCTCCTATGGGAGAAAAAAAACCAAGAGGGATAGGCTCCCTTTTCTCAGAGCTATTTTGCCACACAATAGCTTACATAAAATAACATTCCATTTGGATGTATGTTTTTGAGGATAAGAAGTTTGTGTGCCAATACGTCACTCTTCCAAATAAAAATATAAAGTTTAACAATGCAATTGGCTGCTAACAAGCATTAAAATGGAAATATATTTTGCTTGCTTTCATTGCAACTTCCATTTATGGTCTACCTTCTGGCATTCTTTGTTTTGTTTGTTTTGTTGTTGTTGTTATTGTTGTTTTTGAGACAGGGTCTCACTCTGTCACCCAGGCTGGAGTGTAGTGGCATAGTCACTGCTCACTGCTGCCTCAACCTCCCATGCTCAAGTGATCCTCCCACCTCACCTTCCCTAGTGGCTGGGACAACAGACACATGCAACCATGCCCAATTAATTTTTGTTCTTTGTATCCGAACCAAGCAACAGCCATAGGTAAATTTTTTTTAAATGTTAAAAATTAACATTTTAAAATTTATCAGGACATAAATATCAGAAATTTTAGTAAAACAACCAGGATACAGACACAAAGAAAGACACAGCTACACACCAGAACAAAACAGGGGTATACTGAATTTCTGGGAATGAGTCAATCCTGGCTTTCTGATTACCCAGCACAATCATGTTATGAACACATTAGAAATTTTCATGATGCAAAACCTATCTCTTGTGGATTAGAGTAACCCATATGCATGGTTTACAACAACCAAGTTCTTCTCTCTACCCATATACATATTACCAGAGTACTTTTTCAAGAACCCTTGTTCTACTATAATTCTATTTTATAGCTCCCAAAAACAACAATAAACTATGACATTATAAGAAACGAAAGTCAACTCTAAAATTTAATCCTTAATAAAATCACAATCCTATCCCAAAACCTGAGAGGATTTGCTCTCTGAATGATTTCAACAATTTGTTTACTTAAGGTGCAATGTGACTTTATGTAAATAAGGAAATCTTTATGGAAAACACAAATGTAACCAACTATACAATATAAAATTATCACCTTAAATTACAATTTAATAGTAATAATTGCCAAGACTGTCTAAAAAGCATTTAGGAAAAGCCACTGATTTAATAACATAGTCAATATAAAATGGACATCTATTTTAAAAGTATCCAATAATAATAAATAATAAAATAATTTAAAAGGCCAAAAAAATAATGAATTTCAATGTGATCAAAAACTAATAGTCATGAACAGGTTGAATTCATACAGTTATATATGGGAATATTTTTCAAAAGGTTCTCCCACAAGAAATTATTTATTGTAAATAACAGATTAAATGGGAGTGAGAAAGGTGAGGAAAAACGGGTTGTTCTCAGCTAGGTATTGGCAACATTATTCTGAAAAAGAACTAGACATAGTAAATATCTTAGGCTCTGTGGGCCATACGGTACCTGTTGCAACTACTTAACTTTGCTGTAAACTAATAAGCATCGCTGTGTTACAATAAAACTTTATGGACACAACTGTGAATTTCATATAATGTTCATAAGTCAAGAAATAGCATTCCTACCTTGAATTTTTTAAACTGCTTAAAAACATAAAACCATTCTTGGTTTGTAGGTTGTACAAAAATGGATGCCAGGCCAGATTTGCCTCATAGGCCACATTTTATCAACCCCTGTTCTAAATCACATGTTTAACCACACTCTCAGCCTTCAATCACAAAATAGAAACTAGATCTTTCATTCCCCATATTTTCTGCATCAATTTCCTAAATATTTTACGGTCTATTTTCTATTCTCTTTCTCTTAAATAAATAAATAAATAAATAAATAAATAAATAAGACTTCATTTTTAATAGCTATATAAATGTAAAACTTTTTTTTTTAAGACAATGTCTCGCTCTGTTGCCCAGGCTGGAGTGCAGTGGCATCTCGGTTCCCTGCAACCTCTGCCTCCTAGGTTCAAGCGATTCTCCTGCCTCAGCCTCCCAAGTAGCTGGGATTACAGGCATGGCCACCACACCCAGCTAATTTTTTGCATTTTTGGTAGAGATCGGGTTTCACCATGTTGGCCAGGCTGGTCTCAAACTCCTGACCTCAAGTCATCTGCCCACCTCGGCCTCCCACCAAAATGCTGGTATTACAGGCATGAGCCACTAAGCCCGGCCTAAAACATTTAAATGACAAGGAAAATAAGATAATCTTTACAAATGCCACAGGATATTTGCAAATTTTCCTATGTAAGAGGAGATAAAGATCATGTTCATACATTGTGAGAATGTGGAATTCACATTCACTGACCACAATACAAATCTAGAATTTTTTTTTTTTTGAGGTGGAGTCTTGCACTGTTGCCCTGGCTGGAGTGCAACGGCGCGATCTCGGCTCACTGCAACCTCCACGTCCTGGGTTCAAGCGATTCTCCTGCCTCAGCCTCCCGAGTAGCTGGGATTACAGGCGCCCACGACCATGCCCGGCTAATTTTTTGTATTTTTAGTACAGACGGGGTTTCACTATATTGGCCAGGCTGGTCTCGAACTCCTGACTTCATGATCCGCCCATCTCAGCCTCTCAAAGTGCTGGGATTACAGGCGTGAGCCACCGCGCCCGGCCAAATCTAGAATTTTTTTAATGATAAAAAAGTCCTTATTAGATAATCAAATTGAAACATTTCATTTCTAGTTACTTTATATAACAAAAACACTATATAACATATGATGTGATGAGTTAATGGATGCAGGGTTTGAGAATCAATACCTGCCAACATTTAAAATTTTAAAAAGATACTATGTGCCTCCTGATGAGAAAATACAATGGCACCTATAGTCCTATCTAAGGGATTAAGTTTAAATGCAATCAAACTCTGACTGTACCTGCCAACTTAGAAAAAAATATAGAACAAAATGTTTAACTTCACCATGAAGACAAGATCGACAAAATCCAGACTACAAGGAACTCAGCAGGTCAAACAACTCAGGTACTTCAGTGAATAACATATAAAGAAAAGAAAGGGCTGGAGGGAAAACCTATTGTTTAAGAAAGTCTTCAAAGGCAAATATAGTCCAGACTCAGTGGCTCACCCCTGTAATCCTGTCACTTTGAAAGGACAAGTTGGGAGGATCACTTGAAGCCAGGAGTTCAAGACTAGCCTGGGCAACAAAGTGAGACACCCTGTCTCTAAAAAAATTGAAAAATTAGCCAGCCATGGTGGTATGAATCTGTAGTCCTAGTTAGTCAGGAGGCTTCAGCAGGAGGATCACTTGAGCCCAGGAGTTGAAGGCTGCAGTGAGCTATGATTATGCCACTGCACTCTGACCTGGGCAACAGAGTAAAACCTTGTCTTTAAAAAAAAAAGGGGGGGTGGGGGGCGGACACAGTGGCTCACACCTGTAATCCCAGCACTTTGGGAGGCTGAGGCAGGTGGATCATGAGGTCAGGAGTTCAAGACCAGCCTGACCAACATGGTGAAATCCCATCTCTACTAAAAATACAAAAATTAGCTGGGTGTGGTGGCCCGCGTCTGTAATCCCAGCTACTAGGGAGGCTGAGGCAGGAGAATCACTTGAACCCAGGAGGCAGAGGTTGCAGTGAGCAGAGATTACACCACTGCACTCCAGCCTGGGCGACAGAGCAAGACTCCATCTCAAAAAAAAAAAAGAAAAATAGTTTTTTTAAATGAACATGAACAATACTAAACTATAGTGTCTAGAGACGCACACCTAAGTCACAAAACCATAAAGAAACAGAAATAAATTATTATTCTGAAAGTCAGAAGTTACTTTTGGAGGGAAAAAGAGGGCTGTGATTGGCACAGAACACATGGAAGAGCTTCTGCAGTGGCTGGCAAAGTTCTATTTCTTGACCTAAGTAATAATTACAGGCATGTTTACCTTAAAATAATTCACGAAGACATATATTTGTTTTGAATGGTTTCCTGTATCTGTGATCTATGTTATAATGAAAAGGTTAAAAGCTAATTAAAGCAAATTAATTTCATACACATATCATACATATGATATACTTTTTTACATATATACATAAAAACTTAGAGGGTTCAATCAAAGCTCTAGTAAGAGCAAAAAAATCATAGATTAACACTCTGCTAAATGTAAAACAAAAGAAAATATAACAAATAAATGAGCCAGCACTTATCTTAAGAAGATTATAAAAACAAAATAAACCAAATAAATTAGCAGACAGAGAAGCAAACAAGCTAGTTATTTCCTTCTTTGCAAGCTCAATAAAATAGACTAAATTTTGATAAGTTGACCAAGTGGAAGGCGAAAAAACATAAAGTATTGTTAGTAACAGCAAGAAAAATAATATAATACCAGGCCTCAATAAGATTATTTAAACACTGGAGTGGGAGGGTGAGGAGTATTATGTACAGCTTTAGGCCAACGAATTTGAAGACCTAAATAAAATAAAAAATAAGAAAGGACAAATCTGTTCTAAGAAAGGACAAATTTCCAAAAAGAAAGAAACTGTCCCAGTTCATTTTATGTTGGCATGATCCTAACCCCAAAACATGACAAAGAGAGCACAAGAGGAACGATCTCACAAAACATCACGAACAAGAAGTAATCTTTCCAAAAATGCAAGGGCAGTTAAAGATTAGAAAGTCTATTAACTGATTATGTAAGTCAACTACAGGAAAAAAGACCATACAATGTGTCACTGAATATGGCAAACCTTTGATTAAAAAAAACTTTGTTTCAATTAGCAGAGTATGATGGCACATACCTGTAATCCCAGCTACTTGGGAGGCCTAGAAGGGAGGATCCCCTGAGTCCTTGAGATGGAGGCTACAATGGGCTATGATTGTGCCACTATATTCCAGCCTGGATGACAGAGTGAGACCCCATCTCTAAAAAAAATTTAATTAATTAAATTAAAATAAAAATAAACTAAGCAAACAAAATATAAAACTTCCATTGGTCAATACAGCATTAGGGTGAAAAAAAACCCACAAATAGTATTTATAATGGCAAAACATAAATGGATTTTGACATTTAAAAACAGACACCTAAAGATATTAGCTATTAATGCCAATCCTATTAATTCAACATTGTTAGAGAGATTTTACCCAACCCAATAGGTCAAGTAAAAGAAATTAGAAGTATAAATTTTAAAAGGAAGACAAAATTATAATTTGCACCTAATAGTGTCTATAACTATTCAAGATAATGAAATTAAAAAATTTTTAAATCATAAAATGAGTAAGACTGCATGACTTAAAACAAAAAAAAAAAAGAAAGAAAGATTCCCTATACACTAAACACTGCTCAAAACTTAATATTTACTGTGAGTGATATGCCAGGGACTGTGCTAAACACCAGACAAACCAATACCAACCATAACTAAAATAACCCAGCACAAGGGCAACAACAGTCTTGGTGCATTGTGAAAACCTAGATATAAAAAAATGTGTGACTTGTTTGAAGGACCCAAATGGCAAATCAAGATGCACAACATATTCCTGGATGGGAATGCTCATTATTGGGGATATATAAATTTTCTATAATCAATACATCTAATGCAAATCTAATAAAAATTCCAAAGGGACTGTGAGACAGAAGATGGCAGGAAGATTCTGAAGTCTATGTAGATTGTCTGAGAATACCTACAATTTTTAAAAGAATAATGATATAAAGGGAATAGCCCTGTAATGCAGAAAAACAATAAATCCTCTTACTTAAAAGTGTAAGGTTTGTGTAAAGAGAGACATACAGATCAACGGATTAAAACTAAGTCCTAAACAAATCCGTAAGTATATCACAGTTATGTAAATGATGAGGGGATATTTGTTGATGGATTAGTTATAGTGAGTAAGAGAGAGTTTTCAGGTTGCACAACTGGATAGAAAGATATTCTTGACTAAAATTGGGAATACTAGACAGAGAAGGTCTGAACAAAGGAAGAATATAATAAATTTAATTCTAGACTCGTCAAATTTGAGGATCCATCATGGAATCCAAGAAAAGCGACATCAAATAGTTCGGTATGCGGGCCTGGAGGTCATAACAATAGCCTAGGCTGGATCTGTTAACTTGGGAGTCTTGCATACAAAGTGGTTAACTGAAGTCATAGACACAGACTAGATTACCAAGAAAAGGGTACAGTGAGAAGAGAAAAGCACTAGATCTTGAGGAATACAACACAATGAATCAGGAAAATCAGGAAGGTATAATATCATAGAAGCAAAGGCAAAAATATATTTCAAAACGGAGTAAAGTTAAATTTAAGGTCTGAAAATGTCACCTGGAATTATCAAAGTACATTCTGTATAATATAAGGTTATAGATTCACAATGTGAAGAGTAAAGAATTAAGATTTCAAAACAGTATCTTTAGAAAGGGCTTATAAAATTTTAAAAAGGAAATGAGAGAAGACAAACATATTTTTAAAAAGGAGTCTGGAAGGACATATCCAAGTAAGAAACAATGGTCATCACTGGGGAAAGAATTACTGGTGGTTTGTTGTTGTTGTTTTTGTTTTTTGTTTTTTGTTTTTTTGGTTTTTTTTGAGACGGAGTCTCCCTCTGTTGCCCAGGCTGGAGTGCAGTGGCTTGATCTCAGCTCTCTGCAAGCTCCGCCTCCTGGCTTCACGCCATTCTCCTGCCTCAGCCTCCCGAGTAGCTGGGACTACAAGCGCCCGCCACCATGCCTGGCTAATTTTTTGTATTTTTAGTAGAGACGGGGTTTCACCGTGTTAGCCAGGATGGTCTCGATCTCCTGACCTTGTGATCCGCCCGCCTTGGCCTCCCAAAGTGCTGGGATTACAGGCATGAGCCACCGTGCCCGGCCTTACAGGTGATTTTTAACTTCATACATTTCTGTATTGTTTGACTATTTTAGCAAAAACATGGAGTACTTATACATTAACAAAAAATAAAGATAGTTTAAACTGGAAAAGCAAATTGGAGGAAAAAAACGACCTCCCCAGACATTACTTTATAAAAATATTTTTATCATTACTTAAAAGTTGAAAAACTTTACAGGGCTCCTCACAGATCCACTGCATTCTCTTTCATGATAGCCATACCCTATAAAGTGAAATACTTTTATTCATTTTTTAACCAGCATTTATTATGCATCTACTATGAATCAAATCATTGGCTGAAAACATTGGAGGCAAAAATATAAATAAATTACTACCCCCCTTAAGCTTCATGGGCCTACAGTTTTATCAAAAAGACATGTAAACAATTATAATTCAACATGATTAGTGTACAAAGTGACAATGAATGTACAAGCTAAAATATTTTATGAAAGAAATAAATTTGAACTGATTCTTGAAGAAAGAAGGAGGTAGGAGTTCCAGGCAAGGAACTTCTAATATATTTAGAATCTGCATTCACCCATCCTACCCACCATGCTAGTTGATGCCCTATGTATGCCCCACCACTACTGCTGAGGATCTCATCAAATCCTCACCTCTCTCTTAAGTAGTCAGCATAGACAAATGGCTATCTTTTTTTCCTATATGTTAAAAACAAATCAGCATCCAGACATCAAATCATGATGACCTGAACATCCTGCTTACAGATTATTTTTAATTTTGAACCTGTCACAATGCACAGTAGTACCATGAGTGGGAAAAAAAGAAGAAAAAAATAAAATGAGCCCAAAAATCAACATCATATATTCATTTTTGTTGTGCTTTTGCTCAATTATATTAGAAAAAAATGAAAGTTGAGAACTCTAAACTTAGGTTTTTCTACTAGAAAACAAAAAACAAAAAACCTCTGTTCTTTAATGTTTGGAATAATTAGTATGTAGTTGTTATTGTCCCAGTACTTATTACTCCTAAAACCTGTTCTGGGGAAACTTATGTGTCTGAGGAACTGCATTTAATGGAACCTATTAACTTTTTTAAGACACTGTCTAAAAACATTGATTGTATATCACTAGGAGGTCAATCCTACAATCATCTTTTCCCAAATGGTCACTACTCCAAAGCACATTAGCTGTTCATTCAGTAACAGTTTTTGAGTACTATGTTTAAAGTCCTTAAGGAGTATCAGTTAATTATGTTCGTTGAAAGCAGTATTAAGTAGTAAGACTAATTCATCAATCATTACATTTTCCTAAATATTTTTCATATATTGCTATTTTAAGAAAAGAAAGACCATAACAATTACAGAAAAAGTAATCAGTACTACAATTTTCTTTGGAAAAGGTAAATATATACATGGCTGGCTATTGAAATAAAAGTCTTTCCAAAGGGCAAAGTGATATGCCAGGAGCTGAAAAGAATCAACTGCAAAGAAAACCTCATTTCTATTTTCAATTGCTGTTTCTGTTGACAACAACAAATAGTTTTTTATTTATTTACTGCCTCAGATACAACAGCACAACCAATGTATATGATATTTCGCATGCTTTAACAAAAAGAAATAATCTCCTCATTCCTTTATAAAGGATAACTTTTCGAATTAGAGTAATTTACATGCTTTTAGTGTTCTTCTTTTGAAAATTAGTGCATGTTACATTTGAAAAACTTTGCCAAAGGAAATATAGTCCCACATTTTCACAAAGGGAAGAAATGTTAAAAATTCAAACTTTGAAGCTAAGGTTACAGGTATTCTAAATGAAAAATAATTTTTTCCTCCACTAGTCTCTTTAATTACTATAACTATACTGCCGTATCCTTCCTATATTATAACATTATAGCACAATATTTGAGATTGCTTTTTAAGCACTCAGTATTCTACGGAGGAAAATCATGAAACTAAAGCCACATTAAAGTGACAATTTCCTCATTCAGTAGAGAAAAAAAATCACTTAGTTCTTTCCTGAACAAATCAAACAGTTTTAAAGACACTGTAATATATAGTGATAAAAATCTCAATTCTGTAACATAGATAAGCTTAAGTGCTTAATATATTCAGTTATGTGAGCATTTTGTACACACTAAGAGTTCATGGATTACACATCTAACAGTCTGCTGTGAACATGTGGAATTATGCACTTACGTTAAAATATCACCCCACCACAAAGAATTATTAATAGTTTTGACACCAAGAGGCAGATTTTATTTCTAAAAACTGATAAGTAGGGACAAACTAAAATACAAAAACAAGACAAGACAAAACACAACTAACAAAAACAAAGCTGCTTACTGAAGGTAACAGGTAACAGAAGGCCACAGTTTTGAAGATCTGATACACAGGAATCAGGGATCCCCGTCTGGAGCAAATCTTGAAATTAATAAAAGTAGGCCCTTCTGTTTACTTTTTGCTATAAAACACTGATCATCAATTTCAAAATAAGAATCTTAAGAGTTAATAAATAGTAACACAAACCAAAGCTAATGATATTAAGGATTCCAATAAATTTTAAATAAACTACCTGCAACTAAAAGCCTAAAATTTTAAGCCCTCCTTTTCTCCCTTTTCCTCTCCTCTGTTTTACTGTCTGTATCCCTTCACAAATATATGCATATATACATAAATAAAATTTATTCCTTTTAGAAAGCTGAGAAGGTAACCAGAAAAATTAATAAAATCTTGAATAAACAAACTTAGAAGGCCTTTCTATTTAGTTGACATTTACTTTTTGAATATGGAAATTCTGTTGTTCAACTTCACTAGACACTAGAGATTGCTCTTAGAATATTTTGGTAAACAAGAACCTAGTCCTTCTGTTAAATTCAAAAGTCAGGAAAGGAATGTCTTTGATATACATAACTAAATCACCATCTTATTATTTTCCTATCCTAAATCATAATTTTGTATACATACATAAAACATTCCCTATGCCTACATTTTTACCAATAAATGACATTTTGCTTCCCTAACATTGTCCTACCAAAATACACTAAACTTCATACCAATTATATGATTTGGTAATACATATTCCTTAAATATAAAGATGCCTCAAGTAAATCATTTTGTTTCTAAATAGACATCTCTCATCTCAGACTTTTTATGCTCAATATTTCTTAAGAGTCCACAAAAGAATAATTACCAAAATTAGTGAAATGTTTCACAGTCCTTATTTGGGAGAATAACCTGACTAAAGCAGACCACTCACTAATAAAGTGCAACTTAATAAATCATGTGGAATCTTATTTTGTTCAAACCCTTACTAACTCCTAGCACCATCTGTTACCATCAAAACTATATGACAAGATATGATATATAATTAATAGGTAAACAACAATCTAATTAAAATGGACAAATACTCCATGTTCCTGCCATTTGGGAGCTCTAATTACAGACTAAATTTTAAGCTTGAATTAAATATTTAAGCTGGAAAATTAACTTTCCTTCTCGATCCTTGAATACATTAATACAGATATGTGAAGCGACTTCCTGATGGGAACTTAAACATGTAATTTAGCTTCATCAAAGCAGTTACTAATTGTTAAGCAGCAGTACCTTACCATATGTACACAATAGCTATTTAGAGCTGAAAAGGTGGTTCTAAAGCACCCCTCTGCAACCCTTTCCTGACATAAATATAAAATGTATATACAGCGCAGCAGTTAATACTACACATTGAAAATAAATTACCTAGTCTTCAGTCTTTGATGCTTTCTGAAGACAATTAGAAATTGTTCTAAATAAACAAAATATACCTATATATGACAAGGTAAGAACCACACAAGTATAAAAGACCAAAAGATATTCAAGAATAAGCATCCAGGTATAAAATTCTCAGGCTACACAAAACTAATTAAAAACCCTGACCTACTAAATCAAAACAACAAGAGTATACTAATTCTGCTTTCCTTCCAAACTCTTCTCTTCAGAGAGCATCACAAGCTTTGATAATAATGTTCTAGCAAGCATTTAGAATGGCAACGTAAAAGGTGAACACCCTCCTACCTTTTTCATTTGTTTTTGAATGTAGGAGGAATAATATTTTAGAACAAATGACCCTAACAGGCAACTGTTTAGGAAAAATTCTCTAAGAATATAAAATATATATATATTTTCACTACCAATTTATATTTAGTAAATGAATGACAGAGAGGTTGCTAGAAAGGTATATATTACTCTTTAAAAATAGATTATTCTAATTCTTTATAACCATAAAGACTAACTGCAGGTCAACCACATTAACATAGTTTGGTTAAAAAAAGAGAACATTGTCAAAGAGGTGGTGGAAACTGCTTTTGTTTATATATTAAATATTATTTTGTTAAGCATTCAGTAGTATAACCATTAAATTTTACTAATAAAAGAACTAATTTTTATAATTTCACAGTAAAACTAGGATATTGCACTGGTTAAGATTCAAAGTCAATGACAAATATATAAGTTGATTATACTAAATCTCCCTTATTTGAAATTTTTACCAGAATTTAAGTAATTAAAATTTAAATCTTAAGAAGATCTTTTAAGAATAAAAAGGAACTTTTTGTTCTGTATTGGCAATAGGCAACATATTTAATATTTTATAATTCATTACTATTGTTCTAGGTTTTTGCTCAAGGATAACATATATAATATTAACATATAACATTATATATTGCCTATTTTCTTCTCCCAATATTTCCTTTTATCTCTTCTTTCGATCTTAAAATTGCCCAAGTTTTACTCATGTTTAAATGTTTACTCATGTAGCTATACAGCATTTGGTATTCCTAATAAACTACTGCTCCACAACTATCTGAATGTTGATGCATTTTAATTTCAAAAAAGTCACGGATCTGCCCTGCATACCACATAAGATGTGCTTTTACTCTTCATTAATTGACAAAATACACAGGTATATGGGTTTAAAGATGCCTTGTAATTACCCTAATGTTTCATAAAGATTTGTAGCCATACACTGGCAAATACCCACAAAAAGAGAACAAGGGCACTCTCTGAATAACCTCTTGAAGTAAATATTTATTTTCATGTTATCCTACATCATCTAAAAATCTGCAAACAGAGAATAATCAGCAAATATCACTGAAAGATAAAAACCCAATCCTAAAAGATTTGATAGACATACAAAATCTGGCTGGTTCACATTTAAGCATCATGGTTCTTTTCTAATATTAAATCAGTCGACTGGATGATAACAGAAGTTCCTCCATAATGTAGGCTAGAAAAGTCTATTCAATTTTATTTAAAATCTGTATGCTATAAAAGTACATGTCATGGAATTTACTAGGATGCAACTATATAGATATGAAATTCATGACATATTGATTCAACATATTGAACTGGTTTTTAAAACCAATTTATATAAATGATTATAATAGCCTATATTATGTTTAGCCCATGAGGCATATGGTAGTAAATTTGAATTTAATTTTAAATAAATTTACATAAATATAAAAAGTTAAGTAATTTTTATCCACCCTGCATATGAAACAGAGCAAATAAAAAAACAAGAGGACTGTATATTATAAATGCACTTGAGCCTGAAGCTCAAATCAGAAATCCAACTTTATTTCTTAAAAAGGAACCAAGGGATGACTGGTTTTTGTTAGGAAAAAAGAAAAACATCATTGACAGAGAAAGTACTACTGATTATTAGGCAATATATATTTATATATTTGTAAATATATAAATACATGTTATAAATGTTTATTTAGCAATAAATATCATTTTCATCTACTATATATTCTAAAAAACTTAATGCATCAAAAAAGCTAGCAGTGACATATGGTATACATATATTCACATCAAATTATCAATTAAGACATATATACAGTCTCTTCACTTTGGAGAACTTATAAGCAATTTACAAAATGAAAATATTTTAAAAGGTACATCAAAAGTGTTTTTTACAGGTACTAGAAAGTCAGAGGTTCCACCATTGGTATGAGAATGGTCTCAACTTTCCATCAGTAGAGCTCAAGCTGTGACTCTCAGAGACTTAGCCAGTATGAAACATACAGACTCTGTAAGTGGAGGCCTTGACCTTACCTTATCCCAAGTTCCATCCAGTAAGTTAACTGGCCCATACATCCAGAAATTTTAAAAATAGTAAGCAAGAACCAAGATACAATATATAAATTTGAAGTGTATGGTTTCAGTATTATCAGAAGCATTGTCAAATGCCTATCATTTCCCAGCAGCTTGACAGATTTTTTTTTCCCCTAACACTCAAAACAATTTACAAACTAGGCATCATTCCCACTTCACAGATGAGGAAACCATGGCTCACAGATTAAGTAACTTGCCTAACGTCACACAACTATAACTCAGATCTCTAACTAGAAAACCTGTTTATAACACTATTTTCTACATTTTATTCTGAAATTTTTCAAACTTTCAGAAAAGTTACAAGAATGTTACAGTGAATATTCACATACCCACTACCTAGATTCTACAATTGACATTTTACTGTATGTATTGTATCACTTACCTATCTACATCTACTAGACCATCCTATTTTTAATGCATTTCAAAGTTGCAGATGTTATTCTACCTTTTCAGTATTTTATTATATTTTCAAATATACAGAAAAGGTGAAAAAAATTACATTATACACTCATGTCTATCATCTAGAATCTTCAATTACATTTTATTGTACTGCAGTATCATAATGTCGATACAGTTGTTCATCCTTCCATCATTCCATCTTATTACATTATTGTAATTATTAAAGTTATTGTTGCAACCTCTAAGTCCCCTCTACAAAGAGAGAACTGCAAAAAAGTTGTTTACATGTATTTAATACTGCTACATTTCCTTAATCAGTTAAAGTTATGTTTGGATATACAGGTTTTCGAGGTGTTTCACCTCTCTAATGTTTCTATCAGGTGACTTTTAGAGACACAAACAGATCCTTCAGGAGAGGGCAACATGCTTGACTCAAAAGAGTTGAGAAATACAAAAGCATTAAAATATTTTCTTAGGCTATAAGAGAAATTGAGAAAAATAACACATAAAAAAACAAAATCCTAGGAAAAAAATTTGCATTCCCTTACAATGAATAGATTTAGTCAATCAAGAAACTTGATTATTACAAGTGACTCTGAAACTTAACTTTACAGAAAAGTTATACTACAAAAACTAAGCAACTACAATACCTTTGTACTTTGTCATGGTATTTATGGCTGTGATTCTATGATGCATACCTATAATTGTCATTTTGTGCTGCTAACATTTTATTCTCAATTCACACGATTGGATTTCAAAATACCACTATTTTGTGCAGCTCGGCTATTAATCTTAAACTAATATACCACTTTATCATCACAATTCTCTCTACCCTTAAGTTCTCGTATTCCTGAACTCTCAGTACAAATACTTTCAAGTGAATTGAAAAAATCGAGTTCTTTGACTTCATTTAAATCTCTTATTCTCCTTCTTGTTTCATTTCCTTTCTTATCAATCTTAGACTCTATGAGCTACTATTTCAACTAATATCTCACCAGTCCATTGCTCTCTCTTTCTCTGTGTTAATCAAGTCCTGAAAACCTTCCAACACTCACAATCTCACACACCTTCTCTTACTCTACACCTAATTTCCTGAAGGCAGAATATTGGACCAACAAGAATTCCTTCCATCTTTGATCCTTTCACCCAACTAAAACACATACATCCACTGTGACAGCCAAGGAGATGTACTACTCAAGAGACAAAATGCTGTGAGGAATTACAGTCAGCTGACAATATACAGCTTTCACACTTTCAGGATTCACTGTAGTGTTTAAGCCAAGGTCATACTCTCTCCATACATCTTACAAGGCCATGCAGCTCCCAGACAATGACAGGGATGCTGCAGGAAAAACCATTCCTGCCAACACAAGGCATCTCTAATAAGCAAAATTTGCTCTGCCTACTGCATTATGCCCTCACCATTGTCTCGGTTGGGACTTTTTGAAAACAGCATTGCAGTCTGAGGTTCCTCCTCTCCAATCTGTCTTCCTTACTTCTCTCTTATCACAGGTGTTGAACCTACATGAGTCTGAAGGCTTTCCCTGCTTATTCCTGCTCTCTCTCTCTCTCACCCTCCTAAGATTATCCCCCAAGAAATCTCTTAAGCTTCTAATTCCATATTGGCATCTGCCTCCTGGGAGATCTGAATTATCATGTCAAATCCACACTTTTCATATTTCTTGCATTCTCAGTTAAAAAAAAAAAAGAGCCCTCCTCCTGTACAAACTAATCCCTCCACTAGGAAGTCCAAACCTTTTCCATCTTTTCATATACATTGCTCCAAACTTAACCACTTTAACTTACTTTCTCTCCTATAACATCAACCTCTCTCTCTCTCCCTTCTGGGCCTTTTTCACCAATATATAAACACTTTGACGTCTCTCCTAAATCAAGAACAACAAACCTCTGCTGCTCTGTGTCTCCCTCTGACAGTCAGCTCTTCAGATAATAGTAACATAGTACCTTTCACTGATACTCTATAATGCTTCATGTCCCATTTATATATCAACTACCCTGTGGGCTGATTTTTGCTTCAAATCACTCCACTCCAATTGCTTACCAAGGCACATTACATAGAGATGTCAAATTCGACGACCACTTTTGGCACTTCACTTCTGACCCCTCTATTTATCACACTGTCGTGTTGTTGTCTCCAGCTCTGCATTCAGGCATATCATTATTCACTGTTTCCTTCCTTCATCTCTTGGACAAGTTTCTCTTTTCCCATCACTTGGCTTGATAGCAGTCAATTTATCCAAGGACTTCTCCTTATCTCTACCTATAATCCCTGGGCAACCTTAGATACCCATCAAATACACTTATTCATCTTTGTTCTATCAATGCCAAACACAATGCTTGGGAAATGCTTAGCAAATAATTTTTAAATAAGTTCATGCCAGCGTTTATGTTAGTGATTCCATGTACATATCTCTTACAGTAACTCATCTCCTGGCCTTGAGAGATCCATACATTCAACCATCTCCTATCTTTAATCAACAGGATGTCCAAACAGAAGTCATCCTCTACCCTTTCAAACCGCTCCTCTTGTATTCTCTTGTAGGGATGGCATTATCAACCAACCTCTCCCGCAGGTCAAATGCCAGTATTTCCTTTCCGGTCTTCTCAGATGCAACCAACTGCTAGATATGATCAATTTAGTCCCTTCTTCTCCCTTACCTCTGACTCTGACTTAATTTAGTGTGAAGTCTCCTTGTAAGTATCTGGGCTCTTGAATTTTGCCTCTCATCTTAATTGCTAAATTTCACATAAGTGTTCTTTCTAACAATCTGATCTCACCTCTCCTTGGCTTAAATTCCTGTAGTAGATCACAATGCCTAGCACTGCAATTTGAAACTATTTCTATTTTTCATTCTTCTTTCCTCTTACAGGAAAAAAGAAAAAAAAAGCCCAAATTTCTGGTATAACCCACAAGACTCTTCAAAAATCTATAGGCTTTCTATTTATAGCCTCAGGTCTCATTCTTACTCAATTTGCAAACTCAAACTACTTGCAGTTCCTCAATACACTTTAGGTTTGTAGCCATTTCTGGGCCACCCCAGGCAGTATTTCCCTCCACCTAGAGTGTCTTTTTTCAACATTCTTCATATACATTCGGCCTGCACACTCTCAGGGAAGTTTCCTTGAAACTATCCTCCATCCCAACCTCCAAGCTGGTTTAAGAACCCTTCTTCTGAGGTACACTGTTTCCCATGCATTAATCTATCACATAATTCATCACACTAGATGTTAATTTTTTAACTACCACTCTTTCCTCTATAAACTACAAGCTCCTATTGGAAAGAATCATATTTTAACTCTGTTGATCCAGTACCGAGAACACTGCCACAGTACGTAAAAAGTACTTCATGGAAAGAAGTTTAAAAAGGAAGGGGAAAAGAGAGCCCTTTAGTATCTCAATAAATTTGTAAATTACTTTACAAAATAAATGTAATTTCTGCTTGGTCGCTCTCACCTCTGTCTTTAATGCAGAATGAAAGGCCTCTCTAAGCTGTACTCCCAGAACTTTGCTGGGAATCATCCTGAAATACCTCACATGTTCCTGAAAAAGACCAATCAGCTAACACTCACCTACCATGGCACATCTATCCTTGTGCATCTCTGTGTGGTATTTAAAGTCTGCTCCTTCCATTGCCTCCAAATTAAGCTTGGGAGGGCCTCATCTGTTCCCCCGTTGAGGAATCTGTTGCCCTCTCTGCTTTGTACTGTTGATTATAATAGGTCACTACTGTCACCAACAGGGCACCATTGCAGCTTCTTCAATATATCCCCACTCCCACTGAACCCAACCTCCCCTCTGCTCTAAAGACTGCTTTACCAAGTAGCACTGCTATCAACCATGATGCCCCAACACCTTTCCAACACTGTTAGCACAGTGGAGTCTGCAAAATGACAGTTAATTCGTGGACTGTGGCAAAGAAGACAGAATCCCTTTGCCTTAGTCTCTCAGAGAGTGGAAGGGCCATGTTGCTTGTCTCTAAGCATCTTATAATACATCTCCTGATTCTCTTGTTCTTTCGGATTTATTTTCTCATAGTCCAGCCATCTATCTCCGCAAGTATAAGATTTCTGGACCAGAAAACAAAACAGACCTCAGGCTGAATTTAGAAATGCTGCTTTGCTAACAACTGAGACTGTGTCACCAGGTTTGCCACTTCATTCTTGATTTTTCATAGGAAAAACTCACTTCTGTTCCTATATATCAAAGACTACTGGCAGGCCAACCCTACTGGCTTCCATATCCCAGATAAGGCTGAATTGCTACAGGAACAACAAGTGAGGACCACACTGAAAACATGCTACCCAGAAAGAGCCTTAAACATTACCATAAAAGACAGAAATATTTAAACACAAAACACCCTAGGTTGTTCCATATTTCTCATATTTAATATACTCCATTAAAAATTTCCAATGTCCCAGGTGCAATAGCTCAGGCCTGTAATCTCAACACTTTGGGAGGCCAAGGCAGGAGGACTGCTTGAGCCCAGGAGATCTGAGACTAGCCTAGGCAATATTCTGAGACCCCATCTCTACAAAAAAATTTTTTTAATTAGATGGGCATAGTGATGTGTACCTGTAGTGGGGGCTGAGGTGGGAGGATGGTTTGAGACCTGGAGGTTGATGCTGCAGTGAGCCTTAATCACACCATGCACTCCAGTCTTGGCGACAGAGTGAATATTGCCTCAAAAAAAAAAAAATAAAATAAAAATTCTGAATTACATATGCCATTCAAAATACCTTTTCCATTTAGAAATTCAAGCCTCCCTTTCTTGGAAAAAGTTCACAAATAACATTTTTACCTGAATTTTGGTTTGATTAGGCCAACAGTGTCATACCACCTACCCCATAGTATTTCAGGGGCTAGAAGGCACTCTAGGTTCACCACTGGTAGGCACATCACCTCTACTGGCATTCCAAAAGCCACTTCCAGATAAACACAAGGAAAGGGATGGCTGAAAAGATGAACAGCAGGAAATAACCTGCCTGGCTGGGAATTATTAGTAAGGTTATCCCTATGATGGGGAGGATTCGTTCTTTATGTCATGAGAACATAAGAAAAGGACATTAACTTTTCTTGCAAGGTCTGTACTCAGTTCAGAATTTACTTTGGAGGGTAATATGTACCAACAAACTATGAATGTAAATAAGACAGAGAATGAACTAAAAGAAAATAATGCAAATTCTCTAAAAATATAAGCAACATTTAAACTAAATGTATGGTGAATATCAACATCACTGGTACTTCAATTTCATTCAAAAATTGATATACATTTAGAAATTAAATTCTTGGCTTTGTAAACATAATGAATATGCAAATATTTTAGGTTAATATATTTTTCCCATCAAGTGCTTTATGCAAGAAATTTTTCCTCAAAGTTCCATTACTGACAAATTCCAAAATGTTCAGTTACTAAGAATAGAACTCTTTATTTTTCCTCATTTATTTTGATACTCTTAGCCATCCCTTAAATTGCCTATTCTTGGATTTTAATATCCAATCCTCCTAGAATTTTTACATTTTGATGAAGAAAAAGGAAACACGTACACGTGTTTAAGATTGTATTGCTTTTAAATTGATCTCTACAAGAAATACACCTCAATCTTAAAAAAATGATGGGGGTTGAGAGGTGATGGAGGTTTTAAGAGCATGAAGGAAGTAAGAACAGCCAAGAAGTGAGGCAGTAAAGTACAGATTTCGGTCAATTCTAAGCACTGGATAATTTTAATCTAGAAAGAAGGTCTTAATTCAGTTATAACTATAATATTTAAAATAGCACAATGTACCTTAATAGAGAATCTGGATAGTAGCATTTTTGAAACAAGCAACAACAGAAAAAAAAAATCCTCTCCTTATGTTGCATTTATTCAATTTGTGGGCTCCTGCTGCAGGTGGTCCCTGAGACAATATCATAGAAGATTTCTAAAACAAAATGGATAAATATGGCCATTTATTTAAAATCCAGGTAGTTTTTCAACACTGTATTTCTATTCATAGGGCCCAATTATCTATAAGGTATACAAGGGTATAAGACAAGCTATTATGATTGATTGACTGATTTGTTTTTTAAGAAAAATAGTAGCACGTGTATACACAAAATGAATCTTGTCTCCCTTCAAAGTACCCATTTTGAGCAGTTAGACATCAATTCCACTACAGAAATTTCAAAAACAGGCATTCCAAAAGTACTTTGATTGATGGAATATGTGTACGTCTTCCCAAGGGGAACACTTAAAAAGAAATAACACAAATTTTGAGAAATAAGCTGTGATATATTTGTTAAAAATTTACCTCACTAATTTATAATCACATGTAATATAGGAAAAAAACTGTAAAAGACACAAATTTCTCTGAACAAATTTTCATTTGAAATTTACACATTTAAAGGGAATTTTTTCTTGCCACTGAATAATAAGAAAAATGAAAGTGGTAGGTAAGTATTATAAAGTCAAGAGTAAAAGGCTATTATATGTACAACCCATTGAAAGTGGGGGTGGGGAGGGGAACTACACCTACAGTAAGCCCTCTATCACAGACATTGAAGGCAGTCTTTAAAGTCTGCATATAAAAATTTCTTGAGTTTTACAAAGCTTTACTTTAAGCTGTAGTGTCTGCAAAAAGCGATTCCAACTAATAAACAGCAATTCACCAAAAATGCAAAAGCAAACTACTATCAATTTACATCTTAGTACTTTAAAGACAGTAACATTTACTCTGATCAGTGCAGTGTTTTGAAACAGATATAATTAAAAACTAACTTTTAACTTGGAATTACTGTATCAGTGCAGATCTAGGTAAACATCCACACAAGCATTTTTAAATATATACTGTCTTCAACTCATCTTAATCTCAACAACTCTTTCCACCTTTGTATTTAGAAATTTTTAAAAACTTATCTGAACAAATTAATTTTCATTTGAAATTTATACATTTAAAATGAATCTTTTCCTGCCATTCAATAATAAGAAAAATGAAAGTGGGAGGAATAGGTAGGTAAGTATCATAAAGCCAAGAATAAAAGGTTATTATATTCACTACCCTTTGAGAATTAAATTTTTAAAAATTTCTAAATACAAGGCATGTAATTTTACTTTTTGCTTATTTATTATGAAAGAGGTATAAAACAAATACTCTGACCATAAACCCTGAATGTTCAATGCCTTCAACCAAACTACTGCAATTAATATGAAATTCTAAATACAGAATAAAATGCCACATAAATAGTATAACAGCCAAGTACTGTCTAAGAAGCCATATGTTTTTTCCCATTGTTCAAAAAAAGGAGATGACTTCCCGTCACTTATGTTTCTGATTAGCAAGGTGATTTATGCCACAATCACTAAAAATGCCAGCAAGTGAATGAGAAAATGCATAGTGACTGCACCAGATGTGCACAATAAACAGGAAACCCATTGTAATCTCTGGTACTTAGTTTATATGAAGGTAATGTAGGAAACACTCTTGGATATGGCAAAGTCACTCTTTTTTTACATTTGACTATAAATGATATGAAATAAATTGTGTGTTTTATACTTTATGGCATGCATACATTGATAAATTAAGTACCGTTTTGTATCCCGACTTATCTACAAGACAAACCTGGCTAAGATCATGGGGATTAATTGCTTCAGAAGTGTGAAATGCAGCTTTTCCATTCTTTTCTGCACACTCAGTGAAGAAACAATGATTAATCACTGTTTAACTATTCTCTTGGGAATCTACAAGATTGCCAAAGCAGGACTTATCCTCATAAATCCAAAAAATACAGGTTTAGATTTGTTGCCAACAACTGAAAGAACATGAACTTAAACCCATTTGTTATCAGATTAAAATAATGTCAAGGTTTTAGAACCCTACTGGTACACAATTCCCTTTAATCGGTGACTTCAATGGGAAATTAGATTAACACATAAGACATAGTGAAAGCACATGTATTTTACAAAATAAACATTTTTTAAAACTTAGAAAATATCCTTGGCCTAATGTCAAACATCATACTCTTGAACTTGAGCTGACAATCTCCCCTAGCTATAGAAATACTTCATTTCCTCTGTTCTATTTTAAGAATTAAAATACATGCTCATCAGGTAAAAAACATTTTAAATGCATATTTCACATAGGAAATAATGACTTATTTCAGTAAGTTTTATTCCATGTTGCTAGAGCTGAATGGCAATTATGTGGGTAAAACTATTTGGTTCCAATAATGCTAACATATTTCTAAGTCTTTAGAAGACAGAAATTGTGAACTCCAAACTTCTAAGCCTAAATAATCCAAAACCCTGAAATATTTTGAACAGAAGTACATAAGAGCAGAGGTTTCAAATATATTCCAAATAATTTGGGTTTTCAAAGAATCTTCAGCCACTGTTTACTAGTATACTGAATAAAGTAAGTAATTCTTAAGTTGAGGCAAAATTATTGTTCATACCACTTATAAAATGTGGGGCACATACTTTTAAGAATTGAAATCTTATTCTGTCTCATTAATAAGTATAATGTTAGTGGCATAATTGTCAAATCATTACAAATTAAAAAGTTTTTTTTAATTCCCTTTAAATGGGTCAGTTGTTCACACTACAAACTAGTACAAACCCAAATACTCCTGAAGTGGGTGTAACCTGAAGTAAAAATTTCAAATTTCTTTGTAAAATAGAAATATTTGACAAATGTGTTTTACACAGGTGAATGTAAATTAGAAATACAGCCATCTTTCAATTATTATGGGTTAATTTTCTATTTGTCTGATCGTATGTTCATATAATCCTCCCTTCCAATTTGTCAATCTTCCTGCTGCTTCTTTCAGGTGTACTAAGTGCCACAAGAGACTACCAGAACTGCAAGGAAAAGGAGGTGAAACTGTTGGTCAATTTCACTGTTCATTAAGCCCTTGTAAAAATGAGTAAGAGGAAGAGAAGGTGAAACAAATTTTGTATTTCCTACACTTCACTATTTTTATCACTGTTTATCACAAAAGTGGCAGCTATGTCTACTGCACATATAGTGAAAACCTAAAAACATTCACAATTTGACCAAAAAAAAAGAATTTTCCTCACATCATCCAATTTAAAAAGCAAACCTTCTTATAAAGGATACATTATTTTAAAAGTAATTCTCCAGTTAGCTGAGTACCTGCCATAAGTAAAACCACAGAAAGCAAAACCACAGATAAGAGGGAACTACTGTTATCACTACAGAGAGCTGGGAACTTGAGCAAGAATGGGTAAGAAGGGCAACACTGTTGAGAGAGACAGCAGAGATCACATTATACCAATAGGAAAATGTGAGAATTCTTCTAATGCCATTATTGTATCCCATATTTATCAAGTGTGCTCCGGGGCTGATGTGACCAGGAGAAATATGAATCATAAAGAACAATAGACACTTGGCATCCGTAGATTTTTTACAATTACAATTTCACCCTTGTTCAAGCAATCCAGGCCATGAAGTACTTTATCATTTTCTGTTAAGTGAATTTGAACCATAAACTCCCCAACCTGGTATAAGAAAGGATTTTGATGGCCCTGTTTCTACTATTAACTGCAGCTTGATGGTTCTCCAGAGCATTTTACAGAAATATTTACAAACTTGAAACTTTAAAAAAAATCAACAGGCATATAATTCATAAATGCCTACTGTATGCCTTAATTCCATTAACAGAATTTTTTTTTAACCACAGAATTCCTAAACTAGGAAACACCATACATTTACATTGTTAAAGAAAAAAACCACAAAGGAGAACTACAGAAGAAGCCTAAAGAAGTGGGAAGCAAGTAATCATGATGCTTCTTGTATGTAATATATCCTGGAGATAGTACAAAGATCAACCAAATGCTTTTTAACAATGGATCTGTGCCGATATGCTCCGCCTTCCTTCTTATTAAGAATAAACCATCCATGCTGCTACTTAAGGTGATCTCTCTACTTGTACACACTGCTTTAACAATTTTCCACTCTTTCTTGCATCATCAGTTTATTCCTCTCTATTGGAGCACTCCCATTAGTATGCTATTTCTCTCCTATTTAAAAAAATCCTCTCTTCACTCCAACTTCCCCCTTAAGCTGCCACCTGTTTCTCCTCCCACTCTCCCTTGAATTGTCCATCTTTAACTTCACCTATAAATAAGATTTCCCCTCTTCCTTCAAACATTTACATCACTTTCAGATATTCTGAAAGACCAATGAGTTTTCCTCTTAACCTCACTGTGTTTTCTTCTCTAGCCACCTCTACTAATTCCTCTTTTTCTCCTAACCCCTTTACTAAAGGTGCCCCAAGGCTAGCATTTTAAGTCTTCTCTATCTATATTTACTGTACTGCATCAATGTTACATCTTGATATGGTTTGGCTGTGCCCCCACCTAAATCTCATCCTGAACTGTAACTCCCATAATCCCCACGTGTCGTGGGAGGGACCTGGTGGGAAGTAACTGAATCATGGGGGAGGGTTTTCCCCATGCTGTTCTCGTGATAGTGAGTAAGTCTCATGAGATCTCATGGTTTCATAAAGGACAGTTCCCCTGCACACACTCTCTTGCCTGTGCCATGTAACACAGGTCTTTGCTCCTCCTTTGCCTTCCGCCATGATTGTGAGACCTCCCTGGCCATGTGAACTGTGAGTCCATTAAACCACTTTTTCTTTATAAATTACCTAGTCTCAAGTATTTCTTCATAGCAGTATGAAAATGGACTAATATATACCTTTAAATACCATCTACAATTAACAACTTCCACAGTTTTTCCTTCATCTCAGACCTCTTTACTGAATTCTGGACCAATGTGTCTAACTGCCTCCTTGACCTCTCTACCAGATAGACATCTCCAACTTATATTCAAAACAAAACTCCTGATCTTCTCCCAGAAATGTACTCCTTTTATAATATAATTTTCCCCTTCTTCATTAAATGAAGCTCTCTATCTTTTCTGTTATTCAGGCCAAACACTCTTGGAGTCATTCTTGACTCATCTCTTTCTTGCATAACTCAAATCCAATCCATTAGCAAATACTGTTACTCAAACCAAAATTATGTCTCACCTGGAATCTTCTACATGATCTCTCTGCTTCTGCCCTCGCTCCCTTAAAATCTATTCTCAAGCTGGCAGCCAGTATTTCTTTTAAACTACAAAGCAGATGATGACACTCACTAATGGATCCCCATCTCATTCAAAATGAAATCTAAATATAAATCCTTAAAAGACCTAGATTCTCAGTTACATCTCTACTACTCTCTACTCACTTTGCTGCAGCCACACTGACCTTGAGGCTGTTCTGTGAATGCATCATAAATATTCCTGCCTCAGGACCTTCGTACTTCGTGATCCTTCACCTCACTCTCTCACCTCCTTCAGGTCTTTACTCACATGTTACCTTATCGGTGAGGCTTTCCTTGACCACTCTATCTAAAATTTCCATTCTTCTCCCTATACTCCAAACTCTCTATCTCCCACTGGCTGCTTTATTTTCCTTCACAGAATCACTATCTAAGGTAATACATATTTTATTTATTTATGCTGCTACTTATCAACCTCTCCACCCTGGAATGTAAGCTTAATCAAGTTAAGGATTTGTCTCCATTTTGTTTTCACTGTGATAGCTCCTAAAACAGTTCTCAATGAGTAAGACTGGCTTCAAATTTCTCAGGAGGAATAATGGATAGTAGAAAAAATTAAAGCAAAGCTTTCAAAGTTGAGAGGAAAATCACTTTAAACTATAAACATATACCTAGCTAAATCATCAATCAACTGTGAAAATAAAATAGAAAATTTTTCTAACATACACAACTCAGAAAATTCATCTCCCATTTAGCCTTTCTGAAGTTGTAGTTAAAGGAATCTATGGATGATGACAAAAACGGGATATAAAAAACAGTACAGCTAACTCAGTAGTATAGTGAAAAGAAATCTCCGAAAGACATGCCAGCAAAAGAACAGGGAAGCTCTGGCTTATATTTAAATAGGAGGTTGAGGTTGAGAAATGTCTTCAAAAAGAGTGTAAATAACTTTACCAAAATGTTATTTTATGATTTAGGAGCCCAAAAGTACAACTGTAGTATGCTATCAAAAAAAAAAAAAAAATACAGGCATAAATCCATTATGAGCATTAAACAAAAAGAATGGCAATTTAAACTCTGATTAAAAAAACTACACAGATACCAAAAAGCAAAAAAAAACAAAAACAAAAACAAAACAAAACATTAAACAAATGTGAAAGAAAATATTAGATTTTGAGCAAATGAAGAAAAGTAAGAAACCTTTTATTCTGGGAAAAATATGTTCACTGGTCAGGTAATTCTGGAGAGAAAACAGAACTGAATGATAGTCTGAAATGATATAATTACTATATAAAAAATATAACTGCTAAATAAGAAATAAAATACGGGCCAGGAATGGTGGCTTATGCCTATAATCCCAGCACTTTAAGAGACCAACGTAGGTGGATCACTTGAGCTCAAGAGTTCAAGACCAGCCTGGGCAACATGGCAAAACCCTGTCTCTACAAAAAATACAAAAATTAGCCAGGTATGGTGGCTCACGCTTGAGGTCCCAGCTATTTGAGACGCTGAGGTAAGAGGATTGCTCGTGCCTAGGAGGTAGAGGTTGCAGTGGGCTGAGATCATGCCACTGCACTCTGGCCTGGGAGACAGAGTGACACCCAATCTCAAAAAAATAAAAGAAATAAATTACTTAAATATGTAAGAAATATATAATCATTTTTCTACTTTGTTAAAAGTCATTTATCGGTATCATAAGATTTCCTGATAATCAAAAAAAAAAATGGAAAATAGTAAGTGTTAGCAAAATGTAGAGAAAGTGGAACCCGGCTGGGTGCGATGGCTCATGCCTGTAATCCTAACACTTTGGGAAGCCAAGGTGGGCAGACTGCCTGAGCTCAGGAGTTCAAAACCAGCCTTGGCAACATGGAAAAACCCCGTCTCTACTAAAAATACAAAGAATTAGCCGGGCATAGTGGCATGCATCTGTAGTCCCAGCTACTCAGGGGGCTGAGGCAAGAGAATCGCTTGAACCTGGGAGACGGAGGCTGCAGTGAGCCAAGATTGCGCCACTGCATTCCAGGCCACGCAACAGAGCAAGACTGTCTCAAAGAAAGTAGAACCCTCATACACTGCTGACAGGAATGTAAAATGATGCAACTGCCATGGAAAACAGTTTGATGGTTCCTCAAAAAGTTAAACATAGAATTACAATATCACCTACCAATTCCACTCCTAGGTACATACCCATATGAACAGAGAATAGGTACTCAAACAGGTTCATGTACACGCGTTTAGAGCAGCACTATTCAGAGTAACCAAAAAGTAGAAGCAAACAAAATGTGTATGAACGAATAAATGGATAAACACATGGACTAGCATTCAGCCAAGAAAAGTAATGAAGTAATAATAAGTGCTACAACTTGAATAAAAATTTGAAATATTATGTTAAACGAAAGAAGCCACCCACAAAACGTCACATATTTTATGATTACATTCATATTAAATATACAGAACACATTAAATCCATAGAGACAGAACGCAGATTGATCGATGTCAGAGCCTAGGGCTAAGGCAGAATTAAGACAAACTGCTAAATGGGTAAGGTACTTTACTTTGGCATGATGGAAATGTTCCAAACTCGACAGAGGTGGAAGGTTGCATAACACTGTCAGTGTACTCAACGCCACGGAACTGTTCACTTCAAAATGGTGAATTCTGTGTTACATAAATTTCACCTCAATAGATTATCTTAACATAAAAGATATTCTGCTTTCAGTTCACTCTTTCTATTTTCTTATTTCCAGAGTAAAGATTTCCAAAGATGTTCATAATGTTATTTAACTTCGGAAGGCTCTTAGAAACTCATATTTATGGTTTTAGGATGGGGGAACGTATATGAGGTTCAATAATTCTTTAAGCTTCATTTCAGGGTTTTTTTTTCCTCTGTGAAATTCAAGTAAAATTAAATGTAATAAACTTCATTTTTTAAATGGTGTATCAGTTCATCTCTGTATGACAGGATTCAAAATAATTTTTTTAATTTTTTAAGTTGACTTACGTATTTATTTATTTTGAGATGCAAGGCTGGAGTGCAGTGGCACGATCTCGGCTCACTGCAACCTCCACTTCCCGAGTTCAAGAGATTCTCCTGCCTCAGCCTCATGAGTAGCTGGGATTACAGGTGCCTGACATGACGCCCAGCTAGTTTTTTGTATTTTTAGTAGAGACAGGGTTTCGCCATGTTGGCCAGGCTGTTCTCGAACTCCTGACCTCGTATTTCACCCGCCTCAGACTCCCAAAGTGCTGGGATTACAGGCGTGAGCCACTGTGCCCAGCCAACATTTATTTTTTCGACAGAGATGGGGATTTGCTATGTTGCCTAGACTGGTCTCCAACTCTTGAGCTCAAGCAATCTGTTCACCTCAGCCTCCCAAAGTGCTGGGATTACAGGTGTGACCCACCATGCCCAACCAGGATTAGGGATAATTTTTATCCTCTTTATGTTTTTCTGTATTTACGAAACTTTCTAATAAAAAATATTATTTTTATACATCAGGAAAAAATGCCTTCAATTTATTAAAAAGATACAAATGTTAAATAAAATGGGAATGGGTACTAGAAGAGATCACTTTGGGCAAGGATCTGGGTTATTCTAACTTGATATTCAGGATGTAAAAAGTTAAACATGTTTCAAACCAAGAATGATTTGAGGGCATCAGGATGCACATACAATTTAGACAGACAAAACAAACAAGAAGAGAATAAAGAAATATACACCTTACTAAAAAGACATGATTATATCAAAAATTTATTCTCCTTTAAAATTCTGAGATCTCAGTACTTGTGCTTATGTTCTTACTACAAAAGAACCCAGGAAGGACTGTGGTGTTTCCCAGCAGTTACCCAGTTCTCTAAGTCATTTGACAGCTTATATTGAATGGGGAAAGAAATGAGAAGCACAGAAGAGACAAAAGAAAAGGCAGCTTCACTGAGGCAGAAAAGAAACTGTCTCATTTCTTTTACTCTCCCAACAAATCAGTGATGAACAAACATTCAAGTGATCTAAAGCTGGGTTTCTGAAACTGCATAAGTGACACATACCAGGAAGCATTAAATAAAATATACAAATAATATAATATAGCATACAGCACATCCCAGGCAGCTGGAGTAAGAATTAAATTTTTGTTTCGGTTTCATTTATACCTATAGGACTCGGCTCATAAATGTACATTTTATTCCTTATTATGGGTTGTAATAAGGAAAAAAATTGTGAATGTTATCTATCTGATATACCTCCAACTGTAAGTTCAATCATTCTAATTTCCTACTTCTTTAAGAAATGGTGGGGGAGTGGGGAGTGGAGAAAAGAAAATAAAAGGCCTATGGATACAAAAAGATTCCCTAAGGAAAATGCTAAAGTCTGCTGGTGGGAAACCATTTTTAAAAGACACCCTGAAGACTCAGCTAACTGTGAAGAAAAACAATGGACAAAGGGGAAAGAATGGAAACTGGTGACTAAAAGCAGGAGGTAGGACAGAAACAGATCAGGAAACTGAGTAACTGTGTTGGTTGGCCAACACTATTCCCTGAAGGAGTCTTCAATCTAAATTTGGCAGAAGTACACAAACACACATACCTTTTTTTTGTACAAAAATCTATGGAACACATTACTATGGTAAGGGTATTGAGAGTATTCTATCTTAAAATGTATATTTTGAATAAATATATGCTTACCTTGTGGGAGAACTTTACTGGTCCACAAATCCGGTTGACATGTGAAAATGCATGTTCTTGTTATAGATCAAAAATGACTTAGGCTCAGTACAATAGAGTTCTCCAAACACAAGTCTTGGTTTGCAAACAGAAATTGAAGAGGAATCAAGAAACAGAGACAAACTAAGTTCTCCCTTAACTGAGCTGCTGGAAAAACAGCATCTCCCTAGAAAAATAAATAAATAAAATAGCTGCAAATGCTCCTATCCCAGGAGAAACCCTAAATCATATCAAACAATACAAATCATATCATATCAAACAATACAAAAAGCAGGCTAAAAACAATTTCTATCAAAATATTTTAAGTTCTTAGAGGACAAACGTTAGCCTACTCATTAATCACTCTTTCCTTCACCTATTTTAACTCCTGGAAGAAAGGGAGGTATTTTGTAATACCAAAAATAAATGGCATTTTACATATATAATACAAAAACATCAGGCTTCACTATAAAACAATCACCTCTTACTTCATTTAACTTTGCACTGAAATGACATAAAAGTGTTGAAATGAGGAACATACTATTCTAACACATAGTAAAATAATATCACATTTTAAAATCACATAATATAAAAAATGGAAATTTGACATTTGAAAACAAATGTGAAAAAAATTCCATTGAAAATGGATTCTAAAGCATTAATAAAATGTAAAATTAGAATACAGATGCATCAGTGATGACAAGTGAATATTATATTTAGGTGTTAAAATTAATTTTCACAGCCTTTTTCTAAAGAAAAATTTTTTTTCATCTTTAGTAATACACCTCCATAAATAATCATACACACAGATATATTTACATAAAATCTGTAAGAATAACAACTAAATTTCTCAACTGGGCTATCTAATTTAAGTAAAGAACCTGTTAATAATAAAAAATTACTGAACATATTATCAACTTCCCCTAGATTTCATTCTCTATTAGTTCTTAAGCTTCAACAACCTGTTAAGAGCTTACTGGTGGCTTAGCACACATATAAAAAGATAGCAGCAGTTAGCTAATATAATGTAAAACATAATCAATAACATGAAACTGAAAAACATGACAACAGATTCCAACTGAAATTTACTGAGATTCAATATAAATTATTTCAAACACATTTTAGTATCACATGCTACTAAAATCGAGTAACAAAAGTCACTCTTCTGGAAACAGGATTTCCAGAAATGGTTTTTTGTCCTTTTAGATATACCCATTTTATTGAATACAATTCATGTTTTATTTGTATGTCGGTTTGGTGAAGAGAACTACGCATTACATTGTGATGCTGCATTTTCTTATTTTAACTTTCAATCTAATTTGAAAAGTAACAAACAATACTTTTCTGAATTATATTATACATATGGAAAATATCTAAATATCATCAGCTGCTCCTTGCAGAGTGCTATATTCACATTTTTTCGTGTATGGCTGAACTAAAAATTGCTATACCACTAAAACAAAGCATGACTATTTCTCATCTTTCTTTTGTAAAAATACAGACCATTTTTATTCTCTTTGGATGCCTGTTTAGAATAAAAGATATTCAAATAGCTTTCAACTATTCCAACATACGTGTATTTGATGAAATCTGTATTTAAGTACCAATATATATTATCATAGTACTATGTCACTACTATTCAGAGAATGATGGCTATTTCTTCAGAAAGTGTTAACGGTAACAAGAAAAAGTAACACTACAATCAGTGTACTGAGTAGTTGTAATGTGTTTTATTTCTAAATACATACTTTAGACCAATTTTTAATTTTAGGCCAATTTTCAATTTCTTACACTGCCAACATCCTTAATTAACCTTCTTGTTGTGACAGGATATAGCCAATAAAAGAACAAATTGACATACCATCAGAGAAACCAAGAAAGGAGAAAAAAAAAAAAAAAGAGAACACTATGGGCAGAATTAGGAAACACAAAAAAAATCTCTACAGTAAGACTATATGAAACAACTAAACTTTCTCAGAAATCCATATGCAGAAGGAATGTTTACCATAGTCTCACTGAAAGGATATACCAATTCTTTTTCTAGTTATTCTCTTAGGAATTACATAAATATTGAGAAATCTAGAAATAGATATACACATGCACATACAAAAATTATTGTCAGTGTATAAGTTACTGCTGCCCTGGGACTGCAATAATTTATGTAACATCTGTTTTCATATTTTCCTAATTTTTTTCCTAATTAACATGCATATTTAACGCACAAATGCTCAGACCACCTCTTTTTTCTGCTGACTGTGCCTCTTTTTTTGAAGTTGTGCACTCCTAGGGAGAATTTAGGATAGATGAAAACCAAAATCCCATTGAGAGCACTAATTTTAAAACATAAACAACAGCATGAAACCAATTTTCAATAAAATACTAAAGTCTTAGGAGTTTTCATAAATACACTTCAATCTGCCAACAATAGTCAGACTAGCAGTAAATAAAGGCCCAAATATAAAAAGTCAACATAAAAGCATAATCTCAATATTACTTAAACCTTCTTGATTTCTTTCTAACTTCCGTAAGAGCTAAGAAACCTACTAAAATATCCATGATTTCTTGTCTTAACAAGGTTGGTAAAATTTTAAAGGTTTTATGCCTTAGACAACTAAAATAAACAAACACATTCCACATAGTAAACATAAATTTGTATATAACCAGTGATAGCCTTTTGGATTATAAACTTCAAATACTGTGCAGATTCAACAAAAGGGGAAAGTTTTTATTGTGAAGTTCATTCAAGTACAATACAATGAAGTTCTGAGAAGATTTTAAGCTGTATTGGGTAATTCAAAATACTACTTATGCTTTTATTCTTTTTGTAAACATGGGGGTCTCACTTGGTTGCTCAAGCTGGTCTCAAGCTCTTGGCTTCAAGAGCTTATCAAACCAATGCTACAACAACTTAAGTATTCTCAAACAACAATGCTTAACATGCCAACACTGTGATCTCATATATACTAGCACACTTTATGGTATGGTTTGGCTGTGTCCCCACCCAAATCTCATCTTGAATTCCCATGTGCTGTGGGAGGGACCTAGTGTGAGGTAACTGAATCATGAGGGCAGGTCTTTCCCGTGCTGTTCTTGTGATAGTGATTAAGTCTCACAAGATCTGATGGTTTTAAAATGAGAATCTCCCTGCACAAGATCTTGACTCTTGTCTGCCGCCCTGTGAGACATGCTTTCACCTTCCACCATGATTGTGAGGCCTCCCCAGCCACATGGAACTGCAAGTACAATAAATCTCGCTTTTTGTAAATCGTCCAGTCTTGGGTATGTCTTTATCAGCAGTGTGAAAACAGACTAACACATTTTAGAATTAATCACTTCGTATTTTAATTGCCCCATCAGGCATTTCAGTCATTTAATATTTGTTGTCTACTGTCAGGTTTAGAATGTTGTCCATTCTAAACCTTTGTAAGCACTGAAATTGTCTCTGCCCTCATAGAACTTATATTTTACTTGGGGAGACAGCATCCAATAACCATGTGAATACCTACCTGCAAACCGATAAATGCTATTTTAAAATATGGGGAGAAGGAGCCATAAGATTTTATAAAAGGAGATGTGATATAGCCCAGAGATCAGTTTGAAATGGGATCTGAAAGGTATGGGAAGTATTCCAGTATGGGGCACAGCAAGTGCAAAGGTCCAAAAGCAGCTGTGAGATCAGCACCCACTCCCCCCTACAACATTCCTGTTTGTTTCTAGACCTATAACTAGACTAAAGTCCCAGCGGGCCCCAGAGGTGAGGTTGAGAGTGTGACCCATGAGGAAGTATGCTACACTCAAAAAGAACTGTTTGAGTTTTCCAGTTTATATAAACAGAAATCTGGAGAACAGGCATGGGAATGTACATTAAGGGTGTAGGATAATGGTGGAAGGAACACAGAGTTAGATCAGGCTGAATTTATTGATTTGGGCCCACTAAGTAGGGACTCTGCATTTAGTGTTGCAGCTAGAGGAGTTAAAACAGGTTCTAGTGGTTTATTTGCTTGGTTGGCTGAAATACGGATTAAAAGATGGCACACTATGAGCAAATTGGAAATACCTGATCTCCCTTGGTTTAATGTAGAGGAAGGAATCCAAAGGCTTAGGAAGATTGGGATGGTGGAATGGATTAGTCACTTTAGATCTACTCATCCCAACTGGGAGGGTCCAGAAGATACACCCTTGACCAATGCCTTGCAAACAGATTTGTGAGGGCAGCACCTGCATCTTTCAAGAGCCCTATAATTGCTCTTCTCTACAAGTCAGATCTAACAGTGGGAACCGCAGTCACTCAACTACAAATATTTAAATACGATGGGAACAGTTGGATCCCGAGGTGGCAGGGGCCAAGTGGCAACACAAAACTGTCAAAGGCAAGGTGGGCATAGCTACCATAATAGACAGCAGTGGCAAAGCAGCAATCAGAATAGTCTGATTCACGTAGAGCTTTGGCATTGACTAATTAATCATGGTGTTCCTAGAAGCGAAAGTGATAGGAAGCCTACTGCATTCCTACCTAATTTACACAAGCAGAAAACTTCTAGGTCAAATGGGCAAAAGACTAATTTGAATCATAAAAACAGAGAATCGGGCCAGGCACAGTGGCTCACACCTGTAATCCCATCACTTTGGAAGGCTGAGACAGGCAGATCACGAGGTCAGGAGACAGCCATCCTGGCTAACACGGTGAAACTCCGTCTCTACTAAAAATACAAAAAATTAGCCAGGTGTGGTGGCGGGCGCCTGTAGTCCCAGCTACTCAGGAGGCTGAGGCAGGAGAATGGCGTGAACCCAGGAGGCAGAGCTTGCAGTGAGCCGAGATTGCGCCACTGTACTCCAGACTGGGCTACAAAGAAAGGATCTGTCAAAAAAAAAAAAAAAAAAAAAAAAAAAAAAAAACAAAAACCCCAGAGAATCATGGCCCCTCAATTAATTTCCAGGCTTGAGATAGTTTACAGATCCAGAAACTCTTGAATGAAAGCAAGGCCAGGTCCCTTTGAGGAAGGACCCCACTATATTACCGACAATTTATGCAGTGAATCTTTCTCAAATCCTTCCCCAAGGAGACCTCCAGCCTTTTACCAGGGTAACTGTGCACTGGGGAAAGAGAAATGATCAGACATTTCGGGGGACTACTGGACACTGGCTCTGAGCTCACATTGATTCCAGGGACCCAAAACTTCATTGTGGTCCTCCAGTTAAAGTAGGGGCTTATGGAGGTCAAGTAATTATTGGAGTTTCAGCTCAAGTCCGACCTACAGTGGGTCCAGTGGGTCCCCTGACTCAGCCAATGGTCATTTCCCCAGTGCTGGAATGCATAATTGGCATAGGTAAACTTAGCAGCTGGCTGAACCCCCACATTGGCTGACTGGTATAGTGAGGGCTATTATGGTGGGAAAGGCCAAATGGAAGCCATTAGAGCTGCCTCTACCTAGAAAAATAGTAAACAAAAATAATATTGAATCCTTGGAGGGATTGCAGAGATTACTGCCATCATCAAGGACTTCAAAGACACAGGGGTGGTGATTCCCACTACATCCCCATTCAACTCTCCTATTTGGCCTATGCAGAAGACAAATAGATCTTGGAGAATGACAGTAGATTATCGTAAGCTTAACCAAGTAGTGGCTCCAAATGCAGCTGCTGTACCAGATGTGGTTTCATTGCTTGAGCAAATTAACACATCTCCTGGTACATGGTATGCAGCCATTGACCTGGCAAATGCCTTTTTCTCCATTCCTGTCCATAAGGCCCACCAGAAGCAATTTACCTTCAGCTGGCAAGGCCAGCAATATACCTTTATTGTCCTGATATACTCAGGGGTATATCAACTCTCCAGCTTTATGTCATAATCTTATTCGGAGAGATTTCGACAGCTTTTTGCTTCCGTAAGATATCATACTGGTCCATTACATTGATGACATTATGCTCACTGGATCCAGCGAGAAAGAAGTAGCAAACACACTGGACTTATTGGTGAGACATTTGCGTGTCAGAGGATGGGAAGTAAATGTGACTAAAATTCAGGGACTTTCTACTTCAGTAAAATTTCTAGGGGTCCAATGCTGTGGGGCCTGTGGAGATCCAAAGGCTTATCTTCTAAGGTGAAGGATAAGTTGCGGCATTTGGCACCTCCTACAAACAAGAAAGAGGCACAACACCTAGTGGATCTATTTGGATTTTGGAGGCAATACATTCCTCATCTGGGTTTGTTACTCCAGCTCATTTGTCAAGTGACCTGAAAGGCTGCCAGTTTTGAATGGGGTCCAGAACAGGAGAAGGCTCTGCAACAAGTCCGAGCTATTGTGCAAGCTGCTCTGCCACTTGGGCCATATGACCCAGCAGATCCAGTGGTCCTTGAGGTGTCAGTGGCAGATAGAGATGCTATTTGGAGCCTTTAGCAGGCTCCCACAGGTGAATCACAGTGGAGCCCTCTAGGATTTTGGAGCAAGGCCCTGCCATCTTCTGTAGATAACTACTCTCCTTTTGAGAGACAGCTTTTGGCCTGTTACTAGGCTTTTGTGGAAACTGAATGTTTGACTATGGGTCATCAAGTCACCATGCTACCTGAACTGCCTATTGTGAACTGGGTGCTTTCTGACTCATCTAGCCATAAAGTGGGTCGTGCACAGAAGCATTATATCATCAAATCCAAGTGGTATACACATGATCGGACTCAAGCAGGTCCTGAAGGCACAAGTAAGTTACATGAGGAAGTAGCTCAAATGCCCATGTTCTCCGATCCTGCCACCCTGCCTTCTCTCCCTCAGTTTGCACCGATGACCTCATGGGGAGTTCCCTATGATCAGTTGACAGAGGAATAGAAGATTAGGTGACCTCAGCAGAGGAGGATTTTAATAATCAAGTGGCTAAGATGACCCTTTCTGTGGACAACACTCAGCCTCTTTCCCCAGCTGCCCCTGTCATCACCCAATGGGCCCATGAACAAAGTGGTCATGGTGGCAGGGATGGAGGTTACACACGGGCTCAATAACATGGACTTCCACTCACCAAGGCTGACCTGGCTACGGCCACTGCTGAGTGCCCAATTTGCCAGCAGCAGAGACCAACACTGAGCCCTCGATATGGCACCATTTCTCAGGGTGATCAGCCAGCTACCTGGTGACAGGTTGATTATACTGGACCTGTTCCACGATGGAAAGGGCAGAGGTTTGTCCTCACTGGAACAGACACTTACTCCGCTTATGGGTTTGCCTATCCTGCACGCAATGCTTCTGCCAAGACTAGCACCCATGTACTCATGGAATGCCTTATCCACTGTCATGGTATTCCACACAGCACCCTCTGACCAAGGCACTCATTTTACAGCTAAAGAAGTGCAGCGGTGGGCTTATGCTCATGGAATTCACTGGTCTTCCTATGTTCCCCATCATCCTAAAGCAGCTAGATTGATAGAACAGTGGAATGGCCTTTTGAAGTCACAATTACAACGCCAACTAGGTGACAATACTTTGCAAGGCTTGGGCAAAGTTCTCCAGAAGGCTGTGTATGCTCTGAATCGGCGTCTAATATATGGTACTGTTTCTCCCATAGCCATGATTCACGGCTCTAGGAATCAAAGGGTGGAAGTGGAAGTGGCACCACTCACCAATCACCCCTAGTGATCCACTAGCAAAATTTTTGCTTCCTGTTCTCATGACATTAAGTTCTGCTGGCCTAGAAATCATAGTTCCAGAGGTAGGAACGATGGCACCAGGAGACACAACAATGATTCCATTAAATTGGAAGTTAAGATTGCCACCTGGACACTTTGGGCACCTCCTACCTTTAAGCCAACAGGCTAAGAAAGGAGTTATAGTGTTGGCTGGGGTGAATGACCTGGACTATCAAGATGAAATCAGTGTACTACTCCACAACAGAGGAAAGGAAGAGTGTGCATGGAATACAGGAAATCCATTAGGGCGTCTCTTAGTATTACCATGCCTTGTGATTAAGGTCAATGGGAAACAGCTCAATCCAGGCAGGACTACAAACGGTCCAGAACCCTTAGGAATGAAGGTCTGGGTCACTCCACCAGGAAAAAAACCACAACCTGTTGAGGTGCTTGCTGAAGGCAAAGGGAATACAGAATAGGTAGTAGTAAAAGGTAGTCATCAATACCAGCTACAGAATCAATACCAGCTACAGTGACCAGCTGTAGAAACATGGACTGTAATTGTCATGAATATTTCCTCCTTCTGTTAGAAACATGTTTGTGCATGTATACACTTGTACTAAGAAAATACCTTCATTTCCTTTCTCCTTTATCACATGACATAGATTTACCGACTTCATATCAGCATTTAAGTAATGTTAACTATATGTAATAGTATTTGGGTTGGGGATTGGTGCATTTCCAGTTGTACAAAGGATAGTTGTATTATGTTAGGTGTAATTATGACCTTATTATCATCTTTATTTAAGGATTATGTATGATCTCAGGAGATGCGAATGGGTTCCAATTGACAAGGGGTGGACGTGTGATGGTTAATACGGAGTGTCAACTTGATTAAAATGAAGGATACAAAGTATTGATCCTGGGTGTGTCTGCAAGGGTGCTGCCAAAGGAGATTACCATTTGAGGCAGTGGGCTGGGAAAGGCAGACCCACCCTTAATCTGGGTGGGCACAATCTAATCAGCTGCCAGCACAGCTAGAATATAAGCAGGCAGAAAAGTGTAAAAAGAGAGACTGGCCTAGCCTCCCAGCCTACATCTTTCTCTCGTGCTAGATGCTTCTTGCCCTTGAACATCGGACTCCAAGTTCTTGGTTTTAGAACTCAAACTAGCTCTTCTTGCTCCTCAGCCTGCAAGCAGCCTATTGTGGGACCTTGTGATCATTTCAGTTAACACTTAAAAACCTCCCCTTTATATATATATTTATTCCATTAGTTCTGTCCCTCTAGAGAACCCGAATACACTGGGTTAGAAATAAATTTAGAATTTGCCAGGATATGGGTAGTTTAATAAAAATGGAGGCCCACATTCTCTTCCCAAAGGAAAATCTCTTCACACATCCAATAACTTCCTAGTTTCTAGCTATCATACCACAACAAAAAAGCATATGATATTTTATAGTCTGGGAAACTCATTTAGCCTAAAATTGGTTAACTCCATGGGGCATATTTGCATTCTATGTCTTATCTTAAATGCTGAATAAGAGTTACCATTTATTGAAATGCCTACTCTGGGATAGAGCTATACTAAGCATTCTAAAAATATGCTTTAGGTCATCAATCTTCACAGTAATCTTAAAATGTAAGAATTATCAAGCCCATTTTTCAGATGAGGACACTGAAGTTATGGAAGTGTAAAGTCATTAGAAAAGCAAGTGATAAAAGTCATACTTCCAATTTAAGGCTCCCTGAACCCACACCCCAAGCCCTTTCCACTAAAAAGTAGGACGGCATGTGTAGTGTCAAGAGTCTGAGCTTTAAAATAAATCAATCTTAGTTACAATCCTGGCCAGTACTTCCTACTGGCAGTATTTCCTCACCAGTAATACCTACCTTGCTAGAAGTGTTAACATTTTTGAAAATGTTAAGTGAAGATTCTGACACGATACATAGGGTTGTGCATCACTATTAATGTCACATGTTCCTCTACCATAGGAGTGCCAGCTGAGGAAAGACTTAGAGCAGAAGGCTATTCACAGATCTCATTGTTCTAAGGCTGACCTGTAAGCTTTGAAAATTTCATGGTATAGAGAATGGCAGGTCATTAGGAACAGCTTACTTCCATCCTTTCCCCATGTGGAAAAAAAGGGGTTCCATCAGAAAAGTCAGAGGCCAATAGCCTAAAAACCATCAGTAGGGAATTCAGCAGTGGTCCTAAAACTTTAGTGTGCATATTAACAATCACTTGAGAAGCTTATTAAAATGGAGATTCACAATCAGATTCTCCCAAATATTCTGATGCGTTAGTGGAAGATAATATTTTTCCAGCTTTCCTTTTTTTTTTTTTTTTTTTTCCGGAGACACAGTCTCGCAGTCGCCCAGGCTGGAGTGCAGTCGCGCAATTTGGGCTCACTGCAACCTCTGCCTCCCGGGTTCAAGCAATTCTCCTGCCTCAGTCTCCCAAGTAGCTGGGATTACAGATGCCCACCACCACACCCAGGTAATTTTTTGTATTTTTAGTAGAGACAGGGTTTCACCATGTTGGCTAGGCTGGTCTTGAACTCCTGACCTCGTGATCCGCCCACCTTGGCCTCCCAAAGTGTTGGGATTACAAGCATGAGCCACCACACCAGGTGGATAATGGCTTGAACCCAGGAGGCGGAGGTTGCAGTGAGCAGATTTGCCCTCCAGACCAGGCAACAATGAGAGACTCCATCTCAAAAAAAAAAAAAAAAAAAAAGAATAAAAGCTTACATATAGCCCTGCTTGGTGACACCAATGGGCACTAACATACACTGGTACCAAAGCAGTATTCAGGACAGAAAATGTCTACCATACTCCCCAACACTGCCAATCACTCAAAATATTAAAAGGATGTCCACTTTCCCTTCTGCATGAACTACAACTGTCACTATGGAACACTGATGACCCGACAGCTCCCATTAACCTGATCTATTGGCACACTAAGTCAGGTCTGGCAATAATGTTCTGGTGACTTACAGATTCTAATAAATTATAAAACTCTAAACTTTCACCCAAGGTTAACAGAACTTATTTTTTAATTTTGAAATTTTAAGATGATATGATTCTTTCAAGGCTTATCTGTGAAGTTATATGTAGGCAGCTGTAGTTTTTAAATTATTGCGTAGTATTTCCTTGTATTCTTCTAAAAACAAAGATACCCACTCAAGTTTATTTGTTTGCTTTTACCCTATGACTTACATCATGACCGTGCTAGGGAATAAAAGGCCAAAGATAGTAAAAGTTCCTTGAAAATGGACTTTAGTAAAAAGAACATCTATTGAGTGCTTACTATGATATTGATATTTATATGGAGTATCTCATTTAATGCCTACCCTTCCTCCCTGTCTCCTCCCCCAGAAAAACAGATAAGAGAAACTCAGAAACACTAACTTGCCCAAGATCTTATAACTAACAAATGGTAAAGCTGGGATTTGAACCCAAGCAATCTGACCCCAGTATCCATTTAGTCTTAACCATTACACCATGCTATACTGATTTAAAAGGAATTGTAACTATGGGAAACTTGGTTTACATTATCATTACCCACTCTGTTCATGAAATTTCTTCAACTTTATAAACTTTTATACAGCCAAATATCCCCAAAGTAATGACATAAGTCTGTCCCTCTGGTTTTTATGTTAAATGAAATGCTTCCAAGGTGTTCTAATAATTAAAACATAACTTCCAAAATGACTCTTAATCTCATATTAGTATATAACATATTTTTGTCCCAAATACTCACAGTCATTTTCCACTAACCATAGTTGGTACTAAATTAGATCCCACACTACCCTAAGCTCCATGCAGAACAAAAACTAATGCATGTATAATGTAAAACGAGAATTTTTTTGAAATTCAAACATTGTATCTTCCCGTATTACTCCTGATGCCAACTAGGTAACCTCTCTTCTATATATCCTGGTTCCATATAGGCTCAAGCTCTGGATACCAAGTTCAATTTAGCTTAAAATAAGAAATAAGGTAGCCATTCCCTGCCCCCCCGCCCCCCAACCCCAGCCCATCACTCTATCTAAATGGGCCAAAAGAGGCTGGGTCAATTCTTAGAATTGCTTTGGGCACTTGAGGTTTATTCCTATCTTAAAGACCAGTCAAATTGTCTGAGAAGTGAGAAAATTTCAGGAACTACGGTTTCCCTAAAGAAGCTGCAGATTCAACTTGACTCCAAGAGATGAAAAATTCCCTTAAGCTTACATTAGTCTTTGTTCATTTCCTGTGGTAGGCATAAGGCATGGGAGTTTTCAAAACTGACTTCTTCACAACACAATAAAAAGACAAGTATATTTTATATTAAAGGATTCTCTTCTTGTAAGTATGTCCTTGGAACTAAGATAAAAACAAGATTTTTGAAGAAATTATTTTGGATTAAATGGGCTGGAAACTTTAAGCACTGTTCATAACTTTGTTTTATATTCTAAATTCTCAGTTCCAGACTTCTTATTCTGCATCTCATTAACTACTCCTTATATTATAACATTTGTTTCAGAGTTCTTTTTTTTAAATCTATTCCCTTTTTATAATATCACCTGTCTGTCACCTTTTATCCAATACACACTGTAATCCATTTTCTTCAAACTGCAAAAAGAAAAACTCAAACCAAACCAAAACTGTTTGTGCTGCAAGAAAACCAATGAAAAGTAGTCACTGTCCCAAATCATTCTGGAATTCTGAGGATGCTTTACTTCTTAGAAAATAAGAGGGCAACACTATTTAAAACCAGAGACAAAACAGGTAAGTTAGCTCTTCAAATGACTCAGTAATTTAGATATATCTTTTCTGCTTTTGGCTTATCACTTTCCATCACTTACTTTACTACCACACTTCCTTTATTGAGCTCACTGCCTATTAGCTCCCTCACACAAAAAATAAAGGAAATCTAAACTGGATTTCAAAATGGTTGGATAATTATCAGGAACTTAGTGAGAAACATAGCTTTAAGGGTCAGGTACAGTACCAATAACCAAACTAGAATTGTGGCTATGGAGGACTGAGAAACAAAAGAACAGAGAAATGGTAGTACATAGAGAAATAACAAAAGTAAGTTTAGTAAATTTCCAAGGTTTCTAATCTAGGCATTAGGAAGGTTATTTGTGCCATGAAAGTGATACAGACAGGAGGCAGGGAAGTACTAGGTAAAAGGGGGATGTTCCCCCACAAAGGCCCCACCCTCAAGCCTGGAAACCACAGCCCCAAATGAAAAGTTATCCCTGTTTCCCCGCCCAAATGTTGCTTTTTCCAAAACCACCCTGGCCCACCACACACCCATCATGTACCCATAAAACCCCCCAAACTCCACTGACACAAGAGCAGAGAGGCGCAGCAGAGGAGGAGAGAAGAGAATAAGCACCTGAAGGTCGAGAGGAGTTCGGTTGGGGATGATCAGAGTTTGGCTGGGGGCGGTTGAACTCCACGGGAAGATTATCTTCCCAACCCATCCCCTTTCCAGCTCCCCATTCCACTGAGAGCCACCTCCATCACTCAATAAAATCTCCGCATCCTTCAAGTCCATATGACTTGATTCTTCCTGGATGCCGAACAAGAACCCGGGTACAAAGAAGGCAGTGTATAAAATGCTGCCACCCTGACTTTCCATTGAGCTGGTTAACACTTAGCCATCTACGGATGGCAACTGCAAAGACAGTATTAATTGTAACACACCCCTAGACCTGTCATGGGTCAAGAGGAGCCCAAAAGTGCTCACTCCAGCTCTGGCTCTCGATCACCTGCATGCTCCCCCTCCTGCAAGGGGTCTGAGCAAGGTGGCGGCCAAGTAAGCAAGCCACACCCCTGTCTAAAGTCCTGCCTAGGGGTCAAGGGAACTTTCCCATCTCAAAAGGTATAAAAGGGAAATGAGGGGGATGGGGAAAAGGTTGATCAGGGAAAAAAAGCAGGATACTATATGTCCCCAAAACCTACCTCAGTATCTTGCACCCCAATTAAGGTATGTTAAAGATAAAGGAATGAGTGAATGATATCAATTCTAATTTTGCTAACTTTTATAACGGTAAATAATTTGAATTCTCTGACTAAACTGAAGCTGAGAAAATAGATCTTACCACTAATTCCACAGGTATTTTGAGATTTTGAGAAAGTCCCCTTGGTTCTAAACAGCATTTCAAACCTAGACATATCTCCAAATGAATACGCTCTCTTAGAAGTTGTCAAGTTGTGATCTCTATGATTCATATAATATGTTATGTTATGTTATGTTATGTTATGTTAATAACGGAGGTGATAGGTGTATATAAACCAACTGAATTGTCAGGTTTGCATTTTGATTACTTGTTTAGTAGGTTTCTAACAAACTAGTAAAATATATACATGAAGGTCACATGTATTTATTAATGCTAGTGTTTCAGTCTGTCTGCTAGCTCAATAAATCAGCAGTGAATTAATTCATATTGCTAATGTCATTTTTTGCTACTAAGGATAATTTTTAAAGGTATTCTTCAAAAACACCTTTAAAATATTTAAAGATTCCATGCAAGATTATTACTATGGTCTCATCGCAGTAAAATGTTTAAAAATAATAATATTCAAAATTCCATAAGAAAAATGTTCGATGAGGTTAAACTATTATAAAGCAGTAAAATGAAATGAGAGGGAAATTATAAAAATGATGTCATATGACAAGACTTTTGGTTTTCTAACCAAAAGGGGTCATAACTTTTTTTCTTTAAGTTTAATATTTTCTATTTTGGATTCTGGAAATTCAGTAAAAGCTCTAAGTCAGTTGGTTATTACTCTCCAAGAGCAGAAGCCAAAATAAGGCACCTAGCCCTTAGGACATTTGAAAGACCGGGCGGGGGAAAAAAACTGCCCAAAGTCAATCTTTTTTTAAAATAATCCTTGAAATATTTCGTGTTTGTCTTTACATTTTATTCTCTTATCCAAGTTAACAGAATAAGGAAGTGATAGTAAATTCATGGTTAACTACCATGCTTCTACAAGGATGAATTTCAAGAAGACTGATAATCCTACTTAGAATAATAGCCTTCCCAGTCCTCCCTACAGGACCACCCATAAGTGAATAAATTCTGGGCCATCTCCTAAACACATGCTGGAAGGAAAAATGCCTTGAAGATTGGTCACCTATTCTAAAACTGTTGCTGCTTTTAAACATGGTAGCCTATATAGTCATTGAAATAACAACTACCTTTCACTGAAACATTCAGAAATGCCCTCATCTAAAGACTACCAATATGGGCCGGGTGCAGTGGCTCATGCCTGTAATCCCAGCACTTTGGGAGGCCCAGGCGGGTGGATCACCTGAGGTCGGGAGTTCATGACCAGCCTGACCAACATGGGGAAACCCCGTCTCTACTAAAAAATACAAAATTAGCCGGGCGTGGTGGCACATGCCTGTAATCCCAGCTACTCCAGAGGCTGAGGCAGGAGAATCGCTTGAATCCGGGAGGCGGAGGTTGTGGTGAGCCGAGATTGCGCCATTGCACTCCAGCCTGGGCAACAAGAGCGAAACTCCGTCTCAAAATCAAACAAACAGAAGACTACCAATATTTAAAATGAACTTTTAAACTTATAACTGCCCTTGTGAGCAATGCCTAATGAGATTAATTCCTTAGCCCATGATACCTGGGGTTGGGATGAGTGAGGGTGGAGGAAGATATCCTAGACTCCACTTTTTGTTTTTAGAAACTTGTCATTTCATTTAATTCCCATACAACTCTCTGTAGGGGAAAACCCCACGTTATTATTAACATTATTCCCACTTATACAGATGAAGAAATGTAGGCATTGTTAAGTAAACTAACTTATTTAATATCACACAGTTAATAAGTGGGTTTTTTTTATTTTTTATTTTTTGAGACCGAGTCTCGCTCTGTTGCCCAGGCTGGAGTGCAGTGGCGCGATCTCGGCTCACTGCAAGCTCCGTCTCCCAGGTTCACGCCATTCTCCTGTCTCAGCCTCCTGAGTAGCTGGGACTATAGGCGCCTGCCACCACGCCTGGCTAATTTTTTTTGTATTTTTAGTAGAGATGGGGTTTCACCGTGTTAACCAGGATGGTCTCAATCCCCTGACCTCGTGATCCGCCCACCTCGGCCTCCCAAAGTACTGGTATTACAGGCGTAAGCCATTGCGCCCGGCCAATAAGTGGTATTAACTCAGGTTTGTGATATTCCACAACCCATAACCTTTATACAACACGACAATGCCTTTAAGTATACCTATCAGTAATGTGTATCAAAACCCATGTGGTGAATTAAAGTGACTCCCTTATCTGTCTCAATGGAATACCTTGGAAACCTGAAGTTCGTGTCTTCTATACCCATGCGCTCATAACATTGAAATGTGTGATTCATGGAGCTCAGACATTGATTTCCTCTGACTTATCTTCACTCCGAAATACACGATCCCTGGTGCTCAGTACTAAAAGAAAGCTCTCTCTGAAAATGTAGATAGCTAAGCTCTGTGCTTCAGTCAATGTGATGAGCATTAAGATTAAACATTCTAAATGACAACTCCTAGACTTTTTTCAAAATGTTACTCTTGATTATGCCATAATACGAGAGAATCAGATTTTTTTTTTTTTTTTTTTTTTTTTTTTTGAGACGGAGTCTCTTTCTGTTGCCCAGGCTGGAGTGCAGTGGCGCAATCTCGGCTCACTGCAAGCTCCACCTCCTGGGTTCGTGCCATTCTCCTGTCTCAGCCTCCCAAGTAGCCGAGACTACAGGCGCCCGCCACCACACCCAGCTAATTTTTTTGTATTTTTAGTAGGGACAGGGTTTCACCTTGTTAGCCACAGGATGGTCTCGATCTCCTGACCTCGTGATCCACCCACCTTGGCCTCCCAAAGTGCTGGGATTACAGGCATGAGCCACCGTGCCCGGCCGACAATCAGATTTTTTAATGGCATTCCTCACTTAAATCCTTAAAGCCAGTGTGCAGGTTGGCCAGACGGAACCAAAATACATCCTGAGCCTCACTAGTATAAATGTGGAATGAACACAGACAAATGCCTAAGTAAGTCTTCAAGTACCAAATTAGCATACTAACATTAAATAATAGCAAACTTCCCTAGAAAATTCAGATCTGTGGACTATCTCCATCCTCTCTCCAAAGAAAATAGGTGTAAACAGGAAGAGTTCCAAAAAGATTCTTTAAGTTTTTTGGTTTTTTTTTTTTTTTTTTGAGACAGGGTCTTGCTCTGTCACCCAGGCTGGAGTGTGGTGATATGATTACAGCTCACTGCAGCCTCAACCTCCTTGGCTCAACTGATTCTCTCATGATGAGACAGGAGTTTGGCAGGACTGGTTTTACAAGGTACAAATCACAAAGACCCCACTGGTAAAATGAGATGCGTAAAGCAGCCAGAAGAACGCACAAAAACCAAGATGGCAACGAAAGCAACCTCTGGTCATCCTTAAGGTTCTTATACATTAGCATGGTAAAAGACACTCTCACCAGTGCCATGACAGTTTACAAATGACATGGTAACATCTGGAATCTACCCTATATGATTAAAAGGGGGAGGAACTCTCAGTTCCGGAATTCCCCACCCCTTTCCCGGAAAACTCATGAATAGCCCACTGCTTGTTTAGCATATGATCGAGAAACAACCATAAAAATAGCCAACCAGCAGCCCCCAGAATCAAAGTCATTCTTTTATTCTGGCTTTTATTCTGCCGGCGGCGGGGTGGAGGGACCAAGTCTTGCTTTGTTGCCCAGGCTGGAGTGCAGTGGCGCAATCTCGGGTCACTACAACCTCTGGCTCTCTGCCTCAACCTCCCGAGTAGCTGGGATTACAGGCACGCACCACGCCTAGCTAATTTTTGTATTTTTAGTAGAGATGGGGTTTTACCATGTTGGCCAGGCTGGTCTCAAACTCCTGACCTTAAGCAATCCACCCGCCTCACCCTCTCAAAGTGCTGGGATTACAGGCGTGAGCCACCACGCCCGGCGCTATTCCTTTACTTTTCTTAATATACTTGCTTCTACTTTACTGTCAGCTTATTCTTGAATTCCTTCCTTCATGAAGCCAAGAACCCAAATGGCCTCCTGGACTGAACCCTAATTTTGGGGTTCAACCTGTGAAAACCTCAGCCTCCCAAGTAGCACCACCATACCTAGCTAATTTCTTTGTTTTGTTTTGTTTTTTGTAGAGACAGGGTTTCACCATGTTGCCCAGGCTAGTCTCAAACTCCTTGGTTCAAGTGATCTACCTGCCTCGGCCTCCCAAAGTTCTGGGATTACATGCAGGAGCCACTGTGCCTTTAAGTACTTCTTAAAGGCAATCCCAGAATTTCCTTATGAAGAACTCATCACTCTTAACAGAAGACTAGACATCCTTCACATTGAAAATAGAGCAGTAACATTCAGTTTAAACCAGTCCTTCTAGCTCTTATAACAAAAGAAAAATGTTATCAGAAAACAGAGCTCAGAGGGTAACAAGACTCTACCACATATATTACATATAAATTGAAAGAGATTGGTAAATCATTTTAATTCTCAAATATGAGACCTTTTTGAAAGCCTAACTTCCAAAATTATTGCGCATATTTTCTTTTGACTATGATTATACTCTATTTTGACCCTCAGTAGCTTAGTCTATTTTCAGCTGTACGTAATTAAGATTTGGTGCCTAGAAACAATGTAACTACATATAACTTTACTCACCATCAATTTGCTAAGAACCATGATTTTTTGGTTTGGTTTTGAGACAGAGTCTGGCTGTGTTGCCCAGTGCTCACTGCAACCTCAGTGCTCACTGCAACCTCCACTTCCAGGGTTCAAGCAATTCTCATGCCTCAGCCTCCTGAGTTCCTGGGACTACAGGTGCATACCACCACACCCAGGTAATTTTTGGTATTTTTAGTAGAGACAGGGTTTCACCATGTTGGCCAGGCTGGACTCCAACTCCGGGCCTCAAGCGATCCACCTGCCTCAGCCTCCCAAAGTGCTGGGATTGCACGTGTGAACCACCGCACCCAGCCAGATCCATGATATTTTGAATTCAACTTAGTCTCAGGCTTCCATATCCCCAAAATATCCATCTTTACATTGGTACAGTTCTCTTCTGGGATAATGTTCTTCAACAAAAAACAACTCTCTTTGGAGCAAAACCTCCTCTTCACAAAGCAGCTAGGCTGCATTTCCTAACAGACAAGCCTTCTCCAACTCATACAATCACCAATCTCAGGTTGTCTTTGCATGAATGAGTGACTCATCAACATGGTTTTTTTTTAAAGGAGTCAAGCTCCTAAGCCACAATAAGTATTAGTCACATAGTATTAACTACTTTTACTAAACCACACAATTAAAACAAACACAAGCAAATTTATAATACCCTAGAGACCATATACATCAGAAAACCCTACAATTTTTCAGGACCTCAAATCTTAGCTGAACTCAGTCATAAGTAATGTGTTGAATTACATGTAATAAAAATGTCTAGTTCAACCTGGCATTTTTAGCAACTAGAATGCTGCTCAGCAGCACCTGTGATTTTCAGAACTTAAAGTGCAAATTTAATCATCCCACAAACGTTAAATTGTGTTTGAAAGAGTTTGGGCAGTAGGAACAAATATTTAAAAAGAGGAAAAGGATAGTCTTTTTTAGTAACCAGAAAATTTGATCATGCAGGAAAACAAAGTTCACCTAAGCTTCATTTTATCTACTTCTATGATTAAAGATCAGGAAAGTATGCTTCATTTTTAGGAAGCATACCAGTAAATATTAACACATATATATTAACATGCTCAATTGTGACCGACAAATATTATGAGACTTCTAAGTTTAAGGGGGAAATAAAGACTTTGTTAATATCCAATAATGCAATACAGAAATTATATTTATGTTATGTGTAATAAATGTTTTCATAATATTGAATAGACTTTTTCATACAAAGATGAAGACCCATTCACCAAATTACTGACTTCTGTATTATACTCTGAAAAAAATCAATAAATCATTTAAGCTTGCTCTCTAGTTCTAGACACATTTATTTTGCAAGTTGGCCTGTCTAAATTGTGATAGACTAGAACGCAAATAAAGTAGGTCTCTCATTTCATGACTACTCTACTGCCCACACCTCCCCTTCTCCTGATAAAGTCAATCAGAAGCTCCTGAGAAGAGTCTAATTTTTACCAAAAATATTTTCACCACAAGTATTTTAGGGCTGCGTACAGTGGCTCATGCCTGTGATATCAGGCACGTTGGGAAGCCAAGGAGGGAGGATCGCTTGAGCCCAGGGAGTTCAAGGCTAGCCTGGGCAACATAGAGTGACACCAGCTCCACAAAAAAATTAAAAAATTAGCCATCCATGGTGGCATGCGCCTGGGGTTCCAGCTATTCAGGAGGCTGCTGGGAGGATTGGGAGGATTGCTTGAACCCAGGAATGCGAGGCTGCAGTGAGCGGTGATTGCACTGCACTCCAGTCTGGGCAACAGAGTGAAACCCCGTCCAAAAAAAGAAAGTATTTTTATTTTCTTTTACTCAAACCTTTGGCTATCTGTAATATATATAAAGCAAGAATAGTGTAATTAATGATAATGCAAAAGAAAAGTAATAATGATACTGGTGACTTTTTATAACAATTTTTAGAATATATAAATAAAAATTAGCAGCATAAGAAATGCTTAATTCAATATAATTAAATATGAGAGAATATCCTTCAGGAGAGAAAACTTAAATATAGCATTTTATAATATTAAACCTTTACAAGGTTCAGTTCATGGGTTTTTAAAATTGTTTTGTTAGGATCAAATTATACACTTTGACAAAGAGGTCATTTCTATACTGAAAAACAACAACAACAACAACAAATAACCAAAAGCCAGTAAATAATATCAAAACTCCCAAAAAACGATCCTGATGCACACCAACAGCTTCAGATAAGACAGAAAATCCCAGCTCAAGATAGGTCTTGCAACATAATGAGAGGAAAAAAATGATAAGAAATGGCTTAATCAAATTCCTTTACAATAATTAGTTCGATTTTACCAAAGAGAATAATTAGCCATGGTTTAAACTAACCAGATATATATATCTGCTGTAACTATTAGATTAAAATCAGTGATTTTCCAGAATATCTCCTTTGAAAGTAGTATGCAGATAACATCTCATAGAATAAAGATGATCTAAAAACTCAGATGACCATTTACCAAAAATAATTGTTAAACCTTCATTATGTACAAGAAATTAAAGGTAGTATTAGATGAACGTAATACAATCCATCAATACAAATTGCAGTTTAAAATATTTTCTCAATAATATCTAATGTGTACAGCAAAAAAAAATTAACAAAAATATCCTTATATAGCAGTGAATAAAATTGGAATAAAATCCTTTTTAGAGCTTTATATAATGACCTGTGGTAGCTTGCAGTCTCCCTCCAGCTTTTACTTCCAACTCAACATAAATTTGAATCCAAATTATCAATCTTTCTGTCCTCATTCTGGTAACTTAATACACCTGGATCTAACTATAAATGTTATTTTCTTTTTGTATTTGAAACCTGCAGTTCTCAGAGATTGCGAAGGAAACAAATCAAGGTTGAGCTTAAAGAAAAAAAAAAAAAAGCTTCAGTACAGTTGCAAATTCATAATGGGCCCTTTTAGTCCCCTATTCAGCATAATTCCTGCTGACTTCTGAAGAGATGCAATTCCTTGCCCCCGCCAATACCCCCCAAAAACACACAAACACACACCATAGGCCACAGTACCCAGAATAGAACCTATGGTAATCAAAAAGAAAAATAACTGCTCACTTGTTGAACAGGATTAACAGTCCTCCTTGTTTCTGAAGTTTACTAGAGGTTTTCTGTTATTAAAACACTGCATTTTAGGCAACCCATTAGGAGCAAAACTACAGCATCATTTCAATAGATTCAGAAAAACTATTCTGACATTCAACACCACTCATGATTTTTAAATTGAAAAAAAAACTTTTTACTAGAACTAGAAGAAAACCACCTTAATGTGATCAAGGGAAATAAATGTATCTTTCCAAAATTCTACAGGAAACATAATACACAATGGTGACACATTAGAAGCACTGCCCTTTAATCAGTTCAAAACCAGCCTGGCCAACATTGCGAAACCCCGTCTCTACTAAAAATACAAAAATTAACCAGGCATGGTGGCGCGTGCCTGTAATCCCAGATACTAGGGGGGCTGAGGCAGGAGGATCGCTTGAACCTGGGAGGTAGAGGTTGTGGTGAGCCGAGTTCTTGCCACTGCACTCCAGCCCAGACAACAGAGCGAGACTCTGTCTCAAAAACGAAAACAAAAAAGAGTAAGACACAGATGCCCATTATCATCACTTTTACTCAACTGTAATAAAACTTCAAGATAGCACAGTAAGATCAAAAAAAGAAACAAAATACATAATGAGTAAAAAGGGGGAAAAAATTGCCATATTTTCTGACATGATCGTCACTTTAGGATACCCAAGAGGATCTATAGGCACTTTAGTAAGATAATTCAGAAGCTTTGGTGAATATATACGTAAAAATTAGGTTCCTGATTTTCATTTAGTATGTCTGCTTTCCCTAATATCCATGATTATTCCTTTCCTTTTCATTTGTCTTCTTCAGTTGGGTTAACTCTTCATTAAGAGTCACAAAATTAGAATTACACAATATATTAAATGCTAACGTGTGACAAAAGTGGAAATAACATTTCTTTCTCCCTTCTCAGAAGATCTGTTGTATTTTCATCGCTTTCTACTCCTATACCAAATTGCTTCTGTAATTACAATAAACTTTTAGTTGCCATTTTGGCCAGATCATGGGGGGTTGAGGAGCAGGGGGATTCTAAAATATATCCAATATATCCTGTTTCTTTCCTGAATCAGCATAAACCAGTCACAAATCATTATTCTTAGCAAACCAGCCCAATTTACTTAAGAGTATCACTTTGTAGCTGCCAAAAGTGAGAGCAGTTTGCCAACTCCCCACCCAGCTCTGCAGCCTCCAGTGGTATTCCTACACTTATTCCTTACCATTTGTTTAACCACTATTTTGCTTCCTAGATCTCAGAATCATCTGGAAATCTGCAATGTTTTACAACATGCTTTCAGAAGATTCCCATGTTTATGCACACCATTCCATTCAAAAGGGCCTAATTACCATACTTTTTATTTCCTATCCCTAATTGCTTCCAATCCAAGATGGATTTTTTGAAATTATCATTTAGTTATTTCACATTTTATGAACTTTTTCAAAGTCTAGCAAAATATTAGTATTAGCTGCTTACTTAACTGGTCAAAAACTATCCTCACTTTCTGTATGGGACATCTGTTTTTAACATTATCTTAAGAGTACAAACTCCTTGTTATACAACTCCTGCCCTTTTAGAATTACAAAAAATGTTCTCTGAATGGTTCAAATGTGATGAATGTCCTTCCCCAAGCCTTTATACTCCTTGATTACACTGTAGCCCTAATAACCAGGACCTCTTTCCTAAAATTTTCTTCCTCTTGTTTCTATAATTTTTCTTTCCAACCACCGACCTGACCTGTCAGCTTCTGACTCTTTTTCTAATGTCACCACTTTATGAACACATAGGGGTTCTCCAAGCTCTATCTTTGGCTACCTGTTTTCTCACCTTATCTTTTTTGGGGGTTTGGGGAAGAAGTTTCATAGTCCCATTCAAATTTCATGCCTTCAACTATCATCCTCTGAGGAAGTTTCCCAAATTTTTATCTATAGTTCTGGCCTGGATCCCAAGACCCATACCACAGCTGGCAAGGACACAACACCCAAGAGACACGTTGCCAGTTGCCTATACACAGCCTAAAAGGACTTCTCAACACAGCCTTGGACAGTCAGTATATTATCAGAGGAAACTAGGACTGAAGAAGAAACCCACTCACCACTTCCAATCATTCCCTAAATGTCTCTACCTGACATTCCATACCACCAACTTATACTCAGTATCTCAAACAAACAACTCATTATCTTTCCCCAAAACCTTTACTCTACATATGTCATCTTGTGGGGAAATCTTGTGAGTCTTCAGTAATTCTCTCTTCTGTACATTCAGATTCAAGCTGTTGCCCATTTTTATCGAGTAACATTATAGTATCTCTCAAATGTGTCTTTCATTTTCCAATATCATATCCAAATATAAGCATTGAATATCTCTTGACTAAGCTGCTAAAGCTGCTAGCTTCCTAACTAGTCATCTCATCTGGCGTCTCTTCCCACTTTTTCTTTTTGAGGTAGAGTCTCATTCTTTGGCCCAGGCTGGAGAGCAGTGGCGTGATTATGGTTCACTGCAACCTCAACCTCCCAGACTCAAGTGATCCTCTCACCTCAGCCTCCCAAGTAGCTGGGACTACAGGCATGCTCCACCATGCATGACTAATTGTTTTGTATGCTTTGTAGAAACAGGGTTTCACCATGCTGACCAGGCTAGTCTCAAACTCCTGGCCTCAAGCAATCTGCCTGCCTCAGCCTCTCAAAGTGCTGGGATTACGGGCATGAGCCACTGCGCCCAGCCTCTTCCCACTTTTTCAATCTCATTAAGTGCTGCAAAAGTAATCTGATCTCTTACTAATAAGCACTCAGCGACCACCCAAATTCCTTATTCTTGCAATCAGTATCTTTAACAAGATAGTTTAAGGTTACTTCTAATCTTACTTGTATGTCTCTATGTAAAGATGGCTATAATTGGTAGAATAAATACAGACATATAAATCATGATGTTTCTTCTAGCAGAAAGTCGCTCCTTTAAACTAGAGAAAATTGGGCCGGACGTGGAGGCTAACACCTGTAATCGCAGCACTTTGGGAGGCCGAGGCAAGTGGATCACCTGAGGTTAGAAGTTCGAGACCAGCCTGGACAAAATGGTGAAACCCCATGTCTACTAAAAATACAAAAATTAGCTGGGCAAGCTGCGTGTAATCCCAGCTATTTAGGAGGCTGAGGCAGGAGAATGACTTGAACCTGGGAGGCAGAGGTTGCAGTGAGCCGAGACCATGCCATTGCACTCCAGCCTGGGCGACAAGAGCAAAACTCCATCTCAGTCTATAAGTCAATAAAACTAGAGAAAACTGGAGGGCATGGAGAGAGAAGTTCAACAGAACTTGATAATGAAGTGAATAATGATAATGATGATGAATGAAAAAAGAAAAATCAAAAATGAATCTTAAATTTCTAGCTCATGCAGTGGGTTATATGATGATACTAAAAAAGGGAGGTGTCTGGGGAGGGATTAGAACTTATATTGTAAAGTGACTTTGACATCTCAAAGTGAAAATGGATAGAATATGGGCAGACATAAATCCTGATCTCAGAAGACAAGTGTTGACTAGAGATGTCACTCTTAGAATAAATGTAATAGAGATGATACTTTAAGCCTCAAATGTGTTTAAAGATCTAGAACAAATAGAGTTTAAAAGAAGAGAGAATGGAATTTTAAAAGAAGAGGCCTAGAACATGCCGATGTTAGAAGTCAAGCAGAGAAGGGAGAACTAATGGAGAAGACTAAGAAGAAATAACCTGAAGAATGTGACGTTTACAGCAGCCAAGAAGGAAAAGTATACTTAGATGAAGGCATGATCAGCAATGCTGAATGATATTAAGAGGAAAAGCAAGATGAAGATGGGGGGACAAAAGACCCATTAGATTTAGCATTTTTAAGTCTCAATAGCAACTTTAGTTGGCACCTGTTTGGACAACTGAGAAACCAGAGTGGAGTGCTATCCTATAAGGAGTAACAATGGGAGATGAGAAAATAAAGATGAAAAGGTAGCAAAGTAGAGATAAGTCCTTCAAAAAAGTTGCCTGTAAAAAGAAAGTGAAATGATATGGAGGATTCTATGTTATAATGCCTATAAAATGCTAAGAATAATGCATTATCTCAAGTAGTTCTATCTTTTCTACCACTGATAGTTCTCACTAAACATTATTCATCCACACTAACTTCAGGAACAATGCAAGGATGCCCAATACTACTCTATTCTGAATATTATTTGTTGATGAAATTAGGCTAGAGAACACTGAAAATATTAAGAAATAAGAATTGAAAAGAAGGCAGGGCACAGTGGCTCACCCCTAATCCTAGCATACTGGGAGGCCAAGCGAGTAGACTGCTTGAGCCCAGGAGTAGGAGACCAGCCTGGGTAACATGGTGAAACGCCTTATCTACAAAAAATAAAAAAATTAGCTGGGTGTGGTGGTGTGTACCTGTAGTCCCAGTTACTTGGAAGGCTGAGGTGGGAGAATCACTTGAGCCCCAGGGGTCTAGGCTACAGTATGCCATGATTGTGCCACTGTACTCCAGCCTGGGTGACAGACTAAGACACCGTCTCAAAAAAAAAAAAAAAAAGAATTGAAAAGAAGAAATAAAATGAGTAGAGGCTAGGCGCGGTGGCTCATACCTGTAACCCCAGCATTTTGGAGGCCGAGGCAAGTGGATCACCGGAGGTCAGGAGTTCGAGACCAGCCTGGCCAACAAAGAGAAACCCCGTCTATACTAAAAAAATACGAAAATTAGTCGGGCATGGTGGCATGCGCCTGTAATCCCAGCTACTCGGGAGGCTGAGGCAGGAGAATACCTTGAACCCGGGAGGCAGAGGTAGCAGTGAGCCGAGATCGCACCACTTCACTCAAGCCTGGGTGACAAGAGTGATACTCTATCTCAAAAAAAATAAAAAATAAAATAAACAAACTAGTAGAGAAAATAATTATACATAGAAGAACTAGAAAAGAAGAAATAAAACTATTTTCAGATGACCTGAGGGAATACCTGGGAAATCCTAGAAAACTGAAAATAAAACTCAATAAACAAAAGAATTCAGCAAGGTAGCAGGATACAAAATGAACACGAAAAAAAAACAGTTACACTTCTATACACAAGTAACAATTAGAATACATAAGGGATGAGAAAGCCCCCTTTTCTTTTTTTTTTTTTTTTATTAAAGTTCTAGGGTACATGTGCACAACATGCAAATTTGTTACATATGTATACATGTGCCATGTTGGTTTGCTGCACCCCTCAACAAGTCATTTACATTACATATTTCTCCTAATGATATCCCTTCCCCAACCCCTCACCCCACAACAGACCCCGGTGTGTGATGTTCCCTTCCCTGTGTCCAAGTGTTCTCATTGTTCAATTCCCACCTATGAGTGAGAACATGCAGTGTTTGGTTTTCTGTCCTTGAGATAGTTTGCTGAGAATGATGGTTTCCAGCTTCATCCACGTCCCTGCAAAGGACATGAACTCATCATTGTTTATGGCTGCATAGTATTCCATGGTGTATATGGGCCACATTTTCTTAATACAGTCTATCATTGATGGACATTTGGGTTGGTTCCAAGTCTCTGCTATCGTGAATAGTGCCACAATAAACATACGTGTCTATGTTTCTTTATAGTAGCATGATTAACAATCCTTTGGGTATATACCCAGTAATGGGATTGCTAGGTCAAATAGTATTTCTAGTTTTAGATCCTTCAGGAATCGCCACACTGCCTTCCACAATGGTTGAACTAATTTACACTCCCATCAACAGTGTAAAAGTGTTCCTATTTCTCCACATCCTCTCCAGCATCTGTTGTTTCCTGACTTTTTAATGATCGCCATTCTAACTGGCATGAGATGGTATCTCACTGTGGTTTTGACTTGCATTTCTCTGATGACCAGTGATAGTGAGTATTTTTTCATGTTTCTGTTGGCTGCATAAATGTCTTCTTTTGAGAAGAGCCTTTTCATATCCTTTGCCCACTTTTTGATTTGGTTGTTTGGTTTTCTCTTGTAAATTTGCTTAAGTTCTTTGTAGATTCTGGATATTAGCTCTTTGTCAGATGGGTGGAGTGTAAAAATTTTCTCCCATTCTGTAGGTTGCCTGTTCACTCTGATGGTAGTTTCTTTTGCTATGCAGAAGCTTTTTAGTTTAATTAGATCCCATCTGTCAATTCTGGCTTTTGTTGCCATTGCTTTTGGTGTTTCAGTCATGAAGTCCTTGACCATACCTATGTCCTGAATGGTATTCCCTAGGTTTTTTCTAGAGTTTTTATGGTTTTCGGTCTAACATTCAACTGCTTAATCAATCTTCAATTAACTTTTGTGTAAGGGGTAAGGAAGGGATCCAGTTTCAGCTTTACACATATGGCTAGCCAGATTTCTCAGCACCATTTATTAAATAAAGAATCCTATCCCCATTTCTTGTTTTTGTCAGGTTTGTCAAAGATCAGATGGTTGTAGATGTGTGGTGTTATTTCTGAGGCCTCTGTTATGTTCCATTGCTCCATATATCTGTTTTGGTACCAAGTACCATGCTGTTTTGGTTACTGTAGCCTTGTAGTATAGTTTGAAGTCAGGTAGCTTGATGCCTCCAGCTTTGTTCTCTTCGCTTACGATTGTCTTCGCAATGCGGGCTCTTTTTTGGTTCCATATGAACTTTAAAGTAGTTTCTGCGAATTCTGTGAAGAAAGTCATTGGTAGCTTGATGGCGATGGTATTGAATCTATAAATTACCCTGGGCAGTATGACCATTTTCACAATGTTGATTCCTCCTATCCATGAGCATAGAATGTTCCTCCATTTGTTTCTGTCCTCTTTTATTTCGTTGAGCAGTGGTTTGTAGTTCTCCTTGAAGAGATCCTTCACATCCCTTGTAAGTTGGATTCCTAGGTATTTTATTCCCTTGGTAGCGATTGTGAATGGGAGTTCACTCATGATTTGGCTGTTTGTCTGTTACGGGTGTATAGGAATGCCTGTGATTTTTGCACATTGATTTTGTATCCTGAGACTTTGTTGAAGTTGCTTATCAGCTTAAGGAGATTTTGGGCTGAGATGATGGGGCATTCTAAATACACAATCATGTCATCTGCAAACTGGGACAATTTGACTTCCTCTTTTCCTAATTGAATATCCTTTATTTCTTTCTCTTGCCTGATTGCCCTGGCCAGAATTTCCAACACTATGTTGAATAGGAGTGGTGAGAGATGGCATCCTTGTCTTGTGCTGGTTTTCAAAGGGAATGCTTCCAGTTTTTGCCCATTCAATATGATATTGGCTGTGGGTCTGTCATAAATACCTCTTATTATTTTGAGATATGTTCCATCAATACCTAGTTTATTGAGAGTTTTTAGCATGAAGGGCTGTTGAATTCTGTTGAAGGCCTTTTCTGCATCTATTGAGATAATCATGTGGTTTTTGTTGTTAGTTCTGTTTATGTGATGAATTACTTTTATTGACTTGTGTATGTTGAACCAGCCTTGCAACCCAGGGATGAGGCTGACCTGATCGTGGTGGATAAACTTTTTGATATGCTGCTGGATTCAGTTTGTCAGTATTTTATTGAGGATTTTTGCATCGATGATCATCAGGGATATTGGTCTAAAATTCTATTTTTTTTGCTATGTCTCTGCCAGGTGTTGGTATCAGAATGATGCTGGCCTTGTAAAATGAGTTAGGGAGGATTCCCTCTTTTCTATTGATTGGAATACTTTCAGAAGGAATGGTACCAGCTCCTCTTTGTACCTCTGGTAGAATTCAGCTGTGAATCCGTCTGGTCCTGGACTTTTTTTTTGGTTGGTAGTCTATTCATTATTGCCTCAATTTCAGAGCCTGTTATTGTTCTATTCAGAGATTCAACTTCTTCCTCGTTTGGTCTTAGGAGGGTGTATGTGTCCAGGAATTCATCCATTTCTTCTAGATTTTCTAGTTGCTTTGCGTAGAGATATTTATAGTATTCTCTGATGGTAGTTTGTATTTCTGTGGGATCAGTGATAATATTCCCTTTATCACTTTTGACTGCATCTATTTGATTCTTCTCACTTTTCTTCTTTATTAGTCTTGCTAGCGGTCTATCAATTTTGTTGATCCTTTCAAAAAACCAGCTCCTGGATTCATTGCATTTTTTGAAGCATTTTTTGTGTCTCTATCTCCTTCAGTTCTTCTCTGATCTTAGTTATTTCTTGCCGTCTGCTAGCTTTTGAATTTGTTTGCTGTTGCTTCTCTAGTTCTTTTAATTGTGACGTTAGGGTGTCGATTTCAGATCTTTCCTGCTTTCTCTTGTGGGCATTTAGAGCTATAAATTTCCCTCTACACACTGCTTTAAATGTGTCCCAGAGATTCTGGTACGTTGTGTCTTTGTTCTCATTGGTTTCAAAGAACATCTTTATTTCTGCCTTCATTTCGTTATTTACCCAGTAGTCATTCAGGAGCAAATTGTTCAGTTTCCATGTAGTTGTGCGGTTTTGAGTGAGTTTCTTAATCCTGAGTTCTAATTTGATTGCACTGTGGTCTGAGAGGCAGCTTGTTGTGATTTATGTTCTTTTACATTTGCTGAGGAGTGCTTTACTTCCAATTATGTGGTCAATTTTAGAATAAGTACAATATGGTGCTTAGAAGAATGCATATTCTGTTGAGTTGGGGTGGAGACTTCTATTGATGTCTATTAGATCCAATTAGTGCAGAGCTGAGTTCTAGTCCTGGATATCTTTGTTAACCTTCTGTCTCGGTGATCTGTCTAATACTGACAGTGGAATGTTAAAGTCTCCCATTATTATTGTGTGGGAGTCTAAGTCTCTTTGTAGGTCTTTAAGGACTTGCTTTTTGAAACTGGGTGCTCCTGTATTGGGTGCATATATATTTAGGATAGTTAGCTCTTCTTGTTGAATTGATCCCTTTACCATTATGTAATGGCCTTCTTTGTCTCTTTGGATCTTTATTGGCTTATAGTCTGTTTTATCAGAGACTAGGATTGCAACCCCTGCCTTTTTTTGCTTTCCATTTGCTTGGTAGGTCTGCCTCCATCCCTTTATTTTTAGCCTATGTGTGTCTCTGCACCTGAGATGGGTCTCCTGAATACAGCACAGTGATGGGTCTTGACTCTTTATCCAATTTGCCAGTCCGTGTCTTTTAATTGGGGCATTTAGCCCATTTACATTTAAGGTTAATATTGTTATGTGTGAATTTGATCCTGTCATTATGATGTTCACTGGTTATTTTGCCCGTTAATTGATGCAGTTTCTTCATAGCATTGATGGTTTTTACAATTTGGCATGTTTTTGCAGTTGCTCATATCGTTGTTTCTTTCCATGTTTACTGCTTCCTTCAGGAGCTCGCTCTTGTAAGGGAGGCCTGGTGATGACAAAATCTCTCAGCATTTAGTTGTGAAGGATTTTATTTCTCCTTCACTTATGAAGCTTAGTTTGGTTGGATATGAAATTCTGGGTTGAAAATTCTTTAAGAATGTTGAATATTGGCTCCCACTCTCTTCTGGCTTATAGGGTTTCTGCCGAGAGATCCGCTGTTAGTCTGATGGGCTCCCCTTTGTGGGTAACTCGACCTTTCTGTCTGGCTGCCCTTAACATTTTTTCCTTCATTTCAACCTTGGTGAATCTGACAATTATATGTCTTGGGGTTGCTCTTCTCAAGAATTTTTCCAAGGAGTATCTTTGTGGTGTTCTCTGTATTTCCTGAATTTGAATGTTGGCCTGCCTTGCTAGGTTGGGGAAGTTCTCCTGGATAATATCCTGAAGACTGTTTTCCAACTTGGGTCCATTCTCCATGTCAGCTTCAGGTACACCAATCAAACGTAGATTTGGTCTTTGCACACAGTCCCATATTTCTTGTAGGCTTCGTTTGCTTCTTTTTACTCTTTTCTTCTCTAAACTTGTCTTCTCGCTTTATTTCATTAATTTGATCTTCAATCACTGATACCCTTTCTTCCACTTGATCAAATCTGCTATTGAAGCTTGTGCGTGCATCACGAAGTTCTCGTGCCATGGTTTTCAGCTCCATCAGGTCATTTAAGGTCTTCTCTATGCTGTTTATTCTAGTTAGCCATTCGTCTAACCTTTTTTCAAGGTTTTTAGCTTCCTTGCGATGTGTTAGAGCATGGCTCCTTTAGCTCAAAGAAGTTTGTTATTACTGACCTTCTGAAGCCTACTTCTGTCAACTCATCAAAGTCTTCCTCCATACAGCTTTATTCTGTTGCTGGCAAGGAGCTGCGATGTTTTGGAGGAGAACAGGCGCTCCAGTTTTTAGAACTTTCAGCTTTTCTGCTCTGGTTTCTCCCCATCTTTGTGGTTTTATCTACCTTTGGTCTTTGATGTTGGTGACCTGCAGATGGGGTTTTGGTGTAGATGTCCTTTTTGTTGGTGTTGATGCTATTCCTTTCTGTTTGTTAGTTTTCCTTCTAACAGGTCCCTCAGCTGCAGGTCTGTTGGAGTTTGCTGGAGGTCCACTCCAGACTCTGTTTGCCTGGGTATCACCAGTGGAGGCTGCAGAACAGCAATTATTGCTGCCTGATCCTTCCTCTGGAAGCTTCATCCCAGAGGGGCACCCGCCTGTATGAGGTGTCTGTCGGCCCATACTGGGAGATGTCTCCCAGTTAGGCTACATGGGGGTCAGGGACCAACTTGAGTAGGCAGTCTGTCCATTCTCAGAGCTTAAATGCTGTGCTGGGAGAACCACTGCTCTCTTCAGAGCTGTTAGACAGGGACGTTTAAGTCTACAGAAGTTTCTGCTGCCTTTTCTTCAGCTATGCCCTCCCCACAGAGGTGGAGTCTATAGAGGCAATAGAACTTGCTGAGCTGCACTGGGCTCTGCCCAGTTCGAGCTTCCCGGCTGCTTTGTTTTCCTACTTAAGCCTCAGCAATGGGGGACGCCCCTCCCCCAGCCAGGCTGCACCCTCGTTGTTAGATCTCAGACTGCTGTGCTAGCAGTGAGCAAAGCTCCATGGGCATGGGACCTGCTGAGCCAGGAATGGGAGAGAATCTCCTGGTCTGCTGGTTACTAAGGCCATGGGAAAATCACAGTATTTGGGTGGGAGTGTCCCGTTTTTCCAGGTATAGTCTGTCACGGCTTCCCTTGGCTAAGAAAGGGAAATCCTCGACCCCTTGCACTTTCCAGTTGAGGTGATGCCCCGCCTTGCTTCAGCTCACCCTCCATGGGCTGCACCCACTGTCCAACCAGTCCCAGTGAGATGAACCAGGTACCTCAGTTGGAAATGCAGATATCACCCGTCTTCTGCATTCATCACACTTGGAGCTGCAGACCGGAGCTGTTCCTATTCAGCCATCTTGGAATGGAATTTTTTCAGAAAGCCCCTTTTTAATAGTAATTTTAAAAAGTAAAATATTTAGGAATAAACAGAAATGTTCAAAACCTACATAAAGAAAAATAAACATTCTTAAAACATAGAAAAGTAGGACTGTACAACTGAAAAAGAAATACCCTGTCCTTGGTTAGAACATCTCAACATCAATAGGTCACAAACTTACAAATCATAAAGCTTTTTACGGAGTTAGACAAGTTGATACTGAAGTTCAAATGGAAAAAGTTCAAGAAAAACTGGGAAATACTGAAAATAAATAGATATGAGGGGACTATCTCATTAACACATACTACAAGCATTAAAACATACTACAAAGCTGCTATAATGAAAACAGTGTAGGACTGCTACATGAACAGGCAGAACAGTGCAAATGAACAGAAAATCCAGAAATAAATTCCACTACAGATAGAAATCTAATATCTGTAAAGGTGATATAATAAATCATTAGCACAGTTATAGTCATTTTAAACAATAGACGAGAAAAAAAGATAAAATTCAATGTTTCTCATATCATACATAAAAATAAACTGCAAATGGATCAGAGATCTAATCATAAGAAAACTACAAGTACTTTTTAAAAGTGCAGGGAGCAGGAGAGAGGGATTCTTCCTATAAACTAAGAATTCATAAAAGAAAACGCTTTCTCAATAGAACTAAAGTACAGATATAAAATTTCGCAGGACAAAAATACATGAGAAGCAACATCAAAAAACAGGTAACAAACTGGAAGGAAACATTTGCAACATATATCACAGATAAATGCCTAATATCCCTACAAAGAACTTCTAAAACTGGGGGGAAAGCCCAAATATCCTATGGAAAGTTGCTCTTATACATATGAAAAGACATTCAAATCCACACATAAAAGATGAATGCAAATTAAATGTACCCAAAATTCCATTTCTCACCTATCACTTGGCAAAAATGGAAGTTTCACCATGCACTCTGTTTGCAAGGCTGTAGGGAAACAAGCACTCTCATACACTGCAGCAGGGAAGGCAAAATGTTACAGCCCCCATGCAGGGAACTGGGCAATATTCTAATAAAACTAAGTAAGTATTTGCCCTTTGAACCTTTTTGCCGTTGTTGTTAGCAACAAAGTCTCACTCTGTCACCCAGATTGGAGTGTAATAGCTCACTGCAGCCTTGAACTCCTGGGCTCAGGGGATCCTCTCAAGTAGCTGGGATTACAGGGGCAAGCCACTACACCGGGCTTAGTATTTGCCCCTTCAACCAGCAATCCCATTTCCAGGAATTTGCCCTGAAGATACACCTGTAAAACTACGAAAGTAAGTATCATTGCAGCATATTTGTAATTGTAAAATAGTGGAAACTACTTAAATGCGCAAGCATAAGAGATTGGTTGAAGAAACTACGGCACACACAAAGTAGTAAGCACCTGCAAAAACGAATGAGGAAAATCTCTACAAACTTATATGAGGTAATTTCCAAGAGATACTGATACATGAAAAAAGTGAACTGCAAAAGAACATATATGCTACTTTTTAGGTAAAAACAAGAAAAATAAGACAACATAAATATCTCTGCGTTATCTTTATAAAAATAAGTAAAGCCCAGAAAACAATAAAATTGGTTTCCTACAAAGTATGGGGTGGAATGGGGAGGAAGGAGTGACAATTTTCTGAGTATACCTTTTTGTACAGTTTTACTTTTTGGAAAAGTAAATAATTTCCTATATATTCAAAAAATTAAATCAATAAGGATGTAAAGAAAGGGGGCACAAAAGCTGAAAGAAAACTAATACAAGTGAACTATATTTCAAATTAATATCATAAACACACTTAAGGAATAAGAAAGAAAGAACTAAGTAATTATGAGAACAGTATTTGGTTACATACCCACAGGAATGAGTACAAAAAGGAGGGAGAACTTCAAACAAATTTCAAACTTTTTTTGGTATGTTTGTTTCTTATATGATTAACCAATCTTGAAACTGTTTTAGATCTATTATTTAGTTGAACAAAAAAGTAAATGTGTTGATACTGTTGGAAGCCAAGGTTCTCACTGTGAAAGACGGGACATATAAATATGAGAAGCAAGCAAGCAAGAAACCTGTGTGGATGGATTAGAATTAGAGAAACTGGTATATCTCTAAATAAAAAAAAATGCAGATGTATGTGTCCATGTATGTTTTTCAATATGCATTTGTGTATATATGTATAAATACAGATGCATGTGTATACATAAAGCTTATATATTTCCTACCTCTGTCCTCTAAAAGGGCCTAAAAGCCAAGACCCAGTAGCAATCAACACACTAGTGCCAAGATCTTGTTCGCTAATATTATTCCCACTAAAAACAATCAGAGCTCCTCAGAGAAATGGCTGCTTCCAAAGCTGGGGCAAAACAGATAAAAGATAATCCTGCAACAACTTCTTTTGTCAGAAATTAAGGAAGCACTGAAATATGTGATGGAGGACTGTCATGCACTTCAACTAACCAAACCTGGGCAATTTGAGTACCAAAAGCTCTATGACTTCTAAAGCTGTTTGGTCTTCCCAATCTTACCTTTTGAAATTCTGTCCCATAATTGTCCTTTCCTCTGTTTCCCCTAACCAGAGACATCTATCACTACAGTTGTGTCCTGTCTCTAGCACTCCATGATATAGTATTCTCGCTAACTTTTTTTTTTTTTTAAACAAATCCACAAGGAAAATTCTATGTTCTGGATTCTAGCTCTTGTACATTTATCAGAATGTACTATGCTCACTCCAATAAGCAACTAGAGGGCAGACTGTATATTTTACACTATTGTTTGCCCAAGGCCAAGTACAGAGCCTATTCTTTATTAGCAATTTGGTAAACATTTATTCAACTGAAATGTTTAATTTATCCCATTGCTCATGGTTTTCCTCTTTCCAGCAAACACTAAGAACAGTCAGTTTTCTTCCTTTCATTCATCCATCAAATCTGATTGGGATAAGTTCTATGCTCACTTTCTAATTAAGCAGTCACCAACCTTTTTGGCACCAGGGACTGGCTTTGTGAAAGACAGTTTTTCCATGAATGGGAAGGGAGCTGGGGAGAGATGGTTTCGAAATCAAACTGTTACACCTCAGATCATCAGGCATCAGATTCTCATAAGGAATGAGCAATGTGGATCCCTCGCATACACAATTCGTAACAGGGTTTGCACACCCATGAGAATCTAATGCTGCTGCTGATCTACTCACCATTCACCTCTTGCTGTGTGGCCCCATTCCTAACAGGCTGTGGACCGGTCCCAGTCCATGACCAGGGGATTGGGGACCCCTGTTCTAAATGACTTCTCAGTTACTCCAATCCTCAAAAATGTCTGCATGTGTAGCCCCTTCAGTACACAAGAGTCTTATCAGTACCATTTATGCGTAGCAATATTGGAAAGTATGTTTTATGTGGTATAACATCACAATTTCAGAAGTTGTCCATATCTCTTATTTTGAGTAAGATAAATAAATGTGGAAAGAAGTCAGTTTGTGCACATGTTAAAGGAAAAAAATTAAGATTTTTTTTTTCTTAAAAAAAAAAAGGATGCTATAGTCTAGTAAATTTGGGAAATACTGAATTGAACTAAGTTACTTACACCAGGTTCTCAGGTCTTTTAATACATCAACATATAATGGGATTCTCTTATGGGAAACAAAGTATTCAGTGCTTTCCGGATTTATGTGACCATGGGATCTTTACACTCCAAGCATCTCCTGGAAAAAATATACCATAGAACACACTTTGGAAATGTTTACTACACTATGACTGGCAGAAAACATCTTAAGTACCTGTGAACATAAGAAGATACTGCCATGGCCAAAAGAAAACACCTGATTAATACTACCAGGGTGACATGAAGCTTTCTACATAATACACAAAGTAGCTACTGATTCAAATTGCAATTGCTTAAAGACCAAAAGCCTATGAGCTCTAAATTAACTGTCTGTCTACTCCTGGGCCCCCAATAAAATTCTGGTGTGAGTTTCCACTTCCTCTCCCAATTCTTGAACTACGGATAACCAACTCCACTATGAGCACCCCACAATTAAAACACACATACACACAGAGAAAATGAAAGGTCTGAATTATGGCAGTGCTTCTCAGAGTTTAATATTCATATGAATGACCTAGAAATTTTGATGAAACACAGATTCTGACTTAGTAGGTATGGGGTTAGGTCTCAGATTCTGCGTATCTAGGACGCTCTCAGGTAACACCAATACTGTCTATGTACAGACCATAGTTTGGATAGTAAGTGTATAATGCGTATCAGGACAAAATGTTGAGGCCCCTAACTCATATCCAATGGCTATGTCTTTCAAACTACTTTCTGAAGATTTGATTCTTCCATCGGAAAACAATTAACTTTCATTAACACAGAAACTGTACACAAAAACTGAAGATACACTTAAATCCCTATTATCTGCTGATGATTATGTTTTACTAGAAATGGCAGTTTCCTGCAGAGTGCCATAAAAGTACAATTATCTAAAATCATTTTTAGTCTAAATCTTCGTTCTACCTGTCTTTCCAAATGCCCATACCAACACAGAAGCACACTGACTTTCACGGCAGCCAGGAACTGTCTCCAATTGTACTGACTTACAAGGCTGCAATTGTAGGCCCTGCCCCCAACCAAAAAAGACATGTATGAAGCCAGCATCTTTCTCAATGATTTACTGAAAGCAGCAGCTCATTTTAATAAAACCATCCCAAAACATAAAATTGATTAAACCAACTGCTGTGTTGGGCATACATGACAGCTGATCAAAATCATTCAAGAATTTTATTCTTACAGATTTTCTTTCAGGCTTTGAGAATTTTTCTCCCATTCCAAACTTTTATCTTGATACTGATATCACTGAAATAAAGAAAAAAAAAAGGATCTTTAAATCTATGAAATAGTTTTTAAATACAAAGTAGATCAATTCAAGAAAATATTTTAATAAACTGATTCATATACAACTTAATGTACATACTAAAGCTAATAACCACTTTTCTAGAACGTATTTTGTGTAACAAAATTAAGGGTTTATACTGAGTAACCTCTTATGATGTCAAACACTGTGTGGCTTTTCCTAGGCACAGCACTGTCATTTAGCAAAGTATTACAAAATTACACACGACATATTACCCTCATTCCTTAACAAGGAAAACTTTGTAAAATTAGATAGTAATTCTCTTTATGTTTCTTGATATTAAACACTGAGATTTTATTTCACTAAAACACAAAGATACTTATTTCTTTGCATGTTACATGATGCCTTTATTTTTTTATAATTAAGCAATTTTAGAGTATTTTTGTCACAACGAAGGACAAAGATAAGCCAACTGTTTAGATTCCTCTCCTTTATGTTGTGTCTTTGATCACTAACAATGCTGCGTGAACAGCCAACAGAAGGCTGACATTTCATAAAATATGCAGTGATAAAAACTAATACTGTAGCATCTGGGAGTGATATATAAAATGCAGAAATACACCTAATAACTGTGATCTTAAATTACAAGTTACTAAAAGCTAAATAAAAGGCATACCTAAGAACAAAAAAAATAGCAAGATTACAAAAGGCTTTCTTTTACTTCTATTTCTAAAAACAAATTTTAAAATAATTTAAGTCCATTAGACTTTTCCTACTACTCTACAACTTAAAAGCTCATTACTTTCTAAGAACAGGGTATCTGTACTATATACACCTCTCAACAACTGAAGAACATGTTACAAAACCACCAATGAAAGACCCTGTTCAAAATGCAGAGGAAGTTTTTCTTCTCGGATACTTAAAAATGTTAAAACTGCTAATGAAGTAAAACAACACGTAACTTTTATGACAAGACGCCAGAGAGAACGTCTAAAATAAAATTTAAAGTCCATAATCATCTAAACAAATATACTCTTAATACCAGTATTAATACATCCTTTCACAATCTAAGCCTTAAAGTCCTTGGTAAACCACCGGAAGCAAGTAAAATGTGCTCAAATATGTTTAAATAATTTTACCTTTACTACTAAACATTTGTTTTTTAATATTAAGAAGCAGGGAAGTCACACAATAAAGACAATCCAAGAGCAAACATTTGAATTTATCTTCATAGCATTTGGTTAAATATTCCACCTATATCCATCAAAATCACAGTCCAGCAGAAGTGTCTTATTGTTTTTTTAATATGTATGCTAAAGGGAAATGAAAAAACAAAGGCCATATTCAGCACTTCAAGAACTCTGAATTACACTTTGACTAAAGAAAATATACATGTAAGTATGTAGGAGGCAAGTGTCCTTGTGCTTATAATTAGCATCTGAATTCAGGGATTTTACTACTTAGGGCATACCCACTGCCTGTTATTCTTACCACGGTTTTTTATGTCACTTAATGGAGATAAATATTCTCTTCCCTTCTCATATTTACATCAACGATATTTAATTTTTTTAAGGCTGTTAAAATAGGTTAAACACCCATCTCAACATCACTCTTCATCTCCAACTGGACAAAGAATGGCATTACAAGACTGAGAATACAGAAGGCATATTTACATTCATAATGTTCCTAACTATAACATTTATGTAAATTATGTTTTTATATTTGCAAATACAATAATTTTTAGTTTCACTGCATATTTTGCCATTCTTTCAGCATTAACTTTCTATGGTTATTACAACCTCAAAAAATCATGCCTATGAAATATATGACATTGTTCATGCCACTAGATAAAAACACCTGAAGCAAAAAAATAATGTATCTATGCATAACATATCTACTTTCAATCTAATCTTATTCTCCTACAGAAGATAGCTTTAGTATATTAACTAAAAATTCCTAGTTGTTTGAGTTTAGAAAATCTTCCTTTTAGAATTATTTTCATTATCTTTTAACTATTTCACATGAGTTTACGTATCACATAAATGACATAAAATTTACTAAAATTATTTTAATGTCGGGCACCAATTAATCATTCTTTCCATTATGTTGTCTACTGAATTTACCCAGATATATAGCATTATGTGTATTTAGAAGAAAAGAATTAAGTTGGACCATTTGAAGACCTACACTTTCAAGAATAATTTACCCTAATCAAAATTTATTAGTGAAGTAAGAAAAATTATAAATACCAATGACAGCAGAGGGGAAAAAAGAGGTCAATTTTCTAGGTTTTCTGATTGTCAAAAAAAATGACAAACCACATTCTTCAACTATAACTAAGTAGGTAATTAAGAAATTAGCTGTAGAGCATCTTTCTCTCTCTTCCAGAATATAAAGTCCATGAAAGCTGAGTCCATACCTTTCTTGTTTAACTTTTTAATCAATGGTGCTTGAGTGTAGGCAACCAATTAAGATTTACGGGAAAAAAATAAGTGGGCATTTGTAATGAACTGTACATGGCTAAGAGAGATCCAAAGAAATATAACATGGTCCCTGCTTTCTTAACACTTAAAATCCAGTCAGCAACATAGGACTTAGACCCAAGTGAAAAACAAAAGCAAGTAATAGTACAAAATACTAAACAGGAAGTGCTTTGTGAGTAGCAACAAAGCAAAACAGGAATTCAGAAGATGGTGAAATCACAGTAGAACCATTGCAGAAAGACTTCACAGAGGGGGCAAGACAAGAGCTGCAAGTTGGAAAAAAGTACGTTAAGCTTTAGGTGGACAAAACAAAAAAAGTAGAAAGGCCATCATAGAGTAAAATGCAGAAAAGACACAAAACACTGAGAAATGAAGAAGGATATGCCAATGTAAAAACATTCTCAGTATGTTGGGACCATCCTGACAAAAATGAAAGCATTTTTGTTACTGGCCAGTGGAGGAAAAAACTAGGACAAATTTATGAGAGAACCTCAAATACCAGGCTGGAAAGTCTAAATTTCAATCTCTAGGCAAAGTGGGGCCAATGAAGGTTCCTAAGCAGGAGATTGTCTGGGTAAAAGCAATGCTTTAGGAAGATTAATCTGATGGCAATGCATAGGACAGATTTGAGGACAGCAGGGTACAAATTAAGAGACTTCTAAAGTATTCCAGGAATAAGGCTGCAGAGGAGTCATCTAGGCTTTTGAGAATGGTATAGAACTGGCAGGAGCAAAAACTACTAAGACAATACATTGACTAATGAGATATAATGGGTAAGAGAGAACAAGACTAGGAATTCTTAGATCTAAGATAAAGAGTCTGAAGGATAACAGGAGGGAACAAAGAATGGCTGGATCTGACTGGAGCGGACAGACAGTGGCAAGACGATGCTTCCAGTTCCAGACATTCACTGTGAGGGGACAGAGGGATGGAAACATAAAAATGAGGTTAAAAGTAGAGCTATAGATTTTAGAGTTCTCTGTGAATACATAATAGTTTAAAATCTTGAAAAGGAAGGGAAGAACAAAGAGCAGAGACTGAAAATTATACTACACTAACAAAATCTATAAATACACCTGAGGAAATTAACTAAAGTCAAATAAAATGGAATGACTATATAAGAGAGTTCCAGTACAGAAGGAATAACTCAAAAAAGGAGAACACAGGCCCATAAAGAGAGTGCTTGCAAAAACTTTACCCAACATTGTTAAACAAGCGGGGTCTTAGAATGTACTGCAAGGAAGAACAATTTTTAAATATTCTGGGTTTTTTTTTTTGAGAGAGAGAGAGAGAGAGGGGCTATGTTAGGATATAAATGAGAGACGAAAACTAAATATCTGAGGAAACAAAAACTTTTAAACATATAATTTCTTACTGTTTTGTTTCACTAAAAGAAAAAGCTGGACATTTTCCTTTTAAAAAGTCCTGAGTCCATACAGCATGCAAAGTAAATGCCCATACAAGATTAAAAGAAAAACACTGTCACGTGCTTTTTATGCTTTATATATCAATTATATTCACTTTCGTATTTTTTCACATCTGCATTAGCTCTTATTACTACTCTCTCAGGTTTAGGTCAGTATCCATATAAATTATACACTATATTTTTATATTTCCTAAATGCTATAAAATATTACAATGAGAAAAAAAATCTAACAAGTATTGTACCTATTTTTAAAAATACACACACTCCGCCGGGTGTGGTGGCTCACACCTATAATCCCAGCACTTTGGAAGGCTGAGGAGGGTGGATTACCTGAGACCAGGAGTTTAAGACCAGCCTGGCCAACATGGCGAAACCCCTTCTCTACTAAAAATACAAAAAATTAGCCAGGCATGGAGGTGGATGCCTGTAATCCCAGCTACTTGTGAGGCCGGGCAGGGGAACTGCTAGAACCCAGGAGGTAGAGGCTGCAGTGAAGCCAAGATCACGCCACTGCACTCCAGCCTGGGCAACAAGAGTGAAACTCTGTCTTAGGAAAAAAAAAAAAAATACACACACCCAATTTGCATGGTAGAGCCCACAGAAGAACATAGAATTCACAGAAATCAGGAAAAGTCCCCACCCTCTCCCCCCACTTCACCATGGGCCTAAAACAGAAAATAACAACATAAACTACAAGAAGAGAGACCCAACATGAAACATAAATTTAAATGTAAAATAAGGCTTTAGAAAAACGTTTTCCAGAGTGTAACTATCTGAAGAACCCTGGGAACGGTTTAATTGTATCAAGATTTAGAATTCCAATGGAAAGGTTAAAGCTTTATAATATATAATCTTTACCATCATATGCAAAGAAGAGAGATGCTCATTCATCAGCACTAGGAATTGTTAGGATAACTTATATGAATGTACTCACTGTACGTGGGTGTCTAACTCTACTAAAAGATATTTAAGCTAACCAATAAGTCAGATATGTTCTTAAAAATGCTAAGTGGTTATGTGTGTTAGATTTTCTGTATGGCATATTAATATACTTTTCCTGTATGATATAGTGAACTCAGTGATAATAAATATGTGCTGTGTCTGCCGCCTACATTTTCACTGACAGCACACGGAGTGTAAAACTGGCATTGTAAACTGAAAAGAAAGAAATTAACTTTAGAGGTATGTAGCATTAGTTTTATCTTATGCATTACTAAATCTAAATGCAGATGGATTATTAAGGACACAAGTGTGTATAAATTAGCAAGTATCAAATATCTATTTAGCTTATTAAAATAAAATATAGAATAGAAAATCATAAATTGGTCTTTTTTTTAGGCTGTCCAAAGAACAAGTTAATCCATTTGAATACAAATTATATTCTGTGCTTTGGGGAAATTCCAGACTACAAATTTAAGTTGAAGAGTAGACATAAATGGTAATTTAGCCATTAGATACACATAAAATACATAATTGTTGTCTTTGATTAATGTAGTATAATCTAATAAAAAATTTCAAAAAAGTGAAATTAAAACATTCAAATACTTTATTAAAAGGCAGCTGTGCTAGTAAAATTATTTGTTTCTGTAACAGCTGTTTAAATAAATGTAATACCCAGTTAATTCTTTAGTATAAAATAAAGTCTAAAGGTAGAGGGAGGAAAAAAGTCTGTCTTAATTCCTCTTCTTCACATGTAACAGTGTAAGGACAGAGTCAAACACAAGTAGCAATACAAATTTAGATGCTACAAACTCAGGACTCACTAGTTACTTTGCTACTAAACACTGAGGAATGTGAGAAAAATAAGCTTTAGTGAGAAAGAAGTAAAACAGTGATGTAAGTAGTCATATTACAAAACATGTGGCACCTTTATACATAAATAATAGGCCCCCAAAAGAAGCTAGGAACAGCCTTGAGTTGACAGGCAACAAGAAAATGGGGGCCTGGGTCCTGCAATCACAAGGAACTGAATTTTGCCAAAAAACTGAATACACAGGAAACGGATTTTCTGACATTTGAACTTTAGCATGCTACATCTCATACTGGACTTCTGACCTACAGAACTATAGAATTAAAAACTTGTGTTGTTTTAAACCATTAAATTTGTGATAATTTGTACAGAAGTTACAAAAAACTAATACATGAGGGCTAAAAATAAGGCAGGATGACAGGCAAACAGAGGAACTGTACCAAGAAAACTGGGTTTATGATCACCCTATTCAGCACAATACCCACACACAGCTAACTAGCACATGTTTTTGACACGAAATCAGTTTCCCCAATACAGAATGCAAACTTTTACCTTAAGAGGAGGAAGTTCTCAACCAAGTCATTTTTCATTTCTGTTAACTAATTTCCTAAAAAGAATTAAACTCCACAAGCAAGCTGCAAATACTGACATACCTACTTTTATTGAGCTTTGTTTTATTGTGCTTTGCAGATGCTGCATTTTTTTTACAAATGTACGTTTGTGGTAACCCTGTGTTGAGCAAGTCTATCATATATATGTGCGATACAATATTTTTTCCAACAGTATGTGCTCACTTTATGTCTCTATGTCACATTACCATAATTCTCACAATATTTCAAATGTTTTCATTATTATCATATCTGCTATGGTGAACTGTGATCAGTGGCCTTTGATGTTACTATTATAATTATGTTGGGGCACCACAAACCACACCCAATAAAGCAGATAACTTAATCAATGAATGTGTTCTGACTGCTCCACAGATCAGCCATTCTGCCATCTCTCCCCTTCTCTCCTCAGGCCTCCCTATTCCCTGAGATATGACAATACTGAAATTAGGTCAATTAATGGCCTTACAACGGCCTCTTAGTGTTCAACTGAAAGAAAGAATCGTATGCCTCTCATTTGAAATAAAAAGCTATTTTTATTGAGAGCCAAGACAGGCCAAAAGTTAGGCCTCCCAGGCTGGGCACGGTGGCTCATGCCTGTAATCCCAGCACTTTGGGAGGCTGAGATGGGCCGATCACGAGGTCAGGAGATCGAGACCATCCTGGCTAACACGGTGAAACCCCGTCTCTACTAAAAATACAAAAAAAAAAAAAAAATAGCCGGGTGTGGTTGCGGGGGCCTGTAGTCCCAGCTACTCGGGAGGATGAAGCAGGAGAATGGTGTGAACCCGGGAGGCAGACGTTGCAGTGAGCCGAGATGGCACCACTGCACTCTAGCCTGGACGACTGAGTGAGACTCCGTCTCAAAAAAAAAAAAAAAAAAAGTTAGGCCTCCTGAACCAAAAAGCCAAGTTGCAAATGCAAAGGAAAAGTTCTAAAGAAAATTAAAAGTGCTATTCCAATGAACACATGAATGTTAAGAAAGTAAAATAGCCTTAGTGCCGATATGAAGAAAGCATGTGTGGTCTAAACAGAACATCAAAACAGCCACAACATCCCCTTAAACCAAAGTCTAATCCAGAGAAAAGCCCTAATTCTCTTCAATTCCATGAAGATGAGAGGCAGTAGTGAGAAACCTGCAGAAGAAAAGTTAGAAGCTAGCAGACATTGATTCCTACGGTTGAAAAAAAGAAGCCTTCTCTATAACATTAAAGTGCAAAGTGAAGCAAGTACTTATATAGTAACTGCAGCAAGTTGTCCAGAATAGTTAAGATAACTGATGAAGGTGGCTACACTGAATAACAGATATTCAATGTAGACGAAACAATATACAGTATCTTCTTTCAATGTATTAGAAGAAGATGCCATTTAGGACTTTCATAGCTAGACAGGAGAAATCAGTGCCTGGCTTCAAAGATTCAAAGGACAGGTTGACTACTCTGTTAAGGTCTAATGCAGCTGGTGACTTTAAAGCCAATGTTCATTGACCATTTGGTAAATCTTCAAGCCCTTAAGAGTTATGCTAATTCTACTCTGTGCTCTAGAAAAGGAACAACAAATGCCTGGATGACAGCACATCTGTTTGCAGTGTGATTTATTGAACATTTTAAGCCCACTGTGGACCTACTGCTCAGAAAAAAAGATCCCTTTCAAAATACTGCTGCTCATTGACAATGTGCCTGGCCACCCAAGAGCTCTGGTGAAGATGTACAAGGAGATTAACGTTGTTTTCATGCTTGCTAATATAATATCCATTCTGCAGCCCATGAGTCAAGAAGTAATTCTGACTTTCAAGTCTTATTATTTAAGAAATACACTTTTTAAAGCTATTGCTGCCATAAACAGTGATTATTCTAACGAATCTGGGCAAAGTCAATTGAAACCTTCTGGAAAGGATTCATCATTCTAAATCCCACAAAAAATATATCATGATTCATGGGAGGAAGTCAAAATATCAACATTAACAGGAGTTTGGAAAAAGATTATTTGAACCCTCACGGATGACTTGAAGGAGTTTTCAATATTTCCGTGGAGTAAAGAACTGCAGGCAGGGTGGAAACAGCCACAAAACAAGAATTAGAAGTGGAACCTGAAGATAAGACTTTAATTGCTGAAATTTTATGATAAAGTGTGACTGGATTAGAATTTGCTTCTTATGGATGAGCAAAAAAGTAGTCTCTTGAGATGGAACCTGCTCCTTGTAAAGATGCTGTGAACACTGTTGAAATGATAACAAAGGATTTAGAATATTCCATAAAATCAGTTGATAAAGCAGTAGCAGAGTTTGAGAGAACTAAACTCAATTTTGAAAGAAGTAGTTCTATTGTGGGTAAAATGCTATCAAACCTAATCACATGCTACAGAGAAACCTTTCATGAAAGGAAGAGTCAACTGATACGGCAAATTGCACTGCTGTCTTATTTTAAGAAATTGCTACAGACAAGCCAACCTTCAGCAACCACCACCCTGATGAGTCAGCAGACATCCACACTGACTGACCCACAACCAGCAAAAAGATTACAACTCACTAAAGGCTGAGATGATCGTTCACATTTTTTAGCATGAAGGCTTTTTTTTAAAATTAAGGTATGTACGTTGTTTTTTACACATAATGCTATTATACATTTATATACTATAATATAGTGTAAACATGATTTTTATATGCACTGAGAAACCAAAAAATTCATGTGACTCACTTTATTTTGATCTTTGCTTTACTGTGGTGGCCTGGAACTGAACCTGCAATCTCTCTGAGGTATGCCTATAGTGATAATACACCCTTTTTCCCCAACAATTATAACTTTATTCCAAGTATTAACATAATTAATTTCTTTTATTCTGTCTATATTCTTTCCTTCTTCCTAATGACATGTTTCACCATCTGCAATAACAATTCAAAAAGAAACAAAATAAGAAAAGGTTTAATACACCCTCCTGAAATATCCATTATCTAAGCATTTAAAAAACTACTCATCCGGCCGTGCACGGTGACCCATGCCTGTAATCCCAGCACTTCAGGAGGCCGAGGCGAGTGGATCACCTGAGGTCAGGAGTTCGAGACCAGCCTGGCCAACATGGTGAAGTCTCGTCTCTACTAAAAAATACAAAAATTAGCCAGGTGTGGTGGTGCACACCTATAAATCCCAGCTACCTGGGAGGCTGAGGGAGAATTGCTGGAACCTGGGAGGCAGAGGTTGCAGTAAGCCGAGATCACACCACTGCACTACAGCCCGCTCCAACAACAGCGAGACTCCATCTCAAAAAAAGAAAAAATAACTATTCACCCTAATTTAGGTCAGAGAATATGTTTCCATAGAACAGGTAAATGTTCTACTTAGGCTAAAACTTAAGACTCTAAGATGAAAAAAAAATAATAATGCTGTTAATCATTGAGAGAACAGAGCTAAGGATCTGGAAGTAAACAGCATTTTATCTTTCAATCCAAGTTACCCTTAAAGAGGTCGGCATTTTGTTATGCTTAAGAGAGTGTAGAATAATATACTTTGGATTAGAATCATTCCAACACTAAATATAAATGCTTTTTTAAAAATTAAGCATAGTTCTCAATACATTTAATTTAAAAATTAATTATAAAATTATAAATACTACAGGAATTGATATCAATCAACAACATATTATTAGATATGGCCCAACCCTTCTAGGAACTCCAAATTTCGTGTTTTACTATTCCTGGGAATAGTTAATATTATTTCACACAATTCAGGAGTCATTGAATCCTGATCCCAAAGCAGTTTAATATTTTAGTCAAAATATGAATATGAAAAGGTGCTCAACATAACTGATCATCAGGGAAATGCAAATCAAAACTACAATATGATATCATCTCACCACAGGTAAAATGGCTTATAGTTATAGCCAAAAGACAGGCAATAACAAATGCTTGTGAGGATGTGGAGAAAGGAAGCCTTTCTACACTGTTAGTGGGAATGTAAATTAGTACAACCATTATGGAGAACAGTTTAGAGATTCCTCAAAAAAACTAAAAATTGAGCTACTATATGAGCCAGCAATCCCACTGCTGGGTATATGCCCAAAAGAGAGGAAATCAGTATATCAAAGAGGTATCTGCACTCCCATGTTTGTTACAACACTGTTCATGATAGCCAAGATTTAGAAGTAACCTAAGTTTCCATCAACAGATGAATGAGTAAAGAAAATGTGCTACATATAAACAATGGAGTACTATTCAGCCACAAAAAAAGAATGAGATCCTATCATCTGGAACAACATGGGTGGAACTGGAGGTCACTATGTTAACTGAAATAAGTCGGGCAGAGAAAGACAAATATCACATGTTCTCACTTATTTGTGGGATCTAAAAACCAAAACAATTGAACCCATGGAGGTAGAAAGTAGAAAAATGGTTACCAGAGGCTGGGAAGCGTAGCAGGAAGGAATAGAGGGGACGTGGGGATGGCTAATAGGGTAAAAAAAAAAAAAAAAAAAGTGAATAAGACTAAGTATTTGATAGCACAACAGAGTGATTACAGTCAATAATAATTTAATTGTACTTTTAAAAACACTTAAAAGAATAGTTGGATTGTTAACACAAATGATAAATATCTGAGGGGATGGATACCCAATTTCCGTGATGTGATTATTACACATTCCATGCCTATATCAAAATATCCCATGTACCCTATACTATGTACCCCCAAAAATTAAACATTAAAACATTTTTAAAAAAGAAATGAATCTGCTATCGAATACAATTAAACACAAAAATTAAGTAACAGTTAAAATTAGGATGAAAGTAAAATGATACTTGTAGATTATATGCTTTTTATATGTGGATATAGAAACAAAAAAATTTACAAAAATAATGAGTTCAATACTATAAACTAAATCTACAACTTTCAGCAGCTTTCTTACTTTCAACAATGATCAAGTAGAAAATGTAAGTCAAGGATGACTCCACTGTTTCTGACTGTGCTACTAGAAGGATGGATCTGCTATCAACAGAGATGGGGAAGACTACAGGTGAAATATGTTTGGAAGAGAAAGAACAGGAGGTCAGTTTTTAGTATATTGAGTTTGAGATGACACTCAGATAGCTAAAAGTAGGTGTCAAACACATTAAATGGATCATAAGCCTGAAGTTCAGGTAAGAGAGGTAAGTTGATCACTTTGGTATTTAAAGACATAACATTGATGAAATCACCAAGGCAATAAATGTAGATAGAACAATTAAAAGGTCAAGGCTGGGTGTGGTGTCTCACGCCTGTAATCCCACCACTTTGGGAGGCCGAGGCAGGTGGATCACGTGAGGTCAGGGGTTTGAAACCGTCCTGACCAACATGGAGAAACCCCATCTCTACTAAAAATACAAAATTAGCCGGGCATGGTGGCACATGGCTGTAATCCCAGCCACTTGAGAGGGTGAGGCAGGAAAACTGCTTGAACCTGGAAGGTGGAGGTTGCAGTGAGCCGAAATCATGCCACTGCTCCAGCCTGGGCAACAAGAGAAAAAAAAAATTAAAAGGTCAAATGACTGAGTGTTGACACTATCCTAATGAAAAGGTAAAGAACAGAATGAATTCAGGGTACTGGTGCAGGCTTCTGTTCTAACTGTGATGAGTTTAAGATGGAATGGGAGGAGAGGAATTGGAAAGACCAAGTATAAACAATTCCTCAGAAGTTTTACTGCCAAAATGAACAAAGAAATGGAACAAAAGCTGGGAGGGCAAGTGACATTTTTAAAAGAATGTTTTGGCCGGACACGGTGACTCATGCCTGTAATCTCAGCACTTTGGGAGGCCAAGACAGGCAGATCACTTGAGGTCAGGAGTTCAAGATCAGCCTGGCCAACATGGTAAAACCCCACCTCTACTAAAAATACAAAAATTAGCTGGGTGTGGTGGTGGGCACCTGTAATCCCAGCTACTTGAGAGGCTGAGGCAGGAGAATCGCTGGGACCCGGGAGGCAGAGATTGCAGTGAATTTCGCTGCTGTACTCTAGCCTGGGTGATAGAGCGAAACTCCATATCAAGAAAAAAAAGAATGTTTTTCAGATGGGAAAAAAAACAGCATATAAGCATATTGATGGGAAAGATCCAGTAATGAGAGAAAAGTTAATAAAGCAGAAGATAATATTTCTGATCCTGTGACTCCCCTATCCCTATGAGATACTTTTATTATTCCTGTTAACTATGGGAGGGACCAAAAGGTTAAATAACTTGCCCATGGTCATGCAATGAACTAGTAAGTTGTAAAACTCTTTATATTATGCTGCCTTTCTGAGTAATAAGAGAAATTAGTCAACCAGTTATTAAAATATGTTATTTAAAGCTATAATAATTAAAAGAATATAGGCTGGGCACAGTGGCTCACGCCTGTAATCCCAGCACTTTGGGAGGCCGAGGCAGGCGGATCACAAGATCAGGAGACCGAGACCATCCTGGCTAACACGGTGAAACCCTGTCTCTACTAAAAATAAAAAATAAAAAAAAAAATTAGCCAGGCGTGGTGGCAGGCGCCTGTAGTCCCAGCTACTAGGGAGGCTGAGGCAGGAGAATGGCATGAACCCGGGAGGTGGAGCTTGCAGCAAGCCGAGATCATGCCACTGCACTCCAGCCTGGGAGACAGAGCGAGACTCCGTCTCAAAAAAAAAAAGAATATAGTAGTAGCATAAGAATAGATTTACCAACTGACAGACCTTACCAACAAACTCAAAAGTGACCTACTCAAGGATATGTGATAATTTAGCATTTGATAATGATAAAAATTTGTAAGACAGTAGGGTTAACTAGATCTCTCCTTAGCTTCTTATACTAAATGAATGCCAAATGGATAAAAAATTTAAACCTAAGAAATAAAATCATTTATTATTTTTTTTTTTTTGAGACGGAGTGTCACTCTGTCGCCCAGGCTGGAGTGCAGTGGCGTGATCTCAGCTCACTGCAACCTCCGCCTCCTGGGTTCAAGCAATTCTCCTGCCTCAGCCTCAGGAGTAGCTGGGACTACGGGTGTGTGCCACCATGCCCGACTAATTTTTTTTTTTTTTTTTTTTTTTTTTTTTTTATTTAGTAGAGACGGGGTTTCACCCTGTTAGCCAGGATGGTCTCAATCTCCTGACCTCGTGATCCGCCCACCTCAGCCTCCCAAAGTGCTGGGATTACAGGCGTGAGCCACCACACCTGGCCCCAAGATAAATTTAAAATATAAAATAATATTTTTATAACCTTGGAATGTAGCCGAGTTTCTATGGATGTTTTCAAGTAACAAATATGACTATGCAAAAATTTAAAACTTTTGTGCAATGGGAAAAAATCACCATAAATAAATATGAAATATACACAAACTGGAAAAATATTTTTATCTTATATAACAGACCCGAAGTAGATATTCTTAATATAAAAAGACTTTCTACACACTAATACAAAGATCATCACCTCAGTAGAAAAAAGGACAAAAAGTGAACAAAAAAAAAGTTTTTAAGGGACACATAACAAGTTGCACAAAGAAATGCAAATAAAAATAAGTTAATTTCTTCCCAGCTGATAAAGATAAAAAACACTGACAATATCCAGCAGTGGCAAGAGTATGGCCATTCATATGTTATCACGTACCACTGGGGAAAGGCAAACTGGAGCATCTTACTGAGCGGTAATTTAGAAATATGATTTAAAATGTTAAATGCACTTAATCTTTGACCCAACAATTTCACTTGTAAAATTTATCCTGAAAAGACAAGTGCACAAAAATATATATACAATGATCCCACTTACAACATTACTTATTGGAAACAATCTAAACAGTTACTATTAGGAAATTAATTAAGCAAATTATAGTACATCTACTCAATGAAATTTTATTAAGCAGTCACTTAAAATGATGCCATATTGCCACAATTATTGACAATAATTGTGAAGTACTTTTTACTTTATTCTTCTTCTTTTTTTTAATACTATTGACATGTTCTACAAAGGCTCATGCATCTTATTTTTTAACAGCTATACTGAAACATAATGAATATGCCATACAAGTCATCCATTTGAAGTGTATAATTCAATTGATTATAGTATATACAGAGTTGTGTAAGCATAACCACAGTCAATTTTAGAACATTTTTATTACTCAATTCCAAAAATTACCCCATACCCATTAAACAGTCACTCCTCATCTCCCTCCAATCCCCCTTACCCTAGCAACCCCAAAACTGCTTTTTGTCTCCATAAATTAGCCTACTGTAGACATCTCATATGAAAAGAATCATCTAGTATATGGTCTTTTGTGACTGGCTTCTGAGTCTGTAGTTTCACTGCCCATTTCTCTGATAAAGCTAAAATTCTTATTTTCTGTGGAAGCAAATGGAACTGACTTAGGAAAAAATTGCCCTGTGACTAATTCAGACTGTCTCAGCAGTAATATAAAGTATAAATTTCACCATCTTCACTTTTGTAACTTTTGCAACAGTACAGATGAATAAAAGTAGTACTGTTTTTCAATAACCACACAATAATGCAACTCTACATTTTATACAACTGAATTTGAAGAAGCCATTTTTCATATTATGGCTGGATTTTTACTACATATTCATACAATGAACATTTCATAGCAGTGAATAAGTAAGAGCTACATGTATCAACATGGATAAATCTTAAAAATAATATTGAGAGAAAATTTTAAGTTATAAAAGAATATATAATAAAAAATACAGACAATAATAAATACTGACAAGGATGTAAAAATGGGGATCCTCATACATTGTTAATGGGAGTGTGTAACAGTATAGCCACTTCAGAAAACAGCTGGGAAGTTTCTTAAAAGGTTAAACATAAATTTATCATATGACATACCAATCCCACTCTTAGGTATCTACCCAAGGGAAATGAAAAGAAATATTCACACAAAGACTTGAGCACAAATATTCTTAGCAGATTTATTAATAATAGCCAAAAACTGCAAACAACATAAATGTCCGTGGAATGGACTGACAGATGATGAATGTTTTGACAAGACATACTAGCAATGTAGTAATATTCACCAATAAAAACGAAGAAATTACGGATACCATGCTACAAAATAGACAAACTTCAAAAACATTATGCTCTGGACAAAGATAGGCACCACAGACCAAATATTATATTATTCCATTTATATCAACTATCCAGAAAAGGCAAAGCTATAAACACTAAAAAATAAATAAATAAATTGTTGCCTTTGGTTGGGGGAATGGGGATTAGGAGTTAATGTACATAAGAAATCACAGTGGAGGAATGAAAATGTTCTACAGCTGAGTCATGGTGACAGCCACACAATTTGGTTAAAAAAAAAAAAAACTATGAATTGTACACTTGAAAAGATGAATCATACCTTTTGCACGAGCACAAACTATTCCCCATCCCTCACCAAAGATAACTTTTTGCGTGTAAATTTATAGGAGAGTTGTCAAAAAATAAACTATGGTGGTATCTAAAGAAGGTTTCCACCATAAAAAAGGGGGTCTGAGGGGATCAATTTTGTCACAATAAATTCAAGTGTGTCTGAGTACGCTTTGAAGGTCACTAAACTGCTAGAACACATCAACCTAAGAAAGTAAGATCTCTTACTCTTAGACTACATCAAATCCTAGACGTGAAGGAAAAACAGGTACAGAACTTTTGGTAATCATCCCAACCTCTCTACTCCAGGAATAGCAAATAGGTTTCACTCACACTGAAACTTCTGGCTCCCTAAAGATGGGAAAATTATGAAACTGCCCTATGGCTAAGCAAGAAAGTATGCCATGACCTGATGTCGCAACAAGCATAGGAGAGGGAATGCACATGAGATCATGTATTTGCCATCCCTGCTCTAGCCCACTCTATACTTAGCTAAGAGCACAGTTATACAAACAGCCCCCTTCACCTCTACAGAGAAAAGACAAAGGTGAGATAACCACAGAGAAATATAATACAGAGGATGCAAGGTGTGGGGGTTGAGTCCACCAGTATAACAATAAATGCCAAACTCCACATTTCCTACAAAGGTATCTCCTGACTCCCTTTAACTTTATAGAGCTAGAACATTCTTATTAAATCAGGTGCCATTTGGTGTAGCTAAAGGAGATAATCTCTTTTTATTTAAAAAAAATCAACTTAAGAGAAAATAAGCCTGAATTAGCTTATCTGAATTAAAACTAATAAACTTTATTAAACTTTATTTAACTTTATTAAAACTAAATAAACTTTATTAAAACTAATAAAAACTGTTTCAAAGATTTATTTTAATTATGATAGGGAATCTCAGATTTGGCCAAATCCTTCCACCCAAAATATCAATTTCCTCTTAAAAGAAGAATTATTTTAGAACTTGAAAGTTAGGTTTTAGGGCTAAGGACAATGTTATAAAAAAGAACATTATAAAAGAAGACAAAGAAAAAGAAAACATAATGTCTAAGAATAAACTAATTTAGTCATTATACCTTTTTAAAGATTTCTGCAGTGGAAACAAATGAACAAGTGTTAGTCATCAAAGACTACTACTCATTTGATTCTGCCACAGTCCAAGCTAGAAAAAAATGAAACAAAACATCACAAGCCTCTCTTTAAAGCAAAAATGCAATGCCCTTTTGTCAAGCAGAAAAGAAATAACTTGAAATAAAATATTTTCATAAAGAACAAACTATGGAGTTTCATTATTTCTATACCTAGAATAATACTAATTCAATCAGCTAGATATTAGGCCCTACTATGTGAGAATCTATTAAAGAAATCAAATATTCCTACTAGCCACAGGATATTCTTCCAGGAAATACAAAAATTCTAAATCAATCTCAGCCTTAAAAAAAAAAAAAGTGAAGTAATTCCACACCCACACTTTACCATTTTTCTGCTTTCCTTTCATCTACTACTTGACAGTTATTAAAAGTTAGAACAATTAAGTGAAATTATCGTACGTAATATACTTTATGCAGATATGGAAAATTTTTAAAACAATCCATCTAGGAAGACAGTTAATGTGCTTACTGCTGAGGTATTCTTGAGTGGGTTTTGATTTATTAGGACACCAGGGGTCCTATGAATTAGTCCATTGCTTACTTAAATCATGCCCTTGATCCAGGAAAATCCCATGGTACCATTAACAAAATTATTCACACACAAAAAATACACAAACTACATTCTGTACATCAATAGATGGTGGCTATTGGTTTCATGGAGGGAGTGTGCATAGTGGTTACCAGCATGAGTTCTAGAGCCAAACATCCTGCCTTTGAATCTTGGCTGCAAGATTTTGGGAAAAAAAATTACTTAACCTCTCTGAGCCTCAGCTATGTCATATATAAAGTGGGGACCTAACTCATAAGGTATTGGGAGGATTAAATAATATGATTAATATGATTTGCATAAAGTGCTTAGAAAAGTAACTAACACTTAGAGCTTATTCACTATCATTTGCTACGCACCTTCCTCCTCCTATTCCTCCTCCTACTACTACTGCTACTAATCTTCTACATTCTTTTCTTTCCAATGTAATAAGGCCACCTATGTAACATTTCTCGGCATTTGCTTCCCAGAGCATTTTTTTTCTTACACAGTTTGCTGGAATATTTTATTTGTGGCTGGTTCTAACTTTATGTTAATTGTGCTTTTTGTTTCCTGCAAAAATGCAGTGCCTTACTATTGCTGTATTTAGAATTGTAAATTTCAAATTCTATAAATAAAAAGTTAAATAATTTTACAGGAAGCTAGTCCTGATTATAAATGCAGACTAATGACTTTTTTCCCCTACACAAAAAAGAATAAAATGCAATGTTTTAAAATAGCCCCCAATCTGTTGCTTACAAACAGTATTAGATAGTATTGCTCTTTTATTGATTCAAAAACAGGTACTATTAATTATTGAGTAAGACCTAAATTGGTTAGTTTGTATAGGTTTTGGGTTTATGCTATGAAAATCCTATAAAACTACATCAATTTGGTTAATAATCTTATAACATTTAAAATTTTTTATACTTTTATTTTTCTAGTATTTCAACTCACAACATCCTTCCAAAGGTATTTTCTCATTTAATCAGAGTCAATTAACTGAGGGTGACCATTGTGTTCTGGGCACAGTACTTGGCACACCTCCAGGAGGCACCATTCACAGTGGACTGAAGTGGAAGCAATCTGCAGTTAGGCAACGTGCTCTCTATATATAACCATATATATTATCATGTTTAGTTGATGTGATCTTTACAAACCATATAAGGTAGAGTTATTCCTATCATCGATATTTTATAGATGAAAAAGGAGATTGAGAAAGACAAATTGATTTGCTCAAGATCCCAGAGTCAGTATCCGTCAGAACTAGAATCCAAATACCCCCGATACCTACTATTCACTCACTTTTGATTTGAAGGTCATCTACCATATTTCTAATCTTCAAATTCTTCCACATACTCGTCAACTAACTACAGTGGAGGCCAATTAACATCTCTTTAGAAATTACACAACTCAGGTATCTCTACAATTGTTATCAAAGGATGATTAGGAGAAATGAGACAACAAATTGTGGTCAGCAACAAGTGCTGAGTCTATCCTGGAACTCTGCCCAAGATAAAACCCAAGACATTTCATTACTAAAACTAAGACATTTCATTATAATAGAAGAGCACTTTCACAGTCTCACAGGGTAAGTAAGAACGTACTACATCAAATTTCCAAAAGGGACTTTTTAACTTTTTATTTTGAAATAATTTTATACTTATAGAAAGGTTGCCCAAATAGCACCGAATTCCCACATAACCTTCAATTAGGTTTTTCTAATGAAAACACCATACATAGCTATATTACAGTTATTAAAATCATAAAATTAACATTGGTTCAAACTATTAACTAAACTGTGGGTCTTACTCAAATTTCGTCAGTTACGCCACTAATGACTTTTTTTGATTCCAGAATCCTATCCAGGATTCCACATTACCTTTAGTTGTCATGTGTCCTTAGCCTCCCCCAATCTGTGGGAATTCCTTCTCTTTCATGACTGTAATATTTTTTAAGAGTGCTAGTCCGTTATTTTGTAGAATGTGTCTCAATTTTGAGTTTGTCTAACGTCTTCTCATGATGAAACTGAGCTTATATATTTTTGGCAAGAATATCATATAAGTGATGTGCCCTCTTTGGTGTATCGTATTATATCAGATGTTAATATATCTTATTACTGTTGATGCTAACCTTCATCACTTAGTGTCTATCAGCTGTCTCCTCCATAAAGTTACTATTTTTCTCTTTGTAATTATTAAACATCTCATGAATATACTTTTTAGACCTATACAAATATTCTATTTCTCCTTAAATGTTCACCCTTACTTTTGCTATCCATTAATGAGTCTTGCCTGCAACAATTATTACGGTGGTGTTTGCCTCATGGTGATTTTCTATTTTCCTCATTCTTTATACATTTATTAATTGTAATTTAAAAGAATGGTTTTTAAACTGTATCAAATGTCAAGGTCTCCAAAAAATTATCAAAAAGTTAAATGCAAAAAGCCAACAATAAATGTAGTGGACAACAGTATTTCATATTCAGTCATAATGACCTTAACTCCCTGAATCCGATGTCTAGCAGTTCCTTTTGGAAGGATCTGTGTTTGAGTAAGTCGCTAATGACATCTGTCAGCAGCTGTACTGTTTTGTTTTATATAATTGTAGCCTCATTTTTTATTGCAAGTAATGCATCACGATGCATATTTAAGGTTTTCCAAATAAAGAGTCTTGAGCAATCTATTTTAAAGTAGCTAATACCACAGCACATTTGAGGCTAAGGGGTAAGCATTCCTCAGGAACCAAAACAACGAGGATAGCAAATATTCTGCCCCTGCAAATCTGATCTCATTCCTCAACCTGAAACCTTGCCACATAAGCATAAAATTATACCAGTAAGGAGATATCTCTCAGAATGGTGAATTCCAGAGCTCCAATTTTCAAGACTATTATTCCTATGACAGGATGAGGACCTGCAAACATGAATTATAAGCTTAAATTATTCACTTACTCTTTCACAAAAGGAAAGCCCATCAATCTAATGCCAAAAGACTTCAAGTTTATTTCTAAAGGTTTAAAGAAAGTGGTTTATTTATCAAAACTTTATCCTCTGTGTTTGTTGATTAAATACTTCAGTCTTACACTGAGGTCAAAGAATGTCAACCAATTACTATGTAAGAGAAGTCCTACTTCATAGCACTTAACGTCACCCAGAATACACGGAATTATTTTAATAGGCAATCTTGATACACTATTTATTCCCAAGTATATTTCAACTATTATAAGTAAAACCTACTTAATCTAATATCATTCTTCAAACTAAAATCACAGTAAACTAGCAACTAGCACAGTGCCTGGCACATAACAAATATTAATGAGTAAGTACTGACAACAATCCATAATTTCTTCTAGACTACTTCCACTGCAGGCTACAAAAGTTGAAGTTTCCTTCTGCACATTCAAAAAACTACACATTTTAATTACTTCTTAAGAAAGATATTAAAATGACTCAGAATCTAATCTAAGTGATGTGGAAATATATTCCTAAACTTTATCATCCGAAAACTACAATATTTTTGTAAAGGACATCAAGTCATTTTTAAAAGTGATTTATTTTCATAATGGATATTTGGGAGACAAAAATACACGAGAAAACAGGAAATCCCACTCATAATTCTGATCTTACAAATTACTGTCATGATTAGTCCTGGAAACTAGTGCAAGATTATGGTTGCAGGATTTATGATGACTTCATTTTTGGGTGAAAATTTTAATTTATTCAAAACAAAACAAAACAAAACAAAACACTCTTGGTCTAAAGCATGGCCATGAGCAAGATTTTATTTAAGAGTCTTAACTATTAAACGGGGTCACTGGGGAAGTTGTGGTAGTCATTTTCTGACAGTTGCTTAGAAAGCTTACAAGGTACCTAATTTGTATCTGCATATTCTCTGAAGATAAATATAAATATAATATAGAATACTGCTAGCCTATGCTTTAAAACATTGCTTATTACTGAAATGTCTATTGGAGTAGAGTGAGAAGAAAGAAATTGGTTATGCAATGCTTAGGAAAAACAGCTTCCTATTTTCTCAGATCCCAAATGACCAGAGGAAAAGTCTAACCAGCAGGGGGAGATACAGAGGAGAGTAGTAAGACAAAGAACAGGCTATAGGCAAGAAAAGCAGTTATAATTATAGCTGGGAACACGGAATTTGTTAAAGGAAGTCTACTGTATAATTATACTTGAAAATTTAGCAAGATGCCCAGAGGCTGACTCGCAGCTGTCAGGAACTGGTAACTCTACTTCTGTTCATGCAGCGACCACTTCGGCAACTAAATCCACTATCCAGACATTACTAGAATTGACATTTAGAGTAAAGGAATAGATGGGTGCATGAAACTGTTTTTCTACAATGGATGAAAGCATCCATTTCAACAAAGTAACACTCTCTCTTTAGTTTCCTTTCTAGGCTTAGGTTTCCTCTTTGTATCCTCTCCCTCACAGAACCTAAACATTCTCATAAAAGCTATAATCTAGGTACAAATCTCTTTCTTGAATTCTGACTAGACCATGAACCAATTCTACTACCAACTACAACTCCAAATTCAGCATGCTTACAATGAAACTTATTTCCCACCACCCTCACCTTGTCACAAAGCTCTTTCCCCTTCCCCCCTACTTTTCTATTTCTCTAGTAGCACCAGCATTCTCTCAGGAAAACATGACAACTCATGTCTCTCTTTCCCCTTCCCGATCTCCTACTCTATACTGATTCAAAGCATCAAATCCTATTCGTTTCTCCTTAAAATTCTGTCATCTATCAATGAAAGATGTATCAATGTTCTAATCCCTAGTGTCACACAGAGAATGGGACCTTATTCAGAAATAGGGTCTTTACAGAGGTAATCAAATTAAACTGAAGTGATGAGGATGGGCCCAAACCCAATATGACTGATGTCTTTATAAGAAGGGTAAATTTGGATGCAGACAGACACTCAGAGGGAAGATTAGGTGGAGACACACAGAAAGAAGATGGCCATGTGACTGAAGTAATATAATACATCCACAAGCCAAGGACTGCCAGCAAACAACAGTAGCTGGAAAAATCAGAAAGGATTCTCCCCTAGAACCTTTAGCCTACACTTTGATTTCTGGACTTCTAGTCTCTAGAACTGAAACAATAAATTTCTTTTGTTTTTAGCCACTCAGTTTTTGGTTCTTTGTTATGGCATCCCTAAAAAACTAAACAGCACCATAAACTGAATTTGGACTCAATTTTCTACCATCATCAAGCCCGCTACTTATCTCTGAATAGCATCCCATCCACCGATTTTGTCATGGCAGATTCCTATGCATCATTCTTGCTCCTCTTTCAATTACTGAGGCCTGCTCCCTAAATACTATATATCTCTTTAATCTGTCGATCTTTCCATTTTTACATCAATAATCTGGTTCAGGCAATCACCATCATGCCCCTGGACTAATGTTCACGAAATAATCCCCATGTCCTTGCTTCTCTCTTGTTCATTCACCCTTAGCAAGCGGACTGTTTCTAAAATGCTAATCTGACCACACTTTCAGTGGATTACAGTTGGTAGTATCCATGGTCTCTCAGGATAAAGTCTGATTTTTTTTTAAATTTTAGATTCATGGGTAAATGTGCAGGTTTGGGCTTCTAGTGCACCCATCACCCAAATAGTGAACACTGTATCCAACAGGTAATTTCTCAACCCTCCCCTGTTCCAACCCCTCCCACTTTTTGAGTCCCCAGTGTCCCTTATTTCCATCTTTATGTCCATGCATACATACCCACTGCTTAGCTCCCAATTTTAAGTAGAACATGCAGTATTTTGTCCAAATTGTTTATAATGGGTGAAAAAACTTTACATGTTCTGGACTCCAAAACTAAAGAGAAAAAAAGAGACCATCACTCACTGCTCCCACGTCAAATAAACAGGCAAATATTTTCAGGTTCTGAAACACACCAATGCTTTTCACATCTGCTTGTAACTCTCTTCCCCTTATTTAATCATTCATTCATTTAACACATAAACACAGTGAGTATCCATCATGTGCCAAGTATAGTTCCAGAAGCTAGATAAACCACAGAAAACAAAGCAAAGTTCCTACCCTCATGAAGCTTACAAGCTTACATTCTAAAGACAGTGGTTAAACAGCTGATAAACAAACAAAAATAAATATACACAAACTCAGAAATTATTAAGTGCTTCAGAGAAAAGTAAAGCAAGCTACAGGGAATAAGGGAAGTTGGCGTAGGGAAAGGAGCAAGGTTATGATTTTATATAAGGTGCTCAGAGAACACCTCCCTGACAAGGTGACACTTAAGAAAAGACTTAAAGATAGTGGGGGAAAAATTTCTGTGGATAACTGAGGGAAGGGTTTTCCAGACAAAGGGAAGAGCAAGTGCAAAGACCCTGATGTGGAGCAGACTTGCAGTACTGAAAGACTGTCACTGAGCCACTGTGACTGCAGTAGGGGGAAGGAGCAGAATTAGTGCAGATGAGGTTTTAGGGGAGTCGAATGATATACTGTCTTAAGCCCATCGTAAACTTTTAAAAAATAATGAGCAAAATAAGGACAACAGTTGAACTTCTTAGTAGCCTGATCTGATAATCATTACAAAAGAATGACTTTGATCCTAGGTAAAGAACAAATCTGTGGAGTAAGGAAGCTAGTCCAAAGGGAGATAGCTAAGAGGATTCTGCAAAGTCCAGGTGACAATGGTGTCTTGAAATGGAGTAGAATATACAGATTCAATGCTATTTCTATCACACTACCAACAACATTCTTCACAGAAATAGAAGAAAATATTTTAAAATTCGTATGAAACTAAAAAAGACACCGAATAGCCAAGGCAATCCTAGGCAAAAAGAACAATGCTGGAAGCATCTCATTACCCAACATCAAACTATACAAGGCAACAGTAACCAAAACAGCATGGTACGGGTACAAAAACAGGCACGCAGACCAATGGAACAGAATAGAGAGCCAAGAAATAGGGCCGCACATCTATGACCATCTGATCTTCAAAACAGCAGATAAAAACAAGCAATGGGTAAAAGACTCTCTATTCAATAAATGGTGCTGGGATGACTAGCCATATATAGATGATTGAAACTGGACCCCTTCCTTACTCCATACACAAAAATCAACTCAAGGTGGATTAAAGACTTAAAATGTAAAACCCCAAACTATAAAAATCTTAAAAGACAACCTAGGCAGTACCATTCAGGACATAGGCACAGGCAAAGATTTCATGACAAAGACACCAAAAGCAACTGTAACAAAAGCAAAAATTGACAAGTGGGATCTTATTAAACTTAAAAGCTTCTGCACAGCAAAAGAAACTATTAACAGAGTAAATAGACAACGTACAGAATGGAAGAAAATTTTTGCAAACTATGCATCTGACAAAGGTCTACCATCCAGCATCTATAAGGAACTTAAACAAATTTACAAGAGAGAAACAAACAACACCACTGAAAAGTCGCCAAAAAACACAAACAGACACTTCTCAAAAGAAGACATACATGCGGCCAACAAGCGTATGAAAAAAGCTCAGTATCACTGATCATTAGAGAAATGCAGATCAAAACCACAATGAGACACCACCTCACACCAGTCAAATGGCTAGTATTAGAAAGTCGAAACATAACAAATGCTGGCAAGTTTCCAGAGAAAATGGAACACTTATACACTGTTGGTGGGAATGTACATTAGTTCAACCATCATGGAAAGCAATATCGTGATTCCTCACAGAGGCAAAAGCAGAACTACCATTCAATCCAGCAATCCCATTACTGGGTATATACCCAGAGGAATATAAATCATTCTACCACAAAGACACAGACACATGAATGTTCACTGCAGCACTATTCACAATAGGAAACACATGGAATCAACCTAAATGCCCATCAGTGACAGATTGGATAAAGAAAATATGGTACATATACACAATGGAATACTATGCAGCCATAAAAAAAGAATGAGATCATGTCTTTTGTGGGAACATGGATGGAGGTGGAGGCTATTATCCTTAGCAAATTAACGCACAACAGAAAACCAAATACCCCATGTTCTTATAAGTGGGGCTAAATGATAACTTATGAACACAAAGAAGGAAATAACACACACTGGCGTCTACTTGAGGGTGGAGGCTGAGATGAGGGAGACGAGCAGAAAAGGTAATTATTGGGTACTGGGCTTAATACCTGGGTGATGAAAAAATATGTACAACAAACAACTGTGACACATGTTTACCTATGTAACAAATCTGCATGTACCTCCAAACCTAAAATAAAAGTTAAAAAATAAAAATAATGCACTCAAAATTAGAAGATATTTATGCGGCGAACAAACATATGAAAAAGTGCTCATTATCACTGGTCATTAGAGAAATGCAAATCAAAACCACAATGAGATACCATCTCATGCCAGTTAGAATGGTGATCATTAAAAAGTCAGGAAACAACAGATGCTGGAGAGGATGTGGAGAAATAGGAACGCTTTTACACTGTTGGTGGGAGTGTAAATTAGTTCAACCATTGTGGAAGACAGTGTGGCGATCCCTCAAGAATCTACAATTAGAAGTACCATTTGACCCAGCAATCCCATTACTGGATATATACCCAAAGGATTATAAATCATTCTACTATAAAGACACATGCACACGTATGTTTACTGCGGCACTATTCACAATAGCAAAGACTTGGAACCAACCCAAATGTCCATCAATGATAGACTGAATAAAGAAAATGTGGCCCATATACACCATGGAATACTATGCAGCCATAAAAAAGGATGAGTTCATGTCCTTTGCAGGGACATGGATGAAGCTGGAAACCATCATTCTCAGCAAACTAACACATGAACAGAAAACCAAATACCACATGTTCTCACTCATAAGTGGGAGTTAAACAATGAAAACACATGGACACAGGGAGGGAACATCACACACCGGGGCCTCTTGCGGGGTGGGGGGCTGGGGAAGGGATAGCATTAGGAGAAATACCTCATGTAGGTGACGGGTTGATGGGTGCAGCAAACCACGATGGCACATGTATACCTATGTAACAAACCTGCACATCCTGCACATGTACCCCAGAACTTAAAGTATAAAAATAAAATAAAATAAAAATAAAACTGGTATGTCAAAGAGAAAAAAGATGAAAAAGAAATAAAAGAAATGGGGTAGAGGTGGTCAGAAATGGCTGGATTCTAATAAGATGACCAAAAAATGCACATGTACATGGACAGGCCTCTGCCTAAATAAGACACCTTTTTATTACTTTAATAAATTTCAACAATAATATAACAAAGTAATAATTTCAAATGGGTAAAGATTTTTATTTCTCTTCTACTCATAAGAAAAAATTCATCAGACAGAAGAGAAACCAGAAGCCAAATTGATTTCTTAAAGACAAAAAAAAAGTCATACTTTTGAATTTGGTACGATTCTCCCAAGGCAGGGCTTTCACATAGTGGCTCTGTATTGATGAAAGTATTCCCCTTCCTACACCTGGTTTAAAGTTGCTGCAGGAATTTTATTCTTTTTCTGAGGGATCATCTTTAATATATTCTACCTAGTGATGTAATTCTAAAATCTTAGCTGGTAACTCAATGTGTAAAGTGGTGAATGTACTAAAACAGTGACTTTGGGTACAGTAGCTCTGATTATCACATCCCTTTTCAACTTCATTTATACAAGGCAATCCCTTTTGACTGAAGGAACATTCAGATTTTATACTGCATTGACATGTAAGAATTTCATTTTATTAATCTGGAGTACTCCCAGTGCTATCAGGTCAATTTAATCACTCACTAGCAATTAAAAATATGGCAACAATACTATTATTGGGATAGCTGCATATCATTTTCCTGGAAAAGAAAAATCAAGATTTTTTTTCCTTCCTTAAAACTTAGCTAAAGTTGTTATTCAATTGTTTTTCTTAAAAGTGAGTTCTCTCATTTATTTGAATCAAAAAAATTCTTAAATATCATTTAAGTCTCATATCTATAAAATACATAACGTTTTCATTTAAAAATTGAACACTCAAAAAATTAACACATTTCCAGCTTTATGGAAAAATAAGAAAAATCAGTTTCCAAGAAGAGAAAACAGAATGTTTATAATGTAAGAAAACAGCTTTACGATCAATAAGCATCCCAGAATATAATCATTCTTTCGATGTATCTAACATAAGTTACATCATCAGACCTATATTAATGTAGGTCCTCACAGTAATATTTGATTTTTCAGAATTGTTAAGAGATGGTTTCAGCATCTTCAAAATGTTCCATACTTTGTCCATTAATTTACTCCTTGTCCATATTCAAGACCAGTCTGGCCAACATGGTGAAACACCGTCTCTACTGAAAATACAAAAAACTTCGTCGGGCATGCGCCTGTGATCCCAGCTACTCAGGAGGCTGAGGCAGGGGAATTACTTGAACCAGGGAGGCAGAGGTTGCAGTGAGCCAAGATTGCGCTACTGCACTGCAGCCTGGGTGACAGAGACTCGTCTCAAAAAAAAAAAAATTTTTTTTTACATTTCCTCCCCCACTCCAGGAGAAACCACTGGGTTACAGTATTCATGTCAATATCATATATCCATTGTTAGGTGAGGAGAAGGTCAGGAGTTCTGTTCTAGAACTTAAAACCCAAGCCAGTGAATATGCATAAGAGTGAAAACTCTCACAAAAACCAGAGGTTCAAGGTCCCCTGATTCTGCCTGAAAACCCCAAAATGAGAACGAAATAATGCAGAGGACATCGGATCTTCCAGAGCTTCTGACCACATAAGGAAAAGATTTCCTAGGTTGAAAGGGTGTCAGCATAGAAGAAACTCATCTTTTTAAAACAAGATGACCTAGGACTAAAGACTTGATTTTAAACCATTAAAAAAGCCAACTCATATTCCTATTTGGTGGAAATATATTCAAGGGTTACAGACAAATTTGTAAGTCTCTCAAGATTAAGGAAAAATAAATTTAAGAACAGCCTTTATAGACCTGATCTAGTCCTAAGTAGAGGACTTTCTACTCTCATTTGCCATCTTATCATAAGTTTCTAGTAGAATAATCTTTCTTCCTTTCTCTACCCTACTATATAAAATATAAAGCATTTTTAAAAATCAATACTACATTATATTTATCATATGAAAATAAATTATTTATAAAGGAAGGCTCAAAACTACATCGAAAACTTCAAGTCTGAAATGAAGAAATATTTAAAAGTATAAAATGCTTCCTTAAACTGTTGTTCAGGTATTTATTATACATGTTTCCTTAAACCGGTAAATTTCCTCTACATTGGGAGAAAAAGTATTCTAAATAAGGACAAAATGCATATAACTTAAAATGATAATAAATATAACACAACAAATTCTTGGACTCTAGCACTATATCTTGTTATCATTATAGATGGAAAAATAGGTAGAGTCTGTCAACAATCAAGTCCAGAAAAAAGTAGTTTAATTAGAATGACAAATACCTTCAGGTTTTAAAACATAACTCACTGTGTGACATTTAAAATCTACAAAGAATATTTCTGCAGCACCCTGATTATTCTGTAACAGAATTAGACTTTTTAAATCAAATGAAAGCCAGAAGAATTAAAGACTACCTGCACTAGGAAGTTTGTTAGAATTACCATATGACCCAACAATTCAACAAGTAAATGTGCATACATGTTCACTGCAGCACTATTCACAATAGCCAAAAGATAGAAACAGCCCAACTGTCCATCAAGGGATGAATGGATAAACTGTGATATATACAACGACATATTGTTCAGCCATAAGAAGAAATGAGGTACTGACAAATGCTAAGATACGGACAAACCTTAAAAACACTGCTAAGTGAACGAAGATAGACACAAAAGTCACTATTATTCCACTTACATGAAATATCTATATTCTATTATTCCACTTACATGAAACATCCAGAATAGGTAAATCTACATAGTCAGAACACAGACTGGGAGGAGTATGGGGACAGGTGAAAAATGATTAATGGATACAGACTTCCTTTTGAGGTGATGAAAATGTTTTAGAACTAGATAGAGGTGGTAGATTGCACAATTTTAAACACTTGATTTTATGTTATATGAATTTTATGTTATGTGAATTTTATGTTACCTTAAAAAATAAAATAAATAATAATGCTGCCACATCACCAGTAATAAGACATCATTTACCACTGGTATGATACACTGAGTGTATCAGAGGACATCATCTCTACAGTATCCTTCTCAATAATGTATAACCTCAGTCTGATCATGAGAAAATACCAGACAAGGCCAAATTGAGGGATATTCTAAAATATAGCTGACCAGTGAGTACTATCCAAAAGTCTGAAGGTCATGAAAGACAAGGAATGACTAAAGAACTATCACACACTAGGGTAGACTAAGGAGACATAACAACTAAATGTAATGTAGATTTCTAGATTAGATCCTGAAACAGGAAATGGTGGAAAAACTGGTGAAATATGAACAAAATCTGTAATTTCATTAATAGTACTATACTAACGTTAACTTCTTAGTTTTGAAAATTAAACTATGGTTACATAAGATGTTAACATTAAGGGGAGCTGGGAGAAGGGTACTATTTCTGCAACTCTTAAATTATTTCAAAAGAAAAAGGAAAGTAAGAAGGAAAGAAGGGAAGGAAGGATGGGAGAATGAGGCCTAGCAACCAACCTTAACTTCCTCCATGAACATATATATTAAGAAAATGCTGACATAAATTAAGTGAATAAGGATTAGAGGGGTTATTCTAATGGCAAGAAATAATTCACAAAATTTGCATCTACTTAGGAGATATGCATTCTTTTTGGGGTGAGAGAGTAGATTCCTCAGTCAAGTCAGCTTAATTAAATTTTAAAAATCAGGTTATGCAGAATTTAAACTAGTATTGACATTTTCGACAGCAGACTTCAAAATTAAAACAAGCAAAGTCAAAGGGAAAAAATCAAAACAAAACACTTATAATTCCTATAGGTTCCTACTATATTTTAAATTTACTATTAAAATGAGAAAAGTATATTCATTTTAGCAATATCACTAGAATTACACTGACAAATTTGTTTGATAATTTAATCAGATTTAGTTTTACTTTAAATCTGTAACCTTCTTCTTAGACACATAATGAAATGATTGAAAAAAAATTTTGATATGTAATTAACAAATCAGTTTGTGTCTGGACATAAAGTTCTTAGTTGCCATGCCATTATGTAGGAGGTAACTAACAAAAACAATTATCTTGAAACTGTATACACCAATCATTTTAAAAATGAAACCCATACATTGAACCAGCCTTGCAACCCAGGGATGAAGCCCACTTGATCATGGTGGATAAGCTTTTTGATGTGCTGCTGGATTCGGTTTGCCAGTATTTTATTGAGGATTTTTGCATCAATGTTCATCAAGGATATTGATCTAAAATTGTCTTTTTTGGTTGTGTCTCTGCCTGGCTTTGGTATCAGGATGATGCTGGCCTCATAAAATGAGTTAGGGAGGATTCCCTCTTTTTCTATTGATTGGAATAGTTTCAGAAGGAATGGTACCAGTTCCTCCTTGTACCCCTGGTAGAATTTGGCTGTGAATCCATCTGGTCCTGGACTCTTTTTGGTTGGTAAGCTATTGATTATTGCCACAATTTCAGAGCCTGTTATTGGTCTATTCAGAGAGTCAACTTCTTCCTGGTTTAGTCTTGGGAGGGTGTATGTGTCGAGCAATTTATCCATTTCTTCTAGATTTTCTAGTTTATTTGCGTAGAGGTGTTTGTAGTATTCTCTGATGGTAGTTTGTATTTCTGTGGGATCAGTGGTGATATCCCCTTTATCATTTTTTATTGCGTCTATTTGATTCTTCTCTCTTTTCTTCTTTATTAGTCTTGCTAGCGGTCTATCAATTTTGTTGATCCTTTCAAAAAACCAGCTCCTGGATTCATTAATTTTTTGAAGGGTTTTTTGTGTCTCTATTTCCTTCAGTTCTGCTCTGATTTTAGTTATTTCAGTAAACTCTCACAAGAACAAAAAACCAAACACCGCATATTCTCACTCATAGGTGGGAATTGAACAGTGAGAACACATGGACACAGGAAGGGGAACATCACACTCTGGGGACTGTTGTGGGGTGGGGGGAGGGGGAAAGGATAGCTTTAGGAGATATACCTAATGCTAAATGAGGAGTTAATGGGTGCAGCACACCAGCATGGCACATGTATACATATGTAACTAACCTGCACATTGTGCACATGTACCCTAAAACTTAAAGTATAATAATAATTAAATTAAATTAAATTAAATTAAAAAATGAAACCCACCAATATAAATTCTATAAACTTCCACTTTCATTAACCATATTCACATCGTGGCATCCAAATACTATATATAACCATAATCCTAATAATGAGAAAACAATCATCTTCATTAAACCTGCAATAGGTTGAGGATCCCTAATCCGAAAATCTGAAATACTACAAAATCTGAAACTTTTTGAACGCTGATGTGATGCTCAAAAGAAATGCTCATTGGAACAAATATTCCAAAATCAGAAAAAAAATCCGAATTCCAAAATACTTCTCATCCCAAGCATTTTGGATAAGAAATACTCAACTTGCACTAAAAAGAGACATTTAAATACACTTGATCTTAGCCAAAAGGCCAAGAAGTGATACAGACATTTAAATAAAGAACCACGTATTCTCACTCTCAGAAGGAACCAACCCTGCTGACACTTTGATTTCATACTTTCAGCCCCCAGAAAAGAAAATACATTTCTGTTTTTAAGCCATACAGTCTGTAGTACTTTGTTACCGCAACCTTAGGACACTAATACAGCTATTATGCAGCAAATGAAGCAGTGTACTCCTGTATTCACTCAGTAGCCTTTGCCTAGAACATCTTTCAGATTAAAGGAGCAATTTTCTCAACTCCTATAGACCAGCATACTTTATTGAAACTAGCGATCACAATCACTCTCTCAAAGAAGCTGCCCTGAATCCAGTCTCTGAGCCATGGCTGCTAGCTGTATACCACACCAGCAACAATAAATCGGACATTGGGTTGGCACCAGGCTCAGGGTCATCAGTAAACCAGAACCTTCAGAACCTGGTTCATTTGAAAGGAAGGGCTGCTCAAATTTTCTGTGCCTCTCAAACAATTTGAATCATCTATGGAGAAACCTCCCTTCTGCCTTAGTTGCTGAGGTAGGAAAGTTAACAATGCAAGCCAAAATGATATGGAAACAGAAACTCCTGCTGGTAGCCAGACAGAAAAGACGGCATACAGAGTAACAGTAAGTTTATTTGATATGTTCCCTGAAAACCAAAATTACTTCCTATAATCTTAAAACCAGGCCCTGTTCTCAGATTCCCATGAAAGCCCCTACTTCCTATTCCTGCTACACACACATCTTTTAAACATGAACTAACTTCAGACACTCCTCTCACACACAATCCAAAGTAAAACAGAAATAGAGATGACCCAAACCCAGATCCTACTCTTCAGGAGTTCATTCCAGTGTATGTCAAATACTACTTTTTTTAATATGAGCTGAACTGTGTGCTGAATGCATTTCATACACTTTCATATGTTTTTTCGCTAGAAAATGATGAACTAGATATTTTATTTATCATCAAACATACAGATGAATATATATATATATAAAATGCGCATTCGAATGGAATAGTTCAAGCACCTAGGCCCACACTGCTGATGGAATGAGGTACAGATTTGTCAAGGAGCGACAGGATGGCTGGCTCTCCAAAGGTGTCATGGGAAAGTCATTATCCTATGAATTTAATAGGTTCCAGGTCTAGCCTTCAGCCACACTGACTAAAAACTGGAGATTGATAGAAACTTGCCCAAGGACACACAAGTAGCAAGTAAAAAAGGCCCGAATTTGAACCTTGTCTGCTGAAGTCTATCTTTTAATCACTATTCCACCACCAAAAAAAACAAAACAAACAAACAAAAAACCTGGAGCATCCACCTGCAACTCCCTGCGTATATCTCTATATACAGAGAGGTAGAAACCAGAATATTAAAAATCTCCCAACAAAAGCTGGGGTAAGTACTACCAACTTCAACCTTTGGGCCCTTCCTTGGATGGCAGCCAATCCACTCTCCACCCTCAATGGACAAATTCTTTCTTTTTTTTTTTTTTTTTTTTGCGGGGGGACAGAGTCTCACTCTGTCGCGAGGCTGGAGTGCAGTGGCGCAATCTCGGCTCACTGCAACCTCCACCTTCCAGGTTCAAGCAATTCCCCCTGCCTCAGTCTCCCGAGTAGCTGGGACTAGAGGCATGTGCCACCATGCCCGGCTAATTTTTTGTATTTTAGTAAAGACAGGGTTTCACCATGTTGGCCAGGATGGTCTCGATCTGCTGACCTCGTGATCTGCCCGCCTCGGCCTCCCAAAGTGCTGGGATTACAGGCGTGAGCCACCATGTCCGGCCGGACAAATTCTTTCTTTAGCTGCATCAATATAGTCAATCAGGAAAGTGGCCAAGGCTTCCAAGTCCATTAGTCATTCTGCCTCTTTAGAGACTTTACATCTCTGTATCTACTTTCCTTCCTGTAGATTTTAAACTCTCAACACCTATCTTATTTCCCTTATGACCAACTACTTGAGTAAAGCCTTTCTGCAACTCCAATTTATTAACAACATATTCAGTAAATTTCACTACTGAAAATTCAGCTATTTTATGCAAAAACATAAATACAGTCATGTGCTGTATAATGACATTTCAGTCAATGTCAGATCACGTATAGGATGGTGGTCCCTTAAGATTATAATACTGTAATTTTACTGTTCCTTTTCTATGTTTAGATAAACAGATACCATTGTGTTACAACTGCCTACAGTATTCAGTAGAGTAACATGCTGTACAGGTTTGTAGCCAAGAGCAATGGACTACATCATATAACCTAGGTATGTGGCAGTCTGTACATCATCTAGTTTTGTATAAGTACATTCTATGATGTTCACACAAAGATGAAATCACCTAACAACACATATCTCAAAACCTGTTCCCATCAAGTGGAGCATGATTGGATACTTAAATATCCATTAACTCCATTCATTCAATTAGCTATTTGATTTCCTGCTATATATACTACTATTACTGTCCACATGCTAAAAGTATAAAGATTATAGCATCACTCTGTCCTCAAGTTGTTCAAAAATCCAGTAGAAGGGAGTTAGAACTTCAGAAGAAATTACAGTTGCTCTTAGTTAACAGCTCAGCAGTCCGAAACAGGAAAAATCTCATGAGATGAAGCTTCAGGATTAATAGGGGAAGGGAAGGGTATTAAAAGCATAGTAAAAATATATGTCAATGCAGAAAAGTAAAGAGAAGAAAAAACAGAAGACTCCCAGCCAAGGAAAAGGCAATCTGTTCAGAATTATTAAATCACGTGGCAAGAAAGTAAGACCAGTAGGGTGTTTACAACCTTTTATCTACTCTGATATCTGAGACAGTTATAGCTTTTTTTTTAGACAGGGTTTCACTCTGTCACCCAGACTGGAGTGCAGTGGCACAATCTCAGCTCACTGCAACCTCAACCTCCGCCTTCCAGATTCAAGCGATTCTCGTGCCTCAGCCTCCCGAGTAGCTGGGATTGCAGGCATGCACCACTACACCCCACTAATTTTTGTATTTTTCAGTAGAGACAGGGTTTTGCCATGTTGGCCAGGCTGGTCTCCTGATCTCAGGTGATCCACCCGCCTCGGCCTCCCAAACTGCTGGGATTACAGGTGTGAGTCACTGCGCCCAGCCAGTTATGGTTCTTAATACAAGAGAAATCATCAAATAGGAAGGTATATCAGAATTTGGGAGACAGAGCAAGATTCAGATTCCCCATCCTTAGGAAGCAAATGTTCCCTCCCATGACTGAGGATCACCATTGTACAGAGGGGGAAGGGAACCTGCAACCAGAACAAAAACATAATGAGATCTACCATTGAGAAAAACTATTTTGAGATTATATACTACACATCCCTACTTGGGAATACTATGAAGCTTTAAAAATAGAACGAGTGGATTTGTGTGAGCACATGGATCTATGTGCTCACATGGAGCTAAATTCAAAAAGAAAAAGTCAAGGTGCTGAATAATATGTATCATATGAATATTCTGGCACAGGGATTAGGGAGTCCAAATGATAAATAAGATCTAACCAGAATAAGAAGAGCTGATTCCAGAGATAACCATCTAGGAAGAATCAACAACACCTGTTAGATGTTACAGATAAAGGAGAGGAAGGCATCTAGAATGCCTTGTTTTTTAATCCTAAAAAAGGCAAAGAGATCCCTTTTCTATTCTGCTAGTTGCGTATCAACCTATTTAATTTAAAACTACTTTGAATCAATTTATTACAAATTCCAAATTAGTGGTATTTGTAGTAGTGCACTTTGACATATGAACAGCTAAAGAAATTTATTAACAGTGGATGAATTGACAGGAAAACACAGCCTTTCATTCTTCAGGAAAACATGCAAACAAATACTACCAACCAGGGACAGACAATTCAAACCTCAAACTTACATTTGCTCCAATATTACCTGAGGAATTTTTTTCTTACATACCAGTATTTTTAGTCCTTCCTAACTTAAATCCAGGATAAGCTCTTTCTGCCATCAATTTAGAACTCTTCATTTCCAGTACTCTCATTCTCAGTCATTAAACCTTTCAATATATAAATTATACAATTATACTTTAATACTTGAAAAAAACCTAGTTACACATGGCAAGACAAACCACTGAGAATTTGGGCCCACAGAATTATACTGCCTTCCTTTGGCGGAGGGACAAATAGTGATGATATATGACAGTTTCCTGAGAAAATGTCACTAACATTTATTTAATAATGCAATCTCCTTACACTTTACCTGTGTCAGGCAATATTTACAATTTTTCCAATCTCCACATAACAAAGAAAGCCCAAGCAACTACAAAATACCTAACTAGTATTTCTTTCCCCAACATGATTTTCATTTCTGTGTTCTGTAAATAAGAAAATAATTAATTAAAAGCCATAGTACTAATAAAAATGCAAAAAGAGAAAGAAACTAAAATCTTGATCAAGGAGTGGATTAGAACTTTTATAATGCTTATAGAAGAGACTCCACTGGTTGCAAATCCAACATCCATTTTTACCTTTCCCCTCCCATAACTCAGGAGAAGCTGACCTACCCAGTCTCCCTCAAGTACCTGAGCTAGATCCTGAACCAAATGCTATAATACCATCCTTCCTGCAAGTAAGTGCTTCAGAAACTCAGACTTAATTAAACCAAACAGCACATGGTGATTGTTACTGGTCCAGAGATAACATATGATCTAAATGGGGCCAATAAAACTGAAGGAAACAACTTTTAGTCTCCAATAATGAGAAAAATTCTTGTTTCCCTACTGGAACTGAAGAATGTTTGTTGTTCTAGCTATGGACAGTAGCTATCCTATAAACATGAAGGAAACCAGCCTGAAGATAAATTTAAAAAGACAGGTAAGTCAGGCTGATAACCTTGCTCATATAGTGCTTGGAGATAAAGCCCTAGAAGCTCCCCTACCTATAGTTTCCATTGTAGGGAAAAAATAAACTTCATTCTGGAATAAGGCAGACTATTTGGGAGTTTCTGTTATTAAAAGGCAGAACCACCATAATTTTTAGTATTTTTAAATAGTCTCTCAAAAATAAGTACCTATATGAAAGCTATTTGAAACCTGGAAATAGCTTTAATAAACAACATTTTATAAACAAATTACAATCTTTAGAAGGCTAACGTAAGCTTTCTTAATCCACTAAAAGCTCAGTCACAAAAATCTACATGACCACTTAATAGACAAATAAATAACATGTATAAGCTAGTTTAATCTGATTGCATAAAAATATTTATAATACATTTCTGAATAAAGAAAAATTCAATTATAACCCAAGGGTGGGTTAATTTGTACAAATTTTGAATAATGTTGCATACATTTCCCAAACAGATGCTAAGAGACTCTACAAGGACACTCCGCTCAATCAGAAGCCAGATTAAAGTCCCATCTGGAGTCTAATGGCTCCATGGTTCCATTACAATTACCTAAGTCACCAAAAGTGAGACTTAATGGTTATACATCACAGAATCTTCGAAGTATATACAGTCTTATCCCCAAAACCAGAAAATCAAGTCAAAAAATAATTTTGTGTGTGTACACACAGACACAAGAGATTTGGTAGACATCCAAATGCTTCTGTATTGGTAGATATCCAAATGCTGCTGTATTTGTTCACGGACATTGAACTTTTTCTATATGATTTTTCCCTAGTTATTCATTAGCATCTTTTTTTTTTTTTTTTTGATGGAGTCTTGCTCTCTCACTAGACCGGAGTGCAGTGGTACGATCTCAGCTCACTGCAACCTCCGCTTCCCAGGTTCAAGCGATTCCCCTGCCTCAGCCTCCTGAGTAGCAGGGACTACAGGCGCCTGCCACCTCGTTGGCTAATTTTTTATATTTTAGTACAGATGGGGTTTCACCATGTTGGCCAGGATGGTCTCGATCTCCTGACCTTGTAATCTGCCCACCTCAGCCTCCCAAAGTGCCGGGATCACAGGCATGAGCCATCGCACCTGGCCAGCATCTTCTTAAAAGTGTTTTTGGACACAGTTGCTAGGATAGTGCATCACCTTCATTTGAAATGGAAAGGACAAAGTTCACCTATCTCCCTCAACTCCCCCTTTTTTTTTAAGACAGGGTCTTACTCTGTCGCCCAGGCTGCTGTGCAGTGGCACAATCATAGCTCACTGCATCCTCAAACTCCCGGGTTCAAGTAATCCTCCCATCTCAGCCTCCCAAGTAGCTAGGACTACAGCTATGCACCACATGTCCAGCTAATTTTTAAATTTTTTGTAGAGACAGGGTCTCGCTACGTTGCCCAGGTTGGTGGTCTCTAACTCCTGGCCCCAAGCAATCCTCTCACCTTGGCATCCCAAAGCACTGGGATTACAGGCATGAACCACCACACCCAGCCCACTTTCTCCTTTAACACCAGCCTTGAGAGTAACTCAGATACCTGGAATTATCTCTTTCATATTTATCTTCTCAGATCCTATCACAGACATTATTTCTCATTAAATCAGGAAAACTGAGTTAAGCCATTTTATCTCCTAATTTTCATGGCTAGAAGTTGTCACAGTGCCAAAGAAGTTTAGAGGAGGAGGTTACCTGGAAAGCCTTTGAATATCAGCAACCAGACCAATGCTATTAAAAGTATAGTCTGATTTCACTGCCTGACCATGAACTGTTTAAAATATTTTACAGCAATTTGACAGAGTAATGAGCCAATATTTTATGTATTTGATTTTTTTCTCTAGAGTAGGATAGGGTCCCGAATGTGAAGGCTGAATTCCACTTGAAAATGTCTGCTGACCTAAGAAAGTGCTTTGCTTTACTCTTTTAATTTGAATGCCTTTAGATAGAACCCAAGCCCTCTGATTAGCTAAAGTGCTAAGTTATTTGCAACTGTTATCTGGTCAGTCCCAGAAGGCATCTGAGTGTCCAATTAAAGATCCACTGGACAAGTGTTTCTCAAATTGTAACACCCCTTAATAGGTAAGGAAAGCAATTTAGTGAGTTTTTTTTTAAATAATATCTGGCACTGCATGGCATGATATGTATGGCATGACACACAAAAAGTAGAAACACAGTATGTGTATATACACACATACATATACTTGTATGTGTTTATGTACATGAGTGTCCGTGGTTGTGATTTAAATTTTCTTACTGGGGTTCATGGGCAAAAAAATGGAATGAACAGCACTGTACCAGACCAGTATCTTCATTTCACAGATGCAGAAGCTGAGACTCAAGGTCGCAGTCAGCTGCAAGCAGTTCCAGTGTGCTTTCCTTTACATTCATGATTGTAATTTTGTATGTACAATGAGGTCTGCAAAGCCAATACATAGAAAATACAGAATATAAGCCCCAAAACTGATAATTTTAAAATCCTAGATCAATTAAAACTTTATTAGGTATTTTTTAAGTTTTAAATACTAAAGATGAAAATTTTTATGTAGAACAATATATATTTGATTACATAAAAATTTATATGACCCAAAAATAAAACAAATCCAAACAAATAAAACCAAATTCCTCAACTCACTAGTTTAAAAAAAAATCAAACACAGAAAAAAAATACTGACGACATACTACAAAAGACTGATCTTAATATATAATATAGTAATTAAATATGAGAAAACTACCTGAGTAACAGGTAAATGGTATTAAGAAGTGAATTATAAAATAAATATAAATGGTCAATAGCATTAAAAACGGGTACATTACAACAAGAAACTACTTTTCTCTTATAAAATTAGCAGAGATGTTTTCTTTTTAAGTATTAATACGAGTATTGATGTAAAAAATCCAGGAATCAAAATTGCTGGTGGAAATGAAACTTGTAAAGTTTGGCAGTAAGTATCAAGAGACTTGTAATTACCCTTCTAACCAGTAAGTCCATTTCTGGAATTTAGCCTATGGAAATAATGAGGGATATACACAAACATTATTAAAAAGTAGTTTGACTGTAGTAGTATATGTAACAGTGGAAAATTCTAATAACCCAAATAGTCATCTATGGGAACTGGTTAAAAAATATATAGTACATCTATATAATAACAGAATGTTATGCAACTATTAAAAGAGATGATATAGGCTTATATTTTCTGCTCACAATATACTATTAAATGAAAAAGTAATAGATGCAAAAAAAATCCCATTTTTCATATAAAAAACTTATAAAACACAAGTAATCCATTCTTACAACAACCCAACATCTTTCGAATAAATGGAAAAATGCATTTTTACACTGAACTTTCTAACAATCATTTTCTGTTTTCTGTTTGTTTGTTTGTTTGTTTTCCTGAGATGGAGTCTCACTCTGTGGCCCAGGCTGGAGTGCCGTGGCATGATCTCAGCTTGCTGCAACCACCACCTCCCGGGTTCAAGCAATTCTCCTGCCTCAGCCTCCTCAGTAGCTGGGATTACAGGCACACACCACCAGGCCCAGCTAATCTTTTTGTATTTTTAATAGAGACGGGGTTTCATCATATTGGCCAGGATGGTCTCAATCTCATGACCTCGTAATCCACCCACCTCAGCCTCCCAAAGTGCTGGGATTACAGGTGTGAGCCACCGTGCCTGGCCAGAAAATGATTTTTAGAGATACCTAATATAATGTATTAAAAAATGCAAACATTCTTAAAACAGATCTCGATACCAAAGGCCATTTTTCAACAGTAACACTGAATATTCAATTGCATGGATAAAGTTAAATTTTACAAAAGAATTACAGATGCTGATGGTATGGATACAAATTCTTTTCACTTCTTTTGCATTCTGATGGGGAGGGAGAGAGGGACAGACAAAAAGAGAGGCAGAGCGAGACGAAGAGGACAATTTGCATTTCAGCTTTCTTCTCATCCCAAAAATGATTTAGTATAAGACACCACTCAAAACAAAGCAAACACATTATAGGACAAAAGAAAACAATTCAAGAAACAAGGCTAGAAGAACAGAACACTACCACTGTACCAGTTAAGGCTCCTGAATATAAACAACAGACATATATTCTAGTGAATCTAAGTCAAAAAGGAATTTATTGGCTAGGTACTAGATAGTTCACAACACTAAGACAAGGTTGGAAAATCCAGCTTGGACAGGAATCAAGGAAGGCAAATCACAGAAGAATGTTTGCCTCCACAGCCTTGAATGAAGACTGGAACTTATGTTACTGAATCAAAGGTTACAGGCTCTTTTAGAATTTGTCTACCAGGCTTTCTGGTTTTTACCGGAAAGCCCCGCTATTTAAAAAAAAAAAAAAAAAAAAGGAAGAAGAAAGGAAAAAAAAACGGTTAAGGCCAGGAGGAAGCATCTCAGTGGCAGGTCTTAGCCTCATGCCCATGGTCTTTCTAGCTGTCAAGGTGCAACTCTTAAACTACAGAAGGGCCTTGTGCTAGCCTTTAGGCTTCCTTAATCTTGAGAGGTGAGAAGCAGCCTCCTACTTAACCTAGAAAGGGGCCTAGTAAGGCCCCAGGCAATGAAAACCACATGTCCTCTTGGAAGACCAACTCTTTGTAGTAGAACTGAAGTGTCTTTACTTTGACTCAGTGTCTCGCTCATATCTTTATAAAAGTTTGCAAACTGAAAGTTGATAAAAATTACTGCAAATCTCTTTAACATCATTTTATTAGATTTGTTTGGTACCACTTCCAGTGTATTTCCAAGGCAAAAACGTACTCTTCCTAAAGTAATTCTATCAACCAACAGTAGACTGAGTAATTTGGATGGGGTCTAGCAAGTTTCTTAATACACTATAAGTATTGCCTCTTGCTTTATATTCTATCCGTCTGCTAATTTGGTTTCTTGCTTGCCTTTTTTGCTGCAGCTGTGCACCGGGTTAACTGTTTCAATGGTTTTCCTACAATAACTCACAAATTTTTTCCTGATCAGTGTGCTGTATGATTGGTTCTTTGTTCCTAAGATAATTATTTTACATTTGTCTACACTGAACTGCATTTGCCATCTGCTGGCCCAATCACCTAAACAATCCAAATCTTTTTGAATCTGATTGCATTGTTCCTCATTATTTCCCCTAGCTCCAATTTTAGGATCATCTGCAAACTCTTGAGATCTTTTCTTTAAAGCTTGGACACATTTTATTTTAATATAGAGGGTCTTTTGTGTGTGTGACCCTTTAGACACTCCAGCTGAAATCCTTTTCCAACTAGAAAAGTTTCCAAAAAGCTTATCCAAAGGTACCTTCCAATTATGCAGTCAAAGTGCTGCTAGAAACAAAGCTAAATAGAACACATTCTATTTCATCTTTCTATACATTGCCATGTTTTTAAAAGTATTATGTCTTCTAAGTTCATCTCTTCAAAGTATAAATATTTTTAGGGAAGGCAATAATTCTATTTTCTAATTTGAAAATTCATGGCAATTGTTTTTGCAGTAACTTTCCTAAACTACACATGACAAATTTTTCAGCAACTCCCTATACATAAAGTATTTCCTTTACTCATAAAAATACGTATTGAGCACACATTAGTAATTAGCATTAGATACACTGCAGTCTTATGACCTTGGTCCAATTATTTATCTCCCAAAACTTCTGTTTCCTACTGACAAAGAAGATTTTAGAAGATAACTTCTAAGCACCCATCCACCTCTAGCATTCTGAATTACCTTTTATCTATAAAGTAACATACTAGAATCACCATTTCTAAAATTTTTCTCCTTCAGATTTCCCAAGCATCATTTAATTATAAGCACTCAAATAATTCATTAATTTTTGCAACATTTTAGAACTGCAATATTGTATATTGATACTTATTTAGCAGTATTTACCCTTCAAGTTAGACTTGAAAAGTCTGAACATAGTAAATCTCCATTACTTATTAAGTAGGACACCGAGTACATGTTTAGATTTGGAAGAATTGTTGCTCCATAAACTTCAGTGATTTCTTAGTAAAATCAATTTTCACAAAAGCCCTACCTGTGTAACGATCTTATATAGGAGTTAAGATCTAATTTAAGAACCAACGGTTCTCTCAAAAGAAAGAAGTGCTGATTCTGGGTGGAATGACTTTCATTATAAGGTAGGATATTAAAATCCACCAAGAAAAATTATTTTTAATAATTCCAAAATAGTAACATTATAACAATTACTAGTATTAGATCTTTCGTGTTTTTGTGGAAGAACCCTCTAACAACTGATTAGTCTGAATTTTTTTTCATTTATTCACTCAACAGTTAGTGAATGTTAGAAAAATATAAAAATGAATACAAGACAGTGTGAGATGTACATATGTTGCTACAAAAAATCATTGTAGAAGTACAGTCAGCTACACAGAAGTTAGGAAGAGGAAGAATTTACTTCTAGCTGCTGGATGAAAAGCTTTGTAAATGAGATGCATTTGAACTCTCAAATATTATGATGTGTTTTAAAAACAAGCCTACTAAGCTATGAATATTACCACAAAAAGACAAATATAAAGCACTAAGCAGCAAAATACTTCGAGCAACTGAACTAACCAAATGAAATGCTATAGGTCAAAAGCCTCCAACTTATAAAAATGAAGTCAGTAACAAGTATTTAATTTCTAAAGAGCTAAAGGACTCACTTAAAAAAACATAATTTATTAAGCCCTTTATTTTAGAAAGAACCACTGATTTTCAACGCAATTACTTTTGTTATAAGGTAGGATTGAAGAATCCACTAAGAAAAAATTTTTTTTCTTTTTCTTTTTTCTTTTTTTAATGAGACGGGAGTCCAGACTGGAGAGCAGTGGCACAATCATGGCTGCAGCCTTGACCTCCCAGGCTCAAGTGATCCTCCAACCTCAGTCTTCCAAGTAGCTGGGACTACAAGCATGCACCACCGCACCTGGCTAATTTTTGTATTTTTTGTAGTGATGGAGTTTCGCCATGTTGCCCAGGCTGGTCTCAAACTCGTGGGCTCAAGCTATCTACCCGCCTCAACCTCCCATAGTGCTGGGATTACAAGCATGAGCCACGGTGCCCAGCCAGGAAAATTATTTTTAATAATTCCAAAATAGTAAGTTTATAACAAGTATTAAGTTTTTGTCTTTCAAAAGACAAAACCTTTTTGTGGAAGAACCCTCTAACAACTGATTAGTCTGATTTTTTTTTCAAACACTTATGAAATGATACATGTTGTCTCCAGGAATATTTAATTTGTATTTTAAGATTAACGCATTTAATAAAACCATAAACAACCACTGACTTTTATTTCAAACAGGTCCCCATTTACTAAAACCTTGACCTTTGACTGTGTTATATTCTATTAAAAGTAACAACATTCTACATATGATTTAATTCTCCCTGTAATCTAATAAAGGCATTCCACTAAATATATATATATTTTTAATTTCACTTAAAAATATATATAAAGGCATTTCACTTAAAAATATATATATATATTTAAGATATATATATATATCTTAAATCTCCCACATATTCAGAGCATAGGGAAAGAAATGTGTATGAGCTGAGAAAGGAGGAAATAAAAGCACTAGAGGAATGGGGGGGTGGCTACAGGGAGGGAAGAAAAGTGTTTCAATAAACATTTCCATAACTTAATACCCGCTTAGATTTTCAAAATTCTAGTTTGATTTTTTTACTGTTTGATTTTATACTCTGTGCTATAGCTTATATTTGAATTACTAGTATCCCATAACCTGAAATTAAACTCAACTAAATCTCTTGAGGTGTATAACAAGCTATACAGAATTACTAAAGTAATAAACAATTATGTTTCATTTAGTCTGTTAACTACCCTAAAGGATGGAATTTTACTAATATAATCTATTAATATTGTTTCATAGACTATCACTAGTTTTCAATTTGATAAAGCTAGAAGGGAGGCAATATGCAGGGGTTTCAAACTGGCATCCATAGGCCACTTCCAGTGAGCAAACAATTCATTCTGCGTAAACTGCCAAGATTTTTTAAACTGGACATTTCACATAAAAATTTAGATTTTTAACTTACCTCAAAAAAAAAATCACTAGATTCATAGTTCTGGTCCCACTGCTGTCAATGCTCCCCAGCTGCCCACTAGACAACTTTCCTCCCCACTTTCTGTGGCTTACGAAGTTCCACAGGAAGTAGGGTTTGTAATCCCTAAATAGAGTGTGGAGGCAGTCAGATCCTGACTCGAATCCCAGCTCCCCCATCTCCAAGTTGCACAACCCAGGGCAAGTAGTTTACCCTCTTTAAGTTTCAATTTCACCATCATGACTGATACTGTTTGGTTCTGTGTCCCCACCCAAATCTCACCTTGAATTGTAGTTCCCATAATCCCCATGTGTCATGGGAGGGACCCAGTGGGAGGTAATTTAATCATGGGGGTGGTTACCCTCATACTGTTCTCATGATAGTGAGTGAGTTCTCATCAGGTCTGATTATTTTTAAAAGGTAGTTTCCCCCTTTTGCTCAGCACTTCTCCTTCCCGCCACCATGTGAAGAAGGACGAGTTTGCTTCCCCTTCCACCATGATTGTAAGTTTCCTGAGGCCTTCCCAGCCCTGTGGAACTAGGAGTAAATTAAACCTCTTTCCCTTATAAATTACCCAGTCTCAGGCAGTTCTTTATAGCAGCATGAGAATGGACTAATACAACGACAAAGAAGATAATAATCATTTATAATTCAGGGGTTAAAAGTGAAATAATATATATAGTACAAAATACAAAATTAAATCTTCAATAAATGATAGTTATTATTATACTACTTGGATTAAAATTCCTAAACCTAATTAACTAAGATTTACCATGAATGTTTCCCACCTTCTGTAGACCCTAAAGAAAAAAACTAAATCACTATTGCCTTATCACTCCATAGGGCTCCTTGGTAAAATAAGGATAGGAATAATAAATATCTTATAGGGCTGTCATATTAAAATACGTTAATACATATAAAAATGCTAAAAATGGTACATGGCACATACTAACCTCTAAAAAGAGTTGTTATTACAGTAGTAATTGTTGTTTCAGGGGGCTGGCACATATAACCTTTAATAAATGTTTGATGAGGAGAAGCAAGTCAGTGAGTAAAAATGCAACTCAATGAATACAAGACCACGTATCAAGATTATTCAAGGTATATATCTTTAACCGTCCTCTCGACTGTCCCATGTTTTTTGTTTGTTTGTTTGTTTGAGATGGAGTTTCCCTCTTGTTGCCCAGGCTGGAGTGCAATGGCGCGATCTCGGCTCACTGCAACCTCCGCCTCCCGGGTTCAAGAGATTCTCCTGCCTCAGCCTCCCAAATAGCTGGGATTACAGGCGCACGCCGCCATGCCCAGCTATTTTTTTTGTATTTTTAGTAGAGATGGGTTTTCACTATGTTGGCCAGGCTGGTCTTGAACTCCTAACCTCAGGTGATCTGCTCACCTCGGCCTCCCAAAGTGCTGGGATTACAGGAGTGAGCCACCACGCCCGGCCAGACTGTCTTATGTTTTTACGTTAAAGCTGAAAAACTCAGTGAATACCAAATCACTCTGAACATGTAAAAACAAACCTAATGTTCTGGGCTCGAACACAAATTATTATTAAACTCTTGACAGAAACCAAAGAGCTGATTCCAAACATAAAGCATGCACATTATATGGTGTCCGTAATTTATTTTCCAACAAGTTTTAGAGTAGTCCTGTTTCAAGATTGCTAGAACCAGACCAGTCTAGGCTGTGCTTTCTTTCCAATTCTTCTCTGCCTCTTCAAGAACCTCAGCAGCAGACTTCAGGAACAGTGGAAAGGGGGATCTCACTACCTTTTAGGATAGTAGTTATAAAATCTCAGCCTTTAAAAACAAAGAATGAAGAAAAAAGTCTGGTCAAGCAGCAACAGTGGTTCTCTATCAATTGGTACCAAAATGATGATTTGATCTTTAGCATACTAATCATCTCAGTTGATGTAGTTTTTAATTAGTCTGGGAATAATAAAGAAGCTCAATTCTTCAAGTATTTAACAAAGGATAAAGACAGTCTTTCCTGGCTAAAGTAGTAGGCATATTCCAGATTCCTGGCCATGTCAGGGAAATCCTTTCATAGCATTCAAAACAATGAGGAAAAGCAACAGAATTGACTCAAAAAGAGTAATTTCCTTTCCAACCTAAATAAACTTTACACAAACTTGCCTTTGATAATCGACTAAACAAGCTGCACCACTAGCATCAAGGGAGGGTGTGCAGATATCTAGCAGGTGCTGCAGTTTATCACAAAACCGTCTAAAATAATTGGAAGTGACAACCAGCACTACCACAAATGATTTATTAGTCTTTCACTCAGCTTTTCAGCTTCCTTAGGGCCAGAATAAATAATTTACCAACTCCGTATCTTCCAATCATTAATTCTTCCCAATGCATCCAAACTACATTTAACTCTGCTAGGTTCAGTCAAATAAAACACACAATAAGAATATTTTTCCAAATATAAAATTATCTGACCACATGTAAAGGCAAACATGTCAATCAAAGATGTACAATACAGATGCAGAAGGACTCAAAGTCAGCAACTGCAGTCAAGTTTGAGGGTGCTCGTGGAATAAATTAAGTGAACAAGAAAGCAGAGCCTAGCAAAGTGCTTCTCTCGTAGATGAAAAAAGACTCCAGTGACTCTGGACAGCAAACCAAAAAGGCAACCTAAGCACACTGAGTGACAGAGATTTTAAACCTCAAGCATCATCATCTCACAATAGTGAATTCACTGATTGACGGCCTCCCCCAAAGTGTCCCACAAATTGTAGAAAATATTCAATATCCTTAATCAAAAAAAGGTGGAAAAGTTAAGACCTATATGAATTTCAAGCAAAGTAGACTTAATAAAGTACAAAACAAGGCATCTTCTTTAAGGCATTTTAATAGCTATTTTGAATGGGTTTACAGGACAATTACAAACTCCTGTGAATTCAAAAATAGATGTGAAAATCAAAGAAATAAACATTCTCCCCCAAATGTGATAATGATGTTAAAAGGTATGTCTATTAATTATATAGAAAAAACATACAAAAAGCAAAAATTACATCCTAAATCTATTTTTGATGTTAAGCTAGTCTTGTCTCATTAAATCAGCATCTATGATTAAAACAGAGATCATTTTTGGTACATAACGTATTGCACTATGAGAGCAGCATCTGTTTATTACACAGCATAAACATTTTTCAGCTTTCTGAAACTACTGACATTCAATAAATGATCCAGACCTAGCAATTCACTTAAGCTTCTTTTTTATTTCAAGAAGAAATACTTTAAGTGAAAGAGTTAATAAAACTGATAGTCTAACATTCGGCATTCTATAAGCCAGCTTCAAGCTGTTGGGCATACAAAGAATTTCATAAATTGACAGCTTTCTCTTTAATGGTTTGAGAGTGCACCACAACCCAAATCTTAAGTGTGTAATAGATGTTTAAATATACTTTTAAACATATGACTTCTACCAAATACATGATTTTTTGCAAAATATAAAACACCTTAAAATTAAATTAGCTGAACTGAAAATGATAATATAAATTTGAACCTAAAGAATGCAACTTACATTATACAATTTTTTAAAATGTCTAAAAACATTCCAAAATGTTTACAAAATAAGAATGTATTTTTTTCAATACTCAAGAGTTCACTGTTAACTGAAAGAATTATATACCTGGGCACAAAATCATATTGTTCATATTAAGCAAAACCATGTCTTATTTATGCACAGATCCAGCACACACGTTGCTGTGGCAAAATAAACTCCAAATAGCACAGGTCCTAGCCTCCCACAGGTTACAATAAAGCAAAAATATAAAAACTAGAAAACACCTACTTTTTAAAGGCATCTTTTTCAAACAGATGCAAAACATACAAAGATTTTTATGTTTTTTTGTACTAGGAGGTTGGGAGGAGTCAGAGGACATCTGTTGAAAAGAAAAGCATGACAGTGTTGTCTGCAGGCTTCTTTGCCAGGAATGGAAACAGTGGATCGGCCTGTAAAGACAGGAAATTCAATAAGAAAAAAGAAAGCAAAATACTGCTCTAGTGGCATCAAATTGCCTAAGGATGCTGCCTAGTGCCAGAACCTGGATACAATGCTATAAGAATTGATGGCAGCTTGTCCGTGTGCTGAAAACACCGAGCCCTACAGAGCTCCATGAATATCTGTGGAAGAAGTCTATGCAAAGTATCCTGACCCTTAATGTCTGTCAAAAGAGAAACAGGTATACAAATTGTGGTTTTGATGTTGTTCTATCATGAAATATTACACAACAGTTAAAATGAATCAACCAGGTGTAAAAAATCACAGCAAGTAACCGTTGAGGAATAACGATGGCTAAGAAGGAAAAAAATTGCAAATAATAGAATAACAACAAATAATGGAATATTTCAGTTAGGTAACCTTTAAGAACATTTAATGTTAATGGACACATAAATGTAGTAATAATACAAAAACAGGAAAGATATAAACCAATTTCGGTATGGCAGTTATCTCTGGGAAGGGAAAGACTTTAAAAATACATGTGGTGGCATACTAATTCCGCATGGTAAATACACGTTTGCCTGTTCTACTTATTTTCTGTACTTTCTTTTCTTTTCTTTTTTTTTTTTTTTTTGAGACAGGGTCTCACCTGTCACTCAGGCTGGAGTACGGTGGCATGATCTCGGCTCACTGCAGCCTCTACCTAACCAGGCTCAGTTGATCCTCCCACCTCAGCCTCCCGAGTACCTGAGACTACAGGCATGTGCCACCATGCCCAGATAATGTTTGTATTTTTTTTTTTGCAGAGTGAGGGTTTCGCCGTATTGCCCAGCCTGGTCTCGATCGCATGGCTCAAGCAATCTGCCTGCCTCAGCCTCCCAAAGTGCTTGGATTACAAGCATGAGTTACTGCACCCAGCCTATACTTTCTAAAATTTTTAAAATCTAAGCCACAAAATGAACAATTTTCTTCTTAAAAAATTTAAAAGGTTTTACAATATTCTTACCTGAAACGTGAAGGTCTATCTTCTTTAAAATCACTGGTTTGGCCAGTCTTCATATTCTAAAAACTTTTAATTTAAATCTAAGACACTAAAAATTCTACCCTCTTTTCACAAGTTACTTGATTTAGTAACAATTTCAAGTCAAGTTCTCAGGAGATCTCATGCTTTTATTTCAAAAATGAACTGAAGGACTCCACCATGCAGATCTCCTGAATGAAGTTAAAGATACTCTCATCAAGGGGCTTTTAAATAAATAGTTCTCTCATTTGCTATGAGAACAAACAGGCTTGAGAGCCTGACTCCCAATTCCTTGACTCTGACTTCCCTGGGGGAACCTGTCACTTCATTAGTGAGTTAAGTTCTTTTCCATTTTCTTTGTTATGTGAGGTGTTAAACTTCTACATATTTGAAAAAAAAAAATCCTAGTAAGACTTTGGACATATCAATTGAAACCGTAAAGAAATTCAGTACCACAAGTACAAGTTTTTCCATCTTGTGTTAACCTTTCCTGCAGCCAAATTTCTTTTAAGTCCAACTCCATTTCTTTATATGCCTTTGAAAATTTGACAGGTCATCTATTGCGAAATAGAAACAAGATGCCTCTCATTTACAATTAAATTTGTACATGAAAACAAAAGTTTAATATACTTTTTGTCACCATGAAGAAAATATGAGAGATATTAATTTCCATAAAAACTGATAAATATTCTCTCAAAGTAGCAACCATCTGATTTCAAAAAAATTACTACCTTGTTATCTTAAATGAGAAATGATATCCAACTTATATTGATGTTTTTCTATCTGAAGTATGTCATGCAATATTGTAATTTATCTCATAAATCTACTAGAGTGTGATCAAATCCTATCAACTCTGATTGGCATAAATTTGAAACTATGAAGCAATCACATCTGTTAAGCAGTTTTAGGTTCCTAGACAACATTTTTAAAGTTCATACAATAACATAATTATACTTTTTTTTCTAGGACCTTCCTGCACTGGGTTTGAGCTTTTCATAAACTTTGTTTGTGTATACAAGATTCAATATAACATAGAAAGTACAGTAAACAATAAAAGATGGAAGTTGGGGAGATGAAGTGATAGAGATGGTCTAAGTGGTACACTCAAGAAAATAAGGTCACAAGGTGGGGAAAATGAGTTCATTTGAGTGAAAAAATATAGCATATATTTAATTTTATCCTGAAACTACTCTTGAAAATGAATGTTGAATTTAAATGAAAATACGTGAACATAGAATAAAGAATCCCAACCATGTTTTATGAAGCAAAATACTAGTATACAGCAGAAACTTACTATCTATATGTTTTTGGTGTAAAAACTCTAATTTTTAAAATTTGAATGGTTTAATGAAAAGATTACATAGTATGTATAGGGATCAAAAAGTAAAAAATAAATATCCCCAAAGTAATTCTATGCAACTTTAAGAACGTTTCTAACAAGTAAGCAAACGCAAGCATAAAAATGAACAGTCTGAGTTACAGATAACTCAGACTATGGCTACCAAGACAGATTATTAAAAATAAAATTCAGAACACTGTTAAGTAACTTTATCAAGTATCAATCCTTTCTGTCTTTATACACATCATGCCTAAGATATGACTTAGGAATGTGTGAACGTTCTACTAAAGATAGCTGAACTAGTAGAAACTCCATTTGAGCCATTCATTGGTAACTGATCATATACAGTTTCGAGATATTTCCTATCCTCCTAATCCTTACACCTGTCACTCTTTACATGCATACAGCTTCTTAAGAAAAGATACGTTCCTAAAGTGAGTATCTCTTCAACTTCACTGCAAACCAACCAGGGTCTTGTATGTACTCAATACCTATTTGCTGATTCACTAATTTTAACTTATATGAAAGGAGGAGTCATGAGTTAAACAGTTTAAATTAAAGCAATTATATTTCCTACCTTTAAAGTTAAAATCGATAAAACTAAACAAAACATGATGATCAAAGGAAAACTTCCAAAAAGAGACAACAGGTAATTATGATGGTGAAATTTCATCAAGAGAGTGACAAAGATTTTTTTAACCAAATCTTGTGCTTCAGATGTTTTCCTTTTGTCTGTGGATATGACATGCTTTCACAGAACAAAAAGACGTTTCCTTAGAATTTATTATTTTACGATTTGGAATGATTGAAATGATATGCTAATGGAAGAAAATAAGACTTTTTCTGTATTATTTGCCCCTTACTATATGATATTGTTATACTCTCCTTAACACGTAAAACTATCCACTAGTCATTCTATTTTTTTCAATATCTTGTATCTTAATTCCTAATTAAATGCATCAAGAAAGATTCTCCATTACAATGAAACTCTCATGACTACTTTGTCATTTAGCTTTAATATAAAGACATTTCTCTGATTACCCCAGGATGACAACAGTATTAATATTTTACTAAAAGAAATAAATCTCCATTAAGTTTTTAAAACTCAATCAAACATTAATTGAAATAGGATTAAAATAAGAAATAATTTCAATCCTTCTGACTAAATTGTACTGTTGTTATCTATTATCTACCTCATTTCTGCATTTTGTTTATGTTTTCATTCATCTAAGAAATATGTCAGCAAAGTCTCAGGATACAAACTTAACGTGCAAAAATCACAAGCATTCCTATACACCAATAACAGACAAACAGAGGGCCAAATCACGAGTGAACTCCCATTCACAATTGCTACCAAGAGAATAAAATACCTAGGAATCCAACTTGCAAGGGATGTGAAGGACTTCTTCAAGGAGAACTACAAACCACTGCTCAACGAAATAAAAGAGGACACAAACAAATGGAAGAACATTCCATGCTCTTGGATAGGAAGAATCAATATCGTGAAAATGGCCATACTGCCCAAGGTAATTTATAGATTCAATGCCATCCCCATCAAGCTACCAATGACTTGCTTCACAGAATTGGAAAAAACTACTTTAAAGTTCATATGGAACCAAAAAAGAGCCCGCATTGCCAAGACAATCCTAAGCAAAAAGCACAAAGCTGGAGGCATCATGCTACCTGACTTCAAACTATACTACAAGGCTACAATAACCAAAACAGCATGGTACTGGTACCAAAACAGAGATATAGACCAATGGAACAGAACAGAGGCCTCAGAAATAATACCACACATCTACAACCATCTGATCTTTGACAAATCTGACACAAACAAGAAATGGGGAAACAATTCCCTATTTAATAAATGGTGCTGGGAAAACTGGCTAGCCATATGGAGAAAGCTGAAACTGGATCCCTTCCTTACACCTTATACAAAAATTAATTCAAGATGGATTAAAGACTTAAATGTTAGACCTAAATCCATAAAAACCCTAGAAGAAAACCTAGGCAATACCATTCAGGACATAGGCATGGGCAAGGACTTCAAGTCTAAAACACCAAAAGCAATGACAACAAAAGCCAAAACTGACAAATGGGATCTAATTAAACTAAAGAGCTTCTGCACAGCAAAAGAAACTACCATCAGAGTGAACAGGCAACCTATAGAATGGGAAAAAATTTTTGCAATCTACTCATCTGACAAAGGGCTAATATCCAGAATCTACAATGAACTCAAACAAATTTACAAGAAAAAAACAACCCCATCAAAAAGTGGGTGAAGGATGTGAAAAGACATTTCTCAAAAGAAGACATTTATGCAGCCAAAAGACACATGAAAAAATGCTCATCATCACTGGCCATCAGAGAAATGCAAAGCAAAACCACAATGAGATACCATCTCACACCAGTTAGAATGGTGATCATTAAAAAGTCAGGAAACAGGTGCTGGAGAGGATGTGGAGAAATAGGAACACTTTTACACTGTTGGTGGGACTGTAAACTAGTTCAGCCAAAGTGGAAGACAGTGTGGCAATTCCTCAAGGACCCAGAACTAGAAATGCCATTTGACCCAGCCATCCCATTACTGGGTATATACCCAAAGGATTATAAATCATGCTGCTATAAAGACACATGCACACGTATGTTTATTGCGGCACTATTCACAATAGCAAAGACTTGGAACCAACCCAAATGTCCAACAATGACAGACTGAATTAAGAAAATGTGGCACATATACACCATGGAATACAATGCAGCCATAAAAAATGATGAGTTCATGTCCTTTGTAGGGACATGGATGAAGCTGGAAACCATCATTCTCAGCAAACTATCACAAGGTCAAAAAAACCAAACACTGCATGTTCTCACTCATAGGTGGGAATTGAACAATGAGAACACTTGGACACAGGAAGGGGAACACCACACACCGGGGCCTGTTGTGGGGTAGGGGGAGGGATAGCATTAGGAGATATACCTAATGTAAATGACGAGTTAATGGGTGCAGCACACCAGCATGGCACATGTATACATATGTAACAAACCTGCACGTTGTGCACATGTACCCTAGAACTTAAAAGTATAATTTAAAAAAAAGAAATATGCTTTCCACAAAAACATTGATAAAAATAAGACAATTCCTGTTCTTATTATAAGCAATAAACTAGTAATTATAATGTGGCACAATAAGTGCTCTAATAAGGTATGTAGGAGGTGAAGTAAGATAACTAAAGAATCACAGAAAGTTTTCAAGAGCTGCATCTTGCAAAATGAGTACACAAAACAACTGGTTCACCAAACACAGATTAACCACATGAAATTGCTTCTTCTCCCTCCCAAAACCCTACTAAAATAGCAGTTAATAATTTTTTAAGGTGTATTTCACAAGGACAAAAAAGTGGAAGTGGAGAGAAAAACAGAAAGAAGATCACAAATTTTTGGAAAACAGATGAATAACTTATCAAAAGAAGTTACTCATAACAGAACACATCAGAAAAGACACTAAGAAGCAAATCATTCTGCCCACAATCAGGCAATGACTCAACCTCACACATCCCCCTTCTACACTGGTGCTGAATCTCCAACTAAGAGAACTGAGGGAAAAAGAGGGATAAAAAAAAAAAAAAAAAAAAACAGGAAAAGAAAATAATTCAAGATAACATCCCAAACTGAAAGACATTTGCTCTTAAAAGGGTCCTCTGAAGATTCATTTAAAAAAATGAATAAAACCCATTCTAAGACATATTATCATAGAATTTCAGAGATAAAGAAATGATCCTAAAGCCTTCTAGAATATTAAGAACAAGCCATATATAGCCAGGAAAAAAAAAGTGGTGGACAAAAAAAAGTGGCAATGGATTTCTCAGTAGTAACACTGAATGTTGTGAAATGAAGCCTTTAATATCTAAAATAAAATTATCTACAATCTAGAATTCTATATCCAAACCATTAATCAAGTCTGAGAGTAAAATAGAGTTATTTCAACCTTTCCTAGGGCCTATTTCCATATAATGAAAAAGTTACAGAAAAAAAAAAAAACAATGAGTTGGGATCCACGGATATGAACAAAGTAAAGGTATCCAATCTCTGAGGAGATTGCTAAAATGTGGGACAGTGTGACTACTATCTATCCCAGAATTCCTGCCACACTGTCAAGGCATACATACATGAAGTTTGTATAATGCAACAGAGACCACACCCTCCTAAAACAGAAGGTAAATGGAACAGGTAAAGAAATGTAATACAAGAAGTTACAGAGATGTTTTATAATAGATTATTGGAAACAAGACCAGAATAATACTGAACACTGGGCAACATAAAAGTAATTTTAATACACAATTTTAACGCATTTATTATTATTATTCTAAAAAATGAAACTTCAATATTCAAAATGACAATCATGAATTTTTTAAAAATCCTTGTTAATTGATAAAATTTAATGAGATGCACAAATCTTAAATTAACTTTGCTGTTAAAAGAAGTCTTAAAATCCTGCTGTGTATTTGCAATTGTTTAGCTCTCAGTAACTGTATTACTGAACTGAAAATTTTTCAACTAAATATCTACTTAGAAACACTATAAATTAGGAAGTGGAAAGAATATGTGAAGTACATTATACATTAATATTGAGACAATTTATTTTACTTAAGCTTCCCCTCCACACAAATTTCTCCTAAATTATCAGATTCTTCATTTTATAAAAACTTATCAATATTTTTATATAGTGAAGTATTACTGATTTATCTTTGAATAGAGTTTGGTCAAGTAGATATTCAAAAGTTTTGTGGTACTTGGGACAATCTGTAGTCTGAGACTAGCTGACCCTTGCATTGCAGAATACCTAGCATATCTGGTCCCCATCCATTAAATGCCAAAAACACTCTCACAATCGTGACAAGTGAAAACCCCAAACCAATATGTGAAACTTCCTTATGGAGCAGCACCAACCTTGTTTGAAAACTCTTAGTCTAAAAGTCTTACATTAAGAAAAAGCCTGCTAGGGTGTGGAAACAATAGAAAAAAGTCTGAAGGAAACACTTTTATCAGTTATACTAAAAGTTTTAATTTATCAATTTTATCCTCATCTAAATGTTCTTTCTTTAGATGCATTTTTTGGTACTCTGTACTGAGGATGACTTAAAGAGATCTGATATAATCACTCTAGAATATATGTATATTCGCTTTTTTTTTTTTTAAAGACAGGGTCTTGCTATGTCATCCAGGCTGGAGTGCACTGGGGTGATCACGGCTCATTGCAGCCTCAATCTCCTAGATTCAAGCAATCCTCCCTCCTCAGCATGGGACCACAGGTACACACCACCATATCTGGCTGATTTTTTTTATTTTTATATTTGTAGAGATAGGATCTCCCTATGTTCCTCAGGTTGATCTCAAACTCCTGGGCGCAAGTGATCCTCCTGCCTCAGCCTCCCAGAGTGCTGGGACTACAGACGTGAGCTACAGTGCCTGGCTATTCACTTTTTAATAAAAGGCTTTCCTATATATGATCTTTTTAATACTCATTTAGATAGCCAAACTAAAGTCAAATATAGGATCTAAGGCATGTCTTTTATATAATTTGTGTGATATTGTTTTTGTTGTTATTGCTATGTTGTTTGGTTTTTACTGTTTCTATGAACAATATCAGTACTAAGATGGTCAATACTGAGACACTGTATCAAGTCACTGTGGTATTTAGTATTATTAAAGGCTCCTATATATCACTATTATGTAACAGCCTAAGAAATCCCTGAAGTACAACAGGGTCCCCTTTTTTGTTTGCAAACTCTAAATTTAATAAGGATCTATTTAATTAGTCCAGAATTCAAATACATGCCAAATTTTGCAACCACATGGGAGGTAGGCAGAAAGAGATTTGAAACACTTCCATGAGAACAACCTTGATTGCTCTACTAAAACATCAGTGCAGGGACCCAAACTACTTCATATGCTGTCCACAAAATGGATGAGGCATGAAAGAAATCTTGTGTTTACCGTGACCTTTGGCTGTACTTTTACTTGTCATAATTATAAAGAAGCTACTCTGAGAGCCCACACATAAGACATAGTATTACTCTTAGAACTATAGTAAAGTATTTCAGGAAGGGCTTCATACCGTAACTAACTGGAGGCAGAATACATGGGTAGTTCTTTCCTTTTTTGTTAGGTATAATAGGCATTTCTGAACAAAGAAAAAGTTCTCATATTATACATATGAATAAGATTTATTGCACAAGAATTTTTCCAATTGTTTAATGCACATTCAAGTACAAATACGCCACTCTGGTTACCTGGTTCAACTTAACAAGTCATGTATGTTCTAAACACAAAAACTACAAATTAAAATTGTGCAATGTAACTATGACTTTAATAATGTAATTTGCCATGTCAGATAAATACATATCAGGAGGAAATTCAAAAGAAAACTATAGAAAAAAATTAACTTACTCTCATCTAGAGATTTCTATTTTCCCACACAGAATTTCACCAAGGAAAAATAGTTGTTTTCGGAAATGTTTTGGCAAAACTGCCAACTTTATCAACATATGTGACATGTAACACGCTTTTAAAGAAAGAAAAGACCACTGGATCATCCAACATGAAATTATAAATTCTAAAGGCATAACAAACAGGATTAGATTTCACGAAAATGTCAAACATACTACAAATTAGAACATGGGTCTCCAACCCCCAGGCCATGGATTGGTTCAGGTAGGTGGCCTGTTAGAAGCCAGGCCACACAGCAAGAAGTGAGTGGCAGACCAGCCAGCAAAGCTTCCTCTGTATTTACGGCCGCTCCTCATCAGTCGCATGACTTACCTGAGCTCTGCCTCCTGTAAGATCATCAGCAGCATTAGATTCTCATACGAATGCAAACCCTACCGTGAACTGCGCATGCAAGGGAGCTAGGTTGCCTGCACCTTATGAGAATCTAACTAATGCTTGATGATCTGAGGTGGAACAGTTTCTTCTGGAAACCATCCCTACCCTTCCCCCCACCGTCCATATAAAAATTGTCTTCCATGAAACCAATCCCTGGTGCCAAAAAGGTTGGGAACTGCTGAATTAGAAGATTTACAAGGCAAACGAAGCACAAAAATTTCTTTAACAGGGCAGGTGTGATGGCTCACTGCTGTAATCCCAGCATTTTGGGAGGCCAAGACAGGAGGACTGCTTGAGCCCAGGAGTTCAAGACCCCATCTCTAGAAAAATAAAATAAAATAAAATTTTTGAAAAAAACCTGTAATGCTTTATATGAAGAAAAACTTTAGAACTATCCATTAAAGTATGATCAACTTTGCCATACCTATCGTTCTGCTCCCAAAAGTAATCATCTTTTACTGTCACCTTGAAAATAGGTTCCAAAAGCCATAAAACATCAGAGTTATCATTTACTAAAGTCAATTACAAAATGCCTATGTTGGCTAACATAAATACTTGTCACAAGAGAACTTAGTTTAATCATAAAGAAAACATTCTTAAAGATATTACACATGAATTAAGACTCCTGTTAAACATACACTTTACAAGACTATTAGAAATTACTCAATGGAAGTTCAGGTACCACCACAGGTCCCCATTTGACCAGGAAGGTCCCAGTTCATACCTGTTGTCGTTACATATTACAGTATACTCTTTCATTCTCAAAACTCTCCTGGATTATAAGATAAATTATGTCATTAACCTAGTTATTAAAATATTTCCTATTAATAAATCGTGTTCCTAGGATTTTATGTTGTAACATTATTTACTTGAAAAGTCTTTCTAACTTAAAAACTTTTAGTGATTCATATAGTACCCTACCGGTCACATAGATGCAGTCAGTTACTTATGGCATTCATACCAATATCACCCAAACTCCGTTGCCGTCTAATTCATCTGTTCTCAGAGGTGCTCTGAATATTTAAGACCCAGGATGGAGGCTTCCCTCTGTCTTAAAGTAGAAAACAGGTTGGAAAGATCTTTTCCTCTTAGTCTCATACTAATTCAGAACATCTTTCCTTACTTTTTAAGGTTCCCCAGAATATTTTAAATAATTACATCTAAAAGTTTAGAATTATAATTGATTGCTTTCTTGTCCTTTTTATGCACATGTTAAAATGCTTAACTGTGTATTAAAGACTATATTTGGGATTAATAGTGTTTGTGGTCATTTCTATAAAAGCTCAGGCAACAAGCACTTAATCATTCTTTTAACAATATGTACATGTGTGACCCTGATAACATTATTTTTTTTAAGGAAATTAAATTTTACCTAATAGAGCCCTGGAAATGGCCTTGGGCTTAAGAGTCAAAAGACCTGATAGGAGTGTTGCACATCCACGAGGCAAACACTATCCCCAAAGCACAAATTCTTCTTTTGTATGTAATTTTTCCTCAACAATACAGTATTATAAGAAGAATTAAATCAGAAAATTCAAGAGGCTCAAGTACTTGTCTGCTGTTTAAGAAAGATGACTAAATGTTATACAAAACGAATATACTTTGCAAGTTAAATATTTAGAGGAAAATACCAGTACTCTCTAAAAAAAGTAAAACAACTTTGGTTAAAAACTACGGAGTACTATCTATGTGTACAAAACTGTAATGGGCTACACAGAAAGGCCTTTGAGTCAGAGTAAATGAGTCCTAATGCGAGCCCCACCACTTTCAGCTGTGTGGCAATCAGCAAGCTACTTAACATCTCTAAGTCTCTATTTCTTCAACTCGAAAATGAACAGTAGTTATATCACTGTGAAGATCAACGAATAATCCATGTAAAAGATATGAGCTCTGTATCTGCACATAAGAAATCAACAATGCTAAGTATTATTATAAAAGTCTACATTAATGTCTCTTTTCAAAAACAAGTCCTAAAAAGTTATTTTGATGTCATAAGAAAATTTCACATGTGCATGTGTGTCTGTGCACATATCTGTGTATCTTCCAAGGAAAGATCACTTAGATGACACAGCTAGCACTCCCCAAATATATGTTAATAATAGGGGCTGGGTAGATTATTCAATACTGGAGAAGGAAGCTTTTTTTTCTTTCTTTCTTTTTTTTTCAAAAGAAGACCACATTGGCATTACTGAAGCACATTTAAAAAGAAAATGCCATATCTAATAGTATCTGTGGTTGTTCATCTCCAGAAAAGACACAGATATGTATGACACACACATTTCTAAATCCATGTATATAAATCAAAGGAAAACACTTCCTTTAAGGCAAGCATATGAAGATACTAAAGGAACATTCCAATTAAATATTCATATATTCAATATTTCAAAATAAGAAATTTGGATATATGTATGCATAATTTACAATTTTATAGTGAAACCTGTCTACAGAGGCCATTTTCACTATATTTCAGTAGCATCTCAACTTGAAATGTACAATGCAGTTTCTCTCTGAAGTGTGAAAACTGTAAAGTACATACTAATTCACTGCAAGCAAACACAAAATAAAGACCATGTTGTGCATATGGCACTCACCCGAATGACTACTTTAACCTATTCATTAAACCCTTTCAATAAGAGAGCCCTAATAACTGCTCTATGTTACGAAATAGAATCAGAAATGATCTTAAATTTGATTAAAAATAGAAACTTCACACAAGAGAATTATTAACTAAGTCAAAGAAACTACAGCTTGCATTTATAAAGCTCTTTGTCCATTTTCATTCATTAAATATAAAAATTTCCATAAGAAATATGTCATTATGACTGACATACACAATTTATATAGAAAGATTTATATAAACAGCCTGATGTTTTCCCAATACAAATATAAGGTGGATTTAAAAAAACAAAGATTACAGCAGTCAAATTTATTCGTCAAGAATCCAAATCTGAGTTGGACTTCATTTCTCTGAACTGTCCTAAAAACATTCCAGTAGTAGAACAGATTTGCCATTAAAATAAAATAACCAAGACTTATTCATTTTAAAACAAGTAAAAAATGCAGATCTGTTCTTTAAAGACACAAAGGGTAATGCAGACTGAGGTTTACATGTTCAATCACTGTTTATAAATGATAGGCTATATCATTAATTTGTAAGTGACTCTAAAATGAGTATGCACATAATACACAAACATTCTACCACTGGTAACTCTAAATAGGTAAATTTAAAGCTAAAAAAAGCTGAAATTTTATCTCTGCCATAAATTTAAAAAAAATCCATGAGCATTGCAATGACTATACTTTTGCCTTAGAGCTGATACTTTAATTTTCAAGAACCACAAAGAAAAAAATCAAAACTAGTCAGTAACAATGCAGCGTCTAAAAGCAATAAACTCAAAATTAACTTATAAATAATTTAAAGGATGTCGTGAAGATGTATTAATAATTCATCAGATAAATAATTTACTAAATAATCAAATAAATAAATAATGAAATACATAAATAAAACAGCAAATAAATAATTCTGCAAAATAACCTAAATAATAAGTCACCCAAACATATCACAACCTACAAAGCTACAATGATTTTCCGGATTTTGATAATTTAAATAAGCAAATGTACATAAGTTAGATCAATCCTTGTTAGAATTAGAAATATTTTTCAATACTATTGGTAAAATCCTCATCTCAATACATATGAACACATTTTCAATGTTTAAAAGACTGCATAGGATTAGTTCTCATACATCATTAATATAATTATAATACAACTGCCTTGATATTATATATATCTTTCTCTAACATATTTTCCCTCAAACAACTGGACACTCAAGACATTCTTAACTTACACTTCTTTTTCAAAGAAATACCTACAATATAATAATGCTACAGCCTTTCTGACAGTTTTCCTATCTTCACCAAATCTTTAGAAATTTTCTGCAGGAGAATAATAAGAAGAGCCTTAATTATTACAGATGGCATTTCATTCACTAGTGGACAATGTTTTACAATTCTAAAAATAATGGGAAGTCGACATTATTAGTCATAAACTATGTCAAGATTTTTAGAAGTCTTCAGTGGACTAACTTCAACTTGACAGTATCCAACTTTCTCTATTGGGGCTGACACACAAGCTGTTACAATTGGCGGGATTTCAGACGTGAAAGACAAAAACTTCAAAGGACAAAGTGATTGGCTGACATCTAATGCTATCTTCAATCTGGGAAGCTCAAAGTCCTTGAAAGAACACGATGAGATCCCTTAACTGTTACAATCTGAATGTAGTCACAATCTAATTAGGGTACCATAAAGGGTCAAAACACAACTGACCTCATAAATCAGCCTTCATTTAACAAAGGTTTTATCTACCCATAGTATAGCATTCTTTATATCCTTAAATAGTAGATCCCAAGTTATGATAGCTGTTCCCATAGAAATAATAACTTTGTGATAGGTTTTTGACACACTGAAGGGACTACATTAAAACAATATAGTACGCTTGAAGAGAAGGAAATTAACCTAATTTACTAATTAATTAAAGTGTTTTATATAATTTATCTTAGTGAATTCTCACAACAATCTTTCAAGTTAGGTAACATTTTACCTATTTTTCAGTGAAGGAAACTGAGGCCCAGTAAAATTATGTATACTGCCTACAGTGCCCAAGTGGCAGGAAAGATCCACATTTTGCCTACACAATCTTCAGTGGGAAGATTCATTAAGCTATAGAGCCCTTAAATTTAGGCCAAACCTGAAAAATTTAGAAAATTCTAAAACACCTATATTGTTAAAGCATGGGTTCTCAACTAAGGGTGACTTTGTTTCTTAAGGGACATTTGGCAATGCGTGGAGGCATTTTGTGTGTCACAACTAGGGAGAATTACTGACATCTAGTGGGTAGAGGTCAGGGATGCTGCTAAACATCCTACAATGCACAGGATGGCTCCTACAACAAGGAATTATCTAGCCTAAAATGTTAGTAGTGATGAGGGTAGGAAACCCTGAATTAAAGTAACATGTATGGTTTTCCTATTACAAAATAATATATATTTGGTTAATAGATGTAGAGTCTTTTTTCTATGTATAATATGTATAGTGAAATATCCTGGATAAAAAAAGTGTATCCTTGGGAGACCGGGTATATGGGAACCCTTTGTACTTTCTGCTCCATTTTTCTCTAAAGCTAAAACTGCTCAAAAACTATCTTATTTTTTCAAATATGTATTCTTCACTTATATGACTAAAGTTATGATTACCTTTCTTAGAATCAATATTAAACAGTAAGTCTACAGTCATAAAAAATGTTTTCTAAAAATTTCATATATCAAAATGTTTTCAACAAGTTAATATGAGAGCATTAAAAGCTAAATTTAGCCAGACATGGTGGCTCACACCTGTAATCCCAACACTTTAAGAAACCAAGGAATGACAAAAATGTATGTTTCCTTATATTTGACCTGTTATATTATCATATAGAGGCTTTAAATAATAGTATACTTTGTCAGCTAGGATTAGGTCACATCCCTCCCAAATCAATAAAAATAATAATCAAATAATAACAAGGAGAGGGGGAAAAAAGGAGGGAGGAGACAAATTTATTTCTCCCATGTAAATGTCCAGAAGAAGAAAATCACAGGCTGATATGGCAGCTCCAACTATAAGGGGCCCAAGTTCCTTCCACCTTTTTGCTCTACCGTACAGTTTCTATTCAAAGTCACCTCATATTCCAAGAAGGCTATGAGAATTGCAGCTAATCTACCTACATTGCAGGCAGCAGGAAGAAGTCTGAAAGGAGAAGAAAAGCCCTCCCTATTCTCTTATCTCACACAATATTCCACCTTATATCTTATAAACCATAAACTTAGCCCTTTGGTCACACTTAACCACTTGGAAGGCCAGGCAATGTAGTCTGTAACACTGTCAATATACTCAGCTATAAAACTGGGATTCTTTTGTAACTAAGGAAGACAGAATAAATTTTGTGAGGTGAATTAAAATAGGCAGACTGCAGTAAAAGTTACAACTCTTCAAAGAAAATGAAAGAGGTACTGAAAGATTTTCATTAGAGAAGTTCACTGCAAATTAATGAAAATGAAGGAAAAGATATTTAACAATAGAAGAATGGTTAAATTTAGGGATAATCTTAGAATCGAATGCTATGATTTCACTAAATATCACTTTGAAGAATTTTACTGATATGGAGAACTGTTCACAGTATTAAATAAAAAAATATAAACTATTTCATATACAATAACCCATTTCATATCAATATACATATATACAAATACATATACTAGTATATATATACACATACATATAGGCCCATCATATAGCTATATCTAGAGAGACTGAGACCATATAAAACTTAAGAAAATAAAAACTAAACTGATACTAGTGGTTTAGCTCTCCTTTGAGGAATTGTAACTAAATTTTACTTTATCCATACATTTCATTAATTTCTAGTTTTTCTACAATGAATACATACTATGTGTATTGATTATTTTTCATAAAAATGTTGGCACAGATGAAGAAGCAATCAGCCACCTTAGAAAAGTGGTTAGGTTCAGGCTTCAATTTATTTTATTACCTAGAATTCACTGATTTAAACAATGGCATGGAGCATCTACATCTGAGCTGTATCTTTACCAACCGGGGCAAAACATAGATGTTTCTCTTTAGGCAGTACTAAGAAGCCAACTTCTCTGTGCCCAACTTGTATTCAACTTACTAGCATTCACATATCACGTTTGTCAGCTTTGCACAAGTCACTCCTAACCAGATGCTACATCCATCATTCCTAACAATGTACCCCGACATATTGATTACTTTGCTCATCTCATTCTGTGGAACTAATCATTTGTCCTTCATGCTTCTACAAATCCTTCCACTTTCTATATTTCTCAGCCTATTTTTAAAATTTCTACCCTACTGTACATTTTTCTGGTTACTTGTATAATGAACACATCTAACATAAATTATATCTTTCTTATATTTTTAAAACTATCTTGAATTGTCCCGAATTTTCCAGAGTTACTACTGGGTACACAGAGAATTGTTATATTGGCATTAATTCCATTGGCTGAAACTCCATAATTACCATTAATAGAGTCTCATAATTTAGAATGCTTCAAAATTTTCCATATTTTCTAGAGTGATTTACTTTCCAAAATCCCCATTATCACCATAAAAGAAATGGAAAAACAAAGGAAAAGACATTCAAAGCTACTAACAAGTGCATGGAGTTGGCCAAAATAGCAAACAAACAAAAAAGTGAAATAGATGGACCCAGTCCTCTAGAAAATGCGTTAGACACTCACAACAAAGTCCGGGCACAATGGCTCACGACTGTAATCCCAGCACTTTGGGAGGCCAAAGTGGGCAGATTGCTTCAGTCCAGGAATTTGAGATCAGTGGACAACATGGCGAAACCCCGTCTATTCTAAAAATACAAAAAATTAGCTAGGCATGGTGCTGTGTGCCTATGGCCCCAGCTAGCCAGGAGGCTGAAGCTGGAGGATCGCTTGAGTTGGGAAGGTCAAGGCTGCAGTGGGCCCTGCCTGGGCGACAGAGTGAGACCCTGTCTCAAAAAAAAAAAAAAAAAAGAAAAGAAAAAGAGAAAAAAGGGAGGGAGGGGAATTCATAACAAAATGTAATAAAAGATAAATGTATAATTCAGACAATGTATACTACAGAAAATCCAGCAGGTAAAAAGTCACATCAGGCAGGGATAATCAGAAATGCCTCTGTGTCTCAGATCAAAATCATACAGGAATACAATAGTAGTTGTCAACTATGGAAGACACTGCCCCCAGGGGACATTTGGCAATGTCTAGAAAAACTTTAGGTTGTTCCAAATGAGAAATATAACTTGCATCTGGTGAGTAGTGGCCAGGGATGCAGCTGAACATACCTAAACCTATCATCCCTAAACATACCTAAACATACAACAAACAGGATAGGACCCCTCCCCCCCAAAAAATCAGTTATTCAGCCCAAAACGTCAACAGTGCTAGAAGGACCAGTATGAGCGAAAAAGAAGAGATAGCATTTAATCAGTATAAAAGGATATGAATAAAAGAATTGTTGCTATAATACATGATGCTTTAATAAGTCATAACATGGCCAACAAAAAAACAGTGGGAAACAAGACTAGAAAACATAACAAGGAGTAGATTGTGATGGCCTATACAAGAATGACAAACCAAAGAAATATGGAAAAATAACCATTATAATAAGAATATAAGAGAACTGAAGCATAAAAATAGCCATATTTTTTTTTTTTTTTTTTTTTTTTTTTTTTGAGACGGAGTCTCGCTCTGTCGCCCAGGCTGGAGTGCAGTGGCGGGATCTCGGCTCACTGCAAGCTCTGCCTCCCGGGTTCACGCCATTCTCCCGCCTCAGCCTCCCAAGTAGCTGGGACTACAGGCGCCCGCCACTACGCCCGGCTAATTTTTTGTATTTTTAGTAGAGACGGGGTTTCACCGTTTTAGCCGGGATGGTCTCGATCTCCTGACCTCGTGATCCGCCCGCCTCGGCCTCCCAAAGTGCTGGGATTACAGGCGTGAGCCACCGCGCCCGGCCTAAAAATAGCCATATTTTATAACAGGGTTCTCCAACCCCTGGGGCCACAGACAAGCAAGCAAAGCTTCATCTGTATTTACAGCTGCTCCCCATTGCTCACATTACCACCTGAGCTCTGCCTCCTGTCAGAACAGCAGTGGCATTAGATTCTCATAAGACTGCTAACCCTTTTGTGAACTGTACATGTGAGCGATCTAGGTTGCGTGCTCCTTATGAGAATCTAATGCCTGGTGATCTAAGGTGGAACAGTTTCATCCGAAAACCATATCTCCACCCCCATCCATGGAAAAACTGTCTTCCACAAAACTGGTCCCTGGTGCCAAAAAGGGGGGACTGCTGCTTTATAAGACTAAATTGTAGATAGACAGGGACACTGCTTTCCAGCAGTACGTAAAGCTAGATATCTTGAGACTATTCAAATCTAACTTTAAAACAGAGGAAAAAAAATCTGTTTAAGGGTTTAGTTAGCAAGAAAGTACAGTATACATATAAGCTATAAATAAAGGAGAAACCTTACAAAACAGTAAGCCAACAGAAGAAACCAGCTCTCATTCTAACGTTGGTAAAACTGAGCTTACATTTTGATGGCTGCACAAGGCTTAGGAAACAAGATTTTAAGGAGTCTATCACAAGAAAACACCTATATAAAGTTGGTGCTCTCAAGGGGTACATCCTCATGTTAACAGCAATGAGGAACCACAAAGATCTCCCTCCTGTAACACCTTTATAGTCACACCGACCCCCGATCCCTGGCACTCCCACCATTCCTAATTCCTGGCAACCATTAATCTGTATTCCATCTCTATAATTTTGTCACTTCTAGAATGTTTTATCAATTCTCCTGCAACTGTAACCACAAAGTGGCCTTCACAAAGGTTCTCACACTAAATTCACACTACTTGTATGATCCAATAAATTTCATAGGAGATCCAATAAATTCCATATTTAAAGCATTCTTAATCTGCTAGGCAGGCAACTGGAGAAAGCACAGGCAAATGCTCCACGAAAGAAAATGACTTCAGGCCGGGCGCCGTGGCTCATACTTGTAATCCCAGCACTTTGGGAGGCCAAAGCGGGTGGATCATGAGGTCAAGAGATGGAGACCATCCTGGCCAACATGGTGAAACCTCGCCTCTACTAAAAATACAAAAATTAGTTGGGCATGGTGGCGCATGCCTGTAGTCCCAGCTATTCAGGAGCCTGAGGCAGGAGAATCACTTGAACCCGTGAGGCGGAGGTTGCAGTGAGCCGAGATCGAGCCACTGCACTCCAGCCAGGCAGCCTGGCAACAGAGTGAGACTCCGTCTCAACAAAAAAAAAAAAAAGAAAGAAAAAAAGAAAATGACTTCAACCCAAGCCTTAATCAATCCAACACCTTTCCAAGATATACTACCGAAGTAGAAACAAAAAAAAAAAATTCAAGGATTCCACACACAACAAAAGAGAGCCATCACAAAAAAGACATGGCAAAATTAACATACAGATTATTCCACTGTTGGAAAGAGCATACAGTAAGAATGTTTTAAGCAATAATATCTATATAAAACATAAAACTTCAAGAAATAAAAAACATAAGTACTTTTTTTCTTTTTTTTGAGATGAGGCCTCGTTCTGTCACGCAGGCTGAAGTGCAGTGGAGCAATCTCGGATCACTGCAGCCTCCACCTCTCAGGTTCAAATGGCCTCCTGCCTCAGCCTCCCAAGACGGTGGGTTTACAAGCATCTGCCACCATGCCCAGCTAATTTTTGTATTTTTAGTAGAGACGGGATTTCGCCATGTTGGCCAGGATGCTCCCAAACTCCTAATCTCAGGTGATCCACCCGCCTCAGCCTCCCAAAGTGCTGGGATTACAGGTATGAGTCACCACACCCAGCCTAAAATTTTTAATTCAGTGTAAAAGTGCAAGAGTTGAATAGAGAAAGAATTAGTGAATTAATTCTTAAAAATCCATCTAAAATGCAATTCAAAGACACAGAAAAAAACTATGTAAGAGCAGTCAAGAGATACAAAGAATAGAATAAAAGAGGTCTAAACAAAATACTTCTAAATCTACCTGTGATACAGGAGACCGTTTTTTAAATTGCCAATCCATTGGAGAGAAAAACTTTTGTAAAATGCAATGAAAATTAATTTTTTTAAAAATTATATGCTTATTAGGTAATGTCAATTAGATATAAAAGTTTCTAAATGCTTTCTCTGAATTTGTTTTTACTTCTTCACAGACCAGTAAAATCAGTTTGCAGACCAGCACTGATCTGAAGATCACAGGTTGAGTACCAATGGTCTAAAACACAAGTAGATCAGAATTATAAAAGGATATAAACGAATATAGGCCAGGCACGGTAGTTCACACTTGTAATCCCAGCACTTTGGGAAGCCAAGGCAGGCAGATCACTTGAACCCAAGAGTTCAAGACCAGCCTGGGCAACATGGCAAGAACCTGCCTCTACAAAAAATACAAACATTACATGGGCGGAGCCCCCTTGGCATATGAGGCTCTGCACTGCCCTGGGAGTGTAAAGTCCTCACCAGCAAAAAGGCTCTCATCAGATGTGAACCCTTGACCTTGGACTTCTCAGCCTTAAAGCCTAGATCCCTTCCAAGATGGCCAAATAGGAACAGCTTCAGTCTGCAGCTCCCAGAGTGACGGACGCAGAAGACGGGTGATATCTGCATTTCCAACTGAGGTACCTGGTTCATCTCATTGGGACTGGTTGGACATTGGGTGCAGCCCACGGAAGGCAAGCTGAAGCAGGGTGGGGCATTGACTCAACCGGGAAGTGCAAGGGGTCAGGGATTTCCCTTTCCTAGCCAAGGGAAGCCGTGACAGACTGTACCTGGAAAAACGTAACACTCCCACCCAAAAACTGCGCTTTGCTCAAGGTCTTAACAACCGGCAGACAAGGAGATTCTCTCCTGTGCCTGGCTCGGTGGTTCCCACACCCACGGAGCCTTGCTCACTGCTAGCGCAGCAGTCTGAGATTGAACCACGAGGCGGCAGCCTGGCTGGGGGAGGGGCGTCCCCCATCGCTGAGGCTTCAGTAGGTAAACAAAGCTGCCAGGAAGCTCGAACTGGGCGGAGCCCACTGCAGCTCAGCACACCCTGCAGCCGCTAGACTCCACCTCCGTACACAGGCCTTAGCTGGACAAAAGGCAGCAGACAACTTCTGCAGATTTAAACGTCCCTGTCTGACGGCTCTGAAGAGAGCAGTGGTTCTCCCAACACAGCGTTTGAGCTCTGAGAATGGATGGACTGCCTCCTCAATTGGGTCCCTGAACCCGTGTAGCCAAACTGGGAGACACCTACCAATAGGGGCCGACAGACACCTCATATAAGCGGGTGCCCCTCTGGGACGAAGCTTCCAGAGGAAGGATCAGGCAGGTTCTGCAATATTTGCTGTTCTGCAGCCTCCGCTGGTGATACCCAGGCAAACAGAGTCTGGAGTGGACCTCCAGCAAACTCCAACAGACCTGCAGCTGAGGGACCTGACTGTTAGAAGGAAAACTAACAAACAGAAAGGAATAGCATCAACACCAACAAAAAGGACATCTACACCAAAACCTCATCTGCAGGTCACCAACATCAAAGACCAAAGGTGGATAAAATCACAAAGATGGGGAGAAACCAGAGCAGAAAAGCTGAAAATTCCAAAAATCAGAGTGCCTCTTCTCCTCCAAAACATTGCAGCTCCTTGCCAGCAATGGAATAAAGCTGTACAGAGAACGACTTTGACAAGTTGACAGAAGTAGGCTTCAGAAGGTCAGTAATAACAAACTTTTCCGAGCTAAAGGAGCATGTTTGAACACATCGCAAGGAAGCTAAAAACCTTGAAAAAATGTTAGATGAATGGCTAACTAGAACAAACAGTGTAGAGAAGACCTTAAATGATGTCATGGAGATGAAAACCATGGCATGAGAACTACGCAACGCATGCACAAGCGTCAACAGCCGATTTGATCAACTAGAAGAAAGGGTATCAGTGATTGAAGATCAAATCAATGAAACAAAGCAAGGAGACAGGGTTAGAGAAAAAAGAGTAAAAAGAAACAAACAAAGCCTCCAAGAAATATGTGACTGTGTGAAAAGACCAAATCTACATTTGATTGGTGTACCTGAAAGTGATGGGGAGAATGGACCCAAGTTGGAAAACAGTCTTCAGGATATTATCCAGGAAAAATTCCCCAACCTAGCAAGGCAGGCCAACATTCAAATTCAGGAAATACAGAGAACACCATAAAGATACTCCTCAAGAAGAGCAACCCCAAGACACACAATTGTCAGATTCACTAAGGTTGAAATGAAGGAAAAAATGTTAAAGGCAGCCAGAGAGAAAGGTCGAGTTACCCACAAAAGGAAGCCCATCAGACTAACAGCGGACCTCTCGGCAGAAACCCTACAACCCAGAAGACAGTGGGGGCCAATATTCAACATTCTTAAAGAAAGAATTTTCAACCCAGAATTTCATATCCAGCCAAACTAAGCTTCATAAATAAAGGAGAAATAAAATCCTTTACACACAAGCAAATGCTGAGAGATTCTGTCACCACCAGGCCTGCCTTACAAGAGCTCCTGAAGGAAGCACTAAACACGGAAAGAAACAACCGGTACAAGCCACTGCAAAAACATGCCAAATTGTAAAGACCATCAATGCTATGAAGAAACTGCATCAATTAAAGGGCAAAATAACCAGGGAACATCATAATGACAGGATCAAATTCACACATAACAATATTAACCTTAAATGTAAATGGACTAAATGCCCCAATTAAAAGACGCGGACTGGCAAATTGGATAAAGAGTCAAGACCCATCACTGGGCTGTATTCAGGAGACCCATCTCACGTGCAATGACGCACATAGGCTAAAAATAAAGGGATGGAGGAAGATCTACCAAGCAAATGGAAAGCAAAAAAAAGCAGGGGTTGCAATCCTAGTCTCTGATAAAAACAGACTATAAACCAATAAAGATCCAAAGAGACAAAGAAGGCCATTACATAATGGTAAAGGGATCAATTCAACAAGAAAAGCTAACTATCCTAAATATATATACACCCAATACAGGAGCACCCAGATTCATAAAGCAAGTCCTTAGAGACCTACAAAGAGACTTAGACTCCCACACAATAATAATGGGAGACTTTAACACCCCACTGTCAATATTAGACAGATCAACAAGACAGAAGGTTAACAAAGATATCTAGGACTTGAACTCAGCTCTGCACCAAGCTGACCTAAGAGATATCTACAGAACTCTCCACCCCAAGTCAACAGAACATACATTCTTCTCAGCACCATATCGCACTTATTCTAAAACTGACCACATAATTGGAAGTAAAGCACTCCTCAGCAAATGTAAAAGAACATAAATCACAACAAACTGTCTCTCAGACCACAGTGCAATCAAATTACAACTCAGGATTAAGAGAGTCATCAAAACCACACACTACTACATGGAAAATGAACAACTTATTCCTGAATGACTACTGGGTAAATATCGAAATGAAGGCTGAAATAAAGATGTTCTTTGAAACCAATGAGAACAAAGACACAATGTACCAGAATCTCTGGGACATATTTAAAGCAGTGTGTAGAGGGAAATTTATAGCTCTAAATGCCCACAGAAGAAAGCAAGAAAGATCTAAAATCGACACCCTAACATCACAATTAAAAGAAATAGAGAAGGAAGAGCAAACAAAAAAAAAGCTAGCAGAAGGCAAGAAATAACTAAGATCAGAGCAGAACTGAAGGAAATAGAGACACAAAAATCCCTTCAAAAAAATCAATGAATCCAAGAGCTGGTTTTTTGAAAAGATCAACAAAACTGATAGACTGCTAGCAAGACTAATAAAGAAGAAAGGAGAGAAGAATCAAATAGATGCAATAAAAAATGATAAAGGGGATATCACCACCTATTACACAGAAATACAAACTACCATCAGAGGATACTATAAACACCTCTAGGCAAATAAACTAGAAAATCTAGAAGAAATAGATGAATTCCTGGATACATACAAGACTAAACCAAGACTAAACCAGCAAGAAGTTGAATCTCTGAATAGAACAATCACAGGCTCTGAAATTGAGGCAATAATTAACAGCCTACCAACCAAAAAAAAGTCCAGGACCAGACGGATTCACAGCTAAATTCTACCAGAGGTACAAAGAGGAGCTGGTACCATTCCTTCTGAAAGTATTCCAATCAATAGACAAAGAGGAAATCCTCCCTAACTCATTTTATGAGGCCAACATCTTCCCGATACCAAAGCCTGGCAGAGACACAACAGAAAAAAAGAATTTTAGACCAATATCTCTGAAGAACATTGATGTGAAAATTCTCAATAAAATACTGGCAAACCGAATCCAGCATCACATCAAAAAGCTTACCCACCATGATCAAGTCAGCTTCACCCCTGGGATGCAAGGCTGATTCAACATACGCAAATCAATAAACATAATCCATCACATAAACAGAACCAATGATAAAAACCACATGATTATCTTAATAGATGCAGAAAAGGCCTTCGACAAAATTCAACAGTATTTCATGCTAAAAACTCTCAATAAACTAGGTATTGATGGAACATATCACAAAATACTAAGAGCTATTTATGACAAACCCACAGCCAATATCATACCGAATGGGCAACAACCGGAAGCATTTCCTTGGAAAATCGGCACAAGACAAGGATGCCCTCTCTCACCACTCGTATTCAACATAGGGTTGGAAGTTCTGGCCAGGGCAATCAGGCAAGACAAAGAAATAAAAGGTATTTAATTAGGAAAAGAGGAAGTCAAATTGTCCCTGTTTGCAGATGACATGATTGTATATTTAGAAAACCCCATCGTCTCAGCCCAAAATCTCCTTAAGCTGATAAGCAACTTCAGCAAAGTCTCAGGATACAAAATCAATGTGAAAAAATCACAAGCATTCCTATATACAAATAACAGACAAACAGAGAGCCAAATCACAAGTGAATTCCCATTCACAATTGCTACCAAGAGAATAAAATGCCTAAGAATCCAACTTACAAGGGATGTGAAGGACTTCTTCAAGGAGAACTACAAACCACTGCTCAATGAAATAAAAGAGGATACAAACAAATGGAAGAACATCCCACGCTCACGGATAGGAAGAATCAATATTGTGAAAATGGCCATACTGCCCAAGGTAATTTATAGATTCAATGCCATCCCCATCAAGCTACCAATGACTTGCTTCACAGAATTGGAAAAAACTACTTTAAAGTTCATGTGGAACCAAAACAGAACCCGCGTTGCCAAGACAATCCTAAGCAAAAAGAACAAAGCTGTAGGCATCACACTACCTGACTTCAAAATACACTACAAGGCTACAGTAACCAAAACAGCATGGTACTGGTTCCAAAACAGAGATATAAACCAATGGAAAAGAACAGAGGCCTCAGAAAGAATACCACAATGGCCATACTGCCCAAGGTAATTTACAGATTCAATGCCATCCCCATCAAGCTACCAATGACTTTCTTCACAGAATTGGAAAAAACTACTTTCAAGTTCATATGGAACCAAAAAAGAGCCCACATTGCCAAGTCAATCCTAAGCCAAAAGAACAAAGCTGGAGGCATCATGCTACCTGACTTCAAACTATACTACAAGGCTACAGTAACCAAAGAAGCATGGTACTGGTCCCAAAACAGAGATATAGATCAATGGAACAGAACAGAGCCCTCAGAAATAACGCCGCATATCTACAACTATCTGATCTTTGACAAACCTGACAAAAACAAGCATTGGGGAAAGGATTCCCTATTTAATCAATGGTGCTGGGAAAACTGGCTAGCCATATGGAGAAAGCTGAAACTGGAACCCTTCCTTACACCTTATACAAAAATCAATTCAAGATGGATTAAAGACTTAAACGTTAGACCTAAAACCATAAAAACCCTAGAAGAAAACCTAGGCATTGCCATTCAGGATATAGGCATGGGCAAGGACTTCATGTCTAAAACACCAAAAGCAATGGCAACAAAAGCCAAAATTGACAAATGGGATCTAATTAAACTAAAGAGCTTCTGCACAGCAAAAGAAACTACCATCAGAGTGAACAGGCAACCTACAAAATGGGAGAAAATTTTCGCAACCTACTCATCTGACAAAGGGCTAATATCCAGAATCTACAATGAACTCAAACAAATTTACAAGAAAAAAACAAACAACCCCATCAAAAAGTGGGCAAAGGATATGAACCGACACTTCTCAAAAGAAGACATTTATGCAGCCAAAAGACACATGAAAAAATGCTCATCATCACTGGCCATCAGAGAAATGCAAATCAAAACCACATGAGATATCATCTCACACCAGTTAGAATGGCAATCATTAAAAAGTCAGGAAACAACAGGTGCTGGAGAGGATGTGGAGAAATAGGAACACTTTTACACTGTTGGTGGGACTGTAAACTAGTTCAACCATTGTGGAAGTCAGTGTGGCGATTCCTCAGGGATCTAGAACTCGAAATACCATTTGACCCAGCCATCCCATTACTGGGTATATGCCCAAAGGACTATAAATCATGCTGCTATAAAGACACATGCCCACGTATGTTTATTGCGGCATTATTCACAATAGCAAAGACTTGGAACCAACCCAAATGTCCAACAATGATAGACTGGATTAAGAAAATGTGGCACATATACACCATGGAATACTATGCAGCCATAAAAAATGATGAGTTCATGTCCTTTGTAGGGACATGGATGAAATTGGAAATCATCATTCTCAGTAAACTATCGCAAGAACAAAAAACCAAACACCACATATTCTCACTCATAGGTGGGAATTGAACAATGAGAACACATGGACACAGGAAGGGGAACATCACACTCTGGGGACTGTTGTGGGGTGGGGGGAGGGGGGAGGGATAGCATTGGGAGATATACCTAATGCTAGATGACGAGTTAGTGGGTGCAGCGCACCAGCATGGCACATGTATACATATGTAACTAACCTGCACATTGTGCACATGTACCCTAAAACTTAAAGTATAATAATAATAAATAGATTTTTAAAATTACCATAATAATTGACCTATTATCCTCTATGAGTCTCATCATCTGATACAGATTTATTCTCAATTATATAAAAATCATCAGTTATTGTTAAATAAGAAACTCAGTATATGTAGATCCTCCAGTCTCTTGGATTTACATATATAGTTTTAATTGTCCAATAATATTGTAAAAGTTAATATCCTTTCAATGTATCTGATTTAAAATTACCACAGAGTATTGTGGGATTAAAGGAGTACTGTGTCAAGGGAAAAAAAAAAAAAAGAAAGAAAGTTTTCTCATCTATTCTGGTGACACTGTGGCTGACAGTATCTACTTTAAAATGGAAGTGAGAAAATCCAGCACCCGGATTTCAACCGGGGACCTCTTGATCTGCAGTCAAATGCTCTGCCCCCTGAGATATACCCCCTTCACCTGTTAGAAGCTCCTTCCTTGTCCACTTATGGTGACTCAATACAATCAAGTTCCACCCACACTAGAGTTCTGGCAAGCTATGTGTTCTAAAGCCCCACCTTCTTAATTATCCATCATCTGCTTTGGCTTGTCCCTTGGCCACTAATAAACTGAAAGGGAACACTTGAAAAATGACAGACAAAAAAAAAAAAATACCACACAACTACAACCATCTGATCTTTGACAAACCTGACAAAAACAAGAAATGGGGAAACAATTCCCTATTTAATAAATGGTGCTGGGAAAACTGGCTAGCCATATGGAGAAAGCTGAAACTGGATCCCTTCCTTACACCTTATACAAAAATTAATTCAAGATGGATTAAAGACTTAAATGTTAGACCTAAAACCATAAAAACCCTAGAAGAAAACCTAGGCAATACCATTCAGGACATAGGCATGGGCAAGGACTTCATGTCCAAAACACCAAAAGCAATGACAACAAAAGCCAAAATTGACAAATGGGATCTAATTAAACTAAAGAGTTTCTGCACAGCAAAAGAAACTACCATCAGAGTGAACAGGCAACCTACAGAATAGGAGAAAATTTTTGCAATCTACTCATCTGACAAAGAGCTAATATCCAGAATCTACAAAGAACTCAAACAAATTTACAAGAAAAAAACAAACAACCCCATCAAAAAGTGGGCGAAGGATATGAAAAGACACTTCTCAAAAGAAGACATCTACGCGGCCAACAGACACGTGAAAAAATGCTCATCATCACTGGCCATCAGAGAAATGCAAAGCAAAACCACAATGAGATACCACCTCACACCAGTGAGAATGGCGATCATTAAAAAGTCAGGAAACAACAGGTGCTGGAGAGGATGTGGAGAAATAGGAACACTTTTACACTGTTGGTGGGACTGTAAACCAGTTCAACCATTGTGGAAGACAGTGTGGTAATCCCTCAAAGATCTAGAACTCGAAATACCATTTGACCCAGCCATCCCATTACTAGGTATATACCCAAAGGATTATAAATCATGCTACTATAAAGACACATGCATACGTATGTTTATTGTAGCACTATTCACAATAGCAAAGACTTGGAACCAACCCAAATGTCCATCAATGATGGACTGGATTAAGAAAATGTGGCACATATACACCATGGAATACTATGCAGCCATAAAAAGGATGAGTTCATGTCCTTTGCAGGGACATGGATGAAGCTGGAAACCATCATTCTCAGCAAACTATCACAAGGACAGAAAACCAAATACCACATGTTCTCACTCATAGGTGGGACCTGAACGAGATCACTTGGACATAAGGCGGGGAACATCACACACTGGGGCCTGTTAGGGGGTAGGGGGCTGGAGGAGAGATAGCATTAGGAGAAATACCTAATGTAAATGACGAGCTGATGGGTGCAGCAAACCAAAATAGCACATGTTTACCTATGTATCAAACCTGCACATTCTGCACATGTACCCTAGAACTTAAAGTATAATAATAATAAAAAAAAGTCTCCTGGGTGGCGCACAACTGTAGTTCCAGCTACTACAGAGGCGGAGTTGGGAAGATCGCTTGAGCCCAGGAAGCAGAGGTTGCAGTGAGCCAAGATAGCGCCACTGCACTCCAATCTGGGCAACAAAAAAGACTTTTTTTTTTAAACAAAGAATATAAAAGAGAGGATATGAACAGTATCCAAATAAATAATCGTTGAAATTTTTCCAGACTAACTGAAGTCACAGATGGAAGGTCTGAGATGCAAGAAAAAACTGAGAGTAAAGATGCAGGTATATATGTGGGTAATTCCTTAACAGTTTAAAGGCTAAATCCACCAAAATTACTAGAACACAATCCCTGACCAGACTAGCTTTTTCTTTTTTTTTTTTCCTAACTAAGAATAAGGGCTAGATGTACTATAAATAAACAAAATAAGGACAAGAGGACTTAGTAAAGAAAGTTATTGGAGACCAAATTTCAAGAGCTAAAGATTCCCTCTCCCAGTAGAAATATACTGTCCCTACTGCCAAAACTGTGTTTAGTTTATTAAATTAGGGTGAATTTTTAATGTGCAACTTTATGAAATAAAAAAATTACAGTCTTATATTAGCTAAGGCTGAATATATTTTCAATTATATTGAAACAAACAGGATTCCAATTTCCACTAACTGTCGTCTTCAATGTGAGGTGAGCTATATAATACTTTGGCATACTCTACCTGTCAAATCTTCCAAGCACAACAGATTCTTTTACTTTTAAATGCAGTTCATTTAAAAGACCCTGCTAAGACTTCCAGAAGAAATCAAATGTAAATTCAAACTTACTTAGTAAAACTATGAAATTATGGCATTACACCTCCTAAAACAGAATCATAACTAATAGTTATATAAATGGTGTTTTTTCAAATATTTAACAGATACCTAATTGAAGCATCACAATAACCTCATGGAATCCTGGCTTTATAGAACAGATATAATAATGGGTAAAAGCTTAGAATGTAAAAGAACATAGTGAACGGCATTAAAAAATACACAGAAAAGGATACATAAATTGAATGTAACAATGTAAAGAGAAAAAGATGTCCAAAATCTAATCAACAGCTGCTTCTTAGCAGCATTCCCCATCAAATGAAATTGAAAGGACAATCATTAGGCATACATAGTAGATAAACTAAACGAAATGATGCATTAACTTATTTGATTCATTGTCATCAATATGAACGAGATTGATGAACAAAATTTAGCAAGATTACTTTTTAAATTTAATTGCTTATTGAGCCTTAATAAGACTCATATGGTACTACCTCCAAGGGTAGAAAAAAAGCTGGCCTGAGTGATTAAAACTTCCATCAGGTATAAATAAGTAAAGGCAGAGTGTGGCAAAAATTGTCATCCATACTTAATCATGAACAATTAAAAGTATAAGCCATTCTGAAAAGCTGAGGGGTAAGGTCTTTAAATAAGAAAACTTCTCCAAACTAGACCATAGCTATATTGATTCAAAGTTAATGCCTCAGCAGATACAAAACACCAAACATCTTTACTGAGTGGTTTAGAAAAAAGTTGAATTTAAGCTGGAAATTTATGAAGTTAAAAAAAAGAAAATGCCTTATTTCAGCCAGACACAATGTTCAGGCTAGAAGAATATGTGGCCTTATCATTTCAAACTTTGGTTGCCCACACCAAATTTAACTATCAAACCATTCTGATATAAAGAAAAAGAAAAATATTCCATAGTGCCTTCTGAGTTTTTACTCAATTATAATTACATTTGTACATATGTTTTTTAGCTGCTTCAAGTCTTTTCTGTGGAGAAAAAAAAAAGGTAGGCTTTAAAAAAAAATCCCTACATATATAGATACATCCATGCATAGAAAATGTTCCCAAAACTAACCATTTCACTTGTACTTCCTGATCCCTACTTGAAACATAAATAAGTAGGCAAATTTTTAAGATATATTAAACATTAATATACTTTATAAGTAGATTTTTAAGTAAAAGCAAACTGCAAATTTTTTTTCAATAAAATCAAGCCACAAAGCCAAAATTCTTTATCATAAGATGTGCAAATGGCTTAAAATTTTAGGGAGTGGGTGGGAAAGACTAGTAGTTGAACTCTAAATCTGTCAAAAGAGGATGCAAGCTTACTACAGGAAGATTCTAATAACTGAAATCCCTGAATGTTTTAAGATTAAGATCATAGAACAGGGGATCACAAGCTTTCCCACCTAAACATCCCTAAATAAATGCCACAACAGACAATGACCTCATACATATGAGAGTCTGGGAATAGAACCCAAAATTGCTATAGTGTCAATTTTCTGCCACATTAAGTATATGATCTTAAAATAATTGTGCTAATTCCTTTTTGACTCTACAATATCTCACTAAAAATCATACTTAAAAAGAATGTACCACATTGATATTTGTGTTTTTTTTTTGTTTTTTTTTTTTTAATTTATTTTTTTATTGATAATTCTTGGGTGTTTCTCACAGAGGGGGATTTGGCAGGGTCATGGGACAATAGTGGAGGGAAGGTCAGCAGATAAACAAGTGAACAAAGGTCTCTGGTTTTCCTAGGCAGAGGACCCTGCGGCCTTCCGCAGTGTTTGTGTCCCTGATTACTTGAGATTAGGGATTGGTGATGACTCTTAACGAGCATGCTGCCTTCAAGCATCTGTTTAACAAAGCACATCTTGCACCGCCCTTAATCCATTTAACCCTGAGTGGACACAGCACATGTTTCAGAGAGCACAGGGTTGGGGGTAAGGTCACAGATCAACAGGATCCCAAGGCAGAGGAATTTTTCTTAGTGCAGAACAAAATGAAAAGTCTCCCATGTCTACTTCTTTCTACACAGACACGGCAACCATCCGATTTCTCAATCCCTTCCCCACCCTTCCCGCCTTTCTATTCCACAAAGCAGCCATTGTCATCCTGGCCCGTTCTCAATGAGCTGTTGGGCACACCTCCCAGACGGGGTGGTGGCCGGGCAGAGGGGCTCCTCACTTCCCAGTAGGGGCGGCCGGGCAGAGGCGCCCCTCACCTCCCGGACGGGGCGGCTGGCCGGGCGGGGGGCCGACCCCCCCCACCTCCCTCCCGGACGGGGCGGCTGGCCGGGCGGGGGGCCGACACCCCCACCAACCTCCCGGACGGGGCTGCTGGCCAGGCGGGGGGCCGACCCCCCCACCTCCCTCCCGGACGGGGCGGCTGGCCGGGCGGGGGGCCGACCCCCCCACCTCCCTCCCGGACGGGGCGGCTGGCCGGGCAGAGGGACTCCTCACTTCCCAGTAGGGGCGGCCGGGCAGAGGCGCCCCTCACCTCCCAGACGGGGCGGCTGGCCGGGCGGAGGGCTGACCCCCCCACCTCCCTCCCGGACAGGGCGGCTGGCCGGGCGGGGGGCTGACCCCCCAACCTCCCTCCCGGACGGGGCGGCTGGCCGGGCAGAGGGGCTCCTCACTTCCCAGTAGGGGCGGCTGGGCAGAGGCGCCCCTCACCTCCCAGACGGGGCGGCTGGCCGGGCGGAGGGCTGACCCCCCCACCTCCCTCCCGGACGGGGCGGCTGGCCAGGCGGGGGGCTGACCCCCCCACCTCCCTCCCGGACGGCACGGCTGGCCAGGCGGGGGGCTGACCCCCCACCTCCCTCCCGGACGGGGCGGCTGGCCAGGCGGGGGGCTGACCCCCCCACCTCCCTCCCGGACGGCACGGCTGGCCAGGCGGGGGGCTGACCCCCCCACCTCCCTCCCGGACGGCACGGCTGGCCAGGCGGGGGGCTGACCCCCCCACCTCCCTCCCGGACGGCACGGCTGGCCAGGCGGGGGGCTGACCCCCCCACCTCCCTCCCGGATGGGGCGGCTGGCCGGGCTGGGGGCTGACCCCCCCCCACCTCCCTCCCGGACGGGGTGGCTGCCGGGCGGAGATGCTCCTCACTTCCCAGATGGGGTGGCTGCCGGGCGGAGAGGCTCCTCACTTCTCAGACGGGGCAGCTGTCGGGCGGAGGGGCTCCTCACTTCTCAGACGGGGTGGTTGCCAGGCGGAGGGTCTCCTCACTTCTCAGACGGGGCGGCCGGGCAGAGACGCTCCTCACCTCCCAGACGGGGTCTCGGCCGGGCAGAGGCGCTCCTCACATCCCAGATGGGGCGGCGGGGCAGAGGCGCTCCCCACATCTCAGACGATGGGCGGCCGGGCAGAGACGCTCCTCACTTCCTAGATGTGATGGCGGCTGGGAAGAGGCGCTCCTCACTTCCTAGATGGGATGGCGGCCGGGCGGAGACGCTCCTCACTTTCCAGACTGGGCAGCCAGGCAGAGGGGCTCCTCACATCCCAGACGATGGGCGGCCAGGCAGAGACACTCCTCACTTCCCAGACGGGGTGGCGGCCGGGCAGAGGCTGCAATCTCGGCACTTTGGGAGGCCAAGGCAGGCGTCTGCTCCTTGCCCTCGGGCCCGCGGGGCCCGTCCGCTCCTCCAGCCGCTGCCTCCCGGGCGGCGCTCCTCAGCATTTCTTTACTCTTTTTTTTTTTTGAGACGGAGTCTTGCTGTCACCCAGCCTGGACTTACACCATGTTCTTTAAGGTGGGAGCCTACTGATTTCCCCCGACCCCAGACTGGGCGGCGGCCTCCAGCTTGCCCTCGAAGGTGAAGTCCAGCAAGTCGGGCTTGAGGCAAAGGCTGCAGTTGATGGGGGAGACATCGGCAGGCAGCCGCTCGAAGGGCCTCTTCTCCGGCATCGCGGCGAGGCCCAGGCTGTGGAGGCGGCGGCCACCACATTGATATTTGTACTTCTTCACATACTCAGCTCTAAAGAGTTGAACTAGAGGGTCTCACCTTTTCTGTTCAAACCAGAACTGTATACCTTTGTGAAAGAGCACATATTTTATATTTGAAGGAAAGCTAATCTAATAAATTCCTAGGTTTAATCAGTGATTGTCTCCTAGAATCAACTTTACTTACACACACACACACACACGCGCGCGCACACCCCACTAGTGAGATGTTTTACTTTTAAACATGTATTTCTTGAATGCTTGACCCTTACAATGTATCATGTACTGTATTATAGAAGTATAATCGATAACCATGTTATAGACAACTTTTTTCAACAATTAAGGATTAACTCTACTATTACATTGCAAATATTAGCAAGAAAATCAACCGGAGATAATGCATGCCTTGTTTTCACCTAATTATAAAAATTATCTTAAAAGGTTATGACTTATATAATTAGAAGTCATAATTATGCATAATTATATATTTGAGTTTAAATTATATTAAATTAAATATTCTGAATTTAAATTATCTTTGTTTTATAATTAAGCCATTCTCATAATTTGTATAAAAATCCTTTAACAAAAAAATTAGATCTAATCTAAAATTTTAAGAAAGACCTTTTTTTTTTAAAAAAAGTCATTAATTTTCAGTCATCTTTTGGACTGACATTTACATGTAAAGAGATATAGGTTATTATTTTTGCATTTAAATTATCTACAAGGGTAAATAAAAATCATTAACAAAAGATTGTTTTGAATTTTCAAATTTAAATTAGTGGACTTCCTAAACTTTGGGATAATTTCGGTAAATGTTTTTTGCTTCAAAATTACAAACTTCTATACAATTATAAATGTAATTTTCACCTAACTTATTTAATTTGAGATAAATTCAAAGATATCATGAATAGTTATTATAACTTTTAACTACACTATATTTGAGATACTTATTTTTATAACACTTTAAGAAAAAAATTACAGGTCATGCATTATTCCCACTTCTTTTTATTGTTAATTTATCTCATTTATAAAAAGTGATCTCTGTGTTCTGGGGGAAAAAAAGCTTTCACTATGACATTATATCCATTTTCTCTCTTCAATAAATTTATAAAATTTTCACAGTTAAGTGTAACTTATTCAAAAAATGTTAGTTAACAAGATTTTTAAGTACATTTTATTAGCAAAGTTCCTAGAATCACTTAGATCCCTAAATTTAATTTCCTAGTTAGTTACTGAAAGGATTACTTAACTACTATAATCAGATACCTTTACAACATCAACAAAATCAATGGAACAAAATGTCAAAATAGAAGAAATCTGTCATGTTTCTGCTGGGAGCCACTTATTCCTATATATTCTAATATAAAAAGATGATGTAAAACAAAATAAACAGTTACTGGATTTATCATGGTTTTCTCCTTTGTGAATTAAGCACAAACTTAATGGTCAATGCCAGTCAAAACAGCTTCTTCACAGTTATACACATAAACTAAACAATGAATATATAAAAATATATCCTTTTCTCCAGAGGAAGCCCAGTTAACTTCCTGAACAGGAAGAATTAAAAACAACCAAAGAAACAAACAAAAAAAATGCAACATGCTGTACCAAGTACCAGAAAAAATTCATCAATGAGTGTATTTTTGTTGTTGAGAAATTTTCAACTCTAAAAAAGGTAATATTACAAACATCTGTGTTCCCACCAACTAGAATTTATAACAAATGACATTCACGTTATGCAATCAAATTCACATAAATATGAAACCATATTTGGTTCACTTTATGTACACATAAAGGAATAACTAGAGATAAAGTTGACGCCCACTGTTCACCACCCCCAGTGGCATTCCCCTTCTTTACCTCCTTACTAGCAACCACTATCATGAAATTGGTATGTGGCCTCCTAATTCATTTTCCACATTGTCAGTTACATATTTAAATAACAGAATGTGTTTCATATATTTTTTCAGTTTTCATAAATGATACCATACTGAAAGTACTTGCTTCTTTTAATTCCACATTTTTGAGATCTACTACTGTATCTATCGATCTACTTTGTTCCTTTTAACTATGCTTTTATCAAGTAGCGAATCACATATGCATAGCACATTTTATTTATCCATTCCCCTGCTGATGGACATTTAGGTTATTTCTAATTTTTCACAATGTCAATGCTTTAACACATATCCTTTCTGTACAAGTTTCTTTGTTCACTTGTGTTTCTCTAAAAGACAGTTTCTCAACCTCAGAATTCTTGATATGTTGGGCCAGATAATTCTTTTATTATGGGGGGGTCTGTCCTATAAATTGCAGAATGTTTAACAGCAACCCTGGCTTCTACCCACTAGAAGCCAACATTACTCCTGAGGTGTGACAACAAAAAGTATCTCCAAGCATTGCCAAATGTCCCTTGAGGGGTAAAACCGCCCCTATTCAGAACCACTGTTCTAAAGTCTATACAAAAGTAAAATTCATGGGTTATATGTATTGATATATTTTCCATTCTACCGGATACTGTCCAACTGTTCTCCAATCACTCTATCAACTTAAACTCCCACCAGCATATAATACCTCTGGGTTCCAAACATCCTTGCCAAAATTTGATAATGTATGATGATTTCAGTTTTTCCAATAAAATACATCTTTCATTTTCCAAAGGGAGACCGTCACTGGAACCATTCAAGAATAACAGGTACATATGCACCACTTCTAAGCAATTATAAGATAAAAACTCTAAGCTTAAACGAGGTAAATTACCTACATTATATTTCCTTCTTCTTTGCCTTTGTTCTGTTAGGCCCTTTTTTCTTGGCATACATGCATATTAGTATTAATATAATGAATTAATTCTAACTTTATAAAATTTATTTTACCTGTAAGCTTCAAAATTATGATACTTGGTCCACATTTCTTAATAAAACTTTCAAGAGAATACAAAGAGTTTTAAATAACTCGCTTCAAATCTTTCGAAAGAGATCATGACTTATCAAAGATTCATCACTCTTACACTTTTAATTGCTGGCCTGTACATGTAAAGGCAGACTGGATATTCACAATGGAAATAACTATTTCTAAATTCTCTATCTATAAAACAATTTATTGAGCAAACTGACTCTAAAAATGGAGTCAGATTGAATCAAGATGATAGACTAAACATACATTCTGCCTTCCCCTCCCACCCTAAATCCACAGAAATTAGATACACAATTTCTAGTTCCTGATTTTCAGTTCCCTATAAAAATTAACTGCAATTCCTGCTTATCAGTTCTATGAGATAACTTTGTAGCTTTTTAATATAAACTCTCACTTGGATAAGCAATCTTATATGGGTTTCTGTTACTGGCATTCAAAGAACCTTGTCTAACGGCACATTGAAATAATAATGATTCCACTGATAATGATTCTAACATAACCAGACTAGAAAGCCAAGGCAGGCCAGAAACTAAGAGGAATACCAGAAAGACAGAAAAGACCTTATTGTAGCTTAAAAAAAATTTTTTTTAATTAAAAAGAATCCTGTACAAATTGCTGCAAAATATAGGAGTTGCTGTTGCTCTGAGGGTGACCCAAGTACAAAAAAGTCATGTACTTGAAGCTAAAGGAATTCTTAGAGCTATCAACAACATGCATAATAAGAATACCCAGGCAGGCTACTCCTTCCCCACCTCTCACCTGCGGCACTACACCCCACGGCCAAGCAACTAGTAGGAAAAGTATCTGTCCTCTCGGGAAGGAGCAATGAGCATGGGCCCTTGATTAAAACCAAATTATTTAGAAGCCTTGTGCTCAATCTAAAGAATACATACCTCAACATTTTGTAATAAGTAATCATTAAAGATTTCTGGACAACTATATACAATGATCAAAGCAGTGTTTTAGGAAGATTAATCCAGTATCAGTAAAAATGAACTAAGGGGAGAAAAAAAATACAGATAGCAAAGTCAGTCGAGAAACAGTACAGATATAGTGGGGCCTGAAATCCAGATAGAGACCTTATGGAACAGAAAGAAAGACACAGATTAATCTAAATATATTGATAAAAATAGGTCGGGTGTGGTGGCTCACACCTGTAATCCCATCATTTTGGTTGGCGGAGGTGGGTGGTTCACTTGAGGTCAGGAGTTCAAGACCAGCCTGACCAACATGGTGAAACCCCATGTCTACTAAAAATACAAAATAAGCAGGGTATGGTGCCGCATGATTGTAATCCCAGCTACTTGGGAGGCTGAAGCAGAAGAATCACTTGAACCCGGGAGGCGGAGGTTGCAGTGAGCTGAGATCGTGCCATTGGGCTCCAGCCTGGGCAACAAGAGCAAAACTCCATCTCAATAAATAAATAAATAAATAAATAAATAAAAATATATTGATAAAAATAGAATGAACTTGTTGAACGACTTGATACGATAAGAGGAAAAGACAGGGTGAAGATTGTTTTCATTTATTTTATTTATTTATTTACTTATTTATTTATTTATTTTGAGACAGAGCCTCGCTCTGTTGCCCAGGCTGGTGTGCAGTGGCGCAATCTCGGCTCACTGCAACTGCCATCTCCCAGGTTCAAGCAATTCTCCTGCCTCGGCCTCCTGAGTAGCTAGGATTACAGGCATGCGTCACCACGCCCAGCTAATTTTTGTATTTTTAGTAGAGACGGAGTTTCACCATGTTGAGTTAGGCTGGTCTCAAACTCCTGACCTCGTGATCTGCCCACCTCGGCCTCCCAAAGTGCTAGAATTACAGGCATGAGCCACCATACACGGTCTGTTTTCATTTATTTAATCCTTAAGAAAACAGTTATTAAAATCTTTATTATAATATCCCTAGCACTTAGCATTCATTATTAAATTAATCTTAGGATTATAAGGTCTAAAATGATACTAGAGTTTGGCGCCTGAGATGGTCGTATGAGGCAATAAAGACAGAAGTCTTGAGAGAACACTAGATTAAAAATACTAATGGTTATTTCCATTTTAGAAATGCTGAGTTTTTTCCTGTGAATTTCATTTTTGTTTTAAAAAGGTATTTTTATACTAAATTTATGTATAAAAGTTTTTAACTTTGCATTATGAAGTACTTGATACATGCAAAAGAATACATGTATTAGTTACAGATATGTTACAAAGCATAAAAATAATATGAACATGATAAACTTACCTATAAACCTAAGAAGTAGAACACTACCAATATCTTCAAGCTCCTGGTATATTCCTCCATAATTCTAATCTTCTGCCCCCCTCATACATAGATAATCATTATCCCAAATTTTATCTTAATCATACCCTTTTCCTTAATGTTTTACTCTATATTTATGAACAATTAAACAATATATTGCTTAGTTTTTAACTTGTTTTGAAGTTTCTCATTGAAAATAGTATCATACGTATTTTTCAGTGAAGAAACACTACATATTTTTTCATTAAATATTATGTTTCTAAGATAATCAATGTGTACACATGTGGCTTTAGGTCATTCATTTGCACTGCTATATAACATTGCAATGTATAAATATGCCATAACTTTTTCATCCTATCTCCTACTGATGTATTTACAGGTTTTCAGTGTTACAAGCAGTGCTTTTATGAAGTATTCTTGAACATATCTCCCAGTGCACACCTCCAAGAGTTTCTCTCACACAACCACAAGTGGAATTGTGTTGAAGGTAATGTGCATGTTCCATTTTACAAGATAATGCCAAACTGTCTTTACTTTATTACAAAGACAAGTTATTAAAATTTGAAAGCCAGTACCAAAGAACAACAATGTAAAACACATGCTTAATTAAATGTATGTCACAGACAAGCAAACAAATTCACAATAAAAATAATCATCACCATTCTGAATGTCACTGCCCAGCATCACAGGCTAAAATTATATAAGCACCTCATAGGAAACTGTCTCCTTACTCCCTTCTCTTCTCTCGGTGAAATCATTACCATTTCTATGTGTTACTCTCTTGGACAAGGTTTTCTGGGTACCAATAACAGAAACCCACACAAAGTTGCTTAGCCCAAAGTGACAACTTTTATTAAAAAGAAATAATGGTCTCCCACAGAACTGATGAACAAGAATTTTACCATAGATCTTTACAAGAGTCTGGAAATCAGAACCGCAAAGCTGCCAGGAATTAAGGCTATTGCATCTCTCAGGGACTTCAGACCTCCCTGGCAGTGGGCATCATTTTGTTTCCCACATGCCAGTCCCCTCTGTTTTTATAATGACCACAGGCTAGCTATGGCTGTCTCAGCCTCAGTTTTACATGTATTTCTAGAAGAAAAGCCTTACAGAATCAAACTTGCATCTCTGCCATCCATCATTTTTAAATTGTTGAAAACTACTTAGCCCAGTTTAACATACAGTCCTACTCATGGTCCTAACAGCTATGTATCGGGAATACGAGAGTCCCACTTACATAGCTGCAAAGGCCCACCATTGGAGCAGAAGTATCACTTCTCAGACAAGAAGGGCTCAAGCTGAGCAGGCAACCAAGAAAGCATCTAGAACAATAACCAGTGAAAAACAGTATAAAGCATAAAGGAGAGCCACTCTGAGACGCCTAACTGTAATTCCACACAACTCAGAGCCCTGGAATCAGCATTTTAAGGTGAAATAAATAAATTAAATAGTCAGTAATTCTGAGAGCAGATACCAGCTTATCACTGGCTATACATACCACTCTCCATCCCAGTGTCAAAAGCCATTTATGACCCTTTCTGACAGCCTACTTTTTATGTTTCTCCTATCCCTCCCATTCTTCATCAAACTCCCTGCAGCATATGATGCAATTAACTACCCCTGACTTAAACCTCTCTCTTTACTTGATTTATCTGACGAGGTCGTCTCCTGGTTCTTTTCTGACCTGTCAGTTTTCTTTACTCGCGTATTTTTCTCTGTTTAAGTTTTAAATATAGGTACTTCTTAGATATGACACCAAAAGTATAAATAACAACAGAAAAAATAGATAAACTGGGTATCATCAAAATTTTAAATTATTGTGTTTTTCTTTTCTTTTCTTTTTTTTTTTTTTTGAGATGGAGTCTCGCTCTGTCATCCAGGCTGGAGTGCAGTGGCGCGATCTCAGCTTACTGCAAGCTCCGCCTCCAGGGTTCACGCCATTCTCCTGCCTCAGCCTCCCAAGTAGCTGGGACTACAGGTGCCCGTCACCACGCCCGGCTAATTTTTTTGTATTTTTAGTACAGACAGGGTTTCACCATGTTAACCAGGATGGTCTCAAAGTCCTGACCTCATGATCCGCCCGCCTTGGCCTCCCAAAGTGCTGAGATTACAGGCATGAGCCACTGTGCCCAGCCAAATTATTGTGTTTTTCAAACGACAACTCAACAATTCACTTTAGTCATGTGAAAAGACAAGCCACAGAATGGGGGAAAAATGTTTCTAAATCATATATGAGACTTGTATCTAGAATATATAAAGAACTCTTAAAATTCAATGATAGAAGGACAATCGACCCAATTAAAAAATAGGAAAAGAATCTGAATACACATATCTCCAAAGAAGATATTCAAATGGCCAGAAAGCACATGAAAACATGCTCAACATCATTAGTCATCATGGAAATGCAAATCAAAACCACAATGGGAAAGTAGGGAGCAAAATGGCAAAGTAGGGAGCTCCAAGTTCTCTCTACCCATTGAAACATCAAAAAATAAGCAGTAACTATAAGAACCAGTTTTGTCAAAATCATGGAACAGTCGAAGTTGTATAATAGCCAAATAAATGTTGAATCAAGAGAAAGGCAACTTCAAAAGCTTTATAATATTTTTTCATGCCCTAGCCCCATCTCTTCCCTGGTACAAATGGCGGCCTTAGGCTGTCTTCCCTGTGTGTCTTCCCTCTCTGGTTCCAGAGAGAGCAGAATAGACTGTATTTGGAAATTATTGTGTATATCTGTTCTAACCTGTCTGGGAGCTACCTTAATGACTGATGCAAGATGCTCCACTCTATTTTACCTAAGAACTCAGGCTACAAAAGCAGCAATCATCTTGAAAACATGCCAAGTAGAACTAATAACCCATAGATGCCTGAGACAAAAGATTCCTGTCTAAACATACAATAGTCACCTAATGCCCAGAAGCTGGAGATAATTTATTTGATAAATTAGGAGCATAGAGGGGAATTTGGAAGACAGCACTATAACATGCATCATCAGAAAAAACTTGTGAGAACTCTAAGCTTCCACCTTGGACTGCTTCCTAGGCTCAGTGCAAGCCTGGCTAACTATTGAAGGAGTACTCCCAAAGAGAGCCAATCCACGAAGACTGGGAGAGACATTCTTCTTCTGTTTGCTGGGTTTGTTTTTTGTTTTATCTCTTGACATTCAAGGCAGTTTTGTCACGACTCTAGCTAAACACAAGGTAAAGAACAGAGAATTTACTGACCACACATAACAAGGAATAAAGTCTTTGCAAAAACACTTTGGGAAAACAACTAAACAAGTCAGGCATGGTGGCATGTGCCTGTAGTCCCAGCTACTTGTGAGGCTGATGCAGGAGGATCCCATGAGCCCAGGAGTTCCAGCCTGGGCAACATAGTGAGACCCCATCTCTTAAAAAATAAAAACAAAATGTACTGTTACAACCTGACTCAAGAAGAAACAGAACCTAACCTGACTCAAGACTTAATAGTGTTGATCCCCATTACATTACAGGATCCTTCAGGACAAAAATTCTGTCTTGACCAATCTATGCAAGACACAGTAGAAATCCCACTAGAGTTTAAGACACACTAGACTTAAATGTGCAAAGGAAGGAAGGAAGATAGCAGTAACAATAACACTTACCTCTTATGTATTATCAGAATTATCACAGAATATACATTAAAATGAATTTGTAAAGTAGATCTTATTCAGATGCAGGATGAGTATTTTAAAAGATATATTTACTAAATGTAAATGTCATACTGCAAATCTGTCACTCTTCAATATCAAAAGTTACACTAGGGAATACTGGGCATTGATCTCAAGTTCCTGTGAAATTACTTCCATAACACAGAACTTACCTGGGTCCAAGAGAGCAAAGCACTCTTCCAGTACTCTAGAGAATACTCGATCCTGATTAGTGGTTCCCATTTCTATTTTTAGAGAGCAAGGTCTGTGACTTACTCTCATTTCTAGCCCTATGACAATGATTTTTTCAAGGAGACCAAGTATCAGTATATACAGGGGGGCATATGCAATTTGGGAACAAAAAATCATTTTGTCCATTTTTGTCTTAGAGTTACTCTGAATTTTCAAATAACATAAAAGAAGGATCTATCAAAGTGGGACATGGAGGCCAGGCATGGTGGCTCACACCTGTCAAATGCCAGCACTTTGAGGGACTAAGGCAGGAAGATCACTTCAGGCCAGGAGTTCACAACGAGCCTGGGCAACAGAGCAACATTCCATCTACAAAAACAAAAAAATTAGCCAGGCCTGGTAGCACACCTGTAGTCCCAGCTACTCAGGAGGCTGAGGTGGAAAGATCGCTTGAGCCCACGAGTTTGAAATTACAGTGAGCTATGATGGTACCACTGCACTCTACCCTGGAAGAGAGAGCAAGACTATGTCTCTTAAAAAAAAGGGGGGGGAGGCCGAGGTGGGAGGATCACGAGGTCAAGAGTTTGAGACCAGCCTGGCCAACACAGTGAAACCCCATCTCTACTAAAAATATTTAGCCAGATGTGGTGGCACATGCCTGTAGTCCCAGTTACTCAAGAGGCTGAGGCTGAACGATCACTTGAATCCGGGAGGCGGAGGCTGCAGTGAGCTGAGACCATGCCGTTGGACTCCAGCCTGGGCGAAAAGAGTGAAATTCCATCTCAAAAAAAAGAAAAAAGAAAAATGAAAAAAGTTGGGCATGGGCTGAGACGCTTGGCACCATGAGGTCCTTAGATGAAATGAACAACTTAAGACATAAAAAGACAACACCATTGAGAGTTTATGTCCACCACTCCTCTATTGCTGGGACTACCATAATGTAATAACCTCTTAAGAGGTCTACTACCTCCACTACAGCAACCACCAGAACTCATCTTAGTCAGACCAAAGTGTTCCTTACTAAGATGAAGTCTTTACTCAGCTGCAATATTTGTCTGAATTCAGTCAATCACTTATAATAAAACTGTCATTTTTTTTTTGAAATTTACTTAGTGGAGGGGACAACTGGAAGGATTATGGGATTTGGAGTCACTGCAGGCCAAGACAGCTGTTCAGAGGGAAAAAAAAAATTAAAGACCTCCTGTCAGCGACTTATCATTCAAATCTACAAAATTCAGTCCTTTTTCAAGACAAATGCAACTAATCAGCTGAAAGATACACCTTTATCCATTAAACATATTTCATATAGTTTTTTTTAACAATGTAAAATATCAAAGTTGAAAAGAACCACCTTAAACATAAGGAATAATGGCACAATTTTTTAACTAGCTCAGTGTTAACAACTATTATAGTACTTCTCAACTCCTTTTTCATGTAATCATTATATGAAATTTCTTTAACAGAGTTAGCCTGATAAAATAATAATTCACTCACTGCCATAGAATATTTCAGGAAATGAAATATTTGTAGAGCAGAGAGAATATCTACCATTTGTTTTTATTTTATACATAAACAAGGTTTATTAATCTGAGTGTTTGTTCTTGATCAAAGAAAAATAATATTCCCAGCAATCCCCAAACTAAAGCAAAAAACTGACTTAAGATTACAGACTTTGGAAGAATTAGATTTGAGGAAAGAGGGACCTGACTTCAATAACATGGACTTGCTGAGCATAAAATTCTAGGCATTTTATGTAAATCACTTCATTTTATGTAAAACTCTCAGAGGAAATTTCAGAGTGAGAAAATAAAAATCAAAAAAGGTTACAAAATTTTTCCAAGCCACCTAGCCAGTAAACAGTACAAGTAAAATTTCAGATCAGTCTTCTCTGACTCTAGGGTGTAATTCTATTATTCTCCCTTGCTTTCTCTGAAAAAATATGCCATGAGGGTGATTTCAAGCTAAAAATAAAGCAGTAAAGGATTTTTCAAAAAAAAAAAAGGGGGGTGGCTAAAGCAACATGATAGTCTAGCTAATACTTTAAATAATCTTTATTTAATACTATCAAACTTTCACACATTAACATAAATAATATTTGCGTAACTATAATGAGAGCTTTACTCAGCATCTACTGTGTCATGTTCTGCAAATAAACAGATCACAAGGACCTACCTCAAAAAGTTCATTAGTAATTACCAATTAATACACATTTCTTACCAAAACAAAGGCCCTAAATGAGATGAGCATCTTCAAGCCACCATCCCATGTACTCCTCTAACTTTGTACATGGCTTGTTCATCATATACTGATAGAACAGTCTTGTTACACATGTTCCTGGCCTGTTGCTCCTCCTGGTTGTCTGATTAGTGTCTAAAAATAGGTTAAATGCTGAGTTATTTATAATCTAAGCCTCTTTGTACAAATTTTGATATATGCTTTCTAGTGACTAGGTGGCCACCAATATCCTCCATACTACTCCTTTACTCCTTTTCAAAACATGTACCACTCTAAGGAATATATTTTATATCACAAACCCATACACATACACATTTAACTGAAACAAAATTTTTATAATAACCACCTTTACACTTACTATGCACAGTACACTTGATATTTTTAATTTTTTTTTATGCTGACAGCAGCCCATGAAGTATGTCACAAACCACTAACCTACACTAGAATACTGCTCTAGAATTCAACCCTACTAAGAGAGTGCTGAAATGACAAGAGTGGTTTTTCCTTCCTCTTCTCCGTACTGAAGTACGAAGTCAATAAGACAAGATAGGAAGGGGAAAAGCGAAGGTGCCCTCCAACACATTTGGAGAGCTAGCCCCAAAGGTCTGACTACTCCCCTGGCCACTAGCTTAGCAACAGCCAGCACCCTATTTATCCTAATCCCTCCTTTTCTTTCTCTTCCCACCCACTGGCATATTCCCAAAGGTTTTTCCTAAAAGAAGATGGTTCTTGGGGATTATTGTTATGAATGGACCTGTTTTTATTGGTTTGTTATTACTGTGAAATACATGACATAAAATTTACCATTGTGGTCAGGCACGGTGGCTCACGCCTGTAATCCCAGCACTTTGGGAGTCCAAGGCGGGGGCAGATCATGAGGTCAGGAGATCGAGACCATCCTAGCTAACATGGTGAAACCCCGTCTCTACCAAAAATACAAAAAAATTAGCAGGCATGGTGGCGGGCACCTGTAGTCCCAGCTACTCGGGAGGCTGAGGCAGGAAAATGGCATGAACCCTGGAGGCAGAGCTTGCAGTAAGCCGAGATCGCGCCACTGCACTCCAGCCTGGGTGACAGAGGGAGACTCCAACTCAAAAAAATAAAATAAAATAATTTACCATTGTAACCATTTTTAACTGTACAAATCAATGTTAAGTATATTCACAATGCTGTACCATCATTACCACTGTCTATTTTCAGAACTTTCATCATTCCAAACAGAAACTCTGCACCAATTAAACAATCATTCCCCAATGCTCCTCCTCCAGCCCATGGTAATCTCTAATTGATTTTTATAATACCATTTAATAAATATATACAAAATAAGTAAAAATAGAATTAAAAAACCCTATAGACAGATGACCCAGACTCAAAAATAATCAAATTTTGCTATAGTTATTCAACTGTCCCAGACCTATTTCACCACTACATACCGAAAACACACAAAAAGTACAAATTCTTCTTACATAATCCCAATGTCATTATCTCAACAATATCAATAATTCCTTGGTATCATCAAGTATTGAAATTTTAAAAATAAAATCAACTAAATTACAAAAAAGATTTGCTTCCACCAAAGTTTTCATTGATCCTCTCAATACTGCAATAATTTATAGTTTCTTAAATAAACTTTTTTATAAAGGATAATGGCTATTTAAGACAAAAAAAACTACAATGTTTCAAATGAAAGCTTACCATCAACTAATAACACTGGTCACCATACACACTGACAAACCACTAAGGAGAAGCTGCAGTGTTATGTATTTTTCCACTACAAATCTAGAACGTTATTTAGTATCTGAAAAATGAAAGGTTTCTCAGCAGAGCACCACAAAAATCACCCAGTAAAACCTGTTAGCATATTATTTATTTCCCATAAGCAATCATAACTAGAAAAGCCCATTTTGTCCAGTATTATTTTTTTAAATGGACTATTAGATAAACTTAAAAATCTAGATTTCTTTTGTTTAACCTCAGTTTTCTTAACAGTATTACAGAATGTGAAGACATGATTATCCACAAAAATCCCTTTGGTTTTGCAGAAAGGTCAAACTACAGCACTGAAGAGATACATGAATAAACTCTACTTAACAAACAATAGTAGTAACTGCTATTCCTATGAGGACTGACTTTGATGCACAAAAGTTTAAGTTTGACATAATAAAATCAAAAAATATCATTTTCAAAATATAAAATTAGAGGACATAAAACAGAGGCTCACTCAAACTTAACCTATAATTTTTCACATAGTACATTCACTAGTTAATAAGAAATTACCAGTCTGTGTTATATAAACAACCAAAGCTCAAAATAGGAAATACAAAGCCAAATGTAAACAAGAAAATAATCTACATGTGTTTTATAGTGTCTTTTCTAATCCTATGTATTTTTACTAATGCAAAATATATCAACTTAGTATAATCCTAACACTCTTTAAAGTTTGTGATTATAGGGATTACCTCCAAGATCAAAACCAGCACTGCATGAATACTAATATCACATGATCTAAAACTACACAAAAATTTGCTCTGCTCAAGTTTTGCATCACGAGTGTCTAAAGTAAATCAAGAAAATTAAAACACTTAACATGTTTAATAGGAAGTATTTGTGTATGTGTGTATTTAGATAAAGCCGTGTCGCTCTTTTTACCCAAATCACTTTCAAGTATTTGACTGAAGATCCTGCAACTTTTTAAAAGATAAATCAAGAAATGGCTGCTTTGTTTTCAATGTCTCTGTAACCTGAAAAAAACTGAAAAGCTACAAATGTAACACATTTGTGTAGCCAACATTTTTAAAATGATATCAAGTTTCAAAGATAAAAACCTCTGCATTGTCTTTATAATATTCTTAAATTTCATTATAATAAAAAATATGGTTTAAAAATGCAATCAGCTAATACATTCTACTTAGTCATCACTACTCAATGAGAGAAAATAATGGCTAAATGTTGAGTAAAAATAAAAGAACTAGAAAATAATTTGCAAGGTGTACAAGTAATTCTACATCATAAAACACTGTAGGTTGGGCATGGTGGCTCACACCTATAATCCCAGTACTTTGGGAAGGCAAGGTAGGAGGATTGCTTGAGCCCAGGAAGTTTGAGACCAGCTTGGGCAACATAGGGAGACCCTGCCTCTAAAACAAATTTTTTTTAGGTAGCTGGGCATGGTAGCACATACCTGTGGTCCCAGCTATTTCAGAGGATCACTTGAGTGGGGAGGATCTCCTGAGCCTGGGAAATCAAGGCTGTATTTAGAAGTGATAGCGCCACTACCCTGTAGCCTGAGCAACAGAGTGAGACTTTCTTTTTTTTTTTGACTTTACTTTTTTTCTTTTTGTTTGTTTGTTTTTTGAGATGGAGTCTCACTCTGTCATCCAGGCTAGAGTGCAGTGGCACAATCTTGGTTCATTGTAACCTCTGCCTCTTGGGTTCAAGCGATTCTCCTGCCTCAGCCTTCCAAGTAGCTGGGATCACAGGTGTGCACTACAACGCCTGAGTAATTTTTGTATTTGTTAGTAGAGACAGGGTTTTGCTATGTTGGCCAGGCTGGTCTTGAATTCCTGACCTCAACTGATCCGCCTGCCTCAGCCTCCCAAAGTGCTGGGATTACAGGGATGAGAAACCACACCCCGCCGAGACTGTTTCAAAAACAACAACAACAAAAAATTATATTTGTGTCTCAACTATAAACTATAAAAAGAAAAATCTAGGTCTATCAAATATTTTATAGAAATAAGTATTCTTAAACAGTAATTAGAGTTCTCTGATGGCTGTTATCCTAAATTATTGTAGGTCAATAAATTTACCTTTGGAAAACAAAAGTGTAATGTCAAGTACATAGTTTATAACCATTTTTTTAACTGAATTAATATTAAAAAATTCAGGTTTACCGTAAGTTAACTGTCAACATGAACTTCAACATCAAGAGACAGAAAAGTAAGTGTGTGAGAGCATGTGTGTGTGTGTGTGTGTGTGTGTGTGTTGTGGCTGGCAATCTTTTTAACTTTTTAAATAAAGTCACTAATTTCATCTTGCCTTCATGCCACTGCCTCTTTCATAAGTGTCATGAAAAATGTGAAGCTATGAGCCTGGCTGGTGGAAGTTGCAGTGAACCGAGATTGTGCCACTACACTCTAGCCTGGGCGACAGAGTGAGACCCTGTCTCAAAAAATAGTAATAATAATAATAATGTGGCTGGGCATGGTGGCTCACGCCTGTAATCCTAGCACTTTGGGAAGCCGAGGCGGGCAGATTCCCTGAGCTCGGGAGTTCAAGACCAGCCTGGGCAACATGGCAAGACCCCATCTCTACTAAAAACACAAAAATTAGCCAAGCGGTAGTGGCACATGCCTGTAATCCCAGCTACTGGGGAGGCTGAGGTAAAACAATCATTTGAACCCAGGAGGCAGAGATTGCAGTGAGCCGAGATCACGCCATTGCACTCCAGCCTGGGCGACAGAGCAAGACACTGTCTCAAAAAATTAATTAATTAACTACTACTAATAATAATAATAATGTGAAGTTGCCTGACCTGTGAGCAACATACACAACCAACGTTATGGGAAACTAACCATCAAATCAACAGGTAAAGCCTTATTCTGATATTTTCTTGCCTTCAAAAAAAAGTATCATTACTATCAACGTCCTTAACTCTTCTATATTAAAAGTATCATCAATTCTTTTATATTATTTGTACAATTTCAACCTCCTTGCCAGATTTAATTAACGCTTCTATTTTACTCAGCACAAGTATCCCTTATACAAAATACTTGGGACCAGAAGTGTTTCAGATTTTTTTTCAAATTTTTGAATATATGCATATACATAATGACATATCCTGGAGATGGGACCCTAGTATAAACATAAAATTCATTTATCTTTCATTTATACCTTATGTACATAGCCTTAAGGTAATTTTACACAATATTTTGTGCATAAAACAAAGTTCTCACTGTGATGCATCACAGGTCAGGTTTGATATTTTCCACCTCTGGTGTCACATCTGCACTCAAAAAGTTTTGGATTTTGGATCATTTCAGATTTCAATTTTTCAAAAGCTCAACCTGTAGTAACAATTTTTAAGTTGCAATATCTTGGGAACCCACTCAGAGTCATACACTGTCCTCAGTGCCTTTTACAAACATAACTGCAATACACCCACAATACACCTGCAAGGTAGTCGTTATCCCCAGTTTACAAATGAGAAAACTAAGTCTCAGAACAGTTGTCACTTGAGCATGATTGCATTACTAAGTGGTGGAGCCAGATTTTAATCCAGATCCATTTAACTTTAAGGTCTGTTTGCTCTTCCCACTATCCTAGGATCTCCCTTACACAAACCTTGTTCATGGATGAAAAACACATCTCCCACTATTTTTTTCCCCAGAAATGTATTTGGGACTGGGGCAGTGAGAGTAAAGTAATTTCCAGGACTAATTTTTGCAAATAGCAGGACATGGTTTTCCCCAAATGTGGTTTGCATTTTACCATTTCAAATATGAATATTAAGAATTACATTATTGGGGTGAAATTGGTCATTCAGTACAAAAAATAGTTCTAAAGAATGAATAAAACCTACTATTATATAGTGCAACTATTATTAACTATATTATTGTCTAGGGTGACTAGACAATAATAATAATGGTACATTCTAAAGTAACTAAAAGTGTAATTTGATTGTTTGTAATACAAAGAATAAATGTTTCAGGGGATGGATACCCATTCTCTATGTGTGATTATTTCACACTGCATGCTTGAACCAAAACATCTCATGTACTTCATAAATATATACACCTATTACATACCCACAAAAATTAAAAAATTTAAGAAACCAAAAAAGTAAAAATAAAAAAATACATTATTAATAGAGCAAGACTTAAAAACATCCATTAATCACACCACAAAAGATTTCCTACAAAAATACTGATGATTTTGAACAGAGCAAAGATCCAAAAGTTGGAGTAATGTATTGGTAAAAGTACTGCCAAACAGTATCTGTGTTTACTAAGTATAAACAATAATTTTCTAAGAATAAAATAATTATGTGAAGCTCAGAATTGCTTATACAGTTTGCCCTTGAACAACATGGGTTTGAACTCTGCCAGTACACTCGTGGATTTTTTCAAAACATATATTTAAAAAATTTTTTGGAGATTCACAACAATTTGAAAAAATTCAGATGAACCACACAGCCTACAAATATCAAAATTAATGCATAAAATACATGTAGATACCAGTCTATTTATGTGTTAACCAACTGTTTATATTGTCGGTGGGGCTTGCAGTAAACAGTAAGCTATTAGTAGTTAAGTTTGAGGGAGTCAAAAGTTATCAATGGATTTTCAACTGCACAGGGAGTGGGTACCCTTAACTCCTACACTGTTCAAGGGTCAACTACATTAGAATACTTCATTATAATACTAGAACCAATCAGAAAATATATCTATCTATACATGTTCTCTTTAAAATCAGAGAATATTTTCCAATTCTATCTGAAAATGTCTATTTCACTATTTTACCCTTACTCCTGAAATATATTTTCATCAGGTATAGAAATCCCGATTGGCAACTTTTTTTTTTTTTTTTTTTTGAGACAAACTCTCACTCTGTGTTATCCAGGCTGGACCGCAGTAGCACAATCACAACTCACTGCAGCCTCACTGGGCTCAAGCAATCCTCTAGCCTCAGTCTCCCAAATGGCTGTGCCTATGGTCTCAGCAGGGACCACCAGCACACGCCACCATGCTCGTCTAATTTTTTTAAAGTATTTGTAGAGATGGGGTCTTACTATGCTGTCCAGGTTGGTCTCAAACTATTGGGCCCAAGCAATCCTCCCACCTCAGCCTCCCAAAGTGCTGGGGTTACAGGCATGAGCCACCACACCCAGCCTAGATTGGCAAATTTTTTTCCAGCACATTGAGATATCACTCCAGTGTTTCCTGGCTTCCATTTTTGCCCCTGTATAGTCAGCTATCATTGTAACTGCCTCAGCTCCTTTGAAGGTAATCTTTTATTCTCTGGCAACTTTTAAGAGATTTTCTTTGTTGTTGATGTTCTTCATTTTACTATGATGTCTCTAGAAGCATATTTTCTTTACGTTATTCTGCTTGCAGTTCTCTCAGCTTCTCAAATTTGTCATGGTGCTTTTTATCAGCTCTGAAACATTCTCAACTATTATCTCATCAAATATTGTCTATTCCTTTCCCATTATTTTTCCCTTCTGCTCTTGGAAAACTAATGAAAGACATGTCACTTTCTCATTTTATGTAATATGTGTATGTGTGTGTTTATAAATATATATCTTACCCTCTTTCTTTTTGCCCATTTCCTTCTCTGTGATACATTCTGGATAATTTCTTCACTCATATATCTAGGTCATTGTGTATCTCTTTCTTTAGTTGTATCCAATCTGCTGTTAACTACACCCAACTTTTTCATTATAATTATTACTGCATTTTTCACTTGTAGAGGCTTCATTGCTTAGGTCTTTTTCAAATGTGTTAAGTTTCTTGTTCCCAGCAGATATTTTTCCATCAATAAATACAGTTGTTTTATAATCTCTGTCTGATATTTCCAATATCCAAAGTTTTTAAGGGTCTATTTCTGTCGTTTTTGCTGCCTCTTACTCATGGTATCATGTTTCCTTGTGTGCTTGGTTATAATTTACTGTGAACTAATTCTATGGAAAATTATTTGTGACAATTCCCTGGAGCCTAAAATTAAAATGTATTCTGAAAGGATTTTCATTTCTTTCTGTGAGGCATCTAAAACCACTTTAAGTTACAGCTTGAGGGATTTTTTTGGTACCAGGCAAAGTAAAATATGAACTGCAAATCCAAGAGAGAGAAGGCCAGTTGTTATAACTACTTAGGAGCGAAGAAGTATTTTTTTTTTTTTTTAGGTCCAAGGCAACTTTTCTTGCAGCCTCCTGTGGGCAAGAGCATAGCAGGGTTTTAATTTTGGTTCGCTCATACTCTACAGGCATGGCTCTTTGGAGTCTCAGTTTTATAGGGAAGGAATTTCTTATTAGACTCCCCACCTTGGGCCATCCTGGGCTTCCATTTCTATATCCTGTGCCTTGTGAGGCCTTCAAAAGCAAAGTAAAAGCTCCTCAGAATGTGGCAAATGTCCTCAGAAGAAAAGCAGTCTTTAATACTCTGCTTCTCTCTCTGAATTCCTGCCTTCATATAGATTCAGTCCTGGTAATTTGTTTTTTAATTTTAGGTTCAGGGGTACATGTGCATGTTTGTCATATACGTAAACTGCATGTCACAGGGGTTTGGTGTGCAGATTATTTCATCACCTAGGCAATAAACACAGTACTCAATAGGTACTTTTATGATCATCTCCCTCCTCCTCCCACCCTCAACCCTCAAGTAGGCCCCAGTGTCTGTTGTTCCCTTCTTTGTGTCCATGTGTACTCAATGTTTAGCTCCCACTTACAAGTGAGAACATGCAGTATCTGGTTTTCTGTTCCTGCATTAGTTCACTTGGGATAATGGCTTCCAGCTTCACCCATGTTGTTACAACGGACATGATGTCATTCTTTTTTATGGCTGCATGGTATTCCATGGTGTGTATGTACCACATTTTCTTTATCCAGTCTACCACTGATGGACATGTAAGTTGATTCCATGTCTTTGCCGTCGCGAACAGTGCTGCAATGAACATACGTGTGCATGTGTTTTTATGATATAAAAATTTATATTTCTTTGGGCATGTACCCAATAATGGGGTTGTAGGTCAAATGATACTTCTATTTTAAGTTGAGAAATCACCACACTACTTTTCCACAATGGCTAAACTAATTTACATTCCCACCACCAGTTTTTAAGCATTCCTTATTCTATAAAACCTCACCAGCATGTTATTTTTTGACTTTTTAGTAATAGCCATTGCTGACTGGTATGAGATGGTATCTCATTGTGGGTTTGATTTGCATTTCCCTAATGATTAATGATGCTGAGCATTTATTCATATGCTTATGGCTGCATATGTATGTCTTCTTTTGAAAAGTGCCTGTTCATGTTCTTTGCTCAATTTTTAATGGGATTGTTTGTTTTTTGCTTGTTCAATTGCTTAAGTTCCTTATTGATTCTGGATATTATACCTCTGTTGGATGGATAGTTTAGAAATATTTCCCCCCATTCTGTAGGTTGTCTGTTTACTTTGCTGATGATTTCTTTTGCTGCTACGCATGTTAGCTCTGAAAGAATAAACCTTTTTAATATATTTTATCCTGCTCTTCTAGTTGTTTTCAGAAAATTACTTTGTCTATGTAAACAAGCTGACCATATTACCCTGTTTTCTATTTCAAAAGGTTTCATATTTTTATATCTTAATCACTAAAAGTTTCATTTTGTGGAACTACGTAACACTGACAGCAAAGAATAACCTCTTTACTCAACTTGATTCCACCAATACTGTCTAGAATAGAATCTTACCAAATCTAACAGATCAATCCTATTATACGGCTACTAATAGATAGTAAGATTCTGAAATTAAGTCTTCAAATAGAAATATGTATAACGGCTGTGGAATTTAGTGGTCTACTGATTGTCCCCCCACTAGCAATACTTAAAATGTACAAAAATTGGCCGGACACAGTGGCTCATGCCTGTAATCCTAGCACTTTGGGAGGCTGAGGCAGGTGGATAACGAGGTCAGGAGTTCGAGACCAGCCTGGCCAAAATGGTGAAACTCCATCTCTACTAAAAATACAAAAATTAGCTGGGCACGGTGGCGCATGCCTGTAATCCCAGCTACTCGAGAGGCTGAGACAGGAGAATCGCTTGATCCCGGGAGGCAGAGGTTGCAGTGAGCCAAGATCGTGCCATTGCACTCTAGCCTGGGTGACAGAGTGAGACTCGGTCTCAAAAAAAGTACAAAAATTAAGTATTTGAAACAACTGGAAGCTTAGCCAGTGTGGTGAAAAGATAATAAATAAAGGAGAACTGAGTTCAATCTTGTTTCTGCCAAGAAACAGAGTCATAAGAAACAATAACAAAAGCAGAAATCACCAAAAAGGGGAAATAACCCAAACGTTTATTAAATTGTTAATCGTCCACAAATCTACATGAAATAAATGATTTTGCTAGAAAAACACAAATTACCAAAATTGATCCAAGAAATGAGAGAAATTTAACACATAAATAACCAAGGAAGAAGCTAAGAGAATAAACAAAGGAATACTCCACAAAAAGCACCAGGCCTACACAAATAGGTGAGTTATTTCAATGACATGCTCTTTAAACTGTTCCAGAGCACAGAGAAAGGATATTATTTTGATGAAACCTGTAAAACAGTGATGTTAAACTTCACAAAGAGAACACATAAATAGAACTGCATGCCTGTTTCGCTTATGAATGACTATGGCTACAAACATCCAAAAGAGTATTAGCAAGTAGAAATCCACACTATATTACAAAGTAATATACAATAAATGTTCACTCTAAGAACATAACAATATTTTGATACTAGAAAAATCTGTTAATATAATTCACCATATTGGAAGGACAAAGGGTGGAAAATATAACTATGTCAAGAGAAACCCAAAAAGGCATTTGATAACAGTCAACATCCACACCTTACAGAAATTATGTTATATGTGATTTTAAAGAGCACACACACGCATACCCACACACCCTAACCAAAGTCAGCACAATGTTTAACGGAGCAATATTTGAAACATTGCCATTAACATCAGGCATCAAACAAGGAGCCTGGCTGCCATCACTATTAATTAAATTTATTCTGAAAGTGGTAGCCAAAGGAATTAGATAAGCCAACAAAATAAAAAGGCGTAAATATTAGAAAGGAAGATGGAACATTCACCAATGTTTGTAGGTATTTTCTACCTAGAAAACCAAAGAGAATCAACTGAAAAACTATCAAAAATCATGAAAGTAAACATGTGAGACCAACCAAAAAAAATTCATAAAGAGAATAATGAGGGAAGTCTGGTCCTATTCAGATATTATAATGTACTAAGAGCTACAGGAACTTGTTACTGATACATATAGAGACAAACGGCTCAATGGAATAAATCCAAGATTTCAGAGACAGATCCAAGAACATATGGGCATTTTGAATTTAATAAAGGTGGTGCTTCAAATCTGTGGAAAAAAGGTAACTTAATAAATTATGCTACAAAAGTTGTCGAGCCATTTGAAAAAAAAATAAATTTGGTTCCTTACTTTCTCTGTACACAGAAAAAATATTTTCAAATAGGTCAAAGACTTATACATAAAAATATGAAACCATAAAAATGTAGCATCAATTAAGTGTTAACAGTTTTATAATTTTGGAATAGGGAAAGTCTTTCTAACATTATCCCAAAACCAAAAATCGTAAACAAAAAGAGTAATATATGAGACTACATAAAAATGTAATAGTTCTTAATAAGAATTTTAAAAATATATAGCAAATTTAAAAACAATGTTGGGAATATTTCCAATATATGATAGGCATAGAGTTAAAGATACAATACTCAAGTGCACCTGAAAATCAGTAAAAAAAAAAAAAAAAAAAAAAAAGTGAATATCCCCAAAAATAAACAAAGGCTCAAACAGGCAATAAAGAAAGAAAAATAAAAGCAATCTATCAATTTTTGCCAACAGACTAACCAAAAACAATGATTTACAACACCCTCTGATAGCAATGTTCTAAACAAATTAGTTCTCTCCTGCACTAAAAGCTGAGGTATAAATTATCTTTCTATAAGGCAGTTTTGCAGTTAAGTACCAAAATTTCTATTACACATACCCTCTCATACAATAATCTCAACTCCAGAAATATGCTTAGGGTACTATCAGTGCATAAGGATTTGTGAAAGATGAAATTTGAGAGAAAAAAAAAAAAAACAGAACACAAAACTGATTAAGTTACATGCTCAATTAAAATGTAAAAATTAGGAAACCAGGCCGGGCGAGGTGGCTCACGCCTATAATCTCAGCACTTTGGGAGGCCAAGGCAGACAGATTACGAGGTCAGGAGATCGAGACCATCTTGGCTAACACGGTGAAACCCCATCTCAACTAAAGATACAAAAAATTAGCTGGGCGTTGTGGTACGCACCTGTAGTCCCAGCTCCTCAGGAGGCTGACGCAGGAGAATCGCTTGAACCTGGGAGGCAGAGGTTGCAGTTAGCCAAGATCACACCACTGCACTACAGCCAGGGAGACAGAGCGAGACTGTCTCAAAAACAACAAACAAACAAAATTAGGAAACCATCTGAATAATTACAGCAATAAAGAACATTAAGTAAAATTGTTCAAGAAGAGTGAGAACAAAGGTCACTTTTTAAAATTGTACTTAATGTTGGTCAGGCATGGTGGCTCACGCCTGTAATCCCAGCACTTTGGGAGGCCAAGGCGGGCGAATCACCTGAGGCCAGGAGTTCAAGACCAGCCTGAACAACATGGTGAAACCCTATCTCTACTAAAAATACAAAAAAATTAGTCGGGCGTGGTGGCAGGCACCTGTAATCCCAGCTACTCAGGAGGCCGAGGCAGGAGAATCGCTTGAACCAGAGAGGCGGAGGTTGCAGTGAGCCAAGAATGCACCACTGCACTCCAGCCTAGGGGACAAGAGTGAAACTCCATCTCAAAAAAAAAAAAATTATACTTAATGTTGTACTTTGATTCTTAAGAAGACGAAAGTATAGACAGGAATTAATTCATTCCACAATTTTTGTAGTTTCATTTTTTGTATTTTAAGTTTGTGTAGCAAATTAAGTAAAGTTGCAAATTCTTTGTCATTTTCTCCACCAATAGATGGAGTTTAATTCTCTTCCTCTTGAATCTGGGCTGACTCTGTCTTCTTAGCCAACAAAATACAGCAGAAGTAATGCTCTATCAGTTCCTAGCCTAGCCTTTAAGGGGACTAGGTTTTTCCACTTTTTGCCTCTTGAAATGCTTGTTCTTAGAGCACTCCTTCTTAGAAACTACCAGTCATGGCCAGGCCACAGGAAAAGGCCTCATTTAGTACCTCTAGTAAATAGCCCTAGCTGAGCTCCTGGACAGCAGCCAGCATAAACTGCCAGCTATGTAAGTGAGCCATTTGGAAGTAGATAATCTAACCCCCACTGAGCTGACACCAGATGAAACGAAGATAAACTACCCTCAATGAGTCCTACAAAAATCATAAAATCATGAGTAAATAAATATTACTGTTGTTTTAAGCTGCAAAGTTTTGAAGCCATTTGTCACACGGCAGTTAACAACCAGAACAGCCTCTTATTTACTGCTGTATTTTTAACACATAGAACAGTACCTGGTATTGGACATCTATTTTTAACAAGCACGCCACCAGAAGTATTAAAGTAAAGATGTTATACGTGGCCCTGGCACTCACAGAGCAGTCAAAAGCATGACATAGACTAATGAGTAAAAAGGTAATTATAATTCACAATAAATATTATAATTCATAATTCATAATATTTATGTATTATGAGTAATACATAAATATTATAGTATAGAGTATTTGGCCAAACAGGAAGAGCACAACACAGACTTGGTAGTATAAAGAAGCTTCCTGGAACAGAGTGGCATTTAAGCTAAGACCTTACAAAAGTGAGTAAGATGAAGAGACAGAAAAACTACTCTGTGCCCAAGGCAAGCAAAAACATGAACAGTTCCAAAATCAAAGAATTTCAGTATTTTTTACTTTTTTACAAAATCACATAATATAAGGGAGGCAGAAGAGGGGGTCATGAGGCTGGGTGCAGTGACTCACGCCTGTAATCCCAGCACTTTGGGAGGCCGAGGCGGGCGGATCACGAGGTCAAGAGATTGAGACCATCCTCGCCAACATGGTGAAACCCCATCTCTAATAAAAATACAAAAATTTGCTGGGCATGGTGGCACACGCCTATAGTCCCAGCTACTCTACTCAGGAGGCTGAGGCAGGAGAATTGCTTGAACCCGGGAGGCGGAGGTTGCAGTGAGCTGAGATCGTGCCACTGCACTCCAGCCCGGCGACAAAGCAAGACTCTGTCTCAAAAAAAAAAAAAAAAAAAAGAGGGTGTCATGAGACTGGAAATAGGCAATGGAGAATATCAGGTTTTAAGCCACAGAATAAGAGAATCGTGAGAGCTTAAAAAGATTACCTACCTGGCTGCGGGGACACCAGTCAGAAGACCTTACAGAAACAAAGGCAAGAGATGATGGGGACCTGAACTAGAGAAGACATAGTAGGGATGAAGACACAATGGGTTCAAATCCACAGGGTTGAGTTTGATGCCTGTACATGAGGATGTAGAGAATGGAGTAAAATGTGTCTGCCACGTTTCTGGCTTGAATAACTAGGGAGATGGTAGTGCTGAGATTAAAAAAAAAATTAATTTAATTAAAAAACACACACTTGTAAAGATTTTTTGTAAGAGAAGAAGGTAAATTCTGTTGCAGACTTACTAAACTGAGTTTCCTGTGAGCCATTAAGAAGTGGAGTTATCCAGTAGGCAATCAGATACACAGATCTGAAAGTTCAGGGAGGAAATCAGGTTGGAGGTCTAAGATAACAGACTCTTCGGGCCAGGCCTAGTGGTTCACACCTGTAATCCCAGCACTTTGGGAGGCCGAGGCAGGCAGATCACTTGAGGTCAGGAGTTAGAAACCAGCCTGGCCAATGTGGTGAAACCCCATCTCTACTAAAAATACAAAAATTAGCTGGGCATGGTGGTGGGCGCCTGTAATCCCAGCTACCCAGGAGGCTGAGGCAGGAGAAGCCCCTGAACCTATGAGGCAGAGATTGCAGTGAGTTAAGGTCACACCACTGCACTCCAGCCTGGGCAACAGAGCGAGACTCCATCTCAAAAAACAAAAAACAAACAAAAAAAGACTCTTCAGAAGCTTTTTCCATCTTGGTGACACTACTCCCACACTATCTACTTTGTAACATTCAACCACTCAGTTACTATTCTATAATTTTCTGGCTGGGCACGGTGGCTCACGCCTGTAATCTCAGCACTTTGGGAGGCCAAGGCGGATGGATCACCTGAGGTCGGGAGTTCAAGAACAGCCTGACCAATAGAGATGGCCACCAGAAGAGATGGCAAAACCCCAACTCTACTAAAAATACAAAAATTTGCCAGGCCTGGTAGCATTCGCCTGTAATCCCAGCTACCCAGGAGGCTGAGACAGAAGAATGGGAGGTTGCAGTAAGATTACACCACTGCACTCCAGCCTGGGTGACAGAGCGAGGCTCCGTCTCAAAAAAATAAATAAATAAATAAATAAATAAAATTTAAATATATATCTATAATTCTCTGACCGTTTGTCTTTATGAAGTATCTGTCTCTCCTTTCATTAATTCTTCCATATCAGTAGTTTCATGTTATAAGGACACTCAACTTTAATCAATACTTTGCCACACCCTTTGCAAAGTGGAATACATGATTGCCACTGATCATGAAATTTTGTAGTAGTTTTGTGACAAGATGGGGACATTAGGGAAACTGATCAGGACCACTTCCCATACTGGTAGAAAGCATATAGTACTCCTGATCAAAGTAGAAAGGAGGTAAGGAGCAATTTTCTGAAAGAAAGGAGACAAGGTATATCTAGAAAATAAACAGGAAGCCAGAAAATCAGTAAGAGGGCAGAATCAATGGAGTCCAGAGAGAGAATCATGAAGCAGAAAGGGGGCCAGAGAAAGAAGAGTTCATACTAGGTGCTTCCCCATTCCTACCTCTCCCGTTCTGTCCTATCTTCACTGCATCCAGGTCTATTTATCACTTCCCAATGACTTCTATTAACCTCAGTTCTGACAATTACAAAATGTGGCTTGGGGAACTTTAAGTAGTCCATGGCAGGAACATAGCTTGATGAGTAAACTCACCATAAGGATCTTACCGGAAGAAAATCATGAAATGTGATTTTGCACAGTCTGAGCTCTGTAGTCTGTCAGTTTTCTCTTTTAATTTACGCTAAACCACACAGAAAAAATCTTCAAGTTCTAAGGAAATAAAAGTGCAGAGTAATCACTTGGGGGGGGTGGAGCTAGACAGCAATAATTATAAAGGAAGAGAGCTACGTACATTACCAGGAATCTTTTGACATAAAAGTAGAATCACAAAATTTCTGAGCTAGAAGGGTCCTTAGAGATCATTTGGTAGAGTGATTTTCCAGATATTTTAAAACCCTTTTGAGAGCTGAGTAGATAAAACACAGGTACCATATCAAAACATTGTATTTCAAGTCAATGAAATTAAGAAAAATCATTCTAGCACAACTTCCGTAAGTCAAAATTAATCATGAAAAAACCCTTAAAAAAAATGGCTGGCTCCAGATGGTATGATTATGTACCTGGAAAATCTAAGAGAATTAACTGAAAAGCCATTATAATAAATAACAGATTCAAAAAGCGACTGGTTACACAATAAATACACAAAAGAAGTTAAAAACTCTTCTATTTACCAGCAATAGTCAGGTTAAGAAAATATATACAGCATTAAAGAAAGAAAATGGGTTCCAGCCTGGGCAACAGTGCAAGACCCTGCCTCAAAAAAAAATGAAAAGTAAAGATGGGCAGATCTTTTGACCCAGCAATTGTATTCACAATAATTTCTCCCAAATAATTAATGCATAGGCACGAAGGGATATTAGCTGTAATAATGTCTAGTGTAGCACTATTTGTCATAAAGATTGAAAGAAATCTAAGTATCTAAAGATGGAGGACTACTTATAGTACATTCATACAATGTATTTTCTAATACACTATATACAAACCTTTATAAATGTTTTATATACCTACATATATATGTGGAGGGCGGAGGGGGAGAGAAATCCCATTTATAAAAATAAAAAATAAAATACAGTGAGACAGAATAGAAGACCCAATAGTAAAGTTTCTGACATCCACAGAAGAAGAAATCATTCATTAAACAGTATTGAGGAAATTGGCTAATCAAAAGCTTAAAATTTTTTGGACCCTCTACTTCATACTGTACAACTAAACATGTTCTAGAATAACTGCAAAACCAAAAATTGAAAATGAAAGTACGAAAACAGTTGAAAAAATAAAATTAATCACTATATAAACATAAGGTAGGAAAAGCCTATCTACGTAAGATACCTAAAGGAAGAACAAGACTTAGCTACATAAAATGTTAAAACCTGTAAGAAGGCAAGAGAAGGGAAGTATAAAGTCAAACCTGAATAAAGCTGTTTAACAAAAATGATAATCCCAATAATGGCATGTAAAAGGCCTCTCAAATGGCTTTGTTGTAAAGGGTAAACTGGCATAATCTTTTTGGTAGGCAATTTGGCCATGTATAACACAACTGTTAAAGATGGGCAACCCAGGCGTGGTGGCTCACAAATATAATCCAAACACTTTGGGAGGCCGATGTGGGAGGATAGCTTGAGCCCCGACGTTTGAGACCAGCCTGGGCAACATAGAGAGACATGGTCTCTACGACAAAAAAAAAAAAATTTAATTAGCTGGGCATGGTGGCATGTGCCTGTGGTCTCAGCTACTCAGAAGGCCGAGGTGGAAGGATCACTTGAGCCTAGGAGCTCAAGGACGCAGTGAGCTGTGATCGTGCCACTGCATTCCAGCCTGGGCAACAGAGCAAGACCTTGTCTTAAAAAAAATAATAAAAATGAAAAATAAAGATGAGAAAATCTTTTGACCCAGCAATTCCACCCATAACAATTTCTCCTAAATAAATAATGCATAGGCACAGAGGGATATTAGCTATAATAGTGTTCAACGTAGCACTATTTATCATGAAGAATGAAAGAAATCTAGGTGTCTAAGAATGGAGGACTACTTATGGTACATTCATACAATGAAATAGTATGGGGCCACTAAAAGTTACGTAGAAAACTAATGACATGAGTAATATCGTATTAGGTGAAAAACAACTGCAAACAACAAAATAGCTGAATCCATTTCAGTTTTTTTAAAAAGGTATATGAGGCTGGAATGAGGTATAATTGTTATGAGTGGGTCTTTGTTCTTAGAACTCCCCCAAGATGGTGGCGGCCACTCCCAAGATGGCAGCAAGCCTTTTGTTCTCTGACCTGGGGTTCTTGGCCTCACAGATTCCAAGGAATGGAACCTTGGGCCTTACGGTGAGTGTTATAGCTCTATTAGAAGCCATGGGTCACAGAAGAGAACCATGGAACCCAGAGACTAGTGTTCAGCTCAATTAGGACGAACCCAGGCATTTAGCCATGCAAGAACAATGGCGAGTCTTTAGCCCGATCAGGAGCAGCAATGGGCACCTCGCTGGATCAGGAGCACAGCGGACACCCTGCTGGATCTGGAGGGGTGGAAGTCAGCAGCAGGTGTGCGACGACAGCAAACAGCAGTGGTGGATGGCGAGCGAAAGCTCAGCTCGAGAAGTAACAAACACGGACCAGAAGAGTGTGCAGTGGCAAGATTTAATAGAGTGAAAACAGGGCTCCCATACAAGGGAGGGGACCCAAAGGGGGTTGCCGCTCCCTGCTCTAATGCCTGGGTTTATATCCCAATCATTGTCCCTCCCACTGTGCTCTCAGGCAATATACGATTTGACTATTTCTTTACCTCCTGCTTTAGAATAATTTGTATTTTAGTGAGCCCTCTTTACTACCTGATTGGTTGGGTATGAGCTGAGTTACAAGCCCTGTGTTTAAAGGCAGATGCAGTCACCTTCCCCAGCTAGGCTTAAGAATTCTTAGTCGGCCTAGGAAATCCAGCTAGTCCTGCCTCTCATAATCATACCACTGCACTCCAGCCTGAGTAACAGAGTGAGACCTTGTCTCTAAAAAATAAAATTTAATAAAATTAAAATTAAAAAGGTAGATCTATAGGTACACACAAACTTGCACACACACATGCCACAGGATAAAGAGACTTAAATTAACCCCAATCTTAGAGAAATGAAGGTGGGTGAGGAGGCAATTTGACCCAAGTCTTCCTAAGTCACCCCATCTATTTATAAAAATGAGCACTCTTACCTTTAGACTCTTGTTCCTCATGGAAGTAAAAGGGGTCTAGTTTAATGAATATGCAGTAGACAAACATGGAAATAGTGGCACTACCTTTCCATCTCCTATCAACTCCACGTCTCCAACCTTGTTCCCCAAAGCTCCACCAGGGATCCAAGGCAATCAATCCACTATCCCATCCCAGGATGGCAAGAGATGTAACGTTAGGAACTCCTCTAGAACTTCTGCCAGGTAGCTGCTGGGACACCTCCAAAGTCTCAATATAAAGTCAAAACACTTCCTGGAGGCCTGGTGCAATGGCTCATGCCTGTAATTCCAGCACTCCAGGAAGCTGGGGCGGGTGGATCACCTGAGTCAGGAGTTTGAGACCAGCCTGAACAACATGGTGAAACCCCGTCTCTACTAAAAATACAAAAAAATTAGCTGGGCTTGGTGGCATGTACCTATAGTCCCAGCCACTCAGGAGGCTGAGGCAGGAGAATCACTTGAACCCAGGAGGCAGAGGTTGCAGTGAGTAGAGATCGCGCCACTGCACTCCAGCCTGGGTGACAGAGTGAGACTCTGTCTCAATTTAAAAAAAAGACAAAAAAAACACTTCCCACCTGTTGTGGGAAACTCTAAAGGGGTTCATTCTGATCCCCACTTATCAGCAAACAGAATGCATACCTCTGCAGCCGGTTCCTAAGATATGTGCTTATTCCAACTCCATCAGGTGGGAGCCGTTTTTCTCTGATGTATCTTCCCCATGGTGCTTATGTCAGAAGTGGGGGCTTACTTCTCACTGGTCTAGTTATTCTGAAGACTCACAATTAGAAGTGGGAATCTAAGTACTTTTGGTTCAACCTTTTTATCTTACTTAGGGACAAAAAGTTTAGTAACCCTAGAAGATAAAACACTCCTGCTTAACCAACATGTGTTACTCAGCTTTCTAAACTAATACTTGTGGTACAAAACTGACATTCATTTTGCAGTATCTCTCAAGGCAAGACAGCCCTGAAGAGAACCTTAAGAAATTCTCAACAGTGCAGATAATTATTTTTCATCATTTGTTTTTATAAAATTTCAACAATAGGCATTACTTTCTATAATGGGGGGAGGTGGCTCTTTTTTCTAATGGCAGGCTAACCTAACATACTGTGATTACTGGATCTAATACATGCACTCATAGCAGAATTTTCTTTAGACATACATACACACTACTCTTCCATAAAGTATCATAAAATTACATCATTCCATTTTAAAAAGTCAATCACTCTTCTTCATGTAGCCTTCATCACTAGCAAAAAAGTAAAGGTAAACACTCTTGTCTTAACAAAAAAACTATGATAACATGTAATCATCTGTAATGCCTATTTCAAAACTTTTAAGACTATTTTGTTTCAAAAAAAAAAAAACCCAGTTAACATCTTTTCTAGGCAACTGAATTAAGAAAAAGAGTAAATCTGCAATTACTGAATATTTTCCTGGAGTTAGCCACAGAAACCACATGCAACACTGGACAATGACTGAATGACATTATCTTTAGATGTTTTTCATCCAAACTAATGGACATTCAGAAAAAAAGGTGATCCTGTACTAGGCTTCGCAACACTACCCTTGAAAGATTTTAACCAATCCTTTCACACCATCACCAAAGACATGTTTTTTTCTACAGCCCTACTTTCTTGTTTTGAAAGATCTGAGCTGTCAAACTATATTTATTTGCATTTAATTCTCCAAAGGGATAAGAGCATTACTATACCAATTTTGTATTTTCATCCAAAAAGTACAAACTCTGCTTTCTTGGCCCATAGAGCCTTATCCCAAATAAACTGTACAATCTCCAAAAATATAGTCAGTCTTGATTATATAGATATGATCTACCACACTGTAGATTATCCACAGAATATCTATCACTTACGTGATAGCATTAAGGGCTTTAAACACACACTCACACATACACACACACACACACACACTCTCTCTCTCTCTCTAATTCTCAAAGTTACTATTATTTTCCCCATTTTAAAGATGAGAAAAGTGAGGCACTGTGAGACTAAGTAGCTGACCAGCATGGCATTATAACACATATCATAATCATACAGAATTTGTAAAAATATTAAAATTATTATTAATAGCTGAAAATACCAATTAGAAGGCTTCCATCATTCGGATGTGCAACAAATGCTTCCCTGGGATAACCGTAAGTAATGACTTGGCCATTCAGCTGTGAGGCCCAGAAAGCATGGCAGAGCTGGTATGTCCATGCAGCCCACAACACAGCATCAGGGTAAGAAATAAAAAAGCCAACAAGTGGGCATGCAGCAAGGGTTTCAACTCTATCCTAATATTCCAAAAGAACAAGAGAGAATTTGGGACAATCTTAACCTCTGATGATAATCTCTGAGCCTCTTTTTATCCCTCAATTTATATAATGTTTAATGTTACTAAATCATTGCACAGGAATTATTTTTAAATGTTTACCTAACATTTGTAGAATGATAAACATTTTCCTAAACACTTCACAGGTTTTTGAGAAAGCATTTACACTGAGATTTGTTGTTACACTGACATCCTTCCCAAATTCACCATTATTCTAGTAATAATTGATGCTACTAGAAGCAGCCCACAGGCCCTCTCCGTCAAATGATCTCCCTCCCCTCTCCCAGCTCTTCCACTGCTGACCATCCCACCACCCCGACCTCACATTTCTCAAGTTCTGGTACACACACTGTACACACTGCCATTCCAATGATCTACCCATGTTGAGAGAAATGTCTCAGGATCAGGTGGACTAGCACCACTTCTCAGACTGCTGCTGCTAACAGGACAAAGCTTTCAGTGGTCTGAGACAAAAAGGGGGTTAAGAGAAGGGATTATATATTCATTTTTAAATGAAACATAAATTATTCAACTTACTTTTATTCCGGGGTTGTCCTTCTTACTTTTTCAGCGTTAAAATGTGATAATGACCAATGCTTCATTTTCTGTATCGTCCTCATTGGCCAAATAAAAAGTCAGAAACCCAGTCAATCCCTAAACCTAAAGGTTAGGATAACAAACACTAAATCTACTACGCATACATGTAGGGTGGAGGACAAGCCCAGGCAGGAAATAAAGGAATAAAAAACTTTCAGAGGAAGTAGATACTTTTACATTTAACAGTGACTACTGGTCCAGTGAACAAGTGCAAGCAAAACGAAACTGCAAATTTCAGTATCTCACTCAGAAAAGATTACAAGCACTGAGGCGGATGACAAATTTGACTTTTAAAATGAAAGCAGGCCAGGCGCGGCCTGGTGTGATCCTGGTGGATCACGTCTGTAATCCCAGCACTTTGGGAGGCTGAGGCAGGCGGATTACTTGAGGTCAGCAGTTCGAGACCAGCCTGGCCAATATAGTGAAACCCCGTCTCTACTAAAAATACAAAAATTAGCCGGGCATGGCGGTGGGCGCCTGTAATCCCAGCTCCTGAGGAGGCTGAGGCAGGAGAATCGCTTGAATCTGGGAGGCGGAGATTGCGGTGAGCTGAGATCGCACCATTATACTCCAGCCTGGACAAGAGCGAAACTCCTTTTCAAAAAAACAAAAAACAAAAAAAAAAAGGTAGGCCGAGCACAGTGGCTCACACCTGTAATTCCAGCACCTTGGGAGGCCGAGATGGACACATCACTTGAGGTCAGGAGGTCGATACCAGCCTGGCCAACATGGTGAAACTCCTCCGTCTCTACTAAAAAAGAACATACAAAATAAAATTAGTCGGGAGTGGTGGCGGGCGGCTATAATCCTGGCTACCTGGGAGGCTGAGGCAGGAGAAGTGTTTGAAACCATGAGGGAGAGGTGGCAGTGAGCCGAGATCGAGCCACTGCACCACTGCACTCCAGCCTGGGCGACAGAGCGAGAGTCCGTCTCAAAAAAAAAAAAAAGTCAAGTTCCGTAAAGCACTTACAACAGTGTCCGGCACTCAGTAAGCGCTTCAGAAGTACTGTCATAAATATCAAAGGACTGGAATGAAAATTATAAAAATTATGGTACTAAAAACTTCCACAAAGTTATTTAGAAGTACAACCTCTGCTCAGTCAGTTGGAGTATAAATAAAAAGAAAAAAATTAAAAGTACAACCATTTCTCCATAAAGTGTTATGAAGTTATGTGTGACATTTCTAAACTTTTTAATTTACGTGTGAAAAAATTACATTAGAAAAAACCTGAATCCAGTTAGAACACCCACTGTACGACTCTCAATTGTTTGCAAATTTGCTTCCAAAACTCAGGAATGCACTACTCAACTGAGGCCGCATTTGAGAGCACACACTCAATACTTCCTCCAATAAAAGAAATTTTCATCTCAGCTGTACACTCAGAGACCAGGATTTTTTTCGCCTATATGTTGATAAAACCCAATGACGCATAGCTGAGCAAGTCTTTCACCTAACAGCACACCAAGCTTCTAATGGAAAATTCACAGACCAGGTGATGCAGTCACCATACAGCATACAGACACAATATTTGCACTCTTCCTATCCCCTCCCCTGGAATCCAGACTCAGCCTGCTCACTCTGAAAGCTTTCTCAGTTCATCCTGCCATTTGCCCCTTCTCCCAAGCCACCTCTACACCCGGGGGTGAGTTATTAAAAAGAACATGTTTATTGATAAATACAACACTTTATTTATTTGCACACAAGTTATCCACTTCCTTGCTACTCAAAGATAGTCCCTTGTCCAGCTGCACATGTTATCAGAAATGTACAATATCAAAATGCACCATAGGCCTACTGAACCAGAAAATGCATTTTTAATAAGAGCCCCAAGTGATTCCCACCCACATTAAGGTTTGAGTGTTCTGTGATACTGCAGATAGCTGTAAAAATTAAAAATGCTCAAGTTTACAAATGAATTCAGAGATATGGTATGAAAAGTACCAAGACACGGAATCAGAAAAGCCCAAAGAGAAAAACCAATATATAAATGAATTTCTTTGCCACCGATAGCAAAGGCTCATTTTTCAACAATACCTATTTATTGCTTCCTGCTTTAAGTATTTTGTGCAAGAGCACAACACTTATAAAGGTTTACAAAAGAATTACCGGGTCTAGAAATTCCAGGCAACCTGGTCCAAACGTGTGAAACCTGCATGTTAAAATCTTAGGATTTTGTCCAATTCAGAGTTGACAAATGAACTCTTTCCAGAAAGTTATTATTCGAAAAAAACCTACAGGATGTTAACTTTAAACACAGATTATAATTCCTGTAACTAAAACGAGTAACTGGTATCGAACAAATTCTAGGTCACTTGTAGAATCGAATCTTGTAGTGAAGGTCTGTGTGTTTTTCCAGGAAAAGTCGGGGTGGGGAGCGGGATTTGCCCTCCCTGCGAATTTTTTTTTTTTTTTTTTTTTTTTTTTTTTTGCTCTTATCCTGAAAGACCTCCGTTTCTTACGTGTGAATAAACTTAAGTCGTACTAAATCCAGGTCACGGTTCCCTTCCTCAAAAGTGAAGTCAAGGCTTCTCTCTTCTAAAGACTATTAAGGTTTGAGGATTCAGGGCCCGTTTCGCTTCCGGCTAGGGAAGGAAGCGTGCTTCCCGGGGCCCAAATGAACATGGAAATTTACTAAGTAGGAAGTTGAGCACTAGTCCAGCCGCCAGGCCCTGCCTTTACTGCAGTTGGCCTTCCAGTCTAGACCCCGACCTCCTGGGGCAGGGAAAGCAGGCAGACTGCAAGCAGCCACCCCGCCCAGCTCGCCCTGCCCGCCCTGCCCGCCAGGGAGCTGAAGGGTCCACCCCTCCCGCCATCCACCCCCGACGCCGACTCCGAGGCGCACAAACGGGGGGCGGTGCGGCAACCCGTCCGCCGTGGCGGCGGCACCCTCAGGCCCTCCCGTGAGAAGGCGGCGGCGGCTGCGGCTGCAGCAGCGGCGCGAAGGGGGGCGAAACCTGTCCTGAGGCTGAGTGGGAGGCCGGGGCGGGAACGACTGCATGTGGGGCTGCACTGGAGGAAGGCGGAGGCGTTCAGAGGGCTTGGGCTTTTTTACGATCATCATCATTATTTTATTTTACCTGTGGCGCAGAAGGGCTCCCCAGCTCCTATTCCCTGAATCCTCCTCCTCCTCCCCTCCTCTTTCTCTCTCTCTCCCTCAGTCTGCAGGGCGCTCGCGGAAGCGGCCGGGCCCGGCCCGACCTGAAAGAGAACAGGGCGGGAGGGGGTGGCGGCGGTGACCAGCGGCCACGTGACCACGCTCGCGCCGTAACGGCGGCCGCCTCCCGCCGCGCGCCCTCCCCGCGCTCCACCTCTAATAACCTCGCGGCCCGCGCGCCTGGGAAGCTCGTGCGCAGGCGCCCGCACGGGACCTGAAGTCTGCGCGCGAGCGCAACGCGCTCGCTCTCGGGTCCGGGTTTCTGGGGCCCGCGAGGCGCGAGAAGCGAGTAGGTGGGGAGTGAGCCGCGGGCAGAGCTCTCCTTGGCTGAGCCGGCAGGCTGCTGAGCGCATGCGCCTGAGGGCTTTTACCCCTCCCTTCTCTCCCTGCTTCCAACCGGCGCGCGGCTGGAGGCTGGGAACCAGCTCCTGGGTCTTAGTCAGAGGTTCACATCCACCAACTATCTTCCCAGGGTTGGACTGAGAAGGGGAGCAGAGGGTCCCAGGGACTCTCCTGAGATCCTGGCTCTCCTGCCAAGGAATTTACATTTCCTTGTCACAGGTAAATGGCCTTCCATGCCACATTTTTCTGTGGCTGAGTAGGCTTCTAACTCAGCTCATCTGTCACTTTCTCCGTGAAACTTACCCCTGCCTACTTTAGAGGAGTCACTAGCACTTTGTGCAGACCTACCTTGTAGTACAACCCATAGAAAGATAAAGGTTAGGAGTTATTTTTTCACAAGCCCACAATACTAGACTGTGGTTTCTATCTTTATCTCATAAACTTGGACAGGGTCTTCAGTGTTGTAGTATCTCCCTAAACGTCTGATGACTATCAGAACACAGGGAATGTCTAAAACTTTTATCGTTGCCCTTGGTCTCTGCATAATCATGATTTAAGATCCCCTTTAACCCAAGCACGTGGGAAGGTGGTGTTTGTTTCCCCAGTATGAAAGCCTTTAAATCATAATGTTAATTAGAGTGGTAAATGCTTCACTTAGTAAAAGAGATTTATGGTATTTTATTAGCTTATCTTCACAAAGAGCTCCAACGAAAATTGATACTGTTTAGTCCAGAAAAGGAAACCAAGTCAGAGAAAGGTCAGATTTCTGAAGGTTATCTAGCTTCAGAGGAAGATGCCTGTGTGGGAGACCTTTGTGGACAAACACCCCACTTCACACAGAGATCCCTCTTTTTCTGTTGCCCCTCTTTCTGTTGCAGAAACTGAACAGGTTAAGTTAGTGCCTGTGGCCAGATTTAATCCGGCCAGATTTATTTATTTATCAAATAAATAAAATGTAAAAACTCCCTAATTGGGAGTTCTGGCTAGACCAGTCATCATCACTGTTAGACTGGTGAATACTGAGATGATAGTCAAGAAATGGGGCTAGCAACAAAATGACAGAAAATCCTGGGATGAATGTATATGAAGAAATAGGATTAACAGAGGCTTCTGAGAAACTAGGAAAATGACAACCCTCAAGATTCCATTCTCAAATGTTTACAAAGCTGTTGGACTCTTTTCTGCATTTACCACTGTATACACCCACAGACTGATCCCACCTCATAGTTTCAGCTACCACACAGGTTATGCTAATGGCATCCCATTCTAAATATTCAGCCCAAGATTCAGACCTTGTGGTAGACTATTTTCTTATGGCACACAATTAACTGTGCCTCCCAGTATTCATGCCCATGTATAGTCCTCTGCCCTTGAGTCTGGGCCGGACCTGTCACCTGCCTTAAACAATCAAATATGGCAAAAATTACTCTCTGTCACTTCTAGGCCTAGGCCTTTAAAGACTTTGCAGGGCCAGGCGCGGTGGCTCACGCCTGTAATCCCAGCACTTTGGGAGGCCAAGGCGGGTGGATCACGAGGTCAGGAGATTGAGACCATCCTGGCTAACACAGTGAAACCCCGTCTCTACTAAAAATACAAAAAATTAGCCAGGCATGGTGGCACACGCCTGTAGTCCCAGCTACTCGGGAGGCTGAGGCAGGAGAATGGTGTGAACCCAGGAGGTGGAGGTTGCAGTGAGCCGAGATCGCGCCACTGCACTCCAGCCTGGGCGACAGAGTGAGACTCCGTCTCAAAAAAAAAAAAAAAAAAAAAAAAAAAAAGGCTTTGCAGTGACAACTTTGAACTTTACCAGAGACTCATGGGAAACAGAAATAGTTAAGAAATCCCACCACCTTTTTGTGTTCTGCGAAACAGTTTACCACAAAGACCAATCCTTCTCCATATTACTTAAATGAGACTCATTGTCCAGTTTCTCTGATAAAACTAGTAGATGACCTGTGACAAGACCAAACACATACCTTTCCTTTTTTCCCGAACCTGTGGGGAAGGTCAGTCACCTTTCAACTTCCTATTTGTCTCATGAATGATTAGCTAGGATTAGAACTACTTTTTCCCCCTTGAAATTAGGTAGCGATAAACATTTCATAGCTGATAATTCTCTGATTACAAAAATAATCCCAACTGTAATCATCTCATCTATAACCTGTCTATGCCTCCCTGTAAAAGTATAAGGCAGCCAGGCATAGTGGTGCACACCTGTACTCCCACCTACTCAGGAGATTGAGGTGGGAAAATTGTTTGAGCCCAGGAGTTTGAGAGCAGCCTAGACAACAGCAAAACCATGCTCTAAAATAATAATAAAAGTATAGGGCAAAACCACCCTGCTGAGACACTCTGATCTTCACATCTGGAGTACTCTCCCTAATGTAATTGCCTGAATGAAATCTATTTCCTCACCAGTTTAGTTTTTAACTTTGACAGTAGCTATCATTTTTGCCCTTTGTGGGAAGCACCATGTAAGATATCCAACTACTCTGAAACTACCACACTGTGAAGAGTCTAACCAAGCCACCTGGAGAGACCAAACGGAAGAAAACTAAGGCCCCTGGCCAACAGCCCTAGCTGTGCTCCTACTGGCCAGTCAGCACCAGCCTGCCAGGCATGTGACTGAGACAGTCTTGGAAGTGGATTTTCCAGCCCTACTCAAGCTGCCGCAGCTGACACCACATGGAACAGAGATGAGCTTTTCTCCCCAGTGCCCAAATAGCAGAATTGTGGAAAAATAAATAAAACAGTTGTATTAAGCCACTAAGTTTTGCTATAGTTTATTAGATATCATTAAATAACCAGAACAGACCTATGTATTCAGCTGCCTGCTAGAGATGTATCCCAGGTGGTCTCACAGGTACTTCAAACTCAATATACTTGAGTTGAGTTTTTCAAATAGCCTTCAAACCTGACCTGTGTCCTTTCCCCGACCGCTCCCCCTCCCCTGCCACCCGTTGGTTGTGCATTTATTCCCCTAGTTCCCGAAGCAGAAAACCTGGGCGTGTCCCTTTACTCCTTATCCTGCAATATTCAGTCACCAACTAATGAGCTTTCTTCTCCAGTCCCCACAACACTTCTCACCTCAGATCCTCATCATCTCTATCCTGAACTACTGAGGATTAATCAAGTTCTTCCACATTGCAAAGAAAAGTCACTCAGGCATCCAGACTACCTTAGGGGTTTATTATCAGGCAAGAAGTAAGGAGATGTTGGAAAACAGCCCAGTCATCTCCCATGACCTGCATTCTGATGGTTCCCAGACTGGGAAGCCCAGGTGGCATCATAAAGAGCCACAGCAATGACCCCATCCTTTAGGCTACAACAATAGCTGTAAGGATCCAGCTTCTCTCAGGCTTCTCACGTTCTTACTCCCCAAGAGACAATCTGAGGGACCCAATGGTCCTCAGTCAATACAGAGCACCCCGACAAGGCAGAGAGTGGCCTGCAATGTAATCTAGGAAAAAGAAACAAAAGTAATCAAGCTGATGATTAATAACTCCTTAAAATACAAACTTTGTATAAAAATTCATTTTCAGTTTTGTTAGTTATAATAGAATTTGAGTTTAAGGCAGAAAAATTAAATTTGAACTAACTTCAGCATTAAAAAAATAATTGTGGGGCTGGGCACGGTGGCTCACGCCTGTAATCCCGGCACTTTGGGAGGCCGAGGCGGGTGAATCATGAGGTCGGGAGATCGAGACCACCCTGGCTAACACGGTGAAACCCTGTCTCCACTAAAAATACAAAAAAATTAGCTGGGCATAGTGGCGGGCAGGCACCAAGTAGTCCCAGCTACTTGGGAGGCTGAGGCAGGAGAATGGCATGAACCCGAGAGGTGGAGCTTGCAGTGAGCTGAGATCGCGCCACTGCACTCCAGCCTGGGTGACAGAGCAAGACTCCATCTCAAAATAAATAAATAAATAAATAAATTAATTAATTAAAAATAAATTTTGACACTTGGTTTTGCAGCAGCTTGTGTGCTAGTTGATTCTCTGCTTCGACATCTATGTGCATTCTCTGTCTTGGGACATGGCGGAAAATGAAGCAGAAAATAACACGAATGTTCTTAAAGTCTCTTGGCAAGGATCAGCTCTCTCCCAGGCCTCTGGCGATATGGACACTCAGCCTGGGACTACTGTGATCAGGCCACCATCCACATCCCTTCTCCTGGCTCTTTTCTCCTCCACTCCATTCAACTCACCCAGGTAAACTGGCCATCATTAGATCCTGAAATTGCTATGGTGGCATAGACTGACATGATAATAAGATGTACAGCCTACAGTATGGGATTGTCCAGTGGGAAGTGAAAGGGTTGTGGTAAGCATGGGCTGTGCGTGGAGCTGGCGTGCTACCCTCTGCATCATCCATGGAAATGCCCGACTCAGATCTCCTGCTGCAAGAACATAGTTGACCTTCGGCCTCAGCAGCTGCCCCACTGGATCCACTACCAAGTTCATGCTGAGGCCACACTTCTCCTGGGCTACTCCCACTCGATGATTGATTGCGGCAGGGGTATTAGTGAAGGCCAAAGGAGGATTCCTCTAACAGGCAGCTTTGGCTCAAGGATTCCCCAGTGGCATGGCCAAAACTTTCTTAGAACTGTGCCACAGTCTAAAACTCTTCTTAACAACTCTTCTATCCTTTCCCCTTAGCTTTCCCAGGTTACAGACCTGCATTGTGGTCTGAAGTCTTCACCTCTGCCCACACACACAAAGTCCAGCTCCTGCTTTTTTCCCTTTATTGGTGTTCTCTCAATAAAGCTTTTGTACACCAAAAGCTTTGATGTAAATGAAAAGGAAGTCCCAGAATGGGGTTGTGTTTCAGTTCATTTTGTAAGTCCCATTGTGGTATTTGCTTCTCAGAGGACCTGAACTGAAACACAACCCCATTCTAGGACTTCCTTTTTCATCCTCAGACTATAGCTACAGGTCACAGTTATTAGTAATATCAAGACATCTAAATTCTTTTCATTCTTTTGGGTTTTGGGTTTTGAAGAACGTTTCATCTCCTAGAGCCATCTATTAAAATGCAGCTAACCCTAGGTAGAGATAACAACAAGCTAAAGCATTTCACTGTTAAGAAAATAAGAAAGGTCAGGCACAGTGGCTCACGCCTGTAATCCCAGCACTTTGGGAAGCTGAGGTGGGCGGGTTGCATGAGCTCAGGAGTCCAAGACCAGCCTGAGCAACATGGCGAAACCCTGTCTCTACAAAACACACACAAAAAACTAGCTGGGCATGGTGGCACACACCTGAAGTCCCAGCTACTTGGGAGACTGAGGTGGGAGGATCACTTGAGCCCAGCAGGTCCACGCTGCAGTGAGACCTCGTCTCAAAAAAAATTAATTAAAAAAAAAAGAAAGATTGTTTGAGTTATTTTGACTGTAAAAATGATTAATATTGTGATAAATATTGTGAGGCTAACAATAAAAGTTTTGTGGGGTAATATGGCCATTTTGATACCCCACACACCATTCTGTGTTTCTTTTTTTTTTTTGAGACGGAGTTTTGCTCTTTTTGCCCAGGCTGGAGTGCAATGGCACGATCTCGGCTCACTGCAACCTCCACCTCCCGGGTTCAAGCAGTTCTCCTGCGTCAGCCTCCCATGTAGCTGGGACCTACAGGTGCCTGCCACCACACCCAGCTAATTTTTGGTATTTTTAGTAGAGACGGGGTTTCACCATGTTGGCCAGGATGGTCTCAATCTCTTGACCTCATGATCCACCCACCTCAGCCTTCCAAACTGCTGGGATTACAGGCATGAGCCACCGCACCCGGCCATACCATTCTGTGTTTCTGGAGCAGATACTTTCAGAGTTATTTGTCTAGCTCATAACAAGAACCATCATCCCAGCACTTTGGGAAGCCGAGGCGGGCGGCTCACCTGAGGTCCGGAGTTCGAGACCAGCCTGACCAACATGGAGAAACCCCGTCTCTACTAAAAATACAAAATTAGCCAGGCCTGGTGGCGCATGCCATGCCTGTAATCCCAGCTACTCAGGAGGCTGAGGCAGGAGAATCGCTTGAACCCGAGAGGCGAAGGTTGCGGTGAGCCAAGATAGCACCATTGCACTCCAGCCTGGGCAACAAGAGTGAAACTCTGTCTCAAAAAAAAAACAAAAAACAAAAAAAAAAACCACTATCCCTCAATCAATTCTCTTCAATAACCTAAAACAAACTGAGACCAATCAGCTTCTCTTCTGAAATAATTGAGAATCGGGATTATAGGGGAACTAGTCAGTCTTTACGTGTGGCTGGACCTGTAACAACCCAACAGAGTAGACCATTTCATAAGTCAACCAGGAGAAGAGAAACCACTTCAACTATTTACAACAGTTGAAATCTAATACAGGGAATGAGTTAACAGGTGATGGAAGAGCCATTCCTGCTACCTGGAACACAGATAGAGTGGTGACTCAGTTTCCAATGTGCAGAGCAGCAAATATGCAATGGGGGAGATTTTCCAGAGATGAGCAACAGCGGGAGGGAACTCAACTACCCCTCAGCTGACAAGACACAGGAAGAGATCATGTTAATGGGGCCCCAGGGCTGAGGTCATCCTGTGGTACATACAGAGTGGTGTTATGCAGAGAGAACTACTTAGGGCATCTTTCTTCAGGACATGACTGTATGCATAGCAGAGACCTGCAAGGGGCACCTCCTCTGCTTACCCTCCCACCAACAACCACAAAGAGTAGGAGAGAGTCTGTTTCCTAAAGAAGGGTCATGGCTATTTGGCAGAGTAGGGAGAGATACTTGGCAGACAAAACAATATTTGTTCACTCCATTCCTTGTGTTAGTTACCCAGCACATATATATATCATTCTTCTCATCCATAATTTCAAAACTCTTTCACCTAATAAACTAACCTTGTAAGTAAAGAGTGTGAGGTGCTCAACCAATTGATCGGTGATATTAGGGAGTGGCTGTAAAGTCATTTTAAATCTCATCCTAGTCATAGAAAATGAAAGTGAAATTATTCTTCAGAAAGTCTGCCCTCAAAATGCTAAAACCAGAAATTGATTTGTATGTGGTGTCTGCATACCTGTGTATACCTCCTCCTCCTTTCCAAATCTATTTTTCTCTTCTTCCCTACACTTCCATACACAAGTTTCGTGCCCTACACTGCCTCTCCTTCTCTATTCTTGCTACCGGGAACACAGATATAGTAATGACTCAGGTTCCAATGTGCAGAGCCCAGCAGAGCAACCAGATTGCAGGAAACTGCAACCCTGTATTGCTTGGTAAAGTACTGCCTATCCAACCCAGACTGCCTCACTACACATTTAAATTAGAGAGAAATAAACTTCTACCTTATTTAAGCCACTGAATTTTTTCTGTCTTGCTTTAAAGCTGCATACTCTACCTAATACAATATATAAGGTATTATATACCTACACATATATATATATATATATATGTATGTATGTATGGTATTGTATTCTGTTAACTAAGTTGATAGGCAGAGAATCTCATGAAAGCCTATCTAGATCAATTTAAAAATCATAAATAAATTAATTCATTTGCCCTTAAAGGATATGATGTCAACATTTATGGATACCTGAGAAATGTCAAATGCGTTGATATTACAAGGCTCATGTTTGCACCATTATGCTTTTGATTAACACCAGTGCAACTGTGCTCAAAGTTGTAAAGATCATGGTGTAGTCAGAAACATTAGGAGGGAATATAAACTAAGAAGTTAAGTGCATAGACTCAGGAGTAGAATTGTCCAAGTTCATATCCTAGCTCCCTTACTTGTTAATGACGTAACCTAAAGTGAATTAATTAAGTTACTTAACCTCTGTGGCTCCAGTTTCATCTGTAAGATAGGGATAATAATAGTCCCTAACTTGTTAGGTTGTTGTGAGCATTAAGAGCATTAAATGAGATAATCTCCTGTTAGGTATTTAGCACAAAGTAACCATTCAATTTATATATCTATCAAAGTAACCATTCAATTTATGTATCTATATATAAAATAATTATGTATGTATAGTGCAATAATAATTATAATAAATTATTGATAAATTATTTGTTAATAATTCTTACTAATAACAATTAATAAGTATTATCTCTGAGTCTTCATCAGAAAAAGCAGTATGCAGGAAGAGCAGCTTATTCTACATATAACGATAATTATTGAAATTCAATGCTTGCACATACAAAATAGCAAACTCTGGACTTTACTTTGGATATTAAAAAGACAAAGGTATTTTTGCTATACTGCCCAAATGTCTCCAATGATATGCCCACTAGTATGCCTAAATAGCACAGCAGTAAAACTAATGTCTTAACTTTTGTTCTGAAAGCACCTTATTTCAAAACATTATCCTTCCTCATTGGTGGGAGATTATCAGTGTTGATTTTCAACAGTTTTGTGAAAGGATAATGGAGTCGTGATCACAATTAAGTAGGTAAATTCATTTCCTTGAATCATATGTTCTCTGTGATAGCATTTATTTCCATTGGATTACTTATTCTTGGTCTGGTATGCACAGGTGTTTCCCTAATAAACATTTTTCAACATGATTTTATAGTGTTTCTTATGCCAGATGAGACTCCTACATTTTTTCCAGGTACAGGCTTAAAATGTTGTGCCAAAAAACCTTAAGTAAGCAACATGGGCTGGGAGCGGTGGCTCACGCCTGTAATCCCAGCACTTTGGGAGGCCAAGACAGGCAGACCACAAGGTCAAGAAATCAAGACCATCCTGGCCAACATGGTGAAACCCCGTCTCTACTAAAAATACAAAAATTAACTGGGCATGGTGGTGCATACCTGTAATCCCAGCTATTGGGGAGGCTGAGGCAGGAGAATCGCTTGAACCTGGGAGGCGGAGGTTGCAGTGAGCTGAGATCACGCCACTGCACTCCAGCCTGGAGACAGAGCAAGACTCTATCTCAAAAAAAAAAAAAAAAAAAAAAGCAACTGGCTTACACCATTTAGTTCCATATCCCTGTTAGAGTGTTTGCCCCAATATGTTATGAGCAGCTGCTTAAATGCTTAAATGTCTGACATTCCATAGACTATGAGCCCCTCAAGGGCAAGCAGTATTTCTTGTCTCTGAATCCTCAGTGTTTTAAGAAGTGTGTTGCATTTGGTAGGTATTCAATAAATGTTTGAAATGAATAAGAGTAAATAGGCACAGTGGCTTATGCCCATAATCCCAGCACTTTGGGAGGTCGAGGCAGGCAGATCACCTGAGGTCAGGAGTTCAAGGCCAGCCTAGCTAACATGGTGAAACCCGTGTCTACTAAAAATACAAAAATTAGCCATGTGTGGTGGTGGGCGCCTGTAATTCCAGCTACTCGGGAAGCTGAGGCACAAGAATCACTTAAACCTGAGAGGCGGAGGTTGTAGTGAGCCGAGATCATGCCACTGCACTCCAGCCTGGGCAACACAGTGAGACACGTCTCAAAAAAAAAAAAAAAAGTAAATATGTATCATATTGTGGAAATACAGTTGCTTGTTCAAGTTGCTATAGTTGAACACATCATTTATATATTGTAGCTGCTTAAAACAACATGCATTTAAAAAACTCACAGTTTCTGTAGGTCAAGAGTCTGCACATGGCTTAACCAGGTTCTTTGCTTTAGGATCTCCCCATGTGTTTGCAATCAAGTTGCTGCTGAGGCTGCAGTCTATCTCATGTGTTCACTGGGGAAAATATCTGCTTCCAGGCTCACATGATTCTTGGCAGAATTCAGTTCCTTGCCAGTTGTAGGATTGAGGACCTCAGTTTCTTGCTGGCTGTCAGATGGAGGCTGCCCTCAGTTTCTTGCCATGTGGGCCTCACCACACAGCAGCTTGCTTAATCAAAACCAGCAAGAGAAAGCGAGTTTCCTAACAAGGCAGACGTTACATCTTACATACTATAATCACAGAAGTGACATCTCACTTACCATACAATATACTATTTGTTAGAAGGAAGACACAGGTCCCTTCCACCCTCAAGGGAGGGTATTATATGAGGATGTGTACCAGGAGGCAGAAATAATTAAAGGCTATCCTAAAGTCTGTCTACTGTAGACATGAGTACACATAAATAAGATATGAATATGTGGTCCACTCAAATGAAGAAACTTGGTTAGGGTCACATGCTAATTCATGAGAATGCTCAAATGCTTGCTCACATGTGTTAGGGCTTCACAACATGATATAAGAGGAAGAGAGTCTATTCATCAAAGTACTTACAATCTGAATGGCTAAGTCACAACTCATCCACAGAAATAGTTAAAACTCTGAATCTCCAGCCAGTTTTGTTAGGCTGAATGCCCACCTTGAAATCCTTTAAAAAGATGACTGAAATAAGAGCATTAAAGATATGTAACATCTCTCTGCTAACCTGGAGAATTTACAGCAAAAATGTCTCAATTGGTCCTTGGCATGTTCCACTTGATTCCGTCCATTTGAATAGATAGCCAAAAGCACTAAACATGCACACAGGAAGACAAATGCATGAGAACCAACAATGGGAAAGATATTAACTAGCTATTGTTGCAACAATGCTGCAAAACAACCCCAATATCTCAATGACTTGCAAAAACAAACATTTATCTTTCTTGCTTAAGGATTACAGGTTGGCTGTGTTTCATATGATCTCACTTGAGCCTGACTGGGCCAAAGTGGGCTAGGCTGGACTCCAGGCTTTGGGTTGGGTTCAGGTCTGTTCCACATGTATTCTTCATTCTGGGACTAGAAGCTACACAGGGCATGTTCATGTTCTGCTCATGGCAAATGAGTGAAGTACAAAGGGGCAAGCAGAAACATTCTAGGTCTCTTAAGGCTTTGGCTCAAAATTGACACACTATCACTTCTGCCCACATTCTGTTGTCTTAAGCAAGTCACATGGCCAAACCGAATATCAATATGATGTGGTAATATATCTGCTTACTTTAGAGGGAAGCAATGCAAAGTCCCATGACAGAGGACATGGTGAATAAAATTCCACTGTAGGGAGAGATTGAAGAATGTGGAAAAATGAACAAAGCCAAGCAAGCACATGTAGCCAGCTGTGCTAGTTGATCAAGCTTGTCAAGTTGCCTGTGTCACCACAATGAGATCCCTGACTGCCACTTTGAAAGAACAAGCCACAATATCATGTAACTGACAACTCAAGCCATACACTGGTACAGCTTCATGCTACCTTGGTATGCAATCCTCTATAAAATACAAAATCTACTTTATAGTAATATAAGTAAGGTAAAGATTTTATAAGCACAGGGCCTTAAATAGTATCATTCCCATGGCAAATATAACATAGCCTTTTGTGCCCATATACTGCAAAGACAGAAGTCCTAACTATAAACTGTAACGGGAAATCTTGCATACTCAGGTATGAGGGTGGTGAAAGGGTTACGAGTTCAGTTAGAAAAAAATTACTTTGGAAAAGTTATCTTGTGGACAAAGCCTCAAGTTTAACATATAGCATAATACAACTGAATATTAATTAGTAACTGGAAAAAGTAATTTTGTTTCATTTTAAAAGGCTACAGTGTTGTAATCCAAATAAAAAGAAACACATTTACGTATTTTCTTAGATATAATATGGACAATGCTAATATTTTATTCCTGTGTTTGTGTTTCAACTTTCAATAGTTTTCTTTAACTGATGGTTGTTTGTTGGGATCTATTTCCTCACAAATGAGTTTGCCTCATGAGCCTGACAAACTGATATTTTTTCTGTTTACTTGTTTTTTTTTGTTTTTGTTTTTTTTTTTTTTTTGAGATGGTGTCTCACTCTGTTGCTCAGGCTGGAGTGCAGTGGCACGATCTTGGCTCACTGCAACCTCTACCTCCTGGGTTCAGCCATTCTCCTGCCTCAGCCTCTTGAGTAGCTGGGATTACAGGTGTGCACTACCATGCCCGACTAATTTTTGTGTGTTTTTAGTAGATACGGGGTTTCACCGTGTTGGCCAGGCTGGTCTCGAACTCCCCACCTTAAATGATCTGCCTTCCTCAGCCTCCTAAAGTGCTGGGATTACAGGTGTTAGTCACCACACCTGGACTTTTCTGTTTACTTTTTAACTCATCAAACCCTCTTATGATCATCTGTTTTCAGCTTAATAATTGTTTACCTGTTCAATTAAAATGGATTAATGAGGAATAATTTGCAGCTTAACATTTAATATTGCTATTTGAAGGACATTAGCTATTAGGCTATCTTCAATTTATTAATTAAATCTATTTTACACATAAAAATACCAGAAGTTGAAACAGTGTTCTATCAAAAATATTTAAAGGACATAATGCTATTCCTTCAAATACAATGCCATTTTTTCCAAATACTGTAGTGTCATGATAAGTGTCGTATATTTAGCCAACTCTCCCTGATATCCAATTATCAATTCATTTATGTATGCCTTAAGACATGAACAGATGCATTTCTGAAAAATTAGAGTTTAATTCCATGTATCAGACTATTCATTTAACTTTCATATCTTATGTTAATATATTGGAGATATAGTCCTAGGGCAAAAGCCTCTAAAAGTATGTCTACAATCTGGGTTCACAAAGGGGCTGTCTAGAGATGTCTGATAGGCCACCTTCCAATGTCCCATTAAAATGCCACAAAGAGAGAGAAAATGAGAAAAATTGGCTTATGGTGCTGTGGACTTAAAATGAGAGAAAGCAAGTTGCTAAAGTCCAGGTGAAATTTCAACTAGCTGATTTATTGATGATGATGGATGGAAAACATATCCCTAAACTACCTTCTATGAGTTTCTCCCTCCCAAACAATACAATACAGAGGATGTCAACAACACAGGAAAATATTTGGCACAACTTCATTGTCTGCATTTAACTCCAGTGTGCGGGTACTTTACTGGCCATAAAACAAACATCAATAAGCCGGTAAGAACTACAGTTCTATAATTCACCTTCACTTTCTTGCATCCAATCTCATTAGCATCAATCTCCCTGTGCATTCAGAGGCAACTCCCAGCATGCAACACAGCAGAAAGAGGAGTAAGTGAACAGACAAGTTCAATCTTGGGATTCTTAGTAATCTAATGAAAAGTGCTATAAATAGGATAGAAACAAAAAGGGAATGAGGAAAACTGCCTGCTGGGTAAATAGATTTTGGTCATATGCTACACTCTTCATAAAAGAATTTCAAATTGCTTAGTAAGAGAAACCAGGGGAAAAATGCAACATCAGATCAGTAGACATATAATAATACCTTAGAGCACCATTTCTGAATGGAGAATCTGCGGTTTTAGAGGGGAAGTGGTTTTCTTTCTTGTTGGGACAGGTGACTTTACTGGCCCAGAGGCACTCAATTCAGGTAGTAGCTCTTGTGTTCCAGTTATTAATGTTGTATAACAAACCACCCCAAACTTAGTGGAGTGTAGAACAACAATCCTTTTGTCAGGAATTAGACAGGACACATTAAGGATGACTTGTCTCTTTACCTCATCTGGTCCTCAGCTAGGAAAACTCAAAGGCTGGAGAAGTCAACTATTAGGGGTTGGAATCATCCAAATGCACCTTCAGTCACATATCTGGCATATGGTCTGGAAGAACTCAAAGACTGGCACTACCTATTAGAGCACCTCCAGGAGGCCTCTTCACGTGGCTTCACTTGATCACAGCATGGTAGCCTTAGGGTGATCAGATTTATACATGGCAGCCCAGGGCTCTGAGTATGTGTGTTCCAAGGAAAAGGGTGAAAGCTTCATGGTCTTTTCTGGCCTTAACCTTGGAAATCATGCAACATTACTTCCACTGCATTCTATTGGTTACAAGTTAGTTTAAGCACACCCTGATTTGAGGTTGAGGCAGATACACTTTTCAATGGGAAGAATGTCAAGGGCAATATTGGGCCATCTTTAAAAATGAAAATCTGCCATAATCTGTCACTGAGACAATCTGTATTCATTTCCTATGGCTGCCATAATAATTTACTACAAAGTTAACCACTTCCACAATGTAAGTTATTATCTTATTATTAAGTGGTCAAACATTTAACACCCATTTCACCAGGCTAAAATCAGCACGTGGGCAGGCTGTGTTCCTTTCTGGAGGCTCTACGGGAGAATCTGTTTCCTTCTCATTTGGGTTATTGGCAGAATTCTGTTCCTTGAAGTTGTGAAACCAAGGTCTTCATTTTCTTGCTGGCTGTCAGGTGAAGGCAATTCCCCGTTTCTAGACCCTACCCTCCCTACCACCTTGACTTGTGGGGATCCTCCTCTCTCTCCAAAGTCAGCAACAGCAGTTCAAATGCTGCTCATGTAACATTCCTCTGACCCTTCTTCTATGATCACATCTTTCTCTGACCACAGCCTGGAAAGCTGGAAGGCTCTCTACTTTGAAGAATTTGTGATTAGATTGGGTCCTCCTGGATAATGCTGGATAGTCTCTCCATTTCAAGGTTCATAACCTTAATCATATCTGTAAAATTTCTTTTGCCATTGAAAGTAACATTCATATGCTCCAAGGATTCGAGAATGGTCATCTCTGTGGAGATAGGGGGCATTATTCTGCCTGCCAGTACCATACAACCTAAGCTACATACCCACATTTCAAAATCCTCCTTTTGGGAATGGTACCATCCCTGGTTAATATGCACTGTATTAGAGACTCTGCACACCAACTTGTACTTCAGGTTTAGGTCTGATCTGAGAATTGTCGACACTTAATGCACTCTGTGTACTGGCAAACACTGGGCTCAAACAATAGTACTCTCCAAATTCCAAAATGGATAGACAGAAAAAATTCTACTTAGGGGTCTAAGAAAAAATACTGTAGCATATGGGAACAGAAACACTACCTTTTAATATTCAAAAGAAGATTATGGCTCTGGAAAAAAATCATGTCTAATAAACACATTAGAATGTTACAATCTATCTGCTTGAAATCCCCAAAATATGCCCAAGGACATGGCTTCTTTGTGAAGAGAACAGAAATGACAAGGCTGACATAAAGATAGCTATGAAAAGAAACTGATTGAAATGAGAAAAAGAATGTAAGAAAGCCCCAAATACGAAGCCAAATTAAAATCTACATAGAAGGGAAGAAGAGAATAAAAGAGCAAAATTGATGCTGCAAAATAATAAACCAATTATGTGGAGGGCAAACTTGAGAAAGTCTCCTAGAATACATTGTAATGAATTTAAGAATTTTCTTTGTTTGTTTTTGGAGACAGAGTCTCACTCTGTCACCCCGGCTGGAGGGCAGTGGTGCCATCATAGCTCACTGTAACATTGAACTCCTGGGCTCATCTGATCCTCCTGCCTCAGCCTCTCAGGTAGCTAGGCCAACAGGCATGCCACCATGCCTGGCTAAACTTTATACTTTACTTTTTGTAGACAGTGTCTCATTATGTTGCCCTGGTTGGTCTCAAACTCCTAGCCTCAAGTGATCCTCTCACCTTGGCTTCCCAAAGCATTGAGATTACACGTGTGAGCCACCAGGCCCAGGCAAATTTAACAATGTTTTGATTGCAAGTTAACAGGAACACTATTCAGTCTATTCAGTGAATCTTCCTTGGGCCTAAGACTGTTCAAGTGGGGTCTGCCACTTGCAACCAAAAGAGTTCTGGTAGTTTGAATAATATAACAATTAAGGCTGATTTAATAAATATAACATTAGATTTTGTGCATCACAAATAAAAGTTGTGCATTTTCAAGTGTCCATGAAATAATGTTCCACTTAACATTTTTTCCTTTTTATAAGAGGCAGATGAAATTAACTGACTCTGATGATTTTCATTTGAGCTTTACATACATGCTTGTGCATTTTTATATAAATGTATTATACTTTAGTACCCCTAAAGCCCACAGAAAACAAAAAGGAAAACAATCCAACCAGAAAAACTGGCACAAGACAGAAGTATGGAATTGATAAAGATAAAAACAGAGGTAAATCAAAACAAATGAAAGAATTGATAGATTCATGAGGTACCTTGAACAGAGATTAAATATAATTAAATGAATCTTAGTTTTGAAAAAGTGGATGTAAGAGACATTAGATGGAAATGTTTTATATATCTGGAAACTTATCCAAATAACTTTATGAAGCTAATATAACTTTGATACAAAACTTTAAAAATGCAAAACACAAAATTACTTACGTAATAGGATCAAAATTCATGATGTTAATACAGTGAATTAATCAGTTACATAAAAATAACAATCTGTTATGATTTAGTTATATTTAGACTTGTAATGCAAAGGTGTTTTAATATTAGGAAATCATATATACACATCATCAGGACAAACCAAAAAATTCATTATCATCTCAGTATAGGCTGAAAAAGTTATTTAATAAAGTGAACATTTATTCCTGATACAAACTCAGTGAACCAAGAATAAAATTATATTTCCTTAATAACTATCTTAAACAATAGTCTAAATCTTTCTTTTTTCCTTTTTTTGTCAGACAGAGTTTCTCTCTGTTGCCCAGGCTGGAGTGCAGTGGCGAAATCTTGGCTCACTGCAACCTCCACCCCCCAGGTTCAAGCATTTCTCGTGCCTGACCCTCCTGAGTAGCTGGGATTACAGATGTGCACCACCACACCAGACTAATTTTTGTATTTTTTTTTTTTCAGTAGAGACAGGGTTTCACAGTGTTGGCCAGGCCTGTCTCAAACTCCTGGTCTCATGTGATCTGCCTGCCTTCGCCTCCCAAAGTGCAAGTATTACAAGCGGGAGCCACCACGCCCAGCCTAAATCATTCTTAATAATAAAATACTATAGTACTATTTCCCAAAATGTCATTGAACATTTTTGTTCATTTTAGGAATATTGGCTAAATTTGGTGGTGGTCAGTGCAAAGTCAGGGTGAGGAAGAGAGACTAAGTTAGGTTTTCGTCGCATAGAACACCAAGGTGTAATCCACCAAATACACCTTTAGGTGGATTAAAAAATTAAAGCAAAAATAGAAATGTTAAAAGATCAGAAGAATTAATCAATTAATTAATCTGTCCTGGGGAAGGACATTCTCAGCATAAAGACAGCTTAAGAAATCACATATTAATAGATTCAATTTCATTAAAATTTAAATCTTCTGTAAGTTATAAAGCATTTTTATAAAAATAAGGTTAAATGGAAATTCAGAAAAGTATTTCCAACAAAATAACAAAAGGTTTATTTACTTAATCAACAAAGAACTCTCACAAACGACTAAGAGAAATATGAATGCTCCAGTAGGAAAAACAAGAAAAAGGAATGCAATGACTCATAGAAGAAATACAAAAGGACATTAAGCTTATGAAAATGCAAATTAAAACAAAACAAAAATACCATTCTTTTGGTCTCACGAATATGCGAAGACTAATAAAAGATAATACTGGTAAACATGTGTTGGACAAGCACTCTAACTATAAATTAGTTGCAAATTCCCAGTAACTTGGGGATACATATATTGAGCGACTTACATAAATTCACACTATTGGACCCAATAATTCTACCCCCAGTTATCTATCCAAAAGAATTAATTGGTGACATTTTGGTATCCCTTATCTAACAATCCATATCATCCATATCAAATGTTCTCATTCAAAGATTATCCAGCATTGTAGTTTATGATTTTAAAAACTCTAGTCCTTATGCCTATGGCACTTTTGAGTTTTTTATGCCATGATATTGCAGCAGTTTTGAGAGATGATTTTATGGAAAATTGGGATAGTCTCCACAATCACAACTAAATAAAGAAGAAACAAGTAACCTGAAAAAAACAAAAAAGTTCTTTGGCAATACAGATAAAGATTTTGTAGAAAGGTGTTCATCAGAGGGTTATAAATAGATAAAGCATTGGAAATAATGTAAACATTAAAAAATAGGGAAATGATTAGTTAGTTATGACATATCCGTAAAATGGAATATCATATAGAAATTAAAAAGAATTTTAATAATTTGAGAACACACTAACAATATAATATGTTATTGTAAATGGTAACAGAATAAAAAATTATATGCAATATAATCCCAATTTGAAATATCATATACAGATAGATATACATGCATACTTACTGCACAACATATATATATATATATATTTTTTTTTTTTTTTTTTTGAGATGGAGTCTTGCTCTGTTGCCCAGGCTGGAGTGCAGTGGCATGATCTAGGCTCACTGCAACCTCCGCCTTCTGGTTCCAGCAATTTTCCTGCCTCAGCCTCCCAAGTAGCTGAAACTACAGGTGGGCGCCACCATGCCTGGCTAATTTTTTGTACTTTTAGTAGAGACAGGGTTTCCCCATGCTGGCTAGGCTGGTCTCAAACTCCTGACCTCTTGATCCACCTGCCTCGGCCTCCCAAAGTGCTGGGATTACAGGTGTGAGCCACCGCACCTGGTCACAACATTTTTATATTTATGTAAATTTATATAATGTAGCAGAAAAACTTGGAAAAAAGCACCAAAATCTTAACAGTGGGTAACTCTTGGTTGATGGCTTAGGGACAATTTTGTTGTTCTTCTTTATTCTTTTTTTATAGTTTCCAAATTTTCTACAGTGAATATATATGAATGTAGTTAACACTATTAAATTGCACATATAAAGAAGGTTAGGATGATAACTTTTATATTATATCTGTTTTACCAAACTTTAAAAAAAGATTACAACAGAAAGAGAGATAAACAGGACAGAAAGGAAGAATAGAAAGCTCTATTAAGCCCAGGCAAGGTGGTATTGCACCACTAGCAGAACCTTAGAACTGGGCCACTGGGAACTCACCTCTGATTACTGCGAGTCTTCATTTGCTAAATTTGTTCCCTGCTTTATTAATTCTGTGAGATGAAAACTCTGCATATCAAGTTGTCACCAATTAATGGATACTTGAATAACATGTAGCATACCCACAAAGAAATAAGCTTTCTTGAAGCCATATTCTTTTAGGGACTCTTAATTTGGAGATCAGCACTGTGAGGAAGTGGTTCGTGAATGGTTTTGGGAGGTTCTTCATTCTCCTGAAAAATTCTGTCTGTAACTAAACATGTGTATCTTTATAGGAATAACGCACTTTGCTATTAACAGATTTTCTTTTTTCTTTTTTTTTTCTGTTTTTTTGAGACCGAGTCTCGCTCTGTCACCAGGCTGGAGTGCAGTGGTGTGATCTCAGCTCACTGCAACCTCTGCTTCCCAGGTTCAGGTGATTCTCCTGCCTCAGCCTCCTGAGTAGCTGGGATTATAGGCTCCTGCCACTGCACCCGGCTAATTTTTGTATTTTTAGTAGAGACGGGGTTTCACCATGTTGGTCAGGCTGGTCTCGAACTCCTGACATTGTGATCCACCTGCCTCGGCCTCCCAAAGTGCTGGGATTACAGGCGTGAGCCCCACGGCCAGCCAACAGATTTTCAAAGGGGACCGGAGATTGAGAACCACTGTCAGGAAGAATGTTTTTCACATGGTTTAGTCTACTTAATTTCACTGAAATTTACAGCTGGTGCTCACAGAATTCAAATATCTCCCTTACAATATCTAAAAAGGTTCTCTACCTCAAGGTTTTATGGGCATAATAGATTATTTCAGAGGGATTGATCCTTCACTGTTGGAAGTTCAGAATATATATACATATTTATATATTATATATGTTATATATAAATAGTTTATATATATATAAAAAAATAACTATCTCTCTCTCTCTCCCCCAGGAGTTTGAGACCAGCCTGGCCAATATGGTGGTGTGCTCCTGCAATCTTGGCTACTTGGGAGGCTGAAACAGGAAAATTCCTTGAACCTGGGAAGCGGAGGTTGCAGTGAGCTGAGATCACACCATTGCCCTCTAGCCTGGGTGTTGCAGCGAGACTCTGTCTCAAAATGCACACATACACACACACACACACACACACACACACGCAAAAAAATGGAGGCTTGCATTTGGTGCTCCCATATCTTCTTATTTGGGTAAGGTCACTTGAAGCTCAATTGGGCTACACCAGTGCTTCTCAAACTTTAATCTCAAATTGTAATGTGGGTAAGAATTACCTGGGGTCCTTGTTATAATGAAGATCCTGGTTCATTGTGTCTGGCGCAAGGCTTGAGACAGCATTTCTAATGAGTTCCCAGGTAAAGCTGATGCTGCTGGTCCATAGAGCACACTTTGAGTAGCAAGGTACGAGACAACAATGCTTCAGTTCTTCTTTTTAATTGGATCCTTCTCTATTTGCCGGTCAGCTGCCTGTGTGTTATTTCCCTTTCTTTACAGTTTTGCACAAACCTTGATGAGGTGAATGGTATTTTATTTCCTTCCCATTGAAAGGGCAAGTGACTTCCTGACTGGGGCTCAAGCTGACAAGGAAGGTTTCCCTCCATCCCAAACAGGCAGATATGTGAACATTATGAACCTTAGGCATCAGACCAGTAAGCACCCACATTGACACCAGTAAACATACCATTTGCTATGGTAGTTTGAGTGGGTATCCCTGATTCTGTGTACCATATTATGCAGGCAACACGCATATGTCTATATATGCATACATACCCCTTGTAATGTAATACATTTTCACATTGTAGGGATTCTTTACAATTGTTGAAACTGAGTAATGTTTCACAGCATTACATCTGTGCTTATGTTTAGCACTACTTTCATTGATGTTATTTGTTTACAAGTCTTTTGTACTACTTTGTAAGCATGTTGAGGGAAAGGACTATTATGCCTAACTCAGGCTTGCATCATCTCAGAGCCTGCTAGGCACACGGTGAATGTTTTTGGAAATGGACAGTAGTAGTATGAATTGTTAGTTACCATGATAATGCTCAGTGGTGCCACCTCAAATCTCTGTGGCTTAAAATAATTAGCATTTATTTAGCTTATTAGTTTGTTGATTCACAATTTAGGTTGGGCTTGGTAGGGTAGTTCCTCTGGTCCAGATTGGACTCACTGACATGTCAGGTGGTTGGCTACTGCTGGCTAGGTGACCAGGGGGACTGAGCATGTGTCTCATCCACTAGCAGGCTAGCCCATTCATTTTCTCATGGTGGTGGCAGAAGTGCAGGAGTGCATAGAGACAAGTAAGTGCTTTCAAGCCTCTGCTTGCACCATATTTGATAATATCCTATTGGCTCAAGCAATTTACCTGGTCAAGCCAGATTCAAAGGGGAGGGCACTATAAAGTGATATGGCAAAGAAGGGGTAAAGAATTGGAGTCATTTTGTGCAGTCAATCTACCACAGTGGTTTTTCTTTTCTTCATTTTCACAATATCATCCCCCAAGTCTAAAATTCCTACAATGTGTGGAAATAGCATAATGACACTGAAGTCCTTCTTTATTTTAATTTTGAAACCCATAGTTAGTTCTGCCATAATAGATGCTTGATCTGAAGTGATTTAGTCAAAGACATGAAGATCCTGATTTTTACTGGAGTGCATCCTGGGTTTCATTATAGTCCATTCTCACGTCAGGTGTATCAGCCACAATCCTATCCACCTGCTGGTGCACAATCCTTCCAGGCATAGGGCCAACACGCAGGGAAGCAGACAGCCATGTGTTTTAATCAGCATCTGTATCTTGATTTTTTGGGTTGCTCTTTGAGCCATGTTAAACAAAAACATTAAAATTACCTTAAAAGCACCTTGATGAAAAGACATTGTTATCAACTTTCTCATCAGATGAGAGGAAAATTCTGAACATGGGGATAAGTGCAACAGCACTGACTTCACTGAACTCAAAATAAAAAATATAATACATGCCTAGTTTAACAAAATGATCATAAAGAAACCATTGATTGTAATAACAAGAAAAACTCAGTAACCGATGTCATTCTCAGTGTCCCCTTACCCGTCTACTACAAGGAGATATATTACATGAAACATATGCACATAATTGAGAGGCAACTAGAATTGCTTAAAAAGAGATACTCAACAAACAGCAATAAAATTTAGACCAAATATCAGAAAACTATTAAGCCTAAGCAGTAACATTGATTAGAGCACTATTTTCTTATTTGGTTAGTCCTAGGAGGACCATTGAGTTGCTATTTCGTTTAAGCTGGTGAAAAGGTAAACTAATCTTGTTTAACGGGCAGAAGATGCAGAAGCAGTGCTTTTTGTCTTCATTGCAAGGGATGGATCAGAAATAGTTCAAACTTCATTAAGATTATTGAGTTCAACACATTATTTATTTCCTGGAAATTTCGAGACTTGTAGAGATACACGCCTCAGCTCAGTGAAAAAACATTCTGCCAGCCCTATGTACAATTGGGAATTAGGCCAGTGGTATCTTCAGATCGCAGCTTCAGCCCTTTCTTCCAGGAGGTACTCTATTGCAAATCATCTTTCAAGATGACAAATAGAGGTCTCTGGTTTCTCCTCCTTATCGAAAAGACCTAAAGCCCATTTGGATGCCAGTGTTAATGATGGCTAACAAGTCTCCAAAGAGAAAAAAGTTTTCTGAGAAAGGTTTTATTGGTGAAGGTTTATATACCATTCTTACTCCTAAAATAACATCCAGACAGCTGTCTTTTTGCAAGGGAGGACCCTGAAGATTACAGCTCATCAGTATGTATGCAAATAAAAAAACACATAAGCACATCTGATAGAAAGTAAAAGTTTAGGCCCGACGCAGTGGCTCACGCCTGTAATCCCAGCACTTTGGGAGGCCGAGGCGGGCGGATCACGAGGTCAGGAGATCAAGACCATCCTGGCTAACACGGTGAAACCCCGTCTCTACTAAAATACAAAAAATTAGCCGGGCGTGGTGGCGGGCGCCTGTGGTCCCAGCTACTCGGGAGGCTGAGGCAGGAGACTGGCGTGAACTCGGGAGGCGGAGCTTGCAGTGAGCCGAGATCGCGCCACTGCACTCCAGCCTGGGCGACAGAGCGAGACTCTCTCTCAAAAAAAAAAAAAAAAAAAAAAGGAAAGAAAGTAAAAGTTTAGGCATTTCTGCTCAAATAAGACTGAAGACCTCTAACAATTTTCCCCTTCCAAAACTCTACTAGAAGTACAGCAAAGAATAAACCCAAATGGGAAAAGCAGCAAGAAAGAAGACAATGGCAGATAAACATTTATTAACTATATTCTAGAAGCCTGACAGCAGAAAGACATATGGTAACTGACTTGAATCAGTTTCTCTTCTCTGCCAATGGTGGTAATGGTCGTGGTGATAGGGTTATTAGTGGTGGTGATGGCATAAGTGGTGATGGTGGTGGTGATGGAGGGTGGTGGGAAAGCACCTCTTTCCTTTTACACAGTGAATTGCTTGAGAGCAGCGAGAATTCATCTTGTGTACACTGGACATGTCCACAAAGTCTGGGTAAGCAATCATTTCACAGCAAAGCGTCTGATGAATTGAATGGAAGGTTCTGTCAAAAACGGAAGGATCTGAGATGTACCCTACTTGCAAGCAAACAGGTCAGCCTGCCACTGATGTTGATAGAACCGGGGAACTTCTGGGTAAGAGACAAAGGACTTTATTAATCGTGACACAAAAATAGCACGAGCGTCATATCCACATAGGTTCCTTTTGCCCCACAAGTCCCATGGGAGTGATACTGAAGAAATCAGGTGGCTGCATATGCAAGAATTTGTATCTTAGCTGAAGAACCACAGCTTAATGAAACCCCAATGTTTTGTAATCTTTTTCTTTAGGCCTCACGCAAGCAAAATCTGTCTAACTTTTGCCCAGGAGGGAAACAGTGTATTTATTATATTGGACAGCAAACAAACCTCCCGTCTGTTCCAGAGGGAGGTATTATATCCATCTTCCAAGGCTGTTTGTTATACGAACATCCTTGAAAAATTTGTGGATAACAAAAGTTGCCAGTGCCCCTGCTCATAAGACATGTAGAAATACAAGAGACCCATGGAGAATTGTTTCCCAGCCTGTTTGCCACCAGGCTCATAAGACTCTTCTGACTATTCTGACAGCAAAATATACCTTGACAACTTAGCCTGTGAACCAGTCCTTGCAATCCCATATAATTTTAACTATAAATTGTGAAAACAAACACCTCCACTTTGCCAGTTCATTGTCTATTTTTCTCAGCTCTACACCTGTAAGACTGGGACTCCAACTGCATCTTCCAGCTCAGTTCCAGAGAGATTCTACCAAAAGGAGGCATTGATGGAATAGTGGAGGAGAGGAAGAGGGGATAATGGACCCTTTCCTGGCTTCCAGCTCAGGTTTGCCTCCTTCCAGTAGGAGAGGACAGCTATAACTATAGCTGCAGGCTTCTTGTGGCGCTTCCAAAGCCAGTCCTGCAACTGCCCCTCAGAGGTACATGCAGCAGCCATGCTGTTGGAGCAGCAGTCCCACCACAATCCCTCACCCACCCACCCACCCTTCATCAACTGTCCTAGCACCTTTCACACTATCTCCAGAATACCATTTCCATTGTCTTCCAGCCCCGTCTCCTTGGCCTTCCCGCGCCCACCTGGCTGCACTTCTTCCTCATAGATTTGAGTATCAGTTGTATGGAATTGTCCCTTCCAATCTTACAACCCCTTAGAACTTTCATATTCTAATGTTATCTGTTCCTGTTTGTTCTTCCAGCCCTAGAGGTGATAACTTTCCCTGGCATTTTTAATCTTCAAATTACTTTAGCCTCCCACCTCAATCTTTAAATGCCTGTATAACAATTCTCTCCATTAAATGCCTTCTGTTTGAAGTACTTAGCATGGTTTCTTTTTTCCCGACTGGACCCTGACTGATATACTATTCATAGTTTAAAATAATTTCATGTTCTAGGCCAGGCACGATGGCTCACACCTGTAATTCTAGCATTTTGGGAGGCCAAGGCAGGCGGATCACTTGAGGTCAGGAGTTTGAAGCCAGCCTGACCAACATGGTGAAACTCTGTCTCTACCAAAAATACAAAAACTAGCTGGGTGTAGTGGTGCATACCTGTAATCCCAGCTACTCAGGATACTGAGGCAAGAGAATCGCTTGAACCCTGAAGGCGGAGGAGGTAGTGAGCTGAGATCATACCGCTGCACTCCAGCCTAGGTGACAGAGCAAGACTCTGTCTCAAAAATAATAATAATAATAATAATAAAATTTTATGTTCTAATTCAGTATTTAAATATCTATCTATCTATCTATCTATCTATCTATCTATCTATCTATCTATCTATCCTTTTTGAGATGTAGTCTCACTCTGTTGCCCAGACTGGAGTACAGTGGCACGATTTTGGCTCACTGCAACCTCCACCTCCCAGGTTCAAGTGATTCTCCTGCCTCAGCCTTCTAAATAGCTGGGACTACAGGCATGCGCCACCACGCCAGGCTAATTTTTCGTATTTTTAGTAGAGATGGGGTTTCACCATGTTGCTAAGGCTGGTCTCGAACTCCTCCCCTCAGGTGATCTGCCCGGCTCGGCCTCCCAAAGTGCTGGGATTACAGTCATGAGCCATGGCACTCAGTCTTTTATATTTTTTAATTTAATTTTTGTCTTTACTAAAGGACATAGTTTAAAATATCAAATAGTATGGAAGGCCTTTGCCAGTGGTGTACTGGCCAATATTTAACAACCAAAAACAGAGTACTATTCAGTCATAGAAAAGAATGAGATGCTGTCATTTGCAACTAAATGGATGGAACTGAAGGTCATTATGTAAAGTGAAATAAATCAGTCACAGAAAGACAAACATTGCATGTTCTCACTTATTTGTGAGAGCTAAAAATCAAAACAATTGAACTCATGGAGATAGAGGATAGAATGATGGTTACCAGAGGCTGTGTACTATAGTGGGGGTTGGGGAGGTAGGGATGGTTAATGGGTATTTCACAGGGGACTACGGTCAATAATAATTGTACATTTAAAAGTAACTGAGAGTATAATTGGATTGTTTGTAACACAAAAAATAGATGCTTCAGGGGATGGATACCCCATTCTCCATGATGTGATTATTCTCATTGCATGTCTGTATCGAAACATCTAATGTACCTCATAAATATATACACCTACTATGTGCCCACAAAAATTGAAAATTAAAAAAAATTAACAACGAGCTCTCTGGAGAAAAAAAAAACCCTTCATTTGTAATGTATGTTGATTTCCATGTTGTAAATACTCCATCCAGGGCCAATTTCAATCTACCAATGTGACAGAAGAGATGTGCACCATCAGCTCTTGTGAGCTAGTGTGAACCAGCTGCAGAACATCACTGATCTTTCTTCATTCTTCTTCACCTTCAAGGTGACTGCTTTCATCTCTTTCAGCCATCATTTTTGGTATTGGCTTTCATATTTCCACTTAAAGATTAACTAAAGGGGCTATCATCCACAGTGCAGATGCAGAAAATAATTAGCATTTACTGGTCACACTCTTTGTTTACTCTTCAATTAGTTAATTCCTCTCCTTCATGCCTCAGTTTTAATGGTATTTCCTGAGAGATGCCTTCCCTGACCACCTCAATTTAAATTAGGTCCCTCCTGCCTCCGGTCATTCTCATGCCACTTTATTCTTTAATTTCATGGCACATATCCCAGTTTGTAATTATGTAATTATATTTATGTTCATTTATTTATTGTCTGCCTCCTCCACTAGTTTGCAAGCTCCATAATGCCAGAGACTTCACATATTTTATTCCTCACTGCATTCTTGAGTAGTATCTAAAAAGCACTTTGATTAGCACCTGGTACCTTGTAGATAAATAAATAAAGGAATGAAGGAATAATAAAAAGAGTGAATTAATAATATATGCTAGATACTATCCAAAATTATTTCATACATGTTATTTCATTTATTTTCAACAACACCCCTTACTAAGTAGTTATCACTGTCTTTATTTTACAGATGAGGAAATTGTCTTAAAGAGGTTAAGTAATGGATTTCAAAGTCATATAGGGAGTGTCGGACTTGAAATAAAACTTAGGCCTTTTGATTTAAAACACCATTTACTTATTTATTGCTCCATTTATTGCTGAATTACCATTCAGCTTCATAACTCTGCTAAGAGGCCTTGAATTGTACCTTATTCTAAGTTTTCATATTTTGATTGGCAGTCCTTGATCTAAACAAAAGATCAAATCTGACTCCTAATTATGTCTTTGACCTAATACTTAACCACTTCTTGTTCTTGATTTGTCCTGGTGATTTACAGGACATACCCTATCACTAAGTGGCTAAGGTCCCAATCCTATACAAGAGTGAAATTGGATAAGATAGTGGGGATTGGCTGTTGGTGGGCCAGACTAAAAACTTGAACTTCATTCTGTCAGCAACATCTATTGCCATTTTAGTGATCAAAGTGAAGAATTTTTAGGAGAATGAAGATGGTGTCAGAATGTGGAGCAAATTAAAGTGGAGAGATGCAGGGGGCAGGAAGATAATCTCAGGGTCTCTTGCTTGAATCCATGTTTGAGGTATTGAAGACTTGAACTAGGATAGTGGCACTATGAAGAGATGACAATAAGGGACCTAAAAAGAACAATCAACAGAGTTCAGTGACAGAGTTACATGTTTTATGGAGGGTGAATAGGATTGAGAAAGAGTGGTACTGGATTCTGCTCCCTACTCAGCCAATTACTAGACATCTGCCTCTTGGCCTCAGCTTCCTTATCTTTAAAGTAGAGGACAGGCCTAGATGACCTATGTCTCCTGCAATTTGGAAACTTTGTTATGAAAATAATAAAAATTAATGCAAAGATTTGGGACCCAAATGACAGTGAGTTTCACAGAAACAAGGAAGGTAGAACATACCTCACTGTGCTTGTGTGTTGCTTGTGTATGTATGCCTGTGTGTATGTGAATGTGCATGCACGCTAGAGGAGAAGGACAAGTGGGAACAGGAAATAACTGGGACAAATATAGACCTTCTCACATGGTAGTGAATAATTGTCATGGAAATGTATCAGCACGTGTATCAGCTTGTTCTGTGTCCATCCCTAAACTTAGGGTAACTTAGTGTCCTGCAGGGGCTGAAAAATCTAAAAACTAAAACTAGGGTTCAGGATACAAATTGGATTCTGTCAGTTAGATGCACATGGCTTAGCTTTGTAAGGCAGAAATAAAGTAAAGACCATATTATTCTCTCAAAGAGCAAAGTCATGGAGACATTCACCTAGGAGTTGAGGTGGCCAGATTTGGTGTTCCAGTATCTAATCACCAGATTTGTGGGTGCTGAGAGACAGTGCTGGTAAGGGCTTTCTGATTCCTAGATCAGACTTCTTGATGCCAGATACTCCAACTCATTCAATGATTTTGCAAACATCTGATTATCTATATGAAACATCTGTTTAAAATATCTAAAAAGGCTTGTATTTCCTTCAGGAATCTGCCTAATAAAGATATCAAATTCCACAAAACTTCCATTTAGTCTATTGATTTCACTACATTGTTGATTTTAGAGTCATCCCTTTTGCTTATTAATAGACTACAATTTTCTTTCATATTAAGGGAATAAAAGACTCTCCTTGCAGGAAATGCCATTAGAGTCTACTACAAAACATGATTTCTTATTCATAAAAAAGAGACAAATTTACCCCATTTCAGGGGACTGTCTAATCAGAGGCTAGATGACATCTGGTTTTCCCCATGGTCTTTGGTCAACTGCAGAGAGGAAGAGAGTGAGATAACAAGTACCCTACACTGAATTGTAAGTCCTTTAGGACATCAAAAATTGCTGTGTCATCCTGGCTGAGAAAAACATTAGGGCATAACTAAGAGAACAAGATACTCAGAGAAATCTTATTGTATTTGTGGATGAGAAGTCATCAAAAGTCAAGTCAATGGTACTGTCATTGCATATGTGTCCTAGAGATTTATGCATTTAGGCATATTATTTATATCAGTAGTTCTCCAAGTGTGGTCCTTAGACCGGTAGCATTAACATCACCCGGGACTTGTTAAAAATACAAATTCCTTTTGGCATGGAGTATAGCATTAAAAAAAAAAAGAAAAGAAAGAAGTACAAACTCTTAGGTCCTACCCCAAACATACTGGAATCAGAAACTCTAGTGGAAGATTATTGGTCATTAGTATACATTCACAAAGTCCTTCATGGTCAATGATAACTAACTTTTTTCTATGGGTGTGATGATCTATCAGTGGGTCTCTGGGTGGGACCTACCAGTGAATGACTGACAGCTATGGATAAGCATTCTTTGTGGGTGCTAGTCTAGGCTTTGAGGTTTGGTAACTTACCCAAGAGCAATGGTAGTAAATAGAGAACAACTTTAATATATTTTCCAAATGTTTATTAAAATAAGAAAAATAATATTATTCCACATAGGAAAAATTTCAGTGTTTTTTAACAAATATATATTCTATGAAAATTATATATGAATAACATTGACTGTTTCATAAGTGAACCAGTTTGAAAATAATTTTGGAGATCTGTTCTGTGACATTTTGTGTCTAATCATAAAATATTGAGACTCAAATATATGTCCATGGGATAGCTCTCAGAATCAAAGACATTATATACTGCTTATGTTTTTTTTTTAGATGGAAGAGAATTCAAAGTATTTTTTACTGGTAAATAATTTTTAGTGACAAGTAATTAGATGCTACCTGAGTTCATAATAGCTTAATATATTATTATTTCGCCTAAAACATGTATGAAGCAATTTAATATTAGGCAAATACAGTTATGGAGACAGTTGCTGTCCTGGATTACCCTACTCTTTAAATAAGAATTCAGGCTAATGCTGATTAATTTTAATAAATTCTTTCAAAGGTGTATATGAGGAGGCATACCGATTGAATATTATAAATAGTTTCTTAAGATCAAATCTTTTAAATCCTTCAAAAGCATATAGCCATTTTAATATTATCAAATGCTGGTTCAGTGTATTTCACTGTCATCAGAACTGGGAATGAAATATTTGGGGTGCAACTAATAACATTCAAACCTTGCTCATATTGTTTCATGAGCATCTACCTTTTATGAAGCGAGTCCTATCTCTGTGAATAATTTGTTCCATAACCCAATTCATTCTGTTGGTTAAAAATGTAGGTATTATTGCATAATCTTGTTGAGAAAAATAGAGTAACAACTTGAACAGCCAAGTAGCTCTTTTATTCATTTTCAATAATAATGTAAAAACGGGACCACAAATTGATGTACGCATGTGGAACTATTTGAAATAAAAATGAAGAAATCTTCTCTTTTACAGAGTTCAATTCTTCAAGGAATTGCAGCAACATTTTTCTCTCTGTATGTTCTGTTAATGTTTTGTCGAGTTTTAACCATTTCTCTCTTTTTGTAAAATTTCCAATGGGATTTGTCTGATTAAAAAAAAGGTTTATGCTTAATGTAGCTTGTATTTTACCCTGAAGGACAAGGGAAATACACCCATTAAATTGAATAATGGAGTTGTTTTAATGACCAGAATGAATCTTTCAGGGATGTAGCTGCACTTCTCCCCAAAATGCCTATTTCAACCATTCTGGCCTTTTTGAGAGTAGATTTTATTAGTCACACCTTCCCATCTCTCTTGCATCTTTAATCCTTACCTTGACTTCTGCTGGAAACATGCTCACTTCTGCTCTATTCTAAATTACAAACCTTCTCTCCACTCTGTACTCCCCTCAAGCTATTGTTCTATTGTTCTCTTCCACTTTACCACCAAATCACGAAAGGGCATTCCAGGGTCCCAGCCTCCATTCTCTGAATACCCGCTCACTTAACTATCCAAAATATGGCTTTAAGCACAACATTTGGAATAACATCTACTTCTTGCCGAGAAAAAAGGGAAATGTTATTAGAGGGAACTACACAGATGGTTTCAACCATATTAATATTGTTCTATTTCTTTAAATCATTTTATATGTATGAAATATTTTATATTTTTAAAGTAGCTTCCATCATCATTATTCTGCTAAAACTGTCACCAATGATCATCTGGTTGTCACAATCAATGATTTTTCTCCCCATTGTAACTTTCTAAAATATTGATGCTATTGCTCAAACTTTCTTTGTATAAAATTGTTTTCTGATTATAAAGTATTATATACTTATTATAAAAATACAGACAATGCAGTGAAAAATAAAGAAAAAAAAGCTATGATCTTCATTATTCTCATTACCCAGAGGTAGCCACTGTGAGCATTTTATTTTATTTTTTGAGACAGAGTCTCGCTCTGTCACTCAGGCTAGAGTGCAGCGGTGTGATCTCGGCTCACTGCAAGCTCCACCTCCCAGGTTTGCGCCATTCTCCTGCCCCAACCTCACAAATAGCTGGGACTGCAGGTGCCCGCCACAACGCCTGGCTAATTTTTTGTATTTTTAGTAGAGATGGGGTTTCACTTTGTTAGCCGGGATGGTCTCAATCTCCTGACCTTGTGATCTGCCCACCTTGGCCTCCCAAAGTGCTGGGATTACAGGTGTGAGCCACCATGCCTGTCCCACTGTGAGCATTTTTTTACTGCAAGTGTTTGTGTGTGTGTGCATATTTCTACATAGTAGAGTGGCCATTTTTTTTCTGATTTTCCCCTTAATATTAAATTAAAGGCATTTCCACAAGTCATTTTGAGAGATGAAGCCAGCTGGACTTCCTGGGCCAAGTGGAGACTTGGAGAACTTTTCTGTCTAGCTAAAGGATTGTAAATGCACCAATCAGCACTCTGTAAAAATGCACCAGTCAGCACTCTGTGTCTAGCTAAAGGATTGTAAACACACCAATTAGCACTCTGTAAAATGGACCAATCAGCATCTGTAAAATGGACCAATCAGTGCTCTGTAAAGTGGACCAATCAGCAGGACATGGGCGGGGCCAAACAAGGGAATAAAAGCTGGCCACTGCAGTCAGCAGTGGCAACCTGCTTGGGTCCGCTTCCACACTGTGGAAGCTTTGCTCTTTCGCTCTTCACAATAAATCTTGCGGCTGCTCACTCTTTGGGTCTGCACTACCTTTATGAGCTGTAACACTCACCATGAGGGTCTGTGTCTTCATTCCTTGAAGTCAGTGAGACCACGAACCCACTGGGAGGAACAAACAACTCCAGATGCGCCACCTTTAAGAGCTGTAACACTCACCGCAAAGGTCTGTGGCTTCACTTCTGAAGTCAGCGAGACCACGAACCCACTGGAAGGAAGAAACTCCAGACACACCATCTTTAAGAGCTGTAACACTCACCGCAAAGGTCTGTGGCTTCATTCTCAAAGTCAGTGACACCAAGAACCCACCAGAAGGAATAAATTCTGGACACATTTTGGTGACCACGAAGGGACTATCACCTATCGCCAAGTGGTGAGTACCATTGGACCCCTTTCACTTGCTATTCTGTCCTATTTTTCCTTAGAATTTGGGGGCTAAATACTGGGCACCTGTCAGCCAGTTAAAAGCGACTAGCATGGCCACCAGACTAAAGACACGGGTGTTAGGCTTTCTGGGAAAGGGCTCTCTAACAGCCCCTGACTCTTCAGAGTTGGGAGCATTGGATTGCCTGGAACCAGCTTCTACTTTTCCTGTACTTCTGGGCTGAGCCATGGGTCGACAGAGAGGAAAGCCATTCAGCTCCAGCGTCCCGACAACAAGTTGGTTAACCCTGCAGCCATGAGTGGAACTCTCAAAGTCACGTCGTCCATGTGAGACTCAGCCATCTATCCTATCTATCCTGCCCTTGCCTCCTGGGTCCTAACGCCTGTCAGACAAACTTCCTCTCACCTCTTTTCTCTGAGGCTAGTCCTGCTTCTAAAAACCACTCCCTGTCTCTGGTGCTTTTCTAGTTTCTCCTGTAAGAATGATTTCTAGTATAAACTTCAGGACTCTCTTACCTTCTTTAGGCACCCGGGCTCACCAATCAGAAAGACATAATTTTTTCCCAAAGCCCTGTCAGATGGGGACACCAACTAACCTTTTAGGATCCTTCCTCAGACAAGAAGGCCTAACAAGGGCTATTTCTGAAGCTAGGATATGGGGAGCCTCAGAAATTATATTCTTCCTATTCATATGAGTGAGGACAAAAAGCATCACTTCCAACCCTGGAGATCCCTTCCCTCCCTCGGGGTATGGCCCTCCACTTCATTTTTGGGGCATAACATCTTTATAGGATGGGCATAAGGTCCCAATACTAACAGGAGAAAACACTTAGGACTCTAACAGGTTTTTGAGAATGCATCAGTAAGGACCACTAAATCCGACCTTCCTCAGTCCTCCTTGTGGTCTAGGAGGAAAACTAGTGTTTCTGCTGCTGCGTCGGTGAGTGCAACTATTCCAATCAGCAGGGTCCAGGGACCATTGTGGGTTCTTGGGCAAGAGGTGTTTCTGCTGCTGTGTCGGTGAGCACAACTATTCCAATCAGCAGGGTCCAGGGACCGTTGCGGGTTCTTGGGCAAGAGGTGTTTCTGCTGCTGCATCAGTGAGCACAACTATTCTGATCAGCATGGTCCAGGGACCATTGCAGATTCTTGGGCAGGGGGGAAACAAACCAAAACCATGAGTGGTTTTGTCTTTCAGATGGGAAACAGAAATCAACAGGCTCACCCTTGAAATGCATCCTAAGCCATTGGTACAAATTTGACCTGCAAACCCTGAAAAAGAGGCAGCTCATTTTTTTCTGCCCCATGGCCTAGCCCCAATATTCTCTCTCTGATGCAGAAAAATGGCCACCTGAGGGAAGTATAAATTACAATACTATCCTGCAGCTTGACCTTTTCTGTAAAAGTGAAGGCAAATGGAGTGAAATACCTTATGTCCAAGCTTTCTTTTCATTGAAGAAGAATCCACAACTATGCAAAGCTTGCAATTTACATCCCACAGGAGGACATCTCAGCTTACCTCCATATCCTAGCCTCCCTATAGCTCTCCTTCCTATTAATGATAAGCCTCCTCTAATCTCCCCCACCCAGAAGGAAACAAGCAAAGAAATCTCCAAAGGACCACAGAAACCCCCAGGCTATTGGTTATGTCCCCTTCAAGCTGTAGGGGAAGGGGAATTTGGCCCAACTGGGGTACATGTCCCCTTCTCCCTCTCTGATTTAAAGCAGATCAAGGTAGACCTGGGGGAGTTTTCAGATGATCCTGATAGGCACATAGATGTCCTACAGGGACTAGGGCAAACCTTCAATCTCACTTGGAGAGATGTCATGCTATTGTTAGATCAAACCCTGGCCTTTAATGAAAAGAATGTGGCTTTAGCTGCAGCCTGAGAGTTTGGAGATACCTGGTATCTTAGTCAAGTAAATGACAGAATGACAGCCGAAGAAAGGGACAAATTCTTTACCTGTCAGCAAGCCATCCCCAATATGGATCCCCACTGGGACCTCAACTCAGATCATGGAGACTGGAGTCGCAAACATCTGTTGATCTGTATTCTAGAAGGACTAAGGAGAATTAGTAAAAAGCCCATGAGTTATTCAAAGATGTCCACCATAACTCAGGGAAAGGAAGAAAATCCTTCTGCCTTCCTCGAGTGGCTATGGAAGGCCTTAAGGAAATATACTGCCCTGTCACCCGACTCCCTCAAGAGTCAATTGATCCTAAAAGATAAGTTTATTACCCAATCAGCCACAGATATCAGGAGAAAGCTCCAAAAGTGAGCCCTGGGCCCTAACCTGGCAACCTTGGTGTTCTATAATAGGGACCAAGAGGAACAGGCCAAAAAGGAAAAAGCAAGATCAGAGAAAGGCCACAGCCTTAGTCATGGCCCTCAGACAAACAAACCTTGGTGGTTTAGAGAGGACAAAAAATGGAGCAGGCTAATCACCCAGTAGGGCTTGTTATCAGTGTGGTTTACAAGGACATTTTAAAAAAGATTGCCCAATGAGAAACAAGCTGTCCCCTCGCCCACGTCCGCTATGCTGAGGCAATCACTGGAAGGCACACTTCCCCAAAGGGCAAAGGTTCTCTGGGCCAGAAGCCCCCAACCAGATGATCCAACAACAGGACTGAGGGTGCCCAGCGCAAGCGCCAGCTCATTTCATCACCCTCACTGAGCCCCGGGTATGTTTAACCATTGAAGGCCAGGAAATTGACTTCCTCCTGGACACTGGCATGGCCTTCTCAGTGTTAATCTCCTGCCCTGGACGACTGTCCTCAAGGTCCGTTACCATCCGAGGAATCCTGGGACAGCCTGTAACCAGGTATTTCTCCCACCTCCTCAGTTGTAATTGGGAGACTTTGTCTTTTCACATGCCTTTCTTGTTATGCCTGAAAGTCCCACACCCTTATTAGGGAGGGATATATTAGCCAAAGCTGGAGCTATTATCTACATGAATATGGGGAACAAGTTACACATTTGTTGTCCCCTACTTGAGGAGGGAATCAACCCTGAAGTCCGGGCATTGGAAGGACAATTTGGAAGGGCAAAAAATCCCCACCCAGTCCAAATCAGGCTAAAAGACTCCATCACTTTTCCTTATCAAAGGCAATATCCCTTAAGGCCTGAAGCTCATAAAGGATTACAGGATATTGTTAAACATTTAAAAGCTCAAGGCTTGGTAAGGAAATGAAGCAGTCCCTGCAACATCGCAATTCTAGGAGTACAAAAATTGAACAGTCAGTGGAGACTAGTGCAAGATCTTAGACTCATCAATGAGGCAGTAATTCCTCTATATCCAGTTGTACCCAACCCCTATACCCTGCTCTCTCAAATACCAGAAGAAGCAGAATGGTTCACTGTTCTGGACCTCAAGGATGCCTTCTTCTGTATTCCCCTGCACTCTGACTCACAGTTTCTCTTTGCCTTTGAGGATCCTACAGACCACACGTCCCAACTTATGTGGATGGTCTCACCCCAAGGGTTTAGGGATAGCCCTTATCTATTTGGTCAGGCACTGGCCCAAGATCGAGGCCACTTCTCAAGTCCAGGCACTCTGGTCCTTCAGTATGTGGATGATTTACTTTTGGCTACCAGTTTGGAAGCCTCATGACAGCAGGCTACTGTAGATCTCTTGAACTTTCTAGCTAATCAAGGGTATAAGGCATCTAGGTCGAAGGCCCAGGTTTGCCTACAGCAAGTCAAATATCTAGGCCTAATCTTAGCCAGAGGGACCAGGGCCCTCAGCAAGGAATGAATACAGCCTCTACTGGCTCATCCTCACCCTAAGACATTAAAACAGTTGCAGGGGTTTCTTGGAATCACCAGCTTTTGCCGACTATGGATCCCCAGATACAATAAGATAGCCAGGCCCCTCTATACTCTAATCAAGGAGAACCAGAGGGCAAATACTCATCTAGTAGAATGGGAAGCAGAGGGAGAAACAGCCTTCAAAACCTTAAAGCAGGCCCTAGTACAAGCTCCAGCGTTAAGTCTTCCCACAGGACAAAACTTCTCTTTATACATCACAGAGAGAGCAGTAATAACTCTTGGGGTCCTTACTCAGACTCATGGGATAACCCCACAACCAGTGGCATACCTAAGTAAGGAAATTGATGTAGTAGCCAAAGTCTGGCCTCACTGTTTACGGGTAGTTGCAGCGGTGGCTGTCTTAGTGTCAGAGGCTATCAAAATAATACAAGGAAAGGATCTCACTGTCTGGACTACTCATGATATAAATGTCATACTAGGTGCCAAAAGAAGTTTATGGCTATCAGACAACTGCCTGGTTAGATACCAGGCACTACTCCTTGAAGGACAAGTGCTTCAAATATGCACGTGTGTGGCCCTCAACCCTGCCACTTTTCTCCCAGAGGATGGGGAACCAATCGAGCACGACTGCCAACAAATTATAGTCCAGACTTATGCTGCCTGAGAGGATCTCTTAGAAGTCCCCTTAGCTAATCCTGACCTTAACCTATACACCGATGGAAGTTCATTGTGGAGAATGGGATACGAAGGTCAGGTTATGCCATAGTTAGTGATGCAACAGTACTTGAAAGTAAGCCTCTTCCCCCAGGGACTAGTGCCCAGTTAGCAGAACTAGTGGCACTTCCCCAAGCCTTAGGACTGGGAAAGGGAAGAAGAATAAATGTGTATACAGGTAGCAAGTATGCTTATCTAATCCTACATGCCCATGCTGCAATATGGAAAGAAAAGGAGCTCCTAACCTCTGGGGGAATCCCCATTAAATACCACAAGGAGGTGCCAGTCTTACACTGCCAAAGACATCAAAAAGGGGAAGGAGAGGGGAGAACAGCAGCATAAGTGGCTGGCAGAGGCAGGGAAAGACCAGCAGAAAGGAAAGAGAGAAAGAGACAGAAAGTCAGAGAGAGAGAGAGAGGGAGAGAGGAAGAGACAGAGAGACAGAGAGAGAGAGAAAGAGAAAGACAGGAAGTCAAAAAGAAGGAGTCAGAGGAAGAGACAGAGACAAAGAAGGGCTCAAAGAGAGAGACAGAGAGAGGAAGAGACAGAGACAAAGAAAGAAGTCAAATAGAAGGAGACAGAGAGAGGAAGAGACCGAGACAAAGGAGTCAGAGAGAGGAAGAGACAGAGACAAAGAAGGAGTCAGAGAGAGAAGAAGAGACAGAGACAAAGAGGGAGTCAGAGAGAGAGAGAAAGAGAGACAGAAAGTCAAAGCGAGAGAGGAAGAGACAAAGAGGAAGTCAGAAATAGAGAAAGAGAGAGACAAAGAAGAAGTCAAAGAGAAAGAAAGAGAGATGGAAGTAGTAAAGAAAAAGCAGTGTACCCTATTCCTTTAAAAGCCAGGGTAAATTTAAAACCTATAACTGATAATTGAAGGTCTTCTCTGTAACTCTATAACACTCCAATACCACCTTGTTGTCAGTGTAAACAAGGGCGTAGCCCAAAAGCACTGAGGCCACTGACAACCCATAGCCTTCCTATCAAAAATCCTTAACCCAGCAGGCTTCCTAACAGGGGATCTAAATCTTAATTAATTACCATACAAAGGTCCGACCAGACCTAGGAGGAACTCCCTTCAGGACAGGATGATAGATGGTTCCTCCTGGGTGATTAAGGAAAAAAGACACAATGGGTATTCAGTAAGTGATAAGGAAACTCTTATAGAAGCAGAGTTAGGAAAATTGCCTAATAATTGGTCTGCTGTTAGCACTCAGCTAAACCTTAAAGTACTTAGAGAATCAGGAAGGAGCCATCTATACCAATTCTAAGTTAATATGGACTGAACAATGCCTTATTAATAGCAAAGAATAATTGAAATCCCAGACTTACAAGGTTTTCAACAAAAGTAAAGTTTGCTAAAAGTTAACAGTGTAACATGTATTATCCTAACTTCTAATCTTGTGGAAATCAGACCCTATCCATGCCCCTCAAAGCTCAAGTCCATCAGCACAGAGCCATACAACTAATACTCCTACTTATAGGGATAGGAATGGCTACTGCTACAGGATCCAGAATAGCCAGTTTATCTACTTCATTATCCTACTACCACACACTCTCAAAGGATTTCTCAGACAGTTTGCAAGAAATAACAAAATCTATCCTTACTCTACAATCCCAAATAGACCCTTTGGCAGCAGTGACTCTCAAAAACCGCTGAGACCTAGACCTCCTCACTACTGAGAAAGGAGGACTTTGCACCTTCTTAGGGGAAGAGTGTTGCTTTTACACTAACCAGTCAGGGATAGTACGAGATGCTGCCCAGCATTTACAGGAAAAGGCCTCTGAAATCAGACAACGCCTTTCAAACTCTTATACCAACCTCTGGAGTTGGGTGACATGACTTCTCCCCTTTCTAGGTCCCGTGACAGCCATCTTGCTATTACTCGCCTTCCAGCCCTGTATTTCTAACCTCCTTGTCAAATTTGTTTCCTCTAGGATCGAGGCCATCAAGCTACAGATGGTCTTACAAATGGAACCCCAAATGAGCTCAACTAACAACTTCTACTAAGGACCCCTGGGCCAACCCACTGGCCCTTTGACTGGCCTAAAGAGTTCCCCTCTGAAGGACACTACAATTGCAGGGACCCTTCTTTGCCCCTATCCAGCAGGAAGTAGCTAGAGCGGTCATTGTCCAATTCCCAACTGCAGTTGGGGTGTCCTGTTTAGAGGGGGGATTGAGAGGTGAAGCCAGCTGGACTTCCTGGGTCGAGTGGGGACTTGGAGAACATTTCTGTCTAGCTAAAGGATTGTAAATGCACCAATGAGCACTCTGTAAAAATGCACCAATCAGCGCTCTGTGTCTAGCTGAAAGATTGTAAATGCACCAATCAGCACTCTGTAAAAACATACCAATCAGCGCTCTGTGTCTAGCTAAAGGATTGTAAACGCACTGATCAGCACTCTGTAAAATGGACCAATCAGCGTTCTGTAAAATGGACCAATCAGCAGGACATGGGTGGGGCCAAACAAGGGAATAAAAGCTGGTCACCCCAGCCAGCAGTGGCAAGCCACTCGGGTCCCCTTCCACACTGTGGAAGCTTTGTTCTTTTGCTCTTCACAATAAATCTTGCTGTTGCTCACTTTTTGGGTCTGCACTACCTTTATGAGCTGTAACACTCACCACAAGGGTCTGCAGCTTCATTCCTTGAAGTCAGTGAGTCCACAAATCCACCAGGATGAACAAACAACTCCGGATGCACCACCTTTAAGAGCTGTAACACTCACTGCGAAAGTCTGCGGCTTCACTCCTGAAGTCAGCGAGACCATGATCCCACTGGAAGGAAGAAACTCCAGGCACATCTGAACATCTGAAGGAACAAACTCCAGACACACCATCTTTAAGAGCTGTAACACTCACCACGAAGGTCTGCAGCTTCATTCTTGAAGTCAGCGACATAAGAACCCACTGGAAGGAATAAATTCCGGACACATCAGCACTATTCAGAGAGGTAGATTCTAGTAGTGTGGATTTGTCTGATTAAAAAAAGTTTACAGACTTTTTGGGTTACAAGTGACAGAAACTCAGCTCAAAACAGCTTAAGCCAAAAGGGGACTTCATTTGAAGGATGTAGCAGTAGCCCACAGAACCAGAAAAAGAATCACTGTGGTTCAGGAACCACCATGATTCTGGAAATCTAAGAGCTTAAAACTAGGGACTCCCTTGCCATATAGACACTTTTTCACTGTTACTGAAATGCCAAGGGTTTGGTCTATACCAGACAGAAAGTCAACTGAGACAAGTGTTACCAGGGAAGAAGGCTTTATTTGGGTACTGCAGCTGAGGAGATGAGAGATCAGTCTTAAATCCATCTCCCTGACCAGCTAAAATTAGGAGTTTATGTAGCAGGGAAGAAATGTAACCATGTAGGAAAACGGGAATTAGGAAGGGGTAAGGAAGAGAAGTCAGTCAACAGGAAGAAGGTGATCAGTTAGGCAATCATGATAGGCAAGAGGTCTCATGTCTCATTGTCCAGATGTGGTGATCTGGTAAGTTTCAGTTCCTTGATTCTATCTGGGAGGCTTGATTTTTGGTTTCCTGAGACAGGAACTCAGATAAGAAAAATATAACCTTGTCAAGTTTCAACGCTGGGAGGGTCTATTTCTATGTTTATTCAAAGAAACCATAAACATAATTTTTTTTTGTTTGTTTTTGTTTTATTTTGTTTTGTTTGAGATGGATTTTCGCTCTTGTTGCCCAGGCTGGAGTGCAATGCATGATCTTGGCTCACTGCAACCTCTGCCTCCTGGGTTCAAGAGATTCTTCTGCCTCAGCCTCCCAAGTAACTGGGATTACAGGTGCCTGCCACCACACGCAGCTAATTTTTTGTATTTTTAGTAGAGATGGGGTTTCACTATGTTGGCCAGGCTGGTCTTGAACTCCTGACCTCAGATGATCCATCCTCCCAAAGTGCTGGGATTACAGGTGTGAGCCACCGTGCCTGGCCAAACATCAGTTCTATGGAACAATTGGGCCAGTTTCATCACTCTTGTTCTTTTTCTTGCTTCTTATTACTTTAACTCTGGCTTGTCTTAACTTCATTCCCTCCAACTGGAGATGGATGCAGACATTAGAGGCAAACAGAGACTGGAGACAAATGGAAAGGGAAAGCAAATCCAGGCAGTGGTGAGTCCAGATCATCAGTCCATATGCTGAGCACCTGCTGCTCTGAATGTTTTCCCAAGCCATGGCAATCAAACTAGGCTGCTAGTTTGCTTAAGCTGACTGAAGTTAGTTTTATGATTTGTCATTGAGAGTCTTGACTAATGCAGTTAATTGATTTGGGCGTAAGTTAATAGAATACATTGACTTCAAAATGGGGTGAACACTTCATAATATTGAAATGTGTCACCAGAAACTGTGGGTCTGATTTTAGATCTCTCCAAAATTTTGAGTGATACTATAGGTGCAATTTCACGGTAAGCAGACACTTTCATTTTTTTCTTATTATTTAAAAAGTTTTATTTTTTCCAGTTTTACTGTATTATAATTAACATACAAAAATTGTGTATATTTACAGTGTACAACATGATGTCTTGATATACGTACACATTGTGAAATGATTACCATAGTCAAGCTATCAACATATCCATTACCTCACAGAGTTACCATCTTTTTTTGTGGTGAGGGCACTTAAGAGCTATCTACTCTCCTGCAAATTTCAAGTATACAACACAATTAACTATAATCACTCTGCTGATCTCCAGAACTTATTTATCCTGCATCACTGAAACTTTATGCCCTTTGACCAACATCTCCCCATATCCCCAACCCTTTCAGCCCCTGGAAATTATCATTCGTTGCTCCTGTGAGGTCAACTTTTTAAGATTCCACACGTAAGTGAGATCATGCAGTATTTGTCTTTTGGTGCATGGCTTATTTCACTTAGCCTAATGTCCTCCAGTTTACCAGGTTGTCATGAATGACAGGATTTCCTTCTTATTTTAAGGCTGAATAATATGCCACTGTAAATATATACTGCATTTTCTTTTTCCACTTATTGGTCAATGGTAGATTCTATATCTCAGCTATTGTGAATAAGGCTACTATGAACATGAAAGTGCAGATATCTGCATCCTGGCTAAGACGGTGAAACCCTGTCTCTACTAAAAATACAAAAAAATTAGCCGGGCATGGTGGTGGGCCCCTGTAGTCCCAGCTACTCCAGAGGCTGAGGCAGGAAAATGGCGTGACCCCGGGAGGTGGAGCTTGCAGTGAGCCGAGATGGCACCACTGCATTCCAGCCTGGGCAACAGAGCAAGACTCCATCTCAAAAAAAAAAAAAAAAAAAGTGCAGATATCTATCTCTTTGAGATACTGATTTCATTTCCTTTGTATGTACAGCCAGAAGTAGGATTTCTAGATCATATGGTAGTTCTACTTTTAATTTTTTAGGATTCTCCAAACTGTTTTCCTTAATGACTGAATAAATTTACATTCTCAGCAACATTGTGGAAGGGTTCCCTTTTCTCCATATCCTCTCCAATATTTGTTATCTTTTGTTTTTTGATGATAGCCATTCTAACAGGTATGAGATGATATTTCATCCTGGTTTTGATTTGCATTTCACTGATGATTAGTGATACTGAACATATTTTCATATATCTCTTGACCATTCTTATGTCTTCTTTTGAGATGTATCTATTCAAAACCGTCGCCTGTTTAAAAAATCTGGTTATTTGTTTTCTTGCTATTGAGTTGAGTTCTTTATATATTTCAGATATTAACCCCATATCAGATATATGATTTGCAAATATTTTTCCCATTCTATAGGTGGTCTCTTTGCTATTGTTTGCTTTGCTATGCAGAAGGTTTTTAGTTGGATGCAATACCATTTGTTATTTTTGCTGTTGTTGCCTGTGCTTTTGGGGTCATAGCCAAAAGATTATTGCCCAGACCAATGTCAAGAAGCTTATTTCAAATGTATTTCTTTAGTAGATTTTCTGTTTCAGATTTTAAGTTTTTAATCCATATCAAGTTGAGTTTTTAATTTAGTGTAAAATAAGGGTTCAATTACATTATTCTATGTGTAGATATCTAGTTTTCCAAACATAATTTTAAAAATTATTTTTTATAGACAGTCTTGTTCTTTCACCCAGGCTGGAGTATAGGGGCATGCTCATGGCTCGCTGCAGCCCCAAACTCCTAGGTTTGAACAATCCTCCTGCCTCAACCTTCCAAAGTGCTGGGATAACCAGTGTCAGCCACCAGGCCTGACCCCAGAACCATTTATTAAAGAGATTGTCTTTTCCCCATTGTGTGTTCTTGACACCTTTGTCAAAGACCAATCTAAGTGTGTGGCTTTATTTCTGGGCTCTCTACTCTGTTCCATTGGTCTGTATGTCTGTTTATATGCCAGTAGCATGATGTTGGGTTACTATAGCTTTGTAACATATTTTGAAATCAGGTAGTGTGATGCCTCCAGCTTTGTTCTTGGTCAAGATTGCTTTGTCTATTCAGACTCTTTTGTAGTTCCATATACATTTTAAGATTAAAAAAAAATTTCTGTGAAAAATGCCATTGGAATTTTAATAGGGGTTGCATTTAATCTGTAGGTTGCTTTTGGTCATATAGACATTTTAACAATATTAAATTCTTCCAATTCATGAATGCAAGATATCTTCACATTTATTTGTGTCTTCAATTTCTTTAACAAATCTTTTATAGTTTTCAGTGTATACACTTTCACCTCCTTGGTTAATTTTATGCCTAAGTATTTTATTTATTTATTTTTTTGGGTGCTATTGTAAGTGGCATTGTTTTCTTAATTTCTTTCTTTTTTTTTTTTTTTTTTTTTTTTGGTTAGAGGCAAGGTCTGTTTATATTGCTCAGGCTGGTCTCAAACTCTTGGGTTCAAACAATCCTCCCGCATTGTCCTCTCAAAACACTGAGATTACAGGCATGAGCCACCATACCTGGCCTGTTAAAAGTTTTATGAAAAGATATTGAATTTACTAATGCTTTTTCTGCATCTGTTGTGATGATCGTATGATTTTGTCCTTCATTCTGTTAATGTGGTATATCACACTTATTCATGTGCGTATGTACTATGATCTAAATGTGTCCCTGAAAATGCGAATATTGGAAACTTAATCCCCAGTGCACCAGTGCTGGGAGGTGGGGCCTTTGGAGAGGAGTTTGGGTTAGGAGAATGGGGTTATAAAAGGACTTGACAGAGGGAATTCATCCCTTTTGTCCTTCTGCCTTCCTCCACATGAGGACTCAGCTTTCTTCCCCCCAGAGTATACGGTAAGAAGGCCCTTATCAGAAACCAGAGGCTGGCACTTTGAGCTTGGACTTTTCAGCCTCCAGAACTGTGAAAAATAAATTCACATTCTTTATAAATTACCTGATCTCAGGTATTCTGTTATAGAGGCACAGACAAAGACAGTATGTTGACTCATCCCTGCATCCCAAGGATAAATGCCATGTAATCAGTATATGAACTTTTTTAATGTGGTGTTGAATTGAGTTTGCTAGTCTTTTTTTGAGCATTTTTACGTCTATTTTCATCAGGAATATTGGTGTGTAATTTTTTTTTTTCTTGTAGTATCCTTGTCTGGCTTCGGTGTCAGGATAATGTTAGCTTCATAAAATGAACTTGGAAGTATTCCCTCATCTTAAATTTTTTGGCAGAGTTTGAGAAGTTTTAGCATTAACGTTTCCGTTTTAAAATATATTTTCAACTTTTATTTTAGATTCAGGAGGTACATGTGCAGGTTTTTTACATGGATATATTGGGTGACGCTGACATTTGGGGTATGAATGATCCCATCGGCCAGCTGGTGGGCATAGTACCCAAGAGATGTTTTTCAGCCCTTGTCCCACTTCCCTCTCTTCCTCCTCTGGTAGTCACCAGTGTCTATTGCTGCCATCTTTATGTCCATGTGTACCCAATGCTTAGCTCCCACTTACAAGTGAGAATATATGGTATTTGGTTTTCTATTGCTGCATTAATTCATTAATTTGCTTAGGATAATGGCCTCCAGCTGTATCTATGTTGCTGCAAAGGACAGGATTTCATTCTTTTTTATGGCTGCATAGTATTCTATGGTGTATATGTAGCACATTTTCTTTATCCAGTCCACCATTGATGATCTCCTAGGGTGATTCCATATCTTTGCTATTATGAATAATGCTGTGATGAACATATGAGTGCTTGTGTCTTTTTGGTAAAATAATTTATTTTCCTTTCATTATATACTCAGTAATGGGATTGCTGGGTGAAATGGTAGTTCTGTTTTGAGTTCTTTGAGAAATCATTAAACTGCTTTCCACAGTGGCTGAGCTAATTTACATCGCTACCAACAGTAAGTAAGTGTTCCCTTTTCTCCATAGCCTTGCCAGCATTTGTTATTTTTTTTACTTTTTAATAATAGCCATTCTGACTGATATGAGATGGTACATCTTATTCTGGTTTTAATTTGCACTTCTCTGATGATTAGTGACGTTGAACATTTCTTCGTATGTTTGTTGGCCACTTGTATGTCTTTTTTTTAGAAGCGTCTGTTCGTATGTTTTGCTGACTTTTTAATGGGGTTCATATGTTTTGCTCATTTTTTATTTGTTTTTTGCTTGTTCAATTGTTTAAGTTTCTTATAGATTCTGGATATCAGACCTTTGTTGGATGCAGAGTTTGCAAACATTTTCTCCCATTCTGAAGGTTGTCTGTTTACTCTGTTAAGTTTCTTTTGCCATACAGAAGCTCTTTAGTTTAATTAGGTCCCATTTGTCAATTTTAGTTTTTGTGGCAATGGCTTTTGAGGACTTAGTCTTAAATTCCTCCCCAAGGCTGATGTCCAGAATAATATTTCTTAGATTTTCTTCTAGAACTCTTATAGTTTGAGGTTTTATATTTAAATCTTTAATCTATCTTGAGTTAATTTTTGTATATGATAAAAAAGTAGAAGTCCAGTTTCATTCTTCAGCATATGGCTAATCAGTTATCCCTGCACTATTTATTGAATAGGGAGTCCTTTGCCCATAGCTTATTTTTGTCGACTTTGTCTAAGGTCAGATGGTGGTAAATGTGTGTCTGCTTTTGTGTCTATGTGTCTGTTTTTGTGTTGGTACCATACTGCTTTGATTACCCTAGTCTTATAGCATAGTTTGAAGTCGGGTAATAAGATGCATCTGGCTTTGTTTTTTTTGCTTAGGATTGCTTTTGCTATACAGCTCTTTTTTGGTTCCATATTAAATTTAAAATAGTTTTTTCTAATTCTATGAAAAATGACATTGGTACTTTGATAGGAAGAGCATTGAATCTGTAGATTGCTTTTGGCAGTATGCCCATTTTAATAATATTGATTCTTACAATCCATGAGCATGGAATATTTTTCCATTTGTGTCATCTTTGATTTCATTCAGCAGTGTTTTTTAGGCATTAACTCTTCTTTAAGTGTTTGGTAGAATTGGCCAATGAAACTTGCCAATTATCCCAGCACCATTAGATGAATAGGGTGTCCTTTCCCCACTTTATGTTTTTGTTTACTTTGTTGAAGATCAGTTGGCTGTGTTTGGCTTTATTTCTGGTTCTCTATTCTATGCCATTGGTCTACATGCCTACTTTTATAACAGTACCATGCTGTTTTGGTAACTATGGCCTTGTAGTATAGTTTGAAGTTGGGTGATGTGATGCCTTTAGATTTGTTCTTTTTGCTTAGTCTTGCATGGGCTATGTGGCTCATTTTTGGTTTGATATGAATTTTAGAAATTTTTAAATTTTTAAATTCATTATATTTTATTTTATTTTATTTGAGATGGAGTCTTGCTCTGCCACCCAGGCTGGAGTGCAGTGGTGCCATCTCAGCTCACTCCACCCCCTGGTTCAAGCCATACTCTTGCCTCAGCCTCCTGAGTAGCTGGGATTACAGGCGTGCACCACCACATCTGGGTAAATTTTGTATTTTCAGTAGAAATGGAGTTTCACCATGTTGGCCAGGCTGGTCTTGAACTCCTGACCTCAGGTGATCCACCCACCTTGGCCTCCCAAAGTGCTAGGATTACAGGCGTGAACCACTGTGCCTGGCCTAGGATTGTTTTTTATAGTTCTGTGAAGAATGATGATGGTATTTTGATGGGAATTGCATTGAATCTGTAGATTGCTTTTGGCAGTATGGTCATTTTCACAATATTGTTTCTATCCATCCATGAGGATGGGGTGTGTTTCCATTTGTTTGTGTCATTGATCATTTCTTTCGGCAGTATTTTGTAGTTTTCCTTGTAGAGATCTTTCACCACCTTGGTTAGGTATATTCCTAAGTATTTTATTTTATTTTATTTTTTCCAGCTGTTGTAAAAAGGATCGAGTTCTTGATTTGATTCTAAGCTTGGTTGTTGTTGGTGTACAGCAGTGCTACTGATTTGTGTACATTGGTTTTGTATTGCCCACACTTTCAGTGGCAGCTCCTGTACTCATATCTGCAGCAGTTCTCATTTGCCCTTTGGATTCTGCTCAAGAAAATTTGTGCCCAGTTGAAATTACTATGAATTTCAGTTGGAAGCTTCTTTCATCCTGTGACCCCACCTTAATTCTGCTGGCTGCCTTCCCAAGGGACCCTGTGTGATATTATTCAGGGTTGGCTTCCCTGGGCTCCAGCCGGAGGCTGCGAGTGCCTACAAGGCTCTTCTTGCTGCTGCCTCTACTTTCATATTTCATGTGGCTCCCTAAATCGGTTTCAGCTCTAGGTAAGGTTAAATTATTCTCCTGTGATGTGAATTTTCAGATTCCACAGTGGGAATGTGTGTTCAGAAGCAGATTTTTCCCCCTCTCACTCTTCGGGAACTCACAGTTTTTTGCCTGTCTCGTGGAATTTGCAGCAGCATTCAAATTCTTCTTTCAAAGGATCTGTGAATTTTTTTCAGTTTTCCTAGTATATTCCCATGGTGGTTCTTGTAGCAAAAGTTCATGGTGTGAGTCTCCACATGCTGTTCTGTCCATCTAAATGGGGGCTGCATGTTAGCCCTGTCTCCTATCTGCCATCTTCCTCAGACTAATCATGGCAGAAAGTGAAGAGGAAGGAGGCATGTCTTCTCATGGCTGGAGGAGGAGGAAGAGAGCAGATCTGTTGTTTTTTGTTTGTTTGTTTGTTTGTTTTCCATTCACCCACTGTATATCTTTTGATTGGAGAATTTATTTCATTTATTTTTTTTTCTTTTGAGGCAGAGTCTCACTCCGTCACCCAAGCTGGCATGCAGTGGTGCAATCTTGGCTCACTGCCACCTCTGCCTCCCAGGTTCAAGTGATTCTTGTGCCCCAGCCTCCCAGGTAACTGGAATTACAGGCATGTGCCACCACACCCAGCTAGTTTTTGTATTTTTAGTAGAGACAGGGCTTCACCATGTTAGCCAGGCTGCTCTCGAACTCCTGACCCCAAGTAATCCATCCACTTCAGCCCCACAAAGTGCTGGGATTACAGGCATGAGCCACCATGCCCAACGTAATTCATTTACATTTAAGGTAATTATTGATAGGTTAAGAACTTACTACTGATATTTTGCTCATTGTTTTCTGTTTTGTAGTTCCTTTGTGGTGTTTTTCCTATCTTGCTATCATCCTTTATGATTTGTTGATATTTTTTGGTTATATGGTTTGGTTTCTTTCTCTCAATCTTTCATGCACCTACCACAGGTTTTCTTCTATGTGTTTGCCATAAACAATTTATAGTTATAACAGACTATTTTAATCTGATAACAACTTAACTTTGACCAAATACAAAAAGTGTACACTTTAACTTCTCCTTCCTCCACATTTTAGGTTCTAAATGTCACAATGTACAATTTTTATATATTATGCATCCATTAACAAGTTATTGTAGCTATAGTTATTTTTAATACTTTTGTCTTTTAACCATTATCTTAGAGCTAAAAGTGATTTATGTACCCCCATTATAGTATTAAAATATGTTGAATTTGACTACATGCTTGCTTTTACAGTAAGCTTTATATTTTCTTTCTCCTTTCTTTCTTTTCTTTTCTTTTCTTTCTTTCTTTCTTTCTTTCTTTCTTTCTTTCTTTCTTTCCTTCCTTCCTTCCTTCCTTCCTTCCTTCCTTCCTTCCTTCCTTCTTTCTTTCTTTCTTTCTTTCTTTCTTTCTTTCTTTCTTTCTTTCTTTCTTTCTTTCTTTCCTCCCTCCCTCCCTCCCTCCCTCTCTCCCTCCCACTCTCCCTCCCTCTCTTCCTCCCTGCCTAGGCTGGAAGGTAGTGGTGCAATCACAGCTTACTGCAGCCTTTACCTCCTGGCTGAAGTGATCCTTCCACCTCAGCCTCCTGAGTAGCTGAGACTACAGGTGAGTACCTCTGTGCCCAGATAATTTTTTCTATTTTTTGTAGAGATGGGGTTTTGCTATGTTGCCCAGGCTGGTCTCAAACTCCTGGGCTCAAGTGATCCTGCTCCCCTGGCCTCCCAAAGTGCTGGGATTACAGGTGTGAGCCACAGTGCCTGGCTTAATAAGTTTTCATGATGTTAGTTCGTATCCTTTTATTTGAATGGAAAGAACTCCCAGTAGCATTTCCTATAAGGCAGGTATAGTGATGATGAATTCCCACAGCTTTTGTTTGTCTGGGAAAGTCTTTATCTATTCTTCATATTGGAAAAACAGTTTTGCCAGGTATATAGTATTCTTGGTTGGCAGTGTTTTCCTTTTTTCCTTTTAGCACTCTGAATATATCATTCCACACTCTCCTGGCCAGCAAAGTTTCTGTTGAAAAATCCACTGATAGTTTAATGGATGTTCTCTTGTATGTGGTCAGTCACTTTTCTCTTTCTGCTTTCAAAATTCTCTTGTTGTCTTTACTTTTCAGAATTTGATTATAATGTGTGCCAGTGAAGATCTCTTTATATTTAATGTTTGGGGTCCTTGGGCTTCATGGAAGTGGATGTTCATTTCTCTTTTCAAATTTGGGAAAATTTTGGTCATTATTTATTTAAATAAGCTTTCTCCCCTCTCTCTTCCTGTGCTACTTCTTATACTTCCACAATGCAAAAATTGGTTCACTTGATGTTGTCTCATAAGTCTCCCAGAATTTCTTCACTCTTTTTCTTTTTTTTCCCTCACTGACTGGGTAATTTCAAATGACCTGTCTTTGGGCTCACTGATTCTTTCTTTTGCTTGATTGAGTCTGCTGTGGAAGCTGGATATGGAGTTTTTCAGTTTAATCATTTTATTCTTCAAGTCCAGTATTTTCCTTTGGTTCTTTTTGTATGTTCTCTATATTTTGTGTTGAACTTCTAACTTTGTTCGTGCATTGTTTTTCTGATTTTGTTTAGCTGTCTATCTGTGTTCTCATATATTTCATTGAGCTACTTTAAGACAATTATTTTGAATTCTTTATCAGGCAGTTCATAAATCTTCTTTTTTTCTTTTTTTTGAGATAGGGTCTTGCTGTGTTGTCTAGGCTATACTATAGTGCAGTGGCACAATCATGGCTCACTGCAGCCTCAACCTCCTGGGCTCAAGCAATCCTCCCACCTCAGTGTTTTGAGTAGCTGGGGCCACAGATGCATGCCACCATGTCTGGCTAATTTTTGTATTTTTTGTAGAGACAAGGTTTTGCCATATTGCCCAGGATGGTATCAAACTCCTGAGCTCAAGCAATCTACCCACCTTGGCCCCCCAAAGTGCTGGGCTTACAGACATGAGCCACCATGCCCAGCCAGATCTTAATTTCTTTTCAGTTGGTTAATGGTGCTCTGTTTTGTTTCTTTGGTGACGCTGTGTTTTCCTGGTTATTCATGATCCTCGTGACTTTTCACTGGTGTCTGTGCATTTGAAAAAGTAAGTACCTCTTCCAGTCTATATAGACTGGCTTTAGCATGGAATACCCTTCATCAGTTAGCCCATGCAGAGATTCTGAAACGGTCCTCTGGTGGGGTCCGTAGGTGAACTTGCTGCTGTTTTTTTCAGTGGCATGGCCTAGTGACTAAGTTAGTGGGCAGATGTACTTGGCATTTGGGTTTGTGGAGGCCAGCCTGGTGCCTCCATTCATGGGTTGGGCCCATTGATTCTCCTAGGTCCATGGCAGCTGACCTCAGGCTGGTGTCCATTGGAGTGGACCTGATGACTGTGTTCCTGGACCATATGTCCACAGGGGCTGGACTGAAGCCCAGTTCCAAGGATGTTGACCTGGCACTGAGGTGGGTCTTCAGTCTGAGTTGCAGGGATGGACTGGGTTGTGTGACCACCAGGGTTAGCCTGGCACTAGGATCCACTGGGTGGGCCTGGCACCTGTGTTCATGGGGACCAGCTTGAAGCCTGAGACCACAGCTGTGGGCCTGAAGCCTGGGTTTCCTGGGGCTGGTCCAGTGCCAAGGTCTACTGGGGTAGGCCTCTAGCCTGCGTGTGGGCACTGGCTTGGAGCCTCAGTCCATTGTAGACAGGCTGGAATCTGGGGCTATGGGGTTTGGTCTGGCTCTAGGGAAGCCTAGGAGTCAGAGTCCAAGAGGTGGGCCTGCAGCCTGGACCATAAATACTGTCCTGGTGCTGGGGTAGGCCTGAAGCCTGAGACTGCAGGAGCTGGCCTATTGCCAAGGTTCACTGAAGAGGGTCTGGTGCTGGGGTTTGCAGCAAAGTCTGGTGCTCATTTCACTCTCCATTTGCCATGCAAAGGAGAGAGAAAGTAGCTTTCTCCAAACGGTGCTGTTCGGCCTTAGGAGACGGGTAGCATGTTTGCTCAATGTAAAACTGTCCTTTTCTTCCCTCTTCAGTGCATCTTTTTTTTTTTATTTCTGTGCTCCACGCAAGTGGTATATTCTGTTGCTTGGATTCCTTAGCTCTTGTGAAAGCATTTTACTGTGGGTAGTTGTTCAAATTGATGCTTCTGCCAGGGAATTATGTTGGGAACTCCTATTCAACCATCTTACTGATGTCATTGTTCATCTTTAAACAAATTTGCATTTAAGAAGAAAAAAAATTCCTTCTTCCAAACTTTCTAAAGCTAAACCACATTTACCAGGTTTTTAGATTTGTGTTCTCTTATAATATGCCTTAAAGATATTCCTTAACTTTTTTCATTATGTCCCCTTGTTTTGGATAAATTGCTCTTACGTTGAGCCTTCTCTTACCCTTTTATTAAGGTATTTATTCATTTACCAGTTTTATTTGAATTATCATAGGAAAATTCATTCTCCCTATGAAAATAATTGGCTTTCTTAACTGCAGTTTTATTCAGAAGTACCTAAGTTTATAACAGTTCTTCCTCAGGTTTTTATGACAGGGAATTTAACTTCTTTGTTTTTTTTTAATCTTTTTGAGGCAATAAAGTTTTCTGTATCTTTGGCATTTCCAAATTCTTAATAAGTGACCAGTAATCTATCTGTTTCTAGATTCCTTGGAAACCTCTCGTAAGCTATGATGTGATACAATGCTATGCTAAATTAAAATTTATATATTCTTTGATTTTCATTTTAATGGCTATTAGAAAACTTTATCTGAGTAGTGGATTATTAAATATCCAACATGATGTCTTTTATCTTTCTCTGTTCATATTATCTGTATTAGTCCATTTCTACATGATCAAATGAAAAGAATTTCTGTATCTGAATTTCTAATGGGCTGCTAAATACATTTTTTGCATGATCAAATATATATTCATCATCAAAAAAGACCAATGATTCAAAAAAATGTTACCTGTATTCCCATGTTTCAAAATTTTACTGGAATCTATTGGCAGTATCTAAATAATCTATATTATGATGACCTGGTTAATAATATAAAAACATGAGAGCGCCAGAACTTGCAGATTTTTCTGCTAAAATGATAATTATAAACAATAATAAATTAAATTGAATTTTTACTCAAAGGTCACATTTTCTTCTATGTTTATTTTCTTTTTGAAAACTAATCTCAGCTCTCATAAATCCACATATAAGATTGTCTAAAAGATAATTATAATTAAATCAGAAGGGAAATAGAAATCCATCTTTTTAGAATCAGAACATCTATGTTTCATAATACATTTTCTCCTAGATGGGTGGTCTGTAAAGCCTGATTCCAAATCAGAAGTGGTCTGCAAATTGTCTTGTGAATTAATGCCATATGGTGGTAATATTTATATTAGATAACATTTTTATTTGGCCTCTAACGTAAATTAATAATCCATTCCTTATGCACATCAACAGGAACTGCACATTTCCTATTAATTTCAGTGACATTTGTCTGACAATGGAAATTTTGAGAAGATAGTAAATGAAGTTGTTGGCTTCATGGATTTAAATATTTTGGGGTAGGAGACATAAAACCTGCCATTTTAACCAATTTTACATTATGTGGCATTAATTACATTCACAATGTTGTGCAACCATCACCACTATCTATTTCGAAAAAAAAGAAAAAGAAAAAATTTGAAAACCTAAACAGAAACTCTGTACCCAATAACTTTCAATTTTCCTCTCACTCCACTCCAGCTCCTGGCAACCTCTAATCCACTTTCTATCTCTGTGAATTTGCCTATTCTAGATTTCTCATACAAGTGAGTCACACAATAGTTGCTCTTTTGTGTCTGGCCCGTTTCACTTAGCATAATGTTTTAAAGTTCCATTTATGTTGTAGCATGTGTCATAATTTCATTCCTTTTTATGGATTAATAATTCCTATTGTATAGATATGGGATATATCCCATTTTTTGTTTATCCATTCGTCTGTCAGTGGACCCTTGGGTTGTTTTCACCTTTTTGCCTTTGTAAACAATACTGCAATGAACCTTGTCATACAAATGTCTGATTGAGTTCCTGTTTTCAACTCTTTTGTATATATATTTAGAAGTGGAATTGCTGGATCTTATAGTAATTCTGTTTATCTTTTGAGGAACTGCTAAACTGTTTTCCATAGTGGCTTTACTGTTTTACATTCCCACCAGTAATGTCTGATGGTCTAATTTCTTCACATGGTTGCCAACACTTGTTATTTTCTTGTTTGTTTGTTTGTTTGTTTACTGCCATCCTAATAAGTGTGAAGTGGTGTGTTGTTGTCATTTTTATTTGTATTTCCCTGATAACTAATTATATTAAGTATCTTTTGTGCTTATTGGCCATTTGTGTATCTTCTTTGGAGAAACGTCTGTTCAAGTTATTTGCCCATTTTCTAATTGGATTGTTTATCTTCATGTCGTTGAGTTGCAGGAGTTCTGTGTATATTCTTGGAATTAAGCCCAATATATTCATGACTGGATGACCTCCTCTCTCTCCCCTTCACTGCTTGCCCTAGGCCATAGTCCCAGGATATCACCTCACTGAACCTGCCTGGACTATTTCTGTTCTTAACACCTTGGCCCAAATTATTTTATTAGATATCTTGGTAAGGTATTTGCGTTTCTGCCCCATTAACAAGCAATGAAAAACCGCAGGACTGTCTCTGGAATGTAAGTGAATTTCTCTGCACCTATCAGGAAATAACTGGAAATAATTGGATTCATCTGATTTGACAAATAGAGGCTTCAAGGTGCCAATATAAGAGTGGTAAGATGGTATTATACACCAAGTTGGTGAATGTTGGGCGTGCTAACTATCCATGTTACACCTTTAGCCATTTGGGAGAAACGTAAACTGTATGAAACTCTGGTGTTGATGGTAGGGCACTGGAACAACTAGGGGGCACTGGGCATCACAGGAAGATAAAGGAAATAGGAATTTCCTGAAGGAGAAGTAGAAGCCAGCGTTTAACCTGGCCATTTTACTTCTGTTTCTAATTGAGGGTAGGGAACTCAGAGTGGTTGTGGGGTTGCAAAGGGAAATCTTGAGGATCATGTTTGCATTGAGATACAAACTCAACCGGGAAAAGGGAGTTGATTGCATTTTCTGTACTTTTGGTTAAACTCACTGTGAGGCCTTGGTTAAGGTCTTCTGTGCGACTCACAGGAGAAAAGTTAAGCAAATAACATATGTATATATATGTCATTAAATAAGGATTGCCTTAATAGATAAATAGTAAATGGGCATATATTTCCCAACCATAATACCTGTGACTTTCCAAAATGTCAATTCACTTAGACACACCTCTTTCTTTTGTAATGAAGAACATTCTTTAAAAAGATAGAGTAAACCCACACATTAAGGCTTTGTACTATCAGCACCTAAGAGGCTTTAAGATGCATGTTCTGTCAGGATCAATGGGAAAAACAGAACCACTGTGTGTGACTTAGTAAGGTGGTTACCCTTGCGTAGTTGTGGGAGCTGGTGGTCTAGAGAAGCTGATGCTCTAACTCTGAAGCTGGGCCTGAACTCTTTTTTTTTTTTTTTTTTTTTGAGATGGAGTCTCACTCTATTGCCCAGGCTAGAGTGCAGTGGTGCGATCTCAGCTCACTGCAAGCTCCGCCTCCCGGGTTCACACCATTCTCCTGCCTCAGCCTCCTGAGTAGCTGGGACTACAGGTGCCTGCCACACGCCCGGCTAATTTCTTGCATTTTTAGTAGATACGGGGTTTCACCATGTTAGCCAGGATGGTCTCGATCTCCTGACCTTGTGATCCGCCCTTCTTGGCCTCCCAAATTGCTGGAATTACAGGCGTGAGCCACTGCACCCGGCCAAGGGCCTGAACTCTTAATAGGTCAACCTGATCAGCTATCAGGAGAGAAAGATGGATGTGGACAAAAGAAAGGACAATCTGAAATATGTGAGGGTGAACTGGAACCCAAATCTATCTCTTACCAAGTCCAACCTTGGTGTTGCTGTGGGTGACCTGCAGGGGACCCTGGTGCCCTTTTACATGGAACTACACTGCACTGGGCCAGTACTCAGAGATGCTGAAGGATGACACTGGGGGGAGCTGGAGGAGCTGTGAGTCAGGTGCTGCCCCATGCAGATCAATGGCAAGGTGCATGAACTGCCAGTGTCCAGCACCCCACACTGACCTTTGGGGGTAAAAAGCATACTTGCTGTTTTGCTTCTGCCTTTTACACTTCACACAAAGAGAATGCTGGGAAATATAGTTCCAGTTTTACCAAGTCAAGAAAGTATCAAGACAGCACAATGCAGTTGCCTACAGAATTCAGAACATTTGCCATCCTTGACCCTTTCTCTTCCTTACCACTTGTATTGGATTATCTATTCATTCTGTTAATTCTTTCATAATAGCTCTTACTCCCTCATTTTTGCCACTACTCAACACCATGTCTGGACTATTTCCCTGGCTTTGGTCTCTCCTTTCTTTAATTTGTGTTCTGTGACTAAATGCACAACCTGTTTGCAAGTTTCAATGACTGTCCTATCTTGTTCCTCATTGCCTGAATCCCTGTTTTGGTAACTTGCTTTGCCACTCAAACCTCAAAGACAGGGGGACCCTGATTTTACCAGACTTCTCAGGGACTTGCACATTGTCTCTGAACCTCAGCCCCATAGCTGAAGCCTTCTCATTTGCTGACTGTGGTCCCTAGATGCAGCCTGGGACAGTTTTACCTTAACTCAAGATGGTTATTGCCAGGCTTAACTGGCCAGAGGAGAGATGCCCTGTGTTATCATCGTAATGGCTGCTTGGACCAGCCCAGCTGCCTTACACATACCTACCCAGGATTATTCTTTGCCTGCCTATCTTACCCTTTTCCCATTTCCTGCTGCTGGTCCACTGCCATTGTACTGGTTATGGGGAGTTTCCAGGCTCTCAGCTCTCCTCAGTATGGCTCATGAAAATGCTTATTCTGTTCTCCTGTCACATTTGCTTCCACAATTCTATGGCTTTTAGTTGAATTCAACATTGTTGATTACCAAACTCTTCTATCCTCTGCAATATCCGTGATCACAGTGCATTGCTCCAGCACCTATCCAGTTATGGAAGTCATCTTTGACACCTCACTCTACCTCACATCCAATCCATCAAGTTCTTCTACTTGTAGGGGTAGCTCTTGAATTTGCTCACTTCCCCATATCCATGGCTTAATTGACAAAAGCCACACTACATTTCCACAATGACGATTGCTCACACTGCATTTCAGTTTGTACGTCAGCTGTGCTCTGCTGCCTGTTTTTACTCTGTGACCCAGGCTGATGGAGCAGCCTCTCTCTAGAACATTGCTGGTGGTGTGGCAGAGACAACAAAGAACACAATTAGCCCTTTGTTGGATCTTGGATCTTCTGTTCAGAAATGTTCTTGTGAAATACCACTATCCTCCCTCCACCATTTTACCAGCCAATGCAAGTCACAAAGCCATGCCTGAGTGCATCGAGGCAGAGCTGTACAGTCTTCTCTCGTGGAAGGAAAATGGAGGTAGGAGCCAAATAAAATATACCGCATCTGCCATCATCACCCTATTCAAGATAGCATCATCTCTTATCTAGGCTACTGCAACAGTCCCTGTATTAGAGTTCTACCATAGAAGCAGAAACACAGTGATATACAAAAAAAGATTTAGGCCAGGCACAGTGGCTCATACCTGTAATCCCAGCACTTTGGGAGGCTGAGGCAGGCGGATCATGAGGTCAGGAGATCAAGATCATCCTGGCTAACATGGTAAAACCCCTTCTCTACTAAAAATACAAAAATTTAGCTGGGTGTGGTGGCAGGCGCCTGTAGTCCCAGCTACTCGGGAGGCTGAGGCAGGAGAATTGCTTGATCCGGGGAGGTGGAGGTTGCAGTGAGCCAATATCATGCCACTGCACGCCAGCCTGGCGACAGAATGAGTCTCCGTCTCAACAACAACAACAACAACAGATTTATTATAGGGGGTTAGACCATATGCAATTGTTGGTGCTGGTCCCAAGGCTTAGGTCATTCAGGCTGGCGGTTGGAAAGAGAAGCTAGATGTGGAGGAAAGTGAGGATAAACTGAGAACAAAATGGATCCTATGAGGACAAAATAGAACTTACGTCTCTCTATGTTTTACTTTCTCCATCCACAATGCTGTAGGGGGCCTACAGGAGAGGCCAGTACTCTTCTCTATTGAAGCTGCATGTACACTTGGCCCAGGACTCAGACCCAAAGGGAGGAGATCTCATGGGAGCTGGAGGAACTGTGGGTCCTGGCACTGCCGCATGCCAGTAAGGTGAGCTGGCAGATTAGCAACAATGAGTATGAGCTGCCACACTGCTGCTGACCCTCAGAGCTTAAAACATAAGGCTGCTGCTCCACTTTTGTCTTCTCATGCACAATGTCTCTTGTGGCCAACAGTACCAAGAATCACATGGGAAATATAGTTTCAGATTGGCTGACTTAACACACAGAGAGCTACCAAAGTGGCCTAACTGGTCTACATATATACACTCTTACACTATTCCTAGTTCTTCTCCATATGAACTTTGAGTGATGTTTCAGAGTAAAACAGATCCCATCACTCATCTGCTTAAAACACATAAAAGGATTATTTACTCTAAGCTTAAAGACAATCTCCCAACCTGGCTTGTTAAATCCTCCATGGTCTGGCCTTTGCCTTCCTCTCCATTCTCATCTTGTACCATGTTTCCCTCACCCTTTGAAATATAGCCACAGTAAAGCTTTTTTATTCCTATAGAGCCTCTACATGTAATATTCTGTCTCTCTGAGATGAGTTCTTATTTTTCTGCTTTATCTGGTCAGCTCCTACTTATCCTTTAGCTTTGACCTCAATTTTAAACTATGTAATCAATCTTCTGTTATTGCTCCTATTAGGTCAAATTCCTTTATTATGTGTGCTTCCATGGTACCACATAGCTCACATTCATGGCCCTTATCAATGCTGCATTTTTAATTTATTTATAGTTATTTAACTAATACCTGTCTCCCTATAAAGCTGTGTGCTCTAGGGTAAGAGTCAGCATTTTTTTCTGCAAAAGACCAAATAGTAAATATTTTAGACTCTGTTGCAGCTACTCAACCCTGCTGTTGTAGTGCAAAAGTAGTCACAGACAAAATGTAAACAAGTGAGTGTGGCTGTGTTTCAATAAAACTTGACAAAAAAATGTAGTGAGCTATATTTGGCCCATAGCCCTGAGGTTTTTCATACCCCAATTGAGGACATCAGGCATTGTTTATTTTGCTTACAATTATATCTTCAGTCCCTAGCACATTACTTTATTCACGGTGGGTAGGAATACAGTTGCTGAATGAATTAATGAATTCTATTCATTTTGATACAAACAGACTTTGGCTATTCTGTTTCCCCCATATTTATTCAAACCATTTATACTCTCAGGAATACCTTCTCCTAATCCAAATTGTATGTCACATCTCAAGACTCGTCTTGCTCACCACTCTTTTCATGAAGCTTCTATATATGATTACTCGAGTTTTCAGTATTGGGGTATTCCAAACTCTAATACAGTAATTTTCTGTACCCGTAACTTGACTAAATACACTTGTGATAGGATTTTACAGTTCAACAAGGCACCTTCCCAAAGTTTGACACTTTGGATGAAACTCTCCTGAGTCCTGCTTGTTCCTGGGGAGTCAGAGAGGAAAAAAATAGTGAGAACCAAACACAAAAAATAAGTTGACAAATTATTCTGCTGCATATGTCAACGAGAATGCCCTACACTGCGACAAGTACTAGTGCTTGGGTAAGATGTGGGCCCCCAAATTCAGAGGTCAGGACAGTCTTCACTGAGGAGATGACATTTGAGGTAACTTTTTGAAAATTCACATATTACTTATATTTGGTTTAGGATAACACCAGGTACTTACTTTGATTCCCTTCACCTCCCAACTTTTTATTATGAAAATTTTCAAGCATAAGGGAAAGTTGAAAAAAAAACCAATTCAGTGAACACCTCAATACTTATCACTAGATTCAAAAATTGTTTATATTTTTCTATATTTGCTTTATCTTCTCTGTGTACTTTTCTTATGACCCATTTAGAAGTAAGTTATAGACATCAACCATTCTATCTTAAACAATTTATGTGCATTTACTAAAAAGTAAGAACATTCTCCTACATAACCATAAAACTATTAGCAATTCTTTCCTTCATCTAATATCCAGGCCATATTCAAATTCCCCACTTATCACACAAACTGTCTTTTTAGCTGCATTTTAAAAAACCCAAGATCCAATCTACTTGACTATTAAGTGAGTCTAACTCTTAAAAAATATAGGAATTCTTAAATAAGAAGTAGATTAAAAGTTCACGCTAGAGAATAGCAGGTGCAAAAACATGGGAGCTCTCTTGATGGAGTAGCAGAGCAATATTCAATTACCTAACAGCCAACAGAATTGGTGGAAAATGCCTTTGAAGGAGAATGAAGAACCAGATCATGAATGATCTTCAGTATTAGGCAAAGGAACTTTGAATTCGTTCTTCTGTTGAGGTGGGTTTTATCATCCCGTAAATTTTGACAGTGTCAAGGCTGAATAGTAAACTGTGGGAACAAGCTCACTAGCATGATATTCATTAGCTTTAGTCTCTTTTTACCTAACCCCCTTCACTGCAGCATCTTAGATTATCAGATTTTTTAAAGCAGCCCTCTCCGACTGTTGGTTTAAGCTGAACACATTCATGTATTTTTCAAAGAATAGAGAGTTTCACTTATTGTTAAAGGGACGTCTAGGCATATTCTTCCAGCAAGGGACTGATTTGCCTCTCAAAGGTTACCCTGACAGTCTTAGATAGCATATGGCCACAGTGGAACTTGACCCCTTTCTCTGCTTTATGGAAGCCTGTCACAGGGGAGTTTATCACAGTCCTTCAAGGGCCAGAACCTACATTGTACTGGTTATAAATAAGAATAACCATTTGCCCCATCTGATGTGAAAGTGGAAGTTCTTTGAACCAGTTACAATTACATTGTCATTGATGTGAAAACCACAACTCATTCAGCATTTCCCTCCTTTATTTATATAGTTGGAGACTCAAAGGCCAGCGGAGGTTAAATTACTTATCTGGGGTCACAGCGCTAGGCAGTGGCGAATAACTGCACTTCAGTGGGCATGACTATGTGCCAGTCACTGAGCTCCATGCTGTATATAGAGTATCTCTCTGGAGGGGTTACGTGATGAACTCAGATGGCATCAGATATGCAGGGAACTGGCAGTAGCTTTTCTCATGGTCCCCCAACACCTAGAGTAGCTGTGACAATGTCCGCTTGCTGGTTGCTATTTCAATATTTTTCAGTTCTAGGCATATCCTTTGAGTTTAGTCACTGAGTCCATTCACATGACAACTTCTGATTATAATCTTTTAGGGTAAAGCTTAGCCTCTTGGATTTCCTTCTTCTCCTCTCTTAAATATGGCATTTGGAGGTTTGAGGGGAGGGAAGAGTAAAGGGATCCTGGAATCCATTCTGTCTTATGTTGGATTTCTTAGAAGCAGACCTTGAGGTTAGGATTCTTTAAAGAAATACTCTGGGCCGGGCACGGTGGCTCACGCCTGTAATTCCAGCACTTTGGGAGGCCGAGGTGGGCGGATCACGAGGTCAGGAGATCGAGACCATCCTGGCTAACACGGTGAAACCCTGTCGCTACTAAAAAATACAAAAAATTAGCCGGGCGTGGTGGCGGGCGCCTGTAGTCCCAGCTACTCGGGAGGCTGAGGCAGGAGAATGGCATGAACCCGGGAGGTGGAGGTTGCAGTGAGCCGAGATTGTGCCACTGCACTCCAGCCTGGGCGACAGAGCGAGACTCCGTCTCAAAAACAAACAAACAAAAAAGAAATACTCTGAACCAGGTCCTGGCAGAGAGTACTAGGGGACTTCTAGGCCACAGGTTACAGAAAAGTCCTGTATCTTAACCTAGTCATCATGTGAAAATTCAACAAGTTGTTCACAGCATTTCTGCACTTTTATGTATGTATGTTATATTTTTTAAAACTCTGTCCAAAAAATGTCAAAAAAATGCTATCTCTCCAGCTACACATTTTTTTCTGGCTACTTCTTTCTTTAGATTATATGAATATAGGAGCAACTAATTTTTAAAGTATTTGTGCTACAACAGTATTTTTTTTTGTTTTTACATAACAGGATTCTTGAAATATAATTTATGTCACATAAAATTAAGTTTACAATTCAGTGATTTTTAGTATATTCACAAAGTTGTATAACCATCCCTACTGTCTAATTTTATAATTTTCAACATCCCAAGAAAAAGCCCCATGCTCATTAGCGGCCACCCCCACATTCACTTCTTCCCCCAGCCCTGACAACCACTAAACTATTTTTTGTATTTATGGAATTGCCTATTCTTGACATTTTATATAAATGGAACCATAGAATATGTGGTCATTTGTAACAGGCATCTTTCACTTAGGAAAATGTTTTCAAGGTCCATTTATGTTGTAGCATGTATCAACACTTCATTCCTTTATTGCCAAATAATATTTCATTCTATCGATATGCCACATTTCGTTTTTATCTATTAATCAGTGATGGACATTTGGGTTGTTTCCACTTTTTGGCTATTATAAATAATGCTGCTACATTCAGATACAGGCTTTTATGGGGATATGTGTTTTCATATCTATTGATACTTAACCAAATAGAAACTTCAACACTTGAACATTATAAAATAGTCTTCCAGTTTACCTCTTAGGTCAAAGAGGAAATCAAGATGGTAATTATAGAATATGTAGAAACATAAGACTGTATGAATAGTATATTAAAACTCACAGCATTACATCATAACTGCACTCAGAGGAAATTTCATAGACTTAAATGTTATTACATTGAAAAGAATAAAAATAAATAAATTGGGCATTCATCTCCAGAAGCTCAAATAGAACAAGAGCAACAGTAACAAATAGAAGGATCCAAGAGAATAGAAGAAGCAGCTGGGCACGGTGGCTCACGCCTGTAATCCCAGCACTTTGGGAGGCCGAGGCAGGCGGATCACCTGAGGTCAGGAGTTCCAGACCAGCCTGGCCAACATTATGAAACTCCATCTCTACTAAAAATACAAAAATTAGCTGGGTGTGGTGGTGGGCGCCTGTAGTCCCAGCTACTTGGGAGGCTGAGGCAGGAGAATTTCTTGAACCTGGGAGGCAGAAGTTGCAGTGGGCCGAGATCTCACCACTGCATTCCAGCCTGGGCAACAGAGTGAGACTCCATCTCAAAAAAAAAAAAAAAAAAAAGAGAGAGAGAGAATAGAAGAAGCTGGACATGGACAGGGAGCCAGCCAAGCAATGGTGCAATGTCAGGAAAGTCAGGTGAATGGTAGCTTCAACCTAACCCTGAAGGAGAGTGCTATAATCTTGTTATTTCCCAAGGTAGTCCCAGCTTGAGAACTTGAAATGAAAAGACTGGGCTTTCCTGCTCCTTCCACACAGCTCACTCACTCTCCCATCAATCATTGCCTAAGAGCCCTCCCGTGACACTTCTAGCTCTAAGGCAGGTAAGTAAAGCTGCTCCAATAGCCTGAAGGCCCAGCTCCAAAGAATAGTCTCAGGTGTGGGCATTGGAGGCAAAAACAAACATAAATGGACACACAGAACTTATAAAAGTGATCCAAGGGGATCTGGGGAGAGCATTGAGAGTGTCTGCTCCCTGGTGTTTTCTGGCTTTCCTAGTCTTTACAGAATTGTCTTCTGTCTACATAGTCACCTCTTACCATGTAAGCCAAGAGAATAGACTGACTTATAGAAGGTGCTGAAGGTGACAGCTTGTGTACTGAGAGTCCTATCTTTTCTGGCTTGGTCAGGACCTAGGAAGTCTTCCATATGTGGCTGGGTGCAGTGGCTCACGCCTGTAATGCCAGCACTGTGGGAGGCCGAGGTGGGTGGATCACCTGAGGTCAGGAGTTCGAGACCAGCTTGGCCAACATGGTGAAACCCCATCTCTACTAAAAATACAAAAATTAGCTGGGTGTGGTGGCGTGTGCCTGTAATCCCAGCTACTCAGGAGGCTGAGGCAGGAGAATCACTTGAACCCAGGAGGCAGAGGTTGCAATGAGCCGAGATGGTACCACTGCTCTCCAGCCTGGATGACAAGAGCAAAACTCCGTCTCAAAAAAAAAAAAAAAGAAAGTCTTCCATATGTTGTATAGCCTGTGTACCCTACATGCCTACCTGTTTACTTGCCTTACCACGGTTCACGCTGGCACACTAAGTCTCTACCACATCCTGTACTGGTTATGGCTTTAGCAGTCTACCACATGGTCCCTGAGATGTGGTGATCATGTTCCTTGCCATGGTGGGTTCCAGAAATCTCTTTGGCTTTCATCACAGTTACCTTTTCTGTCTCCCCTTGGACTGGGGGTACTTTTACGTTCTCTCCACACCTTATTTGGACTCAGAAAAGCTGAACCCTGGCTCTCACTCTGCCTACCCATGTGCTTATTTGATTTTAATGGGACCGTCCCTGAAGTTAGAGCCAGCAAAACCTTTGAGGCAATGTCCTCCTGTGCCTTAGAATTGAATTTGGAAAATCCCCCTCTGGTCTTTCCATTTCCCCCCAAATCTGAAACTTGCCATTTTCAGAGAGGAGCTTATTTGTTTCCTTTTTTGTTTCCTCCCTAAATCTCTTTGTGTCAGAAGCAGCAAACGTTGGGCATTTCACTTTCTATGTATCATACCCTTCTTACTAGGGTATCAAGCCCCACATCCTTGGCCAGAGGTAGACAGGGTACTTATCTTCACTATGGAAAACGCTCTATTTAGTCAGTTATTTTCTGGATAAATTAAAGGAAGGAGATAAGGGAATTTAGAAATGCCTTTTCTTTTTCAAGTCTTGCTGCATATTTGAGAATCTTACTGTCCAAGTCAGAAGCCAAATTATAGTTTTCTTTCTCTTTGCATTCCTGTTTAACAATCCTAATTTACCCCAAGGCAGATGCCTTCTTTAGGCTGTCTAGAGAGAGCTGTCTCTAGCAGAAAAGTATAGAAAAAAAAATTCATTAATGTAATTGTTAGAGCAGTATAATTCTGACCCAATATTTAGATTTACAACTTTATGGTTGAGATCAGGTTTCAGATTTCATCTAAATCCTAATTGGTTAGGAGAGAAAGTGCATGAGGCCAATATCTGCTCCTATCAGCAAATCATCATAGACATGTAATCTACCTCCTCAATATTCTACTCAGGGTGTGGCACACAAAGTTGTAGAAAGAGGCAAGCAATGACAAAAATTATAATCTCTTGGAGTGGACCATTATTTTCTCACAGTAGAGTGTAATATCATTTTAAAAATGATATAACTTTCTAGTTATTAGGCTGTCTTCTAGTCACCAACGCAAATAACCTTTTACTGGTTTGTCCTTTTGCCTCAGGCTGTAATATGACTGCATGATACTGTTATCGATTGTCTTTTTTTAAAATTTTGACATTTTATTATGAATATTTTTGCATTACTTTTTATTTTTAAAATAATGCACCAAAATATGGCATATCTTGATTACTGGGTTTTTTGGTATTCCCTTAAATTTTGCAGTGGGGCAAGTGCCTCACTTGTTTCACCCTAGTTCCAGCCTGTTTGCCCTCAAGATCCAGCCTAACAAAACCTTCTCTACTGTCACTAGAGAAACTCAGTATTTTATTTATCACTTTGTCTTTACCATTCTTGTGATTCTTACCACTAGAATCATCTGTGTACATGTCTAATTATCCATCCTACCTCCTTCAATTGTAAGCCACTTGAGGTTGGAATACTGTTTTGATTCACCTTTCATCCTTTTAAATCTGTTAAAGCATGCTGTACAACAAAGATTTATTTATGGAAAGAAGAACAGTCTTTAATAAGAAAGGAAAATATAACTATAACATACATTTAGAAATATTTATACCAGAATTGTCATAGGTTTCTTTTTTTGTTTGTTTGTTTTTGTTTTTGTTTTTTTAGCAAAGGTGTTTGGATAACTTTTAGGCTAACTTTGAAATTTACTTATATCAAACACCTTATTCTTCTATGATACAGAGTAAGTGAATTACCATTGTGTTCACTAAATTTCTGTTCTTTTAGCATACTGTGACTGATAGTAGAAAGAAAGGTAGCAGAAAAATATAAGAGGAAAAAAAGGTGGAGAAAAAGAGCGATAAAAACCTGAAATTAAATGTTTGCCTTTGATAATCTACAAAAAAGGATAAGCCACATGCAGAGACTCAGGAGTTGATTATACAATTTATCTTTAAGCAATTTGATACAATGTTGCCACAGGACATGACATGGTAATTTATTTCTAAAATGTTAGATTCTGTTAGTATTTTCAGATCAAACTTTGTTTTCTTCTTGACATAATTGATTACTGCTTTCATTGGGATTTATTTTAAAGTAATTCTGTACTGAAAAACTGCAAGGAAAGTAGAAACTGCACATTTCTCTATTAGGGCAGCTGTGTCTAGAACAGCACAGCAAATTTCTTTATTTTGCTATTTGATTTCTCTATCTCTTTATTGCTCTATTCATTGTAGAAAGGACTTCAGGTCACACATCAGTCTTTCAAATGAAGATTACTCAGATACACAGATTGAAAACATTCTATAATCATCAGTAGTGATTTAGGATATGAAACACGGAAATTTGAGGGCGTGAATTAATTATACCTTTTAAGGATGCTTTACTTCCACTACACAAAGTCCTTCATTGCATTTTCCCACATACGTTAGTTAGCTTTTGCCGTGTAAAAAACCCCAATTTTTGTAGCCTAAAAGAGTTAACATTTATTACTTCTTATGAGTTTATGGGATGACAGGGAGATTCTGCTTATTGGGAACAGGATTTGCTGGTCTTGGCTAGGTTCACTCATGGGTCTGTGGTCAGCTGGTAGGTCAGCTAGGGGCTGGCTGGTCTAGGATTTGCCAAGATGTGACCTTGTCTTTGCTCCATACAGTATGTCACTCTGCAGCAGGCAAAACTGGGCTTGTTGCCATAGCTGTGGTATGGTTTCAAGATAAAGAATGCAGAAACATGCAAACCCTTGTCAGTCTTAGGCTTGGGACTCTCACACTGTCACCTCAGATGCATCCTATTGGCCAAAGCAAGACATAAAACCATCTCAGAATTCTGTGATGAGCTTCAAAGTCACACTGCATGAGGTATGGATATAGGGAAGATAATAATTAGGGTAGGCTATTTTTAGAATAAGTCTACCATACAATGCATTATATTTTCTTAATTTCTATGTAATTTGTTTCCCAAGATATTTGAGACAGATTTCAGAAAATAAAATTATGCAAAAACTTTACATAATAAAAACTTAATATTATGTGCAGTTGGCAGAATTCCAAGATGGCCTTTAAGATTCCTGCCCCTTCGTTTACATGCCCTGTTTAATTCCCTCCCTTTGAGTATGAGCAGGATCTGTGGATATAATGGTATACTTACTCTTTTGATTAGTTCACACTATATGGCAAAAGTGATAGGATAGTGATAGGATAATCATGTTATATTAAAAAAGTGCCTGTCTTTGCAGACTAGAGAGGCTCTCCTTCTGGCTTTGAAGAGGTAAGCTGTCATATGTGAGGGAGCATGTGACAAGGAACCATGCAGATCTCCACAAAGCTGAGAGAAGCCTCTGGTTGACAGCCAGCAAGGAAGAGGAGATCTCAGTCCTGCAACTACATAGAACCAAATTCTGTCAACGCCGACTTGACCTTGAGCTCCAGAAAGGAATGCTGTATGGATGACATCTAACTGGTTTGGCTCAGGGTCTCATTGCAGCTTTGTGAGAACTTCAGCAAAACCAGTTAGGTTGTACCCAGAATCCTTACCCATAGAAACAAAGATAATAAAGGTATGCTGTTTTAAGCTTCTAAGCTTGTGGTAAACTGGTTTGCAGCAATAGAGAACTAATACATCAGGGGGCAAATCCAGAAAATACATTATGAACAAGACATAAATGGAAAATAAGAACAAAATTTTATAGATACTACAGATAGGGACTTTAGACAGTTATTAAGTTGAAAAACAAATTTAATTCTGAGATTCCTCGTGGCCAAAATCAAAGGAAAAAGATAAACTTTCATTATTATTTTTGCACCTATGTTTGTGTGTAGCACATGATTCCTGCTTGCAGGCTTAAAAGACACAAACAGCGTAATGTTAAATATCAATCTTGGGGTAGTAGTGTCAGAAAGGTACAGCTGATATGCAGGGCTTAGGGCTTAGAGGGGAGTAAGATAGCAGGACAAAAGGATAATTCTGTTGCTGCTGCATTAGAAAGTCAGATAGGATTATTTAAAATGTTGTGGTATTCAATCTACCAAAACTGTGGTAGATTTCTCCAAGGAAGCAACTCCCCAGTGGAAATTTATCTCACATCTTCTATGCAGAGCTGAGTGAGGGAAGGGACCAGTTTTAGTACCTCTTATCTCTGCTACCAACCTTGTCATTCATCAGGCCCAACGAATAAGAATTCACTGATAGATTTTAAACTGGGCATTGACCTGACAGAGAATCAATTTGGGCAGGAGGGCGAAGTGGGCTAGAGAAGGCAGGTAGAAGAATCACTCAGTAAACTCAGTTTGAGATGGTGGCATTCTGGACTAGCATAGTAGCAATGGGGATAGAAGTGGGGCTTTGAAGAGAAATGTTTAGAGTTGTCTGATTAGTGGAAACACTGAATGGGGGTTTTCAGAGCTGTAGAGGGACAATTATAAGAGAAGAATGTCATAAAAACCAAGGAGGAAATAGTTTCAGAAGAGAGTCATTAACTACATCAAATGCTGCAAGGAAGTAAGTTCCTATGACAATTGGTAAATTTCCATTGCATGTGTCAGTTCAAGGGTGATTTGAGACCTCTAGTGGTACAGGGGGAGGAAATGGGATCCAGAATCCAGGTGAAAGATAGGTAGGAGAAGGGACAAATTTTCCTTGAAATGGATGAGAAAAGAGGTAAGAAAAAGGAGGCAAGAAAGGCTGTTCTGTTTCTTTTTTTTTTTTAATTTTCATTTTTTTCTAGGCAGGGGAAAAGCATAGGAAAATGAATTTAAAAGAGTTCCCACTGGCCTGTGAGGGGGGGCGTTCCTTGGCTGGAAAATGAGAAGCAGAGGACCATCACAAGTAGAAGAGTTTCTGATCAATGGTAAGAATCAACTGTGGTTGCAGAACATGGTATTTTCCATAACGTCTCATCCATTGTTGGCTGAGGGCTGCTTCCAGGGGCGTTAACTCCTTAATACTTCTGACTTGTCCTGCATGGTCTGGCTAAGCCTGCACCCATGGCCAGCTAAAAGATATCAGCAAGAGAGTTACAGGTATTTAGCGGTCTTTGGGGGATTGAGGCAAATGCTGAATAATATAAGTGGGGCACTCATAGGTGTGCTCCAGCTATATTGATGGGAAAATATCCAAGTCTGGGGACACAATGGAAGGGTAAGTGAGAGTATTGGCAGAAAGGCGGTTAATGTGATGAACTATGGGATCTGGCTTGAGTAAAGAAAGAAACAAGATCAGGAAGGGGTTAGTAGATTGGGGTAAAAAAAGGCTTTTTAGGCTTGAGTCTCTTAAGGACATTAGAGTAGGGAAATAACCAAGTGGGAAAACTAGTCACTGTGGTAAAAAAGTAATATATTTGAGTTGAAAATTTTATAGATGGCCCAGTTATGAGTCATGACAAGACCATAGCATGATCACAGGAATGAGCTGCTAAAACAGAAAAGACCCATATCATAGGAATTGAGGAGGTCAAGGAGCTGTGAGGCTGAAGTATTGAATAATCCCTCCCCATTGATTTTTTTTGGGCAATTTTTTGATGAGAAGTGGTAGACTGTGATAAGGTGAATGAGGGAATGACTAGAGCATAGGTTATCTATAAGCCTCATGAGGGCAGGGATATTACATCTCATCTTCACCACTATCACAGTGTCCTGCTGCATAGCAAACTACCTCAAAAGTTAATGGCTTAAAATGACAATAAAAATTTGTTAGCCGGCCACACGCGGTGGCTCATGCCTGTAATCCCAGTACTTTGGGAGGCCAAGGCGGGCAGATCACCTGAAGTTGGGAGTTTGAGATCAGCCTGACCAACATGGAGAAACCCCGTCTCTACTAAAAATTTAAAATTAGCCAGGTGTGGTAGTGCATGCCTGTAATCCCAGCTACTCGGGAGGCTGAGGCAGGAGAATCACTTGAACCCGGGAGGTGGAGGTTGCAGTGAGCTGAGATCATGCCATTGCACTCCAGCCTGGGCAACAAGAGCGAAACTCCATCTCAAAAAAAAAAAAAAAAATTGTTCGCTGACAGTTCCTGTGGCTTAGAGATGAGGAACAGCTTAGCCGCATGCTTCTGGCTCAGAGTCTCTCATGAAGTTGCAATCAAGATGCTGGCTGGTTGTGTGGTTTTCTGCAGTTTTGACTGGGGCTGGAGGATCTACTTCCAAGAAGGCTCATTCATTTGGCTGGCCAGTTGATGTTAGTTGTTAGTAGCAGGGCTCAGTTCTTTGCTATGTGGCCATGTATCGAAATAAAGAACATAAGAAGAAAAATAAGTTTACAACGATACTAATGGAGGTTTTGGTTTGGAAATTCATTTCAAGGTGCCTATGGGACAACCTCAGGGATTTCCAAAGACAGCTAGGAATACAACAAGTCTGGGGACTAGAAGAAAAGATAGGATGGAAATAAAGATGGAGTAGATATCAATATATAGATAGTAATGTAAACCATGGAATAAATGGCTGAATGGGAAAGCCTCAGAGGAGGAAGATAATCTACACATCAATTAGGGAAGGTTGTCAAGGAGATACTGCTCCTGGAGGAGGGTTACATTTCAGTTATGGCAAGGAGTTCCAGAGAACATAGAGCTATTGGTTACCAAGTCTACCGTTTATGAGAGTGATGGAGATGAAGGTCATGGATGGAAATATCCAAAGGGTTTAGAACTTGGGTTAACAGAAATTTCTGCATTGCCCCTTGCTATGGTTTTTGGCTGTGACCCCACCCAAATCTCACCTTGAATTGTAGTAACCACCACGTCAAGGGCAAGTCCAGGTGGAGATAATTGAATCATAGGGGCGGTTTCCCCTATACTGTTCTCATGGTAGTGAATGAGTCTCACGAGACCTGATGGTTTTATAAATAGAAGTTCCCCTGTCCAAGCTCTGTTGCCTGCTGCCATGTAAGATGTCCTTTTATTCTTCCTTTGTCTTTCACCATGATTGTGAGGCCTCCCCAGCCATGTGGAACTGTGTCAATTAAACCTCTTTCTTTTATAAATTACCCAGTCTTGGGTATGTCTTTATTAGCAGGATGAAAACGGACTAATCCACCCCTTATTAGGATGTCAACATTGGCCTACTGCAAGAGTTGGTCCTATGATCTGGTGTTTAAAATACGAAAGTGTGGATGTCCTAGATTCTTGGGATACAGGGCCTAGCAAGCTGAAAACAAGAAACTGAAGTCAGATATGGATTTTCAGTATGGTTGAGTGGCAGGTGATGACAATATCTGGCATTGTGAGCGTCTAAACTGACAGGAGTGGAGTCTATCCTCCTATCAGACTCTTTACCTGATCCAAGATGACCACACCTGAAGCCATGGATGCTGAATGAGAAGCCACAATAACACCTGAGCCTAGGCTCGGGGAACTCTTCCAATGCCCCTTTCCTCTATCATCTTTGTACTTCATCATGAGCTAACTCATGCCAGCTTGCCAAGCTCCACCTTTTGGTTCCCAGGCCTTGGAAATCATGACCAGAAGGTGGGGGCTAGGACACTCCCTTAAAGAGTCTCAGCCGCAGATAGAATTAGCAACCATGGTGGTTTGGTGTCCTGAATTAACTCCTGGTGAAACTATCAGCTAGATCCCTTGGAGCATGTACTGGGATAAAGAGTTATACATGAGATAACACAGCCTGAGCTGGGCACAGTGGCTCATGCCTATAATCCTAGCACTTTGGGAGGCCAAGACAGGCGGATCACTTAAAGTCAGGAGTTGGAAACCAGTGCAGCCAACATGGGGAAACCCCATCTCTACTAAAAATACAAAAAAAAAAATTAGCTAGGCATGGTGGAGGGTGCCTGTAATTACAGCTACTTGGGAGGCTGAGGCAGGATAATCGCTTGAACCTGGGAGGCAGAGGTTGTAGTGAGTCGAGGTAGCACCACTCCACTCCAGCCTGGGTGACTCCATCTCAAAAAACCAAACCAAACCAAAAAAAAGCAGCCTGGAGAGATTAAGCACAAAAGCCAAATCCAGAGAACGAGCAACAAGGTCCAGACTCACAAATTTGATTCTGCAGATATAAGATCACAGTTAGAACACACCAGGGACAAAAATAGCCACAATCAACATTTACCAAGAGCTTACCAGGTGCCAGATGTTGTGCTAAACTGCCCTACATATCTCATTTAGTTTTCACAGGAAATTGTCTTAGTCAATTCCTGCTGCTATGACAAAATACCAGAGACTGGTTAATCTATAAACAATAGAAATTTATCTCTCCCAGTTCTGGAGGCCTAGAAGTCCAAGTTCAGGGTCAGTGTCTGGTGAAGACTGCTGTCTGCTTCCAAAATGGCACCTTGCTGCTGCATCCACTGGAGGGGATGTGAATGCTGTGTCCTCACAGAGTGGAAGAGATGGAAGGGAAAAAATGGCAGAAGTGGCAAACGGCTCCTTTGCACTTCTTTTGTAAGAACACTAATATCATTCATAAGCTCTGCCCCTCCACTGTACACTTCCTAATGGCCCCACCTCTTAATGCTATCACATTGGTGATTTAAGTTTCACCATATGAGTTTTGGAGGGGACACAAACATTCAAACCACAGCAGATGTTACAAGGTAGATCGTATCATCATCCCTACCTTATAGATGAGGAAAATAAAGCTTGGAGAGTTTAAGTAATTGGCTCACAATTACACAGCTAGCAAGAAGTACAGCCAGGTTCAAACCAGTACATTCTCACCCAGAGCCGAACTCCCCATTCATTATGCTCTCCTCTGAGTTGTGGCTGGGAATACTGTTGGTATTTGTAGGATATCTTCACAAACTAGCCACTTTGATGCAGCTTTTGTCTGAGGCTCCAGGTGTCTGAGAGGCTTCGTGAGGCCTCCCCATCCATTCAATTTCCATTGCCTTGACTTATGGCTCCAAATAGAAATTCAAAGAAAAGCCATTTATTTGGGGCTTATTCTGTGAAGGTGTATCTGTTAAAAAGATTCTGGGTTAAATGGGGCAGAAAGTCACTTTTAACTCAAATTTTATTATAAAGATCCAGAGGATTTCATTTACTCCAAGGACGGGCATGGGGCTGGGATTCAGAAACCACTGGATGCAGCCCTTGAAAACTTCCAGGATAGTCTTTGTGAATCTCATCTTCGCATATAGGGCTCATTCTCCTCTCCCTCTCTTTGTAGCTATCTATCTCCATCTCTGTATCTCTCCAGACAGATTTGTGTGATGTGAATCATGTCCTTGAGCCCTGACAGTTCTGGAACTGTCAAATCTCATCGATCTCAAAGTGCAGCCCCCGGGGCAGCGCATTAACCTCACCTGGGAAATCAGTAGAAATGAAGAAACTCAGGCCCCGCCACGGATTGACTGAATCAAAAAACCTGGAGTGAGACCAGGAGTCTGTGTTTGTTTTTTTTTTTTTTTTTTGAGACGGAGTTTCACTCTTGTTGCCCAGGCTGGAGTGCAATGGCGCGACCTCGGCTCACTGCAACCTCTGCCTCCTGGGTTCAAGTGATTTGCCTGCCTCAGCCTCCCGAGTAGCTGGGATTACAGGCGCACACCACCATGCCCAGCTAATTTTGTATTTTTGGTAGAGACGGGGTTTCTCCGCGTTAGTCAGGCTGAGTCTTGAACTCCTGACATCAGGTGGTCTGCCCGCCTCAGCCTCCCAAAGTGCTGGGATTATAGGCGTGAGCCACTGTGCCTGGCCAGGAGTCTGTATTTTAACAAGCCCTCCAAGTGATTCTGATGCATGCCAAGTTGGAATAACTGGTTTCTAGCTTATATCTTCAGCCGCCTGGACGGAGACTGACCGGTTTGCAATCCCAAGCGTTTGGACACAGTTTGATCCTGGGGAACCACCTCTGCACTGATTAGCTACAGCTGAGTGCTGGCTCATGCTGTAACCCTACTCATCCCACTGAAAAACACCTGGACAGAGGTGGCGATGTGAGCACTTTCAGAAAATAGAGCAGTTTGGAAAATAAGTGGGGTAAGGGGAATGCTATGTGGACAAAACAATAAGAAAAATGAGGGCCAGGTTTCCATACTATAAACTCAAGAACTGTTCCTGACTCGATAATGCCTTGACACAAGTAGTCAGGGAGTTTAATGAGGCCCAGGTGCTAGCCTGCTCAGGGGCAGCCAGTGGAGCAAGTTTTCTGCCGTCCTAGTGTGTCCGGAATTGGTGGGTTCTTGGTCTCACTGACTTCAAGAAAGAAGCTGCGGACCCTCGTGGTGAGTGTTACAGTTCTTAAAGGCGGCGTGTTCGGAATTTCTTCCTTCTGGTGGGTTCATGGTCTCGCTGGCTCAAGAGTGAAGCTGCAGACCTTCTCGGTGAGTGTTACATCTCTTAAGGTGGCGCGTCTGGAGTTGTTTGTTCCTCCCAGTGGGTTCATGATCTCGCTAGCTTCAGGAGTGAAGCTGCAGACCTTCGTGGTGAATGTTACAGCTCATAAAGGCTGTGTGGAACCAGAGTGAGCAAGAGCAAGATTTATTGCAAAGAGTGAAAGAACAAACCTTCCACAGCGTGGAAGGGGACCCAAACAGGTTGCTACTGCTGGCTTGGGCAGCCTGTTTTTATTCTCTTATCTGGCCCCACCCACTTCCTGCTGATTGGTCCATTTTACAGAGAGCCAATTGGTCTGTTTTACAGAGAGCTGGTTGGTCCGTTTTGACAGGGTGATGATTGGTACGTTTACAATCCCTGAGCTAGACACAAAAGTTCTCCACATCCCCTCTAGATTAGCTAGATACAGAGTGCTGATTGGTGTATTTACAAACCCTGAGCTAGACACAGAGTGCTGATTGGTGCATTTACAAACCTTGAGCTAGACACAGAGTGCCAACTGGTATATTCACAATCCCTTAGCTAGACATAAAGATTCTCCAAGTCTCCACCAAATCAACTAAACACAGAGTGCTGATTGGTGCATTTATAAACCTTGAGCTAGATACAGAGTGCTGATTGGTGGTGCATCCACAATCCCTTAGCTAGAGGTAAACATTCTCCAAGTCCCCACCAGATTAGCTAGATACAGAGTGCGGATTGGTGCATCCACAAACCCTGAGCTAGACACAGGGTGCGGATTGGTGTGTTTACAAACCTTGAGCTAGATACAGAGTGCTGATTGGTGTATTTACAATCCCCTTGCTAGACATAAAGGTTCTCCAAGTCCCCACCAGACTCAGGAGCCCAGCTGGCTTCACCCAGTGGATCCTGCACAGGGGCCGCAGGTGGAGCTGCCTGCCAGTCCCACACCATTCCTGGGCACTCCTCAGCCCTTGGACGGTCAATGGGGCCTGGTGCTGTGGAGCAGGGGGCGGCGCTCTTAGGGGAGGCTCAGGCTGCGCAGGAGCCCACTGCAGGGCGGGGGGCATCTGGGAGACTCAGGCATGGCAGGCTGTAGGTCCCGAGCCCTGCCCGGTGGGGAGGCAGCTAAGGCCTGGTGAGAAATCGAGTGCTGGCCCACTGGTGGGCCAGCACTGCTGGGGGACCTGGCACACCCTCCACAGCTGCTGGCCCAGGTGCTAAGTCCCTCACTGCCCAGGGCCGGTGGGCTGGCGGGCCGCTCCGAGTGCAGGGCCCGCCAAGCCCATGTCCACCCGGAACTCTAGCTGGCCCGCAAGCACTGCACGCAGCCCCGGTTCCCACCCATGCCTCTCCCTCCACACCTCCCAGCAGGCTGAGGGAGCCAGCTCCGGCCTTGGCCATCCCAGGAAGGGGCTCCCACAGTGCAGTGGCAGGCTGAAGGGGTCCTCAAGCGTGGCCAGAGTGGGCGCCAAGGCCGAGGAGGTGCCAAGAGCGAGCGAGGGCTGCCAGGGCTGCCAGCATGCTGTCACCTCTCACTCACTGCCCAGGGCTGGCAGAGCCGGCCGGCTGCTCCGAGTGCGGGGCCGCCAAGCCCATGCCCACCCAGAACTCTAGCTGGCCCGCAAGCACTGCACGCAGCCCCGGTTCCTGCCCATGCCTCTCCCTCCACACCTCCCCGCAAGAGGAAGCCGGCTCCAGCCTCGGCCAGCCCAGAGAAGGGCTCCCACAGTGCAGCGGCCGGCTGAAGGGCTCCTCAAGCGAGGCCAGAGTGGGTGCCGAGGCCGAGGAGGCACCGGGAGCGAGCGAGGACTGCGAGGGCTGCCAGCACGCTGTCACCTGTCACTAGGGATTGGCCTGGTCTGGCCCTGAGGTCATGGTTTAGGGCATTAACAGTCACACTGACTCACTTGTCACTTTGTGGTCCTTTTCCTGAAGCAGTCCACATCCAGTTTCTCACCTGCTTTAGGCCCTGGGGGTTACATTAGTTAGAGCAGCAATTCTCAACGTGAGATCCCTGGGCCCTTATGAGTCTCTGAGACTCTTTCAGATGTTCCTCAGATCAAACTATCTTCACAATATCTAGATTTTATTTGTGTTTTTCAGTGTATTGACATTTGCAACAATGGTACAAGAACAATGACAGGTGAAATTGCTGGTTCCTCAGCACAAATCAAGGCAGTGGCACCAAAAGTACTAGTAGTGATTATATTCTTCACTGCCATGCACTTACAGACAATAATCATTTTATTTACAAATGTCTTTGATAAAGCAGTAGAAATTAATAATTGAATTGCGTACTTCTGGGCATACTTCTGCTGCATATCAAAGTATGATGGTTGTCTCAATATAAAGTAATTGGGCATTGTTTGACTTGTGAGTTGAATTAGTTGCTTTTTCATGGAAAACCATTTTTACTTGAAAGAACTACTGATAGACAACCTATGGTATTTGACAGACATTTCTACAAAAATCAAGTAAGCTTGTCACTTCCAGGAAAACAACTGACAGTGTTTGTTGCTAATGATAACATTTGAGCTTCCAAGTGAAAATTATAATTTTGAAAGACTTGTATCTACCATCCTGAGCTTGACAGTTGCCCAAATACTAAGAACTTTTTTGATGAGATCCATGGTGATATTAACCAATGTGAATTTTAAATATTATATAATGAAATGTGTTAATATCTGGAATATCTACATAACTCAGTGAACTAATATTTTTCAAATGACCAATTCATGATGTCACAAAATTGTGCATGGGTAAAAGATCCATTCAAAGTGCAAGATAAAATAATAGATTTTAATGTTAACAGAGTTTAAAAATTTCATTGGTATAGTTTTAGATTCCATATTACACTAACTTTTAAAAAACAACTACTTGTTGAGTTTTAGTATAATATAAAAAAGAAGATCCATAATGATCTGAAATGGCTGTTAAAATACTCCACCTTTTATCCTCTATCTATCTATCTATCTATCTATCTATCTATCTATCTATCTATCCATCTATCTATCTATCTCTATATATATGTGAGGCTGGATTTTCTTCATATACTTCATATACTTCATCAAAACAACATAGTAAAACATATTGAATGCAGAAGCAGATATGAGAATCCAGCTGTCGCCTATTAAACCAAACACTAAAGAGATTTTAACAAATGTAAAACAATGCCTATTCTTCTAATTTTTTTTTGTTTTGGGAAGTATAGCTATTTTTCATAAAAATGTTATTTGGGTTAACATGTAATAGTTTTATTATTGTCATTTTTAATGAATTAAAAAATAAAAAGTCAGATTTAACTTCTAATGTGGTAGATATTGATACATATAACCCATATACAAAGTTTTTTTGGGATCCTTAATTATTTTCAAGACTGTAAAAAGGGTCCTGAGACCAAAAAGTTTCAGAACCCTTGAGTTAGAGTACTACTCAGCTATTGTAACTAAGAGATATGCATAGAAAAAGAGATGTATGAAGTGGTTCAAACAATATAGAAATTCCCTCGTTTTAAGTAACAGTCCAGAGATCACTGGGGTGGGAGGTCAGGGCAGGCAGATAGTTCTGTTCCATGGGTCCTCCAGGGTCTCAGATTCCTTCTGTCATGCCCAGACATCCTCTAGGGCATGGATTCTTAATGTGGGTTTCTGTATTTGGAATGTCTATGAATTTAGGTAGGAAAACCTCTAATAGAAATGTAGCATTTCCTTCAATTATAGGCAACAAACCATAGTAGCATTAGCAGGACTAATGACTTTGTCAACAATAGACACCACAGGCATTTTTACAGCACATTACACTTATTGCAGAGATCTTAAGATACCATTTATACTCAGCACTCCTTTAAAACCATGTTAGTTGTTAGAACCCCTTACTAGATTTTGTTATGTAATTAATATATCAATGAAGAAATACATATAGTAGTATGTGGTACATTTATTTTAAACATATTTATATAATGGTATTCCATTATGTTTGGTTTCCTTTATAATCTGTTTTATCTTTAAGTGTATTTTAAACATCATTCTGTTAATGTCTCAGGGGACCATTCACTTGAATGCCAAATAGGTACAAAACTGATTTAAGAAGCACTGTTTTAGGGTCACGGTTGGAGAAGGGAATGTAGAGTAAGAAACTTCCTTTTAATGAAGTGCACCCAGTACTTCCTGCCTACATTCCATTGTTGAGAACTTAGTTACAAGGTTACATTGAGCTGGGAAATGTGGTTTCTAGCTGGAAGGCCACGTGCCTTGCTAAAACTTGAGGGTGAGTGGGGGTTAAATTACTAAAAAGAATAAGGGGGATATTGAACAATGCATGGGAGACAGCTCATAGTCTCTTTACTGGGTTCTGAAGGGCTTCATTTCTTCTCTGTTGAGCCTTTCTCACTTTGCTTCTCTGCTCCTCAGTCCTCTAGTGGCTGTTCTTTCTTCTCAACAATGAGTAGGTGCACTCTCTGATAGTCTATTCCAACCACCTCTTCTGAAAAGTTACATAAACAGTGACTCCGATGTCAGTGTCATAAATCATGAAATTAATAAGATGACATGTCAAAGTTAAAAGGCTGGCAGGATAATTGCCAAGCATCTCCCCTCAAATAAATATTTATTAAAATAAATATTATTATAAAGGAAACAGTAGTAACTTTACAGTGGAGAAAGCTGTCAGACAGTACCTTAATCAAACCATCAAGGTTAATATCACCAATAAGAAGACATATTATCAACCTATATTCCCTGACATGATGCACTGAGAAGGGCACATCACCTCTGTGGTATTCTTCCTTCAAATCGAAACAGGAGAAAACGTCCAGCAAACTGAAATTGAGAGACGTTTTATAATATAACTGACCAGTACCATTCAAACATGTCAAGATTATGAATGACAAAGACAGATTTAAAAACTACCACAGATTAGAGGAGCCTGAGGAGACATAAAAACTAAATGCAAATGTGGGCTCATGGATTGGATCCCGGAACAAGAAGAATGACACCAATGGGAAAGCTGACAAAATTCGAATAAGGTCTGTAGCTTAATTAATAGTATTGTAGCAATGTTAATTTCCTGGTTTTGATAATGGTACTATGATTACATAAGATGTTAACACATTCACAATAGCAAAGACTTGGAACCAACCCAAATGCCCATCAGTGGTCGACTGGATAAAGAAAGTATGGCACACATACACCATGAAATACTATGCAGCCGCAAATAAGAATGAGTTCATGTCCTTTGCAGGGACATGGACGAAGCTGGAAACCATCATTCTCAGCAAACTAACACAGGAGCAGAAAACCAAACACTGCCTGTTCTCACTTATAAGTGGGAGTTGAACAATGAGAACACATGGACACAGGGAGGGGAACATCACACACCGGGGCCTGTCAGGGGGTAGGGGGCAAGGGGAGGGAGAGCATTAGGACAAATACCTAATGCATGTGGGGCTTAAAACCTAGATGATGGGTTCATGGGTGCAGCAAACCACCATAGCACATGTATACCTGTGTAAGAAACCTGCAGATCCTGCACACGTATCCCAGAACTTAAAGTATAATAATAATAAAAAAGATGTTAACATTAGGGGAATTAACATTTCAGATAATTATGGATCTTCTTTTTGATATTATACTAAAACTAATACCCTAAAGGGTATATGGGAACTCTGTATTATTTTTGCAACTTTTCTATCAGTGTAAAATTATTTCAAGATAAAAAGTTTTTAAAAAGGCTGATAGGTACAGAGATAGAGCTGCCCTGGATGGTGGCACCTTGCTAGGGCTTTTATTACCCAGTGAGGATCAGGGACTAGCATATCTCCCTCCCATTCAAAGTTGAAAAACCAATCCCAGCCAAATACTCTCCAGCCTTTCGACAAAAGCTTGGCTGAAGCTGGTGATCCAGAAACGATATAGTAGAGCATGTGTTTACCTTCTTTGAATGTTAACTTTTCTCATCTTTCAAATGGGAGAATATAATACTTATACGGTTGTTGGGGATGTATTTAAAGAGGTAATGTCTCTGAAGTGGAACAAATGCTCAATAAATATAATTATTACACTGTAAAGAGAAACCTGGGAAGAATCTTATTATCATTGAAGCTTAAGTAAAGCATTCACATAAGCATTTATGAAGTGCTTCAAATATACCACATATGCTCCAAGTCAGGTTACCGTTAGTGATGATAGGGTCACTGTAGTGCTACTGGCTTTAACTAAAGTTACAACACTGTTACAGAATCTAATTTAATTGAGACACACTCTAATTTGGATGACATTTTTTCTAATTTAATTCCACATGCCTTATATTTTCACATAGTTGTTAGCCTATAAATTATTAATTTAGTCACTTTGTTTGATTATATTTTTTCTGGCATTGCTCATCAGTGCTAACATGTTTAACTATTGGTCTCAGTGGTTGCTGAAAGCAAAGTGATGTAGGAGAGAAACGCCTCAACGACCCAAATCTAATAAAAACGTTGCTTTGTTGTAAAACTTGTTTTGTGATATAAAGCTGGACTTTGACCACTTCTGTCTAATGCTTTTAGTACTAGCGTTGTTCAGTTTCTTCTTAGATAGGGAACTAGGGGAGTCCAGGGTGAGGTTATCAATTTTCCCAGGCTTCTATAGCTCTTGCTATGCCCATCTGGACCAGGGCTACCCACAGTATGATCTGTGGATTTGTCCCAGTCTGCAAACTCTTACTGGTCTGTGAAAAAAATTGAGAGAAAGCATCCAGAAACTTTGAGAGCAATTTGAATGGCTTGTTTTATATTTGTTGAATAAAATTAGAAAAAGGGTTTGTATTTTGTATTATTTGCTTTTCATTTTATTTTTCTAATAATTTATCATAATATTATTATTATATTTGACAAGTGTTTCAGTCTGTGACATATTGGAAAAAGAAAACATAAAACTTCATCCTTACCCATAGATAGAGAAGCGCTTATCTAAATCGTATTTAGTAAAAGACAATCCAGGTAATGTGTAATTTAAAGTAATCAATAAAAAGGAAGGCATCCTCATCGAGCTCTATACATTTTATAAATACAACCAGAACTGGCATTGTTGCCTAGAAGCATCTATGTACATATTAGGAACATTTGTCTGTGTAAAATTCCTTGTTGCCTGTGAACCTGCTGAAGGTTGTTGTGGGATGGGGGTGGGGGAGTGCAGTTTTCTGGCCAGAAACTTTGTCCTAATGTCTATGGGAACTGACATTGCACTAATTCTCACAGTTCTCTCCTGACTGGCTGCCTGTTTTCATTGTGGCCCATAATTTATCTTCCACATTGTTGCCAGAATAACAATCTTAGCAAAATACAAAGTGTTAGCATGTTGCTCTGATGACTAACATACTTCAGAGACTTTCCATCACCCACAGGATAAAGTTTAAACACTTTGGCCTTTTCTCTAGTGAGGTTTGGAAATGAAATTAAGCAAAAGCCAGGTATGTTGCTATTCAGTTCTTAAGTTGAGAGGCAGATATTGGATAATTCTTTTTGGGGCTATTTGCAAGGGAGACACAATGGACACTGAACTCTGATGAAGACACTGAAGAGGTGCCTAGTATAATGCTCCAACCGTGGCCCCTACTAAGTGGTGCTGGGGCAGGGGGTGAAGGTGGCACACTTTCCTGCTGTAGCTGCTCCCTGGCTTGGTCACAGCTTAAGGAAGACCCCAAATGGAAGTTACCATTTGGGTAACTACATAATGATTTAGTTTGCCAAACTAGGCATTCAGCTGTTTACCAAAAGGCATTCTAACTGGCCAGAAAAACACCCAGTGGGTAAAGACTAGTATTTACCTTTATCACACAGCAATTTCTTAATTAACCTAAAGTAGGTATTTGGTTAAATGAAGTTTGATATTTGGAAAGAATAGCCCCCATTCTACGTAATGTTTGGGTTTACCAAAACATTACTTGCTCAAAATTCAATGGATCCATTTATTATAATAACTTGTTTTAATCTCGATGTCACAACATAATCTACTAAGTTAAAAATGTGTTCAGGTTGGCCAGGCGTGGTGGTTTACGCCTGTAATCCCAGCACTTTGCGAGGCCAAGGTGGGAGGATCACGAGGTCAAGAGATTGACACTGTCCTGGCCAACATGGTGAAACCCCATCTCTATTGAAAATACAAAAATTGGCTGGGCGTGGTGTCATGTGCCTGTAATCCCAGCTACTTGGGAGGCTGAGGTAGGAGAATCACTTGAATCTGGGAGGCGGAGGTTGCAGTGAGCCAAGATCGTGCCACTACACTACAGCCTGGTGACACAGTGAGATTCCATATAAAAAAAAAAATGTGTTCAGGTTGAATTAGCTTTATATTACAACTCAGATTGCAGAGATTTTCTGTTGGATCTTAGTTGAATATAAGCAATCATCTGGTCCAATTCCTCGATTTTTTAAAAATGAAGAATCTGAGTGCTATCTAGAGGTAAACTGGGTTGCTTAATGCTACACAACTATTTGTTGGCTGAGCTAGACCCAGAACTCAGCTGATAACCATATTTCTTAAATAAACATCAGGATATATCGCTTAACACAGGCAACTTTCTGATTTGTAAATTTATTAAGAAGTCTTTCAGAGGTATCATATCTTGCAACACATTGAGCAAAGAGCCTTCACTGATGAAAAGAAAATGAGATTGAGTCTGTCCTGGAATCTCTAGTTTATTTGGTTTCTATGGACTCAGTGGCATAGAAGGCGAATGTTAGTTTATGATCTCAGGGCTGGTGTCTCCTTGACTCTTCAACCTTTGGTGTGACTTCCTGGCTCTGTTCAACTGCGTTTTACCAGCAGCTCTTCTCTGCCAGCAACCTAGTCTGACACGGACCAAGATATCCTGTCAAATTATCACTCCATGTTTGTTTGCCCCTGTAGGAGGATGGAGAGTTTAGAGTTGGTGGAAGGCATGAGTCTGTAGCAGGGAGGGCAAGCTGCCCACACCAATTTATGTGCCCCTTTCCATGATGACCTGTACAGAGTCGTTACTGGAAACTGGCCATCCAGCCATGCACTACATTTCCCAGTCTTGATTTCCTAACCTCCTCACCCCACATCTCTTGCTATGCATCTAGACCAGTCTTTGGTAACGGAGTGTGAGTGGGAGTGATCTATTATTTTCAGGCCAGTGCTGTTATGTTTTCTTTCCCTTTCTGCAAGCTGGAAGCCCTAGGAGATAGCGAATCCAAAGAAGAAAGCAACTCAGGTAGTGAAGCACCACATAGAGAAGCTCTGCCTGCCAACTAGGAAAGACTCCCTTAGACTCGCAGGTGAGCATAAAATAAACTTGAACTCTGTCTTTACACATTTTGGCTTTGTTCAGCAGCCAACATTCCCCTAAATAATATTAGGTTGATGCAAAAGTCATTGCGGTTTTTTTCCTTTACTTTTGTATCAACCTAATATGAAGGCTCTGGTTCTAACTTTGACTTCACTTTGAAGATAGATGCACACCTAAAAATTAGTAACATGTATTTCTACCAAATACTTAATTTAATTGAGCACTCTAAGTGTTCAGAGAGGTCTCAATTTCCCCAAGAGATTAATAAAGCAAAATGAATTGAGACACTCAAAGAAGCAGCTAATAAACAAATTACTTACTTGTCTAAATTTTGCTGATATCATGCTGTTCACTTCCAAATAAGTTCACTTTTAATTTTCATATCCTTGTATGGAGGTGAAGGATGTTGTGCTTTGGATATAGACTGTAATTTTTATATGTTATGCTCATTTTACAGTTGTATTTAGTTGTACTTCACCTCTTTCCAAAAGAATTTGCAATGACTTATAAAAAATGACTTAGCAACAAAATTAATAAAATAGAAAAGCATAATATAGACAAAGGAATGAGGAAAATATGCTAACTGTAATTATTCACATGGCGGCTGTGACTGAGTTTCAACCTTGGGTCTAAACTCCTTGGCATGTTGGGTAAGAGGGAAGGTGATAAATTGCAAATCAGCCCTTGGAACAGAGGAAGTGTGCTCTTGCCTCAGGAGAGACAAAGCTTTGCCTGGTTCCAATATCTCAAAGAAATGGTCCTCAGTGTTTTTATCTCAGGGGAGTAGGACCTACTAAGAGTGAAATCAGAATGGATTTTAATAAAATCTCCAGCTCAATTTTGTGAAATGGATTCTTGATTATATTGAAAAGGGAAGAAGCTGTTATGCTAAGTCATTACTGAAAGCCTTTTATTTTGATTTTTCACATACTTTAGCTCTTCGGAACTTAGGTATAGCTTGAGGATGAGGATCTTTGATATGTTCAGTTAAAAAAGTTTCTTTGGCTCATATTAGGTAAGCTCTGGACCAAACTGATGGTTTGCTTCTAGAGGCACTGTGAACAAAGTATGTCATTAGTTGAGGTAAACTAATATTTGAAGGTGATTGTTTTATCTTCCTTGGGAGAGAATGTGGTTTTCTCAATGTATGAGCTTGGAGTTCTCATAGATTGGGGGTTCTTAGGCTGGAATTTCTAAGGAAGAGCCCCTACATTGTAACACAAGCAACCCCATTTAGACATTTTCAGGGACAGGCCATTCTTAACAGGCTTTCATGTGCTCCAAGAAAATTGCAGCTAGAGATTTTCTCATTAGCTATCATTTTATAGACAAGAAGACTGAGGCCCAGACCGAGTATGTAACTGGCCAGTGGTTTCAGCAATAATGAAAACAACGTTGAGACAACAACCCCAGTCTTCTGATGCTTAGCTCATTTCTGCTACCTAATATATGCCTCTTTTTAAATACTAGTTCAATACTATTCAATTTAATGCAGCAAGCCTGTATTAAACATCAACAATAGAAAGTATCACCCTCAAGATATTTATGTGTCCCATATAATTCTTGGTTATCTCTGTATTTCCTAAAACCCTTAATTGTTTCCATCAAATACAGGTAGGCAATGCAAGAAAGTTCAAATTGCAAATATGACAATCAGTAGTTGTATATCAATCTCTAATAGAATCATGTTATGTTCCAGATTGGTGAAACAGTGTAACATCTTTTCTACTCTCTGAAGATTTCAAAGCACTTAACATTACCTTAAAACTCATTAAGCCAAGTGCTGAATCAGACATTGGATGCTATAACTTGATTATTTATTTAGTAGCATCAGGGAGTTGGTTCTCATTGGGAACTGATAGCTCTAAAAGGATGAAATTTTTCTTCAGTATTCTGCAAGGACAAACACCGTTCAGCCAACACTACTCTTTCAAAGATAATCAGTGATAATATAGGAAAATATTAGCAAGTGACCCAAAAAACTCTTCCCAGATACATAAATTAATCAAATATTTTCCAAAGTCTTTGTAAATATATGTTAATTTGATCTGGTATATGCTACCTTATAGGAATAAAAGAGTTTGTGGGATTTTATTAGTTAAGGAATAGAAGAAAGTGAAATTCACTTATTCTTTCTTACCAGTTAAGATTTAGAATATCTTTCTCTTAAAAGTTACCCACTGTATTGAAAATTCTTTCTTGCTTTTTAAATTTAGGAATACTCTATTTTTGAAAAGTGAATGGTGGTTTTTTGTTGACTATTGCCTTTCAAAACATGTTTTATTATTACTGTGCAAATTATATAGTTTTTTGACTTTTAAAAATATTGAAGTTAATATCAGCTTCTGTTTTTATATCAAAAAGTGGCTAGTTGTTTTCTTGGACTCTGTTTTTCTTGATAGAAATTTTGCCAGAATTTCACTAATTTAATTAAAAACATCAATCCATTAGAACATAGAGATATAAATGGATTGTCTATTTGTCCCTGGCTAACTTTCAATATGAGTGATTAACTGTTAATTATAGACCTGTGTATGTAGTCTACGAATTTTTCATATTCAAAATTAAACTTTGAATCATCTCTAAAATGACAGTGGCAAATGACACAGATACAGTTTTGAATAATGATAGACTACATTGGCAAAAGCTACTGCGAGTTTTTTGGGTGCGTAAGACAGGCTCATATTCAGGTAAGTTTTTGATCTCTTGTTTTAAATGTGAATATATCTACATTTTGGATATGCTGCCTAATGCTCTTCTAACTTAAAATCAGAACACTTATATTCATGAAAGTGGCTGTAGATCCCTGGACAGAGGATTTTAGACTCAATTCTTTATTATGCAAATTACAGAGGCTGTGCTAGGGGTAAGAGGGTTAATGACTATTAACTGGTGATAACAGGTTCCAGTCTCTACTATCATTTATTCACTTAGTGAGGGAGAAAGGAGAAAGACCGAGGGGTCGCTGAAGAGATAACTTAGGATTTCTAATTTAGGCTTATTTCATAGATAGTATTTTTAAAACAGGAATAAATAGATGAAAATAAAGAAAAAAAAATCATTCCAAATTGTATCATCTAAGGATAACGCTGGTAACAGTTTTCTCTATAGAACATTTTAACACTATTAGTGTATGTTCTGTGCATATATAGTTCAAACTTTTTTCTTTCAAAAATTGTATCATGTTATATGTGTCTTTGAATATGGCTTTTATTAATTTAACCTCAGGAATTTCCTCCTGTCAGTAAATACACTTCTAAAACATTAATGGCATCATATTCCTTCATTCACAGTGGCATCATAATTTATTTAACAAAACCTTCAGCGTGTGAACGTTTAGATTGTTTCACATTTTTTGAGTATAGTAAAAAATGCTGTGATGAGCATCTCTATATATACATCTTTGTCCAATTAGTTTTTAAGATAGATTGATACAAGCAAAGTTGCTATGTGAAAGGGCATACATGCTCTATGGTTTTTGGTATATATTAAAAACTTCCTTGGAGAATTTGTACCAATTTATACACGTAATGGATATATGAAATTCCCTCTCCCTCCAGATCTTGAAAATACCATAATTTTTCCAATCTTGGCTAACTATAAAGAAAATACAGAAAATACAGATTTCTTTCTTTCTTTCTTTCTTTTTTATTGTTGTTGAGACGAAGTCTTACTCTGTCATTCAGGCTGGAGTGCAGTGGCGCAATCTTGGCTCACTGCAACCTCTGCCTCCCAGGTTCATTCTCCTGGCTCAGCCTCCCGAGTAGGTGGGACTTCAGGTGCATGCCACCACACCCGGCTAATTTTTTTTTTTTTTTTGTATCATTAGTAAAAATAGCGTGTCACCATGTCGGCCAGGCTGATTTCAAACTCCTGACCTTAAGTTGATCCTTCTGCCTCGGCCGCCCAGCATGCTGGAATTACAGGGGTGAGCCACTGCTCCTGGCCGATTTCATTTTTAATTGCTGTTTTTTGATTACTAAAGATTGAATGAGTTGATTTTTTTTCACATGCTTATTGGTCTTTTCTATTTCTTCTTCTTTTTTTAGAGACAGGATCTCAGTCTGTCACCCAGGATGGAATGCAGTGGCATGATCATGGCTCACTGAAGCTTTGGCCTCCTGAGCTCAAGTGATCTTCCCACCTCAACCTCCCAAAGTGCTGGGGTTACAGGTCTGAGCCACCCTGTCCAGACCATTTCTTCTTCTTGTCTATGTATGCCAATTTCTTATTCAGTTAATGTAGTTATCTTTTTCTGAGTGATTTTTAAAGCACCCTAGTGATATTGAGGAGTGGGAACTCTTCATCTGTCATATATGTTGCAAATATTGTTTTAAAGTTTTCTGTTTGACTGTTAACTTTGCTGGTGATGATTTTTGATATGTAGACATTTTTATTTTTTAATATAGTTATATCTTCCAATTTTTTTTGGCTCCTACTTTTGATGTCATGCTTAGATAAACCTTATCCATACTAGCATTTAAAAATATTTGCCCATGATTCATTTAATGGTTTTAATTTTTATATTCAACCTTTAAAGTATTATGAAAGATTTCACATATAGAAATTGGTGTGAATAACGTAAGAGAGGCAGTACAGTCGTGTCACTTAACAATGGGGATAAGTTCTGAGAAATGCGTACTTAGGCAGTTTTGTTGTTGTGCAAACATAATAGAGTGTACTTACACAAACCTGGATGTTAGTGCCTACTGCATACCTAGGCTCTATGGAATAGCCTATTGCTGCTATGCTACAAACCTGTGCAGCATGTTACTTTATTGAATACTGCAGGCAACTGTAATACAATGGTAAATATTTCTGTATCTAAACATAAAAATAGTTGTGCTACATGTTATGATGGCTGTGAAAGGTATGATGTTACTAGGCAATAGGAATTTTTCAGCTCCATTATAATCTTATGCATTCCACCATTGACCAAAACACATGACTATATATGTCACGGTTAAGAGCACAGACTTCAAGCCAGATTTTGTGGGTGTGGTGGTTTTAAAATAAGTCCATAAATTCTTTACATTACTCCCTTCAAAAGATGGAGCATAATTCCCCTCCCCATGGATATGGGCTTAATGTGGCCACTCCCTTCTGATGAGTAGAATGTTATGAAAATAATGAAGTGTATATTTGGACACAATGTCATAAAAGACATTGAGGCTTCTCTCTCTGTTTCTTTCCCCTGTTCCCTTGGATTTCTCACTCTAGGGGAAGCTAGCTGCAGTGCCATGAGGACGTCAGTCAGCTCTGTGGAGAGGTCCAGTAATGAGGAGCTAAGGCCTCCCACCAGCATTTAGCAAGGAAGCTGATGGAGGCTTCAGACCAACAGCTACATAGGTAAGCTTGGAAGTGGATCCTCCAGCTTTATCAAGTCTTCAGGTTACTATAGTTCTGGTTGACATGTTAGTTGCAATATCATTAGATACACTGAGGCAGAACCATCCAACAAAGCCTCTCCTGAATCTCTGACTCTCAAAAACTGACTGTATGATAATAAATGTTTGTTGTTTAAGACTGTACTAAGTTTTGAGGTAATGTTTTATGTAGCAATAGATGACTAATATAATAGGCATGAATCATCAAGCTGTAAGATCTTATGCCTTAATTTCCTTATTTTACAATAGGGAAAATAATAGAACTGTCTTTATAAGATAATTCTGAAGTATAAATTAACATATATGTAGTAACAGTGCCAATGTGTGGTGAGCTAAAAGTTTTGCTATTATCAACAAATAGCCATGTACCCCCACCCAGCTTAAGAAGTAGAATGTTACTGATAGAACTGGAGATTCATTTATGTCCCTTCCCAAATGCATGTACTTAACTATTTAAATATCTAGAAATTATTTCAGTTATGGAGTGAGGTAAGGATCCAGTAAATAATTTTTACCCCAAATGGATAACCCATTTTCTCAGCATAATTTGATTAATCATTTATCATTTTCCCACTGATTTGGAGATCATTATTTTAGTGTACTAATTACCTATGTGTACTTTTATTTGTTTTGGGGTTTCTATTCTGCTCCATTGCATTATGTCCATTCTGCCATCAGGTACGTACTGTTTTAATTAGTCTCACTTCATGGTATGTTCTGATGCTTCCAGTACAAATTCCCCTATATTATTGGGTAGACACTCTCTCAGATGGCCTCATATGATCCCTGACTCTTGGTATTCATGTTCTTGGGTAATCTTCCCTTAAGTGTGGGCTGGATTTGGTGACTCTCTAGTGAATAAAGTGTGGTAAAGATGATGGTATGTCACTCCTGAGATTAAGTTACAAAAAAGACTACGGCTTCTATCTTGGTTATTCTTTCTTATTTTCTCACTTGCTTTGAGGGAATCCAGCTGCCTTGTGAGCTGCTTTGTAGAGAAGTCCATGTGGCAAGGAGCTAAGTAAGGGAGGCATCGTGACAACAGCCAGTGAGGAACTGAGGCACTCAGTCTAACAGCTTGGGAGGAATTGAATCCTTCCAACAACCTGCATGTGAGCTTGAGCTTGGAAATGGACCTTACCTCAGGTGAACTTTTAGGTGAGACAACAGTCCTAAGCCAATACTTTGATTGCAGCCTTGTGAGAGAACTTGAGCTAGAGGTACCAAGCTAAACCATGCTTGTATTTCTGATTCACGGAAACTGAAATAATAAAAGTTTGTTACTTGAAGCTGCTAAATCTTGTGGTAATTTATTACGCAGCAATAGAAAACTAACACAAGTTTTCTTTTCAGTTCTTTTTTGGGTGTTCTTCTCTACTTATCCTTTGATATGGCCATGATTTCGTCTTACTCCAAAAAATTTTAGAGAATTTTATTTGGCATTACGTAATATTTCTAAATCATTTTGGGGCCGCTTGATACCTCAATAATGAGTTTTCCGATACCACAATATTGTGTTCCATTCAAATCACACAAGACTTCTTTTATGTGCCTCATTGAGTTTTCTTTATACATATTTCTTATTAGGTTTATTCTTAGCCATTGTATACATTTCATTGGTATTATGAATGGAAATAATTTCTATTTGATTATTGTTTGTATGCAGGGAATTAATTGGTTTTTGTACATTTTCCCAGGAATCTACCACTTAATTGAATTCTATTATTAGTTCTCATTGTTTTCCATTGTGTCTCCTGGGTTTTCTATAGAGACAATGATCCAGTATTCTTTTTACAACAAACTTAAAGATACTGAGCAGAGAAACAAAAGTGTTTATATGTGTGTGCACATACTATGTGCAATGAGGGGATAATGTGAAGCCAAGAATTTGGAAAGAAATAAATAGTAAATAGCTCTGTTTTCTTCATTTCTGTCTTTGCATCATTTAGCACAGCCCTCAAAATATAGAAGATGCTGTGTGTATAGTAATTGAATTAATGAATGACCTACCTGCCTTCTAGTTTGGTTCCCTCGTCCTGCTTCAACATCTCTCTCTGAGCCAACTCTTCATGAGGTTCCACCATGTCCTGAGCTGAACCCATGTTGGGTATGACATCTGCTGAGTCCTCAGCGCTCCATGAACACAATCTAAATAAGTAAATTACTTACCCCAGAAGACCTAATGACCTGCTGGGGGAGACAATATGAGTTTGCATGTAATCTTTACAGAACAGATTAGTGCTAGAGATGGTGTATTACCTCCCTGGGCTCACATAGGGCTAGTATAAACTAGGCAAATGTACCTTCCATTTGAGCAGTGTTCCATGTATAGTATTCAGGCCTGTGCTGAGCCAGGCAGGGTATGTAATAAGGTAGTGCTTGAGGGGAAGTCAGGATCCTGCATAAAGAGAGAATCAGGTACTCAATCCAAAGGGCGAAGAGCGGCATACAACCAGACAGTAAATCTGAAAACAAGATGTACAGAAAATCTTGTCAAGAACATGGGCAAATGTCTTAACCAAAGTGGTGGTGATATGGGAATTCAGCATTTACCTGGTGCCTGGTGCATGACTCAGGGTGGAAGCAGCTGTAGAATGCTTGAAGGAACTTTGCAGGGCTGGGCTAATTTGATTGCAAGGAGGAGCGTTACTCAGAATAGAAGTTATGATTCTGTAGGCCAAGATACAGAGCTAAATTTTATTCAAGGTGCCAGGGAGACAATGGAAAGTTTTCAGCTTAGGAGTGACATGAACTGATTAACTGGTTTATTGGAATGCAGTGGTGCCATGATAGCTCACTGCTGCCTCCAATTCCTAGGCTCAAGGGATCCTCCCTCCTCAGCCTCCCAAGCAGCTACAAGCATGCACCACTATGCTCAGCTAATTTAAAAATTATTTTTGCAGAGATGGGATCTCACTACGTTGCCCAGGCTGATCTCAATCCTCCCGCCTTGGCCTCTCAAACTGCTGGGATCACAGGTGTGAGCCACAGTTCCTGGTCTCAATTTACATTTTTAACAAGCACTTTCTGTCCACAGATTGGAAACTGAGTTAGGCTGAGGGACAAGAGTGAAAGTTGAGAGAACTGGTAGGAGAAATTGCAGTGAGCAGGAGAGAGGTAATCCTGGGCTGGAGCAGGTTGGTGGTGATGGAGATGGGGACTGGTATTCATTGAGGTGTATTTGGAGGTGGACTAGACAAGAAATATTTTCTGGCCAGAACTTTGATATCTCTTATACTGAATCAACTAGATTTCTTTGTTGTTGAAGCCCTCAAAATGGAAGTGAGGACATTCCAGCAATCTGGGTGAATGGACTATCTATCTGCATGGAATTTTGTGGATGCATGAAAGGTACTTCTAGCATTGGGAAGGATGGTTTATTGCTCTGTGAATAAAGTTTTTAGTGCTAGTAAGTTTCTTTCTTTTTCTTTTCTTTTTTTTTTTTCTTTTTTTTCAGATAGAGTTTCGGTCTTGTTGCCCAGGCTGGAGTGCAATGACGTGATCTCAGCTCACTGCAACCTCCACCTCCCAGGTTTAAGCGATTTTCCTGCCTCGGCCTCCCGACTAGCTGGGATTACAGGTGCCTGCCACCACACCAGGCTAATGTTTGTATTTTTAGTAGAGATGGGGTTTCACCATGTTGGTCAGGCTGGTCTTAAACTCCTGACCTCAGGTAATCCACTTGCCTCAGTCTCCCAAAATGCTGGGATTACAGGTGTGAGCCACTGCGCCAAGCCACTAGTAAGTTTTTTTGAAGCTTTGCAGTATATTTTATTTATTGCAACATAAAATAAAATTTTCTTTTTAAAAGAGATAGGGTCTTGCTCTGTTGTTGCCCAGGCTGAAGTGCAGTGGTACAGTCATAGCTCACTACAACCTCCAAGTCCTGGGCTCAAGTGATCCACCTGCCTCAGGCTCCCAAGTAGCTGGGACTACAGCCATTCACCACCAGACATGGCTAATTGTTTAAGTTTTTTATAGAGTCTGAGTCTTTCTATATTGCCCAGGCTGGTCCTGGACTCTTGGCCTCAAGTGATCCTCTTGCTTTGGTCTCCCAAAGTGTTGGAATTACACGTGTGAGCCACTGCAGCTGGCCTAAGATAAATTTATTATGATAAAAACAACATCCTGGTATTTCTAAGATAACCCTATGCAAAAATTTAAGGTAGACTTTATTTTATTCATTGTGTATACTTAAGAAACATTATAGAAAAATGATTTTAAATAAATGCATAACCATACTTAGAAACTTAGAAGTTTTATTACCTGTTTTTAAAAAATTATTTTTCATCATAATTTCTTCCTTTTAATTATAATGTATTCTGTAAAAAACTATTACTGCTTTCCTGCCTGTAGTTTAGCCTACTATAAATTTGATTAAGTTAATGTGAAGTTAATGGCTATATTTTAGATTCACCTCTTGGAATTTAATACTTTTATTGGAACAAAACTATTTTTGCCAAAATTATGTGGAACTAATGAAAAATTAATTGCTTTATAAAATGCTGGCTTTTATCTAAAACTAATAATTCTTGTACATCTCTTAATCCTCCTGCAAACAGTTGGCAGGAAATAGAATCTAAGTTTACCAGTTCAAATTCCCTAAGATCCTCAGAGTCATTTTTATTTTTGTGTGATCCAACCTTTTAACTTTTTCACAACTTTAATCTTAAAAAAACAGATTTCTAATTAAATTCAGGCATATTATTCCCCCAAAGGGGGAGTTAGAAACCCCAAGCATAACTTAGACTTGGGACCTCTGAGCTAACACTTTTCCTTTCTTTACAGTTCATGTTGGCATTTTTATATGTCTCCCTCTAATAAAATGTAATGATTTTTATCTTTTAAGTTGATGCCTGGGACTTTGCCTTTTATCTGTTGTTTGCTGTGTTTCAGTCCATAAATAAATCATGCAACAAAATAAATTACTTAATCCTGTGTTTTATGTGGAAACATATTAAGGGATAGATACAGAAGGAAAAACCACTTTATGCCTCGGAATTGCTCGCACTTTTATGATTTTGTGTCGCATTCAAACACTATCAAGGTGTCATATCAATAATAATTGTACACAAGAGCCACATTTGGAGATTTTTAAAGTTTTTGCCACTTTTTGATTAGGATATGTTCAAATAAAACCCCCCAAACTGTTCTTTGTCATCAGCATTCTCCGAGATTCTACTGTTGTAATAATAATTCATTCTACTATACAACTATTTAGCAGTAAGATTATTAATCCCCGGGTACTTTTAAAAATGAGACCACATGTGATTATTTTATTCCTTGTTTTATGCTTAGCAGTCCTTCTTGTCTTCTTTTAGTAGAAGAGGCTCTCTTAACACTCTGAAAGAGAAAAATAAAACATTACCCAACTTAATTTGTTTATTAAGCTTTTTTAGCCTGAAAGGGAAATAGTCCAAATTTCAAAACAGGTTTGGAGAATGCGATACGTGCATTATCGAGAAGCATTCTCCGCCACAGATTTCTCCCCTCAAAAATGTTTTTTTCATACAGAGAATGGACCCTTGTTTCTTAGGTTAATTGCTGGAATATGATGAGGTTTGGTTGCATTTTTAGTAATTTCCGGATTCTATTCCAGGACATTTGGGATAGAGCCCAAGAGCTTAGCATGTTTTCCTTTTTTCATGGTAAAATTGTGCAAATATGCATTAGAGTGTGAAAACAAACAGTCTAATACATTTTTGCAAAGCTCTTTATGTTTACTGTTTATTGCAGATACCAGATCGTAATTAAAATGCGCTAACAAAAGCCAAGATACAAAGAACAAAGATATAACGAAACTTCATCTTTATAAAATATTTGTGATTAATCCTGGGGGATGTATGGCCTCACAACATTGCAGTGGAATTTTAAAAGCTTCTTCAGCCATGCCAGGAAGGCGATAAAATTCAGTACCGTCAGGTGGTTGGAGAAAGACGAACCATGCCGTGGTTGTTTTGGGGTGCTATCTGCTTCTTAGAGAGGTTCTAATAATTCTTTAAGATCTTGAGGTTTTTTTCACTCTACATTTGAAATGAATAACAATCAGCTTCCAAGGAAAAGTAAACAAAAAAAGAGACATTAAAAGCATATTGTTTGGGAGAGATGAATTTAGATCTGTGTTTTTCAGTTGACATTTTCTATATGAGTGTGGGAGAAATTGCTTTTTGTTATTTGCATGTTTAGCAGAACTAAAAAGGTAGATGAGAATATGAAGGGCAGTGTCAATTAATGGAAAAGATAAGGAATTTGGAGTCACATCAACTTAAATTTGAGCCGCAGCTCAGCCACTTTCTATCTTTTGGATGTTAGGAGGTTAGTGATTTAACTTTTTTCTTGGAGTCCCAGTTTTTTCATCTCTAACATGGGCATAATAATAGCGATCTTACAGACTTGTCGTGAGCATTAACCAAGATAAGCTAGGTAACACACCTGTGAGAGGCAAATACTTTTATCTCTTCAAAAGGAGGTGCATACCACAGCATGTGGGTAAAGAGGGCTGAAGGATAAAAAGAGGAGAGTCCAGTGGATGAGGAACCTGAAACATCACTTTAACCCTATTCAATTTTGTTTGCATTTTAAAATTTTCTCTTGAGCGCTTTCTCCTTTCTATTTAATTATTATAGAAGGGCAGATTTCAGGGGAAGTGTATTTTGTATTTTTAAAGATTGAAAAAACTTGTGGAAATCCTTTATCTATTTATTGCAGTGCTCCTCAAAGTGTGGTCTCTGGACTGACAGCATCAGCATCATTGGGTAGCCTGTTAGAAATAAAAATTATTGGGCTTCACCCCTCGCAGCTACTGAGTCTGGTGGTGGGGTCCCATAATGTGAGCTTTAATAATCTCTGTAGGTGATTGTGATGCACATTAAATTTTGAGAACCATTAATGTGTTGAGGTTTGGGTTTTTTTTTTTTTTTTTTGGTCTTCTTTTCTCTGTAACAGCAACCTTAATAATACACACAGCCCAACACCTACAGCTGTCTTCCTTGCACATACTAAAGAGATCTTGGAGATAGTATATCACAGTGTTTAAGGACACAGTAGGTAGATCAAACTATTTTGACTTATATCCCAGTTTATTACTTACTATCTCTGTCTGTGTCTTGGGCAAAATTTGTAAACTCTCTGTGCCTCAGTTTCCTCTACTGTAGAATGGGGATAATAATAATATCATACCTCACAGGATTTTTGTGATAATGTAATACACTTGAGACAGTGCAAGACAAATAGAAAGCATTAGAGAAATATTAGTTATGATGTTATTAACCAGTCTAAGAAATGTCAAATCTCAAATTATGGTATCTTTTTTCTTTCAATTGTTCTTCATTTTTTCAACAAAGATTCGTCATCAGCTACCTACAAGCCAGGCATTGTGAAACGTAGTGGAGATATGACAGAGAGTGGAGAATGAGGAGAAAGATCCAATCTTTTTTTTTTTGAGACAGGGTCTCACTCTGTTGCCCAGGCTGGAGTGAAGTGGCATGATCGTGGCTCACTGCAGCCCTGACTTCTGGGGCTCAGGTGAAGATCTGCTCTTTGCCTGTATGATGCTTAGAGGGGGAGAAAGACATAAAACAAATTTTCAAGTAATTAATTAGCCACAATTGTGATGAGCGTCAGAGGGTCAGTGAAATTTCCCCCAGAAAATCTGAAGCTGAGCCCTGAAGGATGGGTGAGGGTTGCCAAACAAGAAGGTGAGGGCAAACGTTATAGGAGAGAGAAGAGCATGTGTAAATACCCTGATGGCTGAGGGCTTGGTGCTTTGAAGGTGCTGAAAGAAGACCAGTGTGGGTGAGGGGGCAAGACAAGACTGAACTTTATCCCAGGGGTATTGGACAGCCACTGAGGGGTTTAAGCAAGAATGGGAAGTGAGTTGTTTTTTAAGGAAAGATTCCTCTAGCATAAGGAGGGAGGAATGGATTGGAGGGTGCCAGAGATGCTGCAAGGAGGCCGGTGGTTGTAGCCGCAGTCTGGGAGAGATGGAATGGTGGCTTGGGTTATGGTATGGGAAGACATGGAGAGAGGCTGGTGAAACTAAAGTATTGGGACTTGGTGAGATATGGGGCAGGAGACAGAGGGAAGTGTCAAGGATGTATCCTCTGAGGCAATTTGCTTCAATAAAGAGCAACTAGAAGCAGCAGTTTTGGGGGAAGATCTTAAGTTCAGTGGAGTATGAGGGACCTGTGGGATGTCAAAGAAAATACATAGATTGGGCGGTTGGTCATGTAAACATGGACAGCAGAGAGCAAGAGACAGACCTCTCCAATAAAGGGATTGCTTGGTAAGCGTATAGTAACTGAACTGAAGGAAATGGATACAGTTATCCAGGCTGACTTTAGACAAGAAGGTCTAGGATTGAGCCCCACAAACCACCAGCATTTATAAGTCCTAGGAGGACCAGGCCTTAAAGGAAGAATGGCCAGATGGACGAGGCTGGGATGTCACAGAAGGTAAGGAAAGAGGGAGCGTCCAGATGTAGGAGGGGGTCAACTACGTCAAACAGAATGGGAACTGAAAGGTGTCTATTTGACTTGGCTATAGAAGGGTGTTTGTTGACCCTTGTGAGAATAGTTTTTGAGGAAAAGTGGCTTGTGGAGAGAGTAGGAAATAAGAAAATGGAAATCATGAGGTTAAACATATTTGGCTGTGCAGTAGCAAAGTAGAAAAAAGAGGATAGTTACAGGGTGACATAGGGCCTAAGGGGGGTGGTTATTTATAGAAGAGAGAGTTGCACATGTTTTAAAAATGATGGAGAAAATCAGGGAAGAGAAAGAAGTAGAAGCTACCGTGAAGAGGGTGTGTTGATGGTGGGAGTTTTTGAGGAAGCAGGAGGAGGAAACCATAGCAGAGCTGGAGGGTTTGGCTTCAGACAGCCATAGAAAGTACAGGCAGCTCCTCTATTGTAACAGGAGGTCAGGGGGATGGGGTGGGTGCAGATGCTGGTGGGTTTGTAGGTTTGGTGCGGGAAGTTGAGAGGTTTCTGTCTGGTGGCTTCTATTTTCTCTGTGAAGGAGTAGGCAAGGCCATCTGTTGAGTGTGATAGAGTAGGCGTGAAGGTTAGAGATTTGAGGAAAATGAAGATGGTTTGAAATAGTCTTTGAGAGCGGAAGAGGGAGGCAAGCAGAGAAATGTAACATGGTTATTGTGCACAGTCAAGAATCCAGATGAGCCTAGCGACTGAATTTCCAAAGGTATAGATGTGTGTCAGCCCCTGCTCCCCAGGCTGATACTAGCTGGGACACAGACACACAAGGGTCATTTACAACACAGTGTGAGGTGAGAGGTACAGGGCATGATGAGAGTTCAGAGGAGGGAGGCTTCTTACTTGGGACCTAAAGATAAGTAATCATTGGCCAGATGAAGAGATGGAGGAAGAGTGTATCAGCAGAGAGAGCACATGTGAATAGGCCGAGAGGCGCAGGGAAACACAACTCCCTTGCGGGGCTGAAGGAAGTTCACAGGTGGAGCAGAGGGTGTGAGGGAGTGGGGGATGCCCGTGGGAGTGAGTGCCTAGAAGAGAAGCTGGAGAGGACGAGAGTGGGCAGCTTAAATATGACCTAAGCTAGTGGATTGCCAGGTGTGGTTTCTGGACCAGTGGGAACTGGCAGCATCACCAACACCCAGGAATGTCAGAAGTGCAAAGTCTCAGGACCACCCAAGACCTAATCTATCAGAAACTCCGGGAGTGAGCCCAATGAGCTGTGTTTTACCAAGCCCTCCAAGTAATGCTGATGCGCATCAAAGCTTGAAAAAGTGTTTCAAGCAATGGGGAGCCATTGATTAGCCTTTTTAGCAGGGGAATGACATATCGGGGAGCAGGTTTATAAAAGTTTCTGACCACGGTGTGGAAAATGGTAGGTTCTGTTTGTGGATTCCAGACAGACAGCTCAGCAGGGCTAATCCCTCAGCTGTGTTACTGACGCTGGAGCTGGGTCTTTCTGTCAATGTCTCCAAGTTGACCAGAAACACTCGCCCCCTAGGAAGCTGCCTGATGCGCACCTCTCCAACAGCTCTCTGCTGCCCCCGTCTGTCCACAGACCGCACTCACGGTTCCCCAGCCCACGCTTCCCAGTCCTTGATTGGTGCAGTTTCAGCATTATCCTGACTTTGGACCCTCAGCTTTGTCAGAGAGGTGGGCTTGGCTACTGTCAATATATACATGAGTTAGACACTATCATTGGACATTCTTTTAATGGATGTTCTAGAAAGCCCAAGAAGAGCACCAATTAAGCAGTTACCTTGAGATGGCTTTGAGGCAAGCTTTGCAAATTTTGAGATGAAGCTGTTCCTTATATTCTCTTGCATTTCCAGAAAACATGTTTTTTTTTTTTTTTTTTTGATATAGAATACTGAAATTTCTCCTGAAAATCTCTTTCAGGGTCTGAAGGCAACCTGTAAGAAAAAAGGAATCTATTTGAAGGCTTTTTCTTCAAGATAATGAAGAATGTGACATTAGAACACCTGGTATGGAATGATTCCATCAAATCCTACCACCCATACCTCCCTTTACAATTAAATTTTCTTGGTGGTTTGGCTAATCTGCACTTCATTTCATTTGGAGATGTATAGAAGGATGATTTTCCTACCAGCACAGATTGGATTGGCATAGCTGCTAAAAGATCATAGAATCATTTTAGGGAGAGTGACATAGGCTGCCTTACATCCAATGATAACAATTCAAAGTAGTATAATGTCTCCTAAACATGAGCAAGGCCATATCTCCCAGGTTGAATGCCCCAAAGATGGGGTTGCATCGGATTTGGAATCATCCAGGGCGGAGTTGTAATCTGGTTGTGTGACTTTTGGCAAATTACTTAACCTCCCTGGGCCTTCATCTTCTCTTTTGTAAAATGTGTTGTTGTGATGATTAGATAGAATAACATAATCTAAGGTACTTAGGAGATCAGTAATTATTAATTTTTGTTGTCTGTTAGTATGTGATCGAAACTTCAGCCTTTGAATATTTCTCTAATTACTTACCAATTCAATTTATCAAAAATATTCCCCCTTTTCTTGAGCTCTTATTTCATTCTTATATGACTCCTTGTGTAGTGTATATATATCACAGAGAATATGTAGGCCATCAGCAACTTTACCATGTGCCACAACTGTACACCCACACACATACCTGTATTCATGGCCATTCTTACATCTTTCTCTTGTGTCTCAGAGAAGCATGGTGGGATTAGAATCTCCCCTACCCCTCCCTATTTTTAAACTTCAAAAGGAGCTCTCTTTCCACTACATTCTACATTAAGCTAAGAAATAGTGTCTGAGAAGCCTAAGAATTCCATGCTTATAATGTACATTGTAGTACTTTCATTGCGCTAATAATGATGAGTCACTGAAGACAGGATAATAAGAAATGGAACCCTGGAAAGGTTAGTAGGACAGCTCTAGAATATACAATGACTATGGTCAAGATTTATGGTAGATTCTACTCTCCCCAAACTAGACATCTCAGTGTGGACCTTCACTCTAAACTTGCTTTATTCCTTCTCTCAATATGCATATATTGATGACATTATTTTTAAAATTAGTACTGCAAACTATGATGTGAGATGATATATGATAGTTTATGGTAAGTGTCATATCAGAGATTTGAGGAGTAGGGGGGTGGTTAAAGAATCAGTAGGGGCCGGGCACGGTGGCTCATGCCTGTAATCCTAGCACTTTGGGAGGCTGAGATGGGTGGCTCATGTGAGGTCAGGAGTTCAAGACCAGCCTGGCCAACATGGTGAAATCACGTCTCTGCTAAAAAAAAAAAAAAAGACAAAAATTAGCAGGGCATGGTGGCAGGCACCAGTAGTCCCAGCTACTCCGGAGGCTGAGGCAGGAGATTTGCTTGAACCCGGGAGGCAGAGGTTGCAGTGAGCTGAGATCGAGCCACTGCACTCCAGCCTGGGTCATAGAGCAAGACTCCGTCTCAAAAAAAAAAAAAAAAAAAAAAAAAGGATCAGTAGGAGGAAGAGGACATTTGGGCCCAGAGTAATCAAACAAAGCTATCAGCTATACCCAGGACCGCTATACCCAGGACACTGAATCATAAATTTTAGGAAGGAGACAGGACTTGTTAGGTCATAACAACTGGGGAGAATTCTGATAGGTGGAGTGACAGGGGAGAATATTCCAGGTAGAAACATCGTGAGCAAAGCCATGGAAAGGTGCATCAACTAGCTATGACTGAGGGACAGTGGGTATACCTGTTTGGCTGGAGGGGAGTGGTAAGATAAGTACTGTAGCAAAAGTACATTGAGTTTGATATGGTTTGGATGTTTTCCCCTCCAAATCTTATGTTGAAATGTGATTCCCAGTGTTGGAGGTGGGGTCTGGTGGGAGATGATAGGATCATAGGAGCAGATCCCTCATGAATGGTTAAGCACCATTCCCTTGGTGATAAATGAGTTTTTGGTCAGTTAGTTCATGTGAGATCTGGTTGTTTAAGAATCTGGGACTGCTCCCTTCTCTCTCTCTTGCTCTTGCTCTTGTCATGTGATGTACCTGCTCCCTCTTTGCCTTCTGCCATGAGTGGAAGCTTCTTGAGGTCCTCACCAGAAGCAGATGTTGGTGTCATGCTTGCATAGCCTGCAGAATCATGAACCAATTCTATTATTTCTTTTCTTTATAAATTACCCAGTCTTTAGGTTTTTCTTTTTCTTTCTTTCTTTCTTTTTTTTTTTTTTTTTGAGATGGATCCTTGCTCTGTTGCCCAGGCTGGAGTGCAGCAGCGCAATCTCAGCTCACTGCAAGCTCCGCCTCCCAAGTTCACGCCATTCTGCTGCCTCAGCCTCCAAAGTAGATGGAATTACAGACATGCGCCACCACGCCCAGCTACTTTTGTATTTGTAGCAGAGATAGGGTTTCACCACATTGGCCAGGCTGGTCTTGAACTCCCAACCTCAGGTGATCTGCCCGCCTCGGCCTCCCAAAATGCTGGGATTACAGGTGTGAGCCACCATGCCCGGCCTTTAGGTATTTCTTAATAGCAATGCAAAAATGACCTAACACCATTAGATTGAGAAATAGAAGAGGAACTTGGGAGCCAGTGGGCATTTTTGAATAGGAAAATGACATAATACAATGTGATTAGAAATATCAACCAGTTTTCTGGGTATCAGCTAGGAGAACAGAAAGAGGTAGGTAGGCTCATTAGGAGGCTTTGCTAGAGTTCAAGCATGAGTTACAAAGGCTGTGTACAGATAAGCACAGTGTACAGGGAGGAGGTGGAACCAAGAGAATCCTCAAGGCCTGGTGAGGCCCTGGAGAAGGATGGGTGAGGAGTCATAGAGATGGTGTGGTAGGCAGCTTCAAAGATGGCCTCCAATGATCCTTGCCTCTTGGTGTTCATGCCTTTGTATAATCCTCTCCCATTGTGTGGGCTGGACCTAGTTACTTGGCAAAAGTGATGGGATGTGATAATACTTTTGAGATTAGGTTACAAAAAGACCCTGGTTTCTGTGTTGCTCAACCTCTTTCGCACTCTCACTTGTTCACTGTCAAGGAAGATGAATTCCATGCTGTGGATTGTCCTACAGAGAGGCTCACGTGGTAAAAGGACTGAGGGTTCCCCCTGGCCAACAGTCAGCAAGAAACTGAGTTTTCAGTTCAATAACCTTTAAAGAGCTGAATTCTACCAATAACCTGGTGAATGAACTTAGAAGTGCTCAAGTTCCCCACTCAAGGAAGTGGAGCCTTGAGATGACTGCAGTCCTGGCTAATTCCTCGATTACAACCCTGTGATTATAGCCTTGTGCTGCATAATAAATTACCCTACAATGTCGTGACTGAACACATATTTTATTATTTCACAAGTTTCTGTGCGTGGGAAATCTGGGTGTGGCTTGGCTGGGTCTTCTGGCTCTGTGAGGAGGCAGCAGTCATATCAAGGCTTGACTGGGAAGGATCCACATCCTAGTCTCCTCATGTGGTTGTTGGCAGAATTTAATTCTCTGTGGGTGCTTGGACTGAGGCCCCCAGTGTCTCACAAGCCATTGGCCAGAGGCTCCCCTTGGTTCTTTGCTATGTGAGCCTCTCCATAGAGTCTGTCACACTGTGGCAGATTGATATATCAGAGCGAGCAAGTGAGAAGACAAGAGAGAAAAGTTCTACTGAGAGAGAGTACTAGCAAGATGGAATTACCCAGTTTTTTGTAACCTTATCACAGAAATGATGTCCCACTACCTTTGCTGTATTCTTCATTAGAATATGCTAGAATGTGTTAGTCACTAGGTCCAGTCCACACCCAAAGGGAGGAGATTTTACAATAGTGTCAATACCAGGGGGTGAGGATCAATGGGTACCATGTCAAAAGCTGCCTACCACATCGACAGATATTTATTGCAATTTTTGTTGTCTTCCCAAAGGGCTTTAACCTCTGAGAGGGGGCTAGTGATTTGTTCATAATAAAAGGGCTTAATGAACATTTGTTTAAAAAATGAGAGGATGTTTGCAAAGACTATTAGAGGTCTAAAGCATTATTTAGACTTAGATGTTAACACATCGATGGTCTGCTCAATTGGTCAGCAGTTTAATGGGGGAAATACCTAGCTGCTTTGACAAAATTCTGACCTTAAGTACAAAAGCCTAGTTCACTTCGTTGGATGTAAGAGCCAACTTGTGCAGCTGTGCCATGTATAAAAGTGCCTGGTATGAGTGGGTACTTAAATCCTGTCCATATTCCATTCCACTCACCAAGCTGTGTCCCCTGGCACAAGGCTATGTCAGTCTAGAGGAAGGGGTGTGTTTTTGAAATTATCTACCCAGAGGGGATACTTTTTTTATAAGCAGCACATCCCATCTGTGATCCTCTAGGGAAGTGTCAACCTTCATCTCCCTCCTCTTGTTTGCTTTCACCTGCTCTACCTGAACTATACCCTCCAAAATGGGCTTGAGGCAATGAGGGGGACAATGTCCCATGCCATACCTGACTTCCTCTCCAGCTGCTGCGAGGATTAACTTCTGTTTTGGGAGGCCTTTGAGAGCCCAGGAGGGAAGGTGCTGTACAAACGCAGACAAATTCCATCATCTTTATTAAATTGCCAAGAAAATTCTATGCACACAGTAATACCACCCTCTCCCTGAGTACTGGGTCTGACCTGACAATAGCAAACAAACAGCAAGCTGTGATCTGTTTTTAATTCCAAATGAAAATCCACCCCAAATAGAGGCGAGAAGGAGAAAAAGCAGCTCAGCAACAATGTGTGCTTTGGCTGAGGAGCCCAGGAAGCCTTGCTTCTGTTAACCTCAGCCCAGCTCCCTCCCCAAAAGCTCGACTCACACCACTGGAATGGTTGTGTATTGAGGATAAGGATGTTGACAATAGGGTTTAAGCTGCATAAATAACTGCAAATTGCTGTTCGGCCCAGCAACTGCCAGAAAAAAAAAAAATGAGAGAGAGAAAAGAGATGATAGAAGGAGCATAAGTTGTGGGGAGGGAGGGCCGGGAAGTAAGTAATGTGGAATCTGGCAACTGGCTCTGAGTGTAAAGGCACTCTGACAAGGTGATCACAGGCCACCCACAATTGTTACACAGCTATAAGAAGTTATTTTGACAGGACATGTGGCACACTTCAAATAGAGGACTCAAACCCCCAAATGATTAGTAATATGTTGCAGTAAAGTTCTGGTTTAAAGAACAAGCTATTATAACTGAGGGGGTAGAACATATATAATCTCCAAATATTCTTTTTATAATTTCCATTCAGTTCTGTCAGTGGTGATGTGAGAAGAAAGGAAAGACATACAAGTGGTTTATAAGAAAAAGGAAAAATACCAGTGAGGGCTGCCATTTTGTGCTCCCCAGTCCTCTTGCCTTCTCTTGGTACAATTTTCAATGGGTTCTCCAACATTCTTCCTTAAAGAACTCTTCCAGGGTATGCCACAGGATGCAGCAAAGGTGAAAAAGACTAGACCACAGCATGGGTGCTGCCTCAGGTCAGGTGTTTATGTATGACGTGTCACTCTACCCCAGTCTCTTGGCTTCCGGTCCTTTCCAACCTCCATCTCACCTCTTAGTTCCATTTCCCCACTCATAATAATTAACTCTTTGCTTGAAACCACGCAGTCTTTCTCCTCCTCGAAGTCTTCTTTGAATCTCAACAACTGCAGAAAAGCGCTTTGTCAAATTGTAGCAGGAGAATTTCAGGTGAGAAAAAAAATAAAGATCCACAGATGGCATGTATATTGAATACAAGGATAAAAACAGATGCAGGTCAGAAATTCTAGACTCTGCATCCCTGTTGATTTGTGTGCCCACTATCCTCCCTACTTCTGCCATGACCTTGTTCTAAGAACCATTTTCTTCTTTTTTTTAACACCAGATTTGTGCAGAAGGTGTAGTTTTTTTTCACGACCACATGCCTGGTCATAGATTATTGGTGGGGTGGTGGTCATTTAACAAAACTTGGCCTATCAGCTAGATCTTGCAGTCTAACAAAACTATAACAGAACTTGGTGGCTTAACATAATAATCAATTATTCTCACTCATGGGTCTGAGGGTCAGTTGGGCTGGCTTTACTTCATGCTGCAGGTCTGCAGATGGCTGAGGTGGCTCTGTTCAATTTATACTTATTCTGGGGTCCAGGCTGGAGAAGCAGCAGCTACCTGGGAAAAGCATCTCTCCAAGCAGTGGCAGAACTGTAAGAGGGCAAGTAGAAATACACGGTGATTCTTAAGGTTTAGGTTTGGCAATCATATACTGTCACATTCGCCCACATTTCATTGGCTATTGCAAATACATGACTGAGTACCCAACATCACTTGGGAGTAGGGGATGTTATGCTCTACCTCTGTGAGACCATGGCAACAAAAATGGAAGCCAACAATTTCAATCTATTACTGTGAATAATTCCCTGGTATTTTTCACACTGGGGCTGAGGACAAGAGCCAACCATTATGGAATGTCTTGGTGTTTAACTAGAAAGCACAGGAGCTTTTATTGCCACGTTACTTGCCGTACAGAGGGAGCCTTTTTACAGTGACAGTGATTGAAGGTGGCCCATGGAAAGTGGCAGAGACAAGAAAGAGAAAAAGAGATTCCAGGTGGCCTTTGAGTCTCTGGTTTATTTCTTCCTGCGGCTCAGCTGCTCCTACTCCCCTGCCCATCTGTGACTTGATTGGTCAACGCTTCCACGGATTACATGTCCAATGTCCATCCAAAACCAACTTTTTTGTTGTTGCCTAAATTAGTTTGATTAACTTCTGTTACTCAGAAACAAAACATATCCAGACTAATACATATACTCTGGGTCTCCATAGCAATTAGATATGAAAAGAGTTGTATTTAGACTATGTAGTGATTTCTATGACAAATATGCATCACTCCTGTATGTATATTTTTACAGTTGACCTTCCTCTTCTCTTTCCACTGCATGTTGTATAAATTATTAAGTCTTTTGGCTGAAAGCACATGCCTGCAGCCAGAAGAATTTGGAGTATCCCTTCAGAAGATGATTTGGGCTGGAAAAAGAAACCTGAAGGGAAACTGAAATGAAAGGCAGGATGGTAATGAAAAGAGATCAGGGCTGGGAATTAGAAGAGCTGGGCTGTCACTAAGTAGTTGAATAATCTTAGGCTGACCTTTTTGCCTCCCAGAGGCTCTGTTTGTTCTCTGCATATTAGGGAAGGTAATTCTGGACCATAGAGAGGCTGTGAGGATCAAAGAAAACTGTAGGTGGGAAGATGTTTTGTATACTTTAAGCATTATGTTAACAAATGAATCATTCATTTATCCATTCATACATTTAACAACTATGTATTAGGTGTATAAATATGTCAGGAATTATGTCAAGTGTTGGACATGGTTTCAAAAACAGACATGATTCCTGCCTTTATGGAGCTTACAGTCTAGAGAAGAGCAGACCATAAACAAATAAATAAGGTAAAGTGTATGAGTTTAGTATTAAAAACTACTGGTGTGTGTCGGCCGGGAGCTATGGCTCACACCTGCAATCCCAGCACTTTGGGAGGCCGAGGCAGGCGGATCACGAGGTCAGGAGATCGAGACCATCCTGGCTAACATGATGAAATCCCATCTCTACTAAAAATACAAAAAATTAGCCGGATGTTGTGGCGGACGCCTGTCCCAGCTACTCTGAAGGCTGAGGCAGGAGAATGGGGTGAACCCAGGAGGCGGAGCTTGCAGTGAGCCAAAATCGCGCCACTGCACTCCAGCCTGGGTGACAGAGCAAGACTCTGTCTCAAAAAACAAACAAACAAACGAAAAACCCCAAAAAACTTCTGGTGTGTGTCAATGGGATGTTCCTGAGTTATGTCAGTGGTTAAGTATTTTGAATATCTGCCTGGATGAGTGTCATGGCAGGGCCCACTCCATCTCTTTCCTCTTACTAAAGTCCCCTCCCTTGCCACTGGGGACTTGGGGAATTGGTGCTCTGGACTCAGGGATAGAGCTGGTTGGGAGAGGAAAGCACCTGGCCATTGCTTTTTAGGCTCACAGTCAAGGCTTTGGGACTTTGTATTAGTCTGTTTTCATGCTGCTGATAAAGACATACCTGAGACTGGGCAATTTACAAAAGAAAGAGGTTTAATTGGACTTACTGTTCCACATGTCTGGAGAGGACTCACAATCATGGCGGAAGGTAAAAGGCATGTCTTACCTCGCAGCAGGCAAGAGAGAGAAAGAAAGCCAAGTCAAACGAGTATCCCTTTATCAAACCATCAGATCTTGTGAGACTTATCCACGAGAACAGCATGGGAGAAACTGCTTCCATGGTTCAATTATCTTCCACCAGGTCCCTCCCACAACACGTGGGAATTATGGGAGTACAATTCAAGATGAGATTTGGGTGGGGACACAGAGCCAAACCATATCAGACTTTCTTTAGGGCTTATTAAAGTATTATAAAGTATCAACTGTAATGTTGCTAATAAACAATGTCAAATTGATCCAGAGAATTTGGAGTTATTTAATTAGACTTGTAAATGGCCTGTGGAAAAAATGCTCCCTCACTTGGGAAAAATCTTTACGTGGGCAGCATTGTTATAGCCTGAATGCCTACCTGACACTGGAGTATGACCCTTCAGAAAAATGACAGTGATTAGCCTACACAATACTTTGAGTGCAAAGTATTGTGAAGGGGCTGTTCAACTGGTATGTCATTTAAGAATCTTAGCTGCAAGCAATTAGAGGGTGACTTAACAAAAGATGATTGGATTGCCCAAGAATTGTTGGGATAGCTGGAGAGCCAGGACTGAGGCTAGGCCAGCATTGAGCAATGACAAAAAATATGCTGCAGGATATGCCTGATAAGGAAACTGCTTCCATTGCTGCTGCCTCATTTGCAAAAGAGGAACCTACATCTTCATCACTGCTGCCATTCCATAGAGGTTACTTCTGGGCCAGGCACTAAATCTTGCAAAACTTAGAAACTGCTGCTGCCACCACTGAAAACCAGATGCTTCCAGCACCACTGTACCAGCAAAAATTGAAGTTTTACACTGAGCCTCTTTCCTCATGAATGCTTCTGAGTTGAAATCTAAGGTTGTAGTGTCTGTTGAGTGGACCCTTGGGGGAGCCTGGGTTGTTTGCCTGCGTCTTAACTGCAGGGAGGCTTGGAATTTGAATTCTGACTCCATTGAGGAAGTGGGACTCATAATATGGGAATTCTTCCAAACACAGAAAGACTATTAAAAGATGAATATGAATATGTGAATATGATTGGTATTTATTACCTGTGGTTTGCCCCCTCTGACCACCAAAATCTTAGCTTGGGGAAGGACTACCAGGGACATACAACAGTAGATAATATTTCTTGGAAGGATTTTTAACTTTGAAGGCAACAAAAGGATTTGTTGAGAATTTTGTAATGAGAACTATAGATGTCTTTCTCATCATGTTTTATCCAATGCATGATAAAGTATATACTGTAGGTTCTGAGTCCAATTCCCAGTTTCCCTTCACTAAGAGAAATCAGTGTGATTAGAAGAGTCTCTGAACTGGGCCAGCCTAGATTGCCCTCTGAAGACTCCTGCCACTCTCTGCTCTTGCTTGGACCATCTCATTTCTCATTTCTCATAACTTTCTTCCTCTGTGTGGCTGGTAGGAAGAAATGGAAGTTAGAGATGGAAGGCTCTACTCACACATTGCCAAAGGAATGCTCAGAGATCAAGATATTTAGAAAACGAAAGAAAATTAACTTGCAAAGAGTGCAAGGGAGTCAGAGTTCAGAAGGACTGGCGGGCTAGTCAATTACAACAAAAACATAACTATTACTTAGAGGAAAAACTGCTAAATTATCAGTTACCAATAATTTATTAATCTATGACAAAAACAGCAATTTGCTCACATGATTATATCCACAAAGGTCATGATACATCTTTAGACACCAGCTTAGGCAAAGTTAGAGATAAAATTATTTTCGTTAGAGTTATGTGTTTACAGGAACCATTAACGACTTTATTATTTTAGGGACTAGAAGCATACAAGATGATCATGGTGGTTTTAAAATCTGTCTACAGGCCGGGCGTGGTGGCTCACTCCTATAATCCCAGCACTTTGGGAGACTGAGGTGGGCGGATCACTTGAGGTCAGGAGTTCGAGACCGGGCCTGGCCAACGTGGTGAAATCCCATCTCCACTAAGAAAATACAAAAATTAGCTGAACGTGGTGGTTCAAGTCTGTAATCCCAGCTGCTTGGGAGGCTGAGGCAGGAGAATCACTTGAACCTGGGAGGTGGAGGTTGCAGTGAACTGAGATTGCGCCACTGCACTCTAGCCTGGGTGACAGAGTGAGACCCTGTCTCAAAAAAAAAAAAAAAATCTGTCTACAAATTCTTTGAAAACATCCTTTCAAGCGGTGGAGCCTCATTTCTCTTCAACTGATTGTGGGCCAGACTTAATGAATTGCTTCTAAATAATAGAATGTGGCAGAGGAGATGGTGAATGACTTTTGATATTAGGTCATTACAAGCATTGTAGCTTCCACCTTGTTCGCTCTTGGATCATTACCTCTGGAGGAAGCCAGCTGTCAAGTCAAGGGGGCACTCAAGCAGCCCTATGGGAAGATCATGTGGTGAGAAACTGAAACCTCCTACAGACAACCAGCACTAACTCATCAAGCATGTGAGTGAGCCACCTTGAAAGTGGATCCTCCAGCCCCAGACAAAAATGTAAGTGCAACCTCATGAGAGACCCTGATCCAGAACCACCCACCTAAGCTACTCTTGGATTTCTGACCCAAAGAAACTGTGAGAAAATAAATGTTTTCTGTTAAGCTACTTAATTTCAGGTTAATTTATAATGTAGATAACTAATAATATGAGCCTGTTGTTTTTGGTTTATCATAGAGTGCAGAGTATTGTGGTAGTCCTTATTGTTTTTGATTGTGTTATGTACAATGCTTAGACATATTGGAAGCAGGGCAGAATCTCAGCATCTGGCCTAATATGAGCAGTCCAACCCACGTTTATAAGGCTGTGCATTGGGGCATTAGGCACCAGTAAGGTGCTAATAACAGACTACTTCTTCGTGTAGCTGATGCAGGCATATCACAGCATGGTAGGGGCACCCAGCAGGGAAAGAGTCAGGCTATTAGACTCCCACACTCTTAAGGGCAAGGATCATGCTTGTTTTGTTTACTCCCGTATGCTCTAATGCCAAACACAGTACCTGGCACATAATAGGAACTCAATAATGTTTGCCGAATAAATGAGTTCCTGAGTGCCAGATGATAATACCACCAAAATACTATCAAAATCCCACCTAGGCACTTATAGAGATACTTATGTACTATCTCTACAAACTGTATTCTTTGGTGGTTGTATTCTTTCTGCAATATAGCATTCTTACTGCAGGAACAGATCTCTTCTTACTGGAGTATAAACTGAATACAAATTCTTTCGATTTGGAAAGCATGTCACTTCTGTAACACCATCAAACATTCTGCAGGGAGTGGTAGACTGGGACATTCCATTTAATCACCTCCTGCCCAATATCAGTTGAATTTATACTAGGGCCATGAGCTGATAGAGCATCAGGAACTTAGCTTCCAAAAACCCACTATTGTCATGTCTTCCAAATATTATGATAATGGCATTGGATCACTTGGTAATTGAAATTGAAAACAAATGTAATTAATTACATAATTTTGAACTATTTAGATTGAATTCTTCTCAAGTTACATCATCACTCTCATGATAGAAATAAAGGATTGAATTAATTCTCTGCCTTTGCTTGACTTACATCTGAAATTTATGCCTAGTAGTTGTACACACCACAGATTTTCTTTAAAAATGTTTTTTTATTTTTAATTTTTATGGGTACATAATAGATATATATATTCATGGAGTACATGAGATATTTTGCTACGGGCATACAGTGTGTAATAATCACATCACTGGCAAATTGGGTATCCATCACCTTAAGCAATTACCCTTTCTTTGTGTGATAAACAATCCAATTATATTATTTTAGTTATCTTAAAATGTACAATTAAATTATTGACTATAGTCCTTCTGTTGTGCTATCAAATATCAGATCTTAGTCATTCTTTCTATCTTAGTACCCATTAACCATCTCTACTCCCCTCCCCCAACTATCTTTCCCAGCCTCTAGTAACAATCCTTCTATTTTCTGTCCACATTATTTTACTTGTCTTAATTTTTAGCTCCCACAAGTAAGTGAGAACATGTGGAGTTTGTCTTTCTGTGCCTGGCTTATTTCACTTAATGAGCTCCAGTTCATCCATGCTGTTGCAAATGACAGGATCTCATTCTTTTTTTTTATGGCTGCATAGTACTCTATTGTGTATATGTGCCACATTTTCCTCATCCATTCATCTGTTGATAGACAGCTAGGTTGCTTCTGAATCTTGGCTATTGTGAATAGTGCTGCAATAAACATGGGAGTGCCGATATCTCTTCAATATACTGATTTCCTTTATTTGGGGTATATACCTAGGAGTGGAATTGCTGGATCATATGGTAGCTCTATTTTTAGTTTTTTGAGGAACCTCCCGTCTGTTCTCCATAGTGGTTGGATGAATTTACATTCCCATGAATAGTGTACAAGGATTCCCTTTTCACCACTTCCTTGCCAGCATTTGTTATTGCCTGTCTTTTGGATATAAGCCATTTTAACTGAGGCAAGATGATATCTCATTGCAGTTTTGATTTGCATTTCTCTGATGATAAATGATGTTGAGCACCTTTTAATATACCTGTTTGCCATTTGTATGTCTTCTTTTGAGAAATGTCTATTTAGATCTTTTGCCCATTTTTTGATCAGATTATTAAATTTTTCTCTGATAGAATTGTTTGAACTCCTTATATATTCTGGCTATTAGTCCCTTGTCAGATGAATAGTTTGCAAATATTTTCTCCCATTCTGTGGGTTGTTTCTTCACTTTGTTGATTGTTTCTTTTGCTGTGCAGAAGCTTTTTAACTTGATGTAATCCCATTTGTCAATTTTTGCTTTGGTTTCCTGTGCTTGTGGAGTATCACTCACAAAATCTTTGCCCAGTGCAATGTCCTGGAGAGTTTTCTCAAATTTTTTTTGTAGTAGGAGTTTCATGGTTTGAGGTCTTATATTTATGTCTTTAGTTCACTTTGGCTTTATTTTTGTATATGATGAAAGAGAGGGGTCCAGTCTCATTCCTCAGCATATAGCTATACAGTTTTCCTAGCACCATTTATTGAAGAGACTGTCTTTTGCCCAATGTAAATTTTTGGCATCTTTGTAAAGAATGAATGCACTATGGATGTGTGGATTTGTTTCTGGGTTTTCTATTCTGTTCCACTGGTCTATATGTCTATTTTTATGCCAGTACCATGCTATTTTGGTTACTATACCTCTGTAGTATAACTTAAAGTCAGGTAATATGATTTCTCCAGTTTTGTTCTTTTTGCATAGGATAGCTTTGGCTATTCTGGGTCTTCAGTGGTTTCATACACATTTTAGGATTGTTTTTTCCATTTCTGTGAAGAATGTCATTTTTAAAATCGGGATTGGATTGAATCTGTTGATTGTTTGGGGTAATATGGACATTTTAGCAATATTGATTCTTCCAATCTATGAATATAGAATATCTTTTCATTTTTGGGGTGTTCTCTTCAATTTCTTTCATCAATGCTTTGTAGTTTTCATTGTAGAGATCTTTCACTTCTTTGGTTCAATTAATTCCTAGGTACTTAATTTTATTTTACTGGTATTACTTTCTTGATTTCTTTTTCAGATTGTTTCCCATTGGCATATAGACATGCTATTGGTTTTTGCACATTGATTCTGTATTCTGCAACTTTACTGAATTTGTTTATTAGTTCTAAGAGTTTTCCTGTAGATGCTTTAGGATTTTCCAAATATAAGGTCATGTCATCTGCAAACAATGATAATTTGACTTCTTCCTTTCCAATTTGGATGCCTTTATTTCTTTCTCTTGTCTGATTGCTGTAGCTAAGACTTCTAGTACTATGTTGAATAACAGTGGTGAAAAAAGGCATTCCTGTTGGCTCCAGATCTTACAGGAAAGGCTTTCAGTTTTTCCCCATTCAGCATGATACTAGGTGTGAGTCTGTCATATATGGCTTTTATTATGTTGAGATATGTTCTTTCTACATCCAGTTTTTTGACAGTTTTTTATCATGAACTTTATCAAATGCTTTTTCAGCATCAATTCAAATGATCACATGGTGGTTTTTGTCCTTCATTCTGCCGATATGATGCATCACATTGATTGATTTGCGTATGTTGAACCATCCTTGCATCCCTGGGATCAATCCCACTTGCCTGCAATGAATGATCATTTTAATATGTTGTTAAATTCAGTTTGCTGGTATTTTGTTGAGGATTTTTGCATCAATATTTGTCATGGATAATGGCCTTTCATTTTCTTTTTTCGATGTGTCTTTATCTGGTTTTTCTATCAGTATAATACTGGCCTCATAGAATGAGTTTGGAAGTATTCTCTCCTGCTCTATTTTTTGGAATAGTTGGAGTAGGATTGATTTTAGTTCTTCATTAAATGTTTGGTACAATTCAACAGTGAAGCTATCAGGTCCTGGGCTTTTCTTTACTGGGATATTTTTGTTTATTACAGCTTTGATTTCCTTACTTGTTATTAGTCTCTTCACATATTGGATTTGTTCATGGCCCAATCTTGGTAAGTTGTATGTGTCTAGGAATTTACCCATTTCTTTTAGGTTTTTCTTATTGGCATATAATTGCTCATAGTAGCCTCTAACAGTCTTTTGAATTTCTGCAATATCAACTGTAATGTCTCCTTTTTCATTTCTGATCTTAATTTATTTGGGTCTTCTCTCTTTTTTTCTTAGTTATTCTGGCTAAAGATTTGTCAATTTTATTTTTCTTTTCAAATAACCAACTTTTCATTTCATTGATCTTTTGTATTTTCTTCATTTCAATTTCATGTATTTCTGCTCTGATCTCTATTATTTATCTTCTTCTACTGATGTTTGATTTTTCTCTTGCTCTTCTAATTCTTTAAGATGCATTATTAGGTTGTTTATTTGAAGTTTTACACTTTTTTTGATGTAGACACTTAATAGTTATAAACTCTCCTCTTAGTAGTCCTTTTGCTATATCCCACAGGTTTCGATACATTGTATTTCCATTAATATTTGTTTCAAGAAATTTTTCAATTTTCTTTTTTAATTTCTTCATTGACCCACTGGTCATTCAGGAGCATATTATTTAATTTCTATGTATTTGTATAGTTTTCAAAATTCCTCCTATTATTGATTTCCATTTTTATTCCATGTGGTCAGAGAAGATACTTGATATTATTTCAAATTTTTGAGTGTTTTAAGACTTGCTTTGTGGCCTAACATATGGTCTATACTTGAGAACAATCCATTTGCTGAGGAGAAGAATGTGTATTCTGCAGCAGTTGGATGAAATATTCTGTAAATATCTATTAGGTCCATTTGGTCAATAGTGCAGATTAAGACTGATGTTTCTTTGTTGATTTTTCTGTCTGGGATGTCTGTCCAATGCTGAAAGTGGGGTGTTGAAGTCTCCAGCTATTACTGTATTTGGGCATATCTCTCTTTTTAACTCTAATAATATTTGCTTTATCTATCTGGGTGCTCCAGTGTTGGATGAATATATATTTACAATCATTATATCTTCTTGCTGAATTGACCAGTTTATCATTATTACCTTCTTTGCCTGTTTTTATAGTTTTTGTCTTGAAATCTATTTAGTATGATATAAGTATAGCTACTCTATAGCTACTCCTGCTCATTTTTGGTTTCCATTTGCATGAAATATTATTTTCCATCCCTTTATTTTCAGCCTATGTGTGTCTTTATAGGTGAAATGTATTTCTTGTCGGAAACAGATCACGCAGTGTTTTAAAAATTCATTTAGGTACTCTATGTCCTTTGGAGAGTTTAGTTCATTTATATTCAATGTTATTATTGATAAGTAAGGACTTACTCTTGCCCTTTTGTTATTTGTTTTCTGGTTGTTTTGTAGTCTCCTCTTCCTTCTTTCCCTCCTGTCTTCCTTTTGGGGAAGGTGATTGTCTCTGGTTGTATGTTTTAATTTCTTTAATTTTTATCAGTTCATCTTTTAGTCTTTCTATTCTACCTATATGTAGTTTTTACACCACAATTACAGTGTTATACTATTCTGTGTTTTTCTGTATACTTACTATTACCAGTGAGTTTTCTTTTTTTTTTTTTATTATACTTTAAGTTTTAGGGTACATGTGCACATTGTGCAGGTTAGTTACATATGTATACATGTGCCATGCTGGTGCGCACCCACTAACTTGTCATTTAGCATTAGGTATATCTCCCAGTGCTATCCCTCCCCCCCCTCCCCCAACCCCACCACAGTCCCCAGAGTGTGATATTCCCCTTCCTGTGTCCATGTGATCTCTACAAGACTGCAACAAACACAGCATTACTACGGTCTATCAATTTTGTTGATCCTTTCAAAAAACCAGCTCCTGGATTCATTAATTTTTTGAAGGGTTTTTTGTGTCTCTATTTCCTACAGTTCTGCTCTGATTTTAATTATTTCTTGCCTTCTGCTAGCTTTTGAATGTGTTTGCTCTTGCTTTTCTAGTTCTTTTAATTGTGATGTTAGGGTGTCAATTTTAGATCTTTCCTGCTTTCTCTTGTGGGCATTTAGTGCTATAAATTTCCCTCTACACACTGCTTTGAATGTGTCCCAGAGATTCTGGTATGTTGTGTCTTTGTTCTCGTTGGTTTCAAAGAACATCTTTATTTCTGTCTTCATTTCGTTATGTACCCAGTAGTCATTCAGGAGCAGGTTGTTCAGTTTCCATGTAGTTGAGTGGTTTTGAGTGAGATTCTTAATCCTGAGTTCTAGTTTGATTGCACTGTGGTCTGAGAGATAGTTTGTTATAATCTCTGTTCTTTTACATTTGCTGAGGAGAGCTTTACTTCCAAGTATGTGGTCAATTTTGGAATAGGTGTGGTGTGGTGCTGAAAAAAATGTATATTCTGTTGATTTGGGGTGGAGAGTTCTGTAGATGTCTATTAGGTCCGCTTGGTGCAGAGCTGAGTTCAATTCCTGGGTATCCTTGTTGACTTTCTGTCTCGTTGATCTGTCTAATGTTGACAGTGGGGTGTTAAAGTCTCCCATTATTAATGTGTGGGAGTCTAAGTCTCTTTGTAGGTCACTCAGGACTGGCTTTATGAATCTTGGTGCTCCTGTATTGGGTGCATATATATTTAGGATAGTTAGCTCTTCTTGTTGAATTGATCCCTTTACCATTATGTAATGGCCTTCTTTGTCTCTTTTGATCTTTGTTGGTTTAAAGTCTGTTTTATCAGAGACTAGGATTGCAACCCCTGCCTTTTTTTGTTTTCCATTTGCTTGGTAGATCTTCCTCCATCCTTTTATTTTGAGCCTATGTGTGTCTCTGCACGTGAGATGGGTTTCCTGAATATAGCACACTGATGGGTCTTGACTCTTTATCCAATTTGCCAGTCTGTGTCTTTTAATTGGAGCATTTAGTCCATTTACATTTAAAGTTAATATTGTTATGTGTGAATTTGAACCTGACATTATGATGTTAGCTGGTTATTTTGCTCGTTAGTTGATGCAGTTTCTTCCTAGTCTCGATGGTCTTTACATTTTGGCATGATTTTGCAGCGGCTGGTACCGGTTGTTCCTTTCCATGTTTAGCGCTTCCTTCAGGAGCTCTTTTAGGGCAGGCCTGGTGGTGACAAAATCTTTCAGCATTTGCTTGTCTGTAAAGTATTTTATTTCTCCTTCACTTATGAAGCTTAGTTTGGCTGGATATGAAATTCTGGGTTGAAAATTCTTTTCTTTAAGAATGTTGAATATTGGTCCCCACTCTCTTCTGGCTTGTAGAGTTTCTGCCGAGAGATCCGCTGTTAGTCTGATGGGCTTCACTTTGAGGGTAACCCGACCTTTCTCTCTGGCTGCCCTTAACATTTTTTCCTTCATTTCAACTTTGGTGAATCTGACAATTATGTGTCTTGGTGTTGATCTTCTCGAGGAGTATCTTTGTGGCGTTCTCTGTATTTCCCGAATCTGAACGTTGGCCTGCCTTGCTAGATTGGGGAAGTTCTCCTGGATAATATCCTGCAGAGTGTTTTCCAACTTGGTTCCATTCTCCCCATCACTTTCAGGTACACCAATCAGACGTAGATTTGGTCTTTTCACATAGTCCCATATTTCTTGGAGGCTTTGCTCATTTCTTTATATTCTTTTTTCTCTAAACTTCCCTTCTCGCTTCATTTCATTCATTTCATCTTCCGTTGCTGATACCCTTTCTTCCAGTTGATCGCATCGGCTCCTGAGGCTTCTGCATTCTTCACGTAGTTCTCGAGCCTTGGTTTTCAGCTCCATCTGCTCCTTTAAGCACTTCTCTGTATTGGTTATTCTAGTTATACATTCTTCTAAATTTTTTTCAAAGTTTTCAACTTCTTTGCCTTTGGTTTGAATGTCCTCCTGTAGCTCAGAGTAATTTGATCGTCTGAAGCCTCCTTCTCTCAGCTCGTCAAAGTCATTCTCCATCCAGCTTTGTTCCGTTGCTGGTGAGGAACTGCGTTCCTTTGGAGGAGGAGAGGCGCTCTGCGTTTTAGAGTTTCCCGTTTTTCTGTTCTGTTTTTTCCCCATCTTTGTGGTTTTATCTACTTTTGGTCTTTGATGATGGTGATGTACAGATGGGTTTTCGGTGTAGATGTCCTTTCTGGTTGTTAGTTTTCCTTCTAACAGACAGGACCCTCAGCTGCAGGTCTGTTGGAGTACCCTGCCGTGTGAGGTGTCAGTGTGCCCCTGCTGGGGGGTGCCTCCCAGTTAGGCTGCTCGGGGGTCAGGGGTCAGGGACCCACTTGAGGAGGCAGTCTGCCAGTTCTCAGATCTCCAGCTGCGTGCTGGGAGAACCACTGCTCTCTTCAAAGCTGTCAGACAGGGACATTTAAGTCTGCAGAGGTTACTGCTGTCTTTTTGTTTGTCTGTGCCCTGCCCCCAGAGGTGGAGCCTACAGAGGCAGGCAGGCCTCCTTGAGCTGTGGTGGGCTGGGCCCAGTTGGAGCTTCCCGGCTGCTTTGTTTACCTAATCAAGCCTGGGCAATGGCGGGCGCCCCTCCCCCAGCCTCGCTGCCGCCTTGCAGTTTGATCTCAGGCTGCTGTGCTAGCAATCAGCGAGACTCCGTGGGCGTAGGACTCTCCGAGCCAGGTGACGGATATAATCTCGTGGTGCGCCGTTTTTTAAGCCCGCCGGAAAAGCGCAGTATTCGGGTGGGAGTGACCCGATTTTCCAGGTGTGTCCGTCACCCTTTTCTTTGACTCGGAAAGGGAACTCCCTGACCCCTTGCGCTTCCCAAGTGAGGCAATGCCTTGCCCTGCTTCGGCTCGCGCACGGTGCGCGCACCCACTGACCTGCGCCCACTGTCTGGCACTCCCTAGTGAGATGAACCCGGTACCTCAGATGCAAATCCAGAAATCACCCGTCTTCTGCGTCGCTCACGCTGGGAGCTGTAGACCGGAGCTGTTCCTATTCGGCCATCTTGGCTCCTCCAAAAAATACCAGTGAGTTTTCTACCTTTAGATAATTTCTTATTGCTCAATAAAATCCTTTTTTTTTTTTTTTTTTTTTTTAGATTAAAGAACTCTCTTTAGTATTTCTTGTGGGACAGGTTTGGTGTTGTTGAAATCCCTCAGCCTTTGTTTGTCTGGGAAAGTCTGTATTTCCCTTTCATGTTTGAAGGATATTTTCACCCAATATACTATTGTAGGGTAAAATTATTTATCTTCAGCACTTTAAATATGTCATACCACTCTCTCCTGGCCTGTATGGTTTCTATTAAAAAGTCTGCTGCCAGACGTATTAAAGCTCCATTGTATGTTGTTTTTTTTTTCTCTGCCTGCTTTTAGGATCCTTTCTTTATCTTTGACCTTTGGGAGATCGATTATTAAATACCTTGAGGTGGTTTTCTTTGGGCTAAATCTGTTTGGTGTTCTATAACTTTCTTTTACTTGGCTATTGATATCTTTCTCTAGGTTTGGAAAGTTCTTTGTTTTTATCCCTTTGGATAAACTTTCTTCCCGTATCTCTCTCTCCCTCCTCTTTAAGGCCAGTATCTGTTAGATTTGCCCTTTTGAGGCTCTTTTCTAGAGTTTGTGGGCATGCTTCATTGTTTTTTTATTTTTTTTATTTTCTCTTCTCTCCTCTGTCTGTGTATTTTCAAATAGCTTGTATTCAAGCTCACTAATTTTTTTTCTGCTTGATCAATTCTGCTATTAAGAGACTGATGCATTCTTCAAGATGTCAATTGCATTTTTAACTCCAGAATTTCTGATTTATTCTTTTTAATTATTTCAATCTCTTTGTTAAATTTATCTGATAGAATTCTGCATTCCTTCTCCGGGTCATCTTGAATTTGTTTCCTCAAAACATCTTTTTTGAATTATCTGAAAGGTCACATGTCTCTGTCTCTATAGATTGTTCCCTGGTGACTTATTTAGTTCATTTTGTGAGGTTATATTTTCCTAGATGATCTTGATGCTTGTGGATGTTCATCTGTGTCTGGGCATTGAAGAGTTAGATATTTATGGTAGTCTTCACAGTCTGGGCTTGTTTGTACCCATCCTTGTTAGGAAGGCTTTCCAGGTATTTGAAGGGAGTTTGGTGTTGTGATCTTTTTGGTCACTGCAGCCATATCCTCATTAGGGGACTCCCCAAGTCCAGTAATGCTGTATTTGTTGCAGTCTTGTAGAGGCACCACCTTGGTGATCTTGGATAAGATCCAGAAGAATTCTCTGGATTACTAGGCAGAGACTCTTATTCTCTTCCCTAAGTTTTTCCCAAATAACCAGAGTCTCTCTTTCTGTGCTGAGCTTCTTGGAGCTAGGGGGAGGGGTGACACAAGCACCCCTGTGGCCACCACCACTGCAACTCTGCTAGGTCAGACCTGAAGCCAACATAGCACTGGATCTCACTAAAGGCCGTTGTAGCCACTATATGGCTACTGCTTATGTTTGCTCAAGGTCCTGGGTCTCTACAATCAGCAGGTGGCAAAGCCAGACAGTCTTGTGTCCTTCCCTTCAGGGTAGAAAGTTCCCCCTGGCCCCAGGTGGGCCCAGAAATGCTGTCTGGGACCTAGGGCCTGGAGTTGGAAACCTTAAGAATCTACCAGGTGCTCTATTCTAATGCAGCTGAGCTGGCACCCATGTCCTAAGATGAAGTCCTTCCCACTCTTGCCCTTGCTTTCCATTAGCAGTGGGGAGTCTTTCCTTATGGCCACCCCCACTACAAGTCTGTGGGGAGTATTGCCAGGCTACCACTGAATATCACTTAGGGCCCAAGGGCTCTTTGGTCAGCTTGTTGTAAATGCTTTCAGGCCTAACAGACTCACTCTTCAGGGTAGTGGGCTCCCCTCTGGCCCAAGGCAGGTGTAGAAATACAATCCAAGAGCCAAGGCATGGAATCAGGGACCCCAAGAGCCCACTTGACACTCTATCCCACTGTGGCTGAGCTGGCACCTAAGCTGCAAGACAAGGTCCCCTTTACTCTTCTCTTTGCTTTTCTCCAGCAGGTGTCTCTTTCTGTAGCCACCACACTGGGAATGTGCTGGGTCACACCTGAAGCCAGCACATCTCTGAGTCTCATCCAAGGCCCATGGTGAGTACCACCTGGCTACCACTGCTGACTCTTTAGTCAGCAGGTAATGGATCTTGCCAGGACTAGGTCCTTCCCTTCAAAGCAGCAGGTTCCCTTCTTGCCTAGGGTATGTCTAGAAATGTCATCTGGGAGCGAGGGCCTGGAATGGGTGCCTCAGGACTCTGCCTGATGTCCTATCCTACTGTGACTGAGCTTGTATCCAAGTTGAAAGACAAAATCTTCTCTACTCTTCCCTTTCCTTTCCTTGAGCAGAAGAAAAAATCTTTTGGAGCTGCCAGCTACACTACCTGAGGCTGGAGAAAAGGTGGCACAAGCACTCTCTTGGCTGCCTCACCTGGTGTTTCACTAGGTTATGTGCCCCCTAAGTCCACTGACTCCAAGCCTAGCACAGCACTAGGACCTCCCTAGGAGTTGCAGTCCTTGTGGCCTAGACTTCAAGTTTATTTAGAACCCCAGAGCCATTTAGCCTGTCGTGGCGAGGCTTGCCAAAACCTAAGTTTTGACCACTGGGATGGACGATTCTCTTCTGGCTAGGGCTAGCCTAAATGGTCCCTCTGTAGGTGTCTGCAGAGTTCTGCCTGGTGTTGCTTTCTGCTGTGACTGGGCAGAACTGAGTTCTATTGCAAAGTCCCACAGTCACTGTGCTCTCCCTCCCACAAGTACAAAGATTCTCTATGCCGTGCGGCTGCTACTGGGAGATGGGGGAGTGGTGTTGTTGGTAATACAGGATTATTTTTCCTACCATCTTCAGTGTCTCTTTCAGTGATGTCAAGTTAAAACCAGGTGCTGTGATTGCTCAACTGGTTTTTGATTCTTATGATGGTGCTGCACATCTTATGATGTGTAGATAGTTGTTAAATTTGGTGTTCTTGCGAGGGGGACAATCGGTAGAGGCTTCTATTTGGCCATCTTGCTCTGACTCTGCATGAATTTTCTAATTCATTTCTTACCAGTCAGTAATCCCTGTGGTCTGTAAATATATGCATATTGGATCTCTGACCTAAAAAATGCCTACTAGAGTACTTGGCACAGAGTAGGTGCTGTAAGTATTTGATAGATAATGAATGAATGCATTGAATGAATGAAAACAATGCAGATATTTATTTACTGGCAAGTTATTTTCTTTCCTTATATGCAGCAGAAAGTGACCTAGCAGTATAATAAGGCACTGTGGTAAAATGGAATGAAGATTGAGCTTATTGGCTCTGTTAGGGCCAATTTGATCGTTGTACATTGTAGGCCAGTGTCTATATACCATGAGCATTTCAAAGATCTAAAAACATTTGAGAACTGAAAAAAGTAATTTATTTAACCATTCCTTTATTGGATGTTAATTTTGCTTCATAGTCTCTTGTTATTAGATATGAGGCTGAAGAGATTAACTTTGTACATAGTCATTTTGTATGGGTACCAGTGTATCTCTAGGATAAATATCTAGATGAGAAAATGCCAGGTCAGTGGTCTTATGAATTTTTAATTTTGATAGCTATTACCAAATTGCTTTCCATAAGTTTATTAACTTACATTTCTACCAGCACTATATGAGATTGCCTATTTCCCCATAGCCTTACCAACAGAGGGTATTATTAAATTTTGAAGTTTTGCTAGCCTGATACATGGATGCTCTATATTTTAGGAATTCATGGCCTTGTTATGGGAAAAGCACTGTCTGTCTGTCTGTATTTATTTATTTATTTATTTATTTATTTATTTATGTTTTTGCTTTATGGTTACAAAATGAATCTGAGGAAGACGTTAGAAAAAGAAAAACATTTATTTTTCTTATTAATGAATTTATTTATATATATGCCTCATTGTTCCAAAAAAATCTGAATCTGAGGATACTTATAAAAGATTTATAATAATATAGGATAAAACATAAAAAGATAAAAAAAATTGGGTAAAGAGAAAAAGTGGGTGTGGAATTCTGATAAAGGTTTGGTCACTATACAAATGCTTACATCATTAGGTTCCATATAGTTGCTGAAGAAGTATTATAAATGTGACTGTGAGTTCCCTGGCAGCCAATGTAAAGGTGGAAATTTGGTTAGTTTTAAGAGTCACAGTGACTATAATACTAATAATAAATCAGCTGTTTAGGAGAAGTACAACTTTTTTCTTTTGCTAGAATGTTCTCCCCCCTTTTCTATGTGGCCAATTCCTATCAAATAGGAATCTAACTCTCAATGAATCCTTCCTTGATTAATCTATGTACTTTGCTGTTTCTTTGCTCCCACAGATCTTTGTACGAATCTCAGTTCTAACACTTGTTATGTTCACTTGGAGGTACAGCTTATTGGCTCAACAAACGGGCTTTGGAGTCATATGCTTGAGTTCACATTCCAATTACGTCTTTCATGGACTGCTGACTTTAGTCATTTTACATAACCCATGGGCATGTAACATGAGCAAGAAAATAAATGTCTATGTAACTTTTCTAAGTTCATGTTTCCTCAATTGTAAAGTGGGACTACTAGTAGTATCTGCCTTAAAAAGACTGATGTGAAGATTAAATGAGGTTATGTGGGTAGAACACTTAATACTTTGCTAATTAATGTGGTAAACGATCATAAGTAATAGCTGCAATGGTTTTATGTCTATCATCCTAACAAGCTACTTACACTATCTGCTCTCTAGGTTCTTGCAGGTGAATACAACCTTTAACAGCTACATGATATTCTTTGAATTGCTAATATTGGATTCATCTGGAAGAAATACTAAAATCTAAATTTAAGGAAATGAAAAAATTTCACAGGGCCTGAATTTCCATTCAGGACCTATCCCTTGAGGTTGGCATTTTCACAGCTGTGGCCAGATGGCAATCTTCTCTATTTCAGGGGAGGTGAATCAGAAGATTCTAAATGTCAGTTTGCTTTCAGATGCAGTCTTGGAAGGAAGACCTTTGCAATCAATGAACGTGTTTCTATAGTATAATATCAAGCCCACGTAGATTGGTTTGTCTTGCATACATAGTCATTAACACCTATGGTATCTCAGTTTAATCAGTTATGATTTCACAATAGCTAAGGGATGCATAAGCTTATCAGCCAGTTTTCATGTTTACTTTTAATGATATTAATTGACATTCCAAAACTCTAAGGTGAAGGAGCCTTCTAAAATTCCTTCTCTGACAGATGTCCCAGGGCCCTCATGTATTAGTCAAGATGAGCTAGGTTACACTGCAGTAACAAACAATCTTAGAATCTCAGTGACTTCTTGTTCATGTTACATATCTGTGAGTTTTCAGGTGGCCCTTCTCATCATATTTACTCAGGGATCCAGGCTGACAAGTGCTTCCATGATTACCATGGCAGGGGAAAGCAAAACAAAACAAAAACAAAAACAAACACAAAAACAGGGTGAATGGCATACCGACTATTAATCCTTCTGTCTAGAAACGATACTCGTCACTGCCATGAACATTTCATTGGCCAAAGAAAGTCAAATGGCTAACATTAAAAAGGGAATTGTACCTGAAACAAGGAGAAAGAGGAGCTTGTTAACCTGGCAATACCAATATTTAGCTATTATAGAACAGTCACTAAATGTCTCAGTTCTTCTAAGTGCATTATCTCATTTACTTCACAGCAACCTTATGAGGTAGGATGACAGACTCTCCTTGCCTATTAAAATCCATTTCTCCCTTTTCTCAAAACAATAGAGCTGGACACATGGCCTTCCAACTAGCCACTATATTTCCCAGCTTCCTTTGAAGCACATGAACATGTTAGGGCCAATATGTGAGTGTAAATGGTGAGTGCAACTATAGGTCACCTCCTTAAAAGAAAATCCCTTTGTCCTGGGCCAGTGTTCTATTTCCATTCCTTTGAGCTGGAATTCTATGACCCAACCTCCACAAAGAAGATGAGGACAATGACCTAGGGGAGGGTAGAGTAACAAGATGGAGGGCACATGGGTGTGTGAATGGATGAGTAGAGCAGAACCTCTCCACTACTGGATCCACTGGGGGCTGCCACATGAGAAAAAAACTTGTATCATCTTTAAGCCACTGTATTTTTGTGGCATTCTATTTTTCCCAATCAATTTGAGGTAGGCATATTATCCTCCCATTTTACAAATTAGAAACTGAGGCACAAACAGTTGAATAATTTACCCAATATCATAGAGTTTATTAATAAGAAACACCCAGTTTTGCATTTATGCAACTCAGTCCAAGAGCCCACACTTTTAATTATTACTCCCTGTTTAATGACCTCTCAACCAAACATGGGCCACTTGGGCAATAGTTGTGAAGTAAGCATTTTAAATTCTCAGGCGTTTATTATATGTTTCCATTCTGTGAACTACACATGTGTAGGAGGACATTGAATGGATGTGATATGACTTTGCTTAGTGACTGAGTTGCATTTACCACTTTAAATTATCTCTCCTTTTTGGGGAGAGGTTTAGGTTAACCCTTAGATCTAGAAATAGGTTTGCCTCTTTCTTTTTCTTTCTCCCTTTTATGTCACTTCTAGGCTTGTGAGAGGCTAAGATGATTGTCACTTTTCCCCTCTGATTTGCACATCCCCAATTATCCTGAAGAAGTTTTCCAGAATAAGCCATCAAGTTATATCCTAAAGGATATACCTATCCTTTAGATCTCATTTAGAAATACTGGAGTTTAAAGCACTGGTCTAAGGCGATCTTCCAATCTGGCAGTTAAAGAAAGTTTCTAAACGCTGTTTCTGGTTGACCACTGCTTTTGACTGCCCTAGGAAAAACATCAGAAAGACTTTTATGTCATTAGAGCTGCCAAAATTGGCATAAGAATATAAATTTTCTTATTAAATCTGTCCTAACTCAGTCAACAGAGATGTGGACAATGGAACGAACGGACATTTTATACAAAAGAAAGACTGCCAAACACATAGGCACAGTGAAGCCACAATTATTACCTCTTTGAAACTCCTACCATGACCACAATATGTCTTTTTATTAGCTTTATACACACTGGGTGATTTTCAGAATATTCTATAATCAACATTTTCTCCTTCAGCACCCTGAGAAAATAGAGATGTTCAAATGATGGCTCCATAAATATCTATGGAGAAAAATCACAATGCCTAGGATGTTTCTTGATGAAAAAGCATTCTCACATTTCTGTCGGAACAGAAATACTATGATATTTCTGGCAAGTAAGAGTTCATATACAAATATGGCTGCTGAGATGTCAACAGGTCAGCTCTTCACACCCAAGCTGTTAGGGAAGAACTATTCAAATCTGTCACCCAGAAGAAATAATAACCGTAGCACCTTTCCTTAAATGATACTTCACAGTGTTCAAAAAGCTTTTATAGGTGGTGGTGTAAGAAGCATGGGAGATGTAGGAACTGGATTATTTTTATTTTTCTCTTCTCTGACAGTCTGACTATGCGTTCCTCCTCCACACAGTAAAAATGAACTGCTCTGTGATAGTATTTAAGTTATTATCTCTAAGCTCCAAATCTGCCCCCTGCTTTGTGATGGTAGAATTGGGACTCTACAAACCACACTTCTGCTTTGCAAGCTGATCCCAGTTAAGCTTTGCTAACAGGAGGCACTTCAGGGTGACTCCAAGGTTGGAGGAGGAAAAAGGGATTTGTTTCTTACTGTTCTAGCTTTGCTGCTTGTTCCTTTGAATGTCACTCCAATGATGCTACTTCATCTCAGCAGGAGAAATTCCTTTCTATAGCAGAAACTAAATTTAGTTTATAGTTTCTCTAGCACTTGTAGGAGTGCTCCATTGCTCCATCTCCAGAGACATTCACCTCTAGGAAGAGGCTGGAGCTCCCTCAAGAGTCTGGTTTCAGCCCCTGAGACCCTCTGCTGAACTCAGGGACCCATTAATTAACAGAAAGCAAAACTCAGACTGGCTTAAGTAGAAAAGGAGACTTACTGGCTCAGAAGTCCAGGAGTTGGAAGAGTTTCACTATTGGTTGATCTAGTTCAGTGATATCACCAAGGACTGAGTTTTAGTATTTTTTTCTTCTTGCACTCTACTACCCAGGTCCAGCTTCATTCCATGACTGATTTTGTGGTACCTTTTCCCCCAACCAGTGAACAAAATCCTTGTTCATTGCATTGTTTGGACTAAACTGAACCAATCATGGTGAATAGGTACTATGTACTGATTGGTGTAGGATTGGGTTACTGACCATTCTTAAGCTAGTTGTCATGTCAAGGTCGATGTGAGGATAAGGTAAGATTATTCTGATTCGCATACTAATCAGGACTCATTCATTTCTTGGACTGGCCATGAGGTTCAGGTGCCCAAAGCCAATGAACCATCTGAGAAAGAGGTAGATATTTTTAGAAAGGGGGAATAGGTTGCTGGATAAATTACCAATTTACCAATGGGTACTGGCTGTCCAGTACCCATACAAATCCTTCTTCCTGTCCATACTCTCAGAAACATCTATGTTTTCCTACTAGAAACAACTCAAGATTTAGTATGTTAGCTCCAAGTTCCTTTTGATTCTCTGGGTGATGTGGGATCCTCTCCTTCATGTCTGGCTGAAACGTCTCATAGTCTAGGGACTTTCGTTAATAATATGTTATCCATCTATAACACAATCCATATAAACTGATGAAGAAAGAACAGGATAACTTTAATTAAAAAAAGAATCCCATTTGGAAAAGAGAAGAGTGGGAAACAACCCACAGTGGCCATTAGTCTATGACAGTATCATTCCTGCTGGACAGAAGTAATGGGGACTAGATTCCAGTAGTGAATTCTTTGGATGGTCATGCTGGCTGCTCAAGGTCTTCTATTTAGGAAGCTATACTTTGCCCACTCTTTTCCTTGGCTCCATCTGGGAGGCAGTATGCTATTAGGGTTAAGAGTAAAGGCTTTGCAGTCAGAATGCCTGGGTTCTAATGCTGGATTTGCTACCTTTTTTTTTTTTTTTTTTTTTTTGAGACGGAGTCTCACTCTGTCACCCAGGCTGGAGTGCACTGGCACACACTCGGTTCACTGTAGCCTCTGCCTCCCAGGTTCATGTGATTCCCCTGCCTCAGCCTCCGGAGCAGCTGAGATTACAGGCACGTGCCACTATGTCCAGCTGAGTTTTGTATTTTTAGTAGAGACGGGATTTCACCGTATTGGCCAGGCTGGTCTCAAACTCCTGACCTCAAGTGATCCACTCGCCTTGGCCTCCCAAAGTGCTGGGATTACAGGCGTAAGCCACCATGCCCGGCTGGATTTGCTACTTTTTAATTGTATACTTGGGTTCTAATACTGGATTTGCTACTTTTTAATTGTATGCCTGGGTTCTAATACTGGATTTGGGACTTTTTAATTGTATGACATTCAACAAGTTTCTTAAACTCTTTGTGCTTCAGTCTCCTCAGATGTAAAACAAAGACAATAATAGTACTTACCTCTTAAAATTAGTAAGCATGCAAAGAGGAAATGAATGCATGCAAAATTCTTAGAACATTATTTAACATATATTGAGTGCTCAGGAAATGTTAGTTATGATTATTTCAACTAGCCATTGAGGAGGATAATATGATACTTTCGGGGTGCCTTTGGCAGAAGAATGTCCCTCAATTATTTTTTGTTTTCAGAGATTCAGAGGGTACATGTGCATGTTTGTTGCATGGACGTATTGCATATGGTAGGGTTTGGGCTTCTAGTGTGGCCATTACCTGAACAGTGAACATTATATCAAATAGGTAATTTTTCAACCATCACCCTCCTCCCAGTCTCCCCTCTTTTGGATTCACCAGTGTCTATTATTTCCATCTTTGTGCCCATGTGTACCCTCTGTTTACAGAGGTACTTATAAGTGAGAACATGTGGTACTTGATTTTCTGTTTCTGAGTTATTTCACTTAGGATAATGGTCTCCAGCTCCATCCATGTTGCTGCAAAAGACATTATTTTATTCTTTTTTATGGATGCATAATATTCCATGATGTATATATGCCACTTTTTTTTTCCAGCAAAATAATTTTATTTCCTAACTTATGGTAACATATACATCCAATGTGTGCTCACCTTGCACATCTATTCACAAATGACTTCCAAAAGACAACTGCTTTGATATTTAAGCATGTGCTCAAAGTTATCTTAGTTGAGATTTGAAAAATGCTTTAAACAGATAACATTCTGAGTATATTGGATTGGTCACAGCAGAATTTACTTTAGTTAGATGAGTTCTACAAATTTAAAGCTTTGAAAAGCTACTACTTTTCCCATCCAGATGAATACGATGCAGCAATATCAGCTTGTATTCCAGAGAAATCTCATTAAGTTTTTCTGGTAATGGAACCACTTATCCACATCTGTTGGTACCGTGCAGGCAGATTCACAGGGTGGTGGTAAAGCATCCACAATGGCTCTGGCAGCATCAGGATCACACTTGAAGGGGCTCTTGGACACAGTTGTATTCATGCAACTGATTCCTTTTACATTCATTTTCTTAGTCACTAATGCTTTCCAATGGTCATGAGTGGTTTTAATAGTATCAATGGCAAAGTCCTTATCTTTAAATTCTGCATTAAAAGCAAACTCATTTCTAGTTTTCCATCAGGAACCTTATACCTTCTAACCCAGTCCACAGTAGCTTCTAAGTAGCCAGGTTTCAGCTGTTTGACATCATTGATATCATTACAATTGGCTGCATCAGGATCATCTACATTGATGGCAATGACTTTCCAGTTAGTTTCCCCTTTGTCAATCATAGCCAATATGCCTAGAACTTTCATGCCAATTATTTCACCTCTTGCACATACCTTGCTTCCAATTTCACACACATCAATTGGGTCACTGTCACCACAACAGCCAGTATGTTCATCATTGTGCCCTGGGTCTTTCCAAGTCTGAGGGATGGCACCATAGTTCCAGATATATCCTTTATACGGGAACAAATTCGCAACATAACGAAGTTTTTCTTTTTTCACATCTTGTTTAATGGGGTTTAAAGGGTCCTTTGTAGCAATCTCCATTTTTGCATTAGACAGCGTGGTACTTCCAACCACCACGTGGAACACATCCTTATCTGCATAAATTGGAATATTATGAAATGGAGATATATATTGTCCTTTCTCATTTTTGAGGAAGACTCGGTACTACAGGGAGAAGGGTGTGGTGTGCACTTCGGTGCTGAAGCCGCTCATTGCGCCAGAGTCCAGCCACCGCCGCTGTCACAGAGCCACTGGCCCCGCAGGCGTTGCCGACTGACAAAAGGAGAGAGCCCTGCGCCTGCGCGCTGCAAGCACTCTATAGCACCTTTTTTTTTTTTTTAAATCCAATCATCTGTTGATGGATACATAGGTTGATGCCATGACTTTGCTATTGTGAATAGTGCTACAATAAACATAAGAATGAAGGTTTTTTTTTTTGATATAACAATTTCTCTTCCTTTGGGTAGATGCCCAGTAGGGGGGTTGTTGAGGGGGGTTGTTAGTTATTTGAGAAAAGGGAATACTTCTACACTGTTGGTGGGAATGTAGATTAGTATAACCTCTATGGAAAATAGCTGGAGATTTCTCAAATAGAACTTCCTTCAGTATTTAATAGGCTTCTGACCTAATTGCTTCTGGTCAGTTCTGTAGTCAGATATTTGGTAATAGAGATCAGATTCATAATCCTTGAGTTTGGAAAGTAGATCTTTTGAGGATAGGTATTGGTTCATGTGCAACTGGCCATAATTTTCCACCCACTTTTGTTTTGAAACACAAATATCTTAGATCATCTCACTAATGCGTATGACTAGCTAGGTCTTGTTTCTTTGCCTTTTCTTGAACCAAAGCTTCCACTAGGAATACCCACTGTGATCTATATCCATAGTGCATGCTTGCCAAGCTGTAAAATCAACTGTCAGGCAAAGTTGGAAGGGTAAATCCCCAGCCACCAGTGCTCAACTACTCTGCCCTATTGAGGCTGGCGTCATCTTGGCTGACTGTATGATTGCGGGCCTTATATTACCTTTATCTTTCTTGCCCAGGTTGATGGGAGCAGTTTATAGACAGAAGAATGCCTCATGACAATATGTCGATCAACAAAATGGGCACCTGAACTATTTAAGGCATTATACCAGGCATCATCCCCTTTCATTGCCATTGCTCCAACACTAGCTGAAGTTTGAGCTGCTCTATAAGACTTTTGTAAAGGTCTATTGGGAGAAAATATGAAGACAGGCCCAGGCATTTATAGAAAGGCTTTATTTTGTATCCATTTTCACACATCACCCAGACAAATCATGAATTTTACTTTTCCAATTTTCATATAAAACTACATACACCGCACTGTACATGTAAAACAAATTTGGAAAGGAGCCTCAAGCTGGCCTCTGAAATTGTGTAAGCAATTATCACATTTTTGTGCGCAAATGCAGTAATTATATGTGTAATTTGGCAGCTGGGTTTGAAAATTTGGCCTTAAATGGAACATAGACAGGAAAAATAAATGTTGGAAAATGCCAATATTTTATAAAGATTTTGAATCAAATAATGGTGGAATTATTGCAAGCCATCTTAATTTTTAATTATAATGATCATTACACAATATACAATAATTTTTTGAGGAAGAAAAGAACTATAGATCAATTGCCCATAGTTTTTGTCAGAAAAAAATGCCTAATTTCTTTGGGAGGATAATTGTATTTTTCAGAGGTTATGGTACATATTTCAAAAGCTTTTTTTTCTTATAAAGAAAAGATAGTGATTGCCTAGTAGTTCAAGTTCTATGACATATTTTACTATGGGAAGAATAGAACTCTTTGTACTGATTAGAGGAAAAGTAGTATTAAGTCTGTACTTATATTTGAGCTAGTAATCTTAAATTAGATAAAGCTTTCTTATAAGCTTTAAGCTTTGGAATATAAGATTACAGCCTAAATGAAGAGTAATTTAGATTTCTTTGATCTAGATTTAAATTGAATTTACATAGTAAAATCATAGTTTTTATATTGTCATCAAGATTGACTCTAATGCATGTGCTTTTTCATGTGGTTAGGAGGGCTAGGGATTGGATTTAATATAAGGATGGCTGTGGAGTAGTATCTTCTATTCTTAGCAGGGTAATGGAGAGGTTGATTTTGCAGGTTCTGTAGTCAGCCAGCCTGGATTCCAATCCTGGCCTTACTACTCTAGTAGCCCTTTCTGCACCTCAGTTTCCTCATCTGGTAAAATGGGAGTGGTAATATGTCCATCAAATAGAGGTTTTGTCAGGACTGAATGAGATAATCATCTAAAGCACTTTGTACAGTATCTGGCTCTGGTAAGACCTCAAACATGGCAAGCTTTTTTTTTTTAAATCATCATTTGCTTTCAGTGTTTAAATTGCAATCATGACTAAGTGATCAGAAGAGATTGTGCAACTCAGAAATGCAATCTGAGGGGAAGAGAAAGCCAGTGAGTGACCCAAGTATGTGGAAAGTTCTCAAGAAATTCAGGTTCTTCATGATGAGGTAGTGTCCCCAATAGAATGATAAAGGAAGAAGACAGTGTGGGCTGAGCTCAGTTGTGGAATTTTATTTCAATTCTGTATCTAGCAATTACAGCCTTCCAGGCCCGTGCTAAGCTAGGGTATAAAGAAAGATTAAGCAAGTCTCTCTCTAGGAGCCTACAATCTTTAGAAGGAATTAGATAAGTACGCAAATGGTTATAATGCATGATGCAATACAGTCCAGGGAGAAATGAACAAAAAAGATGCCATGGGCATTATAAAAAAGAATGGGGGAAAAATACATAGGTTTTTTTTTTCACTAAGATTCTGCAAGTTTTCTTAGAATAGGTAACTTTTGAGGTAGGCATCAAATATTGTAAAGGTTTTGGTTAAGCAGACGTAATTGTACTGGGGAGAAATTCCAGGTGAAGAAGAGGAGAGAAGAGAAGGGTGCACCCAAGAATACCTGGGGCTTCCAACGTGGTGAGGAGTCATGGACACAGGCCATTAAGGGAGGCTTGGCTGTATTAAGGGAGGCTTGGCTGTATTTGGAAAGCCTTTAAATGATATGGTGAGAAGGCTGCTTCAATTTCATAAGCAGCAGGCAGCTTTTAAAGAGGAGTGTTTTGATTTGATCTGTATCATGCCTTAGATAATCACTTTGAGATCTTGTTAAAACCCATATTCCTGTCCCCCTCTCCCAGAGATTCTGATTCAGTAGGTTTAGGGTGAAGCCCCAGAATTTGCATTTCCAACAATGTCACATGTTACACTGATGCTGTGGGTTCACAAAATACATCACAAATAGCACTGCCTTCCAAAAGTTTTGTTTGCATGTCCCATTAGTAGAAGAATTTTGAGTGTGTATCCTCACTGTATTTTTACTCATTTGTAAGTTATAGACAAACTACCATGTCAATATCTATTATGTATATCATAAAACCTATACCAATTATAACCCTAAAGGCTGAGCTGGCTGGGTGTGGTGGTTCATGCCTATAATCCCAGCACTTTGGGAGGCCGAGGCGGGCCGATCATGAGATCAAGAGATCGAGACCATCCTGGCCACCACGGTGAAACCCTGTCTCTACTGAAAATACAAAAATTAGCTGGGTGTGGTGTCATGCACCTGTAATCTCAGCTACTCGAGAGGCTGAGGCAGGAGAATTGCTGGAACCTGGGAGGCGGAGGTTGCAGTGAGCCGAGATCGTGCCACTGCACTCCAGCCTGGTGACAGAGTGAGACTCAGTCTCAAAAAAAAAAAAAAAAAAAAAGCTACGCTAATGGTAATCATAGCTTTATTTTTATTTAAATTATTAATAGTACAGAAGTTTTTGCTCTCACTAAAATTATAATTATATTTGAGTATGCATCACTATTTTACAAACTTTTGTTAAAAAAATTCTTTGGCTTTTGTTAAAACATTCAAATGTGTTTCTCAATTCAGCTTTTCAGCACTTTGTTGTAATGGTTTTTGCAACTAAAAAACATGTCTCACAAAGACGCATAAATCCAAATGGAAGAATTTCCTTACTGGCTGTTTTAAGTAATTCCCATTCACCAAATTTGAAAATGCTTATGTTAAAATTTGGCTAGTAGATTTCCATCTTCTTTGATGTCAATCAGTAGTTCTTACAGACAATTAGGCAATATTACTGTTGTTTTATTGTTATCAAAATGCGTTCAAATTCCACTGAAATTTTTTGTTTAGAATAATTTTAAACTGGTTTAAAAATCTTGCTTCCAACTTTTTAGAATGTACTAATAGGAGATTTAAAAAAATTGATGATGATTGCATTTATCTTGTTTTTGCATCTAAATCACATCTGTATTCCCAGCTACTCGGGAGGCTGAGGCAGGAGAATGGCGTGAACCCGGGAGACGGAGTTTGCAGTGAGCCGAGATCGCGCCACTGCACTCCAGCCTGGGCGACAGAGCGAGACTCCGTCTCAAAAAAAAAAAAAAAAAAAAAAAAAAAAAATTTCTAGTTCATTATTGAAACATTAACTTTCACCTTGAAGGGATAAGTTTTTTTTATTTTTTATTCTTGCCATACCAATAGCTGTTTTTAATTTTTTAGAGGAAATACTATAATTAAAAGAGTTCCAGGCCGGGCGCGGTGGCTCACGCCTGTAATCCCAGCACTTTGGGAGGCCGAGGCGGGCGGATCACGAGGTCAGGAGATCGAGACCATCCCGGCTAAAACGGTGAAACCCCGTCTCTACTAAAAATACAAAAAATTAGCCGGGCGTAGTGGCGGGCGCCTGTAGTCCCAGCTACTTGGGAGGCTGAGGCAGGAGAATGGCGTGAACCCGGGAGGCGGAGCTTGCAGTGAGCCGAGATCCCGCCACTGCACTCCAGCCTGGGCGACAGAGCGAGACTCCGTCTCAAAAAAAAAAAAAAAAAGAGTTCCAAAAAATGTTAACAGTTCCAGCAATGATTATTTCTAAAATGTAAAGATTTGAAACATAATTTATACAAAGCTAAAAACCAGAAGGATTCATTCTTGCTTTTTCCTTTTTTTTAAAAATCCAGACAATTTGTTACAGGACAGTTCAGCATGTGATAGCAGCTGCAGCCTCAGTCACCCTCAGAATTGCAGTCCCTCCCCATGGGGACAGAGCGCCGCACTGAGGACAGCAACATGTGTTCAATCGGCTTCTTAGGGTTTTCCTCCAGGTCCATCTTAATTGCTCCAGATTCAGACAGTTTCCGCTCCAACTTATCTCTTGTCAGGTGCATGCCACCAGACACCAGAGGACCGATAAACTGAGCCTTGATATCTCCTTCCAAGAAAACAAATATTGTGGGCAGATTCCTATCAGGATAATTGGGTATGCAGGTTGTTGAAATGGCTTTGATAAATTTGACATCAGGAAACTTCCTGGCAAGTCTGCTGAGGTGCTAGTTTATCAGGGCACTGAGGGGAATTCCTTGTTGGTAAAGGTGCAAGATGACCCAGAAACCCTCACCGGCTTTGGTAGCTTCTTGAACATAATCCTTCCCTGAGATCTCCAAAACTTCTCCAAATGTATTCTTCAGTTTAGATGCTTTCCACTCAACTAGTCTCTGCCGTGTGTACATTTCAATAGCACGTTCGTCCTCCTCATTAAACTCATCTTCATGATCTTCCAGCTCTTTCAAAGCCCTATCTTTATATGTTGTCACCACTGACTGCTGGAGGATGCGCTTCTCCTCTTCCACCTCATTTTCCAATTCTTTCAGACTTTCCTTGGAGGGCAAGATACCCTTTTTGGTAAGATGTCATTCCACTCAGTGTCTGCGTTGGGGTCCTGCATCTTGTTTCCAATCGCTCAAGCCAGTTGCTCCACCATGTTTATTAATATTAAAAAAATACTTGAGAGGTAGCATGCATGCTATGGATAGCCCCCTTATCATCACAGACAAGGTTAGCATATTTGGAACACTTGTCTATTTTGTAAATATATGTTTTTAGTTCTAAGTTTTAATACTTTGCCACAAGCAAACCTCTGTGCTGTAGAAAATACATCCATAAGTAAATATAAATTGAGAGGTTAATTTATTCTCTCAATTTATTTTAAACAATTAAATTAACTATATTTTAAAGTTTTTTAAAACATAAAATTAACTAAACTGATGACATCTTGCAGTATTTTGTGCACTTCTGGCTTCAATTCCTTAGCTGCAAATGGTTGCCTGTATATAGCAGGATGTCACATGTGATCTGTTTCAGGAAACTTAGCCAAATCCTTTTAAAATTTTGGTCAAGGGAGTCGCTCTGTTACTTACACAGCTTTACTGTTAAAGAAGTTATTTACTCCTGGGAATACATCTTATCTGCATATTTTACCTTTGGCGGTTTGAAAAAAGTACAGTTCTTCATACATTTTATTATTGAAACACAACCTAGTGAAAATCATATGCTGAGACTTGGTAAAAAAGAAATATTTGGACCCATTCAAATTACATAACAAACTTTGTAAAACAGTAGAATTTGTCCAAATTCTTGATTAAAAATAAAATCTCAGGAATGGTTTCTATAAATCTTATGAAAATGGATTCCAATTCCACTGAACTTCCTTGTTTGAAAGATTTTAAACTGGTTAAAAAATCCTGTATTTGTTGACAAAGGTGTCCATTTTAGTTTGTACCAAATTATTTTGAATGTATTATTTTAACATTCACCAAAGCAAAAAATTAGAATTTCATAATAAAATGTAGCCTTTTGATTTTCACTGTTAAAAGGAAACTTTACGGTTGGGCGCAGTGGCTCATGCCTGTAATCCCAGCACTTTGGGAGGCTGAGGTGGGCAGATCACCTGAGGTCAGAAGTTTGAGACCAGCCTGGCCAACATGGTGAAACCCCGTCTCTACTTAAAAAAACACAAAAATTAGCCGGGCGTGGTGGCAGGTGCCTGTAATCCCAGCTACTCAGGAGGCTGAGGCAGAATTGCTTGAACCTGGGAGGCGGAGGTTGCAGTCAGCCGAGATCGCGCCATTGCACTCCAGCCTGGAGGACAAGAGCGAGATTTTGTCTGAAAAAAAAAAAAAAAAAAAAAAAAGGAAACTTTACATGTTTAGTGAAAGCTTTTAAAGTAAAGGGTTGAGTTTTACTTAATTTAAACATCTTTGAAAAATTGCACAGGCTTGTGTCTATGTTTTAGAGTATATTATTTCTCTTTTTTCTTATTTTTGAAGTAGTTTGTTAATTGTGATTGGTTCATGTTATCATTACCATTATTTTAAAGCACAGTTCTGTATATGCATACTATAATCATTAACCAATATGTCAAGATGCAATATACACATAGGATGAAACTGTTAATGAAAATATATCTAAATCCATATTTTAAATGGTCTTCTAGATAATTTTGAATTTTTAAGGCCAATTTCTTATTACTGATTTTATCTTATAGTGTGTTTGATCAAGAGTTTATACTAGGGGTAGTAAATAGATTGGGTAGTAAATAGATTCAATAAACAATACAGTTTTCCAGAAACAACCAAGAAATAAAATACATGTCTGATCTCAAGGAGCTTTAAATTACATAAAGAGACAGGATGTATTCTCATGAAGCCATTCCAGGAGAGTTACAAAGCCATGGATTACTGATTTGGGCAGGACTGTAAACTGAGGAGTATGAGGAAGAGGTAGGCTTGCTTTTCCCATGGAATCACTTGCTCCTTGATGAATAAAGTTGTGCCAGACTGATTCATTTCTGTTGACTAAGTCAGCTTCATCCAGTCTAATAACTCAGAGGAGAATATAGTAAGACCCAAACACTTTAATATGAGTGAGTTTTAAGGTATTTTATAATTTTCAGGGTTTTTGTGAGGATCAAATGCCTACCACATTGTCTGGCATATTGTATGTGCTCAGCAATTAGTACTTATTATTGACCGGATTAGGAAGAGGGGTTTGGATGTGGGATGGAACAGCCTTGTGTGTATCTCTGAGGAGGTGTGTGGTAGAGAAAGGGCTAAAACATTCTGAATCTATTTTAGGATATTATGCAGTTCTGTGAGAATGGGTAAAATGCATAAAGTATACTCTTAAGGGTGTATGTGCACTATCTAGGGGGATTGAAAAAAAATGACTGGTATGGAAGGAAATACTTACGTTACTAGGGAGCCTAATTAGGGAAAGTGGGTTTTAAGAGGAGTTGAACTTTGAGTTGAGAGATAACCAATGAAGTTAGGTGAAATTTAGGAGAGTGAGAAGATCAGGAAATATTCCATGTGGAAACATTGACATAAAAAAGTAGATCATGAATAAAAACCTGAACTCCTTAAGTTTCTTTTTTTTGAATGTAAAATGGTGCATAATTCCACACAGGCAAACAAAATTCTCATTTATTCATTGTCTAAACACACACACACACACACACACACACACACATATTTAGAGACAGGGTCTCCCTCTGTCACCAAGGCTAGAGTGCAGTCACATGATCATAGCTCACTACAACCTCGAACTCCCGGGCTCAAGTGATCCTCCCATCTCAGCCTCCTGAGTAACTAAGACTACAGGTGCATGCCACTCTGCCCAGCTAATTAAAAATATTTTTTTTGGTAGAGATGAGGTCTCGCTATGTTTCTCAGGCTGGTCTCAAACTTCTGGCCTCTAGCAAGCCCCCTGCCTCTGCTTCTCAAGGTGCTGGGATTACTGGTGTGAGCCACCGTGCCTGACCCTAAACCCATATTTATTAAATGCCCACTATGTGCAAGTCACCATTACAGGCATTGGAAAACAGCAGTGAGCAAAAGAAATAGTCTCTGCTGTCATGGAGTTTACATTCTACTGGTGGCAATAGACACAAAGATAAGTAATAAACAGAGAAGAGAAATAAAGCAGGATCAGGGTTTTGAGTATAGCCCGATTGTGTGTGTGCGGGTGTAAGCATATCTTAGATTCCCTAAAACACAGAGCCTGAGATACACCTTATGTCCTAAAAAATCTTAGGAGATGTGGTTCCAGGGCAGCAAAGGTAGGGGAAAAGGGAACATAAAGCAGTGAAATCAGAGAAGCAAATAAAAGGTGGCGCATTTGGTCACAGCCCCAGAAGGAATAGTTGGCTGCTTGGTCACTAAGGACATTTCCAGAGAGGCTATATGGAGCTTTATGCTTTAAAACTGTCTGCTGGAGGGAGGAAAGGAGAGAAGTTTATGTTGCTTTCTTCCCACCTTTTGTTTCTCACTGATCAAAGCTTCCCTAACACGATGTTCCACTTCTGGTTTTTGTTATCTGGTCTCTCTGGGAAGCTACTGGGGAGGCCGGAACCTTCATGGGCCAAGTTGGTTTGGACCTGGACTCAGGAGCTATAGAGGGCTGACTCTCTCTGCACGGGGAAAGCCGACTCAGCCAGCAGAGCTAAGAGATGAGCAGATGAAGGTGTCAACCAGGGGTTTGATCACAAGAATTGCAGAGCTTTAATTGCATTTGGTGGAGCTACTCCATCTAGGAAGTAGGGCAAATGGCTGATGTCTGGGAACAGGTAGGACAAATGAATCTGAGGAGGCACATAAATTGGATCTGTTATATGAACTCTTTTCTATGGTGGTCAGACCTCTCGGATAAGGTGCTACTTGAGCAGAGTTCTGAAGTAAGTGAGAAGGCCAACCAGATGGATATCTGGCAGAAATTTATTCTTGGCAGAGGGTATCTCAAGTGCAAAGAGCGTGAGGAAAGAATAGGAGGTGGTATCATAGAGTATTTGAGGAGCAGAAAGAAAGCTAGTGTGGCTAGATTGGAATCAGTTAGGGAAAGGGTGATAGAAGATGAGGTCAGAAAGGCAATGGGGTCCTAGCCCATGAAGGGCTTTCTGGGCCATGATAAGGTCTTTGGCTTTTTATTCATAGTGAGGTGGAAGCCACTGGAGATGTTGAAGCAGAAGAATGACATGGTATGACTTTTTTTTTTTTTTTTGATGGAGTCTCTCTCTTTTTGTCACTGAGGCTGGAGTGCAGTGGGGTGATCTCAGTTCACTGCAACCTCTGCCTCCCAGGTTCAAGCGATTCTCCTGCCTCAGCCTCCTGAATAACTGGGATTACAGGCACCTGCCACCCATGATGGGCTAATTTTTGTATTTTTACAAGAGATGGAGTTTTACCATGTTGATCAGGCTGGCCCGAAACTCCTGACCTTAAGCAGTCCACCCACCTCGGCCTCCCAGAGTGCCAGGATTACAGGCGTGAGCCACTGCATCCGGCTCTGACTTCTGTTTTTAAAGGAACATTCTGGCTTTTGGTAGAGGATAGTTTATGGAGGAGTAAAGGGGAAAGGTGGGAGACCAGCTTGAAGACTCTAGGATCAGATGGCGGCTGTTGAGATAGGGAGACAATGGATTCTGGTTACATTAAACTAGGGCTGTTGGTGTGAAAGAAAGAGAGAACTTATGGATGATTTCAAGAGTCTTGGCCTGATCAACTTGAAGTAAAGAAATGAGTCTCACTAAGGCCAAGTTCATTTCCTTTGATAGGAACTTATCTATTTTGCCAATAAGAAGCTGTCGCTGAGCAGGATCTTCCCTTGTAAAATATTCTGAGTTGAAGTCACACATAATGCATAATATGTTCAATTAATTTATGTTTTAGATCCACTGGGTATAAGTCAATTGAAATTTAAAATTTTCATTATGTGTTAAATCTAGTTATAGTATCTCTGTCAAAGAAAAAGGCAGAATTTAGCCCTAAAAGTAATAAATTGCCTAAGCGGTGGCAATTAGTGTGTGTGGTGGTTGTGTGTGTGTGTGTGTGTTGGTTGAGGGATGATGAAATGAATTTATTTTTAGTAGCCCTACAATGAAAGGGAGGCAGGAACTCCCATATAATATTTTAGATTGCTTAAGATGTTGTCATGCCAGTTTTCATTGTTATTGATGCTAAACACTCTAAGAATATCTCTGGCTCATACAAAAGGTCCTGAATATTTCAATGATATATGAAACAAAAAGGCTTCCTAGATGTCTGTGAAACAACACTGATGGCTTCAACGAATGCAGTGGTAAGCATTTATTACAGCACCTGGAATGCAGTTACCTGGTTGCTTTTTGTTCCATTAACAAGTTGTGAAAAAGTCTTGATGGAGCTTTTAGCTGTAAAACATCTTAGAGCGTAATCTGTTTTTAGAAGATTAATTCCATCTGAAATAGAGAAGCAAATGATAAACAGCTTAAAAGACACCAGAGAAATAGATCGTGTTACAGTTGAGGACAATAATATTATTCCACATTTAAGAAAATTTTTAGCAAGAGAAAAAAAAACCTGAAAAGAACCATGAGTTTAGCTGTGCTTATTGCAAGAAATTAGTTCGGATATTTTTGCAAAGACGTGTTAAAGGGGAACGAATAATTAGGACTTTTCTCAGCTAAAAAAAAAGAAAAGACGTAGAAAATGTTATTTTAAAAACATTTTTGGTTTATGTAATTATTCGAAAGCTCCCCTTAGACCCTAAAAACAAAAACAATCCTCCAAACTTTAAATTTATGATTTATTTATTTACTTATTTTTCAATCTGAACTTTCTGAAAAGAGTGACTGCAAACTCGAGTGAATCCTGATGTCTAGTCAAGAACAATACAGATGAGACTTCACTGACAGAAGTTCTGCTTGGGACAGACAAATACTTTATTGATAAGGAGATGAATAATTCGATGTGTTCTCTGAATCTGCAGGGAATATGGTTAGATTACAAAATTTTATTTGTTTTTTTTTTTAATAACAGAGGTCAATGCGCATTGTTGTCAGCAACATCAGTAAGAAGGAAGTACCACATCAGCTGTAACCCACTACAGCTGAACAGGAGAAACTGATCCAGGTTTTAGTGCAGCTCAGGGCATGCTGTGAATGATTAGCAAATGTGGATACCCAGTATGCCTTGTGGAAAGACACACTTGATGATAAATAACACTCTTTAGAGTTGTAGACAGACAGGCTCAGGGAGAGATACGCTGTTCACCCAAAGGGTAGTAGCATATGACATTTACCCCCGCAAGGAGATGTTGCAGATGGGAAATATTATCAATTCCAGAGGAATTTTTAGATACATTTATAGATGATACACATGGATGTCTGAGAGCTTCTGGGACATTCCAGCATCTTTGGACTTTCACTTAATTCACTAGTCATCCTTTGATAGTGAACCTGATGTGCCATTAGTGAGGCCTTAATGTAATATCTTTTATGTTCTAATTTTAGGAAAACCTGATATAATGAAGTAGTCATAAATTTATTTTTGCAGGGGATTAGGCTAGGCAATGATAAATAAGAAATGAAGGGCATTTTCTTATACAGATTGCTATTATCTGGTAAATAATAATAGTAATTATTATGTTTCCCTAGGCGACATAAGTCCTGGTTGAAATGGCATGACATTAACAGTAACAACACATATTTCTTTGGTTTTCCTCTCATCTGTAATTGCAAGACCTTTACTTCTGGAAAAGGTCCTGCATTTATTGTTGAGAGTCCCACATAGTTTCTGATGAGTACCACATATGGCCCCCATATTCTTACCATTTCTTCCATTGCCTCCTTCTGCTTAGGCCTCCACCCCTCTGACATTTCACTGGGCCCACAGCCAAGCTGCCCTTTATGGTTCCACCTTTGTTGCTGAGCATCACTACCATTGATGCATGGGAGTTCTTAGGTGGCAATGGGGCCTCATACTTTCTGGAGTCCTTAGGGTGCCAGAGCCACATGATATTCCTGGCAGAAGTAGATAGAATGTTTCTCTCCCAGTTTTGGGTTATACCATGAAGCAGGGCTGTTTGTGCCAATTGTCTTAAAGAGCTCTACTGCAATAGTTGTCCCTTTTCTCATCCATGGCTTTCCTTCCCTGATTCTTTCTCCTTTCCCTCCCTTTCTCCCCATCCCCCATCACCACAAACACAATGAATTTCATGGAGAATGGGGGTGGAGGAAAGTGAGGGTAGGGTAAGCAAATCCAGGTGACAACTCATAACTCAGAATCACTCCCTCCTCCAATAACCACTGTTATCAGACTGTCATGCATATCTGATTCCCTTTTCCCTTAGGATGATGTTCTCTTAGTTCTTATAAATAGACTCATAGTCAGCCTACTTTATCAGGCCTGAAACCATGCTCAAACATTATAGGCTGATGTCTGTTAATAATAATTTACATTTGAATCTCATCACAAAGCATTTTCATAGACACTATCTCATTTTTCTCACAAGAGCCGATGATTTTTTGGACATTTTACAGAGGAGGACACTGAGGTTCAGAGAGATTAACTAATCAGGGTCATACAGCTTAGGCTTTGCATGCAGATTCCATAGTGTGGTATTCATATTTCACCACTCACTGGCCTTCACTCACTGGTAAAAGGAAAGAATATATTTTCTTTTTGAAGATATTTTTCTTGGATCCTCCTGACCTCCGATTCTATTTTGGAACAACTACTCTCTATTCCTGTTGCATAGCTCTCCACCTGGGATACGTGTTCATTGAATTTTTGCTTCAAAAATAACATGTCTTTTAATTTCCTCTCTTTCTACCTCTCCACATGAATCCTTTGCCCAGTCATAGAGAATTGTGTGCAATCTTCCGAATGCGCATGCCCCTTCCACCTTTGTGACTTTACACATGTGTCTTAGATTGGGTTCCCTGAAAACAGACTCTGAGATGGAGAATTGCATGGGGAGTGCTCTTAGGAGATCACTCACAAAGAAGTGAGAAAGGAAAGATTGCAAGGAATTGAGGAAGGAGACATTGTAAGGAAGGCAGGATTGGGCAGAGGAAGGAGCTGATGTGCAAGGTGATTGCAACCGAGATCTTAGACAATCCTACAGGGAACAAAACCTTGGGGCTAGACAGTTCCCTGAGGCTGAGAGAAATTCCCAGTAAAGAACAAAGATGTGAGCAGTCAGCATCTGCTATTACCAGCAGCCGGGCGATAAGTGAGTCAGCCTTGAAAATATCAGTGAAAATATCCAATACAGTGAATATCCACTCAGTGAAAATATCCACTACATGTATTTTCTCTCCACTTTAATGTCCTTACCCAGCTTAATTGTTCAAACTCATGCCATATTTTACTTGTTTAATATTTGAATAATTTTTTTCTGATACTAGTCATTTTTCTTGGAGCTTCCATTGACATTCTTTCCCTCTCTTCACCATGAGAAAAACATATGTTTGAATTTAATTGCTAAGCTCAACCTGCTCCTTTATTTTAAAATGACTGCAATGAAATATACTTTCTTTTTGAAGACATTTTTCTTGGATCCTCCTGGCCTCCCATTCTACTTTGGAACAACCGTACTCTAGTCCTGTTGCATAGCTCTCCATCTGGGGTATGGGTTCACTGAATTTTTGCTTTAGAAATAACATTTCTTAGATTCCATGTCTTCTTGTTTCTTGTGTTTCTGTTTACAGCCTCAAGTTACTTTTTACAAAGGACTGATGGAGGTAAAGTTTTTGTCTAAAAATGTATTTGTTTTGCCTTTACTTGCTATTTTGGCATGAATAGAATTCTATGTTCAAAATAATTTCTACTCATAACTTTAAAGGGTTACTCCATTGTCTTTTAGCAGCTAATGTTGCTGATGAGAGGTCTGATGCCTTTGTGCTTCTCCTTCCTATATAGATAACCTGTTCTTTTTAGGTGACTATTTTTGGATCTTCGTATTGTCCTCAGTGATCCAAAATGTCAAATTATCCCTAGAGATGGCTCTTCTTAAAGTTATCCTGTTAGGCACTTTGTGGTTGCCTTTAATCTCATGGCTTCTGTCATTTTTCAGCTGTGGAAATTTGCCTCCAATGTTTTCTTTCCTTTATTTTCTTAGTTTCTTCTTGTATCTCATTCATGGATCTCCTCAACTGATTCTTTGTTTGTTACCCATTTCTTTTTTTTTTTTCTCAGTGTTTTGGGATATTTTCTCTTCTTCCACCCCCCCTATATTTTCTATCAATTTTTTATGGCAATTATATTTTTAATTGCCAAAATTTCTTATTTCTGATTATTCCTTTTTATGACGATCAATTCTTGTTTTACAACTGCAGCTTTTCCAAAACGTATGGCAAAAGAGCTGGACTTTCATACTCCTGAACGTCTCAGTCATTAGAATGCATAAAAGTGTGTTTCAGTAGTTCAAGAGCATTTCTTCAAAAACGATCCCAAGAGATATAGATGGAGCATTGAAGTAATAACTTACCGATACAATTTTGACTGTGATGTGATTTTTTTTTTTATTGAGCTCTATGAAAATGGTTCAAATGAGTTGCATCTCATTTTAAATTTGTTAGAACCCTACCTGGACATTTCTCGGGACTCATTATAACTTTTCAGGCAATATCTGGGTCTTACTTATTAGCAAAGTGGGATTAAACCAGATGGGGCAGAAAAGGGTTAAAATTAATTGGATTAATTCAAAGTGAGGAAATATTAAGGGTTGCCATTATGTACAGATTAGAGAGCCTATAGTGAGATGGTGAGTTATAGAGAGATGGAGAGTTATGGTGGGAAAGTTATGGTGGGAAGTGAGAAGTCCATAGAATATGGTCCGATGTTAGAGGCTTTTTGGCAAAGGATGATGAGAGATTCCAATTTAAGGTATGCATTTTCCCTTATTCACGATCTTCATTGCTGAAGTTATTGCAAACAAAGAAAAATTTACTGTAAAATAAAGGATAAAGGACTGAGAAATTATTTCAAGTGCCGTGAAAAACACTGCTGATGGGTCACTTTCCTCCTAAAAATTTTAGATAGTTGAGAATTCAGAAGAACTCAATTTTACGTAATATGTTACAGTTATTTTTGAATTACAAAATCTGATAATTGTGAGCATTGCCTAGGTTAGGATTGAGAATGAATTATTACTGAATGCTTTTTGGCATAATCTGTACCTGTATGTTTTTAGACATGGAAAAAGAGAAAGAGTAACCTCCCACCCTGGCTAAACTCCACACTTCTCTTTTACTCCTCCAATAAAAATATCTTTAATTTTTTTTGAAAAAGTGCTAGATTGAGAACTTTATAACCCTTGGGAAAAAAATCTGCAAAAGGGCCAGTCTTTGCCTCTGGGGGTTATAAAATATGATAATTAATATTATATGATGACATTGCTCAGAGCTATCCTGTTCATCAAATAACTTGTCCATTTTTACTAATATGATTGGATAAATGTTTTCATTCATATTGGGGTGCCAAGTCCACTCAACCTCATTAGATGGAAACCTTGCCTTTCATTTCTTTGGTGTCTCTCCAGATGAGATAGGGGAGGGTTCTGTGCACTGTTGGGATGGATACAATAAGGGACATTGACTTATTGATTTACTCTGAGAATTCATGGGCAACCCTTGGAAATATACAATGTTAGTGTAAATTTTAGAGTTTACTGAGAAATAAGCTCTAAGAGAATATTCAACTTTGAAATTTTGAGAAAGGGAAGTAGCAGACATATGGACACGAAGATGAAAACATTTATTAAATTTAAACATTAAATGTAAGGGCAAAATGAACATTACTCTTTAATCTTATAAACTGCAAAATAAGATAAATCAAGTCCAGTAACTTCAAGTTGACAAAAAAGGCAGGTTTCCCTTCCTCCCCTTTCCTAGGACTCATCACATTAATATATATATATGGACCCAGCATCATCATTATGCATGTTTTCTGTTTCACCACTATGCTTTCTTTAGCATTAGCTCCATGATTGGATTTTGAAATATAGAGGCATTGATCACAAATTTTAAATTAAAAAAAACAAACAGTAGGTATGATGACATTTCCCATGTTTAAAGAGCTCTTGAACTTGCCACTTACTAATTTCTCAGGCACATTTAAAAGGCTTTCGGGTTAACTATAGCAAAGCCAAACACTACAGTTCTGTCCCATCCATCTTCAGAATACAGGAAACAGATCAATATTTGAGCTGCTCGAATCTATAAGCAAACCTTTCAAAGGAGCCTAGTACAAGGAAGAACAATTCTTTAATTAGTCTCATAACATTTTTGAAACCGATTTTGATATAAGTATTCACTATATATAATTTTTTTGGTTTTTATTAATGGTTTGTGATAGGGTAAGTGTACAGATTTGTGCCTTACTAAGAAAAGTCCAATTGAACGTATTTTGTTTAAATTAATAAAGAACTGTAGGGAGAATTGGGGGTTGAAGGATTAGGTAATAAATAAGAGAAACAGATGCAGATGAAATACTATTTCCTTCGTGTTGTGTATTTCAGGGAATCTTTAATTCACCTGAATATGGCCATGAGTTATGCTTAGAGTATTGTATTAGAATTCCTAGTAGAAAGGGATTTAAATATACATGTAAAGTTAAATATGGTTAGACAGTAAAATATTGATTGCTTACCACAAACAATGCAGCAGAGTATCTAACACTTGTTTTCCTTGTGGAACATAATAAGGTAATTAATTTATCTCTAGCTGAGTTTTATTTGAGAAATTTTCTTGTATGTGAAACAGATTTAATGTATTTTGTGTGTGTCTCAAATAGCTATTTGTGCTATAATAACCATGTGCAGTTTGTGGCGGCACTTTAATAATCATCACCTTAAAAATCGTGATACTTTCTTCTTTTAAATAGTAAAATACAAGGCTCAGTAGTAAAATAGCACTCTGGATATAAAAGCTAATGACTAATAGGAGAGTTCTGACCCTCTGAATTGCGTTTACTGTTCACCAATGATTATGTCATTAGGAATGAATTAGATAGTCAATGAGGTGAATCTTCAAATCAAAGCTGCCACTTTGAAATTTTCAATAATCTGTTCACTTGTAGGATTAGAATAGTATTTAACGACCATTAGTGTTCTATTGCTGGGGTTATGTGGCCATGAAAAACAGTTTTCTTATGGTATCATTTTTTTTCTCTCTCTCTCACTTTTTTTCTTTTAGAGTAACCATACTTTTTAAACCTTGAGTTCTCTGATTATTTACTCTTGATGTGAACAGCCAGGCAGAACCGAAATAACATGCTATTTACTATATGGAAAAATCACAGGACAGCAAAGAGTGGTGGGTTCAAGCAGAGGTCAGAGGACTGTCCTAAAAAGTGAATGTTCCAGAATGTTGATGGCTGATGATTCTTGTTTCTGCCTCTCATTCGTTTGTTTCTGCACACTGTTTTTACTATCTCAATAACATAAAGAAACATTATGACTATCAATGTTTTTTGTCTACTGGGAAAATTCATTTATGATTTTTAGATCTAATTTTGTGTACTCTCTTTTTATTGCAAAAACATTACTTTAGGTCTTTTGTGGGTACTCAACCATTTGTACAGACTAGAATAATAGCTACAAGAGTGGCTGCCATTTATTGCACGTTTGCTATGTCCTAGATCAGCGGTCTCCAACATTTTTGGCACCAGGGACAAGTTCTGTGAAGACAATTTTTCCACAGACAGGGTGGGCTCAGGGTGAGAGTTTGGGGATGAAACTGTTCCACCTCAGATAATCAAGCATTAGTTAGATTCTCATCAGGAGCGGAGCGTGCAGCCTAGATCCCTCTCATGTGCAGTTCACAATAGGGTTCACTCTCCTATGAGAATCTAATGCCAATGCTGATCTGACAGGAGGCAGAGCTCAGGCAGTAATGCTCGCTTGCCCTCGGCTCACCTAGTGCTGTGCATCCAGGTTCCTAACAGGCCTAGGACTGGTTCTGGTCTGAGGTTCCAGGGCTGGGGACCCGTGTCCTAGATGACATGCTAGAGACATGTTCTGCATCATCCTATGTAGTTCTTACTTTTCATCTAAAAGCAAGGGATTATCATTTCCTCTTTACGGATGAAAAAATTCAAATTTATATGGTTAGTTGATGATCAAGTTGATTACCTGAAATTTGAATGCAAGTCCCACCAGTATGTAATCTACACAAGGGCAGGCATTTTTGTATTTTGTTTGCTGATGTATCTATCTATAGCACACAGAATAATATCTGGCACCTCTTAATTGCTCCGCAAATATGTGTTGAATGAATAGATGAAGATATATTTAGTTCCAAAGTCCATGTTCTTTTACTACACAGCATTACTTAGTTACCCTTCCCCCCAGTACTGGAACCTTATGATAAGAGAATATTTTACATTAAGATTAAACTTCAGAATCTCTAAAGCATTCAGCAGAACAGCAGATTATCCAAAAAATAACATCTGTCATTTTCTCTTTGGTTCATGGGATGATAGAAGTTCAGAATTCATTGTAAGGGTACAAAGGAATACACACACACACACGTCGTTAATGTATGTCAGCAGGTTACTTTTTTTGACAATAAAATCACTTACCCCTACAGAACATGCCTGAAGCATGGCTCAGACTACTTAAAAATCATGACTAAGCATCATGAGTGTCCTGATAAACACATCCAATTCTGGCCTCCTAGCCTGGAATAAGAGGCATAGCTATCTTTCATGTGGCCTTTAATCCTAGGCAAACCTGTGCTTCTCCTCTTGTGGAAGTCTGCACAGGCAGTCCTGGATGCAGGACAGCGTCATGAGGCAGAGAGACTTAGTAGATAATGTATTGTCTTATGGTCTCTATATACCAAGGAGATACACACAGGCAGGCCTTCTTTGATGGATATTCTGGATACCCAGGTTGTTTTGTTTACCCAGCATCTATTCCACTTTCTTCTGGTAACATCACCCTAAGATTCCTTTGGTGAACCATTTCTTGCCAGGCCCATCCTCCATCCCTTATTTCATCTCTTCTGGCTACACAAATTGTTTCGGGAATGGGTGGGTAATCCAAATTGGTTCAATTCAAGTCAGGTCTGGGACTTTTGCTAGACCTTTGGGAAGTTGGGCTCTTTCTTCTGGGGCTTCTGAACTGATAGACTGTTAGTTTGAAGCGGTCAGAGACTGCCATAGAAAAGGATCTTGACTGAGAATGAAGCTAACACAGAGGAAAATAAGAGGCCTGGTAATAATATTTACATTACAAAGCTTAATCTACCTTTGAATTTTTAAGATACATGAACTACTACATGTCCTTATTTGCTTAAGTCTCCGGGTAGGTTCCTATCCCTTGTAATGGCTTAGCATATAATAGCTGAGAGTCTTCATATTTTGATGTAGACTTCCTTTCTTGCTTGTCTTCCTTTTGTTTGTTAAATTTCCCTGAATCATCACCAAAACACATTGTAACTTTGAAAAACTCTTTCCCTTGGGAACCGTCATTTGATCCATATAGTGGCTATGTGATGGTGGTTCAAGTGATACTGGGCACCAAGTAATTGAACAAGAATTTCCTAAATGTGTTTGGTGGAATACTAAAGTGAGACTTCTTTTTCAAAATTTTGTTTTTATTTTCTATTTTTAACATTTTTGTGGGTACATAGTAGGTGTATACATTTATGGGGTACATGAAGTGTTTTGATACAGACCTGTAATGTGAAATAAGCACATTATAGGGAATGGAGTATCCCCTCAAGCATTTGCCCTTTGAGTTACAAACAATCCAACTACACTCTTTAAGTTATTTTAAAATTTATAATTATGTTATTATTGACTATAGTCACCCTATCCCTATCGTACTATAAAATAGTAGGTCTTCTTCATTCTTACCATGTTTTTATACTCACTAACCATCCCCATCTCCTCCCCAGCCGCAGCCGCCGGCCAACCCCACTATCATTCCCAGCCTCTGGTAACCATCCTTCTGCTCTCTATGTCCATGAATTCAATTGTTTTTATTTTTAGCTCCTATTTGTTTTCTGGTTTATCTTTCTTCCTTCTTTCCTTCCTGTTTTCCCCTAGTGAAGGTGATTTTTCTCTGGCGATATGATTCAGCTTCTTGGTTTTTATTTTTTGTGCATTCATTGTATGTTTTTTGGTTTGAGGTTACCATGAGGCTTGCAAATACTATCTTATAACCCATATTTTAACCTGATAACAACTTAACACTATTTGCATAAACAAAGAAATAAACAAGCAAAAGGAAAACTAACAAAAACTCTATGCTTTAACTTTACTCCCTCACTTTTCAACTTTTTATTGTTTCTACTTATATCTTTTTGTACTGGCTATGTCTGGAAAAGTTGTTGTAGTTATTATTTTTGATTGTTTCATCATTCAGTCTTTCTACTTAGGATAAGAGTAGTTTACACACCACAGTTATAGTGTTATAATATTCTGTATTTTTCTCTGTATTTACCATTACCCGTGAGTTTTGTACTTTCAGGTGATTACTTATTGCTTATTGATATCATTTTCTTTCTGATTAAAGTTCTCCCTTTAGCATATCTTGTAGGACAGGCTTGGCATTGATGAAATCCCTCAGCTTTTGTTTGTCTGGGGAAGTCTTTAATTCTCCTTCAAGTTTGAAGGATATTTTCACCTGATACACTATTCTAGGGTAAAAGTTATTTTCCTGCAGCACTTTAAATATGTCATGCCTCTCTCTCCTGGCCTGTAAGTTTTCCACTGAAAAGTCTGCTGCCAGATGTACTGGAGCTCCATTGTATGTTATTTATTTATTTTCTCTTTCTGCTTTTAGGTTCCTTTCTTTATTCTTGAACTTTGGGAATTGTATTATTAAGTGTCTTGAAGTAGTCTCCTTTGCATTAAATTTGCTTGCTGTTCTATAACTTTCTTGTACTTGGATATTGATCTCTTCCTCTTGGTTTGAGAAGTTCTCTGTTGTTATTCCTTTGAATAAACTTTCTATCCCTATCTTGTTCTCTACCTCCTCTTTAAGGCCAATAAATCTTAGATTTGCCCTCTTGAGTCTATTTTCTAGATCCTGTAGGCATGCTTCATTGTGTTTTATTCTTTTTTTGTCTCCTCTGACTGTGTATTTTAAAATAGCCTGTATTCAAGCTTACTAATTCTTTCTTCTGCGTGATTAATTCTGCTATTAAAGGATTCTGATGCATTCTTTACTATGCCAATTGCATTTTTCAGCTCTAGAATTTCTACTTGATTCTTTTTAATTATTTCCATTTCTTTGTTAAACGTATCTAATATGAATCTGAATTCTTTCTCTGTGTTACCTTGAATTTCATTGAGTTTCCTTATGACAGCTATTTGAATTTTCTGTCTGAAAGTTCACATATCCCTGTTTCTCCAGGATTGTTCCCTGGTGACTTATTTAGTGCATTTCATGAGGCCATGTTTTCCTAAATGGTGTTGATGCTAGTAGATGTTCTTTTGTGTTTGGGTATTGAAGAGTTTGGTATTTATTGTAGTCTTTACTGTCTGGGCTTATTTATAGCTGTCTTTCTTGTGAAGGCTGTCTAGATATTTGAAATGACTTGTGTGTTGTGGTCTAAGCTGTGCTTTAGGGGGCGCCCCAAGCCCAGTAACACTGTGGTTTTTGCAGACTTGAGGTACTGTCTTGTTAGTCTTGGACAAGATCTGAGAGATCTGCATTACCAGGCAGAGACTCTTGTTCTCTTTCCTTGCTTTCTTCCAAACATACAGGGTCTCTCTTTCTGTTCTGAGCTAGCTAAAGGTGGAGGTGAAGTGACACAAGCACCCCTGTGGCCACCAATACTATGACTACACTGGGTCAGACCTGAAGCCAGCACAGGACTAGGTCTCACCCAAGGCCTGCTGTAGCCACTCCATGACAACTGCCTATATTCACTTATGGCCCTGGGGCTCTACAGTCAGCAGGTGGCAAAGTCAACCAGGCCTGTGTCCTTCCTTTCATGGTGGCAATGACCCCCAGTCCCTGGGTGGGTCCAGAACTGCCTTCTGGGAGTCAGGGACAAGAGCTAAATTCCTTAGAAGTTTATCTGGTATTCTATTGTATTGTGGCTGAGCTGGCACGAAAACTACAAGATGCATTCCTTCCCACTCTTCCCTCCCCTTTCCATAGGCAAAGGAGCCTCACCCTGTAGCTACTGCCACCCCAAGCCATGAGGAGTAATGCCAGACTACTGCTGATGTTCCTTTAAGGCCCAAGGTCTCTTAAGTCAGCTTGTCATGAATGCTGTCTGGCTCATTACTCACCCTTTAGGGCAGTAGACTCCCCTCTGGCCAATGGGAGGTCAAGGAATGTCATCCAAGAGCCATGTCCTGGAATTGGGGACCCCAGGAGCCCACTTGTGTTCTACCCCACTGTGGCTGTGCTGTTACCTAAGGTGCAAGACAAAATCCCATTTACTTTTTCCTCTGCTTTTCTCAAGCAGATGAAGTTTTGCCCCACAGCCACCACATTTGGTATAGTGCTGAAGCCAGCAAGTCTCAGAGGCTCACCCAAGGCCCTCAATGTAGTACCTGGGTATTGTTGCTGGTTGTTCAGGGACCAAGGACTCTTCAGTTAGCAGGTGATGAATGCTGCCAGGATTGGGTCCTTTCCTTCAAGGCAATGGGTTCTCTTCTGGCCCAGAGTTTGTTTAGAAATGTCATCTGGGAGCTAGGGCCTGGAATGGGGGCCTCAGACTCTGACTGGTGCCTTGTCCTGCTGTGGCTGAGCTGGTATCTTAGATGCAAGACAAAGTCCTCCCTACTCTTCCCTCTCCTCTCCTCAAGTGGAAAGAAGAGGTCTCTTTTGGAGCCTTGAGCTGTACAGCTTGGGATTAGGGGAGGGGTGATACCGGCACTCCCTTGGCTGCCCTAGCTGGTGTCTCCGTATGTCATGTACCCCCTCAGTCCACTTCCTCTGGGCCTAGTTCAGCACTAGGACTAACCCAAGAGTTTCAGTCTTTATGGCCTAGAGAGCCTTTCAAATTTGCTTGGAGACACAGTGTTGCAGCCGTCTGTGGCGAGGTTTGCAGGCACTCAAGTTCGGACTGCTGGGATGGCAATTCCTTCTGGCTAGAGTTAATTTAAATGCTTTGTCTGTGGGTGGGTGTCAGCTGGGTTTGGTCCAGTTTTTCTTTCTGCTCTAACAGGACAAAACTGAGTTAAGTGCCTCACAATTGCTGTGTTCTCTCTTCCCCAGCACCCAGAGAAACTCTCCCCACTACTCCTCTGCTGCCAGGCTTGGGAAGGGATGGCACTGGCGATTCAGGACTGTTTTTTCTATCTCTTTAGTGGCTCTCTCTTTCAGTGATATGAAGTTAGAACCAGGTACTGCCAGTGCTCACCTGATTTTTGTTTTTAGTGAAGGTGCTTTTTCTGTGTAGGCAGTTGTTAACTTGGCGTTCTTGTGGGAGGAATGATCGGTTGAGGTTTCTAGTCTGCCATCTTGCTTTGCCTTCCTCTAAATTGGGATTTCTAAACAGCTACCATGAGAACAAAGTCAAATATGTTTGAGAAATACTAGGTTAAACAAATTTAAACAGATTTATTTTCTTCAAATATTTGTTCATTTAAACTAAGAAGAACTAAGAATTTCCATGAGGGGCATAAAAAAGTTTTAAAAATGTAGTTTTCCAAACAATTTAATCATTGAGCCTCTTTTTTTTTTTTTTCCTCTCTCTTAGTTTCCCTTTTGGGATTTAACTTTGGAGAACACATTTTGGGAAATATCATGAGTTATGTTTGCTGAGGAAATTTTAAATTAGGTTCTCCAGGAAGGGTCCTGGCATCCATGTTCCAGGGCAATGGATTGTTGTTGTTGATGGTTTCTTCCTCCAAGCCGGAAGCAACTTTAAACCAAAGAGAGTTTAAAAACAAACCTCTTTCACTGGCCCATAACTGAGCCTATTGACTTTACCTGCACAAGAAAACACAGATAGAATCAGACAGAGGAAGAGAGAGAGAGAAAGAGAGTTCAAGAATTGGAGGCTGATATCTGGTTTAGAATTTTGAGGTTATCACACAATGCTAATTTCAAGCATCCCCTTTTGTTTTGTTATACAGTATGTAGAAATCTAGAATGAATGAGCTTCTATAATCTGATAATGAGTCAAGATTTTAATGGCTAGTCTTCCAACACCCTGCTTATTTTAATGGAATTTTGGGTAATCAAGGCTTATTTTTGCTCAGTTGTGCTACATGTTAGAAAAGGGCAGTGATACTCTTACTTTTCAGATGAAGAAACTGATGCTTAGAAAGTTAGGGATTTGCTGAGGTTACACACAGAGTGAATGGTGGAGTGAGTACTTGAACTTTTCTCTATTGCCCATGGATGTTATCCTTGGCCATACTTCTCAAAAAGGGGTGTAGTTATTGTACAATGAGGCTATAAAATATTTCCAAAATCATTTCATGTGATGGGTTACTAGGAGTATCATGAATGTAATGTTACTGTGTAGTAGTTACTAATAAAATAGAATAATATTGTATGGAGATTTTCTTGCATAGGCAAGAATACCATTCTCTGCTAAGTTAGAAAACTTTTTTTTTATTATACTTTAAGTTTTAGGGTACATGTGCACAACGTGCAGGTTTGTTACATATGTATACATGTGCCATGTTGGTGTGTTGCACCCATTAACTCGTCATTTAACATTAGGTATATCTCCTCATGCTATCCCTCCCCACTCCCCCCACCCCACAACAGGCCCTGGTGTGTGTGATGTTCCCCTTCCTGTGTCCATGAGTTCTCATTGTTCAATTCCCACCTATGAGTGAGAACATGCAGTGTTTGGTTTTTTGTCCTTGCGATAGTTTGCTGAGAATGATGGTTTCCAGCTTCATCCACGTCCCTACAAAGAACATGAACTCATCATTTTTTATGGCTGCATAGTATTCCATGGTGTATATGTGCCACATTTTCTTAATCCAGTATATCACTGTTGGACATTTGGGTTGGTTCCAAGTCTTTGCTATTGTGAATAGTGCCGCAATAAACATACGTGTGCATGTGTCTTTATAGCAGCATGTTTTATAATCCTTTGGGTATATACCCAGTAATGGGATGGCTGGGTCAAATGGTATTTCTAGTCTAGATCCCTGAGGAATCACCACACTGACTTCCACAACGGTTGAGCTAGTTTACAGTCCTACCAACAGTACAAAAGTGTTCCTATTTTCCACATCCTCTCCAGCACCTGTTGTTTCCTGACTTTTTAATGATCTCCATTCTAACTGGTGTGAGATGGTATCTCATTGTGGTTTTGATTTGCATTTCTCTGATGGCCAGTGATGATGAGCATTTTTTCATGTGTCTTCTGGCTGCATAAATGTCTTCTTTTGAGACATGTCTGTTCATATCCTTTGCCCACTTTTTGATGGGGTTGTTTGTTTTCTTCTTGTAAATTTGTTTGAGTTCATTGTAGATTCTGGATATTAGCCCTTTGTCAGATGAGTAGATTGCAAAAATTTTCTCCCATTCTGTAGGTTGCCTGTTCACTCTGATGGTAGTTTCTTTTGCTGTGCAGAAGCTCTTTAGTTTAATTAGATCCCATTTGTCAACTTTGGCTTTTGTTGCCATTGCTTTTGGTGTTTTAGACATGAAATCCTTGCCCATGCCTATGTCCTGAATGGTATTGCCTAGGTTTTCTTCTAGGGTTTTTACAGTTTTAGGTCTAACATTTAAGTCTTTAATCCATCTTGAATTAATTTTTGTATAAGGTGTAAGGAAGGGATCCAGTTTCAGCTTTCTACATATGGCTAACCAATTTTCCCAGCACCATTTACTTTTATTCAGTCTATAACATTTGTAAATGAAAAAATGAATTAACAAGACATTTAAGATTGGTTCTCTATTGTTTTCAGAGCATGTGCTCAAATAACTTATTTCCTGAATATATGTTTTGAGAAAATGACCTGTCAAAACAAAGTCTGATTTTTTTTGTTATCTCCCTTCAAAACATACATTTTTACTAAAATAAAATACATCCAATTAATGTTATTTAGAGTAAAAGACATGCAATTAAGTTTACATTTCAAAGTTAACTTCTGTGAAGGGCAGAGAGTGCACATTAAAAATGTCCTTGATTCTAGTCTACATAGTTTATTCTTTGGTAATAAAAAATACTTGGTTTAAAATGAAATTGTGTGAGAATTCAAATTTTACTTGACTAAAACAGTTGATTGTACTTCTGTTGTTAAATGACATTCAAAATTGAACCAAGTAGATCCTAAATGCACAAAGACCATGCTATATTTTTTCCCTTTATAATTCATTGATTTTCAAAGTCATTGGAGCATATTTTTGTTTGTTTTTAAAAAATGTCTGCCATCTGACACAGCCTTTGCTGAGTATTGAGAAACATGCTTACTTGCTCTTTGTTTTGTTTTAGGAGGTGGATTCTTTCCTGTTAGCCTGGTTTATCTGCATCTGCAGTAATTAGTTGGATGGTGAATTAAATAAGTTACACCTGAGTTAGTTGAGAGCTTTAATCTGCCTGCATGAGTAGGAAAATTCTAAGCTTTTACTGAACTGAAAAGTCAATTCATTGGCAAGATAGAGGGTGACAATGGTAGCAGCTAATGAGCTTCTGTTGGAAGAGATTGAATAATTATTTAAAAATTCATTCATTGGCTGATTCAGCTGTCAGGACACGGCATCATCACACATATGGCCTGGCCGCCTGGGCCTCTGTATGCTGAGGTTACTATGACACTTTCAGGAGAGTTCGCTCTCCAAAGCATCAACAACCACATTTTGACAATAGGAGTAAATGTGTGATGGACCTGTGTTTCTTAACCAAACTGAAATTCTGTATTTGGCTAACAGTATCTTGTATTGAGAAAAAAAATGGCTGTTCCATCTTCTGTTTGTTTTTAAAAGCCAGCAACAAGCTCTTGGCATCAATATTCGTAGTGGGTTTTCAAACACTCGGCAAAAAACATCAATAGCATCTGCTCACACCCCATCACCCTATCCCACATTCATTTGGTGGATAGCTCTAACTAGCTGGATGGTTAAATTCTGCACCTTTCTGCATTTAAACTTAGCACTGTGGACTAACTCCAACATAGTTAGAAAGTTGCTTCAAAACAGTTGCATTTTGGCTTCCACCTTTCTCACTCATGAGGCCCAGGCCACTTGACTAAATAGCTGAGCCAGAAACTGTGGACTCCAGTCCTAGCCCCACTCTTCGATTGACCATAACAATCCTTGGATACAGAGGCAAAAGACCAAGATTTAAATCATGGTTGTATATTGGCTAGCTTTGAGCTTTTGGTCAAGTTCCCTAATTTTAGTCTTAATTTTCCTTATTTATAAAGATGGGGATCATATTTCTGTTCATCCCATCCCACAAGGTAACCAGCCCAATTTGGGAGGATCTTTCATTGTTACTTATAATATTATATTTAAATAAGTGTATACTTGCTACCTTCTGGTCACAGAATGTCTTCTGGAGAATGTCTATCTTCATACCATATGACAGATCTTTGCATATTTGTGGGCTACTATCATGTAACTGTCAAGCCAACTGTTAAGGCAATGGAGATAAGCCACTGCCATTCAGCCTTATTTGCTGTCGTCATGGCATAGTTTCCTAAACCTTTATCCTCCTGGTTTTCTCAATGTACCTGTTAAGATATGGCATTCAAAACTGAACACAGAACTCAAGTTGAGGGTCTTATATGTGTGCTTAATATGTCCTTATTCTGGAGATCTCAGAATGCAGTCCTAAGATTGCCTTAGCTATTTTTGGTAGCTAGATCTACTAATCTCATATTGAAATTTTAGTCCACAAAACCCATAGTTCTCTTTTACATCAACTTCACAGGCCTTCATATCTGCCTTCCTGTATTTAATAATAGTGATGTGACAGCTTTTATCAAGCACTTACAATATGCAAGGCATTATGCTGAATGATTTGCATACATTAACTGTTTATCTCTTAAAATTAAGTTTTAGTGCAAATTTTATTATTTTCTCTAATTTACAGATGAGAAAACTGAGGCTTACAGAAAAAGAAATATGATTTTCTTGTGTAGAGCTTGTATGGTGCAATCCTGCTAAGTTCACTTATTAATTATAGAAACTTTTTATTTTTTATTTTTTAAAAAAGTTTCTTGGAATTTTCTATATAGACAATTATGTTGTTGGTGAATGGGATACTTTTATCTCTTTCTTTCCAAACTGTATACCTTTAATTTCTTTTTCTTACCTTATTGCATTGGCTAGGACCTCCAGGACAATGTTGAGTAGGAGTGGTGAGAATTGACATCCTTGTCATGTTTCTTACCTTAGGTGGAAACCAGTCTTTCATTGTTGAGTATGATATTAGCTATAGATTTTCTTGTAGATGACCTTTATAATTTTGAGGAACCTCCCTTCCCTTGGAACTGCCCTTTCTGGCTTGATAAGACATTGTTTTTAAAATCATGAATGGGAACTGAATGCATTGGCATGCACCTTTAAGCCCCAGATACTTGGGAGGCTGAGGCAGGAGGATTGCTTGAGCCTAGGAATTCAAGACCAGCCTGGGCAACATAGCAATACCCTGTATGAATGTGCCAGGGATGGTGGCTCATGCCTGTAATCCCAGCACTTTGGTAGGCCGAGGAGGACAGATCTCTGGAGCTCAAGACTTCAAGACCAGCCTGGGCAACATAGCAATACTTCATCTTTAGAAAAGATGAGGGGAGAGGAGAGGAGGGAGACAAGGAGGAAGAAGAGCTATAGCATACAGGTTTGAAAATGACTTCCCACATGTTACCTCATTTTATTCCCACAATGGCCCTGCAAGGTAGAAAGTACATGTATAATTAACCTTTTTAAACAGATGAGTTAATTTTGGCTCAGTGAGATTAGATGACATGGCCAAGGTCACATAACTAGTAAGAGACTAGTATAATTTCCAAACCTTCTGCTCCAAAGATCAGTTTTTCTTAAAATAACACTTTGCTGCCTCTAGTAAAATTGAATTATCTGTAGTTCTTCTAGAGCTTGAGAGATAAAAGCCAGTGACTAATCTTTTAAAAAAAATTCATTCTTCCATCCTGCAAGTAAAGCAGGCACTCTAACAACACTAGACAATGCAGTAGTATTTCCTGCCTGCAAGGGATTTATTGTATAGAAAGAGAGAAGTGAAACAGATATAGCACTGTTATTCAAGACGCTAGGTCAAAAGAGACATGAGAGAGTCAAAGAAAGTGCAATTGAATTTAGTAAGCTGTTTTTCTGTGTGATTTCAGGTACTAACAACTGTGTCAATGCATTTTTTTCTTTTACATATAGTGAAAATAATATGATTTCTGGAGGTCAGGGTGAATGTTGGTAGATGTTACAAAAATAAAAACATACTCAAATGCAATCTTTTGGTTTGGCAAGAAGGCCAGGTCATGGGATTTAAAATTCTATTAGTTTCAAGAAGAGCGACCAGTGAGTTGGACAGCCAACAGATGCCTATAAACAGATAATCTATAGAGAACAGCATAGGCATTTATCAAAGCCACTGCCAGTAGATTAGTTGGGACTTTGGGCTATTTGCAGAAATCAGACATAGGTGAGTATTTGTTTCTTTGTCTCTAGTCAGAGACTGCAATGATTCCTTGTGACTTTTTCTGCCATCTTTGAGATCCTCCAAATCTATATTTCTATCTTTCCTCTGTTCACTACCAGATAAGAGGACATCTTCACTTGGATGTCTATTGTATTTTGACATTATCCAAACAAAATCCATCATTTTTTCCCCATCACCCCAAGTCCCCAACTCAGTTTCTCTGATAATTATATTCTCTTTCAAGATGAAAAGTCTGAAGAAAGAGTATCAGCTCAAATCAGAAGCATCTGAGATGTGAAAATTAGATGTGTTTACTGAGGTAGTGTTAGAATTTAGGAGAGCAGGCTTAGTGGTAGGTGTGGGGAATATGTTCAGGGGTTTGGATCTGTTATTCAGAGTATCTGATGTTACATAGTTTATTCATACATTAATTCATTTGTTTATTAGTATTTGGGTCCACCATGTGCCAAGTTCTGGGTTAGGGACTGAGAAATGGTGGTGAATAAGATAGTTATCACCACTGTTGATTAGAGCTCAGTCTTTGTCAGGAAGATGGCATCAGGGAGGCCCAGCAGGAGGTAAGGTGGATTTCTTGACACTGGTTGGGTTGTGATATTGAAGAGTCTGGGGGATCATGCATGGCCGTAACATACTGATGTCAACTGGAACTTTGGTCTAACTTTCTGGTTCCGTGGGAATGGTTCCTATTTAAACCAAGCAAGGGTCTTATGTCTAAAGTGCTGGTTCCAGGCGGGGAATGTGGCCCAGGAGAAGCAAGATAGGGTTCATATTATTAAAATCTGGTGAAGAGGAAGGGATGCAATATTTAATACAAGGCTGAACCCTGATCCTACTACAGAGGTACAAAGTTAGGGCAGGCTCTAGCAGCAAAGTTGACTCCATACAGAGTTACTTGAGTCACCCAAGTAAATACATCTTAAACTTCCCTAGGAATGAGGCTCAGGGGATGTGCAGGAGATACAAGACTGAAAAATGATCTTATCTAGGGACCTGAGAGGATGTGGGGATCATAGACAGCAGTTTCCATGATACCATTTCCTTGGTTGCCAATGTATGAAAAATATAAATGCAAATATTAAAAATTTTTATTTTTAAAATATTCCTTACACATATAAACAATTGGATAAATGAACTTATAGCAAGCACACTTCATTCCTTCCTCCCTCCCTCTCTCCTTTGTTTCCTTCCTTCCTCTTTGTCCTCCTCCTCTCCTATTCTCTTCTCCAAAACATAACCCACAATAACAACCTACCATGTATCCTTCCTTATTTTTTTCTGGGCTATCTTTACACAAATACATATAGCAATATACATGTATGAATACACACACTCATAATTTTCAGTCATTTATAAAATATTTGCATCTTGATTTCTTATTCAATATTAATTTGTGGAAATCTTTCTAAGTCAGTAGAAAACCCTGATTTATTTTTATTAATGGCAATATGATAGTCAATAATTTGGATGTATGGTCTTCTCTGTGGCTGTATCTGGCAGAAATTCCTATGTAATTGGCACCATGCAGGGGAATGCTTATCCCCAGTTTCAGTTTCTAGATGGAGGAGCTTTCGTTAGAGACTCTCCTGGCTTCCCTCTGCCTACTCATTCATTCCTCTCCAGGGAGAAGGGTGACCAGTGCAGTTGCTGATCTAGATAGAAGAGTCTCAGCCTTTTTTTTCTCTCTCTCTCTCTCTGGGAGCCTGTCTGCAGAGACCACCCATTCTATCCTGCTTCTCTGTTCCATACTGTGTAGGCCTGTCATTCTTCAATCTTGCCTGTTTGTGGCATGGGTGGGCAAGTGTATCTAATTCTGGAATGCATTATCAGTAGCTAAAGATTGAATAAGGCTAGGCGCGGTGGCTCATGCCTGTAATCTCAGCACTTTGGGAGGCCAAAGTGGGCGGATCACAAGGTCAAGAGATTGAGACCATCCTGGTCAACATGGTGAAACCCCGCCTCTACTAAAAATACAAAAATTAGCCAGGTGTGGTGGCGCATGTCTGTAGTCCCAGCTACTCCAGAGGCTGAGGCAGGAGAATTGCTTGAACCTGGGATGCAGAGATTGCAGTGAGCTGAGATCATGCCACTGCACTCCAGCCTGGCAACAGAGCGAGACTCCATCTCAAACAAACAAATAAACAAACAACAACCAGAAAAAACATTGAATGCTATGTATAAAGTATATGTATTAATAAAGTGGGCATTTTGATCTCCATCTACCTGATTTTTGTATCTATTTTTCAGTTGGTTCTGAATTTGGGCAGGGGACAGGAATTTAACCTATTGACATCCATGAACCTTGTTTTAGGTTTGGTGAAGGTTTTAAAATTTAATTAAAAAAAAAAATTTACTCCTTCTCCTTGGCCATTTCAGGCATTTTTTTCAAAGGAAAGTTTAGAAGCTTCCTCTAAAACTGAAATGTCGATCACACTTACGATTCAGTCTTCATATTGCTGCCTTACTTTTTTCTTTGAGTTCCTTCCCCGGTGATTTGTACCATGATAGGGGTGTCATGGGGCAGATGATGGGGTGAGACTAAGGGCCAAGGAAGGGGCATGGGACCCTTAAGGAAGGTGACATCCTTTGACTCCTTTCGGGGTCTCACCATCTGACCACTGTTGTTTCAATTGTTCTTTGGACATCTGGCTCTTGCTTTCATACTATACCCTCTAACACCTTTCAAAAGAAAGTCCCAGCCTTGGAGGATGTAGTAGGGGGAATTGTTCTCTCTGTTTCTCCTCTTCCCTACCCTTTTCACTCTTCAGGGTAAAAATCTTCAATCTTATATTGCAACAAGACCAAGCATTTTTATGTTCATTTTTCAAGACTGTCCTCAACCTCACTGCTCCTGATCTGGCTGATCTTGTTTCTGCCCCTGCCCACCACTCAGGATCTCCCTTTCCTCCATCCAGACATACAACTCACTGGTCCTTAAGTGAGTCACTCTCATGGCTTCTTCTCTGCCTTCAGGGTCGACAGTGTACAAAGTCTCTCGCACTAGCGAGCTCCTTCAAGGTCCAGCTGAAGTTGTACTTGCCTTGTGGAACCTCATGCCCTCTCTGGTCTCACTGTATTTGGAAACAGAGGCTCTCAGAATCACTTGAAGGGCTTGTAAAAACACAGATAGCTGGGCTCCACCCTCAGAGTTTCTGATTCGGGAGGTCTGATGTGGTGCCCAAGAACTAGCATTTTTAACAAATTCCCAGGGGATGCTGATGTGCTGGTCCACTTTCAGAATCACTGCAATGAAGCATCACAGCAATTTGCAGTAGCATCACAGAATTCCCTACTCAGTGATCTTGTCATTCTCTAATTATGTCACATGTCTTAGATACATCTCCCCAACCAAACAATGGTGGCCTTGAACTTCTCTTATCTCAGAGTGACTGGCACAGAGCTATTAACGACTTTATAGAGTTGATTGGATGTGAACACCAACAGTGAAGAAAACTCAAGAGGCATCTGTGTTCTTCCAGGAGGAGGGTGGCCATCTGTCCTTGTTGTTGGCTGAATTCTCTCCTTTGCCAGACCCCAGGCTGGTTTCTGCCATTTCTTGTGGTCTGCTGAACTTCCACTGGGATGTGGTTAGCCAGCAACGGTTGTATCTGGGTGCCTGCAGTTGTGGCTTATTGCAAATTAACCCCTGGCCACTGGATGCCACTCTTATGTCAGAATTTTGGTTTGCCCATCTCCTGTTGTTAAACTCCTACCAGCAAATGTTTATTTGGAAGGTTGGGATAGAAGAAAATGTGAGGCCTTGAAATCAGACTGTAGTGGATTATCTGAATAGCTCCAATTCTTCATCCCTTTGCCATAGGACTTTGCAGTTCTCCCACTAAGAGAGGTGGAATATATTCCCCTGCCCCTGAAGTTTGTCTGTGTAGCTTTCTTTGGCCAATTGAATGTTAGCATAAATGATGTGACCAAGAATTTCAAAGACGCTTGCACAATTGGAGTTGCTCTTCTGGGCCTCTGCCTTGGCCTTGAGGACAACATGCCTGAGATAGCCTGATGCTCCCAGAAAGAAGAGAGACAGCTGAAGCAGAGTCACCCTGAGTCAAGCCCAGCTTAGACCAAGTGTCCCTGGGCTGAGCTGCAGATCTCTGAAAATAAATGAATGTAGGTTTAATCCACTGACATTTCGGGTAGTTTCTTTGGTAGCATTTTTGTCGCAATACATAGGTAGACTGGGGTCAACATCTGATCTCTAAAACTCACCAGCTGTGTTTTTGAGCTATACCCACCCTTTTGGATGGTACTCTTACATTTAAATGGGGCAAGTAGTATTTATCTTTAGGGTCATCGTCAGGACAAGAAATTATACATGTAAAATGCTGAGCTTGGGGCCTCTATTTGTCCATTTGCATTGCTATAAAGGAATACCTGAGACTGGGTAATGTATAAAGAAAAGACGTTTATTTGGCTCACAGTTCTGTAGGCTGTATAAGAAGTATGGTGTCGGCCGGGCGCGGTGGCTCACGCCTGTAATCCCAGCACTTTGGGAGGCCGAGGCGGGCGGATCACGAGGTCAGGAGATCGAGACCATCCCGGCTAAAACGGTGAAACCCCGTCTCTACTAAAAATACAAAAAATTAGCCAGGCGTAGTGGCGGGCGCCTGTAGTCCCAGCTACTTGGGAGGCTGAGGCAGGAGAATGGCGTGAACCCGGGAGGCGGAGCTTGCAGTGAGCCGAGATCCCGCCACTGCACTCCAGCCTGGGCGACAGAGCGAGACTCCGTCTCAAAAAAAAAAAAAAAAAAAAAAAAAAGAAGTATGGTGTCAGCATCTGCTCCTGGTGAGGGCTTCAGGAAGCTTTCACTCATGGTAGAAGGGGAAGTGGAGCCAGTGTGGGCAGATCACAGGGGGAGAGAGGGAAGAAGAAAGAGAGGAGGGAGGAGTGTCAGACTCTTTTAAACAACCAGCTATTGCTGGAAAGAATAGAGCAAGAACTCACTCATTCATCATTTCGAGAATGGCAACAAGCCATTCATGTGGGATCCACCTTTCATGATCCAAGCACCTCCTACTAGGCCCCACCTCCAATATTGGGGGGTCAAATTTCAACATGAGATTTAGAGGGGACAAATATCTAAACCATCAGGCCCTTGAAGTTTCTGCTATAGCACCTGGCCCATGTGCCCAATGTGTGTTGGGTGCGTGAATAGAACCTTAAAGAGTGGTGGTGGTGAGAAATGTCACACTGTGGGATTCAAGGGTTTGTTTACAATACTGTGACTGTGGAATGGGCCTCTACACATTTTCAAGGAATGTTAACCTCTCTAAATTTCTGGGAAACTAGAAGATTCCACTAAGCCTAGAGCGCAGTATGAGAAAGTAGTTCTATGTTGTCTCTGAGGCCTCTTTTAACCCCTCTGTGACCCTATAGTTTGTTTATTCTAGGATCTTGGTTTTCTGAAAGTTTACTTCTTTCCACATGTCTTGTGCTATTTGTCCTGTTCCTTGGTGAATTATCTATGCCATGACTCCTCGCCTATCATAAAGCCTGGTGGTTACTTAGTACTTACTGTATGTTAGATACTCTCTATGTCAATCTCTCATTCAGTCCTCACAACCTCACTAAAAGACTTCATATTATAGATGAGAAAATTGAGAATTGAAGAGATGAAGTAGGTCACACAGCTAGTAAGTAACAGAGCTGATATTCTAGCCCATATCTGATTTCTAAACCTTTGCCTTTAACCTCCATGTCATACTATATTATGCATGGGTAACTTTATAATACTTGTTTACCAGAAACTCCAGAATTACCCTATAGGAATTATCAAGGGAGTTTGAGCAGGAAGATGTCTGCAGAAACAGGGGATACAACATTATCAAAACACTCTGACCACTGGTTTGCTGGTGGTCTTGTTGGCAACTCAGCTGCATTTTTATGTTGGAAAGTGGTTTGTGAATCATCCATTAGGTGTTGAGCCTCAATGTCATTTGTTACCAAGCCCCAGGAAAGATGCTAGGTGGCCTGTTTGTCCTCTGAGCTAATTGAGATGGGCGGATGTGATTCCAACCCTGCTATCGTCTCAAGAGTGTCATGGGTTTTTCCTAATTAATGTTTATAGCTCACCCTGGTCCCTTGAGATGGCAACAGAGGAAAAGATGTGCCAAATGGTTGCATGATAATTCTCATCCCACTGATTGATAATGGACTTTAGAATAATCTAAAGTCTGTCCTTGGGTTTAAGGCTGTTGCTGACCCTCATGTGTGGGCAGGTTAACCGAGGCACTGGAGTGCAAGGGATGCAACTGAAAGTCTGATAATTTCTTCACAGTTGCCTCTGAGGCCTGCCTAGGATTTGAATCTGCTCTCTTCCTCCCAGCATGAAGAGATTCGGTATGCAAAGTCAAACTGTCCTCTTCCTACCCATTGTTTATTGCTTTATTTACACTACACAGAACTAATCAGGAACACCATTGATGAGCCTGATGCCACTCAATTCCTGCTGCCCAGAAGGCGGGGCCTTTTCTGAGCAAGTAAAGCAGGAGAGAAGCAACACTACTGGTTACTCAAATAACATCTCCCTACCTTCTTGCTGACAGAATTTCAATTTTGTTCAGATAATTGCCTTTCAGGTGACCCTATCCGAAGCTTGTGAGTGAATCCTGTATAGTCTAAGCCATGTGAGGTCTTCTCATTGCCCTAGACTGTTATTATGGTTGGGTGGGCATGTGACCCAGTTCTGGCTACTGGGATCTGAGGAGAAGTCTGCTGGTGCAGAGGCATTTGGGAAAATACTTCCTCTCTGAGAAAAAGAGACACAAGCAAGAAATAACCCCTTCTCTTCTGGCTGGTTGTTATTTTGTCTGCAGGTAGAACCCTTAATTGTGGCTACTGCCTTGTGACCATGGTGGAAACTCATTGAGGACAAAGCTAACAAGTTAAGAATAGCAGAGAGGAAAAAAAATGTTCTTATGGTTTCTTTGAACCTCTGAATGAAACACCTTAGGAACCATTCTTCCTTGGAACTTGTGCTGTGTGAAATAATACAATATCCTCATTGCTTAAAGCATTTTAAGTTGAGTTTTCTGTTAGGTGCAGCTAAAAACCTCATGATATAATAAAAAGTTGTTTAAAAGAAACGGAAAATTCTATGTAGATTCTAGGGTTGCACTGGCTGCTTTATTTGTTCTATAGTTTGTCTCTTCCTCCCTGTTTTGCTGCTCCTTTACATTTGGTCACTCAGAGCCCAGATTAATTGTTGTCTGAATAAGCTTCCCTTGGCCTCCTCCATTCAGCACTGGTAGACTCTGCAGTCCAAGCCCCTGAGCATGATGCCTGTTGGTGTGAGGCAGAGGGACATGTGATCCACATGGAGGTGCAACTAGACAACTTCTAATGCTTTTTTTTTTTCTTTTTTTTTTGTCCACGCTGAGCATTTATGAGCAGTGGCACATACTGTTCTCTCTGTGAGGGATGCTCTTTCTTCACTCTGTCATCTCCACAACTTGGTGAACTCCTATTCATTCTTCGTGCTCTCAGCTCACGTGTCCCTTCCTTTCCTGAGTCTACTGTATCGATCAGCTTTCTTTGTTGCTTTTGTGGAATCATATTCTCTTCAGAGCATTTACCACAGGGCCTGATTATTTCCCTCTTACTATGATTTTTGATTAATGCCATTTTCCCCCTGTTGCCTGAAGTTCCAAGAAATCAGGAATCATGTCTCACGTTGATATCTGTTGCATCCCAGGTGGCTAGATCAGTGCCTTTCCTGTACTAATAGCAAATAAAATTTGCAGAATGAATGCATGAATATGCAAATTTCTGATATTTAGCAGGGGCTTAGTAAATTGTAACTGCCATTGTTATGGTGTTCTCTTATCAGACTTTCCAGCCATTTCATATTTCCTTATGTTCTCTTGAAAGGAATCCAGAGTCTTTCATCACTAAGTTGCCCTTTATGTATGCTACAAAGGAGCAGATGGTACAGAATACTCAGAAGTCCCAAGGGACTTTACCTCTCTGAGCCTCAGTTTCTTCATTTATGCTGAGTTAGAGCCTTGCTTCTCTGGCATTCATAACACTCTCAGGAGTAGAATCAATCACAGGATGATTATGGCACATCTTCCTGGTTCATTGATTTGACTTGAATACTTAGAAGAAAAGGAAACCCATATCATTAACAAAACTAAATGCTTTATTGAATCAAATTACAAAATGTGCACACATTTTTAGATAATAAGATCCCATCTCCAAGTTCCTTGGTGCTAAGCATTCATGTGTCAGAATCACCCACAAGGGACCTGACCCTGTCTCCAGAGCTTTGTTTTCAACTGGCTTTGACTGGACCATCTCCTATCTATCTATCTATCTATCTATCTATCTATCTATCTATCTATCTATCTATCTATCATCAGTCATCTTTTTAAAAGCTCCCCTTGGGATACTAACATGTAGGCAGGGCAGAAACCACTGTTCCAGGGGTACTTTGGTGGAAAAATGAGACTCGGTGCCATGGATGAATTCACAAGTTCTTTCTAGTTCTGGCCTTCTTCCTCTTGCTTCTTCCTCTTTCTTCAGGTCTTCTCAAATGATCTGGTAATTCTAAAGTCCTACATCTAGCTCTTTCAAGAGTTACTTTTAGCTCTTGCCTGTGGGAAGATGTTCACTAGCAACCCAGGTGATAAACTCATGAGAATTGTCAAGGGTGCTTGGAAACCATCCTGTGGCCCCTGTTGATAAGCCTGTCTCTATGTTTTCAGACAAGAAAAATGTGTGTACCTAAATTTCTTGATTTAAGATAGATATAGCCAGCTCTGCTCAGATTTGGAACCACAAGTTCTAAGGCAGCTCAGGCCTACAAATAAGAGAGCCTGCTGTAGCCCTGGCTTGGTTTCCCGACTGTCTTCCATCTAGCTCAAGCCTGGATTTTACTGAACAGGAGTCTGACCCTCTGCCTGAGCTTTTGTTACTATGCAGCCTGCAAGCAAAGGATGTGTCAATAAAGTGTCCCAGCTCACCTCGTTTCTGAGCAGGCACATCTAGCGATCTTAATGCTCAGCATACAGGGATGCTATGAAAATCAAATTGTTTTAGTTATAAGTCCCTGTGCTCCCTCTTCCACCCTCCCAAAGAAAAAAATGGCAAGCAACGAATGCAAATAATTTTTCAAATCGATTGTTTTATGAAAATGCCTGTTTTTATTGTATCTTTTTTAAGGACTAGAGAATCACATAAATGACAATTCCAGAAACCATAGATTTATGACTTTTTTACTTTCCAAATATGTTGGCACGGAGTTAAAAAATATAAAATTTTGTAATTTCGGGAAGAGAATAATGTACTTTTTTATTAAAATGGAAATGACACACTGCTGCATATCTAAGTTGATTTAGTGTTTTTATTAGTTATATAACTGTTTTAATACCTCACTAACTATTGCATTCTCCCTTAAGGTTTCCATTGTTCACATACCCTAGAAACAAATTGATAATTCTGAAAAAATAAAGTATTTCTTGGTTGTTTGCTAACAGCAGAATAGCAATCAGTCACCACAGGGTTACTACAATGGGCATCATTATATCTGGATCCTTATCAATTTCACTATACGGGTAAGTATTATTGCTGTATACCGGAACTCCTTTGGTGTTATTGCTTAATTTTAATTGTGATTGTAAAATGTGAACAATGTGGATCTTTAAACCACAATTAAACACCTGCTATACTTGTTGTCTGTTGGCATTTAAAGATATATTGAGTATTTAAAAACTGCTGATTCAGATATTACATTGAGCATAAAAATAGATTTAATTTGAGAGCAAATGTTTGCTTAAGGAGGAAGTTACAGGAAAGTTTTCGGAAGTCAGATAGGTGAGTCCAAATTAAAGTCTGATAGGAAGACAGACCCGACAGAAAGTGTAATCATTTCGCAGTCTGCTCTTCTGCCTCCTCCTGCCGGGTCTCATGCCAATTTCTTTCAGCAGTGGGAATCTGACTCTTTGTCCCACTGACAACTTGTTAATGAAGAACCTCCCTACAGGAAGCACCTGCCCGATGTTGATGAGATATTAATAGGAGAAATAACAGAGTTACAGAGGCGCAGGGGAGTGTAGTGGGGAGAAGGGGTAATGATATCTGATTTCAGCCCCAGGTCCCAACCCAAATCAAATGTGAAAAATAGATGTCCTGGACTTGGGGGCTTAAATCCTGCAGATGAAGGGTGATTTGAAGTTTCCTGAAATCCATATTCAGAGCGAGCATTAGTCCCTGAGCTGTGTCTGCAGTCTGTAAACAGAAGGCTTTCCTTCTTTGCTTTTTTTTCTGATGAGTAGGTGGGTTTCTCTGTCTTTTCCATCATCATAATTAACCATTCACACAGTGCCTGCAAAACATTCTACTAGGTTCTGAGTTTCCAATATCATTTAAAACAGCATCGTTTGCCTAAGCTCAGATATACTTTAGTTTTTTAGGAAAAAAGCATTTCTTGTTTTAATTTCCCAGCAGTGTTTTTATAAACAGTGAAGAAGGGAGTAGTATGGGTGGGACAATGGGGACAATAAAAGAATCTTTCCTTGGAGAAACGGGACCACAGGTTGGATGTGAGGAGCAGGAAAGAATAAAATATACTGGGTTATGTTCATCTAAGTTTAATTTTTTACTTATAAAAAATCAAATCAAAATAGGCTTGCAAATCCCAACTTTCCATTTCAAGTAAACAAATGTGATAGTATGCCAGGGAGCTGCCTCAGCTCGGGAAGAAGGTTTAAACAGTTAAACTTTCTGCAAAGACTGCAAAATATCCAGCTAGGAGGCAAATGCGTGATGAAACATGACAGAGGTGGAACAGGCCTCTTTGTGGGTTAAATCTTGAATAAGGTGCACATGTCAATTCTATATTTATTATGAGAACATATTCAGATGTATTATAAGAATCTGGGCCCCTTTGCTCCTCCCTTAAGGCCTGTCTCAGTGCTGAGATGCATGAATGAGAAACAAACCAGACTTCAAAGAACCTTAAAAAGTAATCCTGAGGTTTAGCGAGTGTCTCTTGAGGACCCAGAAGAGGGAGTTACATGGTGTATCACATTAAAAAGGAATCTAAATCTCTTAATTTTACAAAGACAAACCATTTCCATTCCTTGTGTTTCTGTTGTCATGAGCACAATGGAAATGGCTTCTTCCCTGATCAAAGTCCCTGTAAATTGTGAATCTGAATTGACAGTGAGCAAGACAACCTCCCAGGGAACTTTTTTTCTGTCTTCCAAATCATGCAGCCTGAAGCTGCATCTCCACTTTGGCACATAGGGATGTAAGGGTGGAGGCAGGTGGGGTAGTGAGGAGGAATGGGGCAGGCATTAGAGAGTCAACAGGTGTATTCTTTTTAATAATTATAGATATAACCTAGTTACCATAGAACCAAATTTGAAGAATTGTCCCTCTTGGGTCTCAGTTTAAGGGACCTTTAGATATCATACTTGTGCCCAGTGAAGACACATAGTAGGTGCTCAATTTATAATTTTTTAAATGAGCGAATAGATACAGAGCAGACCCATTGAGTGGATCATGACAAGAACTGATTTATAAAGGAGTTCCAAATAACTGGCCAACCTTGCACAATGATGGGGAAAATAACTACTACCCTTGATTATGAAGGCATATTAGTTAAGGTACCATCAGCTGCTATACCAGACAAAGGTAGCATTAACCACTATTACAGACAAACCCCCAAATCTCAATGGCCCAATCCCACGTGAATGTGGCCAAAACCCACAGATTCAGGGGTTTTGGGTTCTCTAGTTTGTGGTTCCTTCATCTTCAACACATGGCTTCTGAGGCTGCTGGAGGAGGAGAATGATATGAATGACTAGGCATAGAGAGGTTTATGGTGCCAGTCAGGAGGTGAAACATGTATCTCTCCTATTCACATTCCATTATTCAGATATCATAAATATAAACTAGCCCAGGACAATGAGAAAACAGCTTTGGTGAAAAGAGGAGAACTGTTCAAATGTGGGATAGAAGTAACCATTGCGTTAGGAGGCACACCCTGCCTCTTCCACCTGCTGAAGGAAAACATGCTGAATGGCTTGGATGACCTTTGGAATGGATGGGAACATAAGAACTTTTCTGCTCATGGCATAAAATTGAAAAGGGCCATGGTATCTCAGACTCAAAGCAGGAGGAGGCACCGGAGTTCTGTTTGGAATGGAGGGGTGCTTTCGTTTGGAAATTGCCTTGGACCTAAGTGGGTAATGCTTTTAAATAAGTTCACAATCTCTACGATGATCAGTAGAGTGGTAATCAGAATAAACTGTTAATATATTCCTAGAAACCAAATCACCTGTGTGCCGAGGACTGGCCTTTCTTTAATCATACATATACATATATATACATTAATAAATTTATTTATATATAAATATATATGACATATACTTATGGAATATATATTTATATCTATATTTATATATACTAATATGTAATATATATTATGGACTATATATTTTATATGTTTATGTAAATATATATAAATATATAGGAACTTATATATATTTATATATATAAACTCAATGAAACACATGATACACAAGCTGCCTTTATGTCACAATCCCATGTGATTTATTGATACAGTAGTCCCCCTGCATCCATAGAGGATACATTCCAAGACTCCCAGTGGATGCCTGAAACTGCAAATAGTACTGAATCCTATATGTACTATGTTGTTTCCTATACATACTTTGATAAAGTTTAATTTATACATTAGGCACAGTAAGAGATTAACAACAACTAGTAATAAAGTAGAAAAATTATAACAATATACTATAATAAATATTACGTGAATGTGGTCTATCTCAAATATATTATTGTACTATCCTTGCCTTCTTTTGTGATCTGTCAGTCTGATAACTGAGCCAGCTACTGAGTGACTCAGCTATGAAGGCGGGTGGCATATACAGTGTGGACACACTGGAGAAAGGGATGCTTCATGTCCAGGTTGGGGCAGAGTAGAATGGTGTAAGATTTCATCATGCTACTCAGAATGGCATGCAATTTAAAACGTATGAATTGCTTATTTCTGGAATTTTGCATATAATATATTTGGACTCATGGCACTTTATCATGAGTAGCTGAAACCTCAGTGAGTGAAACCACGGATAAGGGGGCACTGCTGTATATTCTTATACCCCTCTGAAAAAATAATTAGGCATTTTATGTTTCTTGTATGAATGGCTTGTCTCAGAATGCTGAGAGAGAAAGGTGAGAGAGAGAGAGAAAGAGAAAGAGAGGGAATTTGTCTAAGGGGCTTTCTAGTGCACTTCTTAGGCTAGTGTGGAAACAGAAAAATAAAGTGGTCCATCAGCAGGGACAGTTTGGGACACATTGCTTTAGATCAGTGTCTTAATGTCTACAAGGTGGGTTGTTGTGAGAATGAAGTGGTAATTATATCCGATACTATAAATTGCTCTACAAATGGCATTTTTGCCATTGGTGTGTTCATCGCACTGATACACTCCCAGGAAGACTCTGCCTTTTTTGCCTCTCCAGAATGTTTGAGAAAAAGGTAGAGCAGGAGGATGCACACCAGAGTGTGTTTTTCAGAACCGCGATTTCCTGTCCCAAAGGGTTTGGCCTGTGTTCTGATCCATCTGTGGTCCAGAAGTTTACTGGCTGTTTAGCCTTGCCATAGGCAGTAACGGTAGGTGGTCCCTGAAGGATGTCCTCCTCACTGCCCTCCTGTTTCCAACTCTCTTGTTTTATTTGTCTTTAATATCCCCATGTGGAATGTTTTTGACCAAAATGATCAAAGTGATATTTCAGAAACTCAGTCTGCATGCATGTACAAGATGAATTGGATTAGGGAAAGCACAAGGAACTCCCAGGATAGCTAGCTGTTTTGATTGTCCAACCAATCATTTTATGAACTCGGTGACTGACATCACCTGGACCTTGGTATTATCAGAGTTTCCTGAATAAGGATCCTAATGCTATAAGCCCTTGTTACCCATTCCACCAGTAAGGGTGCCAGAATACTGTAGGGACATCCATTGAACTCCCAGGTATAGTCAAAGAAAAAGTCCTTTCACTACTTACCAGAAGAATGGCAAAGGGTTTGTTGACAAGAACTAAGCTCCTAATAAGGAATAAACTATATGCAGGTTTTGAACAGTTAGCTTCCATATTTTGCTAAAATTATGGATAAAGGTATCATTTTATGAGTCTGAGCCAGAAGAGAAGTGTTAGATACACTAACACAGGCAGAGAAAAAGTGACACTCCTATCCAGATTAGAATAGGAGTCCTTTTCTTCAAGCCCACCTTTGCTGCTGCACAGCTTTCTAGCCACTCTCCATTACAAAGCGCTGTTTAACACTCACTAGTGCTGTTTGTCAAGTAGTTATTGGGCACCTATTATGTGTCAGTCACCATGTTGGACACAGAGAATGCATAGAGTACTGAGATATAAACACATCTCAGTCTTGAATTGGCCACCTTGGTCAAAGTGCAGATCAAGTAATTGATGTCTGAAGTGGATAAACCAAAAGATCTGCTAACTTGTCTGCAGAATCTCTAAGCTATCCCCTTATATCTGGTTAGGCCACCCAAATGCTACATATCAGGACATTGTGTTATATGATATAATATTATGGCCTTAGCTTTTAGTAAGCAATTAAAAATACAGAAATATAAAGAGCATAAATTCAAGTTTTGTAACACCCGTGTTAAAGGCTTTGACCTATCTAGTGTCCTTATATAAGGGTTTGTAAAATAAATTCTTCATATAATTCAGTGCTAGTGAAACATTTCTCTCTTCTGGTATGTTTCCTTATTAGAAAATAAGGTTTGGGTAAGTTGTAAAATTTTCCTTCTAGCTTTGGCTACCAGGATGCTTAGTGCTAGGTTTCCAGTACAGGACCACATCTTCTTCACTTTTTGACACCACTTATTTCTATTAAAAATACCTTTTTGGGGATTATCTTTTACTTTAATCCACCTCAAATTCTTAAATAAACCTTGAAATAGTATAACATACACACAGATTCTATTACAGTTTTTGTTCTTTATAGAGCAAATTCTTTTATGACAGAAAAACAAAAATAAAACCCCAGGAGAATCAGTTCTCCATTGCAGCTCTCTTTTAGGATCCTTCCCTAAGTGTGGTGGTTGGGATTTTACAGATCTCAGTTGTTTGAGGTAGCAGAAGAAAGTATCTTCTGGGCTAAATGCTGATTGTAGCAATCTTTGCCTTACCCTAAAGCCCATTCCTTATAGGCTGATTTGTCCTAAAAGAACCGTGTCCTCCTGCAGCTCTGGGGCTCAGCCAGGTTCAGCCAGCTGAACTGTAGCTTTCCTGTGTAACTGTTTCATGGCTGGACCTGTGTGTTAAACTGTTATATTACCTCATAACTGTTTCCTGATTAACAATAACATTTTTTCCTTTAGTTACATTCATTCCTTTATCTAGGTATCATTATTGTGTTCCCAGTATGTATCAAACATCTCTAGATGGTAGAAATTTGTAGCTGAGGAAGGAAATGTTGAAGTTTTTGAACTGACCTGGTCATATCCTTGAGAAGCCTGCAGTCCGGGGAAGGAGGGAAACACAAGTGCCATGATCCTTTTCTATCATGAGGGTGACATTCCTGGGAAATAACAAAACATGGACCAAAACAAACAAACAAACAAACAAAAAACCCACTTCTCCTCCATAATAGAATTTGGAGGAGCCAAAAACCATGACTTTATGGGCACTATAGAGTTGGGGATCAGGATTGAGAGAATCTATGAAAGCATCTGTAAATTACACAAATTAAAATGAGAATATTGTTAAGAAAAATTCTCCAAAGCTTGTAAATAAGGCATGTCCTTTCAATGTCTTACAAGGGCATTGTCTAACGAGGCCACCTAAGGGTAATTAATTATATTGGGGGATGTACCTTTGCTTGATTTTGCTATTTACTATTAATTATGGGCTCAAGCTCTGTGAAGTTATGTGTTAACTTGGAGATTTTGTATGGCAGAGATGCAAATAATTTCTGTCCAGTAGCAAAGATAACCCCAAAGGTTATGGCTTTTACTGCCCTGTGGAACATTAATCAGTTTTGTATCCAATCTAGCAATATAATTCTAACGTTTCTTTTTAAATGCCTATAAATACCCCATTCCTCAAAATGCTATCTGAAGTAGATTTTTCATACTGCCTCCCTCATTAATGAGTTAATAAATCTTTGACAGGTGTTCATTTTATGTTTGTATGAGAGTCATGTTTTCAACTATAAAAATTATACTTTGACCTTATGTATAGCATTTTACACACCTTACATTATTAGTGCAAAATCAATTTCCATTCACCATCCTTGCTTAATAGAAAACTTGCAGACTCTCCACTGCAGTTTTAATGAGACTGTGGAAACTTGTTTGCTTTGTTGCAGGTGTATTGAAGGAACAAGTCATCCCGCATATAGTCTCCTATTGGAGAGTTCAACAGTTTTGCCTTTTTATGTTTTTAACTTTTGATTCCATCTTGGGGGTCCCATCATGGTCCACAGCACAAAGATGCCTGATGAGGGGAAAGCTTTGAAGATTCCTTATTTAATCCACTCGGCTCGCTGTGGCAGATAATTTCTCCGACACTCTTTCTGATACCCCTGCCCAAATAACTCCATGTCAGAACCCATAAGGAGACAGCAGGACCCTTCCATTGAGGTGCTCTATCTTACACATTTGATTTAGCTCCGTCTTCTGTCCTTCCAACTGTTAATAGTTAATTAGCAAATACTTATTGTGTGCCTGACAGGAACTTTCCACTAGAGTGTTAGCAACAACAACTACAGAACAACAACAATAAATATTTATTGAGTGCCTATTATGTGCCAGGCATGATTCTAACCACTTTATGTTACTAACTTAGACAAAGAATTTCCCTGTGAGAACTGAAATCATATACAGTCACACGATTTACTAGGATTAAAAACTAAGACTGCATTAACAAGAATTTACTAGTCCAGAAAATTTTTGTCCAGAAGATAAACTTGCAAATAAATGGATTGTTTCCAGAACTTCTAAAAATTCATTATTTTTCCTGAATAATAAGCCAATAAACTAGGTCTCATCAGAATAATAATAGGCCTTCCCTGAACAATATTGAACTAGGTTATCAAATGACTGTTTACTCTTTAAGACCACTTTGAAACCTTTGTCCACTGTGTCCACTAATCCTAAACTATTATATCACAAATGACTAAATTTCAATCAGGATCCCTCCACTGAATACCTGTCTTGGCTGGGCATGGTGTCTCAAGCCTGTAATCCCAGCACTTTGGGAGGCCGGGTGGATCTCTTGAGTTCAGGAGTTCGAGATCAACCTGGGCAACATGGTGAAACCCCACTTATACAAAAAATACAAAAATTAGCCAGGCATGACAGGGTGTGCCTGTAGTCCCATCTACTCAAGAGGCTGAGGTGGAGGATGGCTTGAGCCTGGGAGGTGGAGGTTGCAGTGAGCTAAGATTGTGCCACTGCACTCTAGCCTGGGCAACAGAGCCAAACCCTGTCTCAAAAAAAAAAAAAAAAAAAAAAAAAAAAAGAAATACCTGTCTTACAGTGTGACAAGGATCTAGAACCAGAAATACCATTTGACTCAGCAATCCCATTACTCTGTATATACCCAAAGGATTATAAATCATTCTACTATAAAGACACATGCAGATGTATGTTTATTGCAGCACCGTTCACAATAGCAAAGACTTGGAACAAACCCAAATGCCCATCAATGATAGACTGGATAAAGAAAATGTGGCACATATACACCATGGAATACTATGCAGCCATAGAAAAGGATGAGTTCATGTCCTTTGCAGGGACATGGATGAAGCTGGAAACCATAATTCTCAGCAAATTAACACAGGAACAGAAAAAACAAACACCACATGTTCTTACTCATAAGTGGGAATTGAACAATGAGAACACACGGACACAGGGAGGGTAACATCACACACCAGGGCCTGTCAGTGGGTGGGGGGCTAGGGGAGGAATAGCATTAGGGGAAATACCTAATGTAGATGACGGGTTGATTGCACGTGTATACCTATGTACAAACCTGAATGTTCTGCACATGTATCCCAGAACTTAAAGTATAATAATAATAATAATTATATATATATTTGAAATACCTGTCTTAAATGGAATCACCAAGCCTTAAAATATCCTGCCCTTACTTCTCCCTTCTGAGATGCTACTAAGTTTTTGTTAAGGCACTGGTATGCAATACCCTCGGTTTTGCTTGATCAACAGCTAAATTTGATGGTTTCTTGAGGGATTCACAGCCAACACTTGCCTTCACAGAAGTTACATTCTAGTGAGAGAGACAGATGATGAACAAACAAACACATTGTATAATTGAAGGTAGTGATAAGTGCAATGAAGGATCCTAAAATGGGGAGAGGACAGAGAACTCTCAGTGGCAGGGGCTACTTTAGGTGAGGTGCTCAGGAGGGCTTCTTCCAGGACAGGAAATTTAAGCAGAGACCTGAGGGCAGTGAGATCTGGGGAAAGGGTGTCTTAGTTAAAAAGAATAGGAATTATAAAAGTCTGGAGGTAGGAATCACTGGTATATTCAAAGAAGAGCAAGATGGTTGAAGCATGATGAAGAGAACTGAGGAAATTGAGTTTGGAGACATAAGAGGGAGCCATGGGAAGATGGTTGAGTTCTGTTTTAAATGTGAAGGGGAAGACTTTGGAGGGTTTTAAGTGGAGAGTGACATGATCTAAGTTAGATTTTTGAAGGATTACTCTGGCAGCTCTGTAGAGACTAGATTGTGGGAGCATGGTGGTGATATGGTTTGGCTGTGTCCCCACCCAAATCTCATCTCGAATTGTAATCCCCATAATCCCCACGTGTTGAAGGAGGGACTGGTGAGAGGTGACTGGATCATGGGAGTGGTTTCCCCCATGCTGTTCTCATCATAGTGAGTGAGTTTTCATGAGATCTGGTGGTTTTATAAGGCAGTTTTCCCTGCTCTTGCTTGCTTTTCTCTGCCTTTCCTGCCACCCTGTGAAGAAGGTCTTTGCTTCCCCTTCACCTTCCACCATGATTGTGTTTCCTGAGGCCTCCTCAGCAATGCAAAACCATGAGTCAATTAAACCTCTTTCCTTTATAAATTACCAAGTCTCGGGCAGTTCTTTATAGCAGCATGAAAATGGACTAATGCAGGTGGATTGGGGGCGAGCATAGGAGGCTACTGTAGAAGTCAAAGTGAAAAAGGGTTATGGCCCCAATGTAGGCACTCTCAGTGGAAGTGCTGATGGGATTTTGGATATGTTTTGAAGGCAGAACTTTGGGGGAGGTGCCTTTTGGCTTGAATATTCTGCTCAATAGTGGTGCCACAGTGAGTTCAGAAGACAAGGGGAGAAGGAGGAGGAAAACCAAAAGCTCTGATTTGGATATGTTAAACTTATGATGTCTTTTCAGTACCTAAATGGAAAAGGATAGACATAGGAGGTGACTTCAGGCAAGGTTGGGATTGTATAAACTCCGTCCCTTTATCTCTCTGCTAACTTGATGGCAAAATCCTACTTTTAGGCTCTACTGCTTTTCCTCTTTCTCTTTCTATCCTCCAAATCTCTGTTTTTCTAATCGTTTCTAGTAGGATGACTTGGAATTTACATATGCTCAAACCAAATGAATACAGAAACAAATCCACATATTCTTGAATTTCACTTAAGGGAAACTTATAGTGGGGAGAAGTTTTATTTAATTAGCATTATATTGTGAAAAGGGATATAGTACAAATTTTTAAACAGTTACAATTTTGGACCCACTAGTGGGTTGTGAAATCAGTTTAGTGGGAGGTAAAATCAATTTAGTGGGTAACAAACAACATTTAAAAAAGGGAAATATAAAAGAAAATAAAAGAGTGCATCACACTTAATAAGGGCAACTATTACGTGAAATTTTTGTTTCATACACACACATATGTATATACTGGATTATAGCATAAAATGTATTTCTTACAGTGAATTGCAAACTCTCTGAAAGTCGCTGCTATAGGAGAGGTGTGTTGTAAGCCTTCGTTTTCAAATGGGTAGCAGCACTTTCAAAGTCTAACATTATTTTCACAGATAAGGCCAAGCCACATAACCTTTGGTGCCTTAGGTTTTATTTTTAATTTATAAAATGGAAATAATATTTTCTCCCTATATGTAAGTCTGGATTCTTCTAATTGCAAGGGAGAGAAATTCAGCTCAGACTAGTTTAAGTTAAAAAAAAAAAAAAAAAAGAAAGGGCTCCATTGGAAGGATGCAGGATCAGCTAACAGAGCCTGAATCCAGAGCTTGAGTAGGAACTGGGCAACTTTGGAGCCTGGGACTTGCCCAGGGGACCCGGTTCTGCCATGCACTCTCTTTCTCTGTCCAGGTTGCCTTTGCTTGGTTTCACTCTCTTCTATGGCAGATAGCTGTCTTTATATGGCAAAAATTATGATTATCATTAGCCTTGGGTTCATATCCTTCTAGCTCTGAGACCTAAGAGGCAAGAGGCCTCCCTCAGTAGTGTCAATTAGAATTACCCCAGGGAAAGGCTTTGATTGGTCCATCCCTAGTCACATGCCCATCCCTGAATAATCACCCTACCAGGGGGATAAAAGCTTAGATGGGTTAATATGAGTTTTGCATGTAACCATGTGGGGTGTGTGTGTGTGTGTGTCTGTGCGCATGCATGCTTTTAGAAGTCGAGGAAAATATGATAGGAAGATAATGAGAGCTACTGCATCTTCTATATGTCATGGGAATGTTCTAAGAATTAATAAAATATAGTTTATGAGAGGTTCTGAACTTGTAATTTACCTTGAGGAATCACTCAAATGTCTTCACAGTAAACCAGCATCTGTAGAACTAATTTGTGGGCTCATAAAAAGCAAGATGTGATTAATTCTATAGAAGGTGTCTTGTGGGCCACCCCACCCTCTGCTTGATGTGCAGAATGACTTCCCAAGTCCTCTGTGCATCAGTCCTAGTTCAGCTGGGTCTGCAGAGAGGTTGGTGATTTATTAAACACACTGGTTAGAGCAAGTCTACGGCCTTGTAGTGTTACTAGGTCTAAGTCCTAGAAACACTCTAAGACCCTAAAGTTACTCAAAAGATCATGAGGTCTAAACTCTGCTTTTTCTAAGATTTGAATACCTCATGTTTATCATCAGCCTCCTATTTAGAAAATGATGCTTTCTGGTAATGGTGAGGAAAAATATTTGCTAATGAAAATCTAAATGAGGGATGATGAAGCTAAACATCATTAGATTTAGTTACTTTCCCTACATGATTGGTTGAGGGATATTATTCACAGAAAAGTTTCTTTATGCCAGCCATTCTTTTCTTTGAAGTATCACCTCACTCCAAATCAGTCATTTAAATATCTTATGCTGCTCCAGAGAATGTCCTGGCTCCCCAAATATTTTCTTGTCAATCTTCTGTTATATGTTCTGTCACACTGGGTCCTCTTGGGAATGAAACCAGTTTACTTTAACATTTTATGAGATCAACTCCTCTATATCCAATGGCCGATCATAGAACGGGATTATTAATACAGAATAAGTAACTGGCAACTGAATTAGAGGACTATAATTCCATTGAGGAGCTCTAGATTTTTAAATTAATTTAATGCTTATGAAAGCTCTAAGACTGACAGCCTAGGAGGATAAAATGGGCTTTTTTTCCTGTGTTGAATAGGTACCGCTGTATCAGAGACTACAACCAAAACTTTTGGCAAGGCCTGTAGAGCTGATTTCTTCATTGGCGATCTTTGTGAGGATGGATGGGCCTGTGTTTGCGTGACTTTTTTTTTTTTTCAGAATGAGAGACTGTGGCAGGAATTTGGGGTCGTAGAAACGTGGGTGAGATTCTCAGCTCTGTCTCTTGCTTATAGTGTGATTTAAGTAGAGCTACAGATAAATTATAGGATTGGCAGGTTAAATTTAAATTTTAGATAAACAATGCATTTTTTTAGTGTAAGTTATGTCTAAAATATTGTATCGAACATACTTATACTAAAAATTTTTATTTATTGTTCATCTGATGTTCAAATTTAGTTGAGCATATTGTATTTTTATTTGCTAGGTCTGGCAACTCTAGATTTAGGGCGAGTTACTTAAATTCTCTTCATCTCAGTTTCCTCATCTCTAAAGTAGAACTAGTAACACTTATTTTTCAGGGATGCTGAGGGCTAGATGATATAATTTATTCATTCGACAAATGCTTATTGACTGCCTACTCTGCAGTGAACAAACTGGATAAGAATCTGTGCTTATGAAGTTTAAATGCTATTGTGCAGGAGATAGACAATAAAGTACATAAATAAGTATGTCAGATGGTAATAGATGCTATGGAGAAACAAACAGTAGGGAAAAGGTAGGGATTGGTGGTGGAGAGTTTGGATTTTAATTAACTAGGTTGGTTAGGGAAGTCTTCACAGAGAATGAGATATTTGACTAAAGACAGGAAGAAGGAAGGAAAGAAAGAAGAAGGAAGGGACCCAGCCATGCAGATACCTGCAGAAAGATCATCTCAAGCACAGAGGCTAGCAAGGGTAACAGCCCTGAGGCAGGAGGTGACTGCCATGTTGGAGGAACACCAGGGAAGTCAGTGTGGCTGGAGAGAAATGAGCTGGGGAAGGGGGGCATGGAGAAGGATAATATGTATAAAATGTCTGGCATATGCTTGGTGCTCCTCATTCTTGCTGTAGCGCTATATGGACCCAGATGAATGCCAGTTGATCACCCAAGGGCCCTCCGGAGGGTCTTAAGTCTTCCAAAGGTAGCCATGGGGCGTCAGTTTCCTCAGTCACAAAGTGGCGATGAAAATAGCAGCATGGCCTCCCCTACAAAATTGTTGAAGGAATCAACAGAGGTGAAATGCACGAGAGGTTTCGTGAAGCACGAACTGCCATACCCATGTATTGTTATTATTTAGAACTGCATGAAGCCTATAAGCAATTTCTACTGCCCCCCCTCCCCACAACAGGGAGGAGGCAAAATTTGGCCATTTCTATTATATTATCGAACATGCTTTCCTACTTTTAGCTGATTAACTTGGAGCTCTTAATTGATGAACCTAAGATTATGGGTTTGGGTTGCCATGATGGCCAATTAAACTTCACTGTGTTCCAAACTGCCAGGTGCAGACATAGGCCCACTTTCCAGAAAGGGCAGCTCAGATGATGTTAGCCCATATGGCAGGAAGAAGCCTTGCTGTGAGCCTGAGGCAAGACTAGGCACATGGAGGCTAGGCTGGCTGGAAGGTAAGCAGGTGAGAGGCATGCAGGATGCTCTAGGGGATTGTGGGCTTGGAAGAATCCAAGGTCAGCAGTACTGAGGGCAGAGGTTAGAGCTGGGATCAGTGTAGAATTCTTGGTCAAGTCTTGCAGAAGTGGTTTGGTACTGCAGCCAGTAAAATGGTTTGCTATGAGAAACTCAGGAGCTCAGGCAAGGAGGAGGAGTAATGGGGTGGGATGCCAAATGCCTGGACCCCAGATACAGATACAGGGCACTGATTGCTAAAGAAAAATGGCATGAAGTAAATTATTAAACTAGTTTTATTTTCTATGTATGATTGGAAACTACATCTATCAGCATCACCTGGAGAGTGTTTTTTTTTATTTTTTATTTTTTATTTTTATTTATTTATTTATTTATTTTTTTAGAGACAGGGGTCTCGCCATGTTGCCCAGGCTGGTCTTGAACTCCTGAGCTCAAGAGATCCACCCGCCTCAGCCTCCCAAAGTGCTGGGATTACAGGCATGAACCATGGTGCCTGACAGAGTATGTTAAAATGCAGATTTCTAGGCCTCACTGACTGAGACAATGGAATGGGGTTTGAGAATCTTAAAGAGAACCCTGGTGATTCTGATGCAGAGCACCTGCAGTCTAATTTGAGCCCTGTAGGTGGAAGCAAGTGTGTTCACCTCTTGTGATGAGGCGTGAGGAGCAGAGAGGTAAATCAAACTACCCTTGTTGTGTTATGTAATAAAGTATCTCCTTATTGTCTCTGCATAGTTCTTTACTTTCTTTGTGACTATTAATATTGACTTTTCTAACTAAATTACAGTACTACTATGATCAGAAACCATGTCTTTTACTTCTTTGTGTCTTGCATAGTCCCTAAGTTAGTTTTGGGCATGTGCAATTTCATTAGCTAACTTCTGACTTCAAGGATTAATTAATTACACAGCCATCCGTGCTTCTACCTTACCTGTAGTCAACATTTTTGCAAATGTGCTGATGGTCTTAGAGAGCCAGTGTGATAAAATGTGGATACATCTGTGTAAACTTTTCTCATTATTTGTACAATGCCTGTTGCAATGGTTCACCACCTTGGCTGCATAATAGTGTGTTTAAAAATCCTGATGCCCAGGCCATACCTAAGACCAAGGATCTCTGGGGATGAAACTCAGGCATTACTGGAGAGGGAAGAGGAAATGTTACCAGAAGTTGGAAGCTTGGAGGAGAAGCCTCTGCAGGGCAGGTGGTTAAGTCTTGAAAGGGAGATTTGAGAGCCTGGTGCTCAGATCTCTAGGGGAGGCATGGCTGGTTGGTGCTCTGAGCTTTAGGAGGGCACAGCCAACAGTGTAGGTGGGAAGGCTTGATTGGCACTCAGACAGCCAAAAGGGGAAGGCCAGCTGATACTAGAATCATGGGGGTGGAATGGAGCACTAGTATGGCTGCTACGAGTACTTCTGAGGGAGTGTGATAAGGCTGATAACATGAGTGCCAAAAGAATCAGGAATTTGGAACCATAGCTGTCCTTTACCGCTGGAGTGATGCAGACTGGAGCTGGAAGCCCGAGAGCTAAGTTTCTTCTTCCCTCCTTCTTTCTATCTGTAATCATAAGCCACCTGGCAAAGGAGTAGGGAAATGTAGTTTGCTCCACTGTCATGAACAAATTAGTGCCTTATAAAGGCTGGGGAGAACTAGTTTAGGCCCCTCTTGCCCTTCTGTCCCTTTGCCATGCGAGTACACAGTGTTTGTTCCCTCTGGAGGATGCAGCAACAAGGTGCCATCTTGGAAGCAGGGAGCAGCCCTTATCTATTGTTTATAAATTACCCAGTCTGAGGTATTTTGTTAAAGCAGCACAGATGGACGAAGACACTCATCTGTCCTCTCTGGTGGGCAGGTATTCACCTGGTCTATTTTTCAGAAGGTGAGAGAGAGAAAGGAACTAGCATCTTGTTCCTGGTCTGGGTACCAGCCAACCCACTGGAGCTGCTGATCTTCCCCCATACTAAGTGAAGGAAAAGCACAGGGGCAGAGTAGAGCAAGGAGATGGTATGATGGTGCTGAGGGAGGAAATGAATTGCCTTCTTGAGTTCCTAATTTCTCAGTGATACTGAAGATAGATCATCACAACTACAGATCTTAGAACTGGAAATACAGAGAATAGATCATATTAGAGGCTTCTTTTGGGGGATCTCTGCAGTGTGAGGCAAAGAGACTCATGCATTAGAGAGCAGCTGCTGGGTGTCAGTGGAAGATACAGTTGCATTTTTTTCAGGAACCACTAAGGAAGGGAGAATGGTAGGGATGGATTCCCCCAGTTCCTTAATGGGGCCAAAGGAGACCTCTGTCTGCCTCACTGAGCACGTGGACTATGTGGACCATGAGACAGATCAGGCATCTAATCCAGGAACAGCCCCAGTTGGGGGATGTTCATGTAAGGAAATAGTGCATTTGGCCAACAATGAAGAAGACAGCCAATTTGCCACAGCAGCCACAAAAGGAAATAACTCTTTTCTCTTCCTCCTTCCCATGGAGACAAAAGAAGAATAAGTGTAAGGAAGAAGGAGATATAGGAAAGACAGAGCAGATAATATTGTCTGCAGACTACTGCAGTGTATGGGGGCAGTGGGAAAATTCTGAATTGAACACAAGTTCTTAAGTAGTACAGACTATCTCTTAGTAACCCAAAGGGATTTCTTTTTTTTAAATGGAAAGTGATTGTAAAGTTATGGAATCAGGATGAAGTATCATTAAGGATGTCCACCAATATGTAGGAAAAATTGGGAGGTTTGGTGATCACAGTTGGTAGTAGTTACCGGAAAAATAAAAGAATTTCATGTTTATACCTTGATAAGTTCAAACTGCTCAGTCCAACTAGCTATAGTTTATAACCCTTATAAATCTGGGTTTCCACCTGGCTCAGTCTGGAAGCCACATCTTGTTCAAGGGTCATATTTTCAAAGCCAAAGTTATTAAAAAGGAATTCTCTTCTCTATTTGAATTTTGGAAATCTGCAGTAAGACCAAAATACAACAGTCCATAGCAGCTCTTTTCAATCAACCCTCTCATTTTACAATCATTCCGGTGCCTCTCACCTCAAATCACTTAGAAATTCCTCTACCTCCAACATCTTCCTCTCTCTCTCTCTCTCTCTCTCTCTCTCTCTCTCGCTTTCAGTACTTTGTTATTTAAATTGCCTTTAGTCATTTTTCTTTCTTTTTTTTTTCTTCTTCTTGCTTATCTTTTCTCTACTCCCCCCGCCCAGTTCTTCATCCAAAAAGCTCAGGGAACTAGTTGGGGGAAGATGAACTCTTCACAGAAGGTGTTTAAACAGATACTGGAGCAGGGCATGGGAAGGAGAACAACAGAAGGGGGAATTCTCCTTGTCAGGTAGGCGGTAGCATTGGCATGGGGGTAGGGATGGCTACACATACTCAAACAATATTACTTTTTAATCATAATGAAAAAAATTTAACATTTCCTGGTGTTTACAGTTCACTAACATTTATACATTCCTTATCTCAACTGATCTTCAGGGCCCTGAGAGTGAGTGTTATTATGCTCACTGTGCAGGTGAGGAATCTAGGCTCAGGTCGGAGAAATGACTTGAATAAATTAGTAGGATAGAATTTCAGAATTTGAACCCAGGACTCCTGACTTTGTCCAGTGCTTGGTGCTTGTTCTCCTCTGTTACCTCTTTCTCCAATATCTACTTTATTCTCTCTGCCTGCTGTTCTCTCAGAGGGTAATTTTTTTTTTCTCTTTATCGCACTCTTATCTGTCTCCCGTACTATTTTGATCCCATTGGCAATTTCCTTCCTGATTTGAAACCACATGGTTCTATTGACCAAAAAGCAACAAGGACTGAGAACTCTGTTTTTTGTTGTTGTTTGTTTTTTTATCTACAGGAGAAGACTTTTAAGGAGCCTTCTTCATCGAGTGCATTCTCCTGAGAATGGCATATAGATTTGGTCTGCATGTTAACATGACTCACACAAAGTGTGGCTGAGAATCAAGGATACAGACTTTTTAACAGACACTTAGCAAGAAAAGTGTTGAAGTCCTGGGGGTCCTGTGATTGTCTGGAATGTTCTGAATGTTTGTTTTGTAGTGTTTCTCAGAGCTAGTTTATAAGCCACATAAGATAATCTATCTAATTTTTTTTCTTACTTAAGCCCTTTTTGGACCAAGACAGGGTTACTTGGCTTACTTAGTCCATCACCTTGTTCATCAGGCTTTCGTCTGCTTTAAGGATGAAATTTACTATCAGAGGACAAATATTTTATATAATCGAAGATAAATGTCTGTCTGTATGTCTCTCTCTCTCTAATCTATCTACTTGTTATTATTTTTTGAGACAGTTTTGCTGTCCAGGCTGGAGTGCAGTGGCCTGATCATGGCTCGCTGTAGCCTCAACCTCTGGAGTTCAAGAAATCTTCCCACCTCAACCTCCCAAATAGTTGGGACTATAGGCATACCACCATGCCAGGCTAATTTTTTGTGTCTTTTGTAGAGATGAAGTTTTGCCATGTGGCCCAGTCTTGTCTCGAACTCATGAGCTCAGGTGAGCTGCCTGCCTTGGCCTCTCAAAGTGCTGCAATTACAGGAATGAGCCACTGCATCCAGCCTATCTACCTATCTATTAATCACCTATTTCTATTAAAATACCCAAAAGCCTCCTAGGGTAATTAGATGTGCAGGTGCAGAAACATTGCTCTGTAGTCATGTGACATTCCACATGACTAATATAGGCCTGAACTGAAGGATGTTCTGTGACATGGGGCAAGTGACTGGCTGCTGACTGTTGGGTGGGTGGGAGGTGAGGGTAGAGGGAGGAGCTCTTGTAGACCCCCAGGAGCTTCTAGCTTTAGCATGGGAAGTGAAGCAGCTCTGGATTCCGAAGGGTAGTACTCCCCTGGAGATGGTTACAGTTGTAACTGGCAACCTGGGACTGAAGAAGACAGAAGCTGGGGGGCAGGGACACAGACTCCATCAAAGGCATCTGAGGAGCCAAGCACCAACATGATCTGATTGGCCATGCATTTGATCACATTGTCATTAGGGCAGGTGACAAAACAGGTTTGACCATTTTCACTGAAAAGTCTTTACCTCAGCATACATGTCTGAAAGGAAATGTTCTTTTTTCTTTTTTTCTTTCTTTCTTTTTTTTTTTTTACCTTAGTTGAAGGACAGTTGAAGAGGATATTGAGGTGGCATTTCTGAGTACTGTTTGGGCAATGCCATTTTATAGGCAGTAAACATTCTTGGAGAGATTATTATTTAACCTACTTGCAATAGAGTGAAATTGAATTGCTTACACTTTTTTTTCTTCTTCTGAGCACCACTCTTAGTATTCTGAAACATTAAAATAGGCAGAAGAACAATTCCATCTGCAGGACTTAATCAGCATGTGCCTTTGTTGGGCCTTCCTTTCCTTAGCTTGCCACTTGAATTTGGTTGATGGATTCATCCCTGGGTCTGACTGACTGCTTGTTCCCCTCTTTGTTGTGAAACCAAGTGACTGACACACTTCATGTAAGTCTGTTGTCACTGAGGAAGAACAAGATAACAGGAACCAGGGGAGTGGAGAAGAGGGTGAGTTTCTGAAATGACCCCATACATTCTGTGTACTGTGTAAACTGTGGTGCAGCCCCAGGGAAAGGTAGACCTAAAAGTCAAGGAAACCTACAAGGTGAGCGAGGTCCCTTGGTTAACATTTTGCTAGTTTTGTTAAACATAAATCAAATATTTTATTATTTGTGAGATCCACTTAAAATAATCCCAATTTTGTACTGTGGTAGATTATGTGTGTATCAATAATGCATATAATTTCACGTAAGGCATAATGGATGTATTCGTTTCCTGTGGCTGCTATAACAAATTACCACAAACTTGGTGACTCAAAACAAAAGGATTTATTCTTTGACAGTACCGAAGGCCAGAAGTCCAAAATCAAGGTGTTGTCAGGCCCACACTTCCTCTGAAGATTCTAGGGAAGATTCCTTCTTTGCCTTTTCCAGCTTCTGGTGGCTCCTGGTGTTCCTTGGCTTGTGGCAGCATCACTTCAACCTTTGCCTCTATCTTCACATAGCCCTCTCCTCTTCTGCCATGTGCCTCTCCTCTGTGTGTCATATTATAAGGACAGTTACTAGATTTAGCACCTATCCAGATAATCCAAGATAATCTCATTTTAAGATCCTTAATTTAATTACATTCACAAAGACCATTTTTACAAATAAGGTTTGTAAAAACCTTATTTGTAAAAACAGGTTCTGGGAGTCACATGTGGATGTATTATTCGGTGGGGGGCACCATTCAACCCACTATGATAGATTTACTTATCTTTTTATACATTTTTAAATGTCTGATCTTTGGCATCTGAAATTTGTTGTAATTATGAACTAACCCTTACTGAGCCCTTTCTCTGTGCCATACACTTTGCAAAGCCCTTGAACTTATTGTTTTAAAACAATTCTATGATGTCACTCTTATTTTTATCTCCACTGCACAGATGAGAAAGATGAGGTTTGGAGAAATTAAGTAATTTGTGCAAAGTCACAGGGCTTGTGTGATTGTAAGGGGTGGGGCCAAGATTAAGTCCACATTCATCTGTTTTGAACCTGAACCCTTAATCAGCATGGTGCAGAAGAAATAAATGCACATTAAATGTCTTAAAAACTTCAATTAAAAAACAAATACTTTTTCCCCTTAACCTCTTAAACATTTCTGGTAAGCAAGTAATCTTAACACACATGCATTTCCTGATAATCCACGTGCTTATCTACATCCAAAATTTAATGTATATAGCAGAACTCGGTAAATGAATTTATTTTTAAAAAACATATTACATCTCTAGGAAATAATTAGTGGTGGGTAATCTTTCTAAAATAGTTCTAAAATTTGGAGAAGGGCAAAAAGCTAAGTTTTCCTAAGCAACATTGAATTCCCCAAATTTCCCTCAATGTAGGTAACTAATTGAGATAGTGTGGTAGTAACACAGAACACAACACACCTACAATCGAACATTTCCTTGAAATCCAAAATTCTCGTTTGTGATTTTTTTTTTGGCTTTTCTGTCTTACAATAAATCCAGGAATTTTAAATTCAGTTTGGCATGTGGATTACCTGTAGGCAAGAAGAAATAATAGGCAATTGTTTTAGTGGAAATTGCAGTGGATTATGAATCTAGACAAGACTTCTTAGTCTGATGTGAGTTACAAAGTAGTTGGTATGACTTTTCAGAAGGTCGCTTCATTTCTCTAAGCCTCAGTTTTCTTATTTATAATAGGCTGGATCAATGGTTCTTATGTTTCTTTGGTCTTTGATGATTTCATAATAGCTATGGATCGTCTTCTCACAAAAATTTCCATACACAATTTTATATACTATAGAAAATTCATGTGTTTGCTGCAGCCCTTTCATGAACGCCCTGGTTGTTTGTGGACCCTGGGCTAGACCGTCTCTAGAGTCCCATTTAGCTCCAATATCGTAGGATTCTTTCAGTACTGAGATTACTTTAATATATTTGATAGAGAAATATGTGTGACTCGTGAAACAAAAATCCTTCAACAAACAGAGAATGAGGTGAAGTCTGTGTGAGAGATGATGGAAAGGCATCTATTTTACTATAAGAGAAAAACGTAAACATTTTGAAAGTGCTCTTGGACTTTGAAGACCTTATAAAAGTCTTTCAAAAATTACTCTGGCACATATTGAAGGATCTTGACTTCTGAAAGGTTTCAACTTTCAATTTTTTGTAAAATTACATTTTCCATCTGATGCCAGAAAGTCAGTGCTGCTTTTGTCACAGCCAGAATCCAAGTGAAATGGCTGCTGGCAGTTCCAAGGAGTCAGAAAAAGTTCATGTGGCACAGGGAGGATGCCCCGTGCACAAAGAAGCTGTGCTGTTCTTCCAGGGTGGGTTTGTGTGCGAGCTGGCACTCTGAGGATGCTAACTTGTCACTAGGGGAGATGCCCAGGAGATAAGATTCTCCCTACCACCACACACTACGCAATTGTTAGAGCTTATATGTCAAAGGATTAACGCTTTTTTCCCCTGAACTGGTGTTCTCATTAAAGCCCTATTGTTTTGCAGTTTGCAGTCTCCACCTCCACATTCCCCATAAAATCCTTTAGTTTTGTAGCCTTTTGATTACCAAAAGTTTGGTTGTCCGTGCTACAGCACTCTTAAGATGCGTATACATCGAGAATGAGATTCTGGTGGTGTTTGTCCTCAGTCACTTGTTGGAGATGACTGACAGGCGGTGAGAGATCAGGTCAGCAGAGCTGGGCTTGTGGCTTGGTTTTTCCTTGGGGCTCATGCAGTTTATTATAATCACTATCTTCGTCAGCCTTGTTTGAGTATCAGGGTATGTAGGTGTGTGTCTACACACACAGGTGTGCTTGAGATTCAGGATCATGAAGGACAACCAAATGGCACAATTCCCCAAGGCTAGAAAAAAAGAGAACTAAGAATTGAACCCTTAATTCCAAATTAACGTCCAAATCTAATCTTCCCCCATTGCTCCAAAGCAACACTGTCCAGTAGAATTTTCTGCAGTGATGGAACTCTTCTTTATCTGTGCTATCCAATATGGTAGCCACTAGTCACACGTGGCTGTTAAGTACTTAAAATGTAGCTAACATGATAGAAAGTGGAATATTGCATTTTATTTAATTTTAATTAATAAAAATTTAAATATAAATTGCCACATATGACTAGTGGCTACTGTACTAGACAGAGAAGCTCTGGATGGTCCTTTCTGATTTTGGTTTTATAGAATAGTCTCCAAATATGAGACCTTGTGTCTTACATCACTGTCATCCTTTTGATGGGCAAACCTAATGATCAACTTAGAATTTAAAAAAGCCTTAGCTTGTCTGTATAAATGAAGATGTGCTCCATTACTGCCTGCTCAATAGCTTTGTTTCTCAGTAATATTTACACCCATCTTTAGGTATATGTGTCACACACACATCAAAGCAGTTTCCTAATGGGTGGCCCTTGTTTCTTACATGTCCCTGTAATTTCTGCCTTGGTGGTACCTGCCAAACACTCCTTTTTCTACCCTTAGAGTTTTTTGTTCTTATTCCATTCACTTCAAAATATCATTACCATTGCAAACAAGGAAAATGTGTTTATCAGAAACTGCAAACTCCTTTAGGGCCTCATAGGATTAATCACGGTTATAAAGTTTTATTAAACACAATTTTTGTTTAATGACAAGCTCCACCAGTCCTTCCCATTCCAAACCAATCCTGTCCTAAGGGTGAATTGCGCTTAGCAGATTGTTTTCAACAGATTCTTCAAGACAATCCCTATTACTTTGTCATGCACAGAGATATTTTTCTTCCTGGATAATTTGAACTTCCTTAAAAATCACATCTGTTTCATACTTTATTTATTTGTAATTTAAATCCTTAAATTGAATCTTTCATTACTAACATCTGGGCTTGAAATGCAGCCCACTTGAAAAAATACAAATTTTATTTTATTTGTAGTTACCCCCCTTCACTCGGTAGCACTGGTACAAACATTCTCTGGCCAGAGGCAAAACAGCCGGGTATCTTAAAGCTGTGATGCTGTACCACGTGTAATGTGGCTCACTTGATTGTCCCTGAAGTGACTGGCAATTTGCCCAGAATTAGACTGAATGCACGTAATAAGCTGTAGAATTTCCACAATATTGACAATTAGATATCTGTATACAGCAGCAGCTGTGTATTGTTCTCATGGTATGGTCCCCTCAAAGCACCTCCTAAAAAGAAAAAAAAAACCTGGCAGAAGGTTGCAGGCAGCAGAAAGGTAATATACATTGTATGAAATATCTCAAATTCAGATTAATAGGGATGTTTCTATTAGCACAGTTTTCTGCAATGGAAATCATGGCTGAAACAGAATGCTTTGGAATAGGAGTTTATAACACCACATCTGTATCGGGTAATTGCTATATTTTTAGCATGTTTCGGAGGAAGATACCTTTTCTCATTTCCATTCATTGTGAAAGGGAGAGAATTGTATCACCAGCGCTTCTGGTGCGTTTCAAGTCTTTAAGAGCGAGCAGTTCTGACCCTGTGGACATGTTGACATGCTCTTACCCTTCTGAAATGGCTTTGGTCGTTTAAAATAACTCTCACTATCCCTGAATGGAAATTAGCCCCAAGAAATCATCTTGTTTGTGGACAGTTTTGATGAAAAAGAGCCCAGCTTCTAATTTGCCATTTTTGCACTCTTAATACACAGAGAGCCATTCAGATAAACATGAAAACATCTCTCCGTGTTCCACCATTTTTCAAAATATTTCTTCACCAGCTCATTGTTCCATGACTGTAGAAAAGAAAAGAGAATATTAAGGAATTGAACTCATAGTTTCTTACTGTCTAGAAGCCACTGCCCACAGTCCTAAGATTTGAACATTATTTTAAACCACACGTTTGAAGTTTGCATTATGAATGGCTAATCTTTGATATTTTGCCCAGTGGATCTGGGGCAGACTGTTGTTGTCTGGAGCCAGACTCGGTAAACTTTGGGTTTTTTGCTGTTTGTCTCCTTGCAATAGAAATGAATGTTTTAAAAGAAAGCTGCTGTTTTTAGAAAAATACCATAAAACCTTGGGAACAATAAGATGTCATGTTTTCTATTGCAGATCTTAATTTATCAAGCTAATTACCAACAAAATGTAGCTAAATTGCTGATAATCTTGAGACTGATTAATTCAGCAACGAGACATTGTTGGGTTCTTTAAAGGTTAGCAGTAGTATTTGGGTAGTGTAGTAACATAGGATTCTTTCTCACCTCAAATTTTACTGACTCCTTCTTTTAGAAAACTCCACATTATTAAAAATGCATTCAATTTTGGTCCAACACATACATTGATTTCCCTATTAATACAAATTAGAGGAGAAAAAGAGAAACCAAATATTAGAAACTTGTATTTTCTTTCCCACAATCCAGTTTAAAATCCTATCTTTTAAAACTTATTTATATTTATACTTCTATTACTTTCCCTTCCCTGAGTTGAGTCTTTAGTAATTGCTTATTAATGATTGCTTTTCGTATTGAAAAAGCATCAGCAGATGGAGTGGGAGCTCCCTTCTAGGAATCAGGAACTCTGAATTCTCCAGTTTCAGTTCTGCTCCTAACAAGCTGAGCGACTTTTAGGCTAGTTGTTTTGCCTCTCTGAGCTTCAGTTCTCCCAAATGTAGGCAAAAGTTAGTAGAACTTGATCTAGAAGATCCAGCTTATCAGAGAGTCAGGGTGAAAATTACCATGGACCCTGAGGTCAGCTTTGGTGATGGCCGTTTCTTTTCCCAGGTGCAAGAAAGATACTTTCTTGGCACCCACTTCTACCAGTCTTGCCCTCTGTATTCACCTGCAGCTGAATCAGTGCCTAATGAGGTCAGATCATGATGTGTATGCCTGTGAACTGAAGACAGGGCTGAGACGGCATGAAATGTTATCGCTTGGGTGTTTCTATTGCCAGCAGCATAACATTGAGTCCCTTTGGTGCCTAATGTACTCTAATAAAGGAGGTTAAAGAGCCAGTACATTAATTGACTCCCGTCCTAAGTCCCTTTTATAACCTGTGCTATCAGCATAAGTACAAGTGTGGTGTAGTAAGGAATATCATTATGAAACAGATTTCCTGAGAGAGGAATTAGCTGGCTCTGGTGGGCATCCCTGCTGTAATGAACACACTTCTGTGTTTATGAATACAGTTATAGATGTATTCTTAACAATTCTGCTGGGGAACAAAAGCTTTCACTGGATAGCCTAACGGAGCATTTTCTTTGACTGGTTTTTGAAGGGTTAATTTGCAGTTTACTATTGAATAACATAAAATGAGCTGTAAATAATGTAATGATACGTATTGTTAAGCTACATATACTATACCAGGTGCTAGTACACCCACTCCTCACTTAGATATAATCTGGGGCAGTCAACAAACACAGATGTATTTTAACAAAGAAAGAGAGAAAGATAAAGACAGAAAGAACAAGAAAAAAAATTAAATCATATGTAAGATAATTTAACCAAGATAGAGATCCAGGTAAAACTTGGCCCATTTTTTTTTCCCTCAGAGTAGCTTCCCTGTACTGGGTGAAATACAACAGCATTTTGGCTTGTTTTTGGAACACACACGAGCCAAACACGTGGGAAACACCTTGACAGGCCTTTTGTATAACTACAAGGAAACTGATAATCCTAAATAAATTACATGGGAAAAATATGAATCTTTGAATACTAGTAATTATAATGGTTATTTTTCACTTTTGTAGCACCTGCAAATGATGTATATATAACAAAGCTTCAAAAAGCTCTAATTAACTTTTTATTTTTTTCCATTTACTGGCTTTAACCAGTTTGCATTAATTGGTAATTTATATCTATATATTTTTACCAAATATTTCTATTACTTTTGAGTGGCTGGAAATCACACATTATTGAATTTATTTTCACTGAATTTGTTTTTAATTTTTTTCAGCCATTTGCTCTAAACTTCTTTCTGCCTGCCCTGCTCTACCAAGGGGGTGGAGGGAAGTAGAAATTTCTGTGTTGAGCTTATGGGCAAGAGAGACCCACTCTTGCTTCTACGGTGCAGTGACATGACTTCTCACTAATAGTGCCAGTCAGAATTCCTAACTGCTTCTACCAAATGTGCGAGGGCTCTGTTTGGAAGACCTCCAGGCTCAGCTTTTCCACAGATTACTCTGGGCTATTCATGGCACAAGATTAGTCTGACCACCATGAAGACAATGCTTTGTTCTGCTTTAGGGCTTAGGAGAAGTCAGACCCAGATGAAGCAGACCTCTGAGGGGGTCTTAAAATGGACACCAAATTTAAAACCTTCCAATTTGCAATTCTGATTATTCTGAAATTAGCCGATTGCTGCCACTTTGGGTGGCAATGCCAGGGTAAAAGGGAGCCTAAGACTGTCTGGGGGCTAAACTTGTGACCGGGGAAGGAGAAAACAGGCACTACTTACCTCAGGAAATTTGGGGGAAGAAGGAAACAACCCATAGTTTTGCTTCCTCTCTTTCTCTTTGTGATTTTGTTTGGGTTTAAACGGACATCTGGGTGCCCCTGTCATCTACGCAGAAGTCTATGTGGTGAAAGGTTTTGACAAGCTTTCACTTACCAGGGAAGAAAAACAATTACCGTCTAGGGGTTGGACTAGTAGTAACTTGGGAGGGCATATTTACCTCCAGAAATCTGAGTCAGGAGGAATCAGACCAGGTGTGTGTGTGTGTGTGTGTGTGTGTGTGTGTGTGTGTGTGTGTGTGTGTGGTGTTTTTCTTTTTTCTTTCTTTTTTTTTTTCTTTTAAAGAAAGAACATTTTAGCTGCTATCCACGTAGAAGTAGAAGCTGGTGGAAGGTTCTGGCTAGCGGCAAGTGCCTCTTAGATCAGGGCCGCATCTCTCTGGCTGACCACCGGACTAGGCCAGAGTGAACGCTGCCTGAAAGTAAGACTTGGGCCTCTCAGGATGCAAAGGCAAGATGGCTGCCGCAGCCATCTGCAGGACATCAAAGTCTGCTGCCTGATGGTGCTTGGGCTGCCAAAGCTTCTAAAGGGTTTGGCGCCTGCCTGGAAATCGATGCAAACTGTCCATCTGCCGCATGGCACTGGCGACAGCTGATTCTTTTGCAGTCTGCAAGATGGACCCGACCTAAGCCAATCGGCCCCGGTCCCTGATTGCACAAGGTTTGTCCGACCCGTTTCATTAGCCAGACACACGAGATACAGTATGTGGTTTTTCATTTTGCTCGGTACGTGACACTATAAACACCAATGGTGGGGATGAACTGAGAAACCAAAGGGGACATACTGCTGCTTCTGCAGAGAAAGCATATTGGCAATGTTCAAAGCATATTGGGGCATAACAGTAGCCTAAAAACCCCAATATGGATTAGGACAGCTGACCAGATGTCTTGACTGACATTTTTAAACATGTTTCAAGGGTATCCCTACAGGACATAAAAGCTAACTATACATCTGTGGACTTCTTTTTTTGTCTCACCCCCACACAGCTTCAACTAAGTGTGTGGTGCATAGAAACTCGGAACGTAGCTAACAGCTCCAGGGACAAAGAAAAGCTTTGACATGCTCAGACTGTGGCCTACGTACCCAGGAAATGCTTGAGCTCCATTTGGAGTGAATGACTACTGGCAGCTGAGGGAATGAATGAACGCATGTCCCAAAAATGGATGTGTGCCGCTCTCCTGCAAGCTGCCCCTTTAAGAGAGTTTTTTTTTTTGTTTTTTTGTGGTTTTTTTTTTTTTTTTTTGGAATTGGAAGCTGTTCCTTCACTGCCCTATGCAACAAGCTTTTATGGACACTCCTGCAATTCAGTGTTCGGTGGTATATTCAGTTTTGCTCTTGGCTGACCTGGTTGGGGCTGTGGCAATCGGAAAGCCAGGAAATTGGCAGTGAAATGGAGAGTGGGTAGAAGGGGAGAGAGATTAGGATTTTAGGGAAGAGGGGCAAAATTATAATTTCCATTTACAAATTATAGGCTTGTCAGCATGAGAGATTAAGCTGGGTTTTAAAAGTTTGAAAATCACAAGGAAAAGCTGTACTTTTATAGCTTTTAACTTTTAATATTTGGGACCTCAAATGTTGGAGTTATATTCTGGGTTCTTTGTGGTAAAGCATATCTAACCAGAAATGATGCTTACTTAAGATTTCATATGTTTCAAAAGATTATGTTTTTCTTAATTTAAAATGAGCTAGAGGTTAATCCCAACCCCCATTTTGAACTGTAGGAGGCTGTAGTATGGATTAAACACAGCGTCTTCTTTTTCTTCTTTTCCTTGAGAGCGAATTTGGCATATAACTTGCCACTGGATGTCTTTGTCAGACTTTGTCTTCATACCTAGTTAGCTTTCTATCTGGATCTTTCTGAGCATGGCAGAATATTGGGCCTGCAGATTTACTGGTGCTGATGGTTAGAGGATGCAGGTTTTGTAGCTCAAAACCTTCTTTTCCTTAATAATTAGCATTTACATGAATCAGAAATAAACTTTTCACTTTCAACTAAAATGTGCATGATAGTAAAGCTAGGCTTATCTTAGAGAATCGTGGACTCATTTTTTAAGAGTTGGAATGGAAATTTGAGATGATCTCAGCCAAAATTCTTGTATTGAGGAGGATGTTGTGATGAAGAGGAAGATGAAGTGACATGTCCAAAGAAACACGGCAGCCAGGTCATGGCTGAGTTGGTCCTAGAGCCCTGGACTCCCAATCCTGTGTGTTTCCCTCTATCTGAATGAGGTCATCTTGACAACTGGACTTGCGCTCTTTAGGAGAGCAATACACTACATACCTGGATCATATTTTCTTTGACTAAAGAAAAAAAAAGGAAAGATAATGAAGTTAGAGATATTATAATTAAAAACTCCAAAATCTTGCCATGACCAGGAGGCGCTATGCAATAAATTAAAAGATTTCTTCAACTCAGCTTTTATCTATCTGCTGTTTACAAGGCTGTTTCAAAAAATATTTGCCCTGAGATGGGCAAGCACTGAGGTTTGTTAACTGAGTGGTGAGCTGGCACACACTGCAGAGGGCTCAGACCTGAGTGCCTAGTGACCATCCTTTACTTGGAGAAACTGGGAGGCAGCCCCACTCCCATATGTAATTCAAGCGTGCCTTCTCTCTGCTAGAGTCCTCCAGTAAAAATTGGCATAGCTGATGGGAGCTGTGGGTTCTTACATACATGATGAAAGTTTATGTGCTGGTTATAGAAACCAGCACATAAACATATTTTCTTGTCTATGTTGGCACAGGCAACTCCTTTCCACAGATAGTTAAAAAATAATGCCAGGTGCAGCATAAATAAAAGTTCTTCACAGACACTGTGCCATTAAACTTTCTTTTGTAAATGAAAGTCTTCCTTTGTTCCCTACTTCTTGCTGAAACAACTTTTATATTGGCCGATGAAAAGAGAAGGCTCCCAGACACAAACCTTCCAAAAGAACATGTTTATTACTGTAGAGTCTGGATTCCAGGGCCCAATTCTTTATATCCCTTCTTTCTAACTTGAAATCCATTTTTTTCAAAGATGAATGGATGTTGTAGAAAACCTTTTCCTTACCAGACAACACCAAAATATAGGGCAGTTTTGATTCCATCTCATGTGGTAGGCTCATAAAAATCATTCCATTAGGCATAGTCATAGCATTTATTTAGTCTGCTTGGGTGAGCTGGAGAAAAAATTACAAATGTGCTGAAGTTGTGATTTGAAAAAAAATCACAAATTAAAACTGGAGAATGTAAAAACTGAGGCAGAATGTTTCAGCACAATTTATGAGGTTTATTTAAATACTGCAATTCTTGCTAATAACTTGTGAACAAATCTCAACTTAAAAAAAGTCAGAATGAGCAAAAGATTATTTTAAACTCTTCCATTATCTTCTATTGCATCCCTCACTATTCTCACTTACCATGATAGCCTTTCCTGGGAGCCAAGACTTCCTGAGATGCTATACAAGTTAAGGCAGGATGGAGCATCAATCATTAATGTTTCTTTAGCAAAATTCTGTCTTGAAACCTGACTTTATTTGTCCAAGAGATCCAGGTGGAAACAACTGTTTCGTTGATGGTTTTTTTGGGGAAGAACTGGCTCCTACCTCTAGAATATTCGGGTTGTAGAAGCAGCCAATTAGTTGCCTTAGGAAAGAACATGAAGACAGATTGAGAAGTTACTGGGTTGGGGAGCAATGGTTTAAGTGTGGCTGTTACTTCTTTCTATGAGCACCTGTGCACTTCTCCCCACTAACATGCACTGGCCTGGCATTTGTCTATTTTCTGGATTTCTTTGGATCTACATGATGATAAATGGCTGGGTAGAAAGGCCAACCATCCAGGTGTTTTAACTAAATGTTCCAGGCATTTCATCAACATTTATTGAGTGGTTCTTACAAATAAGGGTGAGTGCTAAAGGCATTGGGAGATAACAAGGTGAATAGGATACATTTTCTATTCTTAAGAAGTTTGCAGCAGAGTCAGGCTTTGTGCAGAATCCAAAAGACCTTAACTGGATCCTGGGGATTTTTAACAAATTCAATGGGTACAAGTGGAGGAAAGCTATGGTTTGACAGACTGTATGTCTATAGGCCATATCCATGAATCAGACAGAGTAGACTCTTTAGCCTGTTTCTTCAAAAAACGATGTCCATTGCATAGGGTTGAAAGATCATAATTCCAGCAGGAATTTGCAACTTCGCTGACTGATGCATTTCTGGTGCTGAGTCAGGACTAGAATTTGCTCTAAAGCAGGGCTTGGGGTGTGAATCATAGATTGTGTTATGGATAAGGTGCTTGTGTAATTATCCTTAACCAGGGTCTTTTTAAAACTAAATGGATGCTATCAATAATTATGCTGAGATAACAGGAGTAAACTGTGGTGTCCTGAGCAAATGGTCACTCTGGCTATAGATGAGACTAACCCAGGTTAAGCTTCGTGAGTATACCTGTGGGAGGGGGAGTGTTTCTGAGATCACCTGGTGTGATAGCTCCAGACTCAAAGACACCAAATTGAAATGATGTGAAAATGCAACTTTAATGGCCATGCCGATAGCACTTGTTTTGACATTCCTTTCTTGGACCATGCTCTTTTTAGCTACCTTTCCATTACCTCATGACCAGTAGGGAATTAAGTGTGACAATGATTTAGATCATCTACCTTCAGATAATCTAGAGTTACCAGATTAGTTGCATCTTCACAGTTAAATGCACTGGAAAGCTAAGTTCTGTTCTGTTTACTACAGAAAAAAAAAATGCCTGGGATAAAATTCTGAAATATTTTCAGTGGCAGTATAAAAAATTGTTAAGGTAGTATCTCTTTAATTTTTCTTTGCTTTAAAACTCAGATTTAAAATATTTTATTAACAATATCTTATCCATTTTGCTTGTTTTGCAAATTTTATGATGAAAGCACCTTAGGAATCACTGTGATTTCTTCCTTGAGGATATTTTATTCTCTCATGAATTATATTGAACTTAGTGAAAACATGCTGTTTGGCACACAGTAAGAGTTCAATAAATGTTAAGTAAATAAATAATTTTGGATAAAACAAAGTAAAAATAAGTCATCTAATTTCCTTTCTAATTTAATTATGGACTTTCAAAATTCTTTAAGAAATTATTCCTTAGCAGAGAATATGAATGTGTGTTTGTGAGTAATTTTCAAGTCACTTACCTGTATTGCTGTGCTGAATGTACATTGGGGTGTGTATGTTGAGGTGTGCGTGTGTGTATAATTAACTGTTCACTGAAGCCTAAAGCTGTTACCAGAGCATAGCATTTAAAATTTACCACTTTCCTATATTCCTTATAGAAATTCTACCTGATGCTTATATTTCATAATCTGTATGTTCTGTGAGGATGAATTCATCTTACTGTCATCTTCTCATCTTTCATGGGGCAGCTATAATAACTATAAATGGCTCTACCTAGCGTGCCTAGCATCCTCTCAGACAGAATTCAACAACATGGTGCTTATTTTTAAATAATGATGACAATGAGGAAATAGAATCTTCATTTGGGTGTATTTTATAAATATAAGCTCAAAGAAAGGGACCCAGAATTTTTCACTATGTTTTCATCCAAATCATTAAAAGCAATATAAAATGCAGATTGCTTAGTCCATGAAAATTTTAATGTTAATTTGATATTTAGTAGGAATTGTGGCTTAATAAAACCATCTATTGTATTTAAGATAAAAAGCAGAGATGCTACACAAAATCTTAGTCTTAGGAGGAAAAAATGCATAGACTGTATTTAGAAGGAGTGTGAAGAGTAATTGGCAAATTGTGGATTCTGTACACTGTTAAAATTTTATGCTTTAACCCAAACAAAATTAATAGTCCACTTGGGTTTTGGAAAGATTGCTCCTGGACCAGTAGTGTATTTCTGAATGACATAAATATAAGAAAATTAGAAATTAACTTTAAATGGATTTAGGCTTCTTACAGAAATGAGAGCCACCCTTACACAAATTACTAAATCTATTCAGAGTAATTTATCAAGCAGTTATATGTTGTTTTGCTGTGTTGAAATTCCAGAAAATTTAATAACAACATACTTTCTGGAAATTGCATTAGCATAGACCATTAATAAGTTAGACCTATGGAACTTATGTGGGAGTATACTGTTGCTATTAGCAATGTATAGTAAAGTAGAAACTGGTTATCACTTAAGCATATCTATGGTAATGCCAAAAGATCAGGTTTTTCCAAAAGCTTTTGGTATCATCTGAAATAAGCACTTAGAAAATTGTTCTATGGTATTTAGCAGTTAATGTGAGCCAACAGTGGTGAGATAAGTGGTCCCACATGAAAAGGATATGGGAAGCCAATTATAGAATTTTACAGCCAGAAGCGTTCTTATCATCTAACTACTTCAAACCCCAGATAAACAGGTTCAGAGAGGTCAAGTGAGTTGCTCAAAGTCACACAGCTAGTTCATGGTAGAGCTAAAATGAACCCTGGGTCTCCAGGCTCTCGGCAGAGTGCTTTGTTTGTCATATCACATAAAAATTGTAAAATGCTGGGTTAACACTACTCACAAATAAGCAGGGATCTGGCAGCTGATGGATAAATTTGGCTGGTGCAAACAATTAAGCAAAATAACTCTAACATTGCAAAAAGTGTGGAAATTTATTTTATCTTTGATGTGGATTTTTAAAAGGGAGGCTTCTAGCTGGTCAAACTTAAATCATTGCTAACTTGTCATAAAGGGTTGCTTTACTTTTAGAGATCCACAAAATAATGATTCAGAAATGTGATTCATGCTTACAACTTGTTAACACCCAACAGTGATGGCAAAGTGTTGAAGCTTTCTAACTCAGACTTCCTTAAAATAATTAGGGAACAGAATAACTTACTTAAAGTGCAAGAAAAGAGGTCATTTGGGCCACAACCCAAGCCATTTTTATCTTACTTGGGGATTTTCCAGTTGTTTTAGACACATCAAACTTGGAAAACAAAGACAGCTGATCATTAAAAATTAAACCTAGTGCATTCCTAAGCCACCTCTTCAGTTGGTAAAGGGAAGGCGGTGTAAGTGGAGACTTGCAGCTGTGTTCCAAGTTAATTAGGGGTTTTCAGTTTGGCCAGTCACCCTATTTGCTCTTTGACCTTGCTGGTGCCTCTGCTGGTCTCCTTTGTGGCCCTGTCCTAGAAATGCGTTCTCCTTTTTACGTGGTTCAACTGTATTTGCAATTACAATGGTCTCCCAGAGCATTAAGAAGGCTAGGTCATCAGATAACCACAAGCTAAAGGTTTCAACTACAGCTATTCACAGTTTTCCTGAAAACCCAAGTATCATATCAGTGGTGGAGAGGACCTACAAAGTGGCAGCTATAGCAGCGAGAAATTTGAAAAAGATAAATGGCGTGGTTTGGAGTGCTCTGACAATAGCAGGTGTGAAAATAGATTATTTCTTCCCTCTCTGCAGCTACTCGTGTCACTTTCTACCCTTAGTCCTTTGTTATTATTGCATGTATTTTGGCATTATTACATCTGCCTCATTTCATGACACTGAAAAAACAAGGTTCAGAAAGGCTGAACTTTTAATTGTGGTGAGAAATAAGTTAGTTTAATTATTCTTGGGTAATAGAAAAGATGGGTTTTGTTTCTCTCCCTAAGTCCTTCCTTCCTAATCGCAATTCAACACTCTTTACCCAGTCTTGCTATGTATGAACTTCATGCTGCTAGACAAATAAATTCTTTGGAAAAATGCACATTTTTATTTGGAAATAATGCCATCTCTTTGTTAGATTTGCAGCAATCCTATTTTGCCTCTACTGTTTTTAAGTCGAAAATGAAAAATTATATAGAAGATGTTTGTGCATCATATTGTGCTGAATGGTATGTAGGTCAGCATGCTGCAGCACCGCAGATAAGGGACAGGGAACAAGTGTTCTATGTACTTACAAGCAAATATCAGTCATAATAGAGGAAGACAGATCTACAAGAGCGTTTTGGCTTCGGAAATGTTTCTTGTCATTAGCATTTAAAAAAAGCTATGAGATTCAGGCCTATCAGCACCGATTCACAGCAAACCCTGGCTTGCACAGGTTGTTATCTATTTCGCACAGAGGTACAGCTGGTTAGCAAATGGATTTGCAGATTTTTTTTTTTTTTTTGCAGGGATGAGTAAAAAGGCAAAGAATCAGGTACTTACAACCCATTCAGAATGTAACAATTTTGTTTGTGTTATAAACCAAACCTTCTGTTTTTGCAAACTGCATTATTTTTAGAAACAGAACCAAGAAAAAAACCCAGCTGATTTAAAAAAAATCTTTATTCATATTCCAGTATCCCTAAGGGTTCTAATATCCATGAAGTAATACCAGCAAAGAGAGCAATAAGAACAGCAGACTCCCATGATTCAGTTTACAATGCTGCTTTATTGTGTTAGCAGTCAAGTCAAAAGGCAATATCTAATATTTTTAATTTTTTATTCCTCTCTGTACTCCGAGATGCAAAGGGGGAGAAAGTGCTGGGTAAAGGTACAATGTGTGTGTGTGTGTGTGTGTGTGTATATGTGTGTGTGTCTGTGAGAGAGAGAGATTAGAGGGACATGCACAGAGAGAGAGAATATTATTGAGTCTTTATTTGGAAGGGTAAGGGTAATGCATTTTAATATTTATGTGAATTGATATCAATTATCAGAAAGGATATCATGACACAAGGAATATCATAATTTTGTCTGAAACTATACTATAATGGTAAATCTAGCTGATTTAAGTTCTTTGGGAAAAAAGGGCAATTACTGAGAAGAGAAAATAGACAACAAGGTGTTTCTGCCTCCCAGGTCTGGAGATATTTAAACCCTTCTCTTTTATTAAAGAGTTGTTTGGGGAGTTTCCCAAATCAAGAGATGGTACAGTGACCACCACATTTAATCACCTGGGTGTTTATAGACCTCTGTCAAATAGTTCTCTGTAAAGATGCTGAGTTGTACTGGGTGTAAGACTTGGCTTGCCAAAAAGCATTGCTCCCTACATCAAGCCTAGTGGATGAATTACCATGAATGATTAGACATGCACTCTACTAGGCTCCCAGTGCCACAGTTACTGTTCACATAGACAATACTTACACTAGATCTCTTTCTAGTACTATTTGCTTCATTAATAGGGAGGTGGCAGAAACTTGTGCAGCCAGGCAGGATAAGCTAAATTCTCTGTCAACATCTTAGACTTAGATCAAAGATTGGAATGAGGCAAGGGTGCATGGGGGGAGATGATGAAAGAGTAAACAGAAATTAAGAAATGGATTGGATATTCTGGAAACATTTGATAAATGAAACACTGTCAAAGTACAACACTGAGTATTTTTGATTACAGCACTATATTAGGAAATAGACAATCAGCCACTTCACTTGTAAATCAAGTTTTCCTGAGTTAGTTTATTCCTCTGTCTGGCAAGGCAAATACATTAGTCTTCAGTTAAATCACTATACCCTATCCAATTATCTTTTGTGGAAGCATTCTGAAGAACAGGTCTTGCTTTCCCCTTTTTTGTTTTATTATCTTAGTATGTCCTCTCTCAGGGAGGTAATGGATAGAACTGCATTTTAATTTAATTAGTGACTTTGTAATCATATATATTTTTATTTAATGCATTTAAAACATTATTCTAAAAAGGGGTCCATAAGCTTCATTAGTATTCCATGGCCCAAAAAAGGTTACAAGGTAGATCTGATAGAGAATAGACCCTTGGGGGAAAATAAAACAAATGGTGAGAGGTCCTTCTATAAAAACGTCCCCAGAGTCAAGTGGCAGGTACTAGGTCCTCCTTCGTTTCTCACTGCCTCTGAAAATCAGAATGTCTTAAATGCTGAGGACCCAACCAAGCTGAAGGACTAGGTAGAGAAAAGTGTGTAAAACAGGATGGGCTTCTGGCATAAAGAAGTACAATCCTTATTATTCATGTTCATGTGTTTCCTTCTGTTCTCAGGAAACTTGCCATCATTTTCTCCCTACTCTTTTCCTGCCTTCCTCTGCTCTTTCTTTTGAATAATCCTTATTTCTTTTACTAAAATTCCTATAAGCTGTAGGCTTCAAGAGAACAGCCTGCTCTGTGTTCTTCACAGGATCTGGTGTGGCATAGGAGGTCAATAAACATCAAATAAATAAATGAATGAATGAATCAAAGTTTGTGTAATGGGAAATGATAGTGTAGTCGGGAGAGTTCCCATGTGGACAAACGAGCTTAAAAAAGCTGTTGAATCAAGTTTGGCCTAAAACTGCCTTCTTATGTATTTTAAGTTCAGCCTAAATGTTTCTCTGTACGTAGTGAACTATAACCTAGATGGAAGTGTAAACAGACTGTAATCTACTCTTGTGCCAATCACCACTTGCCAATTAAAGGGGGCCAACTGTTCAAACTGTGTTCAAATAATGCAAACGTCAAGCTGTAACCAAAACGACTGTTTCTATACCTCACTTCCACTTTCTGTGCATCACTTTCCTGTTTCTGTTCATAAATCTTCCACCATGCGGCTGTGCTGGAGTTTCTCTGAACCTACTCTGGCTGAGGAGGCGGCTCGATTCACAAATTGTTCCTTGCTCAATTCAACTCTGTTAAATTTAATTTGTCTGAGATTATTCTTTTAACAGTGCCAATATAGTGTCAATCAAATGTGGAAATGAAGAAGTGTATAGAAAAAGTTTCAGTTCTACCAGATAACAAACTCTAAGCCTCAGATGTGAGAATCTCTAGCAAAGACTGATCTGAATGTATGGACCATGTCTCCTTTCTTCTTTGTCCCTCCCAACGTTGACTGCTTAGGCAGCAAGGTCAGTGTTCCCAGATATGAAGACTACATGACATCCCCAGGCACATCACCTGTATTATGATGAGGGCTCTCTAGGTCGGGTTGGTCTGGACCTTTATAGCTACTAACCTCCTCTTTAAAAACATTAAAAAAAATCCTAGGCGTAGAAATAACACAAAAGAGTAGTAAAATAAACATCCAAAATTCAGCAGGAGAATGTTGCAAATACTGTTGCAGCCCCCTTTCATCTGTTCTAAACCCATCCTTCACCTTCCCTAAGAGTAAAGCAATCACCGTTCTGATTTTGGTTTATCATTGCTTTGCCTTTTGTTAAAGTTCTATTACATAGCTGTTTATCAATGATCTATTTCTTCCTTTCTATTTTTTTTTTACAAAAGGTATATGTCTGTCTTACATACTTTTCATGCAACTTAATTCTTTCTTTAAAATTATGTATCTGAAATCTATCCATGTCGATATATGTAGCACTATTTCACTGATTTTTCAGTGTTGCATGGTCTTCTATTATGTGAGTAAACACAATTTATTTGTACAATTGCCTGTCGATAACATTTTGGATTGTTTCTGTCTCTTTGGTCTCCTGAGGCTGAACATAAAGAAAGAAATACATTTTAATTTATTAAAAATGTATTTTTGTTGCAGAGAAATATGACAAGGTGATCAACAAAATACTTTTAAACATATAAGGTATTAAATAAGGGTGAAGTCCAAGGAGTCTAATATGGTTTGGCTGTGTCCCCACCCAAATGTATTCTTGAATTGTAGTTCCCATAATCCCCATGTGTCATGGGAGGGACGGGGTGGGGGTAATTGAATTATGGAGGTGGTTACCTCCATGCTGTTCTCATCATAGTGAGTGAGTTCTCATGAGATCTGATGGTTTTATAAAGGGGTTTCACTTCCTTTGCTCTGTACTTCTTCCTGCTGCCATGTGAAGAAGGACATGTTTGCTTCCCCTTCTGCCATGATTGTAAGTTTTCTGAGGCCACCCCAGCCCTGTAGAACTGTGAACCAATTAAACCTCTTTCCTTCATAAATTACCTAGTCTCAGGTATGTCCTTATAGCAGCATGAGAATAGACTAATACAGTAAATTGGTGCCAGGAGTGTGGTGCTGCTGTGAATATACCCAAAAATGTGGAAGCAGTTTTGGAACTGGGTAACAGGCAGAGGTTGGAACAGTTTGGAGGGCTCAGAAGAAGATAGGAAAATGTGGGAAAGTTTGGAACTTCTTAGAGACTCGGAGGGCTCAGAAGACAGAAATCTGTGTGGAAGTTTGGAAGTTCCAAACTGCCTAGAGACTTTGGCTTTGCCCCAAATGCTGACAGTGATATGCACAATAAAGTCCAGGCTGACATGGCCTCAGATAGAGATGAGGAACTTGTTGGGAACTGGAGCAAAGGTGACCCTTGTTATGCTTTAGCAAAGAGACTGGTGGCATTTTGCCCCTGCCCTAGAGACCTGTGGAGTTTTGATCTTGAGAGAAATAAGTAGGGTATCTGGTGGCAGAAATTTCTAAGCAGCAAAGTGTTCAAGAGGTGACAGAGCATAAAAGTTTGGAAAAATTTGCAGCCTGACAATATGGTAGAAAAGAAAAACTCATTTTTGAAGAGAAATTCAAGCTGCTGTAGAAATTTGCATAAGTAATGAGGAGCCAAATGCTAGTCACCAAGACAATGGGGAAATGTCACCAGGGCATGTCAAGGACCTTCATGGCAGCCCCTCCCATCACAGGCCCAGAGGCCTAGGAGAAGAAAATTGTTTCGTGGGCCATGGCCAGGGTCCCCTTGCTGTGTGCAGCCTAGGGACTTTGTGCCTTGTGTCCCAGCTGCTCCAGGTGTGGCTAAATGGGGCCAAGGTACAGCTCGGGCCACAGCTTCAGTGTGCAAGCCCAAACCTTGGCAGCTTCCACATGGTGTTGGTCCTGAGGGTGCACAGAACACAAGAATTGAGGTTTGGGACCCTCTGCCTAGATTTCAGAGGACATATGGAAACACCTGGATGTCCAGACAGAGGTGTGCTGCAGGGGCAGAGCCCTCATGGAGAACTTCTTCTAGGGCAGTACAGAAGGGAAATGTGGGGTTAGAACCCCCACAGAGTCCCCACTTGGGCACTTCCTAGTAGAGCTATGAGAAGAGGGCCCCATCCTCCAGACCCCAAAATGGCAGATCCACTAACAGCTTGCACTGTGCATCTGGAAAAGCCACAGTCATTCAACACCAGCTATGAAAGCACCTAGGATGGGGACTGTACTCTGCAAAGCTATGGGATGGAGCTGCCCAAGGTCACGGGAGACTACCTCTTGCATCAGAGTGACTTGGATGTGAGACATGGAGTCAGAAGAGATTATTTCAGAGCTTTAAGATTTAATTACTGCCCTATTGGATTTCGGAGTTGCATAGGGGCTGTAGCCTTTTTGTTTTGGCTAATTTCTCACATTTGGAATGGGTGTATTTACCCAACGCCCATACCCTCACTGTATCTAGGAAGTAACTAGCTTGCTTTTGATTTTACAGACTCATAGGTGGAAGGGACTTGCCTTGTCTCAGATAAGACTTTGGACTTGGAATTTTGAGTTAATGCTGGAATGAGTTAAGACTTTGCGGGACTGTTGGGAAGGCATCACTGTGTTTTGAAATGTGAGGACATGAGATTTGGGAGGGCCAGGGGTGGAATGATATGGTTTGGCTGTGTGCTCACCCAAATCTCATCTTTAATTGTAGTTCCCATAATGCCCACATGTCATGGGAGGGACCCAGTGTGGGGTAATTGAATCATGGAGATGGTTACCTCTTGCCCTTTTCTCGTGATAGTGAGTGAGTTCTCATGAGATCTGATGGTTTTATAAGGGGCTTTACCTGCCTTTGCTCTGCACTTCTCCTTCCTGCTGCCATGTGTAGAAGGATGTGTTTGCTTCCCCTTCTGCCATGATTGTAAGTTTCCTAAGGCCTCCCCAGCCCTGCAGAACTGTGAGTCAATTAAACCTGTTTCCTTTAAAAATCACCCAGTCTCAGGTATCACCTTTATAGCAGCATGAGAATGGACTAATACAGAGTCAAAGGAACAATGCAAAATTTCTAACTTAAAAGATGAATTTAGACATGGCTCTTTTTTTTTTTTTTGCTTCTTTCCTTCCTTCTTTCTTTTTTCTTTCTTTCCTTTCCTTTTTTTTTTTTTTTTTCTTGACAGGGTCTTTCTCTGTCACCCAGGCTGGAGTGCAGTGGTGCAATCATAGCTTAATGCAGCCTTGAACTTCTGGGCTCAAGCCATCTTCCCACCTCAGCCTCCCAAGTAGCTAGGACTACAGGCACAAGCCACTGTGCCTGACTAATTTTTAATTTTTTTTTGTAGGGACAGAGTCTTAATACCCTTTCCTTGTCCTCCCAAAGCACTGGCATGAGCCACCATACCCATACCCATTCCCTGATTTGCACTTCTATCAGCATTACATGACAATTTGTTGCTTGGTACTCTTGTCAGCAACATGTGGTATCAAACTTTTCAATGTTAGCTAATTTGGAGGAATAGCTATTCCTCCAAATGATGATTTTTTTTTTCTTTGCTTCCCGTATTACATTTGAAAACTTTCCCACATCTTTCTTTGGCCATTTGTGTTCCCCCTTCCATGAAATTTCTGTCTATCCCAGAGGAATTTCTGCTCATCATTATCTATGTGATTCCTCAAACTTCCCAGACTCCCTACTATTAGGTGGGGTCATATGAATTTTTCTGATCAATGAGCTGTGAGAGGAGCTAGAGCATTTAAGAGTTGGTGTGTGACATCTTAACCCTCTTTTCTCCTGACACAGTGACCATGGAGGCTTATGTTGAGATGATGGAGCTATAAGATTGAAATAGCTTGAATTGCTGAATCCAATAAAGGACAGCTGCCCTGAAGAGTCACTTAACCTGCAGTAGACAATGAGTGAGCAAGAAATAAATTTTTGTAGGTTTTAATCCATTGAGATTTTTAGGTTCATTTGTTGTTCCAACATAGCCGAGACTATTCTGACTAATAATTTTGTTCAATTTTCTTTTTATTTTTGGTGATTAATAAGGATTCTTTATATATTCTGGATACTGATCTTTTTCTGTTTTATATATGAGACAAATATCTCCTTCCAATTTGTGAATTATATTTTATTCTCTTTATGGTGTCGTTTGATGAACAGAAGTTCGTCATTTTAATGGAGCCAAATTTATTAATCTTTTACTTTATGAATTGTGATTTTTATATATGTTTAAAGAAATCTTTCCCAAATTTAAGGTCATTTAGATAGCATATGTGTTTTTTCTAAATGCTTTAAAGTTCTGCCTTTACTTTTAAGTTTTGTTCATTTTAGAAATGATTTTTATTTTTATTTTTTATTTTATTTTATTTTTTTGAGACAAAGTCTCTCTCTGTCACCCAGGCTGGAGTGCAGTGGCGCAATCTCGGGTCACTGCAACCTTCTCCTGGGTTCAAGCAATTCTCCTGCCTCAGTCTCCCATTTTTATGGGAGGCCTTTTTATGTCTTTAAAGGCCTTTTTATGCCTTTAAAATTTTATAATTTTCTCCATCAAGGTCTTTTACATCTATTGTGAAATTTCTTTGTATGATTGTGTACATTTTCCTTGCCCTTGAATGTGGTATCTTAATGTTTTTAATATGCAATAATAATAATTATGCCAATCTTGTTTCATTTATCCTCTCTTTCTTTTTTTCCTGGAATATTTTAAAGCAAATCCCAGACATTATATTATTGTACATACAAATACTTCAGTATTCATGTCTAGATAATAAGGATTTCAAAAAATCCTAACAACCATGTAATTGTCATACCTAACACAATTAGCAGTTCCTTTATATCATCTAATAACAAGTCAATGTTGAAATTTCCTTGATTGTCTTCAACATGGCTAGTTTGTTTGAATGACGATTGAAACAAAGTCTGCATGTTGCCTTTGGTTGCTTGTCCTCAAAGTTTTATTCTTATACATCCTCCTATCATGTTTTAATTGATTTATTGAAGCATCCAGGTTATTTGTCCTGTATAGTATATACTACAGTTTGGATTTGACTGTTTGCTTCCTTGTCGCACCATCTAAGTTCTTCCTCTATGACCCATATTTCCTGTAAACTGGGAGTTAGATCCAGAAGCTCAATTGGATTGGATACAGATTCTTTATATGTATGTCTACCTCGGGGGCTGCTACTTTTACTAAGCCTGAAGAGGTAAAGGGAGAGAAGTTTGTTACCAAGTAAGAGCTGGAGTGTTGGGAGATGGGCCACCTGAAGGGAGCCGTGGTCAAAGGGAAAAGCAGCACAGCACTGAGCTTGCAATGGAGTGAAAGGAATAACACTAATCTCTCCTCCCACCCTCCATCCCCTGCCAGTACTTCCCTCTGGCTCAACCCAACTGGGTAGGGACCTATGTGAGGCAGCTGATTGAGGTCAGATGCCTGGGGCACAGAGGAGTCCATGAAAGGGCAGATAACAGAGCTGAGGGACTGAGGGAGAATCATCAGCACAGCATTCATTGATGATTATTGTCTTGTTCTATTATTTCATTAAGCAGTGCAAAAATAGTGATTATCTAATTCTGTCATTCCTTCTGTTTTCTTTATATAAGAAGTTCTCCTTTTATCCATTATTTGGTTACTCTGAAAATACAATTTATATGAAAGGGAAGAATAAATGATTAGTTATTAATTAATGTTCAGAGTAATTAGTAGGTGTCTTAGAACTTACAGTGGTGACTTATGAGTTTCTATTAATATCGTTATGAATTATGAATTTTTATATATTTGATATGTTTCAACTATTGTGGTTATTATTCTTTTTCATGCTCAAATTGTACCATCTTAGTCCAGTGGGGGCCCTTTCAAGTTGGCTACTGTGTCCTTTTGAGATGACTTCATTAGTCTTTTACAGCTAGCTTGCTTTCTTTTCTTTCTTTCTCTCTCTCTCTCTCTTTCTTTCTTTCTCTTCCTTTCCCTTCCTTCCTTCCTTCCCTTTCCCTTTCCCTTTCCCTTTCCCTTCCCTTCCCTTTCCTCCTTTTTGACACAAAAGATGTCCCAAGCTAATCTTGTATTATACTTTTCCTGCCCCAAGGTTTAAGGCAGTAATTTCTCTAAAATGCCCTGATTCCTTTTGTGGCAACTGGTATTTAGAAGCCTTAATTCTGGGTGCTAGGGGTGTTTGCTCATGGCTTTTGGGTTGTCATTGTTTCTAAGTCTTTAATGTGGACAGAACTAGAAAACAGATGTATTTTTGGAAGAGAAAAAAATTGAGATTTTTTTCTCACCTAAATTTCAGTTTATGGAGTTTAATTTAATTTTGATTGTATGCCTTTTTTCTTACATGAAAACATTGGTTCATAAGGGCACAATTATTTGCTTTATTCTACAATATAATATTAATAGTTTCAAAATAACAAAACCAGTATTACAATTTGCAGTGAGTCTACTGAATGCAACTTAAGATTTTTTTGTGATTCTTTTTGTTTTAAGAATATATCCTACTAGGGAGGAGCACTCAAAATAGAGTACTTTGACTTTAGAGTTAATTGAAGTAAAATTTTTCTGTGAGTAGTTATGTCAGCAAATTGATATTTAGTTGGATTCATTTCTTTCAGTTAGTTTTCGATTTTGAGGCTTTGTTTCTTTTTGATTTAATTTTGTTTTTTAATTTATATGGTTCCAAAGTCAAAAGTATATAACCAGATGTATTCACAGAATTCCAGCTTCTGTCCCTATCCCCTCCATGTCCTTCCTATCTCCATCATAGGTAATCATTTTTAAAAATTAATTTTAAATTTGCCCTTCGGTTGTTTCTTTTCAAAAATATAAAAGTTAGCAATATAAAAATTTTATTTACCTTTTTCTCTTTTGCACAATGATATGTTTAGAGTAAGAATAAAATAACAATAAAGTCTGAAAATAGCATATAATAAACCATAAATAATTTTTTGCATATTCCTTTTATTGTTTAGCTATATATATATGTGTATATATATATGGATATAATATATATGGATATATATGGATATAATATATATATGGATATAATCCCATATCAACATTTACAGATGATAGCTTATTCTTTTTTTACAACTTATTCCTTTTTAAGGGCTGCATTATACTGTGTTGTGTGGATTTATCATAGTTTATCCAACCAGCTTCCAATAATGGAATTTGGGTGGTTTCTACTCTTTTGCTATTGAAAATAACACCGCAATCAATAACTTTGTGCCCATGCTATTTACATTTTGTCATTGCATCTTGGGGCTAGAGTTCTAGAAGTGGCACTGCTGGATTAAATATGTATATGATATTTCGTTAATATTGCTAAATTTATCCCCATGGGAGCGTGTGTGTGTGTGTGTGTGTGTGTGTGTGTGTGTGTGTGTGTGTGTTTCCACCACTATTATAGGAGACTGCTCATTTTCCCATGGCATTGCCAACAGATCATGTCGTCATGATCTGGTTTTTTCCCAATCTGATGTGTGAGAAATGGATCGTCACAGTAGTTTTAATTTGCATTTCTCTTATTATAAGCAAGGTTGAACATCTTTTCATTTCTGTGACCTGCCTGTTTATGTTTTGTACTTATTTTTCTTCTGAATTATTAGTCTTCTCAACTTTTAGGAGGAGCTGTTTGTATGTTAGAGAATTTGCCCTTTGTCTGTGATTTGTTACAAATTCTTTTTGTCCAGTTTGATATTTATATTTTCACTGTACTTATGGTGTTTTCTGTTTTTTGTCCTTATTTTTGCTATGCAAGTTGTTTTTTGTTTTGTTTTATGTGGGCAAATGAAAAGTTTTTCCCACTTCAGATTATAAAGAATTTAACCCATGTTTTGTTCTAGTACTTGTATTATCTTTGAAAAACTTTTATTATGGAAAATTTCAAGTATATAAATATAGAGAGAATAGTGTAATGGACTTGGTTTATTCATCAACCAGCTTTAACAATTATCATTACATGGCCTATCGTGTTTCATCTATACCCCTAACCCTTTTCTTATCCCATATTATTTTGAAGAAAATCTAAGATATTGTATTATCTGTAAATATTTTAGTATATAAATGATCTTTTTAAAATTACATTTTATGTTTTTGCTGGTTTATAGAAACGTAATTAATTTTTGTATATTAAGATTTTATCTTGATTAAACCTAGCTTTAAAAATAATTTGCTTGTAGATTTGAATTTTCTATGTAAAAAATCCTATCATATGCTGATTACTATAGTTTCTCTTCTTGATTTCTAAACTTATATACTTTATTAAATTAAAATATTAATGTTTTCATACTTTGCTGACTAGAACCACCATAGAGGATTTTCTTTTTCTAATTTTAAAGACAATGATTCTAGATTGGGCATGGTGGCTCATGCCTGTAATCCCAGATACCAGTGCTTTGAAAGGCCAAGGCAGGAGTAGAGTATTGCTTGAGGCTATGAGTTCAAGACCAGCCTGGGTAATCTAGTGAGACTCCATCTCTAAATTAAAAAAAAAAAAAAAGCTGAGCATAGTAGCATACACCTGTGGTTCTAGCTACTTGGGAAGCTGAGGCAGGAGGATTGCTTGAGCCCAGGCATTGCAGGCTGAAGTGAGCTATGAGTGAGCCACTGTACTTCAGCCAGGCTGACAAAGTGAGACACTGTCTCAAAAACAAAAACAAAAAACAAAAACAATAAAACACAGACAGTGACTCTAATATTTTACATGTTATGTGTACTGTAGATTGTTGGTAGACATTGTTTTTCTGCTTAATGAAGTTACCTTGCTTTTCTGACTTGCTACTAATTTTTATCATGAATAGGTTTTAAATTTTGTTGAAATATTTGTATCCACTGAGATTATCTTATATTCTTATCTTTTGTTTATTTTTTATTGTGATTGATTATGTGACTTCTATAACTAAATCAGACTTGCATTCCTGGGATAAACCTAACTTGATTAAGATGAGTTACTTCAAATAAAATTATAGATCCGGATTCAGTCTGCTAATATTTTAAAAAGTTTATATCCATATTTGTGAGTGATATAGGCCTGCATTTTCCTTTTCTATCAGGGCCTTGTATAATTTCAATATCAAGATAATACTACCTCCATAAAGTGAGTTGGGAAATGATCCTTCTTTTTGTATTCACTGTATAAACTTAAAAATGTTGCTCCCTGAAAATTTAGGACAGTTCACCTATTCAACAATCTGAAACTTGGTGGGTTTTGGTGGAAGATTTTTTAACTATGGTGTTTTAAAAGGTTAACTAGATTATTGATATTTTTGGTTTCTTCTTGAGTCAGTTTTATTAAGTTGTGTATTTTTAACGGAATTTGTCCCCTTCATTTAAGTTGTTGCTTATTGGCCTAATACTGTTCAGGATATCCTGATTTTTAAAAATTTTCTGTGTCTGAATTTGTAACCCCATTTCCATTTATAATATTGTTTATTTGTGCTTCTTTTTTCTTTACCAATCTCACCATAAATTGGACTATTTTATTAGTATTTTAAAAAATCAACTTCTCATTTTGTTGTTTAATATTATGTCTCATTTTTAATGAATTACTTTTAATGATTATTTTATATTATTAAAATTTTTTCTTCTACTTCATTAATTCATGGATTTTGTATTTATAACTTTTAATTTGGACACTTTGTTCACTAAATTTCAGCTTTTCTGCTTTTCTATTATAGACCTTAAAAAATGGCTCTGCATTTCATTTATTTTGACTTGTGTTTTAAAATTTGTATTTTATTTTTCTCTAATCTCTGAGCATTTAGAAGTATATTTTAAATGTTAATAAATACTATTTTAAGTTATTCTTTTAATATATTTTAAATGATATTGCATTTTGGTGAGGGAGTATGGAATATATGATACGTATTTTTTTGAAATTTATTAATACTTTGTGCCCTGATACTTGATTAATTTTTGTAAATGCTCTATATGTGTTGAAGATAATAGCATTCTTTAATTGGAGCAAGGTTCTTTCAATGTCCATTAAATTCAGCCTGTTAATTTTGCTATTCAAATCTATATTTCTACTAATTTCGACCTTTTAATTAGTAAGATAAATTTTAAAAATCTCCTATTAGAATGGTGAATTTATTAATTTCTTCTTGTAATCTTATGTATTTCAAGGCTATTTTATTTGGTACAATAAATTTTTTAATCGTTTTCTCTTTCTGGTCTGAGATATATGTATACACTCTTGTCTCTGTCTCTGTCTGTCTGTCGGTCTCTCTTTTTCTATATGTCAATTTTTTATCCCTAATAATGCTTTCTTGCCCTAAGGACTGTGATATGATATAATATGGCTATTCTTCCTTTTGATCAGCACTTGTCTGCCGTATTTCTGTATGCTTTTATTTTCCACTTTTCCATTTCTGTGCATGTAGGTGTATATCTTGTAAACAACATAGAGCTAAATTTCTGTTTTCCAGTTTGATTTACTGTAATTTTATTGATAATATAGCACTTTTTTTATTCTTGTCTTCATTCTGTTTTTAAGTGTATCCTGTTTTTCCCCTAGATTCGATTTTTCTTCTTATTTAAATTTTTTTCTTAATTTTTCCCCTCTATTAGTTTAGAATTTATATTCCATTTCTTTTTGGTTAGTGATCAGCCTTTAACTATTAACCAAGTTTACAAAGTCTAAATTTAATCAGTATCTTTCTCATGATTCTGTTCAATGCAATGACCTATACCAGTGTTCTGTCTTTTCTGTCTGGATGTTTTTAAGATGTTCTCTCTATAGTGTCATTTTGTAATTTTACTTCAGTATTTCTTAACGTATGGGTCATTGTGTTGACTTTGTGTTCTCAGTTTAGAATTTCCTTAATTGTACAGTTAATATAAATTATAAATAAAATTATTCTTATATCTGGAGCCAAGATTGGGTGAGACAGCTTTTTCTAATGACTTCCTTTGGGGCAGGCAAGTAGATCTTTTTTTCTAGATCATCCTCTCATCGAGATTGTGGCCTCTTTGAGGGTCCAATTATTATGTAGGGGTTTGAATTCAGCTTATTTACATTGTTCAGTCTTGTGGCCTAGTCTTTCATTTTGGTGGAGACCATTGATTTCCACATCTCTAGGTTCACATGTTGACTTTTACCCCCAGGACTGTCTTGACTACCAAGTTTTCTTAGCACTCTGATTTCAATTCTTTGTTTAATCTTATTTTATTTTTGCCCCAGTGATTTCCCTTTATTTTATTGTGAGCTCAATAATGTATTTAAAAACAAGTTTATTGTACTATATTCAGCAGAAGGTATTTTGCAATGGACCATCTTTTTCCCTTAGAATATTTAAGCCATCATATTGCCAGAAGTGGAAGACTCCCATCTTGCAATAGATTCTTAATCAGCCTCTGTTTCCACTCTTTTTCTTCCTCAATTCATTCTCCATAAAGTAACTGGAATAATATTTTTACAGTATCAATCAAGTCATGTTATACAAGAATAAAATTAAACTCTTTAACTTGGTACACAAGGCCTATGTGACCTGGCCATGCCTACCTCTTCAAACTCACCTTCCACCTATCCTCCACACCGACTTTCATCATCCACATTGTCTCTCATTCTCTTCCTTCACAGGCCGATCATATCCTTGCCTTAGATCTTTTATTGATCTGTCTCCTGTGCCTAAAATGTTCTCTTCCAAAATCTTTGTGGCCTAGTTCCATCTATCATTCATATTTCAACACAAATGTCACTTTTTCAGAGAAGACCTCCTTGACTATTCCATCTGAAGTTGCCCATCCACAATTTCACATCACCCTGGTTGTTTTTCACAGTACTTACTGCCATCTGAAATTATCTTATTTATTAGTTTACTTGTTAATTATCTCTCTCTTCCTACTAAGATATTAGCTCCATAGAACGGGGAGATGATTTATTAATATGTGACCAGTGCCTAGATAGTTTAAATATTCAATATACATTTATCACATAAAATTCATTAAAATAATATGTATTGAATACCTGCTATGAGCCAGACACTGTTCTAGGTGCTGAGGATACATACATGAAATGAACAAATAAAGATTCCTGCCTCGTAGTTCTTACGTTCTAAAGGGGTGGATAGACATTAAATAATAAGCATACCACATAAATAAATTATAGAGTATGGTGAAAGGTCATATGGCAATGGAAAAAGAAAAGTAAGGTGGAATAGTGGGGAGGGACAGGTTGCAATTTTGAATAGAATAGATTAGGCCTTATTGAGAAAGTGATACAAAAGCTGGGTGGGTGTCTGGGAAAAGAACATTTCAGACAGAGAGAACAGCATGTGCTAAGGTCCTAAGGAGTCCAAGTGGTGGGAATAAAGTGAGAGGGTGAGAGGAGATGAATTTAGGGAGGCAGCTGGAGGCCAAAGTATAAAGCCTTGTAGGCTATTATAAGGATTTTGGTTTTTCCTCTGAGTGAAGTGGGAGCCACTGGAGAATTTTGAGCTGAAGAACGACACAATCTGACTTACATTCTAAAAGGATGTCTCTGGCTGCTGTGTTGAGAACAGGCATGGGGCAAGGATAGAAGTAGAGAGACCTATGAAGAGGCAGTTACAATAACCCAGGTTATTGATTGTTTTGATTAAGTCTAGTAGCAGTAGAGGTGGTGAGAAGTGACTGGATTCCAGAAAGATTTTGAAGATTGAGCCAACAGGATTTGCTAACAGTACAGACATGGCTTCTGAAAGAAAGAGAGGCATCAGTTATGTTACTAACAACTAGAGGAATGGAGTTGTTACCAGTTGATAGAAAGACCATGGGTGAGATAGGTTTGGGGTAAAAGATCAAGAGTTTTGGACCTGTCGAATTTAAACACACAAGTGATAATATTGAGTAGGCAGTTGGAGTTCAGAACAGGGCTCTGGGGAGGAGGTACAAATTTGGGAGTAGTTAGCATAGAGGCGGTATTTAAAATTCAGGGAGTGAATGTGTGTAGAGAAGAGAAGAAGACCAAGGACTGAGCACTGGGAGACTCCAATGGGGAGAAGGGGAGGAACAAGCAAAAAGATGGAGAAAAAGCTACCACCAGTGACCTAGGAGAACCAGGGGGCTGGCATCCTGCAGCCACATGCACATGGTGAGTGATCTTTCATACACTCCTGTAAATGTATAATTTTTGAAATTTCTATAAATGTAAGCCTAAAATGAGGGCTATTGAATTAGTTTTCTAATGTATACATTTTGTAATAACAAAAATTCTGTTCAGAGGAGAAACCCTTCACAATTTCCAAGACCAAGTGATGTGTAAGTTAAGATTTTGTAGGACGTAAATGTGCATATTTTAACCTGGTTTCTGTAAAGGTCTTACCTCTGTTGTTTTGACTCTCCTTGTGGGTAGGGATGGTCCCTTGGTCAATTGTCCCTTTTTGTCTTTGCTGGGGTTATAATTATCATGGGACTGAATGTGACTTAAGACCTCCATTTTTCCTGTCTGAGGTCTTTTTGCTGTTTCTGTTGCAATAAAAAGGATTCTAGAGAAAGAACATATAGAAATGTGATGGAATGGCCAGCTTCTCATTGGTAACTTAGCCTTGGCTTGCACTTTGATAGATTTCAGGATGGTTTCTAATTGTCCTGTATTTTGAATATGAAACTGGATTGGAAGGCACTTTTTTAGGTTCTCAATTGAATTTCATCAAACTCACTATGTTGGTTTTGCAAGTTCCTGCCATCACTCGACACACACAAACCCTCAACACACACACAAACACACACACAAAAACCCTCAACACATGCAAACCTAGCACATAGTAGGTATTCAGTAAATGTTTGTTCAGTTGAGTTGGAAGAGGTTCCCTTTCTAATATGGCAGATGCTACTTTCAAAATAACAGAAGACTTTATTTTGAAATGCTATCAACTTCCGGAAGTGGGTTGTTGCTTTAACACTGTATACACGTATATATACTCTGGTAAACGTGATGGTAAAGCATATCTAAGTTACACATTATCACCTCCAAAAATTAAAGTAGTTTATCCCTGTTGGTTTTCCTTTCCCATTAAAGTCATTATCTGTTCACAGAGCAGCATTAGCAGCTGAAAAGACATGACAGGGAATTGAACAAATTGAACATTCATAGTAGACAGATTTTCTCCTTCTGTGTGTGTGGATTGGACATGGCTGTGAACAGTTGGAGGTCAGACCATCACTAATATGTATAAAACTTTTGATGATAATTTACCATTTAAAAATATATTAATTTTTGGCAGAGGTGTGAACATCTTTGTCTTGCCTACAGCTTTATTTCCTGTGATACACAGAGAGCTAAAATCCACAGCGGGCCAATTTGAAAAGCAAGAAAACTTTTTCTTCATTAAAGCCCCATTTTGTTTCTTGGTGAAAGTACGTATATGAATTTCATTTTCACTCACGAAAAAGGCCTGTGCAAAAGACTGAAATAATCAGTTAGGAAAAGAGGGATCTTATGGATTGAAATAGCCATCCTGTTTTGGCTACATTTAATGGGTTTCCCCACACTGGTCCTTTCAGTTGCCATTTTGGCTGTGCCTACTCAACCTCTAACAAATGTCTTGTAAAAGAACAAAAGGACGCATATGAATTATGAGTGGCAATGCCTTAGTATGTTAGTAGACTGTACATTTTAAAAAGAGCCATCTTCTCTTCAACTGTTGTGAAACAGATGTCTCTACCACTAAGTGGTGGGTTAGGGTTGTGGTTAGGACTGGTGTTAGGAGACAGTTGAGGTAAGAAAAGAAGAGTGAGCAATACTCAGCTAAAGGTCTCTTTCCACCTAGCAACTGGCTATGCTTTTCCATTGGCAGTTAAAGACTGTCTGGCCTTTAACTCTTTTCTAACACCAGGTATCCAAACTACATCAGAAGAGTAAATATTGTTTGTAAGCAGAATGGCACATTTTGGAAGTGCTTGCTTTATGTGGTATATGCATTTATGAAGAAACAAAAGTAAAGAAGGGATTTTATTTCATTATTGCAACAAAACACAATTATTTTTGACATGTTGACATCTGACATAAAATGTCATTGCTATATCATCTCTGAATAAATCTTTCTGTTGGTTTTGCTGAAAGTCCTTAAGCCAATTTCTGTTTCTCTTTTATTCTCTTTGTTCTACGTGGTAGCCTTTAAGTTTGCAGACTGGGGTTGATTTTTAAAATAATGTTCTTATTAAAATAAAATAAAATAAATAAAAACTCCTTAAACATTTAAGAGTCATAGTCCCCAGACAAGACAGGCATTAAATTAGCATTTGATGTTGATTTTCTTGAGTTCTTTTTTTTTCTTTCTCTGATAGTAAAGCAATACTTTCAGGTGAACAATGGCTCTGGGAACTCCCCAGAAAAACATTTCGAAGCGTTTTTTCCTCAAATATGTTGCTTAAAAGAATTTAGTATGCCATTAAAGATTAAAAATCCTACTAGTAAACTATGAAATAATATTTGGGAGAGATTCCAGAAACTGTGATGGCACCTAACCCAGTGAGGCACCCAACCCTGTGTCCTTTCTTCATAGTAAACATGTGGGACCAAGTCACAAGTGTTTGTTATTGTGCTCCTTGCTCTAGACTTAGCTCCTTTGAACATAGGGTCCCTCTTCTTTGAACCCTAGCCTTTTGTATTAATAGTTGGTGCCCCATAAATGATATTAACTCACCATAAAAATATTAATTTTTGACAGAGATGTAAAGCTTGTCTTGTCAAAACTTTATTTTTTTAATCATCCATATAGAGATTAAAATCTGTATGGAGATAAATTTTAATTTGAAAAGCAAGTTATTTTTTCTAAAATGACACACTATTATCATGGGTCCAGCCCATGATAAAGAAAACTAGAAGTCATGACCCCTTCCTTCCTTCAAGGTGACCACCATCATTTAAATAATACTTACATGGCAACTACTAAATTGCAAGGCAGTATAATCAATGCGGAGAACTGTGGTAGAAACCATGAATGATGAATGAACTGGAGAAAAAGAAAGGTCCTTGTAAAGTTTCATAACTGAAGCTAAGCCTTGAAAAGAATGTTGGTGAAGAAAGTTAGCCTGATAAAAGGGAATAATTCAAGCAAAAGCATTGTGATTAGAAGAAAAATAGTAAAATTAGAGTCATGAGTGGAGTGTGGTATTTGCTTCATGCTAGGGAATAGTGAGATAGTTACAATTACCTTGAGAAGCCTTTTTTCCCCCCCCAGATTATGTAAGAATTGCACTTAGAATGCTGAAGGCCTGTGCCTGTTTTATTTATCAATCATTCAGGTATTCTGCTGAACAAACTTTAGAACATAAGAGGTCATGTGAGAATAATTAAGAAGATGTTAATGTTTGACCTTAGTATTTACTAATTTGGGTTTTTCTTTTTTTTTTTTTTTTTTTTTTGAGACAGAGTCTCACTCTATCACCCAGGCTATAGTGCAATGGTGGCATCTTGGCTCACTGCAACCTCTGCCTCCCAGGTTCAATCGATTCTCCTGCCTCAGCCTCCTGAGTAGCTGGGATTACAGGTGCCTGCCACCACACCTGGCTGATTTTTGTGGTTTTAGTAGAGACGGGGTTTCACCATGTTGGTCAGGCTGATCTTGAACACCTGACCTCGTGATCTGCCCACCTTGGCCTCCTAAAGTGCTAGGATTACAGGCGTGAGCCACCGTGCTGAGCCTAATTTGCATTTTTAATGGGAAAATGAAAGCCTAGTAATATTAGTAAATAAAATGTCCTTCCTTTTTATCTTGAAAGCCTTACATATAACATCCTCAAGTTTACCCATCTTCTACAAGACATGAAGTGACAAAATCAAGATCTCCATGAGGACAAGAGGTTTTGTATTTTCTTACCAAAAATAAACTGTGCTTGAGTTTTTCTGGTTGACAGGTCTGCGCATTAATTTGAGTAAGGCAAGAGGAGCCCCACCACAGTGAAGGGTCTCTGTGTCCTCCATGGCTTCTTTATTTTCTTCTTCCTGCCTCTTCATTCACCTCATGTGAATGGACAAAAGGATTCTACTCTTTTATTTCTAATCTCTGACGTTTCAAGAAATTATAATATCTAGGTAGTGGATTTTACTAATGCTGGCATCTTACCTCTTTGGTTTTGTCACAGTTTTCCCAGTTGAACAACCACAACAATACTGCCTTATAAATAGAAGACTAGGTCTTTTAAAGCCTACTACAAATCCCCAGGGTTGAAAGGGCTTACTCAACTCATAACCCATATGATATCTCAGGCTATTCCATTACCTTCTGCATCCCCCACCCCATTCCACACATTCTATTGATGATTTTTTTCTAGAAACTAAATAAAAGCAAATAATAATAGGGAAGTTATAATCAGAAGGTTAGTAATGAGTATTAAACAAATTGCCAGCTTGGTTTTAATGTGAGGATATGGGACATAGAAGAGAAGCAGAAGGAGACCTGGCCATGTTAACCTTGTGAAAAAATGGACTGCGGACAGGAATAGCAGGGTTTTTCTTTTCTTTTCTTTTCTTTTTTTTTTTTGAGAGGAAAATGGGAAAAATAGTTCTGAGGGTTGGATCCAGCTTTTTCTTTTTGCAGGAATTCTGTTGTCCCTTTAGAAAATATAAAAGCCGTTCCAAGGCACATTGGCACCCATGTGGCACTGCAGTCTTCTCTTGGCACTGCCTCATCCTGTTGCTGGCAGGACAGAGCATGGACCTCTTTAGCCTCATCCTCTGTTGTTTTCTGCACAGGAGCCAAACATTGTGGCTACTCGCGAGGCAAGGCTGGCAGCTGAAGAACCCAGATGCCAAGCTCTGGACTGGACTTCTGTTCTGTTTGTGGCTGGTCCCTTCCCTGGCATCTGCCCTGGCTTTGCAGCAGCCTGTGTCCCCGTCTGCAGAGCTGGGCTCAGGATTAGGCTTCTGTTGGCTCTCATAGATGTTCGATCACTGTTTCCCTTTTGAATTATCCTTGATTATGAGGAATGTGCCTTTATGACACATTCCTCCCCGGGTGACTGCTCAGACGATGTGCCTGCTCCTCGCTAAAAAGGGGGTTTCTCTCAAATTACCAGTAATTGTTAGTAAGAAAGCTTGTGCAATGGGAACATTTTTTTACAGGTAGGAAGATGTGAAGTGAAATACAAAATCTTGTATCTCAAACACAAATTTTTACTGTTTTTCTTATTGAGAGGAAAGCTTCTGAATTAAGTCAAACAAACAAAAAATCAAATAACCCCAGCAACATGAGAATTTCCAGAAGATTCTTCTTTCTGTTTTAATTCATCTAAATTTCTGCCCCACATCCTTATCCAGAGACTTTTGACTTACAAAAGGTAGCGGGGCCAGGCCGGGAGGGCGGGGGCTGGGTTCTCCAGGTCACAAGAGGTAGTAACATTTATAGTATTTGTCAACAAATAGACAGATAAACATAGTTATAGTATTTGTCAACAAATAAGCTCAGAGACTGTAAGTCTAGGGTCCAAACTTCCCTCAGTGGGGGAGGAATACTGGACCATGTTCTGCTAGTAGAGGTGGAGAGGGTAGGAGGAGGAAGCCAATAAGCCTGATTGCCCCCTGATGGGGTGCAGGGATAGTTCTGCTGGTAATAGGAAGCCTCGTGCTTGCCTAGGAAGTGAAAATCAACTTGAGAACTTCACCAACTAGAAGGTAAGCTAAGTATAAATGAAGGCAATTCAGAAATACCTCTGGAATATCTTTACATCTGAGAGCCTTCTGACATTTGTTTACACTCTAGAATCTTTTGCATCAGAATTATAGACACAGTTCAAAGAGAAAGATGAATTACAGCAAAATAGAAGGTGCTTTGCTTTACGAAGCATAATGTCTTAAATGACCTATCAGGAATTTGAGCAATTTCAGACTGAAATCACAAATCTGTCATCCTGTCTAGATGAATGCTTATTTATTGCTCAATTTCTGCAGCTGGAAAAGGATTTTGTCCCAATGGCTCCCAATGGCAGTCTCTCCAGCTTCATGAAATCTCAGTGAAAGTCAAGTCAGATAGATCTGAATTCTAGTCTCAGTTCTGCTCTTTGTTAAATTCCTGACCTTCAGTAAACTCTCAGTTTGTTCCTCTATAAAATGGGAGAAATAACAGTACCTATCTCATGGAGCTACTGGCAGTGTTACATGACAAATTCATGGCACAAAGTATGGCACAGAATCAGACCTAAATAGATGTTGGCTAGTGTTAAGATTTTCCATAGGCTAGGGTGGGAAGAATACCACTCATCAATCTTTAGAGCTGCATCATTTTTATCTCGTTGGGTGACCATCAGATTTATTGACTATATTGCTTCTAATGAGGCAGAAAAAACTGTGTTATGGAGACACTTTGGACTACAAATAACATGGTGCCAGACAGGGCACACAATGATTAAAATTGCTCAGTGAAACCGTGGGCAGGATAGACTTCAGGTTTATCCCCCTGAATGTATTATTTTAGAAAATTAAGCTGAGATATAGCCAGTTCGTAAATTACCAACAAAATAGGCATCTCCTGAGGTGGCCACCAAAGGGAATTTAAAAACCTACGATATATAGGTACTGGGGAAATAGATCCATTAAATGGATACTCTCTGGATTTGAAAATGTGGCCATGCCCACACAGAAAATAAACAGTTGATCCATGCAGATGGCGTTAGCAGATGCAAAGCACCCTGGGAAGGGGCAGTAGTCATTAAGCAGAGCTTCAGCGTCATTCATTGGCTCTAGAAATGCGATCCCATCTTTAAGTCTAGAGTATAAAGCGAGGGCTGGTACTTTTTTTTTTCTGTAAAAGGACAGATAGTAAATATTTAGACTTTGCAGGTCATATGGTCTCTAAGGAGTGTAATGTAAAGCACCCACAGACAATATGCAAACAGTTAAACATGCTTGTGTTCCAATAAAACTTTATTTATAAAACTGGACAGCAGCAGGATTTGGCATATCCATGGGTCATAGTTCTCTGATCTCTAGCATAAGGGGTTAAAAATCTGCTAAGTCAATCTTCAGAATTTTATTTTGTAATAAACTTTTAGGTAGCTCACATAGTTCCTAAACAAGGCACCTCTCATTTCTTATTTATTTCTGGTTAGCAGTTCATTGAACTAAGACGCATGAGGATTTTAAGGGATTTGAGGAAAGGGCTCAGAGACTGTAAGCCTGGGGTCCAAACTTAAGGGTCAGACACGTGAGAAGCAGGCCCTAATAAGATGATAGAGACTGGAAGCATGGGTCGGATGCTAGAGAAAGAGCTGGCCATTGCCATAGGGAGCTTGGACCACTGTTTCAGATTTTCCAATTTTTCAAAAGAAGCCAGAAACAAACAAACAAACAACCTCCTGATTTTTTAATAATGGCTTACCAGTTTTAAAAGCACTGTGCAACCCTACCAAAACATATATGTGATTGAAATCCGGCTTTCAGGCTGGTAGTTTGTGACCTTTGCTTTCAGCCCAGAGCTTTCCACCTCTGAAAACTGCTAGTTGCCTTGAAACGGAGCTGTAGGTTTTTCCAAGCATAGTCTGAGATCTACAAGGACTGATCAGACTTATGCCTGCTTCCTTAAAGTCACCCCTCTATTTCAAAACTGTCTACCCCACAGTGGCACCACAAAGCTCTGCCTGACAGTATGTTCAAGGTATGCCAAGCATGCCCAATAATATCTATAGATAGATAGGATTTCATTAGAATTTGAACTGCCTGAAGGAAAGGGCAAGACTTGGCAGCCTGTTCATTACAATAAAGATTTATGGACGACCAACTCAGAAAATTCAGAGAGAAATGAGTCCATGTCGAATCTGAAATTGTCCAGCTCTGCTTGAATGTGCTAAATCCTTCTTTATCTCATTCCTGCTCTTTGTGTTTGGCAGATTTAGCTCTATGATTCAATAGAAACTATTCTCTTTTCCTAATATGAAAACTTCATTTTATTCTAAACTCTAATAATTTGAGACTTTTTTCTGTGTTGGGTATAAACAGAAATTACCTTTTCACCACTTGAAAGTTTAATTCCCTAGTTTTAATGAACTCCTTAAAAATAAATTGGCTACATTAGATAAAACTTGTCTTATTTATCTGACAATTTCAAACTGTGCTATTATGGAAATATTGGGGTGTGATTTATAATTTTAATGTCCCTATGCTTATCTCATGGGTATTAATCTATTTGGGATTCATCTGTACAGAAGCCATCTGAAAATTCTTTTATGGAATAAAACTCTCATACTAGAAGTTTTGGGAGGCTTTTAAACCCAACTTCTTTTCTTTTTCTTTTTAGGCAGCAATTCTCCCAGAAATAGTCTATTTTGCCTGACAAAATGTATCCAATCCTGAACTTGAAAAGGTTCCACTCCTATTTGTAACTCAGTGACCCTGAGGCCCAAATTGGTATTGAACTTTCAGAAAAAGCACTCTTGGTTCTTTAATAAGAACTTATTGGTAATTAGCACCCTAGCCCGGGCTTACATTTTGGGTTGTCAAAATAAAAATAAAAATAAAAATAAAGTGACATCTGTTGATCTGGAAAAACCCAAAACTGGATACACACATTTAGCTCTGCATTTTAGAAATTCTTAAGTTAATCCCATTTTAGCGTTCCGGAGAAAGGTGCAATGGAATAAAATGATCCCATGAAATCCTTGTGCTCCATAAGGTGTCTTGAAGTTTGATTGGATATTAACTAAAAGATCATTTTGTTTCTCTTTTATAGCAGGAGTTGTAATGTGTTCATTTTATAACATCTCCGCTGTTTGGAATAAATCACCAAGGACAGATGCTCATCACATTTCAGTTCAATAAAATTCTTTGCAGAGTCTGAACAGATACATGGCTAGTTGCTTTAGGTCTTTGTCCAGGCCATCATTTGTTTGGAAAATCTAATTCACAGAACAAAATAGTGTTACACTAAAGACATTGAAATTAATATTTTGTTTGCTGTTTTGTGTGTTTGTTGTTATTTTTGACAGAGATGTGCCTGTAGGACTTTACCTTCAGTTTCACAACTTCCACCTTTATAAATATCATCCACCACCTCTTCATCTTTTCTTCAGAAACAGCACAGTTAATCTGATTTCCTGCTGTTAGATCTTCTAGTAATACCATTTTAAAGGTTCTCAGCAGAAAAATTTGTCAGTGCTCTTGAAGAAGTGCTAAAGTTCCATGTTCAGTCTTTTCTGTGGCAGTAAATAGGTTTTAAACAAGCAAAACCAAGGCATCCATTTTAAAGTAATATGTGTGTCTTGAAAAACTGTTGGTGAGTTTTGGACATCTTTCATGTGCTGTATAGCACTTCTCTTGTATTTTTTTTAAAAATCAAGAAGACATAATCTACTGAGTTGCCAATATTCATTTTTTAAAGGAGGAGAGATTTGAGCTTAAAAAGTTGTGGCTGTACATCTTTAGCTGATTATTTTCTTGAAGAAGTTTCATGTGGTTTTAAATTATTTATCCAAGAGGGTATGTGATAAACAGTTGAGGCTTTCCATAATGGTGTGCAAGGTAAAAATGTGCATTTTACCAAGCATTCATAAATGCATTTTCCTGCATTTGAAAAAGTTGCACGAGTCCCCTGAGGAAATATTATCTAAGTCTTTGTGTGTGTGTGTGTGTGTGTGTGTGTGTGTGGTGTGTGTATAGTGTGTATGTGTGTGTTTATGGGTGTGTGTGTATGTATGTGTGTATGATATGTATGTGTGTAGTGTGTGGGTATGGTGTGTGTGTGTGGTGTATAGTGTGTGTATTTGTGTGTGTGTGTGTGTGTGAGACAGAAAGAGTAAAGGAGCCATCTGAATGTTGAGTAAATAGATAAACCCCATGGCTAGAATGGTGTTGGGGTGATAATCCTTCCCAAAGGGCAACAGAACATGCTTGCTAACCTGTCATGGTAATTTTCCTTGAAAACGAATCAAGGAAATCCAGGGTGTATAGTAACCATTTGGCTGGGCTAAGGTTCTGACACCATCTGACAGGACCAGAAAAGTGGGAAGTTAGGCCCTTGCCAGTGAATTTTGCTTACTGTTTGTTTATTAACAACCATGTCAGTGCTGGATTTACTTTCAAGCTTTCTCTCTTTCAAAAATGTGTTTCTCACTCTAGAATTGAAAGAGCATTTTTACTGGTGTATACTTTGGTTTTGACAAAAGACTCTGTGGCTGTCAGGTCATTTTAGGGTTAGCTTTTTTTTTTCCCACCCTGAAGTAGGTTTCTGAACTGCAGAGAGAAACCTTTCCCATGCACAAATCCCTAAGTTTATAGTGAGTAGACGAGAGGAAATAAAAATTATGCCCTTTCTTTTATTTAAAGATCACCTTCATGTTGAACCAGCTTTTTACTGCCATTAAATATTTGCTTTCTGGGAGCATTTGTATATATTTTCTTAGCTCTTAACTACCACATTTCTACTCAGTTTTGTATCTGCTAGCCCCAGCATTTACAACCTACGAAAACCTCATAAATCTACTTCATTTTTCTAATAAGACATGAAAGTCCTTAATTGGCCTTAATGAAATGCACTTAAAGGGCAATAAACGTGTTTAAGCCCCTCTTTCAGGGTGAGCTTCAGTACTCTCACTCTACTCTGTTTTAGCCTTTCTGGTAATTAATCATTTATTCATATGTGACGAATCAGTAACAAGATCAAGCAACTACTGCACAATTGCATGATAATAAGCTGCTCATATATGTGTCAAGATTTAGCAATCCTTTTTAAAGCCTAATTTAAAGTCATTTTACAACTAACCAGACTGCTTCTCTGAAGCATTTTTCTCCCAGTATCCTTTTTACATGTTTTCATTTGGATGCCATCTTTTTATTTTGTTTATAGAGCCCAGTCCGCCTTAAATCCACTTATGGCACCAGCGTGAATTTCAGCAATGCAAACATTTACCATTGTTTTTCAGTCTGCTTGGAATTCTCTCTTTGATCCAAAGGGGAGGGGTTTGGGAAGAAGCAAAAGAAGGAAAGAAAAGAATGACTGCATTTATAAATAGAAGACCCAAGAGTCCCTGCCATTTTCGTATGTATTTAAATCCTAAATCTGCAGTGATTTATGGAGACGTGTTAATCATTTGCCTGCACCTTAGCAATCTGAGAATTCCAGCAATTTCCCATGTCACAAATATGCCAATGGTGGGGGTGGGGGTGCTTTTTCTGCAGAGGAATTCTTACTTTCAACACAAGCTCAGATCAAATATCTGAATGCCTGTTTGTGTGTACACAAGTTGGGGATTGAATTTTCCTGGCTTTTTCTGTGCAAGTGTGTGCTCACTGGTAAGGATATATAAAGAAAGATTTTGACCTGCGCGATCACGGTAAACAGAGTTGCTTTGCCCTTACAAAATACATCTTAAGTTGATCCTAATATATGATTGAGCAGTTGTCATCAGGCATAGTCAAGGCAAGGTTATTAGGTCCAAGGAAACAAAAGTAGCTAAAGAGTAGAATCAGAAGTCCTTCTCCACCATATACTAACATATGTAGATCACTTGCAGTTTAATCATTTAGATGTCTTTAATATATGCCTAAATCTAGCAGGTGACAATTTTTTTTTTTAAATAAGAAGAGACTCTGATAAACTCAGTAGAGATGGCACTTGTAAGTAAAAACTTGCCATTGGAATTGGTTTGCTGTCTGAATTTATCTTCTTCTATTATACATTGAAATGAAGCTGTAAATATGTGGGTCCCTCCTCCAGATGCACTTAAACCTTATTAATTCTGATGTGAGGTAAAAAAAAAAAAGGTGAGTCTAAATTGGTGACAGAGGTGAGTAGTACAATATTTGAAAAGAAATGTCACTTTATTACTTTCAAGTACAAAGAACAGCTACTCCACTGTAACCAGGCAGAGGGAGCTCTGGCCAGATTCACTATTACATCTGGAAAATGACCATATGTGACAGGACAATAATTGTCTGTTGGTAGTGAATGTTCCTGAAGTGCTTGAAAATTGTTCCCTTATATAGTTTAAAAATTCTACATGCAATTTAACTGTTTTTCTTTGCAATCCCACTAATGCAAAATTTTTATTTTTTTTTATGTGTAGCCAGTAAAATTCATCACAGTGGACTTAATACATATCTGTTGATTTATGTTGACTCAGCAACATTTGTAAAAATATTTGGTCCTAAATTTTGTTTTAAGTTACTTGGAGACCCATTCCTGAATAGAAGGCGCAAAATTAGATTTAACCAAGGCAGCATTCACAGGGTTATCTCCATAAATGGCTTCCCCTGGAGTTGTGCAGTGTACAACTTGTGCATCCATACATGGTGGCTCTGGTTTTCTGTTTTGTCTGTATACACCTGGCCTTGATAAAGAATATCTATGATAAAGATAAAGAAATATCTATGATTTTCATTGAAACATTATATTTTCTTAATTTTCAAAAGTCATATAGTCTGCTTTATCAGGTACCTCTGAAGGAGATTCTTAATTGTAGCAAGGGTATTTTCTCTTCTTCTTTTTTCTTTTCTTTTTTTTTCTTTCTTTTCTTTTTTCTTTTTTTTTTTTTCTGAGACAGAGTCTCTCTCTGTCACCCAGGCTGGAGTGCAATGGTGTGATCTTGGTTAACTGCAACCTCTGCCTCCCAGGTTCAAGTGACTCTTCTGCCTCAGCCTCCCAAGTAGCTGAGAATACAGGTGTGTGCCACCACACCTGGCTAATTTTTGTATTTTCAGTAGAGATAGGGTTTCACCATGTTGGCCAGGCTGGTTTTGAATTCCTGACCTCAGGTGATCCACTTACCCAAAGTGCTGGGATTACAGGCGTGAGCCACAGCGCCTGGCTGAATTATGTCATTATTCTATTTTGTTTTGTGACAAAATGAAATGTTACTTTACTTATGACAGAATTCCTCAGCTCAAAGAACTTTTACGAAAAAAGTAAAGTGATGAGCCCTGAGTAAAATTTTTTTTAAAAGGCCTAGTTACTCAAGCTCCATTAATCAGCTGATTTAAATAATTTTAGAGAGAGAAAAACACAACTTTAGAATATGAAAGCTGGACTCTTTATTGGGCTTAGGATTTTAAGATGGAGTACTATAGCCTTGGCCCTCTGACTAGCATCTCCCCTAGAATTTTGCAGAAATAATCACAATATGTAAAAATAATCAAAATGTGTAAAAATAATTGCAATAAGATGATAATTTAGCAGTAAAAGGAAAATTCCAGACCCAGTTTAATCAGTTAAAGTGTCTCTCTGGTTCTTCTGATTTGTTGTTCATTTATGCTGGGCAGCTGGACAATAGGATTTTGCATGGGCCACAAACAATGAAATAAAACAGCAAGATGTACTGTATTTTACTGAAACATACAATAAAGGGCAGCAGGGGACTAGTCAAAGCCCAATATTCAAAGACTAATTTTTTATCTCTACTTTATTTCCTAAACCAAAATGTTTTTGGTTATAAATATTGGATGAAAGCAAAATGTACCACATTTGCTAACATGGAGGCAATACCTAAACCTACTTTTTATAAGAATTAAATTAATATCATGTAAGTAGTTTTATAGTTTTAGCATTTTATTATTATTTATGTTCTAACTGCTCTGCATAAATAGAACTGTTTCTTGCTTCTTTTTTGTTTTTACTACTAATAAAAAGTAATAGGTATAATAATTCAGGGACTGTTTGCATTTCAAGGCATTTTCTGTTTGGTCTTGGTGGCCTGTGGAAGGAGACATACCCCAAACCAGAGTGTAAGAAGCTTTAATAACAAACGTAGGAAGCACTTCTACGGAGCATTAGATGTTTAGGCAAGGATGTCTAAAACAAACATGGACAAATCAAGGCTTTAAAATTGTTCAACAAAAGCCAGCCCAACTAATGATTGCATTGTGTGAGCAGAAATAGATATATGTTAACTCCCAGCTTCGTTCATGTATGTCTGGCAATTGCAGAACATCCATATATTTATTAATAAATATCTTCCCTATTTACCTGCTGATTTCTCGGAACACTTAAGAAAGAGAAGAAAATAGCTTTATTTGTGACGGGCAGGAAGGCGATTTTTAACCACAACAACCGTGCTTTCTTATATTTTCTTAAAAAAGCCTTTTCAGAAGTAAGAAGTAACAGGAGATACTTAAGTGGAAATCAGAAAATTGAAATCATTTCCTTGTGAAAGTCAGAGGTTTGTGATTTCTTGAGGAAATTATGTAGAAATTCATGCTTGGAAATCTGGAAAACTGGACTAGTAGCTAAGACCATGTTCCTTGTGTGGACAGATCTAGGGCTATATTTTAATGCCCTTATGCCTCAAATCCCTTACTCCTATCACTTCTTAAGTATGTAGACAGCACAAACAACCCCTGCAATGCAGGTGCCTCCTAGCTTCTTCTCTCCCAAAGAAAAGAACACAAACTTACTTTTTTCCCCAGAGAGATTTTTGTGTTATAGTTAAGAGAGTTACATAAGTGTACAGTGGGAGGCTATGCAACCATCCAAAGGAATACTCATCAAGGATTTTTAGTTACATGGAAAATACTGATCCTATGATCAGAAGGGAAATATATAGCATGCAAAGGTATATCCTTCGTGAGATCTCAGATAGAGAAAATGCATTGTAGAAAGACTAAATGAAATATACTAAAATATCAACAAAAATGGTTTTCTAGATGGCAGGATTATGGGTGATTTTTGTTATTTTATATCTTATGCATGGATTATGAAATGAAACTAATAGAAACTGTAAGAAAATAAACATAATGATAAAAATGAGAATTTAGAGTCTATTTTTAATGAATTATACACTATGTTAAGTTTTTATATACGTTTACAGATGAGGATACTAAATCTTAGAGGAGACATGACAAAATAATTTTACCCAAGGTCATACAGTTAGTAAACAGCAGTTAGAATTCAAATCCAGGATTTGTTCCAGGGCCTCATTTCCAACCACTGCATGGAGCTACCTTTCTGTTCTTCACGCACACTTTATGTATAAATAAACCATTGGAAGGTGTCATGAATTCTTTGCTAAAAGAGGCAGCTGTGTGGCTACTTCTCACATCATTCAGGAGCCTGGAATCTACTCTTTTCCTTTCACAAGGACTGTCACTTTTGGTGATTCTCTTTTTCTTTCTAAATGAAAGGCTCAATTTTTGTTCAAACCAAACCAAATGAGCAGGGCTTCTCAACACTGTCCTTCCAGGTTGTAACAGCTCCAGCCATTGACTTGAGCTTAACTTTTAGAAGCAACTTTGGCATGTTTTTGAAGGCAGAGTTTTCCCCAAGCTCTTGTGCTAACTTTTCGGACATGTTTACATCCTAACACCACTCCCGTTATCCCACAGTAAATATTAAGCCTGAGTCCTTCTAATTCATACCAGGCTTGTCATTCTTGCTGTAAAACTTGAAAAGCATCAAACCTAATCCCTTCAGAAAGAGGCCTGTTTTTACTTATGTCTCTTATTCTATGCATACTTTTATTAATCTCAACTTTCTTTGGAGCAACCTCTTTCAGACTAGGAATTCTAATACAAACACATTATCAGTTAAAATTTTCTGAGATTTTCATTTTGCTTCAGGAAAAAAAATTCTCTTTGGTGGTGTCCTAGGATCATCTGAATTAAGGTCAGAGGGCAACTCTGTAATTGATTCCATCCTATTAATAATTTTGAGGGAGCGTTTGAATGTTATGCTCTGACAAGCCAGGCCTAATTTTCATGGTTGCCAATAAAATGCTATTTGTAGTCCTCAGTGATGATACAAAATGATGAATGTAAATGATGGCCCAGATAAACCAGAGGACTGGACTACTGAAGGTGAGGTTTTCTTGGACTAGACTAATTTAGGGAAAGATAGCATCGTTGACAATCATTTATTCTGAAAACTTGAATAAGCGTTAATATTACTTTTGCTGTGCAGAATTTAGATAGCAAGTGCGGCACATTTAAAACATGGCCCCAAGTACTCTGCTCCTTCTCCCGCTGGAAAGGGAAGCCTTGTCCCTTCCCCTTGAATCTGGGTGGGCTTGTAACTGCTTCAACTAATGATGAACTGTCAAGGGCAGAAAATCAAAGCAATACCTTCCACCTGTTTCTCTTACAATTCTCCCTCTTGTTGTACTTTCTGAATCATCCTTCTTGGAATCCAGTTGTCATGCTGTGAAAAGACCCAGTCCACAAAAAGCCCTCGTGTAAGTGCTCCGGATGATAGTCCTAGCGAAGTCCAGCTTTCAAGTCATCCTAGTTCAGGTGCAGATATGTGAGAGAAAAAGCCTTTAGATGATTGCAACCCATAGCAGTTCAATTCTTCCCAGGTGCAGCTCCAGACACAATGGAGCAGCAACAAGCCATTCCCACTGCAGTCCCAAAGCCAACACACTGAGTCAGTGAGCATCATGGAACGGTGGCTGTTTCACACTATTCAGTTATGAGTGGTTGTTACACAAAATAGAGAACCAGAATAGTTAGCTTTTAAATTTTCTCTCCCATTCTTAGTTTTTCAAATAATGCCTTACTTGCTCTTACTTTATTTGCTATTAACTGAGAAGCCCCAAAGAATGTCAGAAGCATGTTGATAAAAAGATAAACATGATTAAGAGATTTTGGGGGGTGGGGCTGGGGATTGAGAAAGAAGAACATGTAACATGCCCACAAATGCTGGTACATATCTCCTGGCTTTTGTGGTATGCAAAAATAAGTACCAATATTTGGACTTGACAGAGAACTTTCAAATGCATCTCCTTGTTTGATGCAATAGAATTGTCACGAAAATCTTACAAAATGAGTATGATCATCATTATCATCCTTATTTTACAGATTAAGAAACTGGGGTTCAGAGAGGTTAATATATTGCCCAAAGTCACACAGCTGCTGGGGTAGGGAGGCTGAGGGGACCAGAACTCATGTCCCCTGGCCTCCCATCCCTTGCTGTGCCTGGCACCAGTTGCCTTACAAGAAGAGAACTGCTGCCCCTTTGTGGCAGCTGATCTTTCTTCATACTATCCAGAGCTCCAAACTTTGTAGGAAGCCAGAAGCGTCTCCTTTGTTGAACAGTGCCAAAATAGCAGCTCTGTAAGTTTCCACTCAGGGATGGAGGGGTGGAAGAGAGGGATACCAGCTGAGCTTTCATTATTCTGGGAAAAGCACAAGGACTTCTGAGGATTCTTAGTGCAGACCTCATGCCTTCATCCATTGTGCATCATTTTTAGAAGTTTGATTATTGAAAGTTATCTTCTATGTCTCTGCTTAACATATTCAATCTTTTCTCTAGCTTCTTGAACATATGAAATGCAGTTATACTATCTGTTTTCATGTTTCTGTCTACTAATTCTATCATCTGTGTCATTTGTGGGTCAGTTTCAATTGGCCCAGATGGGTTGCCTTTTCTTGCTACTTTGTGTGCCTGGTAATTTTTAATTTGATGCCTATTATTGTGAATATTACCTTGTGAATATTTCTACATTTTTGAGCGTTGTTCTGAGATGTGGTTGAATTACTCAGAGCTAGTTTTATCTTTCCAAATCTGGCTTTTAAGCTTTTTTAGGTGAACGAGAGCTGCACTTCAAGTAGGGTTAATTCTTCCCTGTTACTGAAGCTCTGGGCACTAGTTCCTCTAATCTCTGGACACACATGCACTGGTTAGTCTCAAATGAACACTCCAGGGGACCCTCTGCAGATCTTCAGAGTCCTCTGTCTATACAGAACTCTCCTCTCGGGCAGTCTGCCCTATGAATTCTAGCTTCCCTGGCTTCTGTAGACTCCCAGTTCTGTCTCCTGAACTCAGGGAGACCACTGGACCCTGCCTGGATTTCCCCTCCCTGTACCATGGCCCAGAATCTTTCTTTAGGCAGTAAACTGGGACAATTGTAGGGGGCACTTCACTTGTTTTCTGTCTTTCAGGAGTCATTGCTCTTTGTTGCCTGATGTTCAATGTCTGAATCCTTATTGTTTCATGTATTTTTTCCATGTTTTAGTTGTTTTAGGTAGGAGAGTAACTGGAAGTCCTGTGTGTCTCAAAGACTCAGAAGAAAACACAACCATTGACAGATGGTTGAAATTGGACCACTATTTAGAGATCAGTCTTGTTCTCAACTGTTTTCCTTCTCTCTGGAACCCTGCCTTCAGGACTATTGAATGGGACCAATTTGTAGGTGCTTTAAATATTTCAGTCACCAAAAACCCTCTTGGATACTATTTGAGGCCAATTCGCCCACTTTCCAATGCTAAGATTACCACATCAGATTACGTAAAGTGTGTTGTATACTTTATGGCTAAATGCAAATGCTAATTCATGCCTTCAGTGGGAGAAAAACATTCATTTTCCTTTATTTATACTTTACTTTTGATATTTAGGCTTTTGTTTTTGGTGCCTTATGGTCTGTTAAGTATTTGTCACATGTATACTACTTGCCTAGTGTTTTTTAAGTTACACTGCAGCCTGACTTTAAAATCTTGTTTTTGAGACAATACTTACACAATTAGAAGTCTCTCTTATCCCTTGCATTAAAATCAGTTGCAATTCCTCTGCACTTTCACAGTCTCCTCCTCATACCTCTCTCGCTTAGTCACTTTTATTGTAGGAATAGAAGCTCACTTACATGGTGATGGGTGTCATGGAGTTCCAGAGGAGGACGAACTGGCCCTCATGCAATCTGGAAATGATTCCAGGCAGCTTTTTGGCAGGAGCTCCTGCATCTGTCCTGAGGAGCCCACCATCAATGTGACTCCACCTCTTTGTGTATGTCAGTTGATCTCAGGTTGGGTTTCCTGAAAACATACTCTGAGATGTAAATGGGGGTACAGAAAATTTTAAGGGTGGTGCTCTTGGGACTGATTCCTGTGGGGAAGTGAAGGAAACAGGATTGCACGGAAGGAGAAGTTGGCCTGCAATGCAGTAGCACAAAGCCCTTAGCTGATCCCATGGGGAGCTCTGGAGCTGTGATGGTTCTTTGAAGTTGTCTTAAATTGAGGGAAGAGGGGCCGAGTCTTTGTATGTTCCCCATCCACCAGTCCTTGGAGGCAGGCTGCCCCTGAGAAGGGGTTGTAACCATGGGTGGGGTGCTGAGGGCACCCCAGGGAGGGGCTTAATTGAGACTGTCAGTCTCCTGCACTCCCAGAGCTGGGGGAATGAGTACTTCAAACAGGAAGCCACCTAATTAGATTTCGGAGTCCTGGGTAGTGATTTTGACTCCACTATTTATTAGCTACTTATTAGCAATGAGAATTTGGGCAAAATCATTTATTCATTAAGCTAGTAGTTTTGAAATGTCTAGCACATGGGAATACAGAGGTGATATGGTCAAGTTTTGAAAAAACCCTGCCCCTATGGAACCCACAGTCTTATTGAGGAAGAGAACTGTCATAAGCAATATAAAGTAATGTAAGTAATACAAAATTACTTTAAAAAAGTGCTTCTCTAACTTTAATGTAGAAACAAATCATCTGGGATGCAGATTATGGATGAGTCTGTTGGTCCAGGGTGGAGACTGAGATTCTACATTTCTAATAAGTTCCCAGTTGATGCTGATGCTGCTGGTCTAGGACCACACTTTGAGTAGTGAGGTTCTAAATACAGTGAATTAGGAGGGTCTGGTAGAGGGAGAGGAAAGCTGGTTTAGATAGAGTGGTCTGTGTGAGGGGGGGATGTTTGAATTGAGACCCCCAAAATGTGAAATTGCTTCATCTGTCTTATTTTCTTCTATTATAAAATGGGAATAATTATAACAAGTCTGGCACATTGTAGGCACTCAACAAATATTTACTATTATAGAGGTTCTTGCTGGCTCTTCCCGACCCATCATGATTGTCCTGCCTCCTTCTACCTCATGACCTTTCATCTTTTACTCTTGCTGCCATGTTCCTAAGAACAGGTGTCTGATTGGCTCAACCCCATGTGGGGAGACTGCTTTAGGCCCAGGCACTTCATAGGCTGCTGACCAGCCTACCAATTGGCTATCCTTGGCTTTGTTGCCCTTCACTGGTCAAACAGCTACAACTGGAGGACTACAGGGTCATATGGTGTGAACAGAGCTGCTTAAAACTGCCCCCTTAGTGAAGGCTGTAGCCACGCACTGAGGCTAATGTTTAATATGTGTGACCCATTAGATCACGGGGCCCATTTGACTAGGGCTAGCTAGCTGTTTGTGGATTTATTTCTTGTAATGGGTTATGAACTCCTTCAGGGCAGAAACCTGTTTTTCCTGATGCCTGGCAAAGTGTTGGGCATACAATAGGAACTTACTATGGAGGTTTATTTAGCAATATTATAGAAGTTTGCCATGTGGGCTCCCATGGTCCAAGGAAGGTTGGGAGGAGGAAGCTGACAGAGAGAAGGAATTTTAAAGATGAGGCTTTCAATAAGTGGAGAGAAGGAGAATGTTCACAGAGACAGACACATAAGCAAAAGTTTGGTGGGTGAAAAGACCGACATTTTAGGGAAACAAACAATGTGTTGGCTTTTTCAAAGAGTAAACTAAATTTCAGCAATATTTTTCCCCATTGCAAGTACCAATTGGCATTTTCTTTAAGGCTTCCTGTGAATTAGTCACCCTACTCTTGTGTGTATTCACACACGCACAAACACAAAATATAGTAGAGATAAAACATTCCATTTCAACATATTCCACTCATGTATTTGCTTCACTAGCTGCAGAGGTGCAGAAGTCCAAAGCCAAGAGTAATAAAAATGTATTAAGAGGCAGCTTGCACAGGAGGTGGTTTTTTGCAAGGGTTCACAGATCTTATTTTAAGGTTGAAGCCCCCCAGATGTCCTTCCTCCTCTTTTCAACTGACAGTTGTGGTTGTGCAAGGACTACGGCTGGTCCCGGTGAACCGCCAACCAGGCTCAAACAAACAGCCACTTGTGGCTGTGGATTTCCTCTTGGCTCTGCCTGGAGGCAGCAGTTAGTATTGAGGGAGTTTAGGGGCTGGAGGCTGGGGTCAGACTGCAAATGGTGCTAATTCTGACTCCAGTCACCCCCACAACCCCCATTTTTCATTACTGTTGTGACAATTTTAGCTTCTTTCTTAAACACAAATACTGCTCAAGGGAATTTTGGAGAAGATATCCCTTCCAAACTGGACATTACCTAACTTTTTAATGACTGTGACTCCTGATAGATGAGGATGCCTCTATTTTGGTCTTTGGGATGTGGTTGAAGTTTCCTTTCCCCATATCTATCAAGAAGAGTTCGGCTTAAAGTGATGATACAAACAAGAGTTAGGGGGACATGTTTAACCTATTTCAGATCCACTCGCACCTGAAAAGTTTTCTAACTAATCTCCCTCCCTCAAATCTTTTAGACTAGAATCGTTTTTGCTCACCACAGCCAGATTAATTCTGACATTTTCATCATGCCATTACCAGAATCTCAATGACTGCTTTAGCCTTTAGGATAAATCTCTTCTCGTTTTGCTCAAATTTAACTTTGCCTTCCCCATTCTGGCCACAAACTCTTTCCATCCTTGCATCCTGATTTTGTACCATCTGTAATCTAGCCAGATTGGTGAAGTCACTGTCCCTATAGCCCATGATTCCTATCTCCAGGTCTTTACCCATATAGTTCCTTATGCTGGCCATGCAGTCTCATTGTTCCTCTCTGAATTCACTAGTTCTTCAAGCCCAGCTTAAACCCTGCTTCCTCCAGCCTCCAGGATGTCTCTCCTCCCAAACTCTTCCAGCATCTCCTTGGACTCTTCATCACCAAATCTTAACCTTGTCTGTATTGTTTGTCAGCTTTTGATGTGTCTAGGTTCTGTTTCCTCAGTTTAGACTATAAACTCCTAGAGGGAGAAGATGTTTTACCTATTGCACAAAACTCTGTAGGTTGATGAATTGTGTGAGGAATGCTGTTAATTACAAATAAATTTTATCAAAAGCAGAATTTAAGGGTTTCACACTTGACAATTCTAACAATGCCAGCATCATATATACTTGAAATTAATAAACTAGCATATCAGCAGACTTTGTTCAGGCTGGTTTGTTTTATATAGTAGGACCGTATAGTGGAAAGATCTCTCCACAGGGGTCCAGAGACTGGGCTCTAATCTCATCTCTGCTGGAAACTGGCTCTGGTGTCTCTCATAAGTGGACCTGCTTCCCTGGGGCTCAGTTTCATTAAGCTGTGAATTTCAGAGAATATTATAATCCCAGTTTGAATTAATAGAAAGAAGGGGCAAGGCTGGGGTAGGTAGGGTGGCACATTTCTAACAATGTTGTTTGAATTTAAACTTTTGCCCCTGTTTTCCTCTATTTGTTTTCTCTTATGAGAATTGCCTTCTATCTCCTCTTTCTCTCCTTCTCTCTCAAATTAGGATTGTTCTCTCTCTCTGTCTCTCTCTCCTCTCCTCTCTCTTTAGGATTGCCTTCTCTTTCTCTTTCTCATTAGGATTCTCTCTCTTTCTCTCATTAGGATTGCCTTCTCTCTCTCTCTCTCTCTCTCATTAGGATTGCCTTCTCTCTCTCATTAGGATGGCCCTCTCTCTCTCTTCTCTCTCTCTCTTTCTCTCATTAGATTGCCTTCTCTCTCTCTCTTTCTCATTAGGATTCTCTCTCTCTCTTTATCTCATTAGGATTGACTTCTCTCTCTCTCTCTCTCTCTCATTAGGATTGCCTTCTTTCTCTCTCTCTCTCATTAGGATTGCCTTCTCTCTCTCATTAGTATTGCCTTCTCTGTCTCATTAGGATTGCCTTCTCTCTCTCTCTCTCATTAGGATTGCCCTCTCTCTCTCCTCTCTCTCTCTTTCTCTCATTAGGATTGCCTTCTCTCTCTCTCTCTTTCATTAAGATTGCCCTCTGCGTCTCATTAGGATTGCCCTCATTCTCTCTCTTTCTGTCATTAGGATTGCCTTCTCTCTCTCTCTTATTAGGATTGCCTTCTCTCTCTCTCTCTCTCTCTCTCTCTCTCTCTCTCTCTGTCTCTCTCACTCTCTTTCTCTCATTAGGACTGCCTTCTCTCTCTTTCTCTTATTAGGATTGCCTTTTCTCTATCTCTGTCTGTCTCTCTCTCTCTCTTTCTCTCATTAGGATTGCCTTCTCTCTCTCTCTTATTAGGATTGCCTTCTCTCTCTCTCTCTTTCTCTTACTAGGATTGCCTTTCTCTCTCTCTCTCTCTTTATCTCTCTCTCACTTATTAGGATTGCCTTCTCTCTCTCTCTCTCTTTATCTCTCTCTCACTTATTAGGATTGCCTTCTCTCTCTCTCTCTCTTTCTCTTACTAGGATTGCCTTCTCTCTTGCTCTCTTTCTCTCTCTCTCTTTCATTAGGATTGCCCTCTCTCTCTCTCTCTCTCTCTCTCATTAGGATTGCTCTCTCTCTCTCTCTCATTAGGATTGCCTTCTCTCTCTCTCTCCTCTGTCTCTCATTAGGATTCTCTCTCTCTCTCTCTCTCTCTCTCTCTCTCTGTCTCCCCTCTCTCTCATTAGGATTGCCCTCTCTCTCTCTCCTCTGTCTCTCTCTCATTAGGATTCTCTCTCTCTCCTCTCTCTCATTAGGATTGCCCTCTCTCTTTCTCTTATTAGGATTACCTCTGTCTCTTTCTTTCCTTTTTTTTCCCTTTAAGTGTCAGTAAACCTGATAATGATCTCACTTTCCTTTTATTTCTTTCCTTGTTCTTACCACACTTCAGTGTGTTCTTCTTTGATAAACATTTCTCACGCCATGAATGCTGAGTGCTGCACATACAAGCTTCTGCTTACTTTGTCCCCAGAATCTTTTATTTTAAAAAAAATAAGTGAACTCTTAGCCCTGAGAATAGATTTTTCTTGTAATTAAACAGTGCATTTCCACTCACGAGTGCCAAGTCTATTAAAAGCATGACCTCATTCATCTATCATCTCCTGTCAGTTCATAGGACTTCTGAGGATGGAGGTATAAGGGAAATGCCCATTGAGCCATGCCACTTTAGAGAGTGAGAAATCAAGACCCAGAGGCCCCAGCGGTTTGACCTAGGGATTCAAGGAGTCCTTGTCTACTAGGGGAGCAAAACATGGGGCTCTTGGTTTCTGGCCGCTTTTCTAGCCACAGGCATGGGGACAAGTTTGAGCAGAATCTGGAGTCAAATCAGTCAGGAAGCAGCCAAGAAAGAGTGCTGCCCCTGGGGATTTAAGGAGGTGATGAGTGAGTACAGTGATGTGATCTGACTGGAGACAGGTGAAGGAAAAAGAATTCACCCACACTCAGAGACCTTTCTAGAAAAGGAGAAGGGAAACCTCCATTTAGGCAAGACCAAAGGGAAGATGAAAAAAAGGATATGGGCCACATTGAATTCTTTTTATTGCTGTCCAATCTAGCTGCCAGTCTGTATCATCTGCTTCAGACCTCCCAATTTTGTCTTGAGACCCGGCCAGAGATGGAGATATCATGAAGCTGATGAAGCTTAAGCTTCAGGGCTCCCACTTGCGCAGGCCCCTTGTAAGTCCCAGGAGGGCCCTAACACTGAGTTCACAAGGTTATATCTTTTTGCAAAATTTGTGAAAGAATTCTTTTCTTAATGAGCCTTACCTCACACCTCCAAATTGTTTAAGTTTTAAGGCCTTACAGATCTGAATCTGCTCCTGAACCTGAGTCCCGTTGACACATTGACACATAATGTCTGCAGCTTTTGTGCCCTCAAGAAACCACTCCTTTTCCTAAGTGGATCTGTGTGGTCTTAAACTGCCAAACTATGTTTATGCCTGCTCTGTGTCCTTACCACACAATTGCAATTCTTGGCCTTAAGAAGGAAAGCTAGGCTTCTTTGAGAGATTATTATTTAACCAATGCTTTCATAAACACCTCCTTAGTTCAGACTCACCACATCTAACTTTTTGCAAAGTGGGGGAACAGGTTCAGGAAGTTTTGATAACTTGGTGAAGGTCACATGGCTTGAAAATGGCACAGCTCAAATGGAAGCCAATTATTTTTGCATAAGCAGGGATAGAGAGGAGAAAAAACCAGAGGATTCTGGGGTGAAAGGAAAGTTATTTCCTTTTTGCTCAATCTACATTTCTCTTTTTCTTTGCAGATCCTTTCCTCTCTCCTCTTTCTGATTCCAGTCAATATGTGTTATGGAGTCTGTGGTCTCCACAAGGCCTTGGGATAGGCATCCAAAGGTGAAGAGGGCAGTTCCTGGAAATTTAAAAGAGAAAGCAAAATAACTACAGAAATTAAGAATATCTGACAGTAGAGAGCTACTTAGTGCTATGGGGTGGGGAAGCTGGAGGTGTAGGTAAGCATTGAAAGTGACATGTGATATGGATCTCAGATAATATTCAGTGGGATGAAGGTAATTGGGAAAGATGTCCATGGAACCTGTGACATGAGCCTACAGGAAAGAAAAAATATGTATAAGCCATATTGTCTTTGACCTGGGAAAAGGGGTTGGGGGTGAGGTGCTACTGGCATTGAGCCTCATGCTTTATCAGAGCAGTGAGTCTCAAACTTTAGCATGCATCAGAATTCAGCAAGACTTGTTAAAACTCAATTCCTGGAATCCACCTCTGAGTTTTTGTGGGGGTGGGGCCTGTTGTGGGGCCTGAGAGTCTGCATTTCTATCAATCTTCCGCGTGATGCTGATGCTGCTGGTCTGAGGACCATACACTGAGTGGCACTGCTTTAGAGAACCCCACTCTGGGCTGTGCTCCTCTTTTATATGGCAAAAGGTCTGCAGGGCCAAGAGGGTGGTGCCCACTCACAACTCATGGCCCACCTTTTAGACTACTCTTTGGGATAATCTGAGGTCTTGGATTTTTCTGCTCATATACCCCTGAGTGGTCCATATGCATCTCCAGGACTTGGTGGGCCTCTTTCCTGGGTTTCTCTTCTCAAAGAGAAGTGAGAACTATCTCACCATCTCACTGATGTGTGCACCATTAGTTCTGAGAGGTGGCCATGGGATGGCTCTTTGCTTGGGGCTGTGGACAGACCTTGGACCTGCAGACTTATATGCCTGTATCTATGTATGCTGGCCCTTGTGGTCAAGATAAATGCAGGGATTGGAAGAAATGAGGGCAAGGCATGGGTCAGAATCCAGAAGCTGTGCTTCTCTCACCTCTGTGTTCCACCATAGCGTCCTGAGGACCTGCAGGTTTCTAAATGCAAGGGTGGCTTTCTAGGTGATTATGTAGCTATATTTGTCAAGGCAAGAACATAATATATATTTGATTTGATGGCTTGCTTACTTGATTTATAATTTGTAAATATTTGGACATTTGGTATGTGGGCTTCCACTTCAAGCCCTTTAAATGTTAGAGGTGGGCCTGTAGATAAGAATAAGCCATATTTTATTCTGTTTTTTTAAAAACAGTTTTGTTGATATATAATTCACATATCATACAATTCGTCCATTTAAAGTATACAATCCAATGGCTGTTGGTATGTTCCAGAGTTGTACACACATCATCACAATCAATTTTAGATAATTTTCATCAACCAAAAAAGAAACTCCATGACTTTTACTAGTCATTTCCCATTTCTGTTCCCCAAGCCCCCAGCCTATCCTCTCACTCCTACCCCCAGGCAATTGCTTATCCACTTTCTGTCTCTATATATTTGCCTATTCTGGATATTTAAAAAATTCCTCCTATCTAACTGTAATTATACACCCTTTAACCAACTGCTCCCCATCCCCCTTTCCCCACTAACCACCGAGGCTCCTGGTAGCCAGCATTCTACTCTCTCCTTCTAGTGAGATCGGCTTTTTTATATTCCCCATATGAGTGAGACCATGCTGTATTTGCCTTTCTGTACCTCGCAGATTTCACTTCACATAATGTCCTCCAGGTTCATCCATGTGGTCGTATCATTCTAATTTTCATAAAAGAAAAAAGGAACACCTTTTTTGCTTCCCCCCTTGTTATAAACATAGAAATTCTTCCCTCAAGTTGATGACTCACAGAAATGTAGCTCCTGCTGTAGATGAGAAACATGGGGATCCTGGCTAATCATGGATGGAGTGGGCCATGTGGACTTTTGTGTTCCCCCACCTCTCTCTTTCTCTGGATCCTGCCTACCTTCTCCTGGTGTTCTTGCTTCTCTCCCACTTCTAAAGCCTGTCTTCGAAATAACATGCTGATATTAGCTAATAATGGTCCGGGGCTTCTCCCAGGAACACTCCTCAGATGGGCAAAGCCTCTGAGAATCTGAGTCACAACATTCTAAGTGCCGTGGCTTCATCTGTGGGGGTGGCGCATTTTGGGGTACACTCCAAGTTATACCACAATTGGGGCTTCCAGCTTGTGGATTTAAGCTTGTCCAGAAGAAATGTTTCAAACAGAAGAAGACTTTGTAGACATTGAAGACACATAGAAGTGATATGGGGCCAGGTAGTAAGTGGCAAAACTCAGAAAATTTTGAATTTTGCTCAGTGGTTCTAAGTTGAACAGTATGGATTTTGTAGGCACCAGATTGCCTTGAAGCTTGTAATCATGCAGATTCCTTAGGCCCCACCCTGAACATTTTGATTCAGTAGCACATTTTTGGTCCTGGAGAGTGGATCGAAAAATAACATGTTTAACGATCACTTCAGTTCCTGTTGCAGGTGGTTCATGGAACCCCAGTGGAGAGCTCATTCTCATGTTCAGGAGGAAGATACTGCTTACAGCCAAAGAACAGATTTGTAAAAGAAGGCAGAGGAGTCCTTTTTGGAGGTAGCAGAGCCTAGTGGCTGAGAACATGACATCTGGACCAAGACTGCTCAGGTTCAAATCCCACCTCCACTATTTACTAGTTGTATAACTTTGGGCAAGTTACCTAACCTCTCTAAACTGAGTTTCCTAATCTGTAAAATGGGGGTGATACTCAAATTCTCACAGGGTCGTTTTGAAGATCACATGAGTTAATCAATGTAAAGCACTTGGAACAGTGCCTGGCACTATTTGGTATTATTATTTCCTATTGTTATTCCTCCTCCATTTAGTGGAGAATTTGGTTGCAGTGGAGTTTCTTCAGGAATAGTGATTTTAGTGGATTTCTGAAGAAAAGGAGAAAACAGCACTGAAAGAGTGAGTAAACATAAAATGTAGGAAACAATTGAAGAATGAAAGTAATTATTTAGACCAGTCTACTTTCTTCAGCTGGTTGTGGGCAAGTACAAACCAAATCCCCGTTAACCACCAAAAGTGTCCTTACCAGACCAGGGTTACCTGCACTAATTACACAAACACAATGCTTCCTTTCTGCTTCCAGGCAGTGAAGTTTTATTAATGCTACAGAGGGAATCTTCCAGAAAGTGCCACATTCAACATCAGCACACCTGCTTTATATGTCCTAAGCTCCAAATGGAGAAAACAAGCAAAAAAAATTGATTTAAATTATGCAGGTGGAGGGTAATTAAATATTGATATAATAATTAAATTATGCAGGTGTAGGATAGGTTTATGTGAAACTTCTGGAATCACTGCAGGAGTGGTATAGACAATGAAAAACCCTGCATGGGGCTCTGAGCTGGAAGACAATGCTCTGAAGTTATGGTTGGACTGGGCAGCCGCTTAACTTTGCATTCATCTGTAGGTACACATCTCTCTGGGTGAGTTCATTCAAACCAAGGGCAAGGCTTCCCCCAAATGGCCTCAGTGCATAGAGGAAAAAGCTACTCTTAACAGGCAGTCCTAAGACTTAAGAGAAAGCAATAGAAATGGAAACTGTGGAGAATCTCCCAGATAATCACGTTTTCATTTAAAACTATAACCTTAAAAACCACCATCACCACCATAACAGCAATCTCACTATTGTCTCTAAAGTAACAATAATTATTTCAGAGCCAGAAAGAAACGGCTCTGAAATGAACAAATGGTTAAGAGAAGAGCGCGAGGAATGGTTTGAGGGGCTGTGAGGGGAGCCATCCAGGTCTGGACCAAAAATGGGTTTGTAGACAGTGTCAGGGATAGGCAGACGCATGATAGCTAGTTTGTTGGAGGAAAATTCTAGTTCTGAGGCAGTGAATTTTTATGTTTGACCATTTTGTCACTTGTGTCACTAAAAAGGAATGGGCCAGATGGTGGTCGCTAGTATGTTTTCCACAGTGTGGCGTCTGCAAAGGGGTTTACCCTAGTTGGCCATTAACAATCAGTCTGAACAGCTTAAATGAGAGCCCAGTGTTGAAAGGCAAGAAAGCCAAATGTGAAATGCCCTTGAATTTCAAATCTCTGATGAACTTAGATGTTTAGGTTTAAAAGCCACAGTTTTTAGGCAATGGAGAAGATGGCAACTTCAAGTATCTGTTTAAATAAGCCATTTTTTTTTTCTGTGTCTTCTTTCTCTTCATAAAATGAAATAAATCATGGTTAAGCCAAAGACTTCTGATGTGTTGGCATTCAACATTTTGACTTTGGTTTTTTGAGTTTTGACTTTTTAATGTTAGTCTAGAGCAACCTGGTCCAGCCTGCGACCCAGGGACCACATGTGGCCCAGGACGGCTTTGAATGGGGCCCAACACAAATTCGTAAAATTTCTTAAAACATTGAGAGTTTTTTTTTTTGTGGCTTGTTTTTTAAGCTCATCAGCTAGTGTTAGTGTATTTTATGTGTGGCCCAAGATGATTCTTCTTCTTCTTCCAGTGTGGCCCAAGGAAGCCAAAAGACTAGACAACCCTGGTCTAGAGGCTCTCAATTTAAGTGAGTTTCAGAACCAGCTGTGGTGCTTGTTAAAAAACAGATTGCTGGGCCCCAGCCCTAGGATTTCTTATTTAGTAAAAATTTGCATTTCTAACAAGTTCCAGCGATGCCTCTGCTGCTAATATGGGAACCACACACACTATGAAGACCACTGTTCTAAAACATTTTCTGGTTCAATTGAGCTCTTATTATTCTTTTTAAGCCATAAGTTTTTTTTTCCCTGATGAAAGCCATAAACCTTTTTCTCAGAAAAAAAAAAAAGCACAGGTAAACAGACACTTGTACTTTCAAGGGATTTATCTCTAGGGGATTCCAAGAATCTTTGCATAAAAGCCCCTGTCCTGTCTAGAGCAGGGGTTAGCAAATTTGTTTTATAAAGGTCCAAATAGCAAATATTTAGGCTTTATGGGCCATTAGGCCTCTGCTATGACTGTAGTACTCAATTCTGACATAGTAATGGAAAGCAGCCATAGACAACACATAAATGAATGGGCATGGTTGTGTTCCCAAAAACTTTATTAACAAAACAAGGTGGTGGGCAGTATTTGGCCCATGGGTGTAGTTTGCTAACTCCTGGTCTACAGCATGGATTTCAGAATCAGATATACCTGGGTTATTAGCTGTGCAACCTTGGGGTCAACCCGTAACCTATTTAAGCTTTGTTTTCCTTGTCTGTAAAATGAGGTGTAATGATTCTTGCTATGAAGTGTTGTGTTGAGAATTAATGGAGATATCAACCCAAAATTCCTGGCATTTCGCTTAAATAACATTATTTTGATACTTAATAATAGTAAATAAATAAATGCTAATGTGAAAGCCCTTTATGGGTCACACAAGATATGAGCCATACAACTTTAATTATTGTTACGATTATTAAGAAGAGGGGGTACATGAGAATTACCCAAGTAGAAATGAAAAACTGGGAATGTGGCATTTTGTTCTAGAATTGTGAAATAAGAGTGATGGATGTCCAGTGAGGTCCTTTGTATCCTAGCCAGCGTCTTTCTTTTCAAACCCATCCTGCCCACAATACCACTGACACCTGAGCTCCTCCTAGATCCACATGCTTTTTAGATAAACTTTTTTTTCCTTGGAATGTTTTTTCTTCCCTGAAACCCATTTTCCAGGCCTCTGTGTAGGTGTCATTTCTCAGAAAGTAGGTCATACGGGACCCTGTTCTTTTCTCTTGTGGCACTCATTAGACTTTGTACCTATTTATTTGCTTGAGTTCTGAATGTCTTCCCCATTAGAACTGTAGGCCCCTCAAGGTCTGGACCATGTTTGTTTTGGTGATCACTAGGTATCTGGAGTTTAGCACTGGGCTCTGCACTTAGTAGATGCTCAATTAATATTTAATGAATGAATTAACCAACTTTACCTAAGGCCATTCTTGGCTCAAAGCAAAATAATGACACTTTGCCTTTGGTGTCATCTATCAGTGCTCCTGTCCCTAGGTAGCAGTGGGAAGGTGGGGGTGTGTAGGCAAGGAGCCTTCCTTCAAAGGTGGCTCTGGGATGTCTACTGCCTTTTGCTGTGTTTCATGATCAAGTTTCTCACCATAAACTTAGCTCTTTGGGACCGCTCCCACCTGTTATATCATAAAGCCATATGTCGAACCCATTCCATGCAATGGCAACAGACATGGGCTTAGTGTATACCGTCTCCAAAAGTAGTTGCCATTAATAGGGCACCCTGGCGATGCAAAGCCTCAACACCAGAGTGTAGCCCCCTAATGGTGGTCTTCTGGGCTGAGGCACATGAACGGGTGGAATCATTTCTGGAGAGGATCCATGTCTGGAATCCATCAAATCACAGCCCAGTGCAGGCTGTCTGCCCTAAGCAGCATCAGGGTAAATGTTTGGATCTGAGAGAGGCATTTGTTGTTTCTGTAGGAAAATCACATCTAATTCCCCAAACACATTGATATAAAATATATTTTGTAAGGGACAATAATTCAGTAGCTGCTTTAAAAAAAAACCCTGCCTAATGATTTAAGCTCTTAATCCTATTTATGGTGGAGAAAGAGAATGGTACAAAGAGTAATCATAGCTAACAAATGGCTGCATGTCTATTGGTGAACTCATGAGCTCCTCAACCGACTGGGATTGAGTAGGACCAAGATCCTTTATAAAGGGAAATAAGCTTAAAAATTAGTCACTGACAGAGAATGGAGGAGCATAGCAAGAGATCTTGGTTGGCCATGTCCCATGTCCTAGATCCAAGCCTGATATCAGCCGTAGCATTGATGAATAGCGCTGTGCACGCTGACAGGCGCCTCCGTAAGTTCTATGCAGGCTTCCACCCACTTCTGTGCCTGACAGAGTTCTTTAAGGCTGTAGAAGCTCATTCAGCCAGTACATACAGACAGAGGAAAGGGAGGGGAGTTAACATCCCAGGGGCAACCCTCGACCAACAAGGTATGGGAGCTAGTGCACATATGCTCCAGCCTTCTGTGCTTTGAACAGATGATTCTGGGAGGCATTTTGCATGTTTCTCAGAGGTCCTAGAGGAGTTGAGCCCTTACTGGCTGCAGCAGGGACCTCAGTAACCCACTTTAAGGAGTTTTCCTTTTCCCAGTCTCACTCTCTTCATTCCTTCACTCCTGTTTCCTGTTTGTTTGTTTATTTAGTTGGGTTGTTTTTTTTATGATGATGATGATGGGGCACCTCTCATATAAACTACCTGCCCTCAAGTTTTTTTCTTGCCCTCAGCTTTTGGAAAAACCTGAGCTAAGACAAAGGGTACATATAGTGGGGATGCAATGATTTTTAAGTACTTTTACATAAAGAATGATGATTTGCTATTTTTTTCCATTGAAGACAAAGGCAAAGAAAAATGGCCTTGAACTGAAACGTGGGAATTAGAAGACATAGGCATCCATTTCCTTGGAAAGAAGGCTCTGGGCCAGCACTATCCAATGTGGTAGCCACCAGCCCCTTGTGGCTATTGAGCACATCAATGTGGCTATGTGACTAAGGCACTAAATTTTAATTTTAATTAACTGAAATAGCTACATATGACTAGTGGCTACTGTAATGGACAGCACAGCTTTAGACATCAGAAACAATCTCCTTCTGAAGGTTTAAAAAATGATGTTTGTGGCTGATGGCAACTCATTCCTTACCTAGTATTTACTCTTCTTTCTAGCAGAATCCTGATTTTATTTGGTGTGTTATTATGTCCAGTTAACAAACACAAGCAAAATCTGACTTCTCAGACAGCTATGGGTGGTCATGGGAGCTTCCCATCCCATGTGGAAGACAATGCCTGGAGCAGAGAAGGCATCTTGCTCTTTGCTTTCTCCTTATCTCTTTTCTTCCTGCTTGATCATATGTCATGCTTGGAGATGCAGCAGTCATCTTACCATCAGTAAGAAGAAAGCTGCATGTTAAGAATTGTGGAGCTGTAAGATGGAAGAAGCTTGAATCCTAGGGCCTTCCTTGATTTGCTGCATCTGCCCTGGCCTCCCTACTTTTGGACTCAGTGATGAGTTAGACAAATAAAACTCTAACCATTGGTACTTGCGTCAGAATGTATTATGACTAGCATAGATTATTTTGGACAGGTTCTGGTTGAAGGTGGGTTAACACTGCCATGTTAAGGTTACATATTGGGTTCAGAGGTAGTGAAACTGATTGAAAAATTCTGCATGAGTATTGCTTAGGAAACTTGGAAAATGAATATAGGTTACAGCTATAAACTAGAAAATGTGTCTTCTCTAGGTATTTACTTTCAAAATACCAACTATTAGATGCTGATAGAAGCACCTTGGAATAATATAGGGCATTTCCTCCTAAAGATTTATTTGCTGTCTCTAGATGGCTGAAAACATTTACTCTCAGAGAGTGAAAGACAGATTGGCACTGGTGGGGCTGGAGGCCTCTGGGTGGGGCTAACATACTACATACTCTTGACACAGAACAGGCCCTAGGTCAGGAGATAACCAAAGCAGGATTTGGCATTGAACAGATAATCTTATACCCATTTCACCTCTAATTGTGATAGATAGCCTTGCCAAAAAGTTCCATAGCTACCTTGTAATCCATTGCCAAGTATTTGGTGAATATTTGGGGGACCAAGTCTATTTCTTCCTACCATATGGATCATAAACTAACCTCGATACACACACTTCTGTCACAGAAAAAAGATATTTCACTCTCCCAGGCTTTCATTGAATAAAGAGATTTTTGAACTGAGCTCCTTAAAATATCAATGCTCCACATTACTCCCCAGATACAGATATAAATCTTTATAATGGTGCACTTTACAAGCAGCACTCTGGAGTCTTTTCTGATTGGTAATCACAGTGTTTCCTTATTAATACTGTAAAAAATGTAAAAGGCATAAACATTTTGCAATCTCTCTGTTCTTTCTGTGTGGGCATACATCAGGGGCTGCTTTAAGCATTCCTAATGGCTCACCCATCACATTTTTTATGAGTTTATATGGGAAGAAAATTGTACCAGAAAACTGAATTCAATGACTGCCATTCTATGAATAAATTCTGTTATCTTTGATACTCTGGGTATAATAAAAACATACAAAAGTTAAATTTCAGCATCCTTGCAGAGTTATGTCAACTGTTTTTAATGTCAATAAGACACTGCTGTTTCAACCAATGTCTTTTCCCTCCAAAAAATACTGCTTGATTTTCAGGTTATGTTTTCATTAAAACAACTTGTTTTTAACAGCAAGATGCTGTGTATGTTTGCTAATTTATGTATACTACAAAGTCTGATCAAAATGAAGAGTTATAATTTTAAGACATGGAGCTCAGTAAAAATTCATCTTTACTTTGGATGAAAGATTACAATAAAAGTCAGGTGTCCATAAAATGTGTTTTATGTAAGTTAGACCAGAAAATATCTTGGTAGAGTAACTTTGATCAAGCAAATTATTATATATTTTTGTATTTACATACATCTCCCCCTGTGATTAGAGGAGATATTTTATACTGTATGCTATAGGTATATTCTATAAGAGTTTTTTCCTTATGATCATCTATGAGTTTTTTTTTTTTCAAAAACTGCAGTCATCTAAATACTTTAAAACAAGAGTAGATTCTCCTAAACTATCCAATTTACACATTTGCAAATTAATTCAAGGCATTTCCTTTATATGATAACAAACTCTGGTTTCCTTATTATATATGGGCAGCCTGAAGCTCAGAGAGTTCCCTCAAAGTATTGACCTACAGATAGCTGCCCATCCGAAGGTCTATCATTTTCTTTTTGGGAGAATTTTTACCTCCAAACTGTCCAACTTGTCTAAGCATCCATTTTCTTATTAATGGCCTAGCTGCCAAGACACAGGAAAACTGAAATGAAAATTCCTAAAATATTCGGGACTTTCAGAGCTCTGAAAACCCTCTGCTGCTTGGACTCCCATTCACCTAGAACACCCTAATGGACCAAACATATAGGCTATAAACCAAAGAAAATATCCAAGTGTTTGCTAGCGACATGGACCCATCCTCTAGGTTTGTGTGTTCCTCCAGACTTGTTCATGATATTTGGGAACACAGGGTTCCTGCACTCTTTTAAGCTTTGTCTCAGGGGAGGGTTCTGCTGTATTGCCTGGCCTCAGGCCATCTTCAGCCCCTCAGCAAATAGGGAAAGGAGAAAATGAATTTTGGGCAAAAGTACATTTAGAGGTATGTAAACAAAATTTATTTCTAAATCTAGTAGAGTCTAATTTATTTTTCCTCTCTTTTCTGGAAATAAGCAGGTAATTGAAATAAAAATGTCTCCTTGGCCTAAATATGTGTCAAATGACCTCAATTCTCTATTTGCCTACAGAGATACCTTCCGATTTTGCCACAAGCACAGGTTTCCCAGAAACATGAAACTCATAGAAAAGAAAAGCAGGCTTCAGGTACAGGCCCATGGGGAGGGCTGTGGGGTCTCATTCGACCTACCCTAACTTCTTTTAGGGCGTTGACTGGTTTATTTTCATGATGGGGCTAAAATATCTTTTCCGGAGCTACCAGGCCAGATGACTCCACCTGAGAAAATGAGTGTTTTGTTTTCTTTTTAAAGTGTACATGAAGATGCTTATTTGTGAAGAAGCTTCCAGAGTTGGCATCCTTGGAGGTTAATCCTGATTAATAGGTGCTTAGCTATATAATTTTGGCTCTTACCTGAGGTTGAGGTTCTGGCCTGTAGCCACTCTGCAATTATCACCAAGTCTCAGGGCACACCTTGTGGGCATCCCCATATGTCTCAACTGGATGGAATAAACAACACCTTATAACCAGGAAATACCCATCAAGCACCTCATTTTGCAGAATTTCATGATCCCCTTTCTCATTTTCCCATGCTCCTTGGTACTATGAAGAGGCTTTTTTTTAAAAAAAAAAAAAAAATGATATTTGCTAAGGTTTGTCCTTGCTCCGGGGTGATTGTCAGCATTAAGAAGGCAAAATTCATAATCGCTTCAGTATTTCCACCCTGGAGAAGTTAAGCCAATGTGTCATTAAAGTGCTCACACTTAGACACACATAGGGCAAATTGGGACTGGACTGTGGCTAATTTCTTCAGAGTTATGTCTTTATTATTTTAATTCCATAAGTAGGAAAAACTCTCTACAATGTCTACACAAGCTTTTGGAAATTTGTCTATCTGGCATTCTCTTTAGATGCAAAACCAGTGACAGTTTGATGCCTAAGGGTAAGAACAATGAGAACTTTCAAGATAGCAGCAGTTATGAACTTCACTCTTTATCTTTTTTTGCCACTTCATGTACAAGTTCCAGGCTTGCACAGGCTGGGGTTGAGAAGGATGACCACTCAAGGCACTAAACTGCTGCCTCAGATTTGAATGAAATGTTTTCAAAGCCACCCAGAGAACTTTCTTCCATGGCTTCTGCATGTTTTGGAAATCTGATAATGCTGTGACTAGAAAGGAATCCTGATTTCTGTGACTAGAAAGGTATCCTGGGATACCACAGTGCCGCATTTCCTCAGTCCTCAAGAGGCCTCCTATCACTCTGCTATAGTTAAAGAATAGAAAACTTCTTTAATATTATTTCAACATGCTTCTCCTGGGTCTGCAGCTTATTTATCAGATGGGCTTCAAGATTCCACTCTCCCTAAGATCTCTCATATTGTAAGGCTTTGTAGTGGCTGAGAAAGGGACAGAAATCTTTCCAGTCAAGAGCTGACTTAGACTTCCACTGAATTCCAGGTTTCTAATTGTACAGCTATGAGGAACTACCAGAAACTCCTGACTGCCCATATCTAAAGGGTCAGCACAGATTTAGAGGGTTAATTCTTCAAACATCTTTAAGCCAAGACTACTGGCACGTTCATTTAACCTGGCTTTCCCCAAATAACAGATGGTTTTAGGAACAGAATTTGTAAAGTATGCTCAAAATTTTTTTTTGGCGGGGAGGGAGAAGCTACATAAATTCGTGCCAAAGATCTTATAGTACTTTTGAAACTCTCTTTCATTCTTTTTGTTACTCCTAAAACATGGGGAAAGAGTATTTATTTGTGGGCATGGAAGAGGAAGCACCCCAAAAGTTGGGCTTTTAAAAGTCATAGTAGTTAAATAGGAAGGGGGAAAATGTATGAAAAGTGCCATGTAACATTCAACCAATATTTATTTTTTCTTTTTTTATTATACTTTAAGTTTTAGGATACATGTGCACAACGTGCAGGTTAGTTACATATGTATACATGTGACATGTTGGTGTGCTGCACCCATTAACTCGTCATTTAACAGGTATATCTCCCAATGCTATCCCTCCCCCTCCCCCAACCCCACAACAGTCCCCGGAGTGTGATGTTCCCCGTTCTGTGTCCATGTGTTCTTACTGTTCAATTCCCACCTATCAGTGAGAACATGCGGTGTTTGTTTTTTTGTCCTTGCGATTGTTTGCTGAGAATGATGGTTTCCAGCTTCATCCATGTCCCTACAAAGGACATGAGCTCATCATTTTTTATGGCTGCATAGTATCCCATGGTGTATATGTGCCACATTTTCTTAATCCAGTCTATCGTTGTTGGACATTTGGCTTGGTTTCAAGTCTTTGCTATTGTGAATAGTGCCACAATAAACATACGTGTGCATGTGTTTTTATAGCAGCATGATTTATAATCCTTTGGGTATATACCCAGTAATGGGATGGCTGGGTCAAATGGTATTTCTAGTTCTAGATCCCTGAGGAATCACCACACTGACTTCCACAATGGTTGAACTAGTTTACAGTCCCACCAACAGTATAAAAGTGTTCCTATTTCTCCACATCCTCTCCAGCACCTGTTGTTTCCTGACTTTTTAATGATCGCCATTCTAACTGGTGTGAGATGGTATCTCATTGTGGTTTTGATTTGCAATTCTCTGATGGCCAGTGATGATGAGCATTTTTTCATGTGTCTTTTGGCTGCATAAATGTCTTCTTTTGAGACATGTCTGTTCATATCCTTTGCCCACTTTTTGATGGGGTTGTTTGTTTTCTTCTTGTATATTTGTTTGAGTTCATTGTAGATTCTGGATATTAGCCGTTTGTCAGATGAGTAGATTGCAAAAATTTTCTCCCATTCTGTAGGTTGCCTGTTCACTCTGATGGTAGTTTCTTTTGCTGTGCAGAAGCTCTTTAGTTTAATTAGATCCCATTTGTCAACTTTGGCTTTTGTTGCCATTGCTTTTGGTGTTTTAGACATTAAGTCCTTGCCCATGCCTATATCCTGAATGGTATTGCCTAGGTTTTCTTCTAGGGTTTTTATGGTTTGAGGTCTAACATTTAAGTCTTTAATCCATCTTGAATTAATTTTTGTATAAGGTGTAAGGAAGGGATCCAGTTTCAGCTTTCTACATATGGCTAGCCAGTTTTCCCAGCACCATTTATTAAATAGGGAATCCTTTCCCCATTTCTTGTTTTTGTCACGTTTGTCAAAGATCAGATGGTTGTAGATAGGCGGTATTATTTCTGAGGGCTCTGTTTTGTTCCATTGGTCTATATCTCTGTTTTGGTACCAGTACCATGCTGTTTTGGTTACTGTAGCCTTGTATATTTTGAAGTCAGGTAGTGTGATGCCTCCAGCTTTGTTCTTTTGGCTTAGGATTGACTTGGCAATGTGGGCTCTTTTTTGGTTCCATATGAACTTTAAAGTAGTTTTTTCCAATTCTGTGAAGAAAGGCATTGGTAGCTTGATGGGGATGGCATTGAATCTATAAATTACCTTGGGCAATGTGGCCATTTTCACGATATTGATTCTTCCTACCTATGAGCATGGAATGTTCTTCCATTTGTTTGTATCCTCTTTTATTTCATTGAGCAGTGGTTTGTAGTTCTCCTTGAAGAGGTCTTCACATCCCTTGTAAGTTGGATTCCTAGGTATTTTATTCTCTTTGAAGCAATTGTGAATGGGAGTTCACTCATGATTTGGCTCTCTGTTTGTCTGTTATTTGTGTATAAGAATGCTTGTGCTTTTTGCACATTGATTTTGTATCATGAGACTTTGCTGAAGTTGCTTATCAGCTTAAGGAGATTTTGGGCCGAGATGATGGGGTTTTCTGGATATACAATCATGTCGTCTGCAAACAGGGACAATTTGACTTCCTCTTTTCCTAATTGAATACCCTTTATTTCCTTCTGCTGCCTGATTGCCCTGGCCAGAACTTCCAACACTATGTTGAATAGGAGTGGTGAGAGAGGGCATCCCTGTCTTGTGCCAGTTTTCAAAGGGAATGCTTTCAGTTTTTGCCCATTCAGTATGATATTGGCTGTGGGTTTGTCATAGATAGCTCTCATTATTTTGAGATACGTCCCATCAGTACCTAATTTATTGAGAGTTTTTAGCATGAAGCGTTGTTGAATTTTGTCAAAGGCCTTTTCTGCATCTATTGAGATAATCATATGGTTTTTGTCTTTGGTTCTGTTTATATGCTGGATTACATTTATTGATTTGCATATGTTGAACCAGCCTTGCATCCCAGGGATGAAGCCCATTTGATCATGGTGGATAAGCTTTTTGATGTGCTGCTGGATTCAGTTTGCCAGTATTTTATTGAGGATTTTTGCATTGATGTTCATCAAGGATATTGGTCTAAAATTCTCTTTTTTTGTTGTGTCTCTACCAGGCTTTGGTATCAGGATGACGCTGGCTTCATAAAATGAGTTAGGGAGGATTCCCTCTTTTTCTATTGATTGGAATAGTTTCAGAAGGAATGGTACCAGCTCCTCCTTGTACCTCTGGTAGAATTCGGCTGTGAATCCATCAGGTCCTGGACTTTTTTTGGTTGGTAAGCTATTAATTATTGCCTCAATTTCAGCTCCTGTTATTGGTCTATTCAGAGATTCAGCTTCTTCCTGGTTTAGTCCTGGGAGAGTGTATGTGTCGAGGAATTTATCCATTTCTTCTAGATTTTCTAGTTTATTTTGCATAGAGGTGTTTATAGTATTCTCTGATGGTAGTTTGTATTTCTGTGGGATCAGTGGTGATATCCCCTTTATCATTTTTTATTGCATCTATTTGATTCTTCTCTCTTTTCTTTTTTATTAGTCTTGCTAGCGGTCTATCAATTTTGTTGATCTTTTCAAAAAACGAGCTCCTGGATTCATTGATTTTTTGAAGGATTTTTTTGTGTCTGTATTTCCTTCAGTTCTTCTCTGATCTTAGTTATTTCTTGCCTTCTGCTAGCTTTTGAATGTATTTGCTCTTGCTTCTCTAGTCCTTTTAATTGTGATGTTAGGGTGTCAGTTTTAGATCTTTCCTGCTTTCTCTTGTGGGCATTTAGTGCTATAAATTTCCCTCTACACACTGCTTTAAATGTGTCCCAGAGATTCTGGTATGTTGTATCTTTCTTCTCGTTGGTTTCAAAGAACATGTTTATTTCTGCCTTCATTTCTTTATGTACCCAGTAGTCATTCAGGAGCAGGTTGTTCAGTTTCCATGTAGTTGTGCGGTTTTGAGTGACTTTCTTAATCCTGAGTTCTAGTTTGATTGCACTGTGGTCTGAGAGACAGTTTGTTACAATTTCTGTTCTTTTGCATTTGCTGAGGAGAGCTTTACTTCCAACTATGTGGTCAATTTTGGAGTAAGTGTGGGGTGGTGCTGAGAAGAATGTATATTCTGTTGATTTGAGGTGGAGAGTTCTGTCGATGTCTATTAGGTCTGCTTGGTGCAGAGCTGAGTTCAATTCCTGGATATCCTTGTTAACTTTCTGTCTTGTTGATCTGTCTAATGTTGACAGTGGGGTGTTAAAGTCTCCCATTATTATTGTGTGGGAGTCTCTCTTTGTAGGTCACTAAAGACTTGCTTTATGAATCTGGGTGCTCCTGTATTGGGTGCATATATATTTAGGATAGTTAGCTCTTCTTGTTGAATTCATCCCTTTACCATTATGTAATGGCCTTCTTTGTCTCTTTTGGTCTTTGTTGGTTTAAAGTCTGTTTTATCAGAAACTAGCATTGCAACCCCTCCCTTTTTTTGTTTTCCATTTGCTTGGTAGATCTTCCTCCATCCCTTTATTTTGAGCCTATGTGTGTCTCTGCACGTGAGATGGTTTTCCTGAATACAGCACACTGATGGGTCTTGACTCTTTATCCAATTTGCCAGTCTGTGTCTTTTAATTGGAGCATTTAGCCCATTTACATTTAAAGTTAATATTGTTATGTGTGAATTTGATCCCGTCATTATAATGTTAGCTGGTTATTTTGCTCATTAGTTGATGCAGTTTCTTCCTAGCCTTGATGGTCTTTACAATTTGGCATGTTTTTGCAGTGGCTGGTACTGGTTGTTCCTTTCCAAGTTTAGTGCTTCCTCCAGAAGCTCTTTTAGGGCAGGCCTGGTGGTGACAAACTCTCTCAGCATTTGCTTGTCTGTAAAGTATTTTATTTCTCCTTCACTTATGAAGCTTAGTTTGGCTGGATATGAAATTCTGGGTTGAAAATTCTTTTCTTTAAGAATGTTGAATATTGGCCCCCACTCTCTTCTGGCTTGTAGAGTTTCTGCCGAGAGATCAGCTGTTAGTCTGATGGGCTTCCCTTTGAGGGTAAACTGACCTTTTTCTCTGGCTGCCCTTAACATTTTTTCCTCATTTCAACTTTGGTGAATCTGAAAATTATGTGTCTTGGAGTTGCTCTTCTCGAGGAATATCTTTGTGGCATTCTCTGTATTTCCTGAATTTGAATGTTGGCCTGCCTTGCTAGGTTGGGGAAGTTCTCCTGGATAATATCCTGCAGAGTGTTTTCCAACTTGGTTCCATTCTCCCCGTCACTTTCAGGTACACCAATCAGATGTAGATTTGTTCTTTTCACATAGTCCCATATTTCTTGGAGGGTTTGTTCATTTCTTTTTATTCTTTTTTCGTAAGCTTCTCTTCTCACTTCATTTCATTATTTGATCTTCCATCACTGATACCCCTTCTTCCAGTTGATCGAATCGGCTACTGAGGCTTGTGCATTCATCACGTAGTTCTCATGCCTTGGTTTTCAGCTCCATCAGGTCCTTTAAGGACTTCCCTGCATTGTTTATTCTAGTTAGCCAATAGTCTAATTTTTTTTCAAAGTTTTTAACTTCTTTGCCATGGGTTCGAACTTCCTGCTTTAGCTCAGAGTAGTTTGATGGTCTGAAGCTTTCTTTTCTCAACTCGTCAAAGTCGTTCTCTGTCCAGCTTTGTTCCATTGCTGGTGAGAAGCTGTGTTCCTTTGGAGGAGGAGAGGTGCTCTGATTTTTAGAGTTTCCAGGTTTTCTGCTCTGTTTTTTCCCCATCTTTGTGGTTTTATCTGCCTTTGGTCTTTGATGATGGTGATGTATGATGGGGTTTTGGTGTGGATGTCCTTTCTGTTTGTTAGTTTTCCTTCTCACAGACAGGACCCTCAGCTGCAGGTCTGTTGGAGTTTGCTGGAGGTCCACTCCAGACCCTGTTTGCCTGGGTATCAGCAGCAGAGGCTGCAAAACAGCAGATATTGGTGAGCAGCAAATGTTGCTGCCTGATCGTTCCTCTGGAAGTTTTGCCTCAGAGGAGTACCCGGCCATGTGAGGTGTCAGTCTCCCCCTACTTTGGGATGCCTCCCAGTTAGGCTACTCGGGGGTCAGGGACCCACTTGAGGAGGCAGTCTGTCCATTCTCAGATCTCCAGCTGCATGCTGGGAGAACCACTACTCTCTTCAAAGCTGTCAGACAGGCACATTTAAGTCTGCAGAGGATTCTGCTGCCTTTTGTTTGGCTATGCCGTGCCCCCAGAGGTGGAGTCTACAGAGGCAGGCATACCTCCTTGAGCTCCAGTGGGCTCCACCCAGTTCGAGCTTCCCAGCCGCTTTCTTTACCTACTCAAGCCTTGGCAATGGCGGGCACCCCTCGCCGAGCCTCGCTGCTGCCTTGCACTTTGATCTCAGACTGCTGTGCTAGTGGGTGTAGGACCCTCTGAGCCAGGCACGGGATATAAACTCTTGGTGTGCCGTTTGCTAAGACCATTGGAAAAGCGCAGTATTAGGGTGGGAGTGACCCGATTTTCCAGGTGCCGCCTGTCACCCCTTTCTTTGACTAGGAAAGGGAATTCCCCGAACCCTTGCCCTTCCTGGGTGAGGCGATGCCTTGCCCTGCTTTGGCTCGTGCTCAGTACACTGCACCCACTATCGTGCACCCACTTTCCGACACTCTCCAGTGAGATGAACCCGGTACCTCAGTTGGAAATGCAGAAATCACCCGTCTTCTGCATCGCTCACGCTGGGAGCTGTAGACTGGAGCTGTTCCTATTCAGCCATCTTGGCTCCACCTCAACCAGTGTTTGAACCAACATTCAACTCCTGACTGCCCATCTCTGAAGTGTCAGCACAGGTTTAGAGGGTTAATTCTCCAAACATTTTTAAGTCAAGACTACTGGCATGTTCTTTTTACTTGGCTTTCCCCCAAAGACAGATTTCCCTAATCAATCAATATTTGGTTGAATGCTACATGGCACTTTTCATACATTTTCCCCCTTCTTACATAACTCACTAAACCAAAATTAAAAGTTCCATTTAGATTGAGTAACTGAGGCTTAGATAAGTTAAATAACTTGTCCAACTTCATGTATCAGCCTCTCATGTTTCTTCCACTAACACTCTGCTCCATTTAAACTTGTTTTTGACAAATCTAGGAAACCTTAGACATTAGTAGAGTACTTTATATGTAAAGAAAACTTACAGTCCAAAAACAGGTGGCATTTTTTCTCATGTTCTCTTTCTCATTTAGCACCATTGAGAAAGATAGTATACAAGTCCTAGAAAAAATATGGGGGGATATGTTCAAGACAACGGGACACAACACTACATATTTATGTCCACTATAATGAATCAATACATCAACCGCAGAAGAGACCCAACATAAATGTTAATACAAGCATACCTCAGAGATACTGCAGGTTCAGTTCCAGACCTCTGCAATAAAGCAAATATCACAATAAAGCTAATCACACGTTTTTATTTTTGGCTTCCCAGTATATATATAAAAGTGATGTTAACACTACACTACAGCCTAAGTGTGCAATAACATGTCTGAAAAATGTACATAACTTAATTAAGAATACTTTGTTGCTAAAAAATCCTGATGATCATCTGAGCCTTCAGCAAGTTGTAATCTTTTTGCTAGTGGAGGGTCTTGCCTAGATGTTGATGACTACTGATTGCAGGGTGGTGGTTGCTTAAAGTTGGGGTGGCTGAGGCAATTTCTTAAAATAAGACAATAATAAAATGTTCTGCATTTCAGGAAATATTTCTCTATAGCATGCGATGCTGTTTGTTTGCATTTTACCCACAGTACAACTGCTTTCAAAATTGGAGTCAATCTTCTTAAAACCTGCTGCTGCTTTATCAATTACGTTTATATAATATTCTAAATCCTTTGTTGTCATTTCACCAATGTTCGTAGCATTTTCACCAGGAGTAGATTCCATCTCAAGAAACTATTTTCTTTGCTCATCCATAGACACAATTCTTTATATGTGAAAATATTATGAGATTGCAGCAATTCAGTCACATCTTCAGGTTCCACTGCTGATTCTACTTATCTTGCTATTTCTATCACATCTGTACTTCCTCCACTGAAGTCTTGAGTCCTCAAAGTCATTCATGAAGGTTGGAATCAGCTTCTTCCAAACCCCTATTAATGTTGATCTTTTGACACCTTTCCATGAATCATGAATATTACTAATGGCATCTAGAATGGTGAATTATTCCCAGTAGGTTTTCAATGTACTTTACCCAGATCTATCAGAGGAATCACTATCTATGGTAGGTACAGCCTTATGAAATGTATTTCTTAAATGATGAGCCATGAAAGTCAAGTTTCTCCTTGATCTATGGGCTGCAGAATGGATACTGTGTTATCTGGCATGAAAACAACATTAATATCCTTGTACATCTCCATTAGAGCTCTTGGTTGGCCAGGTGCGTTGTTAATAAGCAGTACTATTTTGAAAGGAATCTTTTTCTGAGCAATAGGTCTCAATAGAAGCTTAAAATATTTAGTAAACCATGCTATAAATAGATGTGCTGTCATCTAGGCTTTGTTGTTCCATTTACAGAGCATAGGCAGAGTAGATTTAGCATAATTCTTAAGGGCCCTAGGATTTTTGGAATGATGATAAGTCAGCATTGGCTTCAACTTGAAGTCACTGGCTGCAGTAGCCCCTAGCAAGAGAGTCAGTCTGTCCTTTGAAGCTTTGAAGCCAGGCCTTAACTTCTCCTGTCTAGCTATGGAAGTCCTAGATGTCATCTTCTTCCAATAGAAGGCTGTTTTATCTACATTGAAAAATCTGTTGTTTGTGTAGCCACCTTCATCAATGATTTTAGCTAGATCTTCTGGATAACTTGCTACAGCTTCTCCATCAGCACTTGCTGTTTTACCTTGCACTTTATTGTTGTGGAGATGGCCTTTTCCTAAACTTCATGAGCCAATCCTGTTAGCTTCTGCCTTTTCTTCTGCAGTCTCCTGACCTCTCTCTGCCTTCATAAATTTAAGAGATTCTACTCTATTATTTAGGACTTTGCTCTGGATTAGGCTTTGGCTTGTGGAATGTTGTGGCTAGTTTAATCTTCTATACAGACCACTAAAACTTTTTCTAGATCAGTAATAAGGCTGATTCACTTTCTTATCAGTTGTGTACTCACTGGAGTAGCACTTTTATTTTCCTTCAAGAACTTTTAGTTTGCTTTTGCAACTTGGCTAACTCTTTGGCACAAGAAAGCCTAGCTTTTGGTCTGTCTTGGCTTTCATTATGTCTTCCTTACTAAGCTTAATCATTTCTAGCTTTTAATTTAAAGTGAGAGATACGTGACTCTTCCTTTCACTTGAACATTTAGAGGCCATTGTAGGGTTATTAACTGGGTTAGTTTCAATTTTGTGTCTCAGGGAATAGGGAGGCCTGAAGAGAGGGAGAGAGAGGGGGGAACGGCCTATTGGTGGAGCAGTCAGAACATACACAATACTTATCGATTAAGTTCGCCATCTTATGTGGACACAGCTCATGGCATCCCAAAACAATTACAGTAGTAACATCAAAGGCCACTGATTACAGTCATAATAACAGATATCATAATAATTAAAATGTTTGAAATACTGTGAGAATTACAAAAATGTGACACAGAGACATGAAGTAAGCTGATGCTGTTGGAAAAAATGGTGCTGACAGACTTATTCAACACGAGGTTGTCAAAAAGTTTCAATTTGTAAAAACTGCAATATCCATAAAGTGCTACAAAATTAGGTATGACTCTATTAATACTGCCAGAAAAACAAGATTCCCTGTTGCCTGGTGGAACTGTAAGAAGCATTGACTGCTTTAGCTAAGTATTGTTGCCAGGGTCAGTTTTGTCATTTGGCAAAGAGGCAGTGACCAGAGTTGATTAACTAATGTCGTTAAACTAGGGGAAGGGTTGGGGGAGGTGGTATGTTGGAAAGCCTGATTCGTAGCACTTGCCAAAATATAAATACTGCAAGTCTGATTTCAAGCTACCAATGGTTTAACAGTGGGCTCACAAAATTCCTGAAAATTGAATAATTGGCTTTCATAAGCTAATATGACCTAGCTCTAGCATACCACCACAGCTCTTCTCTGAGAACCAATGCCCCAGTTTCTGGTAAAAGATATCCCAGGAGACCTTCCTTCCTGTACTTGCCCAGGATTTCCCACGTAGGCTTGCGTCATGGGGGTGATGCTGGTCCTGTCATCACATTATAGTGGCTGGTGATTCAGGAAAATCCCCTTTAAGGAAATCTCTCAAGTGTGCTCAATTTTGTATGAGAAAATAAGAGTGAAAATGCTAATAAAAATCAAAGATACCAACTTATCAGGGAGCTCTCGGTGAAAAACAGGTTAGAAATAATGCCCAAATAGCATATAGTTTCAATTTATTCATTGTACACTAGATGCAGTTAAATGAAGTCTCATATCTTGGGACAAAACAAGAGCGAGGGCATTTTAAACTGGGCACATTTTCGTCTATAAACAGGCAGGTACATTGATGGAGGTGAGGAAGTCCTTTTAATTCATCTCCACGACCAGCATCACTAGGAAGAAGAAAGACTAGGATCACATCAAAGCATATGTTCAGATGTGGCCAGCAGAAGCCTTGGCTGTATTGCTGTGGCTATTTCTCCTTTCTGTGGTGTCCTGGGAAGCTTGGTCTAGGCATGGTGAATTTTTCTTCTTTGACTAAGTTTGCAGAATCATAAGATCAAATGTTTAGAAGGGCATTTAGGTGACTGCATATACATCCTCCTCAACATCCCTGACAATCATTTACTTAGTCTTGAAGGCCTCCATTAAAAGGGGGTACTTAGCTTCCTGATGCTTCTGTTTACATTTCTAGGCAATTCTGTTTGGTGGAAAATTTCCCCTCAGGCAAAGTAGGATCTTCATTTCTGCAGCTGATCTTTTGGTTTTTCTCTGGACACATAGCATCTAGGATGGACACACAGCTTTACAATTAGTCAGATGCATTTCAATTCAGTTCTACAAACATTTCCTGAGTCCTTATCATGGCCAGAATACAAAGATGCGTTAGCTTAGTTTCCATTCTTGAGAAGCTCATGGTTTGGCAACTTAGAAAGTTTCGCAAAAAGATAATCTAGTTCCATTATGTATTCTATAATACGTGGCCTCCTTTCTCTTTACTTCAACCACAAGCTTACAACAGCAGCTTCCATCTTCTGACATGAGCTCATCATCCCAACCAGCAATTTGTTCGTCTAGGGGTTTGTCCCTGACCAAACTACACCATCAGTAACCACAGCCATAGTTGATTGGTCCAAGAATGGGCTCCTGACCAAAGCTGGCCACTCAAATCTTTTATCTCAGATTTTAAAATTTGGTATCAAAAAGGGTATAAGCCAGTCTCTCTAATGACTGACTTTCTAATGACTGCAAAGCTGTGCAGTGCTGTAGCTGATTCCTGACACTCTGTAGTGAGAAGGAATGAAGCAGATGTGCAGAAAGGAGAAACAAGTAATGGAGAGAGGGTCCTGGCAGAATTTCCTTCCTTGGCTCCAGTGTTCCTGAGACTTGTTTCTATCCCTGCCCTTCTCATGCCCAGCTCATCTCTGGGTCAACACATTCCCCTTTGAATGTTTTGAAATGTTGAAAGTTTTAAGCTGCTTTGCATTTTGTTTCATTTTTGTTTGTTTGCTTGCTTTTTTTTTTTTTTTATTTAGAAGAGAAAAGGGCAAAATGAAGGGATCAGAAAGCAGTGTTGATGCTCCATATCTCCACCCCTTTGCTGGGGCAAACTTGACCAATGGGTATCACAGATGGACAGGTTGTGTATCAAAAAGAGGAAAAGGCTCATGTTTCCTTGGAAGGCATTTGGTTGGTAGTCAGTGAGAGATGGAGAAAAACGAAATAGGAATTCAGGTGGCAGGCAGCCTGCTGTTGAGTGGGAATTATTCTCTTGGTGAGAGAGGTTTGTATTCACCTCTGCTTGCTGAGGGCATCTTGTCTGTTTACTCCGGGTCTACTGCTGAAACAGTTAACTTCTGGGTGGTGCAGTAAGCTTGAATAGAGATGGGGCCCTTCCTTCATCAGTTAATAGAGGGTTTACTATATACCAGACACTATAAATTGATATTTACCTAAATACTTGTATATATAATTTCAAATTTATTTACATATAAGTCCCATGGTATTATCATGAAGTTGGGATGTATCCACATTTTACCAATGAGGAACCAGAGACTGGAAGAGTCAATCAGTTGTTTGAGGCTCACAGAGTTACAGAGTGACAGTGGGGATGGGAACTCAGCTTCTGACTCCAAACTCTATTGTACATCCCTCTCTTCTGAGAGAGACAGAGAATCTGGCTCTTTAAGTATCTGCCTGGTTTGAGGACTGCTGCAGCAATGATAATCCACCAGCGTGGTCTGGAGACTGAGTTCCCTGGGAAAGGCCTCCTTCTCACCTCCAGCACTCTCTCTATTTCCTGCATAAAGGGAGGAGTGAATGTTTCAAGGCAGGTTTCTTCTCTGGCAAGAGCCCAGGACTTTGCAGGCTGAACCAGCATCCTACAGCCAGGTGCGTCCGGCCTCAGTCACTGTGCCTGGCCAGGTGAGGCTCTGGGGTTTCATCTGCCTGTGGTTGGCAAGACTTCTGAGAGGGCTGCCTAATCCCAAATAATAATAATGACAATAGTGGTGATAATAGAGGGCTTTATGTGTGCAAAATGTGGTTCAATCCCAAAAGGTCCAGGAACACTATAAAAGATCCTGATAAGTATTATTATCTCTTGGGCGGGCAACAGGTTTACCTTGAGGGCAAATGCTGCAATGGGAGGTAAAGAGCCTGAGAGGTAATGAGATCAGGTAACAATAATGATAGCAAGTGCTAATGCCAGTAGCCAAGAAAAAGGACAAACGGGAAGTCATGTTTGGAGACTCTGGGTTAATTAAAAAAGAACTCTTCTTGCCTATTTTCCTTTGGGCATGAATTATCAGCAACAAATGATAGAGCACAGGCTCTTCTTCAGAGCTAAAGAGATGAGCCCTGTTTAGGTGGCCATCTGCTTTGCATGTGTGGAGAATGTCTGGTCTGCACAGTGCACACTCAAGGGTCTCTGGGGTTTCACAGGGAATGTTAATGAATAAACATAGTCGAGTGTAAGGCAAATATAGTACAAATAAAATGAGAGCAATGTGACAAATGGCAAGGTATGCTTGGCTTCAATATTGGGGCACGATAAGGAGGGGTGGGGTCTGCGGCAAACTAGAGGGAGAACCATGTGCCACCACTGAAGGAAGCAGCTCTATTTAAATCCAACCAGAGCTGGCCCTGTGTTGCCAGTTCTTTCAATTTTGGGAAGAAACTGAAACTCCAAATTGTTGTGGAGAATCTCTTAAATTTAAAATATTGTTAACTACTTTGAACATTTTCAAATGCTGTTGGCTACATCCTGTCTGGTTGGGGTTTTTCGCCTAAGGAAACCCTGCAATTACCTCAAATTTCAAAGATGTTTAGCCTTATTAAGCACATGGAGTTAGAGGAGACAGCTGGCCCATTGTGCATCCTGTATCCCCCCCAGCCAAGATTATAAAAGAAGCCAGTGGGAAGGAGGAGAGATAGCCCAGGCTCATGTGTGTCTAGACACTGCATGGAGTATGGGCTGGATGGGGCTGCCAAGGTGTGGCCACGAGTGTGGTCAGATGAGAACATCACAAATGAGCTTGGTAGAAGGAGAGGCTGGCAAGGGTGAAATCCAGTGGGGCTACTGAAGATAAACAGCAACTGTGACAAAATTTTATCTCTTCTGGCTTTTTCCTGCTCCCTTTCTTTCTCTCTACTGCCCTATTATACATTTTCTCTTTATCTTCCTTCTTTCCTTCCTTCCTTCCCACAAATTCACGGGCCACTCACATAGTGTCGGAAGCTTTACAGGCTATGGGAACGTAATCTAGGCATACAATTATGTTTTCAACTTTTATTTTCTCCCATGGAAGCTGTTTCACATAAAAAGAGCTATAGAGGTTTTTTTAAAAAAATCAAATCTGAAAGTAAGCTTGACAAGATCAGGCATTATATAAGCGGTGTAATTTTTTTCTTTGAGAGAATCACTTCAACAAGACACACAGTCACAGCAGCAATTTAACAATAGCAAGAGGCCTCATGGCTGTCAGTGATCAGAGACCCGCCAGGTGCCTGAGATATTGCAGGCAGAGACTACAAATGGTGGATTCAATGTGATGCCTGAATTGAAAGTTGTAAGGGATATCTCTTTTTCTCACGTGGCCCACATCCCCCTGTGAGGGATGTCCAGCCTGGTGCAGAAGAGGGCAGAAAGGCCTTCTGTAGGAGGGGACATCTAGAGGGATGAGTGGAACCTAGCCAGGTAGAGAAACAGGAAAGAAAAGAGCATTCCAGAGAAAGCAAGAGTAGGTGCAATGACCGTGAGTTGAGAGACCATGCAGCTCTTTTGGGCACCTGAAAATGCTTCAGTCTAGCTGGAGGAGACGGTATACTCAGGGGCAAAACTAAAGCTATAAGTAGGAGATGGATAATTAAGGGCCTTGTATATTGTGTTAGGGAGTTTTACTCTATCCCCAGGTGGGTTTTTGGCAGGAGAGTAACATTGTCAGTCTTGTGTTTTAGGAAGATCACTTTGATTGCCATGTGGAGAGTGAACTGTGGGAGGACCCCAGTGGAGGCAGGAAGACTAAACCAGAAGACAGTCACAGTAGTCCAGATAAGAGATGCATATGTTATCAATCGGTGAGTTTTTACTGAGAAAGGACTACACTAATAGTTGTATGTGATACAGCAGACACTTTTTGATCTCAAGGATCTTTGCTGGGTTGTCAAGACAAATAGATCATCCATTCAATTGGTTAATTGAATTCAATTTAAAAATATTCATAAAATCTGTACTACAGAGAAGCAATGTTCCAAGGCACAGATCAATAAGACATGGTTACTGCCATGAAGGAGCTTATAGTCTCTTGGGGGAGGCAAATACAACCAAATACCATGCGTGGTATACAGCATGGGTCCCCAACCCCCCAGGCCAAGGACCGCTACTGGTCTGTATAAGCCTGCACAGCAGGAGGTAAGTGGCCGGCCAGCAAGTGTAGCTTCATCTGTATTTACAGCCTCTTCCCATTGCTCTCAGTACTGCCTGAGCTCCACCTCTTATCAGATCAGCAGCCGCATTAGATTCTCATAGGAGTGTGAACCCTATTGTGAACTGTGCATGTGAGGGATCTATGTTATGTACTCCTTATGAGAATCTAATGCCTGATGATCTGTCACTGTCTCCCATACCCCCCAGATGGGACCATCTAGTTGCAGGAAAACAAGCTCAGGGCTCCCACTGATTCTACATTATGGTGAGTTGTATAATTATTTCATTATGTATTACAAGGTAACAGTAATAGCAATAAAATGCACAATAAATGTAATGTGCTTGAATCATCCTGAAACCATTCCTCTGCCCTCGGTTCATGGAAAAATTGTCTTCCACAAAACTGGTCCCTGGTGCCAAAAAGGTTCAAGACCACTCATTTAGAATATAATACTGTAGTGTACAAGTAAGTTAACTGGCCTGCACTGGTCATGCCTTCTTATTGTAATGAGTGCCAGCCCACTGATTTACTCAGCCTCATCTTCTATATTTAGCTCACTTGGGCCAACCACAATCTTGTGTGGAATATTATCTTTATTCCCATTTCATAGGTGAGAAACTGAGGCTCAGAGAGATTACAAAGGAGCACAGATGGGATTTTTACTCCAGGTCCTCTAGTCTCATTATCCCATGTTTTGAGGATTATACTGATGTTTCCCAAACTTTAGTCATTGTTTCTGATTTTTACAATAATTATATAAGCCTGCACAATTATTTACTTTATTTCACTTTAAACTGATTCATTGTTCATATTAAATAATTTATTCTGAAAAGAAAGTCATGTGAACATAATGAATAGAAAGTATCACTTGCCACAAACATAAAATAACTGTAAAATTAAATATGTTAAAACAATAGTATTAAAAGACTCATTGCATACAGTAGCCTGATCGAGGTCTGAGTCTGATGTCAGCTGACTTTGTTAAAAAGGGAAACTTCCAAGTGTTGAAAGGTGCTAAAGACCTGGTAGCACTAAACTGGCACTTAGCTTTGACTCATCATAAGGCTCTAAAGATAATTGAGCCTTATGGGAATAAATCCCTCACTCTGAGATTTAATCTTATTTAATGGTATCTATCTACTACCTCACATATAGCACATCATCCATGGGCAGACACCGTGAAGTGGCCCATCTCCCTTCTTCCTTTTTGCAACCATCTTTCCTTGCTACAAGCTGCCACCCTATGAGGTCACTGGTGGGGGTGAGGGGGCATCCTTTTAGGCAGGTAAAGAAGAGTGAACCTTCCAGACAGTGCCATAGGGTGTCAAGGTGGCCACTAGGGTTTCCGTCTAGGGAAACACGATTGTGCTATACAGCAATGATCCCCTTGTGATAACAGGCAAAGGTTAGTGAGATATTCTGCTCTGCTCTAAGCACCGGGTTCTCTTTTTCTTTTTTCTTTTTATTTTGAGACAATCTCACTCTGTCACCCAGGCTGGAGTGCAGTGGTGCCATCTCAGCTCACTGCAACCTCTGCCTCCCAGGTTCAAGCGATTCTCTAGCCTCAGCCTCCAGAGTAGCTGGGATTATAGGCGCACACCACTTGCCTGGCTAATTTTTGTATTTTTAGTAGAGACAGGGTTTCACCATGTTGGCCAGGCTGGTCTCGAACTCCTGGCCTCAGGTGATCCACCCGACTTGGCCCCCCAAAGTGCTGGGATTACAGGTGTGAGACACTGCGTCCAACTGTCTTTTTTCCTCCTTCTGTGAGACTGAGGCCACTTCTGCCTCATGTTCCTATCTCTCAGCATTCATGAGCCTTCCCTCACTTTGTTAATGATATTTCATGATATTTTTATATTATTACCCGATACAACTTTTAGGATGTAGAGAGAAAGGAACAGACTTTGGAGATCCTTCAGAATCTGTGAGCCTGGAAGATAGAAACCGTGGAGCAGAAGTTGGTGACAGGGAGGTTATATCAGCTTGGTTTGCCTATCCACAGGGACGTCCATAAACTTAGATCACTGGCCATTCATGGGGGATGACCAAAGGCTGTGGCTAGAGAGCAGTCCCAAGGCAGGATTTAGAGCAGGCAAAAAGCCTGAGTACAAAGCCTGCCCCCAAGTGAGCAGGGACAGGGGAAGTATGAACACTGTACTTATATCTCACCTGTAGGCTGGGGGATTGGAGGTGGGATTGTCAACCATTTGTGAGTGAGCTTTTGCCTTGATGGTCCTCCTTGACTTGAATGTCCAAGAGTGAGGACTCCACAGAAACATTACCCATCTGATATAGTTTGGCACTATGTTTGGACCCGAATCTCACATTGAATTGTAATCCCCAGTGTTGGGGGAGGGACCTAATGGGAGGGCGTTGGAACATGGGGGCAGATTTCCCCCTTGTGTTCTCGTGATAGTGAGTGAGTTCTCCTGAGATCTGATTGTTTAAACGTGTGTAGCTCCTCCCCTTCACTCTCTTCCTCCTGCGCAGCCATGTGAAGAAGATGCTTGCTTCCCCTTTGCCTTCTGCCATGATTGTGAGTTTCGCGAGGCCTCCACAGCCATGCTTCCTGTACTGCAGAACTGTGAGTCAATTAAACCTCTTTTCTTCATAAATTACCCAGTCTCTGGTAGTTCTTTATAGCAGTGCAAGATGGACTAATACACCACCTAAGTGATGTATTTGTTGCTCCAGCTCTATATATACCTAATTTGTACATCACCTGGGACCTTGCTTTTCTTTGAGTTAAATGATTTTATATGTTAACTACTCTACTTTAATGATCACAATTTATCATATACTTTTTCAGCATCTCAATAAAAGAAATTTTTTCGAAATTCAGGAGACTATCATTTGAGTCTGCTTTGCAAAGTGATTTATTTCTGTCAATATTCCAGTGAGAGAAGGACTTTTGTTTATGTGACACACACTGGGGACATACAAAGAGCAAAAGACCCCTGTCAAACATGACTGCAAGTGAAGACATGTCTAAACACACACAACTTCATATGAAAGATTAAAGGAAGAAGAAAATTGATTATAATACCAACTCTTGCATTTCTCTGAATTTTGCATAGCAGCTTTTCATGTGAATGAATGTTCAGAAATTCGGGTCTGAACAAAATAAAAATGCATCCATAAATTTTTAAAAGACAGATTTTAAAATCTCATTTAATACAAGAGAAAATCTGATTTCTTTCTAGAATGTCTTTATAGATAGTACACATCTATGCCGGGTAAGGTGCTACAGATACTGGTATACATAAATTAGAAGACATAATCATGGCTTTCAGGAAATTTGTAATCCCTTGAGAAAAACACACACAAATAAACTATGATAAAAGTAGAACAGAGGAATTTAAAAGTGACAGGTGAACCCAGGTGCTGGATGTTATATCAGCTTCAGAGAGGAGGTCTATAGAGGAGAGGACATTTCAATTAGTTCTTGAGGGATGAAGAGGATTTTGCAAGGAGTGGAGAAAAGAGATTAGACACAAAGGGAACAGTGGGACCAAAGACAAAGAGACAAGAATGTGCATACCCATTTGCAGAATGTAAGTGATGATGGAAGCATTGTGTTTATTTGAGGGAAAATGACAGTGTAAGGGTGAAAAGGTGAGTAGGAGCCCAACTGTGAAGGTCTTTGAATGGTGCCTGGATTTCCTTCCTCTAGACATGGATGCCCATCACAGGCTCTTAATCAGGAGAGTGATGATGATGGGATATTTTGATTTAGAAAGCTAAACAAGGAGATCAGGCAAGAGGTTTTTTACGTTGGCTGAGGTAAAATGATCTTTTATGTATCTTACACCAATTCTGTTCTCTCTCCTTTTTCTAAGAAGTATACTGAAATAAAAGATGTTTGTTTTGAAGAGACTCAATGTATTTGCCACACAAATAACTCAGCTTGTTCCAATGAATGAAGTCTTAAAATGTAGCAGAAGGGATGGAAAAGGGCTGCCCTCACTTTGGATTTCTGGTCCTTATCTTTTCAATACGTGGAATATTACTGAGATGCAAGTAAGGGAGGAAGAGGGAAGAAACCATATGTGTCAGGCTTTGCCTGTTCCTCCAAGAAGATAGATTTTTTTTTTTTCCTGAGGCTCTTCAGATCAAATTAAGCAGTAAAAATATTCTAATTGAGTTGGGCTAGACTAAAGATGGATCCTTATCTTGGTACAATTACATGGTGTAATCTTTGCTTCCAATTATACCATTTCTCCTTCCAAGAGGAAGAGATTGAGCATGCGAACAGATTCTCAGGCTCCAAAAGAAGCGTGTCTGTTGTTATTAAAGGGGAGTTAGAGACATGTTGTCATAAATGTGTGTGACTCTCAGAGCTTTTAGAGACATCCACATTTCTGCCCGTGAGGAATGGAAGGGAAGGCAGAGGGACTGATAGACCAATTGATGGGGAAAATTTTATTGCAAAATATGAGACTATGGTGATGGCTGCCTTTTGGGACATGGACTTCTACTCAGGTCTCTGGTGGAACTGAAGACATGGGGTTGATGGTGGTGAGAGTGGGGTTGAATTGTTCTAATAGGGTCTATGTCATCGGAAGAGCCCACTGCTTACAGGATGCTTGGTTTTGTTTAAAGGTGGGCAGAGCAAGACATGGCACTCCCCTGTTTTCTCTTTCCCCACATCTCCTCTACCCCCAATCACTTAGGATAGTTTTTTCCCTCTGAACCCAGAAATGAGAAACAGTCTGTAGTTTTCAGTATTGCAGTATCAAACTTTTAATTTTTGCATCTGCTTTTGAACAAGTCATAAGAAAAACAAAGTTGTAAGGCTTTATTTTTTTAAGTCATTTTTCTCCCTTTCAAATTCTCTCTAGAATCTTTTTATCTGAGCTCCCTGGGGAGGCGTCTTGACACTGTGGGAAACACTCCAATTTCTCTTATGTGGTGGGAGGGGAGGGTACTCAATTGTCAGTTAAAAAAATAATGATCTGCAGCAGATTAAAGAACTTAGAGAGCCTTACACGTTTGAGTCTTTTAAGTGGGTAACTCCTTTAACCGGGTAATTCTTCTAAGCGGGTAATTCCTTTAAGCAGGACCCTTCACAGCCCTATAAAACTGAAGACCATCTAGGAACTCTTGAACTGTTTCAAATTGTTTTCAAATGGGTCTGAATGCTGTTGAGAAATGCATAATTTACGACCTTAACACTTGATTAGGTGTTAAACGACTGTCGGGAGAGATGTCCTTGGTAATCCAGTTATCATCCAGACTCTAATTATCACTTCACAGGAGAAGTAAGGCTGGGTAATTGAGAACCAAAATTCTTAAAGGGCTAGAAGTGGCTATTTTCTTATGCAGTTAAGTAAATTATTTCTCTACCTAGAAGGTGTCTAATTGGTACCAATTGATGAGAAGGAAGACATGGTGTGACTTTCAGGAGTGATTTAGTCAGGGGGCTGCAGCCAAGGCAACAGAAAGTTATACTGACTACGAAGAGATGTTTCCCAGTTTAAAATTTTCACTTTATTTAAAATTGGTGTTAAAGGAGGGAGAGAAGGAGAAACTAGATGGCCAAGAGAAGACAGACTATAATTAAGAACAGATGACCATACCTCTCCCCTGTCTGTCATTACTAAGGATTTTCCTCAGATGAGACCCCATTTCACCTGTGTTAGTTCCCATCAATCACTGTAAATTGTTTAAACCACAAATGCTGCACCAACTGTTAAACCAAGGATGGAAATAACGGGCCAAAATCTGCCGGAGAGAAGGGCCACTCTCACTGAATTCAGTAGGACGTAAGAGGTAACAGGTAAAGAGATTGCATTCTGAATCTTTTTCTTTGACTAGCTTTCTTCTCCCCTCCACCCCCAATCTTCTATGGGGCACTTTTATGTGCAGAAATGGCCACGCTAAGTGCTATGAATACAAAAATGGGAATATAAGACACCACCCTTGTCTTCAGCAGTTTCTGCTTGACACAGACACCGATGGATTGTGTTGGAGATTAGAGGAGACTAATAACCAATATCTCTATATTCTCCTAAATTAGGGATGAATTAATAGATAGATCCTAGAGAAGGGGGAAATCATATTGCCTAGATTACTAATAAACTTGATTGGAGAATGTGTTAGATCTGTGGCCAAGTGGGTTTGCCTACTCACCAGTAAAATCAGCACTTACCTGCAGTCACTGGCACAGCTGGTCAACCGCAGGCATCCCCCATGATGCGGGAGTTGGGCACAATCCCCCAAGGCAGAGAGCAGAGTGGAATGCTTGTCCTCTGGACAGGCTGGCTCCAAAAGAGCCTCTCCTAACTCTCTGATCAGATAAGTCATGCCCGTCATGGAGGGGAGTGGGAGCTGGGGCCAGAGTGTCATTCCAGTTTCTACAAGAAAATGTGAGGCTCCTTCCTAAGAGAGAGGCCTGGAAAGGGATGTTAAGAGGGGGCTAGACTTGTAAGTGGTAAATTAAGTGCTTAATTCACTGTTTTTATGGGTTTTAGGTCAGAAGTGCAGTTCTATGCTACATTCTGAAAACTGGCTACATCCTTAAGAGTTTAGAGAACAGACTCAATACAATCCAGAGTCACCATCCTATTATACCTGGGATGCAGAAAGTATATAGTCTATTTCTGATTGGTAGGTGTCAATATGGTGCAGCAAATGCTATGGTAAGCATAAAATGTTGGCTGATTTTAAGCTCATGTTTTCCAGTTTCTTCTGACCTTACTTTTTTTTGGATAGTATTTATTTTTGACTGATTACAAATGTAATACATGTTTATCAAAGAATAGTTGGAAAATGTACAAAGATAAAAAAGAAAATAAAAGTTACCTTTTATCCTACCAAAGATATCACTGATACTATATGAGTTCTTTAAAAAAATTTAAATTCTCTTTCTGTATATATGTACATACTATTTCCCTACAAAAATTTTCTCTTGTACTATATATGGAGTTTTATATTCTCATTTCCCCTTATATGCTGAATAATTTTCCATGTCATCAAATAGATTTAAAAATATAATTTTAGTGGCTACGTAGCATTTCATTTAATTTGCTGCTTCTTAGATATTTGGGTTATTTCCAACTTCATTTTCTACAAAGAACTTTTTTATATGTAAATATTTGTTTTCTTCTCTGAATATTTCTTAGAGTAGAGTTGTTAGGGTTGAGAGTTTGAACACTTTAAAGCAGTGGTGTGCTGGTAAATGTTTAACAAAAATCTTACAGAAAAAAAAAAAAAAACCCACCCTGATTTGTAGCATTCGCCAGTTTCTAGAGTATAAGTATTCCAACCATTGCTGATTTCAAGCTACCAATGGTTTAATGCCTGGCTTGGAAAATTCCTGATAATTAAATGATTGGTTCTCGCGAGCCAGCATATACCACTGCAAGGCTCTGGATGCATATTTTGCTGTTTCTTTCCAGAAAGCTTGTACCTAATTATGTTCCTACCTGTAGCATGTGAGAGGGCTTAGATCCTGCTTCAAGGTCTGGGAGCCCAGGTAGACCAGCAGCTGAAGGGAGAGGTGAGTGAACTCAGAGTTCTTCCACTTGCATGAGGGATCCAGTACCCCTCCAGATGACGTCCAGGAGAAAGAACTTTTATTTCCAAAGAAAGAGTCCATACACATAAACGTTTTAAAGGGGAAAAAATTAAACTCTGAATTTGTTTTAGATTTTATATAAGACCAAGTCCAAATATTTGCTAACCAAAATAGTCTCTCTGTTACTTCTCTATCCTTCACGTTGATGCTACGCTATTAAATTTGACAGTTAATCATCTTGTAGATGCAGAGAAATATGGCATTATGGAACAGAAAGGGACCTTGTAATAACACTGAAGCATGGTAGTTCTCAAAGAGCTGTAGCCCTGGCTCAGCTACTAACTAACTCTGTGACCGTAAGTAGACCCTCTGTGTTTTCTGGTAATCCACTGTCTGAGAACTAACGTGAGCCTTAAAGTGTAGATCTAATTCTGCAGCTTCTCAATCTAGTATGCTCTTTGAATGGTTTCACATTATTGGCTTTAAGATAAAATCTTAAGTCCTTAATATGGTTTTTAATATTAGGTGATAATGTGGAGAAGCTCTAAGGTAACCGCCAATGATCCTGACTTCTATTATCCGTGTCCTTGTCTAATCCCCTCCCCTGTGTGTGTGTGGGACCTGCAACTTGCTTCTAACCAATAGAATATGGCAGATGGTGGGCTGTCACTCCAGTGTTTATGCTACCTTCGTTAAACTCCACCTCTTAATTGCAGCCTGGTGAGAAGCTGAAGCAGGGAGCCCAGCTGAGCATGCCCTGGACTCCCCGCCCACAGAATTGGGAGATGATAAATATATGTTATTTTAAGCAGCTAAGTTTGTGGTGATGTGTCACATCGCAATAGAAAACTGGTTACAAAGGCTTCCACAAGGTCCTGCCTGCCTGCCTCTTCTAGCCCATGGCAAATGCTGGTGTTCTCTGCGTGCCCCTCCGAGCCCTTTTGCATGTTTCTCCCTTCTGCTCTGGGCCTCAGAAGCCTGACTTCCTGGGAAGCATCACCTGTGCTTCCTTGACCTCTGGCTTTTCATTGTCACTGAAATGAGTTTGGAAAACCTCTCCCTGCCAGGTTGTAGGTTGGAAAGATCTACCTTTCCCTACCAAGGGTCACTGCTCCCGTGAGGCGGCTTTGTCCTGGGGCTCCAGCTCTCTCTGGTTTTCCTTTCTGATCTCTTCCCATGCCCCTGAGTTTTAGGGCAGGTAGAGTCTCCTTTGTTGCTAGCCTTTGATGTTTTAGCATCTCTTCCTTGGTTCATTTCCCTTATCTCTGCCTAAAGATTTGTGAATAGTCACTTCATTAAACTTTTCAAAATTATATGGCTTAAGTGTATCATCGTTTGTTGCTGGGATCCTGAATAATATAAGGCATTATTTTGATTCCAAAATTTTATACCAGGGGCTTCCCACATGCTGTTCCCATGCCTAGAAGACCACTTCCCCAGCCTCTGGTCTCCAACTTTACCTAGCTCAGTAGGTCTCAACATGCAGCCCCCAAAACTGCAGCAACAGTATCAACCTGGGAACTTGTTAGAGATGCAAATTCTCAGGTCCCAGCCCACACCTACTGAATCAGAAACTCTGAGGCTGAACCCAGCAATCTGTGTTTTAACAAACCTTCCAGGTGATTCTGAGGCATCCTGAAGTTTGAGAACCACTAAAAGAGTTTGCACTATTATCTTCTCCAAGTCCTAGCTTAAACTCTTAGACTTCGTTTGTTCCCTTTGTTACATTTCTCACAGCTCTGCCTGTCTCTACTTGTAGTACGCATATTACTTATAGTGATTTGATCAAAGTTGATTTCTCCTAGCATCCTATGAGCCTAGCATTTATGTCTGCTTTGTTCATGTTAAAATCATTCCTATCCTATCCGGTGCCTAACCTACAGTGGTTATGCAATAATATTTCTTTAAAAAGTAGATTGAATAAACCATTTGGGCCTCAATTTACTTATTCATGTAAAGATGATATTGGCTGCCTCACACATTAAATGATAAACTTTGTTCAAGGTAGCTTGGTTAAGTTGTAGAGTTTGGCTCTGGGCAATAATTCTGGTTTGGAAATATCTATATTGCATGGGTTAATTCTTATTCTTTACAACCATTTTTATCCAAACTCACAAAGTTGCAGATTTACAAAAATAAGTTACATAACATAGTTCACTTTATAAATAACTCAGAGCGTGGTTTGAATGGATTCCTTTCAAAGTCCTATCTAAATAATCTAAAAAATAATATTCTATCAGCTCAAACCACTTAATCAGGTCTATGTTAATCTCACATTCTTGATACGTCCATCAATCCATTCATCCATCTACCCATTCAATATTTACACCTTTCAACAAATATTTACTGTGTCAGCAACAGTGCTCTGGACATGGAATAGCATTTTACAACATTGCAGGTACAAATGGTTAGAACTGTTTTTTAAACCATAAACTGTAGCCTAATTTCATGGATTTAATGACAGTCCCCACTGTCATTATCCAAGACAAATTTGCTGGACTTGAAGAGGTCTTGTTCCTGAAAGATTTCCTTGGGCTTACAATACACAGAAGGAAATGGGAGTCATGGATGTTTGAGCAGAGGCATGACAGAAACAAACACATTTTACAAGGATTGTCCCAGCTCCTCTGTGCAGTAGGGTGAGGGGGGACGAGAGCAGAGGCAAGGAGACCTGCTACAAGGTGACTGCAGTGATTCAGGCAGAGATTATAGTGGCTGGAGCCAGCATGGCAGCCCCACAAGTGGAGGTGTATTCAGCTTCTAGATATATTTTGAAGGTAGAGCTGTTGAACTTTGCTGGCAGATGTGGTCTGGGGGCAGAGAGAGATAGAAATAAGTCAAGATTTTTGGCCTGTGCAATTGTTAGGATGGGGTTGCTGTTTAGTGAGATGGGGAAAACTGCTAGAGAAGAAGGGTCTGAGCAGGGGATCAAGAAGCATGGAACACTCCAATTATGAATCATAAGCAGGAGCTGATTGAACACATGGCACTAAGTTTAACAAATACCTTGAATTTTGGCTTTGATTTGATTGTGGTTGGAGACAAAGAGCATCCCATGGTTTTGTCCCTTACCTGTGTATGCTGAGGTCAGTGTGCTTCTGTCACCCAGTGTGGATTAGATCCTGTGCTGGTCCTTGACTCAGATTTACTCTTTGCCTTTGTCCTGCTCTGCCCTGTATCACAGATGAGCTGATAACTACAGACTGTGTTTTCTAGGCTCTCTGGTCTGGGGCTTTTGGCTGTGGTGGCTGCTAGGAGGCCCTTGCAAGAGACTAGAGTGTGGGAGGAAGGGGAAAGCCAAGATATTTCTCCTCCTTTCTATACCTCCTGCAGCGTTACTAGCGGGGCCTGAGCATCCTCTGTGGCACCACCTCTCACTGGTCAGGTCCTTTGCGGTTCTGGTATCTCCCCCTTCAGCCCTGGGCTCCAGGAATACCTCCTCCCTTTGAACCTCCTGACTAAGGGATTCTCCAGCTTCACGCAGTTGCTAATTTCTGGGTTGCCATCCTATCCCTGTTTGACTTCTCAGTTGAGTGTCTAGAGTGGTTTCTATTTTCATGGTTGGCTCCCACAGACTAAGACTCCTGTAGCAAAACAAAGAGAGGCTCTGAGGCAATTATTTGGTGCATTAATTATTTCAAGGGAATCTGGGTGCTTCTCTATACTTGCCATGTCTGTGACTTTACTATCCATCTGGGTGAGACAGGCGGTGGGCTTTATATTAATCTAACTTTCATGCATTTTGATTCACTATTCAGGAGCAAAAGGGTTGATAGTAATTTTAGAAGAAAACTCTTTCTATGATGCTTGGATTTCTTCTCTGCTGTTCCACCCCACTTGGATACTCTTAATGAGAAACACATTAATTTCCAAAGTTTGCCATGTTATCTTTCAGTAGTTCTGTTTCAAATTTTAATTTTTTGATAATACTTGATGGTGTACAACTCAACTCAAACTGGCCGAAAGAAGAAAATAGCATTTATTAGAGGTTTCAATTGATCATTCCAGAGGCGATGATTCAGATGAGAACTTACACTGGGCTCAAATAGTGCATCTATCAGTTTTGTTTTATAGTTACACAGCAGATGAGATACACTGATTGGCTTAAGCAAACACATGGCTGGATACAACTGGGAATGGGATCAATCCCGCCCAAACCACATGCCTCAAAAATTCAGAGTGAAATTAGGAAAGGAGAAAGGGAAAATAGGTTCTAGGAAGCACTGCAAAAAAAAAAAAAAAATGTTCACCATGGAAGGCTAGGACAAAAGATCAGACAAGGGTCTGTTGCTATTTCATCCATGTTATTTCATCCAGGATTCTTCAAGGTTTACACTGGATAAATTAAAGTTTACAGGGTGCCTTAACAACTCACAGGGAACCACAACTCCAAAATTTTGCAAGTAAAATGATAGATTCTAAGTATTATAAGGAGGTAAACTTTTCATTTCCAAAACTCTTTGTGCAGCAATGAAACTATTCTTTATTCAATTATAAACCAATAAACAATACATGTAAAGGCATACATGTTTGAAGGAGAAGACAAAAAGAAAGAAGAAGAAAGGATGATTTGATTTAAAAATTTCGGTTTTTGATATAGTAAAAACACATCAGAAAATGAGCCATTCCCCAGAACAATATACAATTAGAACAGAAACTATCACACCCAAATTTGGAAGAAAAGGCTGTCAAAAAAAAAAAAAAAAAAAAACGCATTGAAACTCCACGAGAAATGCAGCCAAAATTTCATTTGACAATTCTGTTGCTTTATTTTATTTTGCAAAATGGTAACTGTGGCAACTGAAATATGCTTTAAAGGTCTATACCACCGTATACACCTCAATTTGTGGCAGGTTGTTTATTTGCTATTCTTTTTCATATAGGCCAATGAGCAGTTACATTGAACAAAGCTTTCCTCCTCCCCCCCTCCTTCCTATTTCTCTTTTTCTTTTGGTTTGGCAGGTGCCTAGATTTTTATTTTTGTGCAGGACAATGAAATGGCAGATGATCTGGTAAAAGCAACAGCAAGAGAAAAATCCCACATACCACTGTAGCTTAAAAAAAAAATGAACAATGATTCACTTAATCCTATTCTTACTATTAAATCATAACTAACTATTTATAAACTTAAGAAGAAAGTATGGAAGTCTTAATGAGTATGGTTGATTGGTATAACAGGGAGTAGAACTAGACAGTATTCCTTATTTTATTTTATTTTGGCATGTGTATTTTTTATCTTTTTTGCCAAAGTAAATGCTTTGCTTTTAAGCCTCAGTAGACTATTGGAGGTTTGAAAGAGCTATTGTTCTGAAAGAGCTTGCCTGTTGAGGTTGCTTTTTATGCTAATCACTTATACTAAATAATTCTGGGATGGCTTTTTTTTAAATTATACTTTTATTAAGCTGACTTGAAAACCACAACTGCAATAACCATAAAAATACACAAAACAGAGATCCACCAAAGCTGTTGTGAGACTCAAGTCCAGGCTGGTTCTATAGCATAATGACTGGGGGAAATGCTTCATTTAGCTACTGTAGTGCAGCAAATATCTGTAGTGGCTAAAACTACATTTATTACTCCTTGTAAGTCTGTGTGTTTGCGGGGTAGATTAACTGATACAGGCTGGGCTTGACCAATCTCAATCTCAATGAGCTTGTTCATGTCCTGTGGTCAGTGGGGGATTGGCTAGTCTAGGATGGTCATGGCTGGGAGATATCATCTTGGCTTCTTGTGGTCTCTTCTCCTTCCAGTTCAGTCTGGATGTGTTCACATGGTGATGGCCGGGTTCCAAGAGAGTAGAAGCATGGAAATTCTCTTGAGGCCTGGAATCTAAACTGGAACATTACCACTTTGACCTCATTCTATTGGCAAACACTATCCGGATTTAAGAGGTGAGAAATGGCTCTCAGTAAGGGGGAAAAACCAACTCCCACTGAATATAGGAGAAAAAAAATTGGGGCCGTTTTTGTATCCATCTATCACAGACAACTCAAGTAAGCTCAGCCTACATGGTAAACACCTTATTTTTAGGGGGGAGAGTAATTTAAAAATAAACATTATGTGTGAAAGAAGTTCCCGTACCCAATTTAGAAACAATCTGGTTTATTAAAATAGAAACATCCCCCCGCAAAAATCCTTTTTTAGTTTTCTCATTTCTACCATTTGTTGACTTTTCCACTAAACGTAGAGGAGAAAGTTTCATCTTTAACTTCCTTTTTTTTTTTTTTAATGCTTGGATTACTTTGGCCTTAGCTTATCGATATATCACTGTAGAGTTTAGGCTTTTAATACCGTGAAAATTTTTTCTATTCTTCCAAGTTTGTTTTTAGGTATCTTAAAGTTAATTGCGATCCATAGCAGAGCACATGAACTTGTTTTGTGTAAAAAAGTATGATTTACTTATTCACTTCTTAAAGAAATACCAGTTGAGTGAGTGCCTCCTGGGTATCAGAAGCTGGGCTGGGTGCTCAGGATACAGTGGACACAAGACAGACACTATCCCTGCTTTCACAGAGCTTACATTCCACTGGGGCAATGGACAAGAAGTAAGCAAACAATGACTGATTGTGTTAAATGCCAAGAAGGATGTAACAGGGCATTGGAGGGATGGATTGAGGGAGAGCTTCCTTTAAACAGATAGCTTCACTTCCGTTTACAAGAGAGAGAAGGGGGTGAAAATGAATCAGAGGCCATCTTAAGAAAAAGAAGTCACCTGTGCAAAGGACCAGGGGAAGAGAGTTTCACAGGAGAACTGACTTTGATGAGGCCTCATGACACCTCCATGGAGTGTTTTAGGACAGAAGCCCAGTGTAGCAGGCACTGTCATGGCTCTGCCCATATCCCTTCAGATTTATTAGCATCTGGTATCTTTCCCTCCCAGTGGCAGCATCTGCATTGCCTTGTTGGAGAGCTGCCTTCAGAGTGCCAGAATTCACTTTGCCTGCAAATCCTGAGAGTTAGAAGCTTTCGGAATGTATATCCCTCAGGGAAGCCCCTTCCCAATGACTGATGGGTGTGGAGGTACAAATTCTCCATCTCCCTTGCTCCCAGTGAGGGTCACCTTCCCAGAGATTCTCTGTGGAATTGAGCTGAAGATGTCCTCTTTGGGACTTTGCTTGATTTTTCATCTCAGTTGGTTTCCTTCCCTTTCTGGTTCCACTTCCTCGTTCCCCTATTGTTTTTTTCTGGAAGCTTTCCACATAAATGACTCTTACATGAATTTTTGTCACTGGAAATGATTCTGGGATACCAAACCCTGGGCAGTTAATAACACAGGAGCATAGTGAGCAAAGAAGGAGGCAGGAGATATGCTTTCAGAGCAGACAGATCAGGCAAGGTTTTGCAGCCCTCAGGGCAAGCATCAGAAAGACATGACCTAACTTTCTTTTAAAAAAGATCGGCCAGGTGCGATGATTCACCCCTGTAATCCCAGCACTTTGGGAGGCCTAGGAGGGCAGATCACCTGAGGTCAGGAGTTCAAGACCAGCCTGGCCAACATGGCAAAAACCCCATCTCTACTAAAAAATACAAAAATTAGCCAGGCGTGGTGGCAGGCACCTGTAATTCCAGCTACTCAGGAGGCTGAGGCAGGGAGAATTGCTTGAACCTGGGAGTTGGAAGTTGTAGTGAGCCAAGATCACGCCACTGCACTCCAGCCTGGGGGATGTCATCTTGGGGAAAAAAAAAAAAAACAAAAAGGAAAAAAAAAAATCATGGTTTGCCAGAGTGGCAATAACTGGAGAGAGAATTGGTTGGAGACAGGCCAGTTATCTTTCCCTGTGCTGACATCTCTACCAATTTCTTTTTATCTTTTCAAGTAGAAAATGATCTACTTCTTGGCTATGTCTCAAAGATGGTGTGAAGGTAAAACAATGATTTCCATAAACTTCTTAGAGCTCTCTGGAAAAGAAATGCCCAATAAAAGCTGAGATTATTATTGATGAAAATAAAAGTAAAAATAGCAATGCAACTTATAACCAGCATCTGGAGAATTTTCATACATTAATGGAAATATTAAGTGTTATATTAAAGACTAGAACAACTGTTTCTAGGTTTCTCTTTTGTTCCTACTATTGCTGCTCCTTTGAGTGTTTATAGAACCAAAATAGCTGATGCAAATATTTGTGCCCCAACCTGGTTCTCCCTGGAGTACAGATGAGGGTCTTTTGAAAAATGGCAGTAGTGAAAGCAACATTTCTGGTTTTCTTCTTGGAAGGAGGAGAAAGGATAGCTTATTCTGAAATTAAGCAACAACAACAACAAACTGTTATGTAAATGGAGATAAAACTGTTGTTGAAAAATATTGGCTTATATTCTAGATAAATACATACGCCCACATAATCCCATACAGGGCAAATAAGTATGTGTGTCTCTGTGTGTGTGATGTGTGCATGCATGCATGCATGCTTGGTAGACTTTATCTGCTCACTGAATACTTTTTCCAACCCAATGTATGGAAAGTGACAGATGGATCAGCAATGGCTGAGAAGCAGTTACACATATCTGGCCAGCATGGTTTTGATTGTATGTTGGGTTGTCAGCCAGCTACACACCAGAACTATTATTTTAGGCGGCTGGAAGAGAATTATTCAATGTCAATGGGAAGAGAGAGATACAGAAAATGAAATAGACACTCTGTGTTTTCAATAAGGCATCAGTTTGTTTGAAGCCACATCTAACTGTCTGAATTCATATGAGAACTTACTAAAAGCAATGCACTTTAGTATTCAGGCTCAATTGTTATTCAATTGTTCTATATCTGAGTTTTCTACAAAATCTCATAGCTGAAATAATATGTGATAAATGATGGTCTTGGGATTGTATGTCCTCATCTTCCAATAACCCTGTAAATTCTTCTTATCTCTATGGTTTTCTGAACCACACAAAAGGTATAATCTCAGAAGCAGTAGAAAATGATTGACCTCTTGAATGTCAGAAGAACAATTATTTAGGCTTAGCGCCTGAAAAGACACATACCCTCCAGGCGCAGTGGCTCACGCATGTAATCCCAGCATTTGGAGGCTGAGGGGGGCGGATCACCTGAGGTCAGGAGTTAGAGACCAGCCTGGTCAACATGGTGAAACACTGTCTCTACTAATAACAGAAAATTAGCCAGGTGTGGCGGCACGTGCCTGTAATCCCAGCCACTCCAGAGGCTGAGGCAGGAGAATCATTTCACAGGAACCTGGTACGCAGAGGTTGCCGTGAGGCTGAGATTGCACCACTGCACTCCAGCCTGGTGACACAGCCAGACTCCGTCTCAAAAAAAAAAAAAAAAAAGATACATACCTCAGTGAGACCAGCAAGTCAAAGAGGTCTGTGGGAAAAACGTGGAAATGTTTGCATTTCTACTTCTGCATATTCTGATACTTTGCCGTATGTGCTTTAAAATACTTATGCTTGACAAAAGATGTCAAAATTATCCCAATCTAGTGCAGTCTAGACTCTACCATGATGAGGATATTGTATTAAGTCACTTGCTTTTTGTTTTTTTTTCAGTCTCCAGATTGAATAGGCAGACTGCCCAAATCTCCCTTTCTTTCATTTTTTCACTCTCTCTGTCAGAAGAAGGGGGCATTATAGGACAGTATTATTAGGCTAGATCTTTGCCTTGTTTTAGTGTCTTATCCACTGGCCCCTTCATAGGGTTGGGAAATGGTTTCATAAGATAGTAGAAAGGGTGGCATAGGTACTTGCAGTATGGCTAACAGTTGTTCACCATGTAGCTTTAGATATCTTAGACCCAGTTCCCAGCTGTGTCTGCCTTAGTCACTCTGGTCCTCGTCTTCCTCAGTATCTCCTCTATGAGGTGGGCATCCATGCAATTCACTCCAATTGCTTGTACATTCTTACATTAAGTTTTGGGGGATCACTTCTTCTTTTAAATGTTTAGTTTTTTAAAAAAAATTACACAATATAATGTTTCCACTGTAGAAAAACATGTTTTAGAATATGTTAAGTGCTTAATAAATATGGTTTGAATGAATGAATGAATTGAAAATAACAAGAAAATATAATACAAAAGAAGAAGAAATTAAGGACTAGTCGTAAACCATCTCTCAGTGATGCAAACCAGCACCTTAGTTATCCTCCTAGATATTTTCTGCAATTTTAAAAGTGAAAATGAGATCATTTGGTCTTTACTGTTTTGTTACATGCTTGCTCTCCTAGATGAACATCCTTTCACTATACGTAGTTTTTGTTTGTTTGTTGACACAGGGTCTCACTTTGTCACCCAGGCAGGAGTGCAGTGGTGCAAACACGGCTCACTGCAACCTCAGCCTCCTGGGCTCAAGCAATTCTCCTGCCTCAGCCCCCCAAGTAGCTAGGACTTTAAGCACGTGCCACCACACCTGGCTAATTTTTGTATTTTTCTGTAGAGACAGGGTTTCGCCATGATGCCTAGGCTGGTCTGGAGCTCCTGAACTCAAGTGATCCACCTGCCTCAGCCTCCCAAAGTGCGGGGATTACAGGCATAAGCCACCGCACCCTGCCCATAATAGATAGTCTTATGCATCATACATTTAATGGCTACATAATAATCCATTTTATAGAATATTACCATAAATTCTTTAAGTTCCTATTATTTAACATTGACAATAACAATGTCACTGTTTGACATTTCTATTGTGTATTTCCAGTTTTTTCCCTTTGTAAATAATAAGGTAAAAAACATCCTTGATGTTGTTTAATTTTTGCACACAATTTTAGTTATTTTGTTAGGATAAATTCCCAGAAATGAAGAATTTGGGCCACATAATATGTGTATTTTAATACCTATTGACAAATCATCCAGGGAAGAGTCCCTTTGCCTGATCCCTAAGGTTGATCCGTTTGCTACTGGAACTCTGAATCAAAATCTACTTCAGAGAGTCTAGGCCCTTAGTTAGGACCTGTGACTTGTACAGCAGATTATTATCAATATGTATTTACTGAACCGAGTAATTTGAATAGCCCTTTCTTATGGCTTCAGTTCTTTCTCATGAACTGAATTCCCTTGTGCAACTAAGAAACAAATAAACAGGAATAACCCCATGTTATCTCTGAATCCTTAAATGAAGATCAATTCATTTATCTAGGCCAGTGGTTAGCAAACTATATAGCTCATAGTTCAAATACAGCCTGTTTTTATATGGCTCAGGATCTAAGAAGTATTCTTACCAAATTTGTAAATAGTTGAAAAGGGATCAAAAGATGAATAATATTTCTGAAGTGAAAATTATATAAAACTTAATTTCAGAGTTCATAAATAAAGTTTTATTGGAATACAGCCAGCCATTTATTTATGTCTTATCTATTGCTATTTTGCACTAAAATGGCACAGGTAAGTAGTTGTGACCATAAAGTCTGCAAAAACTAAAATATCTACTGTTTGGCCCTTTACAGGAAAAGCTTGCTGAACCCTGATCTAGACATTAGCTAACCCAAGCCAAGTAATGCTAAACCCTAGAAAAATGAAATCTGCAATGATTTTGTCACTAAATTAGCACTCTTAGAGAGCTGCAATTAATAGCACTTCCAGTGTGTATGGATGAGATCTCATCAATTTTCTTTTGTCTTTGATTTGACCTGCACTGTCCCATAGGTGAGAAAATCTAACAGCTTAAACCCTGGCTCCACCAAGTAGTCAGGCAAGGGGTTTTCACTGTAAGCATTGACAATTTCCCAAGTTCACAGTTTTAGTATCATTGATACCAAGTCCTGAGGGCATGCTTTGGCTAGTGTGGCTGAGGAGATGAAGTATGGCTCCCTTATTAACTTGTCAAAGTGTGGTGCAGCTGCATCATTTGCTCACCCATTTGCTTAACTTAAATAAAGGTTGGTGGTTAGGCTTCTGTTGCATTGTGCTCTCCTGCTAATTATCAGTGTATTTGTTTTAGAGACAATTAGCCACCTGGTTCATTCTCTCATTGAAGTCAGGTCATCATGAGTTACATCTGCTTTCAGGCCTCCTCAAGTCCAAGACATAATAAAAAGATGATGGCTATGATTATAAAAAGCGTGTGGGGTTGGGCATCAATGGTACAGCATATTGAATTCCCAAGGAGGATTGAGTTGCATCATTGTACTCACAGAATCTCCTCTCTGCCAGTCACAAAAGAAGATTGTGAATGAAGAACTCTTGTGTAGAGCCAGAAAACCTTTAGCAAGTGAGAAGAGTATTTACAAAGGTAGACACTAATAATGGCAAAGCAAAGTGAGATGTGATTCCTCCCTGGGGCACTGTGCTGATACAACAAAAAAGTGACAAGTAAGCACGTCTTAGTGCATGCAGAATTTGCATAAAACTGAAGTTGTTCAGACCTGTGGGTGTTGCCTTTTTAAAAAATGTGCCCGATAATGTGACATAATATTATGCATAGTACACATTTGCTTTTATAACCCCATATGCTCTGGCAAAACTTAGCATTTTGGAGCTAAGACTTTATTATGCTAGGTCCTCACTGAATCACATTGATGGTGGAGACACTTTTTGCAGATTTCTGAATTTCGGGAGCTAAGGGTCTATGACATTACCTGATTAGATGGGATGTTGTGTTCTGAGGATGTTACTTGACCACAGAAAGGGAAATCAGAAGTTTAGTGTAATTAATCGAGGATGGTTTTTTGTTTGTTTGTTTGTTTGCTGTGGAAGGCCTGGACCTGGATTCAATAAAGTGAGAGTGAGTGTTAAACAATTCACTTTGGTCACCTTAATACTAGTCAAGTGGAGACTTTAATACCAGTCAAGTGGAGTATTAAATAATTCACTTTGCCTACCCTAATACTAGTCAAGTGAGGTTCAATGTTGGGCAAAAATTAAGTGTTTGTAGAAGTTACAGTAACAAGTCAACTTGGCACACTCCAAAAACCTTTCACTCTGTGCACTAAGGTAGAATGTAACAGTGAATGCATGGTTCAATCTCAAAATTAGCAGGTAGCTTAAGCCCCACAAGAAATTCCAACTTACATAAAACTCAAACCATCCACCAAGCTCTAGAGATTATGGCACTCTCCATAAAGGTACAGTGGATTATTTACAACATATCATCCAGCTTGAATCAGTCAAGACAACATAAGCAGAAAGCTAAATTGGAACTCTAAAATTGGGTTTCCCAAAGTGAATCCTGGCAGAACATTGGTTCTGTGGGATGTTATGTTGAAAATGAGATTCTGTGTCCTCTTAATTTTGGGAAGCAGGGGGTTTAGCTAAGTTAACGAAATTAAAAGTTTATGTAGGGCTTCTAGGAGCTTTTAATATGCTAATGAGCTTTGTAAAATGCAGTGTTTCCCAAATTTTTAGTCCACAGCACCCCTTTTTCCTGAGCATCTGGCCAGAAGAGTGGTTGGACAAAGCTTTGTTGAGAAACTTGCACCAAAGTGTTTGCTCTATCTTAGAGCCTTAGTAAAATTCCAAGTAGATTGGAAGTAGAGTGCAAGTGAGTGCAAGTAGATCATTGTGGGCAGAGGGCTTATAAAGTTGGGCAGGCAGTCTGGCAATAGTTCCAGTTCACCTACTTATTGTCCTTTCCTTCTCTGTATCTTATCAGGGTTTGGGCTATTCTTACTACAGGTCTGATATCTGAGCATAAATAATCCCACTTTACATTTTTTAAAAATTGCTGCCTTGTGGAGACTCCGGCTATAATTTGAAATGGCAAGAAATAATTTAGCTAATTGAACTGAGAAGAAGACCCACAACTTCTGATCACCTGCATAAAATCCATTAGTCTGAAGAAAAATTGTGTAGTACAAAAGGTGGACAAATGAGTACAACTGGGTGGGATTGCCCTAATTTACTAATGCAGGAGAAAGTAATTCAGCCTGATTGTACATCACTGATGATGGCATGTTGAGTCTTACTATTTGAAAATTTTTGCCAGTTATATGATAAAGTGTGGAACATAAATAATATGGATCAAGTTAGAACACAGGCCCACGAAGGTTACTGTTTTACACACATTGATTCATAATACCGGCATTTTAGAGAAAGGAGTCTTGGGACAGCGGCTCCGTACAAATGCATTTCTGTTGTCTAGGGCTATTTTCGTGTTGTGCTTTTCTGCAGACTTTCACAAGGCTGTTGTAAACTTAATCCTGTTTAGCAATTATGATTTACTTCAATTGGCTCCACTCATTAAGCTGTTTAAACTTAGATTTAAAGAATAATATCCACTTTGTTCCTTTACACAACTTTGGGGGGAAAATAAAACATTCAAAATGGGATTCTTGGCAGAGAACAATCGATGTAAGACTCTAAAGCTTACTGTACCTTTAATACATATATTTTTCTTCTTTAAGGACTTTGAGTGAGAACCACAAAGCCCATACTGTTTTTAAGGGAGAGGGAGAATGGCTCCTGATAAAAGCCAATTACAGACTGAATATATGCTATTTATTTAGACTTGAGAAAATGTGTATCTTGAAAAAAATGTTTATATAATCATATATCAGCACCCTCAGGGTTTTAAACCTATTAAAAGCAGCTAAGGAAAAACCAAAAGCATGTCATTCATGGAAGCTTGATAGTGCATGAAAGAAAGAGACAAACAGTGGTTTTGTCTCCTTGGCAAGGCATGCTATTGAAGTGCATATAGTTGGAGAAGGCTGATTCTAAGGTTGCTAAATGGGTGTAGTTTGGGATTCAGTGTCTGTGTTAGGACATGGCTCTTGGGCAAGATGCTGTCTTTGAACACTTATTCTTCAAGCCTATCACCTTACACCCTGCTGAGCCTCATCTCCTCAGGACATAATTACATAACTTTCACATGTTGGTAATGGTGGAATGAGCTATTTAGGAATGACTTGAAGGAAATATATTACATTCATGAATTTTTCAGGTGTGTGTTTTAATCAAAACCAGAAAGTTTCAACATGCTGAACTCAATACACTACAGAGTACTAGGCAATATGCTTGGGATGATATTTGCATTTGCATATGAAGAAGTAAGGGGAAAAACCCCTTAAGTCTCTGAAAGTGCATGTATTTGTGGGAAATCACAGGGCAATGAGGAAATTTTCAAGAAAAACAAAGTAGAAATAATTTTCTTTCCATGGCAGATGATGTCATTAAATTCAGAACTGTACAACTGGTTAAAATTCCTTTTTGCTTTAGTTGCTGAGATATTTACATTAAACTTGATAGTCATTTGTATTTTTGGAATAGTGATTGTTATCTTTATTGTATACGATTTTTTAGCTTTTTATTTGTATTTCACACTCCAACTGTGTGGTGCTTTAAAAAAAAAAAAAAAACAACAGACTTTACAAATATTTTACTTTTAAAAATGTAGCTGGCATAGACAATTACAACTTAAAACCCATGCCCCAAGCAAAAATTACAAACAAAATCAAAAGATAGCAATGTTCCTTGGTAGATGCTTCTGTGTGGCCTTTTTCATTATTATGTGGCATTTTCTGACAAGATTTTAAAACTCTAAAAATGCGTCGTCTCTACAGTGAAGACACCTTTGGAGCTGATTATGGTTATTACCCATAACTTACTCTCCTCACTTTGAACCGAATTTTCCCTCTTTTAGTCCAGTCCATCTAATTTTAAAGGTAGGTTCAAGTTAATGAAGCACCTTTTCTTCCTCCATTTAGTCCTCTGAAAACTTCCATCTCCCACAGAAGTTCTAGCAGTGAAGCAGTTGCTGGCTGGGACTTCAGGGCCCTTGGGCACACTCCCAGCCATCAATCTTGTCATAGACAAACCTGAAAATGCCCAGTCCTAGAAAAGGTAGCCTTATTCCACAGTGTCCACATAGCTTTACGTGTATATGTGTGTGTATGTATATATATATATAACAGAAGGCTGTAGGAAGGCAGCGGGAGTGGGAATCATAAAAAATCGGCCAGAGGAAAACCAATGAAAATGAATAATCCACACTGAGATGCAAAATACCAGATGTTTTAATGTGGGACTCCCAGAGAACAGAACCAATTCAGTATTAAACACTACATTATAAAATAACTATTTTAAAAATAGAAAAAAATATTAAGGATTGTCTTAACTGCTGAACAGCTCACTTTTTGTCCCCGATAAATGTCTAATACATCTCCTTCTATTTCCAGTTATTTTACAGCATAGTTATCAAAAGTCCTCTGACCTTCACAGAGAACCCCGAGTGAGTTCGTTGTGTCCCCTTACTGTTGAGAGTGATTCTCTGAGGTTCTTGATGTGTATCGTCAGCTTTACCATAAAGCGACTCTCACTGCTGTCCTGTCCAGTGACTTTAAGATATTCTCACTTCTTACCTACCAGTTCCTCAGTGGAAGGCTTACCTCTTTGTCAGTTGTGGTGGTCATGGCTTTTCCCCCTGGAGTCCTTACAGTAACAACCCCCAGAAGGCAGAATCCTGCTCTGGTGTTATACGTCTTTTCTCTTCCCCACCACACCACCCCCAGCATAGGGCATTTTCCTGTAAAGGGTCTTGAGTCTTTCTGGGAAGTAGCTGGGGAATGAGAGTATAAAATAATGCTGAGGGTCATGTTCAGGCAGCATGGCTTAGAGATTAGATTACAGACATTGAAACCACATATCCTAGACTTAAATTCCGGGTTGCTATTTGCTAACAATGTAATCCTATCCAAGTCACTTCATCTAGCAAGCCTTAGTTTCCTTATCTGCCAAATGGGGGTAATAAGGGTGACACCCACCCTACTGTTGTAGGGGTAATAAATTACACTGTGTAAAACATTTAGCACAGTACCTTGCAAATGTTAAGTGCTAAATAAATTTTCGCTGCTATTGTGATCATTGACACTCAGGAATAAGACAGCAATGTAAGAGTTGTTTTATTGTCCTGAACAAAGGTACAGCCTTCAGTCACATACACGTGTACAGCACACACATTCACACAATGATTAGGGAGCACTGCAAAGCAATGTACTTGAATGGAAAGCTATGAAAATTAATGTGATTTTTAAGGAAAAGGACATTAGTGTAGAATGGCATAGAGAAAACTTAATTGCAAAACTGAGACTTCAGCTGGGCCGTAGATGACAAGGAGAGTTTAATAGGTTGACAGAGCAGAAAAATCCATTCTGGTATCAGGCTTGTGGGAATGAGCATGGGGTATGTAGGGCACTTGAGAAACTTGGCCAAAAGGACCAGATGTCTTATGTTGAGGAGTGCGTCATGGTTAACACATAGGAGATGCTCCAGAGACACTTGTGGATGAAGGAAGGAAAGTGTTTTAGATTTGTAGGATGAGACAAGATGACGGAGGGACTTGAGTGTAAAATGAGGTGTTTGAGCCCAATGTACAGCAAAATGCAATATGTGAAAGTGACAATTTAGGGATGTTGTTCTAAAGACGTCAGCATGATAGACTGAAAAAAAACAAAAGAACCTAGAGGAAGGAAGAACAGGTATGAAGGTACAATGGTAATAAGGTTTCCAAGAACCGAACATCTACTGGGGTCTGGCAGTGAGAATAGATAGGGGGAATATCAAGAAGACAAAGGAAAATAGATCTCCCCCCAGTCACTCTCTATCCCTTTATTCTGTTTTATTGCCTTCAAAACACTTCTACAATTTGTAAGTCCTTTGTTGATTTATGTATTTACTTGTTTACTATCCATCTCCTACTCTGGAATGTAAACTCTAGAGAGAAGAGATTGTACTGCTCCTAGAATATTACCAGACTTGTAAGTTGTGTCAGATGAATATAAGACAGGCAGGAAACACTTTTAAGCTATCGGTAGTCATAGGATTGCAAAGGAGACTGACAAAGCAAAGAAACTGGGACAAGCTTATTGGGATAAAATGATGACAGCATATATGCATCTACTCATCTTTTCAACAATAATAGTTATTTAGTGGTTATGTAGAAGCCATGCAGACCAGTTATTAAAGTCCAGACTCTGACACTGGATGTCATCTGTTTGAGCCCCAGGCTCTACCACTTTCTACCCGTGAAGGGTCTTTGGGGAAGAAACTCTCTGAGTCTTAATTTTTCTCATCTGTACAATGGGGATAATACACAGACTAATGTGAAAACTGAGATATGTGTGCTAAACTCCTGGTACAGTGGGTGGCACTACTAAGGAATCAATAAATGATAGCTGTTGTTATTACCATGCATTGGGCACTGTCCCAACGTGTGAGGTGGCAGTGAGACAAGCCAATGGAAATATTCTAGAAGCCATCGGACATACAAGTCTGGTGTTCAAATATGCTTTTATTTCATTTCCTGTTGACTTGGATTGCTACTATTGGCCATATAACAGTGGAAGAAAGCAGTCTCCAAATCTATTTCAGATATATCTTCTGTAAGGGACTCACAATAACAAAGAAAATTACTATCAAGAAACATGACTGGCTTCTGTTTCTAAGTTTCTTCCTAAGAATTAAATGTTTCTTCCTGAGGGGTAGGGGTTAGGGAGGGGTATAGAAAGAAGACCTGATAGCTCTTCTAGAAGGAATAACGAAAGAAGTTGGAAACAGCTTTTCTTTTCCTCTTGTAATTAAAAATAAGGCTAGAAAATACTTGGCAAAATAATTTTAAAGACGAGTCAAATACTAATTGATGTTTTTTAGCTGATTAAAAAATTCAGGTTCAGTATTTATATTTCAGGTACTGCGTTATACAGATTCTTCAAAATGGGTCAGTAGCTGTGCAAGACAGCAGGAAAACTAAAAAATACAGTTCCAAATATCTTGTAGAATAATAAAATATAGTCATTTTAACAACCTAGGATACTTTTTTTTTACTATCAAAAAGATTTTTTAAGGTATTACTAATATCAAAGAACAAAGGGAGCTTTACTGCCTATGGTAATTCTTGTTCAATGTCTTGCTAATTATTTTTAGAGTAAACTTCAATAAACAGGGAATAGATTAACTGGAACCATAGCAATAGGATGTTGAAACCCAAAAGGAACTTGGAGATAATTTTAATCATATTATTCTGCAGATAATGAAGCCCAGAGACTAAAAGGGATTTTCTCAGGCCACACAGCTTCTTGGAGGCAGAACTTGGACTAGAATCCAAGTTTCTTGATTCCTAACCTGGATTCCTTTCCCCTTCACCAGGTTGGTGGCCTGTGGTAAAGGGGCAAATGTCCAAATAGGGGACACATTTAAATAGTCAGGCAAATGACCATCAAACTTCCATGATGATTCCCAGGATCTGCATTTATCCAATCTAGTTGTGTTCATCCTAATTCCAACATAGCTCCTGGACATATCCTAGTGACTTTAGGCCCAGAATGGGCTCTTTATCTCAACAGATGATACCATCATCTACTCTGTTGGCTAAGCAGGAACCTGAGCATCATGATTTCTTTCTCCTCCAGGAACCAACTGTTCAATAATGGTTGTCTTCCCCCTTTATGTAACCCGTGAATCCTTCTACCTCTCTCCATCTCCACTCCCTCCACTCTAGAAGAAGCCACCATCATCTCTCACCAGCAATACTGCTGCAGCCTCTCACATATCCCTCTTCCCTCCTTGTCCTCTCCACCCTCCCTTCATTGTTATTCATCACATATGGCGAGGAGGATTACTCTAAAATCAAATCTATTGTTCATGTCATGGTCTTCATATACGATCCCTACTGCCTTGAAGATAAAATATAAACTCCCTTCACTTGAAAGACAAGATGCTGCAAAAACTGGCCCCTGATTATCTCCCCAGCCTCATTTATTCCTTTATTCTCTCCTCAACGTGCTGTTCCTTACGCCAAGTTTATGCTCTAACCATTCTAAACTTTGACCTTTTTTTTTTTTCAGATGTAGTAAGTTCTCCTATGCCATTCTCTCTGCCTTGGATACTTTCCCCTGTATCTTCACCTGGTTAATTTCTAATTATCTTTTAGGTCTTCGATTAGATATTACTTCTTCTGAACAATCTTCCTTGATGACCCAGCTACTTTACATCTCTGGATGGAATCCTCCTCTTTGCTCTAATGGTAAGTGGTATGTTCACATTATAGCACTTATCACATCTTTTTGTAATTGTCTAAGTTTTGTTATCTCATTAGCCTATTAGCTCCATATGAGATAGAAATTATGTCCAACTTCTGTGTGGGCACTCCACCACCTATTGCGGTTCCTGGTATGTAACTACAAATAGTTGGTGAACGAATGAATGAATGAGGTCTTTTTAATTTTCTCAAATTCCTCATAGAGTTAAGAGAGATTGAGTTGAGTTGAGGATGGATGGGAAACGATATGGACAGAAATATCCAAGAATGGAGTCAGGGAGGAGGCAGAATATCTTTTGTTTCCTCCCTGTTTGGAATTCTAGTGAAGAACAGTGTCAGGGACATAAAAGAGAATAGGATGCTAGGTTACGTTTCTGTTTATAGTTCTATCAAATAAGACTGAAATCAATAGGATCTCCTTGTTAGAAAATCCTTACCCTATACTAGTATAATGTGTTTATGTATGTTTAAAATTTTTCATAATAAAAAGTTTAAAAAATTTATTCCTTTGACTTTAATTCCAAAAAATCAGACAGGTGATGATTTGTGTAAAGGGCAAATGCTTATTTAATTGGTAAATGGGTATTGGTGGGTGTGGGCATGGGTGAAGCAAAACTTTTTAATTGGATAACTTTATATGGATGACTTTTAATGGTGTTCTGAGTGGTTGATGGTCAGGTAACATATATGGAGAGGAAGAACTTAACATTAGTTTAAATTGTAATCATTTTCTGTTAAGAAATGGGATGACAATCTTTGTTATCTGGTTATTTTTAGTGCTTATCTGTGTGTATTTTAACAAAGTGAAAACAAAATTAGTATATGATGATACACATCTTTAACATGCGAATTCATTTTTTAACAATTATTTTTGAACTTCTGAAAACAAGCTAGAAACACTGTTTACGTGGGTTATTGCTACACGAAAATCACATTGTAGACTCAGTTCCCTTAAGAATTTTGTTAAGCTATTTTCTGAACACAGAACAAAGATCTTAATAGTTTTTAGCCGAGTTATTTGGATATTTGACTGTCATTACTTAAACAAATTGACCAAATTTATGTGTAAGTTTACAAGCATGTATTTTACATAGCTTCTATAGTATCTTTTAAGTTTCTTAGCTTTCACAGTTTTTTATTTACTACATGGCTAAAATCATTTGCAACCAACACTGCTTTATTGAATGCAGTTTTTCACCAGGGCACACACTCTCTTCATATTCCGGCCAAAACGTGTTCGTGGAAATAAAGATTCTCTTTTAAGACAGAAGACAAAGTCCAACTCCATTTGTTTGTTGTGAAGCCAATATGGTTTATCCTGGCCATTTTGGTTGGAGCCCAAGTATATCTGACTCATAGTTTGGTCTTTTATTCTGGCAATTTACCTCATTTTTCATAATTTACCTAGGGCTGTCAAGAACAATTGTTATCTTCCCCGAGAGACTAGTAAATACTCCTTTAAGCCAATGGATTTATAGGAGGTGGAATCCAAAGATTCAGTTCATTTGGGCAGATTCATCAAATACTTCCTAAATACAAGGCATGGCATACGGTGTTTTCAGGGATGCAAAGAGAATAATTCTTGACCTGAAGGAATTTGCAGTCAAGTTATATACCAAAAGGGAAAATGTGCACAAACAAAATTGTTTGTGAGGATATAGTCTGCAAGAGACAAAACCCGTCTACTCAACTTACATTAAAGGAACATGTGATTGCACCCAAAACTAACCGTGAGAGGCTTTTTTATAGAGTGACTGGAAATAAATGTTTGTGTTACTACTTTTTATGCTCCATCAGAGAACAGATACTGTGATAGACATTTTTTATAACTTGCTCCAGAGAAAGCAAGCAACAGAGGTTGCTGTGCCAACCTCACACATTTGCTTTAGAAACGAGTACAATCTGGACGAAAGCAGTTTCTAGCTTATCAGGTCACAGGAGTTTAGACAAACCAGGATTCTGGAGGAATAGTGTATGAGTGTTGGGCCATTGACTTAGGGTTGTCATATAAAGTCTCAAATTAACGGAAGTTGAAGCTGCTGCCCTGTCTCAGTGGGACTAAAAATATCAGCTGTATTATTGGTTTTAGCAAAATGCAATCTGAATTTTAACATTTATTTTTTGGTTTATTATTTTCATGTTGTTTTGTTTAAAATTTATTCTCTTTGGAATAATAAGCTATTTTTAAGGACTTAATGCAGTATAGATTATAGCAGTGTTGACTTCCAACTAAATAATTTAGAAGAGGAAGAAAATAGTAAAAGAGTTATATATCTAAATTTAAATCTAAACTTAATCTGTGTCTATATCTGTATGTATTTATTTATATATTCATTAATTTATATTTGATATGAAACTTACAACCATGGGCATTTTTAAAATATAGAATTTCCCTTTGTATGCAGATTTACAGCAAAGAAGTATAAGAATATTTTGATTAAATATGCCCTCTGAGTTCTTAGTTTTTAAGTACAACAGTAAATTTATACTCAATTTGGAAGAAAGCAGAAATTTTCCATTGATTACTTAAGGTTGGTAATAACACCCAGAAATGGTAGTGTGAAAGGCTGATTTATTACCATGGCCTCACTGTGGCAAAGGATAATTCCCCATCCCTAGATTCTGGACTTGATCATGTTTTAGCCAAAGAAAGGTTAGTGTATATGATATAAGTGGAGACTTTGCACATGCTTCCATGGTTAGGTTTGCCTTTTTGCACTTTGAGATCCCCAGGAAGGACAACCTGCCTCATATAACATGCTGCTGTTTCAGCCTGGGTCTCAAATTGAGAGGTGTTGAGCTGACCACATGCCCCTGGCAACTGCTAATCCAAGGAACATAAAAGACACGTGGATTAGATCTGAACCTACCCTGGAGACTGGAGCCTGGACTCCAACCTCGCTTAGCCAAGTGGCAGCTAGCATGCTGCTGATGAATGTGAGAATAAATGATTGTTTCTTCAAGTTCATGAATTTTAGGGTGGTTTGTTAGTTTGTTATTAAACATTGTTGCAGCAACAACTGACTAATACAGGTCATCTACAGATATTTTTTTTCTAACTCTATGCAGACATATGTAAGTATGAAAATTTCCTCAAATATTCCTTTTCTTAGATGTCTCCAACATAATTTGCAATGTTACCTGGGCGTTTAGTGGTTTTAACTAAGAATGTCTTTTCTCTGCATTGGAAGAACTGAATTGGTGAAATGGGCATTCTGAGTGACTTCTAGATATAATATGTATTACGTTCTGTCTCCAAAAGATATAAATGCTGACTATAAATTGTGCAGTTGGAATTTGGGAATTGAATACTTACAGGAATTCTGAGATGTAGAAAGTAAATTATGTGTGAAGCTAGCAGTTTTCAAAAATGCTATGCTGCTTTTAAAATTTCTTCTCTTGAGTTTGAGTAAACTTTTTACTTATAGCTTTCTAATTTTCCAAGTAGGAAAAAATCATATCACAAAGAATGCAAGTGTGAGGAGCAGTTAGTTCCAAACTGCCTGCTGCTTTTCAGCTAGGATTGTGTGTAGTTTATGTCAAAACACTTCAGCAAAGAAATACAAATACAGACTAATGTTTGACTTCTTTTGTTGTGTTGAACTGGAGCCAGCAAAAGTATTTATATATAAATCCACTTGTGAAATGCATAACCCTCTCAATGTGACTTATATGTTTAAGGCTTAAAGAGAATTCAGGTTGATTGACAGAAACTACTGCTCTTACAACGTCAAAATGTAGACTCTGCTTATGCAGAAACTTTTAAATTCATTCTTTTTACTGAGGATGTTTATCTTCTAATTAAGTGCTATTGCATTAGCAAGGAACATTTATTTGCCCTACTATGTGTATTGTAAAGCATAAACCTTGAATATACCCATCCTCATTCTTGTCTTTATAAACTTGAGGAAAACAAATCCCCCCAAACCCCAAGTGTATGCCTAAAATATCTACTTAGACATTGCCTCAGGGCAAAATAGATGGCTTTGCCATTTTAAACACTTGAACATAATGCAGGTATAAAAGAGAGCCCTGTCACATGGAGTCAGATATTTTCCTCCTCTCTTTAACAGTAATACTCTACAAAACCCTGTTTTTGTCTCCTTAATTCTGTGAGGAACTAAGACATGCTTTTTGAAGCTCTGATTTAGAAGAGCTTCTGTGGATAAAGCTAATATGAAAGAGCACTGGCACATCAAATGTCTTAAAGACCATGTAGGAATGCCATGTCTCCATTTTTCAAAAGCCGCATCCTCCTATTTTGTTGAACTCTATTACCTTGTTTAAATTTTTATTGCATTCCCACATAGTGTTATGCATAACTATATAAGAAATGCCACAACGGATTAGGCCAATGGTCCGTCTTGCCTGCCTCTGAGGGACATTTTGCAGGGAGCTAAGGTTGTCTTTCTTGATGTTACTCTGAAAACATTAGGAATTGGCTGCACATAGTTCTTACATCCCCCTCCTTTAATATTCCATTATAGAACCAGCATCTGAGAATTTTCCTAAGCCTTTTAAAATTTATTTATAGTTTCACCCTTTGTTATACTTTTGGGACAATAAGATCACTGTTTGATTTGAATAAAAAAACTGCTTTCCTCAAGTTTCAAAAGTTGGTTCCTGTGGCCTAGCATTTTGAGGTTTGATCCACAAGTCCGTTTACAAAATTCCCATCTTCATGATTTCCTGGAATTCAGTTATATAGTAGGCTGCTTCTAAACTGGTTCCTAGTGATCTCTAAATCCTGGTATTTATAAGCCTTTGTGTAAATTCCTTTCTTGTGCTTGGGCTGGACCCAATGACTTGCTTCTAATGAATAGAATATGGCAAAAATGATGAAATATCAATGTCAAGATTAGGTAATAAAAGACTGCGACTTTCACCATGCTTGTACTGTCTCTCTTGGACTCCTTTCACATGCCTTCTCTGCAATAGCAAACTACCACATTGTGAACTGTCCTACTGAGGGGTCCAAATGGCAGGGACATAGGGTAGCCTCTCGCCAATGGCCAGTGAGGAACTAAGGTCCTCAGTCCAACAATCCTTGAGAAACTGGGTCCTGCCAGCAGTTACATTGAGCTTGGAAACCGATCCTCCCCTAGTTGAACTTTCAGATGAGGCAATAGACCCAGCTGATACCTTGATTGCAGCTTTGTAGGAGACTCTGAAGGGAAGTTGAAGATTACTGGGGACAGTTTTAGAAACAGTTTACCACATAACTAAACAGGAACTATGCAGCCCCTTGTCTCACTTTATTTGGGTTATGTCTTTGAGATTGTCCTGCCATAAGACCTTAACAGTTTGTCATATTGGCCTTCCAAAAATATTTTTATCTTGGCAATTCTAAGGTACATTTCCCCTCTCAGATCATTAATGTGCCTTTTGAAAAAGTTAAGCATGATCATAGCAGATTTTGATGTAGTGGATGTATCACTTAGTTATTTCTGTGTAGCAGACCACCTTAAAACAGTGGCTTCAAACAATAACTATTTAGCTCCCGCTTCTATGGGTTGGCCCTTTAGGCTGCACTCAGCTGGGCAGTTCTAATCTCACCTGTACCCTTTCATGCATCTGCCATCAGCTGCCGGTCAGCTAGGAGGCTTTGCTGATCTTGGAGAAACTTTCTCACATCTCTAGGCCTCAGCTGGGATTAATTAGCTGACTCAGTTATGTTCCATGTGATGATGATCCAGCAGGCTATCCCAGGTTTGCCTGCATGGCAATGGCAGAGCCCCAAGAAAATGAACAGAAGCAAGGTCTCTTGGGTCCTAGGCTTAGAACTGAAACACCTGTCACTTTCATCACATTTCATTGGCCATAGCAAGTCATGAGGCCAGCCCAGATTCATTGGATGGGGAAACAGATTCTACCTCTTGCTGGGAGGAAATACAAAGTTAATTGTGAAGAATATGAAGACAGGGGAATGAATAACTGTGACTTTGTTTTTTTCAATCTGCCAGTGGCCATGATTTACACAGTATCCTCCCATTATAGCACAGAGTGTTGTTACACTAAGTGGTACTAACAGGTACCAATGTTGGATTCTCATCCCAATTTTATAGCTTGCCATCTGTGTGACTCTCTGCCTCAGTTTACTTATCTGTAGAGTGAGACTGTTAATATGGCCTATCTTATAGGATCATTGTGACTAGTGAATTAATACATTTAAGAATCTTAGGCCTGGTGAGTGCTCAAAAATTGATAGCTATTATCGAGATTATGTTGTAACAATTATTTGTTTTCATGTTTTTTATTTTTCTAGAGCTAGATTCACTGAGAGAGGGGACCTTAATGCATTAAATTCTTCATCAAAAATGATTAAACATCAATTATATGCTAGGAGCTAGGAGCTGGAGCATGAATGACCCCAGTAGGACATAAACTCATAATCGTGTTATTTTCAACACCATAGGTTTTTATTTCAGATCTACCTTCCTCAAACTCCTGCTTTGACTCTTTTAGTTTTTATTTCTTTCTGTTTTTGTTCTTGTTGCTTAAATCTTTGGAATATTTTCAAACATTTTTGGTGATCTCAATTATATTCACTGGTTATCCTGCATATATGTCTCTTTTCGCTATTCCAGCCTTGAAAATTATTGTAGATTAGTAAGGCTTTGACTTCTGTTTGTGTTTTTTTCCAAGGACTCTGTTTATTCCCTTTGCTCTGAGTTTGTGGTAAAAAACTGAATACATTTGGGAAAGCTAAAGTTCATTAGGTCAAATGGTGGCATCATTCATCTGTTTCTTCTTTTGGCAAATGGAGGTAGTGAGTACCCAGAGTTGTTAGAAGGATTATTCCAGTCTTTTTAGGCAGGGAGCAGAGCTCCTTGGTACCTTGTTTTTTGCATTTGCCAATTGGCTCTGCCCTACTTGCTTATAGGATTATAGTAAAATGCAGATTAAAGAACAGAAACAAAAGAAATTAGAAAATGTCTTAATAATATCTATAATGGGAATAATAACACTTATTAAGGAACAAGAGTAGTTAGACCAGTGGAGGTTAGAAATTGGCAAAGACCCAATAAATTCTAGGGACTAAAAGGAGCTTGTATTGGCCTAAAGATTTTTGAAAAATAAGTATAAAATTTTACTTAATATAATGACTCCATTCCTTTTCCATCTTTCCCAACTTTTATCTTCTGCTTCTTGAATCTAAATCAAGGCTGAACATGAAAGCTTCTGTATGATGTACAATTACTGTTGTAGTAACTATAAAATGTTGCATGTACTTAATTTTCGTAAGTACAATGTGTTCTGCTTCACTTTTATTTTACTCTATTAGGTATGCAGCCTATTTGCCAGGGTGAGTTATCTCCTCTTAGAGTTTGGTTATATACCTAGTCTATTTTGTAAACACAATTTCCATTAAAAATGAATTACTTTTCTTCAGAGCTTATTGATGGGCTGACACATCGCTAAATTTCTTTTCTGAGCCAAGATTTGTCACCTTGATCAAAAGTTGGCAAAATGCAGTTTGTGATCTTTCGAAAGGTACAAGTGGTGGGTGCCCTACAAAAGGTTTTTTTAGTAGCACACTTGCCCTTGATTTTTGTCTTTAAAGCAATTAAGCAGCAGGAACAAAGAAATAGCAACTCTGCACTATGATTCCTCATATAATCTTGGCATTCACCAGAAACACTTTTCTTCATTTAGGAAGAAGTGTTCTTCTGACAGACAGTCTGGAACAAAGTGTGCGTACACACATACAATGAGTCAAGAGTTGGAGTGCGAAAACATGAGACCCCAAACAGTAAGCTAAAAATGTGATATTGGATTCTTGGCAGAGAGATTACATTGTAAGCTTTCCGAAATCCAGCCCATGACACAAACAGTCAGGCATCGCTGCTATTAGCAATCACACCCCAATACATCCAGAAAAGCAGGGAAGAGCAGAGCATTGGTTTAGTGAGATTGTCTGTCTACTTCTTTCAACTTTACTAATAAAGGGTTTTTAAAAAGGTTTTTTCTGATTGTAAAAGTCATACATGCTCACAATTTTAAAAAATCAGAAAATACAAAAAATTCGTAGTGAGAACAGAATTGGGAAGAATTTAGGATGATCTTTCAACCAACTGTAATTGGTTGTTTTTATTTCTGAGTTTAGACACAGATTGTTTGTGGTTCAATGTATTTAATTATTCAGGCATATAAAGGCCATCAGTGGGAGAATAAGATAAGGTAATTTCTATGACCTCTAAGGAAACAAAGGCATTTTTTGGGCAAGTATTTGCCCCATTGTTCCAAACTAATTAGCATTTACAATATAATAAGCTTCATTTTTCATGGCATTTCCCACACAAACCCGCCTCCTTTCAGTTTCTCAAAATGAAATAGCATTAGGAGAGAGAAGCCATATGGAATAGGTAGAGAAAAAAGCAAATGTTCTGAGATGAGTTTGGAAGGTTTGTATTTACAGAAGTGAGGGGGGTCAAGATCAGTAAGGCTTGGGCTGAACATTTTGATTTGCAGGAGAAAAGAAAAGCTTTTTTATGTTGAACATCCTTAAATGATGAGTAGTTTTCTTGTACAGAATAAAGCTGTGCTAAGTTGAGAGCAGGTCTATAAAATAAAGAGCCTCATGGGAAACAAGAAAAGAAAACCGTCTTGGTAACTGTGCTCGTCATAAAAAGAGAAGAGAGTAAACAATAATGATTATTCACTGATGGGTGAGAGATGATAATGGCCTGATCCACCATTAGGTTCTCAGCTAGGGAGCGGCACACTGGGCCATCCGTGGCTAGGGGAAATGCAAGCTGCAGATGGGTTGGGGAGGAGAAGGCAGTGGTAATTAGTGGGAAAACCACTCAGCACAGCTCACAGGCTGCCCATCATCCCCACAAGATGAGGCTTGGGTGGGAGAAGGCTGTAGATATAGGTTCTTAAACAGAGGAGTAGGAACCAAAGGTTCTAAAAATAGGTGTTCACATTCTGCTCCGACCCCTTTCAGGGCTTTGGAGAGAGTGATTTTATATCTCTATTTTCATGCATCTTTCTATGTGCGTTACAAAGTGCCACGAAGTTTGTTGATTCCTACTGGCTACCACTAGCATCAATAAAGGGTTATTCATATAGCAACAGTATTAATAGTAATAGACATGACAATAACAATAAGTAATAGCTAACATTAGGGAGGGATCACTAGGTGCAAAATACTCTAATGCTTTATATGGATTATTTCATTTAATCCTAATATGATACTATGTGATACATACTCTATTGCTCCCATTTTATTGATAAGGAGGTTGAGCTTAACAAGGCCCTCTAAGTCACCCAGTGCCATTGGAAATAGGAGGCAAAGCCAGGAAGTGAACTGCTGCAGTTTGATTCCAGGTCCTGCATTCTACTGCTTACCTGGGAAATAAATAATGAATCTTTCTTATGTGTTTCCTGCACTCCCCAGATGGTACTAAGTATTCTATGTGGGTCATCTCATTTAATCATTACAAAGTTGATGACACAGGTACAAATACAATGCCCATATTACAAATGAGACTGAGGGGCTTATATAGTTTCAGTAAAGTCAGGCTACTTTCCTGCTTAAGAGAGGTTTGATGAACCCCAGAATCAGCACCCTAAATCCTTGTTTTATATGACCCATCCTATACTCTTTTTATTTATACATTAAAAGGTAGACTTTTTCTTTTAGTTTATTTTCCTTCTTTTTAAAAAACCATGACTATGCCTTAAAATCTGTTTTCTCTTTCAAAAAATATACCTTATTGGTTACTAAAGGAAACACCTCATTGGGTAACAGGTTTATAAAATGCTCTCACTTTTGAGGAGGTGGGGACCCTTCAACACTTTCAGGCTTCCCTTGTGAGCACAAACCGAAAGCATACTAAATTTTGCTACTTGGTACTTGACAATGACCACTGCTTAATGCTTTTTAGGCATGTTAGAACCCCCACAGTGCCTCTAAATTGTGCAGGAGTACTCCTTGGGGAGAAATGTCTTTCTGACCTCAGCTTGCAATCAGTTAACACCATGAAGCATGGGAATTTATAGCCCTTACTTTTTATTTTCTCAGCAAGGGAGAATCTGGAAGATGCCAGTACTGTAATGGAGTAAAGGGGATGCAATTTCATCTGTTCGTCCACAGATCTCTTGTTGACCTGTGTTGTAAAGTCATCAGCGAGTGATGCTGTCTCGACAATCCCCCATATGAATGCAGTGTGGCTTTTAAAAAACAAAAAAAGAGAAAAACTTCCAACGTTTAACTTTTTAATTCTTGCCATAACACCAGCTGGCTCGTAATTAACCGCTGGCATCATCAATATCTCGTCAAAGTTAATGAGTTTTTAACATAATTTTTAACTGCTCTGAAGAGGTTACAGAATTAAAAGAACAAGAATAATGTATATATTTATTCACAGACAAACAGAGGGATGAAAGATAAGGTTCCAGCTCTAAGGCCACTGGGCAAGGAATATGAGACAATTCCTGGGCCTTCTCAGTGAATGCAGTGGTCAAGGTGGAAGGGATTTACAGGCCTGGGTGATCTTACATACCATGTGTATTTGCTAAAACTAACATTTACCTTTATTTGCAACTGCTTTGGTTTAATAAGAATTTCAGATGCAAAGACCCTCACAAAGGATCTCAGTTGCTTAGGATTTCTATACACATATATATTTCTCTTTCTTCACCATCAGATTCAGATAATTCATTTATTCATATTTCACATTTCATAGCATACTATCATCATTTGTAGTGCAAGGTCCTTCCCATCCTTCCTTCCTAATTATTGCCATTTCCCCATTTCCCTCAACGACATTAAAATCATTGATGTGTATCCTTTTATTTCTATATGTTCTTACAAAATGTGTATCGTTGTTTTAAAACATCGATTTTAAGTTTTACATGTATGGTATTGTGTTATAGACCTTATTCACTTTTTCCTTTTATGTTCAACACTGTGTTTTTAATATCTTTACATGTAGCTCTGTACACATATGCCTGTTGATTGTAACTGCTGCATATAAATGGTGCATTACAGGCTCCTGCCACCACGCCCAGCTAATTTATGTATTTAGTAGAGACGGGGTTTCAACATGTTGCCCAGGCTGGTCTTGAACTCCTGATCTCAGGTGATCTACCTGCCTTGGCCTCCCAAAGTGCTGGGATTACAGGAGTGTGCCACCATACCTGGCCTGTCATGTGTCTATTAACTTTGTCCATCATTTTCTTACTTGAATTCATACCCTTAATTCTCTATTCTTTTCCATAGAGCTTTGTCTGTTATTGTACCAGTACCATATTACTCTCAATTATTATGTTTTTATTATATGTCTTAATATTTGGTAGGGTCAGTGCACCCCTCTCCTACTTTTTCTCTTAATTTTCAAAGTTGACTTAGCTATTCATGAACAGTGTTTAATATAAATTTTATTTTCTTTATGTATTTTTTTTGAGATGGAGTCTCACTCTGTTGCCCAGGCTGGAGTGCAGTGCCACGATCTCAGATCACTGCAACCTCTGCCTCCTGGGTTTAAGCAATTCTCCTGCGTCAGCCTCCTGAGGAGCTGGGATTACAGGTGCCTGCCACTACGCCTGGATAATTTTTGTATTTTTGGCAGAGACAGGGTTTCACCATGTTGGCCAGGCTAGTCTCGAACTTCTGACCTCAGGTGATCCACCTGCCTTGCCCTCTCAAAGTGCTGGGATTGCACTTTGAGATTGCAAATTGAGACTGCCTTGCCCTCTCAAAGTGCTTGGGATTGCACGCGTGAACCACTGCACCTGGCCTTAAGATACATTTTAGAATAACAATTGGAATTGCATTTGGAGAGAATTGACATCTTTATATAGTAAATCATACTACCCAAGACCAGGAGTCGTCTCTTGTTTTATTTTGATCTTTTATGTACTTTAATGTAATTATATATTCATCCATAGTGGTGTCATGGATTCATTTGTAACTTGCTGTCTGAGCTTTGTCATTCCCTTGAACTGTCCATGTTCAACATGTGCTGTCTTTCTTCAGCAGTACAAGGTCAGTCTTCTGGAACAAAGATGTGTCATTTAGTGTTGTTTGAACCAGGTGCTGTCCAAAGCAGTTCTCAGACTTGTGTTAAACTGGCTGAGAAGAGCCCCTGGGGTCTTCATTAAAAATAAAAATGACTGGTGTCCAACTCCCCCAGAGATTTTGATTTGGTTGGTTCAAGTGAATTTAGAAATCTGAATCTTTAGTAGTTCTCAGATTATTCAGATGGGCAGCCATGTTTGGGAACTACCATTCATTGTGCTAAAAGATTATTTCGAGTTTTAAAAAATGATTCAAATGTCTCCACTTGAAAGATTTCCCTGAGAAAAGATAATTCTGAGATATGAAGGAACAGTTGTCATTATAAATATAGATTCATCATAAATTTATTGTACTTTTTAAAATGCATGTTTTTTTTAATAATTTCAACTTTTATATTCAAGGAGTACATGTGAAGGTTTGTTACCTAGGCATATTGCATGATGCTGAGGTTTGGGGTACAAGTGAATCTGTCACCCGAGTACTGAGCATAGTAGCCAATAGTTAGTTTTTCAGCTTTTGTCCTCATCTCTCCCTATTCCCTCTAGTAGTCCCTAGTGTCTATTGTTGCCATCTTTATGTCCATGAGTACCCATTGTTTAGCTCCCACTTACTTATAAATGAGAACATGTGGTACATTAATATAGGAACATACAAAAAGCATGACAAAGCTCAGAAAGTAAGTTACAAATACATACATGTTCCTGTATTAATTCACTTAAGATAATAGCATCCAGTTGCATTTGTGTTGCTACAAAGGACATGATTGCATTCTTTCTTATGGTTGCATAACATGTATCACATTTTAAAATCTACCATTGATGGGCATCTGGGTTGACTCCATGTCTTTGCTATTGTGAATAATACTGTGATGAACATATGAGTGCATGTGTGGTTTTGGTAGAATGATTGTTTTTGGATATATACCCAGTAACGGGATTGCTGGGTCAAATGGTTCCTCCGTTTTAAGTTCTTTGAGAAATCTCCAGATTGCTTTCCACAGTGGCTGGACTAATTTACATTGCCTCTAGCGATGTATAAGCCTTCCCTTTTCTCTGCAACCTCACCAGCATCTGTTATTTTTTGATTTTTTAATAATAGCCATTCTGCCTGTTGTAAGATGGCGTCTCATTGTGGTTTTGGGCATCTCATTGTGGTTTTGATTTGCATTTCCCTAATGATTACTGATATTGAGCATTGTTTCATATACTTGTTGGCCACATATATGTCTTCTTTTGAGAAGTGTCTGTTCATGTCCTTCACCCATTTTTTAGTAGGTTGTTTGGTTTTTGCTTTTGATTTGTTTGAGTCCCTTATAGATTCTGAATATTTGACCTTTGTCTGATGCATAGTTTGTGAATATTTCCTGTTATTCTGTAGTTTGTCTGTTTACTCTGTTGATAGCTTTTTTGTTGTTGTGCAGAAGTGCTTTAGTTTAATTAGGTCCACTTGTCAATTTTTCTTTTTGCTATAATTGCTTTTGAGGACTTAATCATAAATTCTTTCCCAAGACCAATGTCCAGAATGGTGTTTCCTAGGTTTTCTTCTATGATTATTATAGTTTGAAGTCTTACATCTAAATCTTTAATCCATCTTGATTTAATTTTTGTCTATGGTGAAAAGTAAGGGGTCCAGTTTTATTCTTCTGCATATAGGTAGCAGGCAATCCAAGCACCATTTAAAGGGAGTCCTTTCCCCATTGCTTATTTTCATCAACTTTGTTGATGATCAGATGGCTGTAGGTGTGCAGCTTGATTTCTGGGTTCTCCATTCTGTTCCATTGGTCTGCGTCTGTTTTTGTACCAGTATCATGCTGTTTGGGTTACTGTAACATTATAGGATAGTTTGAAGTTGGGTAATGGGATACCTCTGGCTTCTTTCTTTTTGCTTAGGATTGCTTTGGTTATTTGGGCTCTGTTTGGGTTCCATACGAATTTTAGAATTTTTTTTTTTCTAGTTCTGTGGAAAACGATGTTGGTAGCTTGACAGGGATAGCATTGAATCTGTAGATTTCATTGAGCAGTATGGCCATTTTAACAATATTGATTCTTCCAAACTGTGAGCATGGAATGCTATTCCATTTGTTCCTGTCATCTCTGTTTTATTTTAGCAGTGTTTTGTAGTTTTCCTTGTAGAGATCTTTCACTTCCTTGGGTATACGTATACCTAGTTTGTGTGTGTGTGTGTGTGTGTGTGTGTGTGTCTATTGTAAATGGGATTGCATTCTTGATTTGGCTCTTGGCTTGAATATTATTGATGTATAAAAATGCTACTGATTTTTATCAGTTCCAGGGGACTTTTGGTGGAATCTTTAGGGTTCTTTAGGTATAGAATCATATCGCCAGTAAAGAGAGAGAATTTTACTTCTTTTCCTATTTGGATGTCTTTTATTTCTTTCTCTTGCCTTATTGCTCTGGAAAGGACTTCCTGTACTATGTTGAATAGGAGTGGTGAGTGTGGATATCCTTGTCTTGTTCCAATTCTCAAGGGAAATGCTTTCAGTTTTTACCCATTCATTATGACACTGGCTATGGCTTTGTCATAAATGGTTATTATGTTGAGGTATATTCCTTTGATGCCTAGTTTGCTGAGGGCTTTTAACATGAAGGGATGTTGGATTTCACCAAAAGCTTTTTCCTCATCTATAGTGGTGATCATATGGTTTTTGTTTTTTTAATTCTGTTTATGTGAAGTATCACATTTATTGATTTGTGTACATTGAACTAACAGAGGTCTAGAAGTGCTTATGAATCTGGATGCTCTGGTGTTGTGTGTTTATTTATATATTTAGGATAGTTAAGCCTTCTTGTTGAATTGAACCCTTTATTGTTATGTAATTCCCTTTGTCCTTTTTACTGTTATTGGTTTAAACTCTGTTTTATGTGATATAAGAATAGTGACCCCTGCTTTTTTGTGTGTTCTGTTTGTGTGATAGATCTTTCTTCAACCCTTTACTTTGTGCCTGTGTGTGTCATTACATGTGAGAGATTGATCTCTTGAAGACAGCAGACAGATGGGTCTTGTTTGTTTTTATCCACCTTGCGACACTGTGATTTTTTTTTTTTTTTGAGACGGAGTCTCGCTCTGTCACCCAGGCTGGAGTGCAGTGGCATGGTCTCGGCTCACTGCAACCTCCACCTCCCGGGTTCACGCCATTCTCCTGCCTCAGCCTCTCAAGTAGCTTGGGACTACAGGTGCCCGCCACCATGCCCAGCTAATTTTTTGTATTTTTAGTAGAGACGGGGTTTCACCATGTTAGCCAGGATGGTCTCGATCTCCTGACCTCACGATCCACCTGCCTTGGCCTCCCAAAGTTGTGGGATTACAGGCATTAGCCGCTGCGCCTGGCCCACACTGTGATTTTTAAGGGGGGAATTTATATTAAAGTTAATATGGATATGTAAGATTTTGATCCTGTCATGAAGTTAGTTGGTTGCTTTGTAGTTTCTATTGTGTGGTTGCTTTATAGGGTCTGTGAAGTGTGCACTTAAGTGTGTTTTTGTGGTAGCAGGTATCATTCTTTCATTTCCATGTTTAGAACTCTCTTGAGGATCTCCTATATGGTTGATCTAGTGGTAGTGAATCCCTTAGTGATCACTTACCTGGATATAATTTTACTTTTCCTTCACTTTTGAAGTGTAGTTTGGTGAGATATGAAATTCTTCATTGGAATTTCTTTTCTTTAAGAATGCTGAAAATAAGCCCCCAGTCTCTCCTGGCTTGTAAGATTTCTGCTGAGAAGTCTGTTAGTCCAATGGGGTTCCCTTTGTATTGTACAATTTTTATCTTTTATGCCTTAGATCAAAGATACGCTAGGTAGTCTCTGAATACCATTTAAAAATAAATTTATTAAAGTAGTTAAGGACAAATCCACAATGTGCAATTTATTCTCTTTCCAAGCCCAGTAACAAAAACATGGCAACTATAATTGCAATGATGACGGCTAGATGGCTGGCAAATTGAAGTCTGTATCAGTTATGAGATGAAAATTTTATGCTCTCAACCAGAAGAGTGCAGTGCATAACATTTTAACCTCTACTTGGATGAAATTTACTGAAATGGATTTCATCAATGACAAATCAACAAGGAGACTGTTGTATCTTTCAGGAGCAAATGGGCAACAGGGAAGATGGATGGTTATGTGGAAGTGTATAATTATCTATTTTAGCTATCCTAAAACTAATAAATAAGCCCTTAAATGTCATTTGGAGAAAGGTGGATCAATTGCTTGCCCACTTGTTAACTTGATCTATCATCTTTTATAGGAGCACGTTAAAGACTTTGTTGATGCAACACAGTTGTATTTCACAATAGAACTTAAGGCAGTTAGCCTTCATGAGACTGAAGGAATAAACTGATCATCTGAGCCTCATGTCATGATGGATGGCAGTTATGCAGAGATATATTCTAGTTGTCTTAAAAGCATTTATGGGTTTGCTTTCAAATACCATTGTCTCACACAACCTAGAAGTTAAACTCCAAAAGTTAAAAAAAATTAGAATTTTATGAACACTATTTATTCATTGAAAGACTGAAACAGTATTAGTCTTCTCATGCTTAAGTCACTACGATGGCTTCATTTTCATTGCTGGCACATATAGTTTTCTTTATAGTCATATTACCTCTTCATATTTATTCCTTAGTCTGGTGAAATTCCTGTGTGTGAATTGAACTTCATAGGTGATGGACTTCAAGAAAATGAGAAGTGCCCACAGAGGACAATTTCAAACTAAACTGTTGATAACAACTTTTAAGGCAAAAAGTAGTGTACTTGTAAGTCCAGTAGAAAGACAAAGCCCTTTATTCAGCCACTTCCTGTCCAGGGATCTCTCTCTCTCTCTGAGAGAACCTGAAGCTTCTATAGAGTTTATTATTTACAAAGTAACCACTTTAAGCCATTATCAGCAATGCCTGACATTTCTCTAAGGTTTATGAATTGCAAAGCATGTTTAAAAAATAATTTCACATTTGAGTCTCGCAATAACTCTGTGAAGTGTGTATTACTAATACCATTTTACAGATAGAAAAACTTGGCCAAGGAAACAGTGAATTTATCTTAAAATCAGGTTTGCAGACTAAAATTTCTCCAACATCATTAACCTAATTGATAAAATATTTTCCCTTTCACTGATCCTTCTATATTTCTTATTTGGAAATTGAGAGCAGAGGTTGGCAAACTTTCTGTAAAGAGCCAGATAGTAAGTAAGACAACTACCTCGGTCACAACCACTCACCTCAGTCATTGTAGCAACAATAAGTCACTGCCAATAATTAAAATGAATAGGAATGGCTGCATTCCAGTAAAACTTTGTTTGCAAAACCAGGCTGGCCAGATTTGGCCCACAGGCTATCTGTAGGTTGCTGATACCAGGTCTAGAGTAATGAATCTTACGAAGAGATAAATTCAACAGTGAATCTATATAACCTGGGCATGTTTTCATATTCATATCCCTTTCACACACCTCACTTGGGTTTTTGTATTGAGACTCCTCACACATTTTGTTTTTTATGCAGAGTTCTTAGAAGGGACTACGTTGCACATTGCACCACAAAACATTTTAATTGTCACATTTAAGCATTTCTTCTATTTCCTTATGGCAGCTGCTACATCCTTCTCCAGGTCTCACCTCTCTTCTTACTTCAGACCATCTTTCTGAATTCTTTCTTGTCTCCTTGGCTGGTTGAGCTCCACCACCTTCCTATACAGTCCCCTGGAACTTTCTGCCCCTTTTCTTCCAGGGAGTGATTTAGCTCTGTATCAGCTTCCTCATTTGCAACCTCACCCATCATCTTCTCTCAGCATATAAAGAGGGTCCTGGGAATCTACTCTCCATTGCAGGTGGGAGAAGGGGTGATTATTAATTTCAATGTTTTCCCTGATAAATGTATGTAAAGTGCTCAACCTAGTGCCTGACATATGGTGGTGTTTACAAATGGCTCTCATTTTTGTATTATTAGGTACCTGGTAAAAGTTTGGGAGGTTATAAAGTATTATGAAAGTCTAAGACATCGACTATTATTGTGGTGTTTAGAAACCATTACAAAGCCTAGGGGGCACAGAAGCTGTGGATTTAGGTCTTACCGAGGTGATGGCTTTCACAGTCACTAAGGGGTTTCTCAGTATAATTTTTTAGACTGAGCTAGCTTCCCCATAGAAAAGATTTGCTTGTTTTGTGCTAACTCAAACACTAAAGCATTTTGCTTAAAGACTTTGTGACTTGAAGGAAAGATCTTCAAGTTGACAGCAGATTCAATGGGACCTGCCTCATGGAGATACATGTTTGCGTTCACAATGAATGAAGATCGTCAAACATGTTTACAGCCAATCATTTTGCAGAACAAGACTTTGTGGGTAGCACTGAAAAATCTGATGTTAAAATTTCATCCCATTTTTATACAGCTATCTTATGATAACAGATTATCACAATATTTTAAAGCAAACTGTCATGTGCAACAAATACAACAATTTTTTCAATCATCTTTAAAGCATTCTCCCACCCTTGCATTCATGCTGTCAAGCAAACATTTAAAAACTGCTTATTATGTGCCAGATGCCACATAGTAAGACATAGCCTATGCTCTGAAGGAGTACAGTCCAGTGGGAAAGACATCATTTATGAAACAACTTTCAATAGCAGTATGTACAAGAGAAACCTTTAAGGTAGAGCGCTGTTGTGACTGTGACAGTGCTGGATATTCAAGGGGAGATTCATGGTTTCAAAACAATTTTGAAGTGGTTTACAAAGGATGGCAGGTAAAAACTAAATAGTGAAGAAAGTTCAGGCTAAAAAAAATAAGGGAATGAAAAGGCAGTTGAAATTAAATGTAAAGTTAGTGAACTAAAATGCATGGCATAAAATTTGCGCTTATTAAAGCTGACCTATACATTTGTTTCTGAGTTTCCTAGCAGCCAAAGCAAAGAGAAAAAAATGTGATCCTTTCTATGGTCAATGTATTCATATGACAAAACAAATTAATTATTTCAGGTAGATACCCAAGAGAAATGTATCTTTGATTTCCTAATTGACCTCTGGTTCTCACTGTCCCTACATTAACCAAATAAATCTCATTTAGAGTTGTTTCTTATGCCTTCCTTCAAAGAGGTTAATGGAGTAATAGCAAGGCAAAGGCAGCAAAAACTCTTGATAGTATTTCAGAACAACATCTCCAGCTTAACTGACATCTGCTTAATCCAAAGATTTGGTTTGTAGAATCTAGAGGAATCAATATTCCTATTATCGTCAAGAAATTCTCCTTGTCTTTTATTTTTCTTAACTGAGCTTTTGTAAGTAAAGGTATTAAAAATTTGAGTTTATACTGAGCAAATCTGAAATGGACTGTATTAAACTAGTGGAGACTGAATAGTCTCCAACTGGCAAAATCAGCTTCCCCTTTTTCTCTCATAAAATAATTTTATGGAAATGGGGTGAAGGAGCTCATGAGGAAATAAAGGTCAGATATAGAAAAAACAGAGAAAACTATAATTTTAGTATGCCTCAGATTATGTAAATTTTTGCTCTGCTACATGTGTGTGTAAATACCTGTCTTCCAGGTCCTCAACTACTCTCGATGACAATAGTTTTTACATTTACAATAGCGATATGACCCCCTTCAAGGGACAGAGGAGGATAGGTTGACATTAGGTAAATTGGCTTGCCAAGTGCTCAAAATATGATTTTTCCTTTAGTGTTTAATATTATTATATAAAAATGGCTTATAAAAATTAGTATTATTTAAAGTAACATTAAATAGTTAAAAAATTTTAAATAATGTATGTTTCTTACCATTTAGAAATGAAAGAACACTCTAAATAGCATATATTTCAGTAATAAAACTTCATAATAAAATTTTTCTAGGCCTCATCAGAAGATGTCTTTAGGTACCATACATAGTTATAATTTGAAGCTATATTTCATTAATGTCTTTGAAATTTTATTTTCCTCATAAAATTCATTTTTGTTCATTGGAGAAAATTTGAAAGTAGAAATATATAAAGAAGATAATAAACCTCACCTGTAATATTTCCACCCAGGATTACCCACTGTTGAAATTATACTCTATTTTAAACTAGTATTCTTTCAAATGCATACATATTTACATAATTGTGACTATATTTAATTCACTTGACTTTATATTGCAATAATTCTACCCTATATTATTAGAAGTCTCTTGTAAACATTGTTTTTTGGTGGCTGTGTATTACTCTACTGGGTAAGTGCATTATGAAGTTCTTAGTCATTTTCTATCATGAGTTCCCTGACATCTGGGGATTTGGGGACAAATAGTGGTAAATCACTTTGAATATTGCACCTTATCTCTATAATCTTGGCCCAGTATTTCACTGGAGTCAGACAAGCATGACCTCATCCCAGTTCCTGTGTTTCAGGGGGCCAACACTTTGTGGTGCCTTCCTTGACATTTTCTAAGTCCTTCTCTAGTGCCTGGAACCAACCAAGGCCAACAGTCAAGGCTGGCTTGATGAGCTGCAACCTGTGCAGTCACACAGAGCCCCATGCTAAGAAGAGCCCCATGAGTTTAATACTCTGCTGCCACTTCCTTGGAATTTCAGATCATTTTAAAATAAGTCCTACCCTTTCATTTTGCACTGGGCCTCCCAATTACAGCATGTAGCCAGTCTAGAGAATTATGTAATCTGGACTGGATGGCTGTATCTAAAGCAGAGCCTGATTCCTATATCTCCCTTTAAGGCTCTGTGCCTCTAACTCCCATGTGTGGTTGACCAGATGCCCTGAGAAGCTCTAGGATTTGTGCCTATGGGATTGTCTGGGGGCCTGGTTCTAGGAGAGGACCCTGGCAAGATGATTGCTGATACTAGAGGGTGTGGTATGTCTTTTGCAGGGTCAGGTGAGGCCAGGCTGCCAGAATGGTGCTGACACAGGAATTCTGGGTGACTCAAATTGCTTAGTCAGAGGCCCCACACATGCTGGGGGTGGCCCTGCTTTGGCCAGAGCACAAAGCACTATCCTCTGCTTTTAACTTTTGATTCTACTTCTCACATTCCCATCTTCTACATCCTTCTCCCAGCTATTGTCTTGGTACGATCTATTTTGACTTTTGGGACAAGCTGAGAGTTCTGGAGAGTACCAGCTCTGATATCATAGGAAGGGCAAGGTGGGCAGTAACAAGGTCACGGAAGGGCAGGAGGGCCTCTTTTCTGGCGGGGACTCTCCAAGGGCCTTGGCTGGGGCATTAGATCCCACAGGCTTCAAGAACGTTAACAAGGGCTCTGCTCTGAGTCAGGACTTATTTATAAACTCTTAGTTAATTTCTCAATGTTATATTCAGAAGCTGAAATTCCCACAATTGCTGGTATGAATGGAAAAGTCACAGCATATGGCAAGAGTGATGAATTTTAGGAAGCTTAAATTTTTCCTTTTCTCAAAGGCTCCTCAGCTGAGAAATCTCCAGTTTCTTCATTTATTCTTGCCAGTCGGGGATCAGCTCAGCTCAGCTCATGTCTTCTTATGAAGTTTTGGATGGTACGCTTGGAAGTGCCAGCTGCCCTAGGGGCTTTGAGCTGGGCACACTATGTATTTGGTGGGGGAGTGGGAAGCAGCGCAGACAGCCTGGAGAGTGTGTTAATGCCCAGAGGTCCAGTTTTTATTCCTGACCTGTGTTTGGCATCTGAGTCCTGCTGTACTAATTCAAGGCTCCTGATCCTGGGTTTTACTGTTATCTGCTATTTCTCTGACTTTGGTTTCTTGCCATTCCCAGAAGGAGAAATGTAGTCAAGGAGCATTTCCACATCAGAAGAGTCAAGGATGGCTTCTTGGAGATGTTGATTGCACACCCAATGATTAGACATGGCAGGAAATTCACAAGATTATATCTATTTATGAAGCCATCATTCATTCATTTATTCAATCATTCACTAAACATTTATTAAATCCTAGTTACTTCCCTGGCACTGTGATGGGGGTTAGAAAAAGAAACAAGCATGCTTTTCCCCTTTGCAGGGATCACAAAATAATAGAAGAGCAAAACTACAAGGCAGTCTGAGAAGCCTAAATCAGAGATATATATCAAAGCACTGTGGAAACATAAAAGACGAAGCAATTTGTTCTCCTCGGAAGAAGGCAAGAGAAGCTATGCAAGCCTTCACAGAGGAGGTGATCTTTGAGCTGGGGCTTGAAGGAGGAATAGGGTTGTGAGAGGTGATTTGCACTCACAAAATACGCATGTGCTCACCAACAGTTCCCAGCCTCCTTTGCTGTTAGATTGGAACCATGTGACTAGTTTTGGCCAATGGACTTTGAATGGAAGTGACAAGCTTCTAGGCAAAAGTAAAAGCCAGTGTACCTCATCCATTTATCTTTTCCACTTTGGCAGAGTCTGTGGCTGTGTGTTGAAATAGCAGAGCCTTGAGATGAGATCCTTGGATTACTGTATGGAAGAGAGCCACCTAGTAAAGACACTCAACTCACATTGAAGTTTGTATGAGTGAGAAAATCTCTGTTGTGGTAAGATACTGAGATTTTTTTTTAAGTTACTGATATGGTTTGGCTGTGCCCCCACCCAAATCTCATCTTGAATTGTAGCTCCCATTATCCCATGTGTTGTCGGAGGGAACCTGTGGGAGGTAATTGAATCATGGGGGTGAGTTTTTCCCATGCTGTTCTCATGATAGTGAGTAAGTCTCATGAGATCTGATGGTTTTATAAAGGGCAGTTCCCCTGCACACACGCTCTTGCATGGTGCCATGTAAGACATGCCTTTGCTCCTCCTTCACCTTCTGCCATGACTGTGAGGCCTCCTCAGCCAAGTGAAACTGTGAGTTCATTAAACATCTTTTTTTCTTTATAAATTACCCAGTCTAGGGCATTTCTGCATGGCAGTATGAATACGGTTACTATATACTGCAGTATAATACAGTTACTGAGATTTAGGGTTACTTGTAATTACAAGTTAGTCAATCCTATTATGACTAATTTAAGGAGTTTCCCAAGTATATAAGGCGACATTTCAGAATGAGAAAAAAAAGTGGGTGAAAATTTGTGGAGATATTTCCTGAAGGGAAGGAAGCTAGTTTATTTTTCTGACAATTCCTTTCCATTCTTGGTTAAGGGCTGCTCCTAGAAGAAATGACTCTCTCTCTACTTCTAGGCTGTTTTGTGCACAGGCTGAACATGCTCCTGTTGTTGGAGAAAACTCATAGGCAGAAATGTGTAGGTTCTTTTTGTAGAAAGCTGAAGGAGTATGTGGAAATGGTAAATGTCAAGGAGATGTGGGTGGAACACTGACAGCATTTTACAGGTGATAATTGGAGGTAGCAACGCCTGTTTGCCTGCCTTTTAGTAATCCCTGGTGTAGATATCTAGACCAAATCATTTATGATTATCTTTAGAATGTGGGGTACTTGACCCCTCTTTGTCCTCTACTATGTGGCTTATCACCAACTTTTGGGCAACAGAACATCTCTGTTAACATCCCATTATGCTGTTTGTAAACATTTTGTGTGAGATATTGGAGCCCAGAGGACCTGTGTCTTGTCTTTCAAATAATTAAGGCAGAGCCAGGACTAAACCATTAGTTTCCTGACTCCATGTTTAGCATTATTTTTCTCTCATTATTTGTTGGATTTTTGTTTTTGTTGTTGTTGTTGTTGCCATTGTTTTATTTATTTATTTATTTTTTTGGTCCTCTTTCTCAGCACTTCGATGGCCAGGTCCTTTCATTTCTTTAAAGAGAATTATGGAAATGTAGGACAGTGGTCACATTCTTGAGGTAAGAGTCAGACTGCTTTGGTTAAATCCTCCTGCCCATTTTCACCTTCCACGCATTGCCACGCACTAGCTGTGGGACTTTGGGCAAGTCACTCACTCTCTCCCAAGCCTTAGTTTTCTGATCTGAAATGGCATAATAATAGCCACTGTGAAAAGTGAATAAGATGAGGCATGTCCCACACTTAGCATCATGCCTGGCTCAGAGCACTTGTTCAGTAAGTGCTGGCTCTGTATGAAGCCAGTTTTCAGGAGGAGGCCTGACCAACCTTGTGAAGAAAATAAAATTGTCTCTGCCCTCAGAAGATTTTATTTTTTGTTGATTGTTCTTTCTAGCCACAAGTCTGCCCCTACTTCTCTCTGTGCCCCACTAGGGAGCCATATCCAGATTTTATCCATTCAGAGCCCTCTGACTGCTTACTTCTACCAAATCAAATCTTCTGGCATCCAAGCTTCCCTTTACAACAAAACGTGCAACTCATTCTTTCAAATCCACAACATCAGCTTGATTATCTGAAAGTTCATTTCTTTTTTCTAATGAAGAAGGTAAATGAATTAGTTTCAGATAATCTTAGGTGCATTTTAAGTTAGATGTTTTTGAGTCAACACCTTCTACTTCCCCATATTTTCCCACTTTATGCTATAAATCATGAAGGAATTCAATTGGTAAGAATTTATATCAGGGTAAGTAGATTAATGGGGTTAAACTCTCCTATCATTTTCTGGCTCACTTGGGCGTGTTATATAAAGATAAAAGCAGAAAAAGGACACGTGCAAACACATATAAGCAGAAGCACCAGAATGGATAATTTTGCCTTGGGCAAGACAAGAAATAGTAGCATCCACTCCAGCCCAGATATGGGCTTATCAATATGAAACTTCATAGAAATTTTAGGAAAGTTGAGGTCACTTAGTTTTAGCTTGTGATATACAAATTTTGTAGCCTGAGCAGAGATAAATATATTTTGGCAATTATAAAGGTTCTATATCAGAGTACCAATGAAGATGTAACTCTGGTGATTTGTGATTCCATCACCAGCCCCTCAAGCTGTTTCTAGCCTCTTATTTATAGCTTTCCCGGGCTGTATATCTTATAAATACAAAACGAATGAAGTAGTGCAAATGAAAAAGCAGCTTTCCTTATGGCCTATTTACATCTCCTTGCTTGTCACCAGGGTAAATAAAGACACAGACACAGTCTTCTGATCTGTGGGGGATCTACTGAACTACTCCTGCAGTCCATAACATAAGAAAGCATGTTGGTGGACAGAGAAGGCCAGAGAGGCTGAGAGAGATGCTTGTGGCTTTTCAGTGTCCCAAATGAGCACAATTCTGAAGCTTGGAGGTAGTTATCTTTGATTTCATAGTACAGGACAATCATAGCTTGGCCTTATAGATGTCTTCTGATGCCTCCATGAGTTCTGATGTCATGATGTGAAATACCTAAGGGGTAAATGGAATTATTAGTCCCAAATCTTTACCTTCCTGAGATTCATACCACTTTCATTGTTTGTCATGGGTAGAATGCATTTTCTCATCCCTTGACTTGGGCTTGGCCATGTGACTTTGCTTTGGCTAATGGCACAAGACGTGACAGTGTATCAGTTCTGGGCCTAGGCCTGAGAAGGCCTTGTGCATTTTCATTTGCTTTCATGTGCCTATCTCATCATGAGAAAATAACCTGGATGTCTCATTCACTGGTTTAAGGAGGAAGAAAGATATGCAGAGCAGAGATGCTTAGATCATCCAACCCCCAGCCAACCTTCAGATGCCTAAGGGTTAGTTAGCAAATGTGGTTTTAAGCCAATGAGTTCTTGACAGATTTGTTTCACAGCCATAGCTGATGAATAAGATATATAACTAAATAAATGAAACCATTCTTAAGAAAGTTAATACTGTTAACTCACTGTAAACTTTAACATGTTTAAGCTTAGAATCCCTACTTTTTCTTTGAATTGCCCACAGCTATGATTTGAATGATGGTGTCTCTTCCAAAATTCATGTTGAAACTTAATCATCAATGCAATAGTATTAAGAGGTGTGGCTTTTGTGAGGTGATTAAGTCATGAGGGCTGCACCCTTATGAATGGGATTAGTACCTTTATAAAAGGGCTTGGGGTTGAAGGGAGTACTCTCTTGCATTTCCATTACTTCCCCCACATGAGGACACAGCATTCCTCCCCTCCAGAGGATGCAGCAACGAGATGCCACCGTGAAACAGGGAGTAGTTTTCATCAGACACTGACCCTCCTAGCTAGTACCTTGATTGTGAACTTCCCAGACTCCAGAACTAGGAAAAATAAATTACTGGTGTTTATAAGTTACCCAGTCTGATGTATTCTGTTATAACAGCACATACGGACTAAAATACCTGCAAACACTGTTACTTGTTTCTCTTGAGGGGGGATCATTTTTTCACAAAGAAACAAAATTTCTGACTAAAGTCTAGAAATAGAAAAGACATCTTGTTGTATGGTGATCTTTCCTTAATCCTAAATCTCAGTAACTTATTACAACAGAGATTTTCTCACTCATGCAAAGATCCATGTGAGTTGGGTGTCCTTACTGGATGACTCTCTTTCATGCAATAACCCAAGGATTCCATCTTGAGGCCCTACTATTTCAACACACAACTTCCTCAGACTCTGCCAAAGGGGATAAGAGAAATGGATAAGGCATACAGCTTTTAATGACCTTTGCCCATGTCACTTCCATTCCAAGTCCATTCGCCAGAACCAGTCACATGGCCAGAACTAGTTATGTGGTTCCAACCTAAATGCAAAGGAGGCTGAGAACTGTTGGGGAGCACATGCATATTTTGTGAGCACAAATAACCTCTGCCATAATCCTACTCCTCCTTCAAGCCCCAGATCAAAGAGCACGTCCTCTGTGAAGACTGGCACAGCTTCTTTTGCCCCCCTCCCAAGGATAACAAATTGCTTCATTCTTTATGTTTCCACAGTGTTTACATATATATATTTAGATAACTGATACTGAGGCCCAAGTGGCTTAAATTTGAGCCTTATGAAATGTAAAAATGACTACATTGGTCTTCTGTAATGGACATCTGTTATTTTTGTGCCCTTGGCACCCATTCCCCTCCTTTTCTTTGGAGAAAATCTGTCCTCTACCTTTAGTCTATGGCTCTGGGAAGTGCTGACCAACGTCTCAGCTCCAGGGGAGCACGTGACCAATCAGCATATCCCATTCCCTGGACATTGTGCTTGGTGCAGGGATGAGCAGGTTCCTCAAGCTGGTGTAATGGGACTCCATGCCAGGAATTTGGTTAGCATTTTTAAGAGAGAGAACCTTCTTTTTTTTTTTTTTTTTCACTTCATTTCATAGCTGTAGGAGTAATGGGAGCTGGGGCTTTCTGAGGCCTCCTGTCAGAAGTCTTGCTTGAGAATGACGCCAACACAGAAGAAAGACCGAGAGAGGAAGAAACACAAGTAGAAAGAGAGAGAGAGAAAGCTGACAATATAATTTGAGCCATGAGCTCCTGGGGTTAACTAGGCCAACCGCCATTCTTTCTTGAACTTTTCAGTGAAGTAATTACATTTTATTTTGTTAGCTTGTGCCATTTTTAGCAGGATTTTCTCTCCTATGTAACCAAAAGATCTCTGAATTTTCCAACAGCTGAAACTGTAACTTGCTAAAACACCAAAATCTATTGATAATACGAGTAAGAGAGGTAGCATAAGATATGTTCCTTACTAAGAATAAATGGAGACAGGGTTCATTCAATAATGACTGTCCTTAGGCATACTATTTCAAGGAGATTGAGTATAGACAAATATCATCTTGCTTACTTGTGCCATCTTTTCTTTTATTGCTTTTCTCTCCCTCTACTTACTCTCTTGATTACTTTGTCTGTCATAGGTGTGTTCTTTACTCCTCAAATCTGAGACTCACCACCTAATCCAACTGATTTCATGCCCAGTATCTCATCAGCCATTGAATCCTGGGTTTGTTCTTGATTTGTTGTGAATTTTGGGAAGTCTTGAATTTTTTTTTGTTTACTATTCTTTTGACTCACTAATAAAACAGAAGATTTGAGAGTGACCCTGCAGGAAAACATTTGAGATTAACTCATCATGTAGCATAAGCATCTTCTGTGTGTGGATTACTTAGACCCAGTGATGCTATACTAGTGCATTACAAAAGCCCTCACGGAGGTGGGCCTCAGGATGACTTCTCCACAACCTCTGTAGCCTTGCTCCCTTCCTAAGTAGATGATGACTGTTTTCATCCCTCCTTACACAAAGGTGGGGCCTTTCCTTCCTTTTCTTCTAGTATTCTTACTATCTCTTCCTATCCACATTCTTCCATCTTCCCCAAATACATCAAAAGGTAGTGAAAGTTCACTTACTCTGTTTGAAGCTTTGTTTCCCCATGTTTGAATATGAATAATAATGTTTACTCACTAGAATTGTCATGATGAATCAGAGATTAAGATTAGCTATGTAGAGTGAACCACCCAAAGCCTGGTACATCCCAGATGCAAACATACATTAGTACTCTAACATTTCTGTTAGACATGGTTGTCTACCAGAAAGACTATTTTGTCTATTAAAGTAGTTGATAGTGTGGTGTCCTTATCATCGCTGTCTTCTTCTTATAGTTTAATTCATTTTGAGAATTGCTGAATTTTCAATGGTGCACTCATCTCATGCATGGAGTCTCATTTGAGAACATGGCATTGCCCCTTTCCTTCCATGTACATGTCCTAGTCTGTCACAGAAATGAAAAACAATGAGAATCCCTCCTCTTGGCTAATCTCTGAAGCATTAATTTTTTTCTGGGTTACCTTCAACCACTAGTCTTATGTTGCTGCCTCAAGCAGTTTCTAGGTGTTCTACAGAATATCAACTCCATGAACTATTTATAGGTGCCAGGATACACATAAAATGTTCCACAGTTTAATAAATTTGTGAGTAACTTGGTTTAATCTAAGTAAATCAGTCTTCTGAAGGACTTCCCCGAGTCTTTTTGTGCTAATGTGTATTGCAAACCTGCAAGAGAGGTCAGGGAGATACAGTATGCAATATTTCTCAAACTCATTTGGCTACAGAGCCTATTATTAGTGGAACCTCTCATGGGACAAGTATTCTAGGAAACATATTTAGGGAAATGCTGACCTAGTGTTTTACATGACCTAGACGATGCTCTATGACCATCCTCTTCTTTATTCCAGGAATGTCACATTTTATATACTCTTCCTCAGTTGTCTTTTCTATTTTGTGCCTGCTCCTCCACCTTTGCTTAATTCCTGCTGGATAGATTTAAGTCACAGGCTGGATGATAAAAGACAGTGATTAGTTGACCAAGGAGAAGAATGAATAGTCACACCAGTGCATGGTGATAAATATTTGCAATATGTTGAATACACCTTTGCTGCTTTTCTTTAAACTGATAAAGTAAACGGGTGAAGATAACGTTGTCACTATTCTTCTCTAGGACTTTTCTTCTGATTGGAATATGAGAGGCTAACTGGGGTCTTAAATATAAAGAAATCTTTTGGGAAAGTGTTCTAATTTTTCATTGTAAGAGTACATATCAAAATATATTTGCCTATAGTCATTTGATTTTTTATGGCTTATCTGTTTCTAATTTGCTTGCAAAAACCTGGGTGGATAATTTAGACCAGGCCAAAAGATAGAATTTTCATGTACACAATAACTAGTACATTGATTCAAGAAACAATCATTTACTTATTTATGCCTTTTCTGTCTCTAAAGTATAGCACATCATTAAGTAATGTTGGTAAAGATTTCCACCTCCCCCCGTTTTGGGGTTCCCCTTTCACTGTGTTCTAGGTAAAGCTTTGTGAAATGAAATTATCTCATTTCACACCTTGTAACTAATTTAAAAAATATTTTGCCCTCCAGATGACTATAGATCTGGATTAAATTAGGAGGTCAGAATTAATGCCCTTGCTTTTCTTTTTCTTTCTTTGGTCTTAGCAGCTTTCTCTTTCTGATGAAAAGAATATGATTTTCCTAAAAAAGCCTGCTCTTCTGAATTTTATATAGTCCAATAAGAGAAAACACAGCCTACTTACTGTTTTCTTTGTCTTCATTTGTAAAGTGATATCACCTCTATGATAGGTATATAACCTTATTGGCAACATGTAAATAAGGTACATCCTTCCTGTGATTGCTTTTAACTTTTTACATGAATTTAATTCTAGAATTCTCCATTTGTGCTCTCAATGTGTTTTTAGCCATTTTAGGAAGGCAGTAAAGTAAAAGAATTTAAAAGCAGATTAGCTCATTTTTAAGAGGAGTTAAATAAGAAATGTATAGAATTTCTCTTTTATGGAATGTACATTTTTATAACACATGGGCCCTTTATATTATATTTATAGTGATTTATAACCATGAATATGTTTATCTGAAATGGACTTAGAGGTGAAAATATTCTATATGTATGTGTGTGTGTGTTTCTCCCTTAGATATGTTGATTTAGTAGTTCTGGGATGAGGCCCCAGCCTCTAAAATTTTAAAAGCCCTCTTGGATTTTCCTATTGTACAACCAGTTGAGAAGTACTGATTTAGAATGTTCTGTTTGGAAATAATTTCTTGTGTGAGAAGGCTGTCTCATTTTGTGGCTGACAGGACAAAGGCAAACAGAGATGAAAGAATTTTTGTGAAAACCACACAGCAAGCCCTTGGGGGTGCCAGCAACAGACACAAGAATTGTTTCTTTTTAGTCACTCTCTTTTCAACCAGAATAAATGACCAAGGTGTATGTAGGCTAGGGCCCTTGTTGTGGTTAACTTAATTGCAGAAGAATATAATTCACACCTTGCCACCCACTTAATTCTCTTCTAGAAAAAATAGGTCCAAATTGGCTGGAGCAGAGAATGTGCATAGAGATACCCTGAGGATCCAGGTAGGAATTTCTGTTTTTTTCTAATTCAGTGTAGTTTTAGATTTGTTTGGGTTTCAATGGGCCAGCTAAGCAGAATATTTGGTCATCAGTAGTCATGACTTGTCTAAATTTCCCCCTCATTTCCTGCCTTCATCAACTCATACTCCATCCTCTTCATTATGGTGTAAAAACACAATGAAAAGGAATGGATAACAAAGACATTCTCTTTTTTTCTCGACAGGGTCAGGCTGGAGTGCAGTGCCACAGTCTCAGCTCACTGCATTCACTGCAACCTCTGCCTCCTAGGCTCAAGCCATCCTCCCACCTCAGCCACCCAAGTAGTGGGGACTATAGGTGCACAACACCACACTTGGCTAATTTTTGTATTTTTTGTAGAGACAGGGTTTTGTCCTGTTGCCCAGGCTGGTCTTGAATTCCTGAGCTCAAGCAATCTGCCTCACCTGCCTTGGCCTCCCAAAGTGCTGGGATTACAGGCATAAGCCACCACAACCAGCCGACAGTGCACTTCAGAAGTTAGGATTTTGACTACATTGGATCAGTTCTTCACCTTCTTTGTCTATAAGAACAGGATGTTAAAGTCAACATAAGTATTATGCAGGTCTCATTTTCATGGTAGCTGCAGAATGCAATCTTGACAGATGGAACTCTATAATTGTATGTCTAGAGGTAGTATAAAAGCGTCCTTTCTGGTGGTGAGAGGTGGCTTTATGAGAAGGTAAGGCCAAGCAATAGGTTTTTCCTGGAATTTTCATACCTTGTCATTCTGAACAATTTACTGTTAACCGTATGTGTTTAAGAAAAGCATGCTTCAATGGAATTTAAGCATGACATCCCTTCCTTCATTTCCACAGATAAGAAGTAGATGCCCATAGATTCTGGGTAATATTCAGGCCTTAATAACATTACCAGACATTGAGTCCATTAATGGATGCTGAGGGTAGGGTAGTAATAACAATAGTAAACTTTTATTGAGTGTGTGCCAGCCATTAATGTTTTATACAGATTACTTTATGTAATCTTTACAAATCCTTATGTAGAAGGGTAGTGTGTATTCACTGTTTTAGGCCACCCAGATTCTCTCTCCCTTTCTGTTAATAAGTGCACCCAGATTTTCATTTCTACCCCCTGGATATTCGCTGTGCTTTGAGGGAAATAGATCTCATCCTCATCTCCAGGTTGTTCCCTGATTGACTTAAGTCAAGTGGCAAATCCCATTCTCCAGGCAACAGTGACTAGTTCAGGTATGATCATGTGACCCAATTTGAACTAGTTAGATCTTGGAGAAATTTTCTGGGGGATCCTGGGTCTTCTGTAGAAATATCTGGAGAGACATACCCATCATGTGAAATATTAATGCGGAAGCATGGAATCTGCTTAGTGGGGGCAGCCTTGGGTAAAAGTAACACCAAAGAAGTTAATAAAGAAAAAGAGAAAGAAACTGGAACATTGTTGATTTCACTGATCAGCTAGATTAAGCCTCAATTAAAGCCTATATGACTTTTAGGTTTTTTAGCCAGTAACTTCCTTTCACATTTAAGTTGAATTGGATTTTCTGCTTCTGGCAACCAAAAGATTCCTAACAGGTTTTGAGAGTAAAATCTTTATTTTACTGATAAGGAAATTGGCTGAGAGAATTTGAATACTTTCCACAATTCAATAGAAAAAGTAAATGAGAGATTAGGGTGGTTTGATTACAAAATCTATGAACATACCTGATATCTTGAGAAGGTAGAAGATAATGTTATTGCTAAGGGTAGAGTCCTAGAAAATAATGTTTTCCTTCTTTTTCTTACTCCTGATGGAATGTGAATTTAACTTGTGAAGAATGTGTAAGAAATTCATTTGAAATCTTGAGCTGTATATCCTTTGTTTGATATAATTTTCTATGTATGGATTTTGGAGTGGCTATATGAGCCAAAATATCTTACTGGAGAAATCATTATAAATCATTTTGTTATGAGCTCATCATATGTAATTTTTAGTATTAGTTTTTAGAACAGGATTGGATTTAAGTATATTATCAAATCTGATTATATTTTTGAATCAGCTAGGAGGCTTATAAAATATACATTCCTAAGCTCCAGGACAGTCTGTTTGAGGTGAGATCCCTGGGCAGTTACAATGTACAACTGGATTTGACAGCCTCTAATCTAAGTTTGTGACTATATATATAAAGGAAAACTGTAGTTATTCAGAGACCTACCAGACAAAGATCAAGTGATGGATCAAAAACAAGATCTAGGCTGGGTGTGGTGGCTCATGCCTGTAATCCCAGCACTTTGGGAGGCCAAGTCGGGTGGATCACGAGGTCAGGAGTTTGAGACCAGCCTGGCCAACATAGTGAAACCCTGTCTCTACTAAAAATACAAAAAATTAGCCAGGCATGGTGGCAGGCGCCTATAATCCCAGCTGCTCGGGAGGCTGAGGCAGGAGAATCGCTTGAACCCGGGAGAAGGAGGTTGCAGTGAGCTGAGATTGCGCCATTGCACTCCAGCCTGGGTGACAGTGCGAGACTCCGTCTCAAAACAAAAACAAACAAAGAAACAAAAAAACAAGGTCCAAAGGAAGGCAGACAATTTCTACTGGATACGAAATATGAAGACTTATAAACAGCGTGCCCACTGGAAACAAGACTATTTCAAATGTCTTTGTAGCCCCTTAGAACACAGTAATTTTTTTTTTCCTTTTCTCCCCCACTAAGATTAGGGGAAAAAAAGAGAAACAAAGAGACATGGCAATACATACAGGCTCCTTTCATCAATAACTTGATAACTTTTTAGCAGTCAATTAGAGGTTTATCTTGCAAAAGAAACCAAAGTCTAGGTGGAAGACAATAGCAAGGACTTTTGACATAAACCTTCCCTAAACACTTGGCACTTACTAGAGCCATCAGCAAACCCTAGGCAGAATTTTTCAAATTTTTTGTGTACATTAGAATCACCAGAGAAACTTCTTAAAACTGCATATTCTGCCCTCATTCCACCTCTTCTGAATCAGGATGTCTGGAGCAAGGGCCTGGGAATCTGCATTCCCCATCCCTCTTAATGATTCGAATGCAGGCCATTTAGGCAACATACTTTGTGAAAACTGCCCTAGAAGTTTTCTCAAAATTGGAGACTTGGGTGAAATTATTCTGCTTAAGGCCAAGGTTCTAAAGATGTGAGAAACCACATCAGTTAGTAATCATTATTTAGGTAACTAATTATTCCTAGGAGTGATCTTAAATTGTGTTTTAAATTTTCTATCACTTCAGTTGTAGCAATTAAGGATAAATGATTATCTTAAATAATTATTTAATAAATAGTTGGTTTTAAGGTTAAGAGTAATAAGGTGCTTAAGAGTGAGATACATCTTCTGTGATTTAGTGAACCACATTATAGGATGCATGACTCCTGAAACCATGAAGCTGTGGCTTGAGCAGTTGGGAGCAGTTTACCTGGATTGAAAAAGAAATTAGTGCCTAGAAGGAAGGATTTTGTTTAGTGTGTTAACCTTACTATATCTTCTCAAGGTGATGGTAAACCTTGAGGTATTTGCCTAGCTATTGAGCATCAAAACAATTCTTATTTTCTCTTAACAGAATGAAAAGGAGCAGCGCTCTTAGTAGCTATGGCATTTTAGTCATTTTAGGTTGACTGCAATAGATTTCTCATAAAATTCTGTGCAAAGTGCCAGAATGTTAGTTATTCCATCAGTAAGAATGAGCATAAGTAATAATACTGATGTAAATAATCATCCTGTAAACTCTTTATTGCTAAGGAGTTCAACATGAGGTCATGTGTTGTGAACATCTGGTTGAATGACTGAACTGTGAATTTTCAAGGTCTTGTGAAGAAGGGTGAGAGCTGCCTGCTATCTTTAGGATTTCTGTCTCTTTTTGAAAACACCCCAGATAGTCAGTGTAGATAAATAAGGAAATTAACCTGGCAGTGCTAAAGGTGATCAGAAAACTGTCTTCTTCATTCCTGCTTAGGAAAGGTATTGATGAAGAGAGCACTTCTAGTTATCAGGGTACTTGATAGATTGTGGTAGATTGCAAAATGGCCACAAATTCCTCCCACCCCTCTATGCATACCCTTTTGCAAAATAACTTTGCCACTTCTATCCAAGAGAATTCTGTTTTCTCATCCCTCAAATTTCATCTTGGCCACGTAACTTGCTTTCCCCAGTGGGACATCAGCAAGGGGAGACATGTAAAGAACCAGTGCAGTGTGTTTTGCCCCTTCTTGCTACCCTTGGGAACTTTCCTCTGTAATCACCTTCATGTGAAAAAGCCTGGCTCACCTGCCTACTGGAGGGTGAGAAATTCCTCAGCTGACAGCCAACAGTGGTTGACAGCCATCCCTACCTCCAAACATTAGAGATAGGCTATTCTAGTTCTTTCAGACCCCAATCAACACACAGACTTGTGACCAATAATAAAATGGTTCTTGTTTTAAGCTCCTAAATTTCAGAGTGGTTTATGATTCACTGAAAGCTAACTGATAGAGAGCAAATCTCTTTAAAAGTTTTTGATACTTTCATTTTTATGAGGTGTGTCAGTTTCTTTCTTTAGGCAACACTCCTTGGGGGCAAAAAAGTTTCTTTTTCTTTTTTTTTTTTTCAGACGAAGTCTTGCTCTGTTGCCCACGCTGGAGTGCAGTGGCGCCATCTCGGCTCACTGCAAGCTCCGCCTCCCGGGTTCAAGCCGTTCTCCTGCCTCAGCCTCCCGAGTAGTTGGGACTATAGGTGCCCACCAACATGACCGGCTAATTTTTTGTATTTTTAGTAAAGACAGGGTTTCACCATATTAACCAGGATGGTCTCGATCTCCTGACCTCGTGATCCACCCGCCTCGGCCTCCCAAAGTGCTGGGATTACAGGTGTGAGCCACCACGCCTGGCAGCAAAAACGTTTCTTGCTCCTTGTAGCAGACACATCTCTCTGGTCTCATCAGATTCATTTGGCTTAATCAGCCTGCTGTACCTCAACTCACTTGCTCTGTCTCAGCTGCTGCCATAGCTACCCGACTCCCCGTGGGCCTATAGGGTCCTGTTGCCTGAGGCTGAAGGCTGTTGGCCCAGTCTCTCTGACTCTTCCCACCACTTCTGAATGTGGAGGAAACACCATGTCAGATCTGGCTTCCTGAGTGGCTGCTGAAGGGGGCAGGTGATTTGGCCCAGAGTGCAGGGGCGTTAACTCCCTATGGCTCAAACTTTGAAGATCGGAGATGGAGACAGGAGGGAGGTGAGCAGATAAATTCTCTCTCTTTCCTCTCCCTGACGGGCTTTCTGAGAGTGGTTTCTCTGCAAAGCCTGTCTGGATATGTCCTTTATCTACCAAGCAACCGGCAGTGTCCTTTTCAAGGCTTCTCTTGAAGCTGTGGCCCACACAGTGATATATTACCTGGGATTTCTTCCAACTTCCTCTGTCTCACTTCCCTTTTCCCTCACTCTCCCTATCCTGGGACTATGCCTTCCAAATAAAGCACCCAATCTCAGGCTGTGATTTTTAGGGAGCACAGATTGAGATTCTCTATTCTTAGCATGTCAGACATTTACTGGTGTTAAGGATACTCCTAGCTCAGTATACACTTGTTGCAGTCAGTTGAAGGGTTTAATCAGAAACACTGAAAGTGTTACGTGGAGCATTAGACTGACAGAGGTCAATCAAATCTTGGCTCCATCATGGTGAGAAAAGCCTTATTTATGATGCTGCTTTCTGTGGGTCATATTAATTCATTAATTTATTGTCAATTAATGTATTTGCTTTTGTGGAAGTGATTCACTCACGTTTCAAAAGTTCAAATACTTCAAAAAGTGAAATGGAAGTCTCTTTCCCACTTTCTACCCTAGCCTTCTGCTTCTATTTCCCAGAGGACAACCCCGGGAAATACAAAATTTTCTTTTCTATTCTTACTGAGATATTCTTTGAACATACATTATATTTTTGAATCACCTGGGAGGCTTATAATATATATGTATATTCCTAAGCTCCAGGACAGTCTGTTTGAGGTGAGATCCCTGGGCAGTTACAATGTACAACTGGATTTGACAGCCTCTAATCTAAGTTTGTGACTATATATATAAAGGAAAACTGTAGTTATTTAGAGACCTACCAAACAAAGATCAAGTGATGGATCAAAAACAAGGTCCAGGCCGGGTGTGGTGGCTCACGCCTGTAATCCCAGCACTTTGGGAGGCCGAGGTGGGCGGATCACGAGGTCAGGAGTTTGAGAACAGCCAGGCCAACATAGTGAAACCCCGTCTCTACTAAAAATACAAAAATTAGCCAGGCATGGTGGTGGGCGCCTGTAATCCGAGCTACTTGGGAGGCTGAGGCAGGAGAATCGCTTGAACCCGGGAGAAGGAGGCTGCAGTGAGCCGAGATCGCACCATTGCACTCCAGCCTGGGTGACAGTGCGAGACTCCGTCTCAAGAAACAAACAAAGAAACAAAAAACAAGCAAACAAATGAACAAACAAAAACAGAAACAAGGTCCAGAGGAAGGCAGATAATTTCTACTGGATACGAAATATGAAGACTTAAAAACAGCATGCCCACTGGAAAGAAGGCTATTTCAAATGTCTTTGTAGCCCCTTAGAACACAGTAATTTTTTTTTTCCTTTACTCCCCCACTAAGATTAGGGGAAAAAAAGAGAAACAAAGAGACATGGCAATACATACAGGCTTCTTTCATCAATAACTTGATAACTTTTTAGCAGTCAGTTAAAGGTTTATCTTGCAAAAGAAACCAAAGTCTATGTGGAAGACAATCACAAGGACTTTTGACGTAAACCTTCCCTAAACACTTGGCACTTACTAGAGCCATCAGCAAAGCCTAGGCAGAATTTTTCAAATTTTTTGTGTACATTAGAATCACCAGAGAAACTTCTTAAAACTGCATATTCTGCCCTCATTCCACCTCTTCTGAATCAGGATGTCTGGAGCAAGGGCCTGGGAATCTGCATTCCCCGTACCTCTTACTGATTCGAATGCAGGCCATTTAGGCAACATACTTTGTGGAAACTTTTATTTTTAAAGACATTATTTTTAAATAATAAATTATTAAAAAATAAATTATTTTAAAACAATTATCATTATTATTATTTACATACTGTTCCACTCCTTGCTTTTCTCATTTGACCATGTGTCCTGAAGATCATCCCAAATTATTTCAGAGAGAGCGACCCCAGTCTTTTTAATGGTTGCACAATTTTCTTCTTCTTATTATTATTCTTTAAGTTTTAGGATACATGTGCACAACATGCAGGTTTGTTACATATGTATACATGTGCCATGTTGGTGTGCTGCACCCATTAACTCGTCATTTAGCATTAGGTAGCAGAGTTTATCTAAAGAGTCCCCTAGTAATAGACATTTTACTTGTTTCCAATTTTGAGATTGCCAAGACACTGCAATATATTATACATACGTCTCTGAGCACATTGTGATTCTATCTGTAGGATAAATTCTTAGAAGTGGGATTGCTGAATCAAACGGGGGTGTGTGCCTTTTATATTTTGAAATTGCCAAATTGACATGTATTTTCTTGATCTGTTTCAGTTCTTTGCCTTAAAATGCCGTCAATATCTAATCTGTCTAAGTGTATTCTCCTACATCTAAGAAGATGGAGGTTTAACAGCCATGTGGGGGGAGATGTTAGCTGACTCATCAAACAGAAGAATTGGGGGTAGGAGTTTGAAGGGAAGAAAAAAGGAACTGATTTGAAGCAAGGAGACAATTGGAGGTGTGCCAAAAGCAACACCCTTTCATCATTTCGGGAAGCAAATTCTAGGAGGTATCATGAGCATTGCAGTGATCAAAAAGGCAGAGGAGAAGAACAAAATCTGCTGTAGGTAAAGCCAGTACCAGGCAGTGAAGGGACTAATTAGGAGAGTAAAGAGACAAAGGCCCGGCTCTCATATATGGAGTAGATCTTTAATTACTTTAAATAGGTTAAAGATTCATTACAAATTATGATTTTTCTCCCTGGACATCTTCTGATGACAATAGACACTGTTTTCTTCTCCTCCAACTTGTATACAATCAGAACAGCCTCAGTGACTCATACAGTGTCTCTTCCAAACCTCAGGGAACTTTATTCCTCTGACTGTAGCTTTCCAAAGTCAGCCCTTTTCCATTCTTTTGGTTCTTCCTTCAGTTAGGAGCACACCTCCTAATGCATATCTCCAGGGAATTGGGAGGTGTTCTCTGTCCCATGCCCAAGAGGGAGGGCTGCAGTGAGAGACAGTTCCATCTGCACAAAGCAACTGGTCTCTGATATTGAAAAGTATAAAGGGCTGACAGCTCATTTATTCTCAGACATTCCCTGAACTGTACACTTGCTGATGCAATTCTGTTTCCCCTCCACTCACTCACTTGACTCTTGGTTTTAAAGATATTGCTTGCAGTGCTCTTATCACCTCAGCAGAGTTACTTCAATGAAGGGCAGATTTCTCTGCTTAAAACAAGAGTGTAGACATGTTGAGGCAGAGGTAATAAGAATACCTAGTTGTGAATGTAAACTCCATAATCTTACCAGAGTTGCCTTTTCTTCAGTCTCTGTTGTTTTATCTAGAGGAAAGAATAGATAAAAACTAACATTATACAGAAATTATGTATTTTAATAGATGAAAAAGAGCAACGTAATTTAGAACTCTATAATTCAGATTGAACTAATCAAACCCCCTTTTTAAAAGACAAGACAGTATTTTCACTCATTAAACATTTTGCCACAACATGTTCTTAGATATATATCGTGGCAATTTTCCCCCCTAAGTTAGGCACAAGAATAGGTCTATGAGTTAGGAATCCTATGCTAGGGTAATCCTGGGACTACTTGAATCAAACACTCCAAATGCATATTACAATCATTACCTATTTGAACTTTCTGCCTGGAGCAAGTGTATTAATATATATCCTGATAGCATCAGGCTAGATGTGCCTATCACAATTTTGCATTCTCCATCTCCCAAATGGAATAAAAATAATTCTGTTCTATTTTTATATAGCCTGGTAAGAATAGTTAGAATAATAGCCCAGCGTTTTCCACACTAGAAACAATTACTTTGCGTGGTTTGGCCTTCAAAGTTTAAACCATCTTGAAAGAAACTGAATGGTCCAGAGAGTTTGGATCCATCTAAGTGAAGGAACAAAAATAATATTTGATGTGTTTAATCATTGTTTAAATAAGTGGTCAAATTTTTACCCAGAGAGACCTTTTTTCCCAATAAATTCTTTAGTGGAACCCAAATGCATATAAAACAGATGAAGCCTGGAGTTATGTCTGCATGCATCCCTCTTCTCTGCTCCTTGCCCTCCCAACTTTCCAAGTCTAGATGTCACGGAACCCAGAGCTGGACAGAGCTGTCAGGGGCTGTACGTCACTGCACCATCAATACCCATACAGCATCTGGCACATCAAGAGTGCCCAGTTGTTGCCTGTGAAATTACACAGAACTTAGCATTATAGAAACCTGTGCATAAGATGTGCTAGGTGGAAATTCCTGGAGTTCCTATTTAAAAAAATTGATCCAAATGAGATCCATGTCTTTCAAGTATATGTTTTTTGGCAACATTTAAAAGGGTTTATGAGGCTTACTTTGGGAATGTCAGGCTAATATAATTATAAGGGTCGTAATCCACTTTAAGGCAAATGCAGCTTTTAGGGTGACAGGGGACAAAGTCACCTGTTGGATAGGAAGGAAGAATGAGAGGACATTAATACTTGCTCATTCATGTACTACTAAAGTTATTTGGCTCCTCTGCCTGGCTGATATGTCCTCAAAAGCTGGGTGCTAAATTAAAGATGTCACCTTCCCATACAAAGACGTGTGTGTGTGTGAGTGTGTGTGTGTTTGTCATTTCTTGATCAAAGGCTTATGGTAGAGTTGTGAACAGGCAGATGAAGGGCAAAATCTAGCCTAGACACTCTGCCTCACAGTGTTTTAAAAATAATTTTGAACTCATTGCCAAGATTTTTAAAATGGGGAGATTTCACATATCAATCCAGATTTCCAGTTTCTCTTGAAAAAGTAAAAGATTTGACAATACTGTGAGCCCACCTTCTTCTTAACCAGTTGTTCCCAAAGCATAGTTCCTAGACCAGCAGCATCAGCATCAACTAGGAACTTGTTAGAAACTCTGGGGGTGGGGCCCAGCAGTCTCTGTTTAATAAGCCACCCAGGTGATTCTGATGCATGCTTACATTTGAGAACCACTGCTGTTCACTAGAATTAAGCAGAGCTTGATGGTGTATGTGCTTTCCACCTAGGCTGTTCCACTCATTCATGCAGTCATCTGGCCCTTATGAATATTTCAGGTTTTTTTTTAAAATGTGTGTGTGTGTATGGATGTGATCATCTAGTATGAAGGCATGAGATTTTCAAACCTCTGATTTTGAATCTGAGGCCCCAAAGATCTGAGGTCATTCAGAGATCTTTAGGAACCCTAGCACCATCCCATAGGCATATCAGATCTGACTTTTCATCTTCTTTTAGCTACTGCCCATGTGGCAGTATGAGAAAACTCAATTAGTACAAACAGATAAGGGCCTATTAAAGTCTTGGGAAGAAGAGAGCACTGGTTGGAGTTCATAATGCATACAAGTAAAATGGTCAGATAAAGTTTTATTTAATTATGTTGCAGGCGGGAAAAGAGTCACAAGTAATTTTCGTATATTTAAATGTGTATTTTTAATGAACTTTTCAGAATGTCTGTATGGTTTCTGCTGGTTTGTCAGACAGCCACCAATTACTCAGTCTCACCCTAAATATAAACAAGGCATTATTTCATTATCAGGAACATCTACTGAAGCAGACTCTCTATATGTCAGTTAGCCTTCTAAATAGTTTCCAAGCATGAGTTGCATATGGAGGTATCCTCAAATCAGCCTTCTGTTTTACTTGGCCAACTGTTATGATGTAGATAACTATGATTCTTAGATCAACCTAAGTTGTTTTTATCTCTTTCAGGCCCTGGAGATAATATTTAGCTTCTTGAAGTAATTATGAAATTGTATTAGTCTGTTTTCATGCTGCTGATAAAGACATACCCGAGACTGGGTAATTTATAAAGAAAAAGAGGTTTAATGGACTCACAGTGCCATGTGGCTGGGGAGGCCTCACAATCATGGCAGAAGGTGAAAGGCATGTCTTACTTGGTGACAGGCAAGAGAGAAATGAGAGAACCAAGCAAAAGGGGTTTCCTCTTATAAAACCGTCAGATCTTGTGAGGCTTATTTACTACCAAAAGAACAGGATGGGAGAAACTGCCCCCATGATTCAATTATCTCCCACCAGATCCCTCCCACAACACATGAGAATTATGAGAGCTACAATTCAAGATGAGATTTGGGTGGAGACACAGCCAAACCATATCAGAAATAATATTTATTAGAGCTCATCAAACATCCAAGTCTTCTATACTTCCCAGCCCCAAGGCAGGTAGTTGGGTCATGTGGCTAATTCTTAACAATGGAATGCATATAGAAGTGCCATGTCAATTCTGGTCTGAGGCAGTTAAGAGGGGATAAACCTTCTCCATGCTTTCACTTTTCCTGCTTTGGCAATTTTGGGAACAAGTATTCCAGACAATAGAATTGCAAAGTGAAGGCATCTTGGATCCTCAATTTGCCATCTGAAAAGATGTTATGTAGGACAACTACTATCTGATCCACTTCAGGTTCTGACATGAGCAAGAATTAAGCCTTTGTTGTGTTAAACTTTGTTACAGCAGGACTGCCTGTCCTATCCTGACTAATATAGCCTGTTTAAAACTCTGAGAAGCTAGCTTGGCTGAGGAACATACTGGGGCTTCAGTGGGAGCCAATATGAAAGGAAAAAAAGCTTGGACGGACATATCTGTAGAGCTAGCCCTTGAAGGGAGTTCATTTGACAGTGTCTAGAATGATGCTTCTTCTAGACTAAGGTCAGTACCAAAGAACATTTGATCTAATGAGCAGGACACAGTAGCAAAATTCTCTGGGCAGTGATGATACTTACAATCATATGAAAGGAAAAGAATCAGGTTGGGTGCAGTGGCTCACGCCTGTAATCCCAGCACTTTGGGAGGCCGAAGCAGGTAGAACACTTGACATCAGGAGTTCGAGACCAGCCTGGCCAACATGGTGAACCCCTGTCTCCGCTAAAAATACAAAAATTAGCCTGGCATGGTGGTGCACTCCTGTAATCCCAGCTACTTGGGAGGCTGAGGCAGGAGAATCACTTGAATCTGGAAGGCGGGGGTTGCAGTGAGTCGAGATCGTGCCATTGCACTCTGCACTCCAGCCTGGGAAACACAGTGAGACTCTGTCTCAAAAAAAAAAAAAAATATATATATATATATATATATATATGTGTGTGTGTGTGTGTGTGTGTGTGTGTGTGTGTGTGAAAGGAATCATTGTGGTTCAGGATAATTTTCTGATTTGGAGCAAGAGCCCAGCTAGTTGACAGCCAAGGGTAGACCCAGGGCCAAGCCCCTGGAGGTTGAAGGCTGGGTTAGATGGGCAGGGCCCTGAAAAAAGGACTGAGTTTGACCCCAGATTTCATGACCCAGGGTAAAATGTTGGAGGGAGGATGTTGAGGAGATACTCAGAAACGTAAAGACATGCCCATTTTGGAGTTTGGATGACTGGGTAGATGAGGGTACCATTTCCTAGGACAGGGGAAATGGAATGAGGGATTTGGATGTGTTTGTATTGAGTTTTGGATATACAGGTTGAGTATCCCTAACCTGAAAATCCAAAATGTGAAAGATGCACCAAAATCTGAAACTTTTGAGCACCAACATGATGCTCAAAGAAAATGCTCATGGATTTCAGGTTTTCAGATTAGGGAGACTGAACTAGTAAGTATAATGCAGATATTACAAAATCTGAAAATATTCGAAATCCAAAATACTTCTGGTCCCAAGCGTATCAGATAAAGAATACTCAGCCTATATATGGGACATCCAAATGTCAGTGGTGGTGCCAAAGGGTGGCTTGTGGGTCATAGCCTCCTCATAGTTTCAATTAACCTTCTAGTTGGCTTCTCTAATGATGTACACAGTTGTAGTAAAATCAGTTTATGCTATGCAAAGGTAGTTTCAAGATAAGCCCAGCCCTCCCCTTCCCTTTAGAGTACTGTTTCTAAACCTCTCTGATATAGAAATTCTGTGACCTCTACTGTCCAGTAACGATATTTACTAAGCAGTTGTATATATATGGGTCAGAGCAACGTTGGGCAAATAAATAAAAGATTTGGTGTCGTTAGCGTAAAGATGGAAGTGTAATTCATGGGTGAGAAGGGAATTGCCCAATAAAAGTGTTATCAAGTGGGAAGAGGACATAATAAAGAAACTGGAAGAGCACCAATGTCTGAGAGCAGCCCTGCTGAGAAAGAAGAGTTGTGAAGGTGATTAAGGGAAAGGAGGAGAGAATGGTGTCCAGGAAATCAAGGTAGGAGAGAGTTTCATGGAAGGGAGAAAGATCAAATTTCTCTTAAGCACAGAAAAGGTTGAGAGGAATGTTGTCCTGGGGTGTTGAGGGTGTGTGATAGTATTCTCTCCACCACCTCTCACGGGCTGAGGAGGCAGCTGAGAGAGAGAGCAGATCTCTTTGCCCTGGAACATTTGCAAAGCGGTGCTCAGTTTCCTTCTGCATGAGCTCTTCCACTGCACCCTTTGTTGATACAGGCAGGCATGGGGCCACCCTTAGGCTCTGCAAAGATAACCTAATAACAGCTTGGCCAGAGCTCTTGTTCTTCCTAAACCCCAGAAAGAGACTTGGATGGCGAAGCAACCACTTGCCACCAAAACAGTTACTGCCACCCCCCACTCAGGATCATCGACAAGCTGCCTGCTAGGTTGGGTGATATGTCTTTTATTTAGCTTTCTGTTAATTTGCTAAACACTGTTTTGGTCTATGTGACTGTAGAATATAAAAATGCAGTAGGTGGTTTATAGGAGACAAGTTGCAAGAGAATGCTCTGTGCTCTGAGCCACACACAAAATACCTACCCTCCGAAGGGCAGGATTTTCCCTCGGGCTAACGTGGAGCGAGCTAAGCAAGGTTCCCCATCCTCTTTATGGCTCTCTTTGACCTGCTCCTCCCCTCAGTGCCGTGTGGTGGGCGTACAACTGTTGCAAGTAGGTGGCACAGCTGTTTGCTTTGACTGCCTCTGTACCTCAGGGATCTCAGCCACACAGTTAACATTGCAGGATGAAAATGGCATTTATGCTTTAATAAACTCACCCTATTTCTTTGTTAGAGGAAAAAAAGCGGGGGATACCACCCACAACGTTGCCAGCTACATGTCACCGCTCAGATCACACCACAGTGGCTAATATTTTCCAAATTCTCCCTTGCATTGAAAATGGAAACCATTAGAAAAATATTGGGATGGTGTGAAGATTTCCCAAACACCTGCCTCCCACCTCTTATGCACATATGCCTGGTTTTTGCAGTGCACGTAGCTTTGTTTCTTTTTTTTTTCCTTTTGGTGCATTTTCATTTACAAGCACATGTATATTTTATAAGTGTATGTGTACATACTTCTTGGTGATTTACTTGTAAATTTCCTAAATGGGGAAGCCACACAAAGGTCGCCAAGCTGTGGATGGAATTAAATAGCATTTCCTAATAGGAAATAATAAAGCAGGCGTCAGAAATGTATAGGCAAGAGGGAAAATGCATTTTCAACCGGAAAGTTATTGAGTGTTTATAATCAAGGAGCTGATTCTGTAGAGGAGGGGAGTCACCCTCCTCTTCCTTGTCAAATAAATCACAGCAAGCTCTCCAAGTTGTCACTCTGAAGGGCTAAATCTTTCAGGCTTCGCTCCTTTTTGTCCTGCTAAGACAACACAGTCACATATCCTTGCTGGCACACCTTTTTCTCCCTCCTCCTTGCCTGGCAGTATCTATCAATATATATTTCATGGGTAACCGTGGATGGCACATTTTTCTGATTTGACTTGAAGTATCCATAACTATGATGGACTTTGCCTGACTCAGAAATCAGCTGCCTTTCAGTCTCCCATCTAGAGGACCTCTGCAAATCAAAGAAAAGAGCGACATTAACTTCTTGCTTTTGTTGTCATTACATTATTTTATTACTAGCCTGTTATTACTTTAACACTGTGGAGCTACAAGTAACTCAGTCTGAGATAACAAAATTCATGGTATTAAGGAAGTTTGGAATTGGAGGGAATTTTAGATCTTACAGCCCTAGACAATCTGGAATAACAATTGAAACCTGATAACCAATAGTCATACTAATGATTGCTATATTCCGTATTTATATAATCCTTTTGCTTTTAGATTTTTAAGATTTTTAGGGTGCTTTAAAAACAATGATCAATATTTTTTGGAGTAGAGGTTTTATATTGTTTCTGAAAGCCTGTGTTTTCTATGTATATATAAGCAGGAAATACTCCATTCATTCATTTATTATTTTAAATATTTTTATTGAATACCTATTATGTTTTAGGTACTATTCTAAGTGCTGAGGATAATAAAGTGAACAAGAATGATATAATCCATGCTTCATAGAGCTTATGTTTTCATAGGGGCATCAGACATAAATGAGTAAATCAACCAAAAGATAATTTTGTATTGTTATGGGCTCTGATTAAAATATGACAGGCTTATATGGTAGTGACAAGGGGTTGGCTACCTTAGATTATGTGGTCAGGGAGCCCCTCTCTGACCAGGTAACATTTGGTCTGAGAACTGAATGACAAGAAGCAGCCATAAGGTAAACAAAATTTGGGAAAGGAATTCTCCAGATAAGGCCTAAGGCAGAGATGAGCTTGGCAAGAGTGAGAAGAGAGAGCTGGAGTGAGCTGGGGGAAGAGGCGTGTGTGATGAGGTCAGAGAAGTAGGTAGATCCAGGTCACCCATAAACTTTTAGATCAGGGAAAGAGTCAGAGTTTTATTTTAAGTGCAACAGGAAGCCACGGGGCAGAGAAGGAGGCTCAAAAAGGTGAGAGATGTTGCAGAGCCTGTGTTTGTGGATGAACTGTAGAGCTGTGGTTCAAGAAGCTCAGCTCCAGTGTGGTTACAGGGACTGAGTGTGGGTAGGGCCGTTTCCTTAAATGGAATCCAAGATGCTGTGCACAGAAGGAGGGGGATGGATGGCAGCCAGCCAAAATAAAAGATGTGACACTGCTAGAATTTTCTCTGAAGAGAAATTTTATAGACCTTGGGTACATGGACAAGAATAGTTATAAAAACATGAGAATACATCTATCTATCTATCATCTATCTAATCTATCATCTATGTTATCTATCATCTATCTATCTATATCTATCTATCTTCTGTGTATCTTTCCATCCATCCATTATTTATCTATTATGTATCCACTCACCCCTCTATCCTTTTCTACATGTAAAGAGCCAGAAAAAAATGATCCCAGAGAGGATTTACTCTCCAGAATTTTTGGAGAAGAAGGTGAAGAAATGGCAAAAGCTTTTCCCCAGCAGGGATATAGTTACACCCTACTTCGAGACACTTCATCATAATGATGATGATCATTGAAGAAGAAAATAACTTTCACGTATCCCCTTAAGTTGGGTTCCCTCCAAAGCAGATGTAGAGACAAAGATTTGGCTGCAGGTCATTTATTAAGAGGTAATCCTAGGAACCAGGGAGAAAGTGGTAGAATCAGGGAAGAAAGGAGAGCCAGCAAATGGTGTATTATGAGAAGACTGAAAGAGTAGACAACAGAGGACCTCTGTGCAGGACATGTTTTGGAATTGTGTCACCAAGAGGCGAGGAGACCAACTTCCATCCTTGAGTATTTGAGGGTCTCTTCTGGGGTATTAAATCCCCAGCTCTTCCAATCTGCCCAGCATTCCAGGGGCCAGGGAGCACTTTCAGGTAGAAAGATGCAGGAAGCTGTTGATATGTGTGGGTACTGCCTGTGATATCAGGTGTGGGCTCAAGGATATGGACAGAATACCTGTGTAGACATTTAAGGAAACTTCAGGTATAAATGGTGCTGATTATATCCTGGTATGAGCTACCCAAGGAAAATTTCATGTCTCCAAGGAAAATCTATTCAGTTAGATCAACCTCACTACAGATCTCATGATGCTCCTTAAAACCTTTTAAAACCTGCTGCAGCAGTTTTCATGGTAACTGTGTCTGTGGTTGCTGAGGCTCTGCATTTGGGAAATTCTGAACTTTGGTGGTTCCTCTACAACAGCGGTCCCCAACCCCTGGGCCATGGTACCAGTCCGTGGCCTGTTAGGAACCCAGAGACACAGCAGGAAGTGAACACAGGGCGAGTGAGCTTTACTGCCTGAGCTTCACCTCCTGTCAGATCAGCAGTGGCATTAGATTCTCATAGGACCATGAACCCTATTATGACCTGTGCATGTGAGGGATGTAGGTTGTGTGCTCCTTATGAGAATCTAAGGCCTGATGATCTGAGGTGGAACAGTGTCACCCTGAAACTATTCCTCTGAACCCCATTCGTGGAAAAATTGTCTTCCATGAAGCCTGTCCTGGGTGCCAAAAGGGACCTCTGCTCTACAATAACTGCCTTTCTACCACTCTCCCATGTCTAAAGATGGTGGTCACTTCTTCAGGTTTAAAGTCCTGCTCTAGAGGTGGCTTTCTGGGGCATCAGGAAACTCCTGAGGGTAGGATAGTGTAGTGGATGTCTTAGTGTACTACCCACAACTCCCTTAAGGACTTGGGCACTCACCCCTCTACTGCTAGGGAATATGGGTGCTGCTGGCTTTCAGCTAAGGCTCTGCTCAGGAATTGTCCTCAGCCGAAGAGAGCTCCCCACTCCAGGTTCCACCCCTTCCTAGGGGGCAGCCTTCATCCACTGACATCCATCCTTAGTGTAAAGGCACTAAGGCCAGATACCCTTGCCTCCATGAGGGACAACTCTGAAGAGCCATTATTGCTCCAGAGCTCCCTGTGGGATAGGCTGAGGCCTCTGCTGCAACTGCATCAAAATCCAACTTCTCCCACTTCCATGTTCTGCTTCTTTCATGTCTCCACAGGTGTTGATCTCTAAAACACACCCAATAAGCCTCCTGCACCAAAATTTGTGTCAGAATCAGTTTTCTGAAGAACCTGACTTAAGGGTTCAACGAGGGGCAACTATTTATGCCTTCTTGTTTGATCCTCCTTCTCCACTAACAGCTGACAGGTTCTAAAAAAGTCCCATTGATGGCCCTGGGAACTTGAAGGTCCTTGAGAGTCTTGGCTGTTTAGGGAGGCCCAAGAGTAATGGCTTTTTTTCCAGAGCCCTTAATATCATTCCTGTAGAGGAAAAAGAGCCCTCAGGATGCCTAAGGAGTTGTAGTAAACAGATGGCACCCATGGCTCCTGGAGCCAGCCAAGTTCAGAATGGTCTGTCAAGTAGTGAAATGTTTCCTTGAGATTTTTATGGCTGTACAATGTTTGAAGAAGCCAACATATATCAAGAAATGTAGACAAGGAAGGACAGCCTACAAAAAGGGAAAGGAAATAGGAAGGCTTTAGACTTAGATTTAATATTCTTGGAAACAGAGATGAATGATTTAAAGCTTATTTGTTTATGTTTGTTTACCATTTGGTGCCTAGTGTTCTTATGATATAATTTGCTTCACAATTTTAAGATCTATTTTACATACCAATAACACCTCACACTTTCTGTATATAGTACACTTAATCCAGAGACTGTGTGGGTATCTATTTATAGAGGCTCACACTCACACTCACACTTATACTCATGTTTGTCTACACAGTGTGGCTAATATTATACACAGAAAGGGAGAGATATCAAGTCACCCTATGCCCAATAAATTTTTTGTTAGTGAAATAGTTTGTTGGAGGATGATAAACACAGTGCAAGAATGTCTGTAAGCTTTTCGAGTCTGCCTGCCCAAATGGTTAAGTAAAGCACAATATGAATTTTTATTTTCCTCTTGCTTCCTACAATACTCAACCCAGAGTTGGTGGACATTGAAAATCAAGCAGTAGGAATTGTACTCTATTTAAATATTTTAATTTTATATCTACAGAGCATTGATGACTGATTTAACTATCAAATTATAATGCTAAAGAAACTTATTGAAAATGATTTTCTAAGTGTTCTAAAAATATAGTACTGTAGGTTGATATAGCATAATAAGTTTCAAAAGGGCATCTGTGCTGGTATAGTTACCAAATTTTAGACCCATGTGACTTGATATGAACTGTATAAGAATATATTTTATTTATTCAACTTCATGACACCAAGACCAGGAGCTAGATTTTATAATAACATCATCTCATTCCAAATTATTTTCTTTTCTTAGGCTTTGCAGCTGTGTGACCATTTCTGAATATAATGGATTCATTCTACCCTCAAATATTTAATTTGATGGAAAGAAGCTTTAGATATCGAAAATTTTATATCATATTAACAAGGATGCTCATTGCAATATTGCATATAATATTGAAATACTGGAACAACTTGAATGTCCATCAATAGGGGAATGGTTATATTAATATAAATATAGTATATTTATACAATGCATCCTGGAATAAACAATGATGTAAATATACATCTATTGACTGTGAAAACATGGCCATGTTACATTGGCTGATAAAAGCAGATTATAAAATCATATAAAATCATATAATTCATTTCTATACAATTGTAAGTAGATAATAGCAAATATGTGAGTATACAGAACTATTATTATATAAATACTTATACATAATAGGGAGTAGTTTTTCAGATGTTTTGTGATTACTTCTACCTAAATAGAATTTCAAGGATATTTACTCTTTATATCTTTTTTCTTAACAACAATAATACATTTTTTTTTAACAAAAAATTGAACATGCATAGCATCTGAAGATATTGGGTTGCTCATCACCCATTTGGTTTCTAGGATAAGATGCTATTCTGGTACTCCACTACCTCATAGACAATTTGTCAGTTTTCTTCTACCTCCCCATCCCCTTAATTCTGGAATGATCCATGGCTCAATCTTTGGTTCTCCTCTATCTATTTCCTGGGTGACCTCACTCAGTCTTATTATGCTCGATATTGTCTGTTGTCCTTTGGCACCCAAATGTCTGCCTTTATATTCTCCCTCTATATTTTAGGTGGAAGGCTAAAAACTATACTTCCAAGACTCTTTTGTGGCTTGAACTATGAATACAATTTAGGTTCTGCTAACAAGAAGTACTCATATGAGAAGTGAAAGACAGAAAAGACATTGAAGCCATTTTTCTATGGCAGCTCTACCTGACATACAAGTTCCAACAGACATGAGCATTTCCAGCAGCTGGCTGCACATTTCATGTCTCTTTGCCAATTCATGGATGTGAGGCATGTAAGGGTTAGCAGTTTCTTGCCTTCTGGATTACAGATATAATGGAGGGACTTCAGAATAGAAAATCCAGTGGTGTTCCCTGAATTTTGTTCTTTCAGCACTTCCAACAAATTTGTTAGCTTTGCCTCAAATACTTTGAGTGGTTTTTCTGTTCTGCACTGAACCCTGACTTATATGTCAATGATTAAAACATCTTATCTCCAGAGAAGACTTTTTTTTTTTTTAACTTTGGACTCGTATATCCAACTGCCTACTTGACATCTGAATTTGAATTTGCAATAGGCGTCTCAATCTTAAATCCAAAACTTAACTCTGATCTTCCTACCAAAGCCTGCTCCTTCCCAGCTTTCCCTCTATCAATTGATGACAACTCATACTTCCAGTTGCTTAGGTCAATAATTTCGAAATCACTTTTAATTCCTGTTTTTCTCCCACACATAAAATTGGTCAACAAATTCTGTTGTCCCTGTTTTCAAAATCTCTTTCTGTCTCTCCAAATAGAATTTAAGTTCCTTAAAGGTAGAAAATGTTGTCTTATTTGATCCTTTGCCAGAATAGTGTCTGGCACATAGTCGGTGTTCTGTATTTTAACTAAATGGAGTGATGAATAATAAACGAAGAGATAAGATCTGAAGCTTTCTAGGGACAACTTAATAGGAGACACCGCTAGCTAAACTTTTTTTGTGCTTGTCTTAGTCTATTTGGGCTGCTATAACAAAATAGATAATAGCAAATATGTGAGTATACAGAACTGTTATTATATAAATACTTACACATAATAGGGAGTAGTTTTTCAGATGTTTTGTGATTACTTCTACCTAAATAGAATTTCAAGGATATTTACTCTTTATATCTTCTTTCTTAACAATGATAATACATTTTTTTTTTTTTTTACAAAAAATTGAACATGCATAGCATCTGAAGATACTGGGTTGCTCATCATTCATTTGGTTTCCAGGATAAGATGCTATTCTGGTAATCCACTACCTCATAGACCATTTGTCAGTTTTCTTCTACCTCCTCGTCCCCTTAATGCTGGAATGATCCATAGCTCAATCTTTGGTTCTCCTCTATCTATTTCCTGGGTGACCTCACTCAGTCTTATTATGCTCGATATTGTACCATCAATTGGGTGGCTTATAAGCAACAGAAGTTTGTTGTTCACAGTTCTGGAGGCTGGGAAATCCAAGATCAAGATGCTGGCAGATTTGGTGTCCGGTGAGGGCCACTTTGTGGTTCATAGGTGGTATCATCTTGCTGCATCCTTACATGGTGGAAGGGGCTAGCTAACTCTCTGATGTCTCTTTTATAATGGCACTAATCACATTCATGAGGGCAGATCCCTCATAACCTAATCACCTTCCAAAGGCTGCCACCTTCTGATACTATCACATGAGAGATTAGGTTTCAATGTATGAATTCTTTTGGTGGGTGGTGGGGAAACACAAACATTCAGACCATAGCACATCTAATGAAAACATTCAATATGTTTTTAGAGAATTGAATTTCAATATTTTTAGCGTATTTTAAGATTTACACATACCTTATCGAGAGTTTGATTCATTAAGTATTTTTTTTCTTTGAATGGAGAAACAGAGAGGTATAAAAGAACTTATCTTAGGGTTGTCATGCAGAATATGAATTGATTCTCACTTTAGTGTTGCAGCTTTAATAAAGATCACAGTAGCAAAAACATCAGCATCAAATATTCATTGAGCACATACTATGTACCAAATCCTGTTCAAGGCATTTATGTTTATTTTTTACTATCAAAACGATGCTTGTGTATAGTATAACAAACTGAAAGAAGGGGAAAAAGAAGAGAAAAAATCAAATCGTACAAAATTCATAATGGAACATACTATTTTCCTGCTCTAACCGCTCCTATTTTGAAGTCCCCCTCCCCAGAGATAACCACTTCAGCTATTTTCAGTGTTTCTTTTGTTATTTACCTTCATATTTTCAAATGCAAAGTTTGCATTTCAGTATCTTGAATTTTCAGTTGTAAACATTATTTATTGACTTCCTGCCTTGGAAGATGAGGACTCGGGTTTCCTATGACACCTCTTCCACTTTCCCATCCTTTCATTATACCTGTTTCAAAGCCCTCGAAAAATTTAATTTCAGCACTTGCTTTATTATGATAGTATAATTATTGTTTACAGGCGAAAAAAATGTATAGCACTTTTGATTTTTCTTGCAGTTAATAATTGCTTCTCTTTTAAAAACTTAGCTTTCCATGTAACTATTACTAATTATTTCTTCAAACTCTTTAAAAACATTAACATTTCTCTCAGTTTACTGAAACACATCAAGTAATCTACCAGTTACTTTTATTTTTTGTTCTAGGAGACTAGAACTCTTTACCCTCCTGTTTATGTATGGGTGAGTTGCTCCACAGGCCACTGTACAGCTATTATTTGGAACCTTCCTTTACCATCATCTTTGGGATTGCTTGTTCCCTGGTTCCCATGTTTTCCTGTTTTTGATTTTGTTTCCTTGTATAATATCCTCATGAGCTTCCTGAGAAAAGAGTATGTGAAAGGTAATTTTTTGAGACCTTATATATCTTAAAATGTCTTTATTCTATCTCACATTTGACTGATAATTTGTCTGGGTATGTAATTCTGATATGGAACACATTTTCTTCAGAGATTTTGACAGCATTTTTGTCTTCTAGCTTTCACCACTGCCATTAAGAAATCTGATACCATTATTTTTGCAGTCTTTAAAATAAGATCTGTTATATTGCCCCTAAGAAACCCTTTAGGACTTCTTTATATAGGCTGTCTTGAAATTTCAATGTGTCTTGATAATAATTATGTTTCATTTCTTGTGCTGGGTATTCTATAAGCCCTTTCAATATAGAAATTCATGGCTTGCTATTCTGAAAATGTTCTTGAATGTTTTTAAAAATACCTTCTTCCTCTCTGTTTTCTCTGTTCTTATTTTCTGAAACTATTATTAGTTGGATGTTGAATTTGCTGGGTTTCTTATATTTCCTTTTCTATTTCTGATCTCTTTATATATATCTATTTCTAAAATATTGCCTCAACTTTATATTTCAACCCATCTAGTAATGTTTTTTTCAATTTCTGCCATTATATTTTAAATTCCTAAGTATTCTTGAATGGACTATGGAGCTAGAGTGCCTATGTTCATAACTCAGCTCTGCTGTGTGATCTTGGGAAGGTTATTTAACCTTTCTGTGCCTGTTTCTTCATTTGTAAAATAGGGATAAGAATACCTACCTCATACAGTTGTTATGGTAATTAAATGGTTTAATATTTGTGGAGCACTTAGTACAGTGCCTGGCACTTAGTAAGTTCTGCATAAGTGTTAGATAAATACAGTAAATAAAGAGCACCCTGTTCTTGTTTCATAGATGTAATATCTCCACTGATTTCTCTGGGAACATTATTGCCTTCTGAATTGTTTGTGTTTTTTTTTCTCTCTCTCTCTGTCTCTGTGTGAGTGTGTGTGTGTGTATGTGTGTGTGTGTATTAGTTTTCTATTGCTGCCTTAACAAATTACCACAGATATAAAGCTTAAAACAACACAAATTTATTATCTCACAATTCTGTAGGCTAGAAGTTTGACATGGGTCTCATCAGGCTAACACACAACGTGTTGGCAGGGCTGCTTTTCTTTTCTTTTTTTGTTTTTTGTTTTTTTTTTGTTTTGTTTTTTGAGACGAAGTCTCGCTCTGTCGCCCAGGCTGGAGTGCAGTGGCGCGATCTCAGCTCACTGCAAGCTCCGCCTCCCAGGTTCACGCCATTCTCCTGCCTCAGCCTCCCGAATAGCTGGGACTGCAGGTGCCCACCACCACACCCGGTTAATTTTTTTGTATTTTTAGTAGAAGGCAGGGTTTCACCATGTTACAGGATGGTCTCGATCTCCTGACCTCGTGATCCGCCCGCCTCTGCCTCCCAAAGTGCTGGGATTACAGGCGTGAGCCACCGCGCCCATCTGGCAGGGCTGCTTTTCTTTCTGGAGGCTCTAGGGGAGGATCTGTTTCCTTGACCTTTCCAGTTTCTAGAGGTTGTCTGCGATCTTTGGGTTATGGCTCCTTCCTCCCTCTTCAAAGACAGTGATGGCAATTCGAGTCCTTCTCATATCATGTAACTCACTCTATTCCATAGTCACGTCTTTCTCTTTCTTCTTTTGCCTTCCTCTTCCACTTGTAAGGGTCCTTGCAATTACATTGGGCCCATCTGGATAATCCAGGATAGTTTTCCTATTGTAAAGTTGACTAATTAAGAGCTTTAATTCCACCTGCAGCCTTAATACCCTTTTTGTCATATAACCTAACATATTCACGGGTTTCAGGGATTAGATCAGGATAGTTCTGAGGGACCGTTATTGTTGCCTACCACAGTGTGTGCATGTGAATTCCCTCAACCTGTGGGCTTCACTGAGCAGTGGCCTTGCTCTATCACTGGGGGGGCCTCTGACTTTCTGTTTCTGTAGGCCTTGTCTCTAGGACTGCTTACTTTCTCCAGAGAGAAGTAATTCAAACTTCTGTCAGTGGGTAGGAGGTGGGGACATCAAAACTGGCTGCTTGTTTTGAAGCTTAGTGGAGGGAGGAAGAATTAGCAGGGACCCACCACTTAGCAGGTAGAATTTATTGTAATTCCCAATTCCCAATACTGGGCCTCTTTTCCTATCTCTGCTTGCATGTTGGTCCCAGGTCATAGCTTCTTAACAGAGTAAAACTCTGATCTCCTTTGAAGGCCAGGAAGGAATAGTTAGTTGCCTGGCTGTGTGAAGCAGGAGAGGGGTGCTGAGGATCTGACACCTTCCTACAGAAACTTATTTTTCTCCTTTTCAAAATTTAATTTTGATATAATTTCAGACATATTGTAAAATTGAATTCTGTACAGAGAATTTCCTTATGCCTTTCATCCAGATTCCTCAAATGTTAACAGTTGTTTTATCATTCTCTCTCTAGGTATATATGTAAGCTGCTTGACAAGTGTATTAGTTTCCTATAACTGTGTTGCCATGAACTTCGTGGTTTAAACAAGGCAAATCTATTATCTTACAGTTTTGGAGGTCAGAATTCTGAAATTGGCTTCACTGGGCTTAAAAGTGAAGATGTTAGAAGGACTACATTCCTTCTGGATGCTCTAGGGAAGAATACGTGTCCCTGCCATTTCCTGCTTCTAGAGGCTGCCTACATTCTTTGGCTTGTGGCCCCTTCCTCCATCTTCAAAGCCAGCAGGTTAGCATCATCAAGCCTCAGTCTGACTCATCTCTATTTTGCCGTCCTCTCCTACTTTTAAGGTCTTGTGATTACACTGGACACACCTGGGATAATCCAGGATAAACTCCTTAAAGTCAGCTAATTAGCAGCCTTAATTCCATCTGCAACCTTAATTCCCTTTTGTCATGTAAAGTAACATATTCAGAGGTCTGGAGATTAGAACATGGACTGTTGTTCTCCCACATGTATCCATCATTCTTTAAGCATGTTCATATTTTCTAGAAAAAAGATATTCCAGGTTCATTTTGTACTTTCTTTACCCTGACCTTGAGTTAGCCATCTATTGCCTAGTTTGTCTTTACAACAACAATGGTGGATGCTATTAAAACTTTTGTTTGACTAATGAGGAAATATAAACTGTCAAGAGGTTGATTAACCAGACCGTGGTTACATAGCAGGAAAGGGGCTGACGACAAGAAAGGGACTAGAGTCTAAGTATATTTCACCTCATGCCTGTGCTCCTAACCACTGGACTACTTTGTGCGGTTAGCAACTTCACTTTCCAAAGGTAAAACCCATTTTGAGGTATTAGTATAGGGAAATATAATCTACACTTGCTAGCAGGTAGTATATATATAAATATAGCATCAATTTGAATTTGGGAACTTGGGATATGAATAGTATAATTATTCTTTGAGCAAATGAAAATGTGTGCTGAGTTGCTTGTGTGAGATAGGTAGTTTTCTAGCAATCAAATATATATATTTATAGTATATTCATATTATATTACTTCTAGTTATTAGAGCTCAATTTAATAATTCTTCATCTGAAGTTAATGATTAATTTAAGGACTGACTTGGATAATATTTCTTCTGTAACTTAATTATGTTGATTTTGGCATAACATTTAGTTTTTCATTTTTTTGTGTGCAAGGATGATATGTATGACTTAACAATGTGGGCCAGACTGTATTGAACCCAGTATAACAGAAATTGTTGGGATATTAACCACCCACACCAACCAGTATTTATAATAGAAATAAGCCTTCACCATAAAGCCTCTCCAACAGGCCTTGTAACTATAATGGCACTAGCAGGTGCCGCCACAATAAAGAAGCCAGCCTCCCCATGAACAAATAGTAAATTAAAAAAATCAATCAATCTGCAATCTCAGTTCTGGCCCCAGCGTCACTTCCAATAATGACAAACTCAGGGTTTGTCAGTGCATCGTTAATAGGTTAAAGACCTTCAGATGATTCTTTTAAAGTAAACCAGGCAAATTGGCTCCTTTTTTCCCCACAAGTGCCGCTTTGGAATTGGCATATAAATGCTGATGGGACTCATGGCCTGAGGGCAAGTCCTCTGGCCCTAAAAGCTGGCAGGAAATGGCAGGAGTTTGCAGGGTGGGCTGGTGACTCATGATGTGCTGTGGCATATCTTTGAGGAGAGCCAAGAAAGAGTCATTTATTCCTTGGGGCGTGAAGTCATTCAGCCTGGTGGGGCCCATGTGACTCACCTAGCCTCAAAATGTCATCTTTACCCCCTCCTGCTTCTTCCCTCTCTCCTCTTTCTAGAGGTTTGTGACCTACGATGGACTCCCCAGGACATGTAAACTGCTTTCTCACTTTTCTGCTTCCATTTCTGCTCCCCCTTCTCATTCCTGTTCCTGTTCTGAGACTGTCCACACCCTTTCTCATACTCTTCCTCACTGAAGCAATAATGGCCGGTCCAAGTTCTTCTCTGGCTTGGAGCTGCTGTGACAGACTGTTCATTTGCTTATGTAGGTCTGTCCCTGAAGAATAGTTCGAGAACCTTCTGCGGAATTTCAACCTTACTTGAAGTTGGATTATGTGCTATATTTCAGACAGCCATAATTCCACGCAGCTTTGTGTTGGGTCACAGATGTTTGCTATCTGGGCTCTGAAGTTTTTACGGAAGAGTTTATGTGTGATTTTTAACCCCAAGTGTTGCTGTGGTGCTAGGACTTAAAATTCTGCTCTGTCAGGATTCAGGTGCTGTAACTGAGATTTGTCCAGAGCGGTGGTTCTCCAAGTTTCCTGTGTGTAGGAAGGAGCTGGGGTTGTTTAAAAGCGCCGGTTCTGAATCAGTAGGTCTGACACAGAGCCCAAGAACCTGCATCTCTAACGAGCTCCCATGTGAGGCTCATGCTCACACTTTGAGTAGCAAGAGCTAGTGTGAGGTGACTTGGGGAATCTCAGAAATATCCCATATTTTTCTTCTGGAGATGTGTGAAAATTGCCACTGGTTGATAATGAAACATATGACTCCTTTTTTCCCCCTAGTATTTTCCTAGAACTTATCTCTTCAACCAAAGCACTAAATATTTTGCCACATAGCCAATGAAAAATGAATCATGTAGGGATTTTACATGTTTTCTTAGTTATGATTGCTTTAAAAATAGTGTTAGCACAGCATTCTTGTGTCCATGTGTAAATTAGAAATTTAAAAAACCAACCAAATCAAACAACTGTACATAACAACATATAAAGATAAGTTAGTTTCCTATATCACTTCTACACAATTGGAGGCATTCTTCCTTGGATCAGGGAGGGGATTTGTGGATGATTCATATTGGGAGGAGGGTGGTATGTGTAAAACAAAAAGTGAGAGCTGTATTTACTAAAAATTTTAATCTATCATTGAATGAAAGTTTCTTTACCCCCATTTCATATGTTTTCATTTTCATGCTGATAAAGGAAGAAAAAGTTTGACTTCCTCCCTCCTGTTAGACACACTTTAAATCAGTCCTTCTATCTTTAAATCTTTGCCTTGGGCAATAATCACCATAAAAAGGAACAGATCCGAGGTGCTGAGATAGTTCACCCAATTTAGGCTACCACTTTACTAAAACACCTGTAAGACACATCTAGCTGGTATTTTTAAACAATATTTTTCAATTTGGCTTTAGTTTTTTGGACAATTTCCTGGAGTGTATTTTCTTACTCTACCAGAAGTGTTTAGAATTGGATAATACAGTAATTTAGAAAAGAAAACAATAGATAGAGATTCTAACATAAAACTGAGCATTGGGATTCAAATCCATACATGTAAAGGTGTGTGTGTGTGTGTGTGTGTGTGTGTGTGTTATTGTTTCTGTTGTTGTTACTTGAGGGTATAGATGGTGGTAGAAGGCTATGGGAGAATTGGAAAAGCACTGAATATGTCTACTGTTTTAGTTCCCAAATCATGTAAGTCCTCTGAGGCACGGTTTTCTCATCCTTAAGATGGGAATGGTAAGTGGTACAGTATAGTTGCCTACTTCATATCTTTTTTGCAAATCAAATGAGAGAATGATTGTTTTGAAAATCATGAAATGATGCACAGAAATGAAATGAGTGACCTATGGTCAAAAGCTGAATTTCATCAAGGTAGGACTCAAAATACAGGTATAAGGACATTCCGCAAATACTCCAGTCTTGTGGCCCTTATACCCTGTGTGTTCTTTAATAGTTAAATAAATTGGTTCAAGTCCTGATTCCACATTCACATATGGTGAAAGACAGTGAACTCACTCACCTCACAAGCTTCAGGCCAACATCTATGGAGAGTCTCAAAGGACTTATATTTCTTGTGGTCACCTCCTTCGATTACTTTTACCTACTGAATTTCTGATTTCCTTCACATCTTGCCTTCTGTGGTTGGTCTTTTAACTCTGTCCCACACCATCCCTTTTGCTTGGGCTTTTTAAGGCAACTACTTACACCAAGTGGTTGTATGTTCATTGTCATTTTGCTGGTGATAAAAAGGCTTCCTTGCAGCAGTCCTAGCAAAGCAGATGCATCAAGTGCTGAAATAGTTCACCCATTTGAGTGATAAGCACATCTCAATTTGGACCAGTCACATTTCAAGTGTTCCATAGCCATATGTTGCTAGTGGCTACCATCTTGGATAGCATAGCTTTAGCACCACAAAGCACTGCTCTAAATTTTGAAATTACCACTCCTTCTTTAATGTGGGACATTTGGAATCTCAGGTAGAAGTGGAAAGATGGCCAGGCACGGTTGCTCATGCCTATAATCCCAGCACTTTAGGAGACCAAGGTGGGTGGATCACCTGAGGTCAGGAGTTCGAGACCAGCCTGGCCAACACGGTGAAACCCCATCTCTACTAAAAATACAAAATTAACTGGGTGTAGTGGCGCATGCCTGTAATCCCAGCTACTTGGGAGGCTGAGGCAGGAGAATCACTTAAACCGGGGAGGTGGAGTTTGCAGTGAGCCGAGATCTTGCTATTGCACTCCAGCCTCGGTGACAGAGCAAGACTCTGTCTCAAAAAAAAAAAAAAAAAAAAAAAAGTGGAAAGAAATAGTCTAAGAGGCCGGAGACAGTGTTTTAAAACATTTCTTTCTTCCTATCACAAATACATTATAATTAGGGATATATACACACCAGTTTCTAATACTAGTCGTTCTTTTCAACCCTAATCCAAATTTTCCTAGTCAGGTTTGGGAACCATTACCCTTTTCCACTAGCTAACCACACAGCTGTTTTGGTGATCTTGCCCTCTGATCCTTTCATCATTCAAGGCTCATTTCATGTTCCCATTTCTAAGAAGTACCTGACCGCTCCTGTCTTCATCTACTCCAAACCTCTCTAACATATGGAGTCCAGGCCATATGCCCTAGCTTTTAAGTATGTTGCATTTTGTGTCACTTATCGTTGTTTCACATGCATGTATACTTGTTTTCACAACTAGATTATATGACACATCATGGCTTAGAGGGAAGTACACGGGTCTGGGCTTCTGTCCTGTCTCTACTGCTTGCAGGCTGTGTGCCCTTAGATGACAACTTAGCCTCCTTGTTTCTCCAGTATATAGAGCACATACTATGTACTTCACAGGATCTTCATGAATATTAAATGCAAGAATGTACTCCTAAAGCCTATCCCTTAGTAGCTTCTCCATGAACAATTAATGATATGTCTCCTAATTGCTCCTGATTTATTGAGCACCTACCAAATACCAGGCACAGCCCTAAGTCCTGGGGATACAGTTGTGAACAAGGCAGGATTAGGATTCCTTTTTTGGGAATAGGGACCATGGGTTATGTCTCTGTTTTATTTCATGTTGTAAAATAGATTGTAGAATGTATTATAAGCATTTAACAAATGCTTGTTTAGGTAACATTATAGTCAAAATACAGAACAAAAATATGAGTCCACTGTGAGTTTGATGTGGGTTTGGTATCTACTGGCTAGGGTAAAATGGGTTTTCAATTTCTGTTTGGTTTCTTTCTCAGAAGGTATTCTTCAGAGGGTGTATAGTTTGACTGAGTGTCAATATGTTGTATTTTAAGTGGTATTTTGACAGCTCGAGATCAAATTTACTTTCCTGTATGTTTCACTTGAATATCATTCTAGGTTGTTTTAGTGTTTAGTCTGTATTGCCAATGGGCACTCAAAACATTGAAAATTACATGGAAGGGCTATGGAACACAGGAAATTTTAGAACAGGAAATCTCTGTAAGTCTAGCTGAGTCTACAATTGTGGCACCCCATAATTATTTTCCTTTGTAATGCTTATCTCCTTAAAATATATAGTATTTGTATAAATACACATGTATATATGAACACTACATATGTATTAGCCATCTGAACCTGCATAGTAGATTGCACTGTGCATTTACCTCTCTCTTTGTAAAGAAATCCCACTAAAACTTATTTAATACCATGTTCTTTCTGGGCTTAAGTACATGACCCTTTTTTCTGTTTTCTTTTTGGCATTTAGCCTTTGCAAATCTTCCTTTATTTTGCTACCTTGGAATTGAGGATGTTCTTAGTGAATTCCCTTTACATTTTCTTTTTTTAATAGAGGAAAGTAGAGCAACTGTGTTTCCAACCTTTGTAAATAATTAAGGTCCTTGAGTCCTTGTATCATTCTGGTTGCCCTCTGTTGTACCTTCTTGATTTCAATAATATTCTTTTCATATTAATGCGATCTGTCTTGTAGGACTGCTCTTGCTACATTCCAAATGGAGACTCTCTTTCAGCCCCTTCCATTATAATGCAATAATTGTTGTTGACCTGTATTCTCTGGTTGTGCACCCAGGATTCCATTTCTTATTCTTCAGCTGCTGGAATTTTCCCCTACTCCTTTTTCTTTCTATGCTTTCTTTATTATCCAAATGACTCATTAAGCTGTAAACTTCAGGGCTATCTTCAGCTTCTTTCTATCTGTCCTTGATCACAAATAGTCACCTGCAATAGGCGACTGCTTACGCTGAGAAATTATGCCTGCTGAAGATATAAATACACTCAAGAAGTAGTTGGAGACATTTAGACATGAGAGAGCCCTAATGAACTCATAAGGGGACATAGGCAGTAAATTGCTAAAGTTTTCTGGGTTCAAGGAAGTAATAGCCATGCTCAATGAAGGCCATTGCCATGTTGATGCCATTGGCAGAAATTACCACTGCCCTCAGTGTACCTATCTTGTAGGCTGCTGTGATATTTCCTGCCCTCCTCTGATCCACCTTGAGTCTTCCAATTCTTCCCTATGTCTCTACTACATGCAGTTTCTGGTTTACTTCTTGGATTACCAGAACATTCTTCTTGCCCGCTTCTAATACACTGTCTCTTTCCACTTCAAATTATTCTGCACGTGGCTGCCAAAATAATTTTTCATGCCTGGCACTGGGATCATGGTACTCAGTGAGTTAATCCTCCAGTGAGTCTTCATGGCTCTAATCAAATAAATCCTTCCACTGTTGCCTTTGAGGGCCTCCAACAACTTGAACTGGACTTGCCTGTTCGAAGTAATCTTATGCCATTTCACTGCCTTCTTGTCACCTAGCTACTTCTGCTAGATTTGGCCCTTCTTCATGTTTGTCCCCTTCTCCCCTTCCCAGTTATCTCAAATGCATGTTTTAACACCCTCCCAACATCTTTCAAATCTTCTTTCTCCATCTCTTTAAATTACTAATGTCCAACTTCTAAATGTTTTGCCTAAATAACATTGACCAATCACAATCCATTGTATCAGTACTCTGCTTCTCTCAAATATATTCATGCAATAATGATAAAATGCAAATATTTGTTTAAAACCATGCCTCCATGTAGTCGTATTCATTAGATGTGCGTATTCATTCCAGAAGTGCCAAAGTGACTGGAAATTTGGAGCAGTTTTATCAACTATTGTCAGCTAATGTGCCAATTGGTTTCAAAAATCAGACAAACTATAATGACTTGTAATAACTTGGTTAGTAAATCTTTGTAGCAAATTTGAAATGACTAGAAATATCTGGGTCAGAACAACTTAACTTTTTATGCAATAACTCCTAAGGGATTGTGGGGTGTGTGTGTGTGTGTGTGTGTGTGTGTGTGTGTGTGCTGGGAGAGGGGTAGGGGTATCAAAATGAGCTAGGCAAGATTTTTAAGAACACAAATGTTTGAGACCCCCTGTATACCATTCAGTTTGCACTTTGATAAATCTGTTTTATTTTAATGATTTTCTTGTCTTATTGATGACGGCCATTTTATGGAGTTGCTTTTATGGCAGCCCAGATGGAGCTATTCTTACAGCAATCTTCATAATAATGTGATCACACTCTTTGAACTGCATTTCATGACTGCCCAGTGATGATTCAAAGGGTGCAAAATAAGACAACATTTCAATGTTATTTATATATTCCTCCCCTTCCCTCATACCCTACCTTGGGGGAAAGATTTAAGGTAGAATATCCTCAACTTTGGTAATTTTGTGGTGAAAGAAGCTCTCATTTCTCACTGTTGAGAATGAAAATGATTCCAAACTTCCCTAATGGCATTTTGCCAATGCATATCAACAGCCTGTATTTCCACTTCTAGAAGCCTATCATCAGGCAATCAGAAATATTATACAGGTTGAGCATTCCTTATCTGAAAACGCAAAATCCAAAATGCTCCAAGATTAAAAACTTTTTGAATGTTGACATGCTAGTCAAAGGAAATGTTCATTGAAGTATTTCAGATTTCAGATTTTTGGATTTGGAATGCTGAGTGCATAATACATTGGTATAATGCAAATATTCCAAAATCTGAAAAATCCAAAATCTGAAACACTTCTGTGCCCAAGTTTTTTGGATAAGGGATACTCAACCTGTAAAAGATTTTTAGGCAACTGTGTTAGATTGTATATAAATGGTTGGATTATGGTTATACTCTTATCGTGTCATGGTATAATCCTTCTTTGTTACTCCAAGGTGCCATGTTGAAGAGCTGTGTCTAGAAAGTAAACGTTCTCGTAATGGCATGCCAGGCAAAAACTGAATCTTAATGACTTTCTAGAAATTAGAAAAAATGCCCTCTAAAAAACCCAGTTTCTGTATTCTAAGATGAGAAAATTCAAGTTGTCTTTGGGAATTCTTCGGTTGTTGACTGAATTAGCCATATGTTGGTGGCCTGCATACCAACCCTGGACTGTACACCTCTGGATTTCATTTTCATGAGCATAAATAATCTTCTGTCTTGTTGAAGCACTTGTTATATCCAGTTTCTGTTATTAGCAGCTAAAAATAATTTCTAACTGATGCAGGATATTTATATAATACTTACAAGCTGGCAGAGTTTGGGACATCCAAGTTAAAAATATTCTGAAATTATTTTTTATTTTACTGAAGACTGTGTTTTAAGTGTGTGCTGTTTTAGATAAGTAGTAACAATAGTAATATTAGTATAGAGATTTATAGTTTGCAAAACATACCTACAGATCTGATTTTATTGGCTCATTACAAGCCTTAGCAAGGGTTTAATGGAAAGCAAATTAATGAGGTTACTTGGAGGGGGAGTTCTAGCTTTGGAATTGGCACTAGCTACTCCTGTGACCTCAGGTAAACATGGTAAGGAGGCACATACTCCCATTGCATAGAGGAGAAAACTGGAGCATAATGAGGTTAAGTAGCTCTTCCGAAGCTCTTGGATTTCCAGAGCTCAAGAGTCTCTTCCAGTCTTAAAACCCTGTCCTGCTACTGTATTTCTCACCTCAGCCAAATACTTACTTCTTCCATCTCAGGGTCCCTGACTATCTTCAAAGTTTTCTTTTTTGCATTTCCTATATGAGGGGCCAAAACTACAGATTTCAGATTTTTGATGAAATACTAGGCTAGAAAAACAGAAAAGGGCAGATAAACAGAGAGACCCTACATTTCAAGAAAATTGGAAGAGACCCTTTGTGGAAAGGAAGACTGTTTCTATGAGTTTACTATGCAAATGGCTTGCTTTAGTCATTTATTTAACCTGCCTGGCTCCCTTAGGCATTTGGGTTTGCAGTCCTAGACTAGATGACCTTGAAGCTTCCAGGCAGCTCAACAACATGTGACTGTCAAGAGAGCAGGAATTGCCAGATAATATTAGGAACAGACCATCCAAAATACTTACATCTTGATTAGAAGATAGGAAACTTTATAAAAAAATGATGAATTCTATATGTAATATTTTTAAGCATTAGATACATGCATTTGTAGTATTTGTGACATGTAACTAAGACAACCATTTTAGCTTAAGGCTCTAGAGCTATGCTTTTTAATACACTTGCTGCTAGACACATTTGGCTATTTCCATTTAAACTGAAATTAATTAAAATGAAATAAAATTAAACAATTCATTTCCTCAGTCCCACTAGTCACATTTCAAGTGTTCCATTGACACATGTGTCTGGTGGCTGCCATGTTGGACAGTGCAGATTACAGAACATTTCCATCACATCATCGCAGAAAGTTCTGTTTAACAGTGCCACTCCACATCAGTTGTTCTCAACTTTTCTATACCTCCAACATATCTGAGGTATATAATACAATGTCATTAAAAACAGTACCTCTCACTGTGCTTTAGAATCTGGGTGAAGGGTAGTCCCTAAAAGGCCCCAGTTTATTCTCATATGTGTTCTCCCACTTCCATTTCCCACTGAGAATCTCTATTCCTGAAAGCTTGTAGAGGTGTAGCGCTCAGTCTATGATGCACATTGGAATCACCTGGGAGTTTTAAAAATTATTGGTGGCTAGCTAGGTACCACTCCAAGGAATTCTGCCTTAATTAGGCACTGGGATTTTGAAAGTCTTCCCAGGGGGTTCTAGTGGGCAACCAAGATGGAAAAAGCCACTAACCTGAAAGGGATTAGTAGTTGGTAGTTAACAGATTAGCACTTGGTTGATCCCATTAGGAAATTATGAATACGAAGTTATATTTTACTTCCATAAACATTTCATAATGACTTCCCTCTAATCTGCTTTTAAAAAAATATATATATATATCATTTATAGTTACTTTAATGAAAGGTCATCAGAAAATAAAAGTTGTGACTTGATTAGTAAAAATTATTAAACAGGTGAATTTCGAATTTAAAACCCTTCCAATGACTTCCTGTCTCCCTTAGGATAAAGCAACAAATTACAGACTCTCCTTAGCCTTTGCTTTAATCTCTGCCTTCTAACTGTATTATATGCTTTTAATTCCTTAAATGTGCCATGCTGTCTGTTGTTTCTGGGACTTCACATGTATAATTCCCTCTGCCTGGAGCCCTTTGTTCTCCTTCCTTCTTCCACTGCTGCCATGATCCTTCCCCTTCACCTGACCTTTAAATCTTAGTTTCAACTTCACCTCTTCAGTGGGGACTTCTCTGATGGAGACTAGATTATTGTAGCACAGGCTCACAATAATGTTTCACAACCATTCTAAGTGCTCTCCTGTATTTTCTAATCCTCTTGCACATAAGGCAGAGTTATGTGAGTTTTTCTGGGCAAAAAATGGTCAGAATGGAGAGAAGAAATGGCACGAGGCAATCTCATAAGCAGTGAAAACTCATGTTTGATTTTTTTCTATCTCCTTTCTGCTTCGTGGTGATAAGTAGCATTCCAGACAGTAGAATCTCCTTCAGTCTGAGCTACTATCTGACCATGTGGAGTACAGAGCACCAGTTGAATATGGAGCAAAGATGAGAAAGTAATCTTTGTTGTGATGAGTTTTGGTGGTTACTTTGTTATTACAGCATATGCTAAATTATCCTGACTAACAGATATATTTCCTCTTAGGTGCTCTCATTGCAACAGTGGTCCTCACTGTCACTGGTTCATGGTGTGATGAGAAAAATAAAGATAATGTAATGAGGTTTCCCTAAAACTAAATTTCTTCAAATTAAATAACTGTTATTTATTCTACTATTATGTCTTCTTATTTTAGGGGGTTAAAATTTACTGTTGTTTTTGAAATGTTGGTGGGTAACACAAGTCTATAAATATGACTATTCTAAACTGGGAGCATTCCCTTTGAAAACTGGCACAAGACAGGCATGCCCTCTCTCACCACTCCTATTCAACGTAGTGTTGGGAGTTCTGGCCAGGGCAATTAGGCAGGAGAAAGAAATAAAGGGTATTCAATTAGGAAAAGAGGAAGTCAAATTGTCCCTGTTTGCAGATGACATGATTGTATATTTAGAAAGCCCCATTGTCTCAGCCCAAAATCTCCTTAAGCTGATAAGTAACTTCAGCAAAGTCTCAGGATACAAAATCAATGTGCAAAAAGCACAAGCATTCTTATACACCAATAACAGACAAACAGAGAGCCAAATCATGAGTGAACTCCCATTCACAATTGCTTCAAAGAGAATAAAATACCTAGGAATCCAACTTACAAGGGATGTGAAGTCCTCTTCAAGGAGAACTACAAACAACCACTGCTCAATGAAATAAAAGAGGACACAAACAAATGGAAGAACATTCCATGCTCATGGATAGGAAGAATCAATATCATGAAAATGGCCATACTGCCCAAGGTAATTTATAGATTCAATGCCATACCCATCAAGCTACCAATGGCTTTCTTCACAGAATTGGAAAAAACTACTTTAAAGTTCATATGGAACCAAACAAGAGCCCACATTGCCAAGTCAATCCTAAGCCAAAAGAACAAAGCTGGAGGCATCACACTACCTGACTTCAAACTATACTACAAGGCTACAGTAACCAAAACAGCATGGTACTGGTACCAAAACAGAGATATAGACCAATGGAACAGAACAGAGCCCTCAGAAATAATACCACACATCTACAACCATCTGATCTTTGACAAACCTGACAAAAACAAGAAATGAGGAAAGGATTCCCTATTTAACAAATGGTGCTGGGAAAACTGGCTAGCCATATGCAGAAAGCTGCAAGTGGATCCCTTCCTTACACCTTATACAAAAATTAATTCAAGATGGATTAAAAACTTAAATGTTAGACCTAAATCCATAAAAACCCTAGAAGAAAACCTAGGCAATACCATTCAGGACATAGGCATGGGCAAGGATTTCATGTCTAAAACACCAAAAGCAATGGCAACAAAAGCCAAAATTGACAAATGGGATCTAATTAAACTAAAGAGCTTCTGCACAGCAAAAGAAACTACCATCAGAGTGAACAGGCAACCTACAGAATGGGAGAACATTTTTGCAATCTACTCATCTGACAAAGGGCTAATATCCAGAATCTACAAAGAACTCAAACAAATTTACAAGAAAAAAACAAACAACCCCATCAAAAAGTGGGCGAAGGATTTGAACAGACACTTCTCAAAAGAAGACATTTATGCAGCCAACAGACACATGAAAAAATACTCATCATCAGTGGCCATCAGAGAAATGCAAATCAAAACCACAATGAGATACCATCTCATACCAGTTAGAATGGCGATCATTAAAAAGTCAGGAAACAACAGATGCTGGAGAGGATGTGGAGAAATAGGAACACTTTTACACTGTTGGTGGGACTGTAAACTAGTTCAACCATTGTGGAAGAAGTGTGGGGATTCCTCAAGGATCTAGAACTAGAAATACCATTTGACCCAGCCATCCCATTGCTAGGTATATACCCAAAGGATTATAAATCATGCTTCTATAAAGATACATGCACATGTATGTTTATTGTGGCACTATTCACAATAGCAAAGACTTGGAACCAACCCAAATGTCCATCAATGATAGACTGGATTAAGAAAATTTGGCATATATACACCATGGAATACTATGCAGCCATAAAAAGGATGAGTTCATGTCCTTTGTAGGGCCATGGATGAAGCTGGAAACCATTATTCTCAGCAAACTATCGCAAGGATGAAAAACCAAACACCACATGTTCTCACTCATAGGTGGGAATTGAACAATGAGAATACTTGAACACAGGAAGGGGAACATCACACACTGGGGCCTGTCGTTGGCTGGGGGTAGGGGGGAGGGATAGCATTAGGAGATATACCTAATGTAAATGACGAGTTAATGGGTGCAGCACACCAACATGGCACATGTATACATATGTATCAAACCTGCACGTTGTGCACATGTACCCTAGAACTTAAAGTATAATAATAAAAAAAAATGACTCTCCTTTGATGTCTTTACTTGATAAAATAAAACATTGGTAGTCATACATTGTACCCTATGTTAATTTTTTACATTTTATTTTAAAAGTGTGCAATTTGTTGCTTTATCCTAAGGAAGACAGGGAGTCATTGGAAGGATTTTTAACCAATCCTAATTTTAAGAGATCTCCAGGATCAGAGAAAATAAGTAACCTGTACAAAAACACATAGCTAGTATCTAAGCTGGGTTTGAACCCTGTTTTCCGGAAGCTTTCTGCTACTTGAGACACTTTCTTCTTACTGTGCCTTTTATTGTTCCATCCTCAGCATGTATTTTCTTCGTCATCTCATTCTGATAAAATTTGTATTTATGTCCTCTTCCTAGAGATTTGCTCCCGGTGTGTAATAGCATTTTCCTTTACACGATGTTACCTTTTTTCTTCCTTCTATAAACACAAACTTGTTTATTTAGTACTTAATTGAGTTGTTAGGACTAAGTGGTTATTTAATCATTTATTATAATAAAAAGATCCATTAAAACTTGTTTTTCCTTATGATTAATGTGGGGTTTGGCCTTTTATTTTTCCCCTAAAATAATGCATCAACCTGAGAACCTGTGGAGAGAGCTGAGGGTAAATTTTCAGCCCAAGGGAAATTATAAATTATTAAATGAGATGTTGAGGGATGTATAAGGATGTTTGAAATAAACTCCTTTTTTTGTTTGTTTTTTAAAATATAGCCCATCATTTTTTTGAAAAGTAGACAACTGGATAGACTAAAAATGAAAGCAAAACTGTTTGTTGCGTCTTCACAGGGCATAGAATTTCACCCTCTGAACACCGTGGGTGATTTCTAGGAGAGCACACCAGCAAACAGCCACGCTCTTGTTTATGCTGCTATTTCTTTTATGTTTTTAACATAAACAAAATTGGAAACATATTTGAGAGTGAATCTTTGTACAAAGAAATTATAGGGGAAAAATATCCCTGTGCTCATGTTGAGGAAAAAAACCCACCATCACCCTGGTCATGATCAGGAAAAGGAGGATAGTCACAAAGCCCTCTTTGTGTGAGAAGCTCAAGTTAGATTACCCTACCCAGTGGGCGGGGTGGACACGCTCTCTGCTCTGTCTTCCCGAGCCCTGAAGCCAGATGGAGGTCAGTGGTCCAGCTCAAGTTTCATAAAAGGGCAGTGCTGCTCTTTTTATTTAGTTTATTTTTTTTAATTTATGTTCTCTGGTTTTGATTTTCTTTTTTTCTTTTCAGATTGAAAAAGTTCTTTTCAAAGGGCTCCCCACAATTCCTGGTAGTCATTTGTGCAGTTGTAAAGATTTTTGACTATAAATGTTTGTTGCTTTTGAATTCACATGCTCCTGCTCATTTTATTACTATGCTATATGTGAGAATATGTATATTCACATAAATGGTAAATTTGTGTATGCATTTATGTATATATACATATGTATTCCTATGCTTTATATATGTATTTCTATGGTTTGTGTGTATGTATGTGTATGTATACACATACACACACGTGTGTGTATATATACACATACATAGAAGCATAGAAATAAAAATACAGAAATAATATTAACATATATTTATATATTTGAACTCCCATATCTTACTTATAATAAAAGCCTGAGTAAACATTCTCAAAAATATATTTATAGGTAGATAAATAAAATATAGATTTAATTAACAAGCAACAAGGAGGGAAAATATCTTCTCAAGATAATATATAATAAACCAGAGAAGCAGAACAGCATCGTGTACACTGCCTGCTATTACCATCATGCTTTCCTAGCCAACAGAGCTAAGCTCATGGGCTGAATGCAATTAGCATCTTTTCTGGATGTAAGGAATTGTCCTGTTCTACTGTGGCTAATGAATGATGGGGAGGTGTGCCCGATATAAACTGTAAACTTAGAAAATATAGATGCCTGTTCTAGGCAGCACTCTTGGAGCATGATTTTTTCTTTCCCATCCCTGCCTATTTTTTTTTAATGTGAAAAATGTCTCTTATTACCTGTGGTAGGCTCTGAGCATTCATACACTATTTTGTTGATTGCCCCGCCCTCAGAGACTGCATATTTAAATCCCATTTGCTGCCTGCAGCAGCGTCAGGACTGCTTGGAGGTGACAGCCCCCTCTGAAGAGAACTCCCTGGGTCAGCTCCCTCGGAGTGTTCTGGATAAAGTCACAGGACAACTGAAGTGGTACACACACAGGAAAGCCAAAAACAAACAAACAACAACAGCAACAACAACAACAACAAAGAACAAGATTCTTTCCTCCTTTTTTTTTTTTTTTAACAAGAGAGATAAAGGAGATGAGAATATGTTGATATTTGATGAATTGGTTCCATTCAGAGTGCTATCATTTTAATGTCTCTCCCCCTTTTTTTGAAAACGTACCCACAGTCTCTGAATTCCCATTAAAGCAAAGTTCAGATAAAGCTGATGAAAAGCATCTGCCATCTTGATAGTTGCCATGGCAGATGGCGCCAGCCTTTATGCTTTTATCAGTATTAGTATCAGAACACACTTTGTGTTCCAAGCTGAGATAAAAATCATTGAAGCTGTACCTGGAAGAGGCAGTGCCACACTGCAGGCCCCCACAATTCTGTATCTTGACAGAACTGCCTGCATAAAAGCCATGTACAACATTTTCTTGTGGTTCGTGAGTTCAGCAGTGCTGATGGTATTTTGCAAACTTTGAGGACGAGGGGGCTTCTCTAAAAAGCTGCTTTACTCTTTGCCACTTTTCCTTGCCACTTTTTACCTCAGATGGTGTGGGGAAACACCCCATCAGTAAGCATTTATGCTAACCCTGCTACCCCTCTAGGAAGACCTCTGAGGGGTGTCCATTGTCTAGGTTGGGGACCTGAGAGCAATGTGAAAAAGAGAGAGTTTGATTACTTGGAGCTGAGGTTGGCCTGGGTTCCAGAAGGGTGCCTGCAGCTCCCTTTCAGCACGTGTATTACAGTATCGTGACAGCCACCTCTCTTTCTATTTCTTCAAGTCATAGCTGCTGCTGCAAAGTGCCACATGTTGGTGACACAGAACTACAACCCTGTCCCATCTCACTACCCTTGGCGTCAGTCCAAGTTCTGCAGCCTTCTGCATGATGGCCCAATGGTCCTTTCTTTATTCCAAATGCCCTAAAGCTATGACTTCAGAAAGTTAAAGCCCTTCCACCGGCTCTTTATTGTACATTTCCAAATATATTAGATTCTCCCCCACTCTTGTTTCCCCCTCTCTGGTTATGAGTGCAGTTATTTTTAGTAATATTGTTGCTTGATAAATAGAGGGGTTGTGAGATCTTAAGTTATTATGCAAGTGTTAGCAACACAGCCTGGCACACCATTTGGCTGGTGCATGGGGAGAGATGAACAGTTACAAAGAGGAGGAGGGCGAGGGAGTTATTTTAAATTAAAGTATACATAAATATCTAAATGACATTAATAATAAGGGTTGGGAGCCATTAGAGTTGGCTATACTGGCTTTTCAGTCACCTCCAAGAACACTTTAAAAGAATAATAATAATAAAACCCCAAAGTGACTTTTTAATTTTTTCTGCCCAGTTAAGAGAACTGAACTTAGAGCCAAAACTCAAATACTAGTTCCCCCATATTCTAACTGTGATTTTTGAGAAATTGGCTTCTCTATGACTTGTTTTTCTTATCTATGAGAAGTAGATTATAATCACATATACCTCAAAAAGTAACTATGAGGATTAAATAAAATAATAGTGTAAAAAAGGATATAAATGCTCAATAAATGTCAGATATTATTATTTTTGTCAGTTCTCTATTTCTTAGCACTGAAATCGCTTTAAAAGGGATATGTGTCATTAAAACTGACCCCACCAGTAGCATCTTCCTTGGTGGAGCCTGACTCCCATTTGTCCAGAATTCTCAGCACTCAGCAGCTGTGGTCTCAGCTCAGCTCCAAGTCAGGCCCAGGCATGCTGCTGAGGTGCCTCTGTTGCCTGGGGGACTCCGGGCAACCTGATTCTTACTTCAGGCACTAAGTTGGATGGGTGACAGTTAATAAGTCATTCACATCAACTAAATTAGTCCAGAAATCTATGGTTTACAAAAGGCCGTCACAGGAAAGAGGAGGAGGGATATCACTACTTCCGTAACACCAGTTCTCAATCTGTGTGCTATGCCCATGACTACTTATACCGGGCTGTGTTACTGTCTCAGAGAAAAGTGAAAAAGGGTATCTGTACTCTCAAGGCTATATTCAATAATTAACATAATCTTACATTTAAAAATGGAATGATAAACATTGTCTTTTTTTCATTTTTTATTGAGGTATAATTTATGTACAATAAAAGGAGTAGTTTCTAGTGTACAATTAGTTCTACAGGTTTTCACAAACATGTATAGTTGTGTAACCAACACTATGATAAAGATATAGGGCACTTTTATCATTTTTAAAAATTGCCCTGTGAAACCTGTTTGCAGGCAACCTGTTCCCCACACTCATTCCCTGGCAATCACTCATCTATTTTCTGTTCTATAGTTTTGCCCTTTGAAACCTGTCATATAAATAGGATAATACAGTATGCTAACATTTGGGTCTGACCTTAATATATTGAAATTCACCTATATTGTGCTTTTCAGTAATTCATTCCTTGCTATTAAGTAGTATTCATTGTATAATTGTATCACAGTTTGTTTAACACAGTTTGTTTAACCATTACCCAGTTGAAGAACATTTAGGTTTTTCCCAGGTTTGGGCAGTTATGAGTAAGGCTGCTATAAACATTTGTGAACATACCTTTGTGTGAATATAAATTTTCTTTCACTAAGGTAACTACTTAGAAATGTGATTGCTGAGTAGTACGGTAAGTATATGTTTATCTTTGTAAGAAATGGTCACACTTGCAAAGTGGCTGGACTATTTTGCATTCTCGTTAACAATGTATGAAAGTTCCAGTGGCTCCACATCCTCACTAGCACTTGGAAGTGTCAGAATATTTTTGTTTTAATTTTAGCCATTCTAATAAATATGCAGTGGTTTTAATGCATATTTAATCCAACAAATAAATATGTTAAACATTTTTTGATGTTTATTTGCCATCTTTGCATTTTTGGTGAAGTTTCTATTTAAATGTTTTGCCTGTTTGTTTTTTTTTTTTTTTGTAATTGAGTTGTAATTTTCTTATTATTTACTTTTAAAAATTTTAAATAGGCCGGGCGCGGTGGCTCACGCTTGTAATCCCAGCACTTTGGGAGGCCGAGGCGGGTGGATCACGAGGTCAGGAGATCGAGACCACGGTGAAACCCCGTCTCTACTAAAAATAAAAAAAAATTAGCCGGGCGTGGTGGCGGGCGCCTGTAGTCCCAGCTACTCGGAGAGGCTGAGGCAGGAGAATGGCGTGAACCCGGGAGGCGGAGCTTGCAGTGAGCCGAGACTGCGCCACTGTACTCCAGCCTGGGTGACAGAGCGAGACTCCGTCTCAAAAAAAAAAAAAAAAAAAAAAAAATTTTAAATATACATATATATATGTATATACATATTTTACAAGCCCTTAATCGGATATGCAATTTGCAACTATTTTCCCCAAGTCTGTGGCTTGTCTTATTTATTTATTTATGTAACTCAATAAAAAAATTATAATTGACAAAAACTGTGTATATTTATCCTGTATAACATGTTGTTTTGAAATATATACACATCATGGAATGGCTAAATTATTTAACATATGTACTACCTCATATAGTTACTTTTTTGAGAACACTTAAAATCTACTCTCAGCAATTTTCAAGAATGCAAAATATTGTTATTATCTATAATCACCATAGTACATTAGACCTCTTGAAATTATTTCTCCTAACTAAAATTTTGTTTCCTTTGACCAACATCTCTCCAACCTGCTCCCAACTCCTGTAGCCTGTCTTATTCTCTTAACAGTGTCTTTCGAACAGCAGGATTTCTTAGTTTGATGAGCTCAATTTTTTTTTTCTTTTATGAGTCATGCTTTTGATGTTATATCCGAGAAATCTTTGCCTTGTGCAAGGTCACAAATATTTACTTTTGTGTTTTTTTTTCTAGCAACTTAACAATTTTCAATTTTGCATTTAGGTCTATGATCCATTTTGAGTTAATTTTTGTATGTGATGCAATGTATAGAATGTAGTTTTGTTTTGGTTTTGCATTTTTGCCTATAGGCACAGTTCTAGTACCATTTGTTGAAAACAGTATCCCTTCTCCATTAAATTATTCATCTTTTTACCTTTCTTAAAATCTCTTAACCATATATATGGGTCTGTTTCTGGACTCTCCAGCCTATTCCATTGATCTGTTTGGTCTGTCTTGAATACCACACTGTTTTGGTTATTATCGCCTTATAGTAAATCTTAAAATCAGGTAGTGTGAGTCCAGAATCTTATTCAAAGTTGAAAACAACATAATGTAAAGCATAAATGTATTTTCTAGTCAGTGTTAGTGTATGTCTAACATACACTAGTCTAGTCTAGTTAGTGTATGTCAAGTATATACACTAACTTTGGATGATGTAGTAATTGTGAATGCGGACCAAGTGAGATACACCCACCTTCACCCTGGGGATTTTGGAAACACTGTAGGATGTGTATATGTGTATGAAAAAGAAAATGAGAGAGACTAACATGATGGCCAGAGATCTGAAAACTATTTGGATCTCTAATCAAATAAAATGTCTTGTTAAGGATATAGATATTCTTATTAAGGATATAGGTACATTTAAAAAATCCTGTCTTTATATTTTTATGGACATGTCTACAAATTTAATTCAGAAAACTCTAACTCCTTTGGGCTGCTGAATAAAGTTTCTAGGTAGAAACAGAATGTGACTATTCCCTATTGCTCACCATGAGATAGGACTTAATATTAAAAACTTGCTTGATGCAGCGCTTGACTAGTTACAAGTTTCCTCTATGTATGTAATTGCGTTAAGTTCTCACAACAACCCTTGAAGCAGGTCTTCACCTCCCCATTCTGGAGATAAGGCATCTTCGGAGTCTTCAAATCACTGACTCACTGTTACTGGCAGAAAGCGTCTGCCAGTTTGAGTTCTTTGTAGATTCTGGACAATGAGAACACTTGGACACAGGAAGGGGAACATCACACACCGGAGCCTGTCCTGGGGTGGGGGTAACGGGGAGGGATAGCATTAGGAGATATGTCTAATGTAAATGATGAGTTAATGGGTGCAGCACATCAACATGGCACATGTATACATATGTAACAAACCTGCACGTTGTGCACATGTACCCTGGAACTTAAGGTATAATAAATAAAATAAAATAAAAAAAGTTAGAAAAAAATGTCTGCCAGTTAAGACTCTAACCTAAGTCATTGTACCAAGTCTTCTCAATCTATTCCACAGCATATCCTGACTTTAGGAAGTTCATATTGCTCTGTGTCAATGGCCTCTGGCACAGAATATCCTGAAGGGCAATATGACCTTGCAAAAACCTGCATCACTGTCAAATTCAGCCAGAATGAGATCAGTTTGTGGGGAGTGCTGGCACTCGTTATTAGCTGCCCTTTGATGTCCAGACTCCAGTGTGTTAAGCTTGAATCCAGTGCTTCCAATCCAGTTGGGTTAGGAAACAGATAGGGGAGCACTATTTTTTTTTTTTTTTTTTTTTTGGCGGAGTTTCCCTCTGTCGCCCAGGCTGGAGTGCAATGGCGCTATCTCGGCTCACTGCAAGCTCCGCCTCCTGGGTTCAGGCCATTCTCCTGCCTCAGCCTCCCGAGTAGCTGGGACTACAGGCGCCCGCCACCACGCCTGGCTAATTTTTTTTTGTATTTTTAGTAGAGACAGGTTTTCACCATGTTAGCCAGGATGGTCTCAATCTCCTGACCTCATGATCCGCCCGCCTCGGCCTCCCAAAGTGCTGGGATTACAGGCGTGAGCCATCGAGCCCGGCCAGTGGGCAGCACTATTTTTAAAGGGTGGGAACTCCAGGAAATATGTGCTGTTACCCCTAAAACTTGCTTCTTCGTTGGGCTGGGTAAAGATACCACTGATGGAATTTGTTGTTGTTGTTTTAGTAGTTAGTGGCCGTCAGCCACCCTGAATGAAAACTATGAGTTCAATATTTGTCAAAGTTTGGCACCAAAGTTGAACATCAAAAATAGGGTCAAACTCTGGAACCAGTTTCTGCATTTTCTAGCTACAGAACAATTTTGACATTTACTCAGCCCAGAAATTACTTAGAAGAAAGTTTGCCTGAACTTGTGGTTCTCAAACTGAGGGCCAGGGACCGCCATCAGCAGCATTACCGTCACCTGGGAATAGTTAGAAATGCACATATTCATCCCTTCCCCTCAACTGATTTCATTTCTTATTTTTCCCCTAAGCAAGTAAACAAAATCTCCAAAGAAGGACAGCCTGAGAAGGGTATATATGTTTGAGCATCACGGAACTCATTTGTAGGTATTTGATGCCATAAATAGACTCATAGTAAGAAAACACTGACATTATCTATTGTGGTTCAGGAAGAGCAGGGGAGATCAATCTGGTTAATTAAGCCACAAAATTCTGTTCAGGATGGACTTAGATTCCAGGTTAATGTGTGCTTCTTGTATCTGTGGTGTGAATAGGGTGCCTCTTTTGGTATAGAATGCTCTCTCAGGGTTGTAAGAAACTCTTACTGTACTTTATTGGGGAAAAAATCCAGACACCTTTCTGATGGGAATCTGTTCTTGGAATGAGACAATGTGTCTTTGGCTTGCGTTTTCGTTTTCACAAGGCTCTAGGTTTATATTTTCAGTTAAAAGATCCAAGAGAAACGAAGAAATATCAGAGATTCTCTTCCCTAGATGTGTCCGCTGCGATAGCAAGCACCTAGTTGTTTTCTCTCAAGAAGAGATAGAAGCCAATTCGTCCAAATTTATATGATGTTAGAGCTGGAAAGAGCTTTGGAAAGCATCTGGGGTTTTCAAAGGGAGTTTCACTTGCATTTTTGGATTTTTAGGTAGAACTAGACTTTCTGGTGACAGACTGTCCTGCCTTAAAGATGTTTAACATTCCTGGCCTCTGACACTAAATACCAATAGCATCCTTCAGTTATTATTATAACAGAAACCTTCTAATGTATTTCCAAACACCCTCTAAGGCGGTGCCTTAGGTTGAGAACTTCCTCCAGCCCCGTAGTTTTATCAGTGAGGAAACTGAGGTTCTGAGGATTAGCAGAGCCAAACTTTGACCCTGACTTTCTAACCCTATACCCCGCTATAGCATAAGTGCCATGAGAGCAAACATTTTTTGTTTGTTTTGTTCACTGCTGCACTTGGTACAGTTTTTGTCACATGGGAAACAATAAATATATGTTGAGGGAATTAATGAAGAATGAGCACATGGGTCACTATACACTCTAGGATAACACATCTAAGATCCAACAAAGGCAAAATGATTGACTACTGATCTCCAAGGCCCTAAAAGTAATTAGCTTTCAGGTAATCAAAAAACTAAGGTCCATTATCAGAGATGAAGACGCCACAGAGTAAATGGGATTCTTCAAGGCAGTCCGACATTGTCACAGAAACTTGAATTCCAAATTAAATGCAGCACCTCTATTGATTTGAGATGTACAATATTTCCATTAGAATAATAATACCACCACTAAGATTTTGAATTTATGTACATATTTATGGAGTGAGCTGTCTATTAATGGATTATAATGATGATGTCTCTGCTACAAAAAAGTCCAAGCCTGGCGCCACAAACTATCCCACTGTATTGGAACTTTGCCACAGGTACAGCACCCAACATACTCTTATGTATTGGGAATTGCTAATTTTGTGAATTGTTCTTTTTAAAGCGTGTTTTATTTATTCATTTCCCCAATCAAAAGCATATATAAAGATTGTTCCATGCTTTTAAGTTCACTCAAGATCATTTTTATGTTTCCTGAGAGAGTATGCAATAGTTTTACACAGAGCTAGCTAAAGAAAATAACTCAGGAAAAGTGTTTTGGAACATGTTGGACTATCATAGCATCCTTTGTTCTATAGTATCATATTTTAGTAACACACTGGTATTTGGAATCTCACTGTTTTGCTGTTTTGAAGCTAGGTGTACTGTTTTAATATGATGATGCTTCCTATCATCATATTCACACTTGCCATCTGGATGAGGCCAGTGAAGCTTACAGAAGCAAAGAGCCATTGATGGTCTAGGAACCTGTGGTTTAGTGGTAAATATCTGAGCTTCAGTAACCAAGACATAGAAGATACTGGGTTACCCATTCTTTGTTGTGATATTTGCGAGCAGAGTTTATTTGTATTGTTCTTTTAAGTGGCTTAAAATATCTTTTTGTTCCCATATTCATACCATTTTATTGATAAAACCCCAGTTCGTATCTTTATTTTTCAGTCTGAGAAACTGAAATATAGTGTATTAGTCAGGATAGTGTAGGTTTTGTTGTGGTAACAAATACCTCCAAAATCTCCCTTAATTAACATACCAAAAGTTTATTTCTCACTTATGTTACATGTACCCTATGAGAGAGCTGGGGCCTCTCCTTCACACAGAACTTGGAGACCTATACTACCAATATATCGCCTGAAATATATGGCCTTCTCAGTGACGGGGGCAGAGGAAGAGACATTTGGAGGGTCATGCTCATCTCTTTTGCTAGAAGTGACCACGCCACACTTTCCACAACACACTGGCCAAAAACAGTCGTACAGGACCTTCAGCATGACAAAGAGCTGGTGGAATGCCATCTTCCTGTGTGCCTGGAAGACGAGAACCAGACTTGGGAAAGTACCAGACCTCTCTAGCACAGGTATTAAAAATGAATACTGTGACCTTCTGGAAGGACAATTCTAGAAGGTTCTGGAATGAATTTTACAATCAATAAGTCCAGATTCTAGTATTGTGTAGACTGCAAGGGATAAAACATATGTGATTGAAACATTTGAAATATATTTTCCTCTTGTAAGACATGTAAGTCCAAATGAAATACACATATACATATGTAGTGGGTTTGTAAATTTAACCAGATGTACAGCAAAGAAAAATTTCTTTTTTTGTAATAATGTAGTCTTTTACATCCCCTGCTCATTGGAAGGCAGGAAAAATATTAACTAAATATCTAGGAACCTGTGGTTTAGCGGCAAATATCTGAGCTGCAGTGATGAAGACATAGAAGATACTGGGTTACCCATTCTTTCTTGTAATTTGCCTTAAAGCTTTCACTGCTGCAATAATTTTATCAGTTTCTTTAAAATTATTATTTTTTTCCAAATATCCTCTCTATCTGATAGCATCCAGCTGAACAGGGTGGAGGGATGTGAGACTTACTACACACCCTCCTAATACTGAGAGGAAGAAGCTTTGTGCTTCAGGCTGCTGTTGGGTGTGTTGAGGCTGTAGTTCATTGATGTCTGAGGTCATGACTCATGTTCACAGACCGCTGAATGTCCTGTTGGCCTCTGATATTGGAATCTGCTGCACCATGGTCCTCTCTTTGACTTGTACAGTGCTCATGATGGTGAGCCATACCTGACTTGGTCTCACCTAGGATCACCTTTAACCCCTCTGAGCTCTGGCTGAGAGCTGCTCTTGGTAGTTGTTGTAGTTTGAACATTTGTGTCCCCAAACCGCCTGTTGAAATTTGATCCAAATGTTTGAGGTGGGAGTATAATGGGAGGCGTTTGTGTCATGGAGGTGGACCCTTAATGAATATATTAATCTGCACCTTGGCTGTGGGGGTGAGTGAGTTCTTGCACTATTAGTTTCCCAGGAGAACTGGTTGTTTAAAAAGAGCCTGGCACCTCCACCCCTCTCCCTTCCTCTTGCTTCCTCAACCTTCCTCTTGCTTCCTCTCCCACCATGTAGTCTCTACACAGGCCAGTGCCCCTTCACCTTCTGCCATGAGTGGAAGCAACCTGAGCCCTCACCAGAAGCAGAGACTGGCACCATGCTTCTTATGCAGCCTACAGAACTGTGAGCCAAATAAACCTATTTTCTTTAAAAATTACCCAGACTCAGGTTTTCCTTTAGAGCAACACAAAACGTAGTGAGACAGTGGTCCACTCCACAGCTCATACTACAGTCACTTCACCTAGTTATGATGACTTCCTTGGGAAAACATGGTAGCTACTTCTGGGTCTCATGTATACAGCACAGGTTTGGGAAGGATAAATGTCAGATCTTCCTTTTTCACATGGCTTGTTGCCTCTTTTACTTGGATGTGGTTGTATTCCACATTAGTGAAAATAATCTGCAAAGTGGCCTACTCTTTGAACACTAATTAGAGAGTTTGTTAGAGGTGAGGGGCATAAGGAGAAGAGCCTCTTTCTGCCTTCAGTACTATTCCCAGTTGTCTAACAATCCACTCCCTTTCCAGGTAGTCTGTAGAGACTAAATCAGGGAGTGTCTTCTCATCTGACTCCTGAGGACAAGCGTTTTCTCTTATTCTCGTCTGAACTTCCCTCCAGCCTACCAAGTCTGGCTTTCAATATGCTAAATTTGGACAATTTTTCTTAATATAAGAGACTAGCTTGCAGGATTATTGTCTTGCCACAAAATCTTATACAGTGTATTTGAATGTCAGAAACTGAAAATTACCTTATTTCCTTTTCATATTCCATGTTCAGCCTTTCTAATCTTCTCCCTAGGAAGACAGATGTCCCAAGTCAATAGAAATGAAGGACCTGTACTTGAAAATACAAAAGAGAAAGTGCATTAATTATTCTCAATGATTCAGCATTGTAACACATACATATGTGCAAATAAGAGAAAATGAATATACTTTTGGATGGAGACTAGTGTTTCATTTACTCGGTATTCCCATAGACTTTAGAATATGTACTGGAGCTTAGAAGTTGACTTTGTATTTGTGCTTTACTTTACTTACCCAATAAACATTTTCAAATAACCAATTATAAGCCAGGCCCTTGCCATAAAAAGAGTCCATTTCCTTTTGGAGGGCTCAAAATCTATTGGTAGAGAAACTGAATAGGTAAGTAGTAACTCTCACACAAAAAAGGCATGAAAAGAGGTATATAGGTGGCACCATATGAGCAGAGAAAAAACATGTAATTCAACCTTTGATGTCAGGGAAGTGGTCCAGAGAATATCACATTTTAGATGAGTCTTAGTGGATGTCTTCTTTAAGAGGAAAGGGATGGGATAGGTTGGGAGTCATTCTAGGCTTAGGGAGAGCATGTGCAAAGGTAACAAAGATATGTCACTTTTATATTTCTATATGGCTGGAGTACATGGTACACTGGGTACACACTGGGATGCTTTCCATAGTGGTGGTGGACGAGGAAGAAACTGTAAGTGAGCCCAAGGCCAGATCTAAACTGGCTTGCTCAACATGGGAAACAAGTTTAGCTTCATCTCAAGTGATATATGTGGCAGTGAACATTTTTAATCAGAGTGATAATATGCTTAGATAATCGTATTTGAATTTAAGAAAGGTCAGTGTGGAGGATGCATTGGAGGAGGTGGGGCCGGAAGCTGGAAGACCAGTTAAGGGGCTATTCAGTTAAAGCAGATGTGGTAGTTATTCATGCTGTGCAACCACAAATATTTCTAGCTTTCTTTCTTTTGGGCACATGGCATGATTGCTCTGCTCCCTGCGAGGCTGGGTGTAGCTGTGTGACTCGCTTTAGCTAATGAAATGTTAGCTGAGGTGTCATGTGTCATTTCTGGGTGGAAATTTTAAGAGCCAGTGCATGATTCATCTTGTTTTTTTGCTCCTAACTTGGTGATAATGGAGCTTCCATTAGGAACTTAGCCAGGGTCCCTGAGTGGTTATGATAAACAGAGCTCCAGGTGATGCATGCTGGATATGTCGTATACATAAGAAATTTGTGTTAAGCCACGGAGATTTTGGGGTTATTTGTTATCACTGCATGACTTAGACTATTCTGACCACCAGGTCAGGGGAAACAGGGGCCTGAAATAATAGCATGGCAGCAAAAAGGGAGAGGAGTGACAAGTTCAAGAGATGTTAAGGTGGTAGAAGAGACAGAGTTTAGTAAAAGACTAAATATGGGGGAGAGAGAGAGGAGAGCCTAAGATGACCATATTTCTGATCAGTAGGACCATGCCTATCTGTTCATGCACATTACTTTTTTCTTCCCCATTGAATCTAAGCTTTTTGAGAAAACCTTTTATAACTCTTGTGTACTATTTTTTATACTCATTCTCCACTCTTTGTCTCCCCCTCCAACTCTTAGACAGAATTAATTACACTCTTATCTGTTTCAATTGCTTTTGATGCACAACTTGACTATAGCATATCTTACAAGTCAAAGATATTGACAGTATTTCTGATGATGGTGACCATTTCTCCAGGATTTCTAAAAGCAGTGACCTTCTATAAACATTGATTAACAATTTTTTAATTGTCTTTTTAACATTTCACTCCTCACGGTTATTTCTGTTAGCCCTGCAGAAAAAAATAAGTGGAACTACAAATAGAACTATTATCTTCTCTCTTTAAAACGTTTTTAAAAACAATTTTGATCAAATTTTTGCTCAAACCATTGCATAGAAGGGGAATTTAGGATTATTTATAAATGTAACTTGCCCATGATGTCCCTCTCTCATTATCATGTGTAACGAAAAGTTGGCAGGATTTACTTTCTTTCTTAGAAAATTGAGCATCCAAAGGAAGAATAAAATTCTGCAAGAGGAATTCATTTAAAACACTTTTAAGTGAAAAAAATGCTAACAAAGATATAGTGTAGAATCCAATTCACGATTTTAAAAAGCACATGGCTCTTTCAGGCAATGTCAAAGCTCTTTCTGTAGCATATTTTTAAGAATCACAGAGGAAAGATTCGTGATTCTCAAATATGGGCTTTGATGTCTCCTTTCCATTCAGCCCTTGAGCTATTATTAAGAGTGTTTCCCAGAGGACCACTGAGGAGGTGGGCCAGTGGAAACCAACACCCCACCTCCACCTTTGCCTCATTGGAGCTATTGGGTCTCTTCTAATTTAGGATTGGAGCTGAGGAAAAGTGGAAATTATTTCTTACATTTAAGGGCTCAGCTTACCGCTGAAATTGCTTTTCATTTAATTCAAGCAGCAACTGATAGCACAGAACACTTAAACAAAATTAAACAGAAATCTTTCACATTTTGAGAGGCACTTATGTGTGCTTTGTGTGTTTTCTTTCCTCCCCTTCTTCTCCCTCTTTCCCTCCCTCCTTCCCTCCCTTCATTCCTTCCTTCCTCCCCTCCTTCCTTCCTTGTTTCCTTTTTCCCCTCTTGCCACTTAAATAGAATTTTCCCAGAGAAAAAAAGCAGAATAGCTTTCATAGATTTCCTGTATTTCCTTTGGCACTTGGAGTTATGGGAGAGAGGGTGATTGATATTACCGAGGGTTGGAGCTCAGCTTCCCCCTCTGTTTACTGCTGTTCCTTCTCGCACCTTAAACTACCTCCTATGTATTTTAGACAGGTCAAGTCATTAACAAACATTAGTAGAATTCTGGATAGAAGTAATTGTATTTAACTTGTAAAATTTATACCTTTGTATGTTGTATGTCTGTGGGTCTGAGCAATCACACACATCTTTAAAAAGAGAGAGAGCTAGAGAGAAATAAAATCATCACACCATAATGGGAAACAAAATTTCTGAGCAGAATGGACTGTCAGATCAAACTCCTCCTAAAGCAAACAATAATTGCCTTAATTTTTGTGGATAGTACAGTTGGCTAAAATAAGCTAACCAGATTTGTGAACTGAACATCATCGAAGATTTTTGTGATGCAGGCAGCAGGGTTGTTGAAGTATTGCCAGTGAGTAGAAGTGGTTTTGTGGCCACTGGGCCCCTTGCCCACCTTTCTGGGGCCTAATGGTGCAGATGTGAGGCATGAAGGAGTCCGGGCCATTGGAACGGCAACAGGGTGGAGGGGAAACAGACCAGGAGAGCTGGAGCATCTCACTGCCCAGATTGTTTGCAGCAGACAGCAAGAAAGTCCATTAAAAAGATGGTACTGGCCTGATATATCTGGGGCATCTAGTTGCCTTAGGCTAAAAGTACTCTCAACGTATTTTACTGCTTCTCCAAAGCAAACAATTGTTTAATTAGTAAAAATAAAAAAGCTACTTAGAGGAGGAAAGATTGAGGGACGTATTTTCGACTTAAGTAATACTGAATTAAAAATGGTCTCTCTCATCCTGTCTGCTGACATTCATTTTTTAGCAGAAAAGTGAAGACACATTGTAGGATGCCCAGAATTGCTGAATCCATCCTTCAGAATTGCATTCACAGTCAGCCTCTTAGAGAAAGCCGTGTTGGAGCTCTAGCTCTTCACCAACGAAGGCAAATGTAGAGCTACAGCAGGACCTACTGGCTGCCTTCTGAAAGGCCTGAAACAGGTAGTGCTTTTCTTAGGCACAACCTGGGGGCTTGTGTGGTGCTGATGCCAGTGGAAGGAGGGCAAGAGGGGTCCTAAGAAAGAGGAATGTAACTGGGAAAAGAAGAGTGAGAACTACTGAGGGATAAATAATTTAGAACCTTTCCAAAGGAAGCAGTAAATAACAACTTCTTAATGTTTTCTATGGAAGAAAAAAGAGCAACACTTAACATCTGTACATATCGGGTTTTTTTTTTTTGAAAGAGAAAGCTTTACAAAGAGTAATCATTGAAATGGAAAAAGCAGAAGTGGTTTGCCTAGTGAACTGGGGAATGGCAGAGGGCTAGGGTCTGTACTCACCAGGGTGTGTGTGTGTGTGTGTGTGTTTGTGTGTGTGTGTGTGTGTGTGTGTGTGAATCTTGATGTGCATTGAAAAATATAATAGAAATTGGTAATGGTTTCCTCCATCTTACTTTCTGACATAGTTCCTGGGGGCTGGGGAGCATATCCCCTCTTCATGAACATCAGGAAAAAAAATAGAGGAAACAAAATATAGGGCAGCAGACTTTGCTTATCAAACAACTAGCTTCCCTCTTTTGAAGTACAAACTGAAGCCCATGAACTTGGGCCAGTACTGGCGTATGGCCTTCCCTTTTAGTATTTTGTGTGTGTGTGTGTGTGTGTGTGTGGCATGCGTGTGTGTCATTTACAAATGCAAAGATAACAGCAAGTTCTTAGTTGGCACCAAATGGGGGACCGTTAAGTATGAGAAATGATGTCGATTTATCATTATATTATGCCTCTGACAGCGAAACACACCTGTACTTTTTATGTAATTTATTGACTGGTTATAGATGCTGTGCGAGAGAGGAAAAAATTAGCGCAGCTTTAATTACTCATGCTGCTGGTTAAAATATTAATGGGGCACAGAGTGTTGCATGCTCATTTCTGTTGATTTTTAATTAGCAGTAATTCATTTTGCACAAAGCATGTTGATGCCTTTGCCGGAGACATTAGCGAAGAAGCTGAATAAAGATGTTTTTGAGAGAGCTACTGTGCATACAGAATAAAGAGTGCCTGCTTCCTGTCTTGTCTGATAAAAGTTGGGCAAAGTGGGAGACAGATGATGAAACCAAACAATACCAAAGAATCACGGTATATAGTTTAAGTCTCAGGCCTGATCCAATTTGGAGTTTTCCTAAAACCTTCATTTTTGCACACTTTTTGCCCCAGAGGCCGTTATGTGGGTTATTTTGTTTGATTCCAGAAGACTGAAACAAAATCTGAAACACAGACTTCCTTTACCCCTTTTTTCAGTGAATGTCATGATGATATTTTGCTTAATGGAGAAAAATAGGCTGGCATGTGGGTTTTGTATGTGATCTCCTTGACAGGGCTGTAGGGGTTGGGTGAGTTGTTGACCCCTGAGGAGGAAGAGGACAGAGCATTTCAGGTAACTTCTTTTACCTGATAGATACAGGGAAGCCATGGATTTTCTATAATGTGGTGGATAGCTTTCCTTCATGTATCACATTCTAAAATTATTGTTGTGTATAAAGAGACTTCTAACCATGAGCCTCATTCTGTGAAGAATATAGTGAGGTCATTTTTGGCATAGGGAAAGTGGGAGACAAAAATTCAGCTGAGGACATAGTAAAACATGTTTTCTGGATTCTGCACACATTCAGAAATTGTTTCCTTGTCATTTTCCCCTCTTCCTCAGCCTCTCGCTTTGGTTCCAAAGCGGTCCCAGGGTAAATGCCCAAATAAATTCCCTCAGATTCCACTTGCTTTCAGCACCCCACCCGAGTGCATTTTCTGAGGCTTCCAGCCTGCAGAGTCTCAGTCAGCAACATCCTGTTCTAGGATCAGAAGCATGGATTTAGAAGGAAGCAGTGAGGTGATCTAATCCAACCTTCCTTCCAAGCTGGAGTCCCCTTTACAACATCTCCAATAAGCAACATTGATACCCACTTTCACCAGCTACTCCTGTTGAACATGGATGGGGAGAGTTCAGGGGAAAGTGAAAATAAGACACTGTCTCCCCCATATCTTTCAGCTTTAAAGAAATATTTACGGGCAATCCCATTCTTCAGCAGTACCGATTTTCTTCCTGGAACATACCAGGGATGCCAGGAGGAAAGGTGAACTTGGCCTCTTGGATCATTTGTCTTCACTGTACTATTGATCTTCACTAGGCTACTGGGTTTTCTATCACTCCTTTTAAAAAGTTCTTTTTGGCTTCTATATTTCTATTTTTCAGACTTCTATCCAACATCCTCAATCCAATAGGGTGGAAATTTAGGGCACTTTTATCACAACCCTTCTTGAATAAAGCTTTTGAAATGGTAACCTTTTCAGACAGCGTGGTAGAAAAAAGTTAATCTATCTAGAAGCCATATAAAAAGAAAACCAGAAAGGTGTTGGACATTTGGAAGATGACAAAAATATCCTTACTTTTGTAGAATACTCACAGAAATGAATGTCAGAAATTTCACAATTTAAGAAGCTCTTGCAAGGTGTGGCAGAAAGGAGTAAAGGAAAGTGAAAACAGAGTTCCGTGCACCTAGTTTACTAGAAATGGAAGTTTGGGAAGCTTTTGGTCACCTGCTACATAGACACACAACTGAGTCAGTTCTTCCCGTGGAGCGGGAGCTCTCTGAAGGCCAAGCCTGGGTCTTCATGTTAATTTCTGTTGACCATGAAACTCTTTATGCACGGGCATCATTTGTAACTTTGCAGAACACTTCTCGGAGCAGACAGGGACCTGAAGCTAACTGAGTTCTTTTTTTCTTGCTTTTTTCTTTTCTTTTTTTTTTGTCACTTAATCAGTGCTTAATAAGTTCTTGTACAATAAGATTAAATATTTTTAAAATACAGAAAACTATAGAGAAACACAAGTTAAATATCAATGTATTATCACGTAGAACTAACATATTCCAGTATTCTTTTTTTTGCTTCAATCTTTTTCATTTTTCATGAAAGAATGAAGACAATCCAGATTCAGTTAAGTCTTTCTAAAATATATTCTGACATTGTTATCTTCTTTCTCAATCTCAAAGGCAGCCACAATCATGGGTGCTATGTTTATTATTCACATACATTTGTTATATTTAAATTAGACATGTATATATTTTTCTCATATATAGTATTTTACATATGCATGAAACTGCAATTTGTATTTTTCACTCCACATTATGCTTTTCAGAGATTTAGCCATATTCATACACATAATGTAAATTATTTTAATTGCCATATAGTACTTCATTATATACAAACACAGCAACTTAATTCGCTCACACTTTAATGATGGACATTTTAGATTTCTTTTTTTTTCTTTTTAGAAACAATGATGTGATGAACTTTTTGTTCTGTACATGTGCAATACAGTTTTTAAAAAGAATTTATAGCCAGAAGTGGAATTGCTGGATTGTGCTAGTCATTGCTAGACTACTCTCCAAAGTGGCTCAATAGATTTATATGCCCATTGGTAGTTTATGATAGTTTGTACTTTTCCACAATCTGCTCAACACCTGATAATGTCAGACTTAAAAATTTTGCCAACAGATAGATAAAGTGGACAAATCATTTAGTGAGATTGAATATCTTCTCCTATGTTTTGTGAATCATTTAGATTTCTTATCGTGTGAATTTCCTATTAATATTCTCTGCACATTTTTTCACTGGGAGTACTTGGCTTTTTCTGATTGATTTGGAAGAATTCTTTGTATATTTTGAATACTGATCCTTTTCCATATATTTAGATTCCGTGTGTGTGTGTGTGTTTATATATGTGTGTGTGACAGTCTATGGCTTTTCTTTTGTTAGTTTTGTATGTGGTAATTTTACTGAACAGAATTTAGAATTTTCATGCAGCCAAATATATGAATCTTTTCCTTTATGATTTTATAAATTTTGCATTTTGTTTAGGAGATAATGTCCTAACATAACATTCTAACTAAATTCTCCCATATTTCCTTCTAAATGTTGATGTTTTATTTTCCATCCTTAAGTTTTTATTCTATTTATAATTTGTTGTTTATCTCTTTCAATATATATATGCACATGGAGCTATTTACTCCAAGGTATACTCCAGTAACTGGATGAGTCTGTCAGAATGGAATCTGATGCATATTAAAGGCTGCATTTAAAACCAGAGTCACCTCTAACCCTTAGACAGGACCAATTGAGAGTTCCCTCAGAGTCTGCTGCCCCCTCCCACTATTTGGTCAAGGGTGCATTCACACTTGTCCTTTAGATATATTTTATTGTCACATGACTGTATCAATATTCTATTCTCTTTTCTGCCAAGAAATTTCTCTATTTCTCTGTAGATTTGGGGATACAGTAGATATAAGGCAGCAAATTTATAATCAGACTCCACTCAATGGCCCTCAAGACCCAAAAGCCGATGGACATACAGGTGAAGAATTGACACATTGCCTCCCACCAATAAAGGCTGAACTCCCAGACCAGCCAGAATGTCCAGCTGTGTAGTTAATGGAGACTAAACATGTCTTTTCTGTTGATGCTTTTGTCTGATAAAATTTCTCTGTAAATATGGAGTGACTTTCACCTATATTCCTTTCAGAGGGCTATATTTGGTGATGAATTCACTGTCCTGTAAAAATATGTATACATTTACCCAGCCAGATAAGAAGGAAAGGAAAAGAAGGCACTGGTATTTGTTGATAGCTAAACATTTGAGGCTTCAAATACATTTCCTTGGATAAAGTGTACATTATAGAGAAACTTTTAGTTGGTAGCTGAATCCTTTATCTATTACTGTGTAACAAATCACCCCAAAAGTCAGTGGCTAAAACACCATTTATTGTTTCTAATGGGTCCATATTTTAGCTGAGCAGTTCAGCTAATCTGTGCCAGGTTTGGCTGAGTGTGTCTGGACTTGCTTATGGGTCTGTGGTCAGATGGTGGGTTAGGTAGAAGCTTCATAGTCTAAGAAAACCTTAGCTAGGAAGGCTAGGATCTGCTTTACAGGATCTCTCATCATCTGATAAACAATCCTGGTATTGATCACATGGCAAAAGCAGAGGTCCAAAGAATGAGTGAGTGAAAGCATGCAAAGGCTCTTGAGGCCTAGGCTTGGAATTGGCACCCTGTCACTTCTTCCCCCATTCATTCTTTCACCAAAGCAAATCTCAAGCCCAGTCCCCATTCAAAGGTAGGGAAATCAACTCTAATACTTGATGGAATGATTTGCAAAGTCACGTTGTGAAGGGTGTGAATACAGGGAAGTTATTAATTGGGCTGTCAATTAATCTACCACAGTAATTATCACAGATGCCCTACAATGTTGCTTACTACCCAGGTTGCCTGGTCGGAAACTTTGGGCCAATGTTCACTAAGATGAGCATCCATTTATTGACCACATTAAGTGCATATGAGATAGATAGATAAGCAAACGTATGATAAGTGTTATGAGGCAAAAGTTCACAGGCTAAATAATCATCTAAAAAAAAGACTTGACCTAGGCTGAGAGGTCAGGAAATCCTTTATTGAGGATATAACGTGGCATTGAACTCTGAAGGCTGAATAGGAGAAAAGGCCCAGGCATGTACAAGGCACCAAAGCAGGTAGGAATATGGCCCTTTGGAAGAGCAGAAAAGAGGCAAGTGTGGTTGAAGCAGGAAATTGCAGGGATGCAGTAAAGATAACCTGCCCCTATTTTGCAGGCCTTCATGTTTAGGCCATGTTAAAGATGGGAGTTTTTAATCCTCAGAAAAATGAGAAAGTTTAAAGGCCTTTAAGAGAGAACCCAGATCAAATTTCCATATTCATAGAATATCCCTGACTGCTAAAGGGAGAATGCATGCAAGGGCCTCAAGGGAAGATAAGGAGTGATAAATTAGAAAGATATTTCAGATGAAATGTGAAAGAGGCTTAAATGAAAGTTGTCACAGTGGAAATCAAGAAGGGAAAGGCCCTAGTAATATTTTAAGAATGAAATTAATGGATAATGAGAAATAGACTTGTTTATGGCCTCTGCAACTATGTAAATGGACGTGTTATTGACTGAGTTCAGAAATATGAGAGAAGGTTCAAGATGAGGGGAAAGACCATGAGTTTGGCTTAGTGTAAGTGCCTTTGAGACATCCAAGTGAAGACTGGAAGATATCTGAGCTGGAGATGTACCTCAGGGAGTCATAGGTATATAGAGAGTAATAGAAGCCATGGACATCAATAGCTCCCTGAGGAAGAGAGTTGATAGTAAGAAGGCAGGAAGCTCCAGGATCAAGCCTTGAGAAACTCTGAAATTGAAAGCTGGGTAGAAGAGGATGAGAATATACTAAGGAGAAGTATCTAGATAGGTAGGAGGAAAGTCAAGAGAGTGTGGTCTTATGGATGCCAGGGGAACAACAGTCCATGCTGTTGACTATTACTGAGTGATCAAGGAATTTGAGAGTGAAACAGCCCATTGGTTGTAGTGACGTGGAGGTCATGGCCAACTTCATTGAGAATAGTATAGGTGCCGAGCAGTGGGGCGTATGAATAGAGAAAATTAACAAACAGACCCTTCTAAATGCCACACTGGTAGTTTGCTTCAGAGGATTCACCTCTGAAAATTCAATGGAAGTCTTGAGATGTTATAATTCCCCTGTTTACTTTGTCTGCCATCTTCCTCTACAGTTTGGTGAAACAAATTCATAGGATTTTAAATTTGGCCCCTTCATATTAGTGTGCATGGGAAGAAAAGACTAGGAAACTTTTAGCAAGAATGTGAGAGAAAGGATGTTCACCTTTGTGTATCTATTCTCTTGGTAATACCTGGAATTATGTTATTTCCTATATCTACTCAAGCTTACGTTAAGTACTCATTAATATTTGTAAGTAGTAAGGTAAGTATTCCATTAATGTTGTCTGTTAGTAATTTAGGACCTCAGACTCCTCAGAATCTTTTGTTGCTCTCCCGGTGCACTCCTTCAGATCTCAGTGTTATTCTAAGTGCAGTCATCTGGTTCTACAGAAGTATTCACACAATAATTAAAAGGAAGGAAAAGCTATTGTCCTGTTAATATTAATGTATAATTCTGGTGTCTTGCTTTATGTCCAAAGCTATAATTGTATACCAGAAGACCCTCTTTCTACTTTTGCTTTTCGGTTCTTCTCTTTGCATGGAGATAAATTCTTATCAAGGCTTTTGCCTTTCCCACTTTGAGTCATTTCTCTATGTAGTACAGCAACATCTTTTCTCAATGATTCATCTTTGTATTTCACATATGCAGTATTTCCTCATGTATCCTATGATTTAAAAATATGTCCCAATTGTTGCTAATTGTTTTTTTTGGAAAAATTACCACTGCTAAGAACAGTGACAGTGAGAAACAATAAGTGGTCTCTATTTACTAGGTAGATTTTTACAAATGCTTTAGTAAATGGCCTGAGAATACTTCATAAGGAACAACCCTCTAAGAAGGAAATATATTTTTATTTAAATCTCTTACTAATACTCAGGGTGTTTCATTTTTCCTCCCAACTTTCTTCCTTGTCTTGGTGACCTCATCATCAGTCACATGTCACCAAACTGAAGAAATTAAATCTGCACCTTGGTGGCAATACTGATCCCACCACATTGACAGACAGTTCTTTTGTCCTTTGGCCGTGGGGAAGTCCTATTAAGCCATCAAAGCTCACAGCTGGCATGTGGGCTGGTTGAAGAGGAAAGAACAAGACAGAGCTTTTATTTTTTTTAGATGGGATTCCCTTTCCTTGTTACTTTCTCCATTTTCATTCATGGGAAATGGTATGCCTCGTCGAAGAAAATGCTCTAAATATAAGAGAAGAAAGTAGAATAAAATGAGTCACTGGGAGATCAGGGATTTCTGTCTGGGAATATTTATCTTTTTAAGGCTGTCAGAGTGCATGTTTCTGCTTGTTGTTAGAATCCTGATCATTGGTCACATGGCTTCTGTTTTATTAATAGTGGGCTGTACTTTTCTGGAGGATAGATTGGCTTCTAATAGCTGCTTAAATCCATGTGGAAACTAAGCAAAGCAGGGAAGAAGGAGCAGCAGTCTGTAGTTACAGGCTTCCGTGGGTAGCAGAGTGATTGAATAGAACAGCGCTGCCATAAACTGATGAAGTGAGGGCCAGCTGCTGGCCGTTGCCTGCCCTGCACCAGGTCTGTGGCCATAGGCATGTAACTTACCCAAAGTTCCATTTCCTCCACTGTAAAATGGGCCTAGTAATAATGCTTACCTCATATAGAGTGGTTGTAAGGATTCGATGAGTTAATACATGAATAGTAGCTGCTACTTAGGACTACAGGAGTGGTTTGTTGAATAACACATGGGTTCTCTCTGTCACTAAGAATGTCCTAGTAGTTAATGATTTATTGACTGATTTCTCTGGGTCAGGCATTGTGTTTTACGTGCTTTAATTTTTTTCATTTAGCCTTCACACAATTCATAAGGAAGATACCGTATGATAGTATCCTCATTGTATGGATGAGAAACTTGGGATTGAGAGATATTAACTTTCTTTTCATGATCCATACAGATACCTAAGTAGCAGGACTCTAACCCTAGGTTCCTGAACACTGTAGCACACCACCCTCACCAGAAGACTTGCAGGGAGCCTTCCTGCCCATCATGTAGTGTATTTTCACTCTCTAAAACTACACACACTAGGGTGAGTGCTTGAGCCAGAAAATTCAATTCAACTTTTTGAGCCAAGATAACTGATATAAGTGATAACCCCTTTTTGATAGAGGAGTGCGGACTTGGATTTCAGTCCTAGTTCTATTCCCTACTGACTCCGTGACCTTGGGAAGTGTATTAGTCTGTTTTCACACTGCTGATAAAGGCATACCGGAGACTGGGCAATTTACAAAAGAAAGAGGTTTAATTGGATTTAGAGTTCCACGTGGCTGGGGAAGGCTTACAATCATGGTGGAAGGCAACGAAGACCAAGTCACATCTTACACGGATGGCAGCAGGCAAAGAGAGAGGGAGCTTGTGTAGGGGAACTCCCCTTTATAGAACTATCAGATCTCATGAGACTCACTCACCATCACGAGAACAGCATGGGAAAAACCCACCCCCACAATTCAGTTACCTCCCACTTGGCCCCTCCCACAAAATGTGGGAATTCAAGATGAGATTTGGATGGGGGCACAGCCAAACCATATCAGGAAGGTTACTTAATTTTACCAAAACTTAGTTTCTCACATTTATATTATGTCCATAGATTCTTCTTCCTAGGATAACTCTGAGGATTGGCTGAGATGCATATTAATAATACTTCACAAATAATGTGTTGCATTCTGTTGAGTAAAACTCAGATGGAGTTTTGTTGAGGGTTATCTGAATGGAAAATCTCCTGAGAGTTGATTTTGGGCTATGTTAAATTAACTATGTCACTATTATAGGAGAGCTAGTTATTCTAATCTGTCCTGCTCATTCAGCGTCCTACAAGTCCAGGCCTAGAGCCTGAAATAAGAAACTATTTCCATTCAGTGTTTTCAAGTAATTGGCCATCACAAGTAACAAGATGGTTTGTTGTAAATGCCAATAGTGATAGACTGAGTTTGAAAAAAGGAGGGAGGGGGGTGGGACTTATTGACCAGAGAAAAAACAAGCCAAAGCCTTGGCTAATTTGTGTAATCAGCTTTATCAATTTGCATAAATTGTGCATCAGGCTATATTCCTCTTGGGTATAATAAGCCCAAATTTAGTTTTTCTAATTTTAAAGTCATCAGTTGCTCTTTTTTTTTTTTTTTTTTTTTTTTGCTTCTTCTGTTCATTTCTGGGACTCGTGTGGGTCACACCTCCATGCATCTGTCAGGTGGTCTAATGCATCCCTAATTCTCGGGGACCCTGTCAGTGCCTTGCAGTAGCATCTAATGCTTATTTTCCAAAATTGGCCCAGCCTCGACCTTGGTCCTACACGCTATTTACGTCTCTATCTATATTTCGTGTGCCTCTTCTTTTGTTATGTCCTTGTTCAGATCAGGATGTGCCAAATATTTTTAAATGAACCCCTTCCATTTGCTGTGTTCTTCAATCATATCCTTTCAAATGACTCTGCCAAATTCTAGATTTTTCGCTAGCAAGCTTCTGTCCTAGATTCCACCTCTTGCTTTCTCTCATTACTTCTTTCTCAGCACTCATGACTTCTGCTAAGGATCTCTAGATAGTTCCAAAAGGTCTCAGAAAGTTTTTATTCTTCTTTGAGGTTTAATAGATAAACTGTAATGATTTTAGGGCTACAATATAGATCCCTTTTACCCCCCTCTTCTAACCTTGTGCTACTCTCTCAGTTCAACCCCTCCCCATATTTTTTCTGCATAGTTTTTGGGGTATTCTCACTGACATCTCACAGATATCAATTCATCTTTCATATTTGCCACCACAATCTGAGCTTGGAAATGATTGAAATATATCTAATCAAAAGAAGTGAGTATAGAACTTGTTCACCAACTATAGTAATTAGAAAACTAGTGAACCTGCTTGAAACTAGCAAGAATTCAAGAACAAACATGAGAAAACACTGTTTTATATAGCATGTAGGTAGCATAGACAAGGTTATACAAGTTGAGAACATTAATAACTTTTAGAAGGCTTTAAACTTATGGATAATTCTTTAGACTGCATCCTTAACCTTTGGAGGGTGAGGTCACATGGGAGCCTGGGCCACAAACCATCTTCAAAAACCAAACACTAAGTTTGTGGACAATTCGTAAAACCCAGACAGTATTTCTTAAGATTTTACGCTGTCCAGAGGGCTGAACTTCTGACATAAAAATCTTTATCTCAAAGATGCAAATGTGAACCAAATGTCCTTTTTAAAACAGTAGCTAGTTATGGCACTAGAGATGTTTAAGCCCCAGGCTTTACAAACAATTTTATAATATCATTAGCCTAAAGATTGCCCCTGCCTCTATTTCATAACACCAACATTTGCAAATCTGGGCTTTTGCAATTTTTTCTGTTTCTTTCAATGTCACTGGAACTCTAGCATCTGCTTTCAGAGAATAAACTTTGCTTTCTCTCCTCAAACCCATGGAGAATGACAAAGGAGAGGAATGATGAACTTCTTTTATGCCCTTAGCCTCAGTCACGGCCAGCCTGATCATATTTCCTTTGGGTTCTGGCTATATTGGCCAATCATTTTCATGGCTGGTTTAAAGAGCATGTGCCTAATTTAGAGCTGCTGACACAGGGCAGGGAAACAGCCACCTGGCAAATGCCTTGGGCTTTGAATGATTCCACTAACTTGAAGCCTAGGCCAAGTTCCCCTCAAGTTGTACTGAGGTTTGTAAACCTTTTGGCAATGCTGGGCCAGGACTGGACCAGGTAATCAGAGTTTCATGGTCCTCAGCTAGGTGTGAAATTTTAATCAGAGGGATTTTATTTTTGCAAAAATATAAGGCACCACCAGACATGTCACATAGAATTAGGCACTGGATTCACTGAAGTTCAAGATGAGTCAGATGGTTTCTTACAAAATGGCAAATCCTGTCATCTTTGATGGGCCATTAAAAATAAATGGAATCAGCGTAGTTCTATTACCCCCTTCGTCTTATGGGGAAATATTACAGTATAATTTTTAGTTCATCCACATTTTAGAACTGGATAATTACTTTCCATTTTAATTGCAAGATGGCACAGAAAATGCATAAGCTTCAGCCCAAAAATACACTCTCTGATCCAGTAGATATTGTAGAAACCACTTGCTATTATATCCAATATGGTCTCCAGACGCACTCCAGACTCTCAGAAGTTCATCTAGAATGGTTTCAGCAATCCTTATATCTGAAAAATAAACACTAGACACAGAAGACATTGGGACATCAGGCTAAAGTGAGAGCAGGCTCTTACCCAGCAAGACAAAGCCAGAGCTGGCTCCTATACAAAGGGAATTTAAAGCTTAGTAAGGAAGCAGGGCTGACTGCTAATGTGGAGGATGGATGAGGAAGATGTCTCTGTGGCTTGATATACCAAACTCCACAGAGCTCATCCAGAGAGATTCTGGAGAGACAGAGTCCTTTGAGTATTCTCTGCCAGACCTCTGCCAAAAACTGAGACCAAGTCACCATATGCTGCCTATTACAGGGGTAATTCACATGAATGCCATGTGAACTAATTTCTTGCCATCTCTTCTTGACCTTGGGCAAGTCACCAGGTCTCCATGGGTTTTGTGGTAGCTTCTTCCTCTCTCTGACTGGGATGTGCAAGCCAGGGGTGGGAATGGCAGGTAATACTGGGCACAGAACAAAATGTGGCTTCTAGAATCAGACTGCTTGATTTGAATCCCGGTTCTGCACTTCCCAACTGTGTGACATTGGGAAAGTTACTTACTCTTTGTGTGCCTCAGTTTTGGCACCCATAAAATAGGGTTAGTGGTAGAATTCACCTCAAAGAGTTGTGAGGATTAAATAAGTTATAGACAAGAAGGCTTTAACTCAGTAATCCCTCAATAAATATGATGATAATGATGATGTCTCAGCCAAAGAAGCTATGTGGTGTATGTGTGTGTAACCAGAGAGAGGTGTGTAACTAAAGTGATTTAATAAGGGAGCCTGGGCCTAAGGTGTGTGGGCTGTGATAGAAAAGCATAAGTCCAGGGGACAGGGATTTCTAACCCCTCACTCCTTGAGTCTGAAGACAGTGATGGTACTGGGGATCTCAGGTCACCAAGGTCCATTTCTTCACTGACTACCAGTCTCCTGGTTTCAGGGGCAGGGGCTTGTTAATGTCACTGCCAGTTGTCTCACTGAGGAAAAACTAGACAATGGGTGGGACACAAGAACTAAGAACTAAAGGGGATGGGATTCCTTAGGGGTAACTGAGCAAAAGTTTTAACTTTCTCTTCTCAAGTGAAGAGATAGTCAGGACATGGGTCACTGGGCTGTTAAACATTCCTGGAGGGCTCAGAGAGATCCAAGGCGAGGCACCCTGGATGTGGAAGGGCCCAAAAAGCCTTGTAATGTGAATAGAACCTCAGTAATTCAAGCTAACAAAACTAGATCTGTTGTTTACATTTCTTCCCTCTTGAGGCTTGCATTTTCACAGGTGGGGCTGGCCATGAATATGGCCATTCCTTTATCTTTTTCTCCTGTTTCTCAGCCGTGATAGGATGCCTGTCGGTGATTTGATACCTGACTGTTTGGTGTGATTATTTATAATCTGCTCATGTTTTCCTTTTCCAAGTTTGTTCTATATCATTGTCATGAATACCTTCATAAGAACAGAAATAAGATAAATAAAAGAACTGCCTTATTTGTGTTTACCAGAATACTTAAAATTTGCTCTGAGCCATTCTTCATAGGAAAGACAGACAGGAGTACTGATTATACTTAGGTTTAAAAGTCTTAGTTGGCTGCATTTCTTTATCTCTCTCATCAGCACAAGTAACTTGACTGCAATCATTATGTTTTAAAATAAAAAGAGTGTTTTTAAAATTCTTAATTCTTTAAAATACCTCTAGAAAAGTCATATAGTATGTCTCTAATAGCTAAAATGAAGTAGCAGTTGATTCTTCATATCTTCTTACACACATTAAATGAAACATAATATTTTTGTGAGTTTTCTTGTTTAATGGAAACTATACTGTTAATTGCATTTGTAGAAAGGTGAGGAAGATGGAAATGTATCAGCTGAAGGTGACTCAGTTGAGGCAGGAAGTAAGGAAGCCTTTCCCTGAGAGAAAGCTTTGGTTAGCTTTTGTGCGTGGCTTGATTGGTCCATGTTATTGAGGGATGCTTGAGTACCATAGAGAAATCCTTCAACAACGTGAAGAGAACTTTAAGCCAATTATATACCTAAATTAAACATTGACAAGAATGTTAATTTAACAGACAAATTTTGTCTGTTAATGTTAACAGACAAAAACTGTTAGAGAAAGAGAACACAATTGGGACTTTTTATTTTAAATTGACATACTGTAAATTCTTTTGTATTGAGCATATAAATGCAACCAAACCCAGTAGTTTCTAACAGTTAATTTATGCATGTATTGAGTTTCAAATATTAATTTAGTAATTCAACAACTACTTGAATTTCTTTATCATGAATCTCTGCATTTCTGTGTCTTTCCTGTGCCTATCCCATATGTACTCTAGAGACCTAAGTAGCATGATATAGTTTTCTCATTGGTTTTCTTGGTTGGGATCATTTATTTTTAATATACCACCTTGTCAATATTCTTAATATTCTTGAATTTTCATTCATTTAATATATATTTTTCATCATTCTTGCAACAAACCTAGAATTATCATAGTTCTAGATATAGAAAATGCAGACTATGTTTACCCCTGAATTTAAAGAACTTTGTAATATTACCAAGAAGATAAAAATGCATGAAATGACAGTAGCTTGACAGTGTTAACTATCTGTGTAATATGGTTCCCAAGAAGAGAAATATTTTGATTGTCAGTTTGCATTGTCAAAGAGGGGACCATGGGCCGGGCTCGGTGGCTCACGCCTCTAATCCCAGCACTTTGGGAGGCCGAGGCAGGCGGATCACGAGGTCAGGAGATCCAGACCATTCTGGCTAACATGGTGAAACCCCATCTCTACTAAAAATACAAAAAATTAGCCGGGTGTGGTGGCGGGCGCCTGGAGTCCCAGCTACTCGGGAGGCTGAGGCAGGAGAATGGCCTGAACCCGGGAGGCGGAGCTTGCAGTGAGCCGAGATAGCGCCACCGCACTCCGGCCTGGGCGAAAGAGCGAGACTCCATCTCAAAAAAAAAAAAAAAAAAAAAAAAAAAATAGAGGGGACCATAGGAAGGTAGGAGTAAACTTAGGGGATGGAGGGAGAAATTCCAGGCAGAAAGATTGGCATGCCCTGAGGCTTGTGTCATCGTTAGTATTTTGATTGATTTTATTACCTTATTGGAACAGGCTGCCTATATGGATGTGGGGCTTAGAATGGGCCACACTCCCTCGAACCCACCCAATTTGAGATTTAACTCTGCGATTTCCCATCATGAACTAAGAGTAATTTGAGACCTGAGACCATGTCCTTTTCATTTCTCTGACTCCAGTGCTGGGCACTTAGAGGTTATCAACTGAATGAAGGAATCTTTCAAAATATAGAATTTCCCGATGCAGCTTGCCTGAGAGATCAATCAATCAGTGCTTGGACAGATCCATTGATTTGAAGCTCTCTTCTTCGCAAATCCATGCCATTGTTGGACTCTTGATTTCTAAAAGCCCTTTTCAAATAATGAATTGAAAATTACATCCAGCAGCTTCTGCCCACTGGTCCTGGTTGTGCCTTCTGGAGCCAATTTGGCAGCCCCACAGCTCGTTCAGGTGGCAAAACATTTTCGGCCTGGTCCATTTTGGCTCAGGTTGTATAGACACACCCATGTGCCTGACTTCCTTTGGGATGTTTTGCAAGATTATTTATCAGTATGGCCCAAAACCAGACAGGACAGCATGAGTGGCCTGCACCTTTTGTTCTTTTTTGGTGGAAGAGAAAGACACACTGACCCTCCTAAAATCCCCACAAACCCTGGCAAGTCACTGGTTCTGCTGTGAATACATTGATGGGAGTGATTCTAAGAGGCATGCCTTCCAAATCCTGGGACATTTTGAATCCCAGCTGCCTGCTACCTTAGCAGGGTAGCCTCTGCTTTCCCTCTAGGGACAAGAAAAGAGCTCCTTGAACACACTGGCTAATCTATATTTTTATTTTGTTTTTCAAGGCAAATTTTAATAACTTCTGTAAGTGTCGTCTTCCTATTTGGCAGTTTGTGACCTGAGGTGATACCTACCACTTTGGCCAGAATATCCAGGCAGCAGGAGATGCTAGCAAGCTAGGCAAGATGGGGTTGCAGTAAAATTTTTTTCTTTCTCCTCCATCCAAACTGTTTTTCCCTGGGACTTTTTCCCAAGCGACATGTCAGCTGTAAAAACACGAATCTTCCCTCTCCTGGTGCCCTGTGCCCCCCCACCACCTCCCAAAACATATGCTATTTATCAAATCTAAGAATAAAAAGAATGCAATTTCAAGAAAGCTTTTAAAGATTTCAATTTCCTTAAAAAAAAAAAAAGACAAAGCACATGTGATCGTCTCGAGGTGTCATGCTGAGTGTTTGCTGTTTGACACTCAGCTGTCATTAACAGCTAAGCATTATTCTTATTTTGTCGGTAGAAATAATCAGGGTCTCCACACATGCCACATGTTTAAATCAGTGATATTAAGAGTCTCCATTCAGTGAAATTTGCTGACTGCACTGAACTCACAGTTTGTGAAGCAGCTTTGTGCTGGTTGAAGGGGAAGAGAGCTCTGGCCATTTCTGGCGAAAAGCAGGTCTTGTTTTTCATTACTCCCTGGGTGATCACAGGATATCTGATGTAGTGGGGTCCAGTATGGCCACATGTGGCTATTAAGCATGTGAAATGTGGCCGAAGACATGCTGTAAGTGTAAAATATGACACTATTTCAAAAATTTAGTATAAAAAAGGAAAAATCTCATGAGTGATGTTTTATATTCCATGTCAAAACAATTTTTTGATGTATTGGGTAAGAAGAAATATTATTTAAGTTACTTCCACCTGCTTATTTTACTTTTATAAGAATTGCTACTATAACATTTAAAATGACCTACATATTGATAGGACCATACTGATCCCAGAGAGGCAGGGAAGGTGTTGCCCAAATGGAAATCCATGATTAATCCATTGTCACCTCATGAATGTAATTTCTTAAAACATTAAATGACATATTTTCTCCTGAATTGAAAAACATTATTTTATTTATCCAGAAATCTATGACCATGTCCTTGTTTTGGTACAGGTTAAAAGGAAGTGAGTTTTGTTAGCCGTTTTAGTCCATGAGAATGCAATGTGTAGTGTTCACGAGTGTAGTGTTAGCAATCATGTCTCTAAATTTCATAGACTGCTCAATGGGGCTCTTCCCTCTGCTTTAGACTTTCTGCTTCCAGATATGGCTTTGTTTGCATGATTCTATGGATCACATATCTGAGTGTTACTTAAACTTCCAAACCCACTGGACTAGAGATGAAGTACCTAGATCTTGAGAAATCAGGGATCTCAGGGCACTCTAGTTACAGGACACCCCTTTTCTGAACCTGCCTGAGGCACCAGTGTCTGGGTGAACCATCCGATCTCCAACTTTTATCCTTAGATAGTAATTTGACTATAAGCCATGTACTAGGGTATATAAATAAATTATGGCTATTTCTCTTAGAATGTGTGAACATCAAGTTATCCTATTTGTTTACTATTCTTGACAAATTGTGAATTATCTTTATAGCATTTATTTCCTATTCTGTATTTATCTTTCACTTAAAAATTATTAAAAGTGAACATGGCTGGGAAATGTTACTATATTTAGCCTTTTAAATTAATCCATGGTACAGTTTTTCCTAGAATGGTCAGACACACAGACCTTGACTTGAACCTGAATTTTTCACATTCCTTACAAGTAGTTATCTCATGAGTTTGGTTATCCTCCTGGTCTCTTTACTGGTTCCAAAGGGAGGCTTTTGACTTCCTTCCTTCATTTTCCTTCCACCCCTCCAGCCTCTGGACCCTATACCCTCCCTACACAACCTTCTCTGAACTCTCTCTAAGGTCAGAAAAGGCAGGAATGATGGGACAGGTGTCTGACTGTTCTGGGAAGGGGTAAAAGGGAAAATCTTGGTATCTAAATCTGCACTGTTCAATGTGGAAACCACCAGCTAATAGTATGACTATCAAGCACTTGAAATATGGCTAGTGATGTGTTGCAAGTGTAAAATACATATCAAATTTGAAAGAAAATGTCTTATTCTTACAAACATAAAACTACGACATAAATCTGCCTGTCATAACTCTATTTCTATTTTGAGCCTCCATTCTGCAAGAGTTGGGAAAACAGAATCAATCTGGAGTCACCCTCCCCTTCTCTCCTTTGCCTGGATTTGTAGCTGCTCTGGGGGCTTACCTGATCCCAAGATACTGTGGGGATGTGAGGCCTAGAATCCTTCCACCTCAGCAAAGCCCTTTGAGAGCCAGGGCTTGCTTACTTCTCCCACCATGCTGGTTGCTGGAATCTCAGAGAAGCTGCCCAAGGCCCTTTCCAACTTGCATGCTGCCATCTAGCATATGGTGTGATTTTGGGTCCCCTGGAACATGCTGGAATGTAGGAAGTGCTCATGAGCTATCTAAAGCTCTGTTGGCTTAGACCAGGCATGGGCAAACTATGGCCCACAGACCAAACGGGGCCTGCTGCCTGTTTATGTAAATAAAGTTTTATTGGAACATAGCCATATTCATTCATTTACATATCACTTGTAGCTACTTTTGTGCTGATGACAGAACTGAGTATTTGTGACAGAGTCCATGTGCATACAAAAGCTAAAATGTTTACTATCTGGCCCTTTAAGGAATAGTTTGCCAGCTCTTGACTCGGACACACCGGGTATCCATATCTTCTCTGGGCTTTTCCCACCTTCCCACATTCCCAGGGCTCTACCTGGGGACTGGGGTGTAGGTTTCTTATACTTTTACATCTCATCAGCTGTCGTTTCCCCCATATCTCCATCCCAGACTCATAGCGAAGGTGTCAGAATCCAGGCTCATTTCTCAGGGACCTCACCAGTATCTAAACTCTAATCAGTTCCCTTCAGGAAAAGAAGACTTGCTTCCAGTTCTTTGAGTATATTTCCAAATCATTGTCTATTCAAAGTCTAGGGTTTAAAATTCAAATCTCAGATTTTTTCTCAAATTTCCATTATGCATCCCTTTCCTGGATCATTGAGCAAAGAATTGTTTAGATCAGTGTCTCTTAAAGTGTGGACCACAGGACGGCAGCATCAGCATCACCTGGGAATGTGTTACAAATGCAGATCCTTAGACCACATCCCAGTCCCACTGAGCAGGCAGGAAACCCTTGGTGTGGGGCCCAGGAATCTGTGTTTTGATAAGATCTTCAAGTGGTTCTTATGCAGGCTAGAATTTGGTAACTAGATTGAGTGCATTAGATCAAGTGGACTATATTGAGCGATGTCAGGAGTGGAGACTGGAAGAAAGCACTGGATCAAAACTGCAGTCTAATATTTCACTCCCCTCATGGCTGTGCTTATGTCTACTCTTACAGTTCTTTCTCAGGTACCAATTTGCTTTAATTCATCAATGTCATGCCTACTGTGGCCCAGAAACTGTGATGAAATATTCATAGAAGCCCAAGGCTCTTTGTTTCTCCAAGCTGTTGGTACTTTTTATTTAGTCCTCTGTCCAGGTCAAGGCTCATCCTTAGTAGCTGGAGATCCATTTCCCCTTCCCTTATTTCCAAACTGGACTGTGTATACTCAGGATTACAGTGTGTACTGCCAGATTTGCTAAGCTATGCCATTAATGGGGAACACTGGGCCCGGCAATCTAGATTTGAGGAAAACCTGTATGGCTAAGCATGGGTAAAATGGAGATTAGAATATACGATTTGCATTTATTTTAGAAAGAAAACAACATATTTGTAGGATTGCTGCAGACTCTGCTGTTGTAGCCTCCAGGGAATGTATTCACTGTCCTTTGCCAATGGAAATGTTTGAGGAGTCCTCGAGTAAGTAATTTGAGGGGTGGTAGAGTACGACTTGCAGACTTAGTTTGGGCACTTAACTCATTCATTAATCAGGGACTGTTCCAGTTAACTTCTTTATTCTGTTACTCAGATATTCACCTTTTCACCCGTGTAGTCTTAATTCTTAACCATGTACTATCTATATTTGGATCTGTTTCTTCCTTCATATTCATTTCTTTCCTTGTCTTCTTCCCCTCCTTTTCACCCTATGCCTTCTAAACTCACTGATCATGTTTATAAGAAAGCTACTGATTCAGCCAATGTTTGAATAAATGTTTTGGGGGTCTCTTGCAGCTCCACTTTTGCTTTTGTGCTCTGATCAGCTAACCAATGCATCTGATTTATTCTAAAATAACTTTCACCACACACTGCTTACTTAGATATCTCTGCCCAGCCTTCTGCCAAACTCAGCATGTTTGCTGCAGGCTTAGATACTGCCCAGTGGAGCTCCTTGCTCTGGATTCTCCCTATTCACAACCTTTTACACCTTGTTCATGCAAAGCTTTGCGTACTGAATAGACAGTCTGCCTCGTGAGATACCTACGTTGCTGTTTCTCTCACACCAAAATGACTGTGTATGTGCACTAGCATATTCACCCACATTTTGTATACTCGTTTTGGAGCCCTTTAAAAAATGTAACCCTGGAGGGAAATTTCCCACACATTTCCTTTAAGTTGATTCTTTTTCTATGCTTTTTATTATGACCTTTCCATTTTTGAAGGCTGATGAGTCAATAAGGAAATCTTATGGCCAAATAGAAATGTGAATTTGAAAATTTCCCATTTCAAGTTTCCAGCATTGCTTGATTATTTTTGCTGTGAGAGTAGTGGTATGTTAGATTTAGGAAAGAAATGAGCCTGTCTTTTTCCTTTTTCCTTTGTTTTGCTAAATAATTCATAGCGAAAATCCATGATTTTTCACAGATCTTCTCTATGTCAAGTAGCACTGAGCTAAAGATAGCAAGTAAGGGGGAAACCTCAGTAATTATCAAGAATTTGGATACTTTTCTTTTATTATCAGAAATATTCCTGACCAACCTTCTGTCTAAGTCCAGTATTTACTGGCTCAAATTGGTCACAACCCGCTCCCTTTTAGTTGCAGCCAGAAAAAATTAACAATTGAAATATAGAGGCTTTTATATTAATTTTTAATGCTGATTATCATTTTCCAAGGTTTCCTTTGGAGGGAATACTCTAAATATTGTTGATATGTGATTTTCCTCTGAAGATAATAAAGACATAGGTATTTGACTAACTTCTGAATTCCACCTTTCCCACTTCCTCAAATATTTAAAATATCTTATTTGAGTGTACTTCCATACCACCCTGAACACGCCTGATCTCGTCTTAAAATATCTTATTTGAAAAAAAATCTCCTAAATAACTGACTAAAGAAAAAAAATATTCACCACAGTGAGATCTCCTGGTAGGTTTCATGGGATCCAATGACGAGTTAATTCCATGCCAATGAGAGCTTCGTGATTAGTGGTTATGACAAGAGTTAAGAGCCCAGCATCAAGTGGGCAATATGATTTTCAATGAAAGCATTCATTTTCCTCTAAAAAAGGAAAGTCATCAATTTGGATTTTCTATAATGAGAACTATCATAGAATCTTGGGTTTTTCTGGATTAGAGGATTTGAAGAATAGTTATCCAAAGAAAATGGCAGTAATGGAAATAAAATATTCTCTATCAAAAAATTCCGGCCGGGCTTGGTGGCTCACGCCTGTAATCCCAGCACTTTGGGAGGCCGAGGCGGGCGGATCACCAGGTCAGGAGATCAAGACCATCCTGGCTAACACGGTGAAATTCTGTCTTTACTAAAAATACCAAAAATTAGCCACGCATGGCGGTGTGCGCCTGTAGTCCCAGCTACTCGGGAGGCTGAGGCAGGAGAATGGCGTGAACCCGGGAGGCGGAGGTTGCAGTGAGCTCAGATTGTGCCACTGCACTCCAGCCTGGGTGACACAGTGAGACTCCATCTCAAAAAAAAAAAAAAGAAAAAAGAAAAAATATTCCTTTGACTTTTTCCTAGGAAGATAACTGGAGTGGCGGCATGTTACATAACCTGTGCTATCATAAGTACTCTACAGAACAATTAAAAATTGAAAGACTCCATCATAATCGAACACACTCAAAGCCACTTGTGTAGCTGCACTGGGTGCCCTCTCTCCCTTTCAATAATTGCAAGATCTGACTATATATTATAAGCCTAGATGCATCATTTCATATCATCCATTGTAATGGGGTAGAATTCTGATGGTGCTCCTGAGGAAAAGGGCCCCAACTGTCAATTTATCCACTTTGACTGATGGAGTAGTATCAGTGTTTGTAGGTTTCCTTTCAGGATAGGAGAAGGTAGAACTGTTAATCTCATAAAGCAAGCTGCTTCTCACTCAGGACTTTTCATGGGTATCCCTCCCGTGGAAGTCTAGAGAAACTCCCAGGCAACTAACTGTCTCTGTTTCCCCTTCCCCTTCTAAAAAACTTCATGAAATAATGTTTTCTTCATATGCTACAAAACTATCATATGCCCAATGTCATTAAATCCTGATAGACCTACCCAGATTAATAACATCTGATGATCAAAAGGAACTAAAACATTCCTCTTATTTGGTATGCTCATCGCATTGAAGAGGAATGTGAGTTTTAAACCATTGACCTCAGTGGGCCTAGATCTGCTCTGGTCGGGAGTAAAACTGGGCCTGTCTCTTCCTCTCTTTTTCTATCTGCTGACTCAGAGGAAAAGCTACCCTAGAGTGAATCTCAGTAGACCTAAAAAGAATGACAATATGTGCAAAATTTAGAGAAAGTAAAGGAGCAACTCCAAATTCAAAATTCATAATCACAAAGCACAGACATGAGGATGCAAAATTAAAATGAAGAAAGCAAAGGAAGGAAGAAACCTAAACCCTGGTGTGTATAAAAAGCTTAGGGCAAGATTCCCTCTCCAACTGCACCAAGGCGCTCTCAACTGTGCATTCCAAACTCGTTCCAGGAGCAGCACCCCCACTGATGTCGGTGGGAGCTCTACACTCAAAAGCATTGAAGCAATGGCAATAAAGATCCACAGTGTACGAAGGAAAAAAAAAAACCACCACCAACAAGAAAAACTGCTTAGCGTGGGCACTAAGCAGGGAGTTTCTGCCCTTAGCAACCAGAGCAGGAATGCAGGGTAGACACCAAGCAATGGGCCTGTCTACCTGAGATTGTAACTTCTGTCAGTCCCCCTGAAATTCAGAGCCTGAGTCAGTGGATGACAAAACAGGAGGCACATTTGAACCACCTGGGGAGCTTTAAAAACATAATAGTACCCCAAACCCACCCCTAGAGATTCTGATTTAATTGGTCTGAGGAGGAGCTGGGGCATTGGTGCCTTTTAAAAGCTTCCCTGGTGATCGTGATGCGCAGCAATGTTGAGATGTGCTGCTCACATTACGAAGTTCCTCAGAAGGTTTCGTGTCTATGTCACAGAGAGCAGGGTGGTCAGCAGACGTGTGCCTGATCGCTGCCTTGGGGGCTCAGGAACGCAGGTGGAATTAAATCTTCATTTATGAAAACTGTGGAGAAAATAAAGTATTGATCTTACTTGAGAGACTTTTATGTTAGTCAATTAAATTAGTACTGTACCTTTCTACTAGTAAAATAAGAGTACCATTACTATATGGAAATATAATGTTCCATAATATTTTTATTGTGAGACAGGGGACGTGTCTTACTGCACTCAAATGTACAGTTTATGCACGACTATAAAGTTAGCTGTAATCCATAAACAGGCGATATAGATCTTAGATATCTCTTTTAAGATCAGTTGGAAAGAAAATTCCTTATTCCTTAGCAACACCATAGGAAGCAGGATTGCCTCCAAGAAAAAAAAAATCCTTATCTTTCCTAATTATTTCACATGAAAAGGCAATAGAACATTCCATTATTCTAATATTTGAAGGGGAATAAATGTTTTTCTGATAATTCTCATGTACATCATTTGTGTATTGCAATTGGAAACTGAAAAAATACGTATTTTCATTTTTTTAGTGCTACTCACTGAACTACCCTGCAGCAAGAACCAAGAGATGTATTTTCCCTGAATGTCACATGCAACAATAGAAAATAACACAATATGTAGGAAGATTATGTGTTTCCTGGGTTGTTGGAGGGCTGATAGTTTCAAGCACAGTACAAATAGGCATATTCCTTGAGCATTTTCACTTTAGGCTATTTGGAAATGTGTCATTTAAAATGTGGAATCCTGGCATAAGATTTTCACACTGAAATTTTTTCAAAACTATCTAAAATGTGTCTTATTTGTGAAAATGCATCTTATTAATCCATTGTGATATAAAATAACAGCTGCTAATATGATTTTAAAGTTTGTAATAAAGTGCATCAAAATGTCTATAGAATGGATCGTGACAGCACAGCCAACAAGCGATATTTCAGGGACTTTTAATGTGTGAGTAAAATGCCAACATGGCAGAAAATGAAAACTCCCAAATGTATCTTGTCTGATTTTGACATTTACTCTCCTAATTCGGACCCCACACCCACTTGTCTCAGGAATTTCTGTTGTTAGAAAGGAAGAGGAAGGTGAAAGTCATTGATGCTAAAGTAAGTACTACAACCCCTGCTACCAGTCTTTGTCAGTTAGCTATTGCTGCAAGAATGCTGTGTAACAAACCACTGTAGCTCAGTTGCTTAAAATCATTTATTCCAGTGTCTCTGGGTCAGCTAGATTTTGGTTGATCTAGGTAGGGCTTAGGCAGGCTTGGCTCCAAGCTGCAGGATAGGTTCATTTCTGATGGAGGAGTCTTTTGTACTTTTTGGATCAGTAGCTAACCAAGCCATGTTCTTCTCATAACAATGGTGCAAGTGCAAGACAGATGAGTGGAAATACACGAAACATTTCAAGGTCTAGGCTTGAACTGGTACACTGCCTCATCTACCTGCATTCCATTGGCCAAAACAAACCATATAGCCAAACCTGATATACATGATGGAAGGTCAGGGGAATATACACTGCCACTAGTGAGAAGAATTGCACTCACTGACAATTACAGCTGTTTGGGGTCATCAGGGGTCAGGATTCTTGTGTGTAGCTATGGTTTTACTTTTAAAAAATGATTTGATATGCACATAAACATATAGTCTTGTTAGAGATGATATTGTGTAAGAGCGCAGTTTCTGGTGCTAGATTGTCAGGGTCAAAATCCCACCTCCCACAACTACTGTCTTTTTGACTTTAAGCAAGTTACTTAATTGCTCTGTTCTTTAGTTTCCTCATCTGGAAATGTGGAAAGCAATAGTGCCTAACTAACAGGGTTGTTGGAAGGATGAAATGATTTATATTTGTTTTACCTTAAAAGATGAATAGGCATCTTTAGCCAGAGTAATATGTGGCATTCAAGTCTTCCAGAGTTGTTTCTGAAGTTGTCTCTGAAATATAAACTTCTGGAGGCCAGGAACCATGCTTACTTTACATACTGTGTAGATTTTCCACTAAATCATCATATTTAGCAAGTGGTCTAATCTGTTATTTGGGTGATTATGGTGGCTAAGCATGAATAAAAATTGTTAACTTTTCTTACTTTTCACATCTGCTTCCTTTGTCAAAATATGCTGATTGCAACCTCATGGCTATATTCACCTTTCCTTGGGAAACTGAAGCAAATTACATCTAACCAAACGAAAATATGATTCTTTTAAAATATATTTATTTGGCATCTACTGTGGGTAAAGAACCTTACTGGACAGTGGGGAACAGGGCCTGGGGAATGAGAATTACAAAGATGCGTAAAAATGCCCTGTTCTCTTAAAGAGCTTCAACTCTATCAAGACAGATAAGACACATGCATATGGGTGCATATAGGTAATAGTGAAGCCCAACAGAAAAGTACATGCTAGAGAGAGGTGGGGGCATACGTTTTGATGAACAGAGTGAAGAGCTGTCTTCATTGTTTGTGAGTTTATTCATCTATAGAATGGAAATAATAATGGTACTTATAGAGTTGTGAAGATTAATATATAAAGCACTTATAACATGTTAACCATTATTATTATTAGTGGCAAGATGCCTCATGGTTATGGAAAGAGATGAGAGGGAAGGGTGCACAAAGGACACATTTAAGCTGAAACTCGTCGTTTCCTGAAGATTTGAGCATACAGAGATGGAAGGAACAAAACGCGTCACTGTCGGGAGTCAAGTTTTGGTTTAGACAGCCTGGCTTGCATCTTTACTCCATCACTTAATATGTAAACTTGTCAAGTTTCTTAAGTTCTCTGGCTGACCTGTGAAGTTTCTGAAAGAGATGTGTAAAAAATCTTCATGCATGTTTGAAGATTTGTCAGTTTCTTAGAATTCTTTCTATTTTTGCTTATGTATGTTGAGAATCAGGATAGTCTTATCTTTCTGGGTAAACTGTTCTTTTCTTTTAGTATTATGTAATAGTTCTCTTCACACCTAGTAATTATCTAGTCTATCTCATGGTAGTATTGTTATAGTGGGCTCATACTAACATTGTTATAGTAGTTTATTTTGGTCAGTGTTTTCCTAGCATGTCTTTTCCTTCCTCAATATTTATGATCTGTTTTAGTCAGAGCTCTTTAGAGAGACAGAAATGATAGAATATATAGAGAGATTTTGAAAAGGGATTTAGGGAAATTGGCTCACTTGATTATGGAGGCTGAGAAGTCACACAATAGGCTGTCTGCAAGCTGGAGAACAAGGAAAGCTGATAGTGTGACTCATTCAAAGTCCAAACGCCTCAGAACCAAGAAAGCCAATTGTGTAATTCTCAGTGTGAGTCAAAAGGCTTGAGAACTAGAGAGTCCCCACAGTCCAAAGGTCAGAGAACCTGGAGTTATGTCATCCAAGAGCAGGAGAAGAAGGGTGTACAAGCTCGGAAGAGAGGGTGAGAATTCACCCTTCCTCTGCCTTTTTGCTTTATCCAGGCCCTCAGCTGTTTGGATGGTTTCTCACACATTAGAGGCAGATCTTCCCCACTGAGTCCAGGGACTCATATGCCAATCTCTTCTGGAAACACCCCTACAGACACACCTGGGGCAGTGCAATCATTCTAATCAAAAGTAACAAACAGCCTGAGTTTCCTTTCCAGCAGTAGAGGGATGCGTTCAGTGCCTACTGAAACATCAAGAATAAATAATGCTTTGCCAGCTATCTGAGCATCCCTTCATCCAGTCAAGTTGATACCCAAACCAACCATCCCACAACTTTTAGGTCTGATTATGTTTTAGGTATGTCTCTCATAAACAATATGATGATTTTTTTTGTTTATATTTATTGAAGCTTACTTATAGGGGGACATATTTCTCCTTGTATTTTGTGTTTTATATTTCTATGTATTCTCTTTGCTTTTTCTCCCCCACTTTGTTACCTTAATTGATCAAGTTTCCTTACTCCTTTAAAATCTTATTTTATTTTAACATTTTTAAAATATAAAACTGACTTTAAAAGGTTAAATTTGTCTATTGAACAAGAGGTTTTAAAGATTATTTCTTAAAAAAAGGTTATACTTCAATGAGAAAAAATTGCTAAAGTTTGAGGATAATATCTTTATGCTTCTCTCAAACATTAAATTTACAAGGACTTTTAGAATCCTTTAAATTCAGCCACATTCATGACTTCTAAAGTATTATCCTCTCATATTTTTGTTCCACACTTAAGCTATTATTATGATTGTTATTGCTATAATTATTATTTATTTTGTTGTTCTTACAGCCAATGCTTATTTACAGTTAACCACATCTAATTGTTTATTTGTTCTCTATTACTTCCTGTATTCTACTGCTTCTTCTGAGTTCAATTTATTTTCTTGGTGAAGTAAATGATTTACTAGTGCTTATAATGAGGCTCTGACCCTCAGTAGGTATTTTTATGATATAAACTTACTTTTCTGAAAATGATTTTGCACTCAAGCTTTAACACTACTTTATCTGCATATAGAATTCTAAGGTGATAGTTATTTTCCTTTAGCACTTTGGAATTATTACTGTTATCTTTTGGACATATTATTGTAGACAAGAAGTGTATGATTTCTGAAACAATTAGTCATTTCTCTCTGGTTGCTTTTATAGTTTCTAATTTTCTGTTGAGATTCTCTATTCACTTCCTTATTGTGTTTATGTTTTTCCTTTAAATCCTTGAACATATTTATACTAGTTATTTGAAAGCCCTCTGTAAATTGCATTATTTCTTTCATTTTAACCTGTGTATTGTCCAATTTTTCTTCTAGTTGTGAGTCAAATGTTGTTACTTCACCTGGCTAGTACTTTTTGATGGCATGCTGGACGTTGTCAATCCAACATTCTTGAATGTTTGGATTTTGTCCTCTTAATTCTGGAGTCTTGAGGATTTGTTTGTTTGTTTGTTTGTTTTTGGTTTTGTTTTTCTCCCTGGAAGTTAGTCAATTTACCTGCAGGTCACCTCGATCCATTCAAAGCTTGTTCTAAAATTTGTGAGAAAAGATTTAGAGTAGCATTTTGCCTAGGGTTAAAATAACCCTGTTCCCAAGGGTTGAACTTTCTAGAATCTTTACTGAATCCCTAAGATGCTCAGTTAAGCCTTTCCAACCTCATCAGTTGGAACCAAAACATTCCCCAGTCCTGTGTGAGTTACAGAATTGTTCTTTTCTCAGTAGTTTTTCTGTGCTCAGTCTCATGGTGTTTAATCCTGAACACGTGCAACTTAGTATTTGATCAAAGATTCAAGGGGACCTATATGCCAGAGGCCAGATGTTCAGGCCTAAAGCCATTATTGCTTTAGGACAAATAGTTATATTGATTGCTTATTTTGGGATTTCTTCACCATTTATGATATCTGTATTTATTTTTATACCTCATACCTGCATGTGGCACAGACTTGAGGTACTAATTCCTCTTTGGAGAATTTTTTTCCCATTGGGGACTCTGAGCAGATGACAAACTTCTTATTGGATCAGTAAATGGAAATTTTCTAAGCTCTTTTTCCCCAAATAAACCATTCTTAGAGTTCTGCATTCCAGTTCTTCAACTTGTATGTGTTCAAGGCTATGTGTCCTATCACCAAGTGAGTTCTGGTACTTCCAGGGCTGGTAATGACACTGACTTGACATTTAGGCTCTTAGGTCCTTCTTGTTTCTAGCCCTTTAGTGATTTCTTTTCTTAAAAAAAAAAAAACAACAACTTTGGCTATTGTATTTAAAATACACTATTGTTTATGCAACATTTCTCTGTGTTTGGTGTGGATATAGGAAGATAGCAAGACAGACTGGTCAGTTTGATCTATTAAGTAGTTGCAAGTTGGTGCTTAGTATAAAATGAAATAATAATATATGCTTCATGGTGTTGTCATGAGGACAGAGCAAGTTAATATATGTAAAACACTTATAACAACATCTGTTCTAATAGAAGTATTAATTACTATTATATTATTGTCATCCCTGATTTTTTTAAATTTTGCAATGTTCATCTGTAAAAGGAAGTAAATGGTGGTAGTGGTACATTAATTCATGTTACACTGATTTATGAAAGGAGGTGATGCATACTTCACAGGTTTTGATGAGGTATGAGTGAAGTGACACATTTAGGGTCAAAGACACAAATGAGAGAGACCCTTATGTAACTATAGAGAAAAATGTGTTGTCTGGTATGCTGAAACAAAGAGTTCAAGAAATGGAATAATTGAAGGTGATTCTGGAAAGCTGGATTGCACATTGAGTTCCAAGCCATGGAGTTTGGATTTTATTAAGTAAGTAGGCAACGAGAAGGCATGGGAAAATTAAAACCTGATTAGGGTTGATCCCTTAGAAGATTAATCTGGGAATCAAGTTTAAGATGAACTGGAGCAAAGAGAAGGTAGAAATCAGGAGACTAGTTAGCATCTATAACAAGAGTGCAGGTGAAAAATAATGCAGGCACGAATCACAAGATTTGGGCCAATAACAAGGGAGAAAATTGAACATATCTAGAGACATTGTGTATACATTAGGAACATTTGTGGCTAGAAAAGATAAGACTTGGCAACTGACTGGAATGGAATTGATAACGGGGTGATGTATACACAATTGTGTTAATTCAACAAACATATGGTGAACTTCCACAGCCAGAACAAGCTGGCCACAATAAATGGTAATGATAATAATAATAATAATAATAATAATAATAATGATACAGAAGATTATAATGGCTACAAGTTCTTGGACATTCTTCCAATCAGGTGCTGAGGTCCAATTCTCTTCTCCTTGAATCTGGGAAGTATCAGCTGTAAACAACAGAATGTTGTGTAAGTGAGGCTGTATGACTTCTAACAAGGTGAGGAAAGGTGGCAGTTTCTACCTGAGTCTCTTGGAACTTTCACTTTTGGGCTACTCCTTCTCAGAATTTAGCATCCATGCTGTGAGTAGTGCAAATGGCATGGAAAATGCCATGTGTAGGTGTCACATTGACAGCCCCAGAATGAAGCGCCTGCCTTGCGAATGAGCCATCCAGGATGTAGCACCCACTTGAGATGACTTCTGTCCTCTTTCCAATTACACCTGCATGACAGACTCCAAGGGAGAGCCACCCAGTAGAATCCTTTCCACAAAATCATGAGCAAAATAAAATGGATCTTTTAAGCCATTAAGTTTTGGGCTAATTGGTGATGCAGCAATAGAAAACCAGAACAAACAGTCAACATGCATTAAATGCTTACTATGTACTATTTACTGTAACAAACATGTTATCTATATTTCCTCAACTAATCTTCTCAATAATCGTATTGCCCTTACTCTTAATTTAAAGCTCAGGAAACTGAAGCTTGCATATCTTGCTCATAATTGTACAGGTAGGATGTGGTATAACTAGAATTGGAAATGGGTCCAGAGCCTATGTATACTCTTAACCACTATGGTTGTTTCAGGCTGCATTCTTCCAGAAGACAGATCTGAGACAAGGAAGGATTCAAATGCAAGAAGTGTATTTGTAAGTTGATTCCAGTAAACACCAGTAGGTTTGTGAAGAAGTGAAACAGGGAAGGGAAGGAAGTCAATAATAAATGAGTTTTTGAGTAAGTTGACCACTGCAGGCAACTGGAGCATGGACGTGCTGGGGAACTTTGAGTGACAGTGCAGAACATGCTTTAGAGTTATCTCAATTGAGGAGTGAAGGAGCTGGAGTATTTGTCCTCTATAATTGGTTTCCATCTATAATGGATTGAGAGCTGCTTCCAGGGTTGTTAAGTCTCTGACACTTCTGGCTTGACCTGAACATAGGTGGAGTGTAGTCCCAAGACCAGAAAAGAGCCCCCAGGCAGAGAGTCACAGGTGTTTGCAGTAAGCAGTCTTCCCATGTGTAGATGGGAATGCTTGAGAGTATATGGGAGGAAAAATGACAGCATCTGTCTACAATGGTGTTACACTCAAGCTCCTCTGACCACACAGATAAGAATTATAAAACATAAATAACACAGAAAAAGGTGACAATAACACACAAAAGGGCCTGTTTCCTAAAGTGCTTTCATTTGAGAAAATATATGGGTGTATCTGCATGTGTGTCTGTGGGTATAAAACCAAATTCACTTAGATTTTGTAAAAGTAAAGTTAAGGGAATAGTGAGCTACTGTCCTACTTCAGAGATGATCAAGGAGAGAAATAAAATTTCTCTCTCTACTTCTGTTGCGTGATCTCTTTCCATTCATCTGCTTATTTGTGGCCAACTGTGGTCAAGAGAAAAAGTGAATATTTATTTTATGGTGCATTTATTTGACACTCATATTCACTTCAGCCACCTGAGTAAAACTGGAGTAGGAAACTGGGAATGTACCAGCTGCCTGGTGCATCTTCACAAAGTGCTAAAGCCCCAAAGCTAACACTAGGGAAAGAAATTTAGAAGCTCATTGAGAGCTTCTCATTGTGAAAATCATGCCAATTTTGTGTTTTTGTCTCTCTCTATTTCCTTTATATCATATCATAATAACCTGTGAAATACATGCTCTTTATAATTATTTATGTTTTGCCACTTTAAGTACATTTCAGGATCAGGAGGAATTGCTATGTGAGATTAGAACAAAGAAAGTTTACATTAATTTTATCACTAATGATTTATGGTTTGGGGCTGAGCTTCTAAGTTTTAGAACTGGAGTATGAGAATGATAGCTAAAGACAGTAGTTAAGTGAATATCTGGGTGATATTTAGTCATCCTTGCCACAATTACAGTAATTGTGGAGTAGCAATATTAGGGTCAAAGGGAAGACAATGTGGGTAAATATGTTAACCCTGATAATTATAATTGCAGACCTTAAAAATTAATAGGTGGCAAGCTTAATGGAAACAACAGTCTCCATTTACTTTCAGTTTGCTATTCCCCTACATACATTTGTAAACTTGATAGCCTGTGTGTATTTAGCTCCTCGATTGGAAATTCTACATCTCATGATTTGCCTGTTGGGAACACATCTCCACATGCCCTTTTCCATGGGTAAACAATTTTTTAAAATCACTTCCACCTAGTGGAATGGGGAGCAAATGACTAAGGTAGCATAAATGATATGATTGAAGTACATGGACCAAGTCAAAATGTATTAGGTGAGATGAAAGGAATTTTGGAGGTTTTAGTGAGTTTGGGAAAATAGGAAAGTTCCTAGACAAGGTCTAGTGGACATGGAAGCAAAAGAAAATGGAAAAACGAAGTAGAACAAGAGTGAATCTTGGACATTTTTCAGAGGCAAATACATATGCTTGTTTTTAATCCATAAGGTCAAATGCTTGCTCTTCTTAGGTTGGGCCATATGCTTAATACACTATGACAAAGACCAGAGTAAAGAGTATTAACTTCAAGGTCAGAACAATCTATTACTGATTCCATCACAAACTGGCTGTGTGACCTTGGGCAAATCATATCATGGCTCTGGGCCTCAACCAAAACAAAGAAAACAAAACCACAAAGGGTATGTGGAGTCTTTAAAATTCTTTCCAGCATTATGGATCTATAAAGTGTTACTTAACAGAAGCTCCACCTGGAAAAGAATTAAATCCTAAAGGAAAATAGCTTTTGTAATCATATCTGAACATTTAATTCGTCATTTGCTTTATGACATATGCATGAGGCTTGTTTAAAATAACTTTACAAGGTTAATTACCAGTGCAGAATAGGATGATTGTGTCAGTAGTACAATATTTTGTTAGGCATGTGTGACAACATTGCAAAGTGGATCAGCTGCATGACTGTTTGTGATTTGGCGTCCCCTTAGTTTGAAGTGGCCACAGTCCTAAACATGTGATTTCCCCAATCTCCCGCATCTATGGATGAAATGTGTTCCATAAAATGTAACTAAAAGTAAAGCCTGTTGACAGTTTTTGAACTTTCAAGGAAGATATACCAAGGGCAGCAAAACAGGGGACAAAGTTTTCCAGTAACTATGGTGCTACATAAATGGCAGCCTGTGAGTGCTTTCTAAGGAGTCGTTATTTCATTCAACTACTGGCAAAATGCTTGTCCCAAACTAAGAGAGATACTTGAATTGGTTAGGCCATAATGTTGAAAAGTATCAATTTGTTGTTTAAATACTTACAATGATTCCTTGCCTTGTAATAAAATTAGTTTCTTAAAAATATCTCTGTAAGCTCACTTTTTGAATAACCCACAAATAGCACCTTAATATCTAAGGAGGGATGATTTATAATCACAATTACCTGGGTTTTGTATACCTAATGTGAATTTTTGCTTGCAGAAGGAAATTTGTCACAGTATTTCACTAGGGTAAGAAAATATAAGCACCTACCACAATAAACATACTATTTTCCCAGGAGCATTTTACTTCTCTCTTCTCTTGGGAGAATAAAACCTTCAGTTTGACATCAGTTGAATTGTCAGTTGAAGGAGTATGGAATATATGCCATAAAGAAGAAATGCCAATTTTTCTGAGATTGTTAACAATAGTGACTATCATATTTATTTTTGTTGCAAATTATCTTTTCTCATGTGTGTGACCCTAAATAAAATGAGTTAGCATAGAAGAAGGGCATTTATGTCAGTAGAAACATACTAACTCATATACTTTGTTATAGTGTACTGTTGGTTATTCAAATCATCGGTAGAAGGCCTTTTTTTTTTTTTTTTTTTGAGACGGAGTCTCGCTCTGTCGCCCAGGCTGGAGTGCAGTGGCGGGATCTCGGCTCACTGCAAGCTCCGCCTCCCAGGTTCAAGCGATTCTCCTGCCTCAGCCTCCTGAGTAGCTGGGACTACAGGCACCCGCCACCATGCCCAGCTAATTTTTGTATTTTTAGTAGATACGGGGTTTCACCATATTGGCCAGGCTGGTCTTGAACTCCTGACCTTGTGATCTGCCCGCCTGGGCCTCCGAAAGTGCTGGGATTGCAGGCATGAGCCACTGGGCTTGGCTCTGTAGAAGGCATTAATCTACCTTTTTGCAATGTAAAATGCAACAGCTAAAAAGTCTCATGATTTAGATAAAGAGTTTAATCTCTGTGGCATTTCCAGAAATATTTCTAGTTAGAAAAGTAACATGGCTGATGGGTACAAAAAACAACTGGAAGCCGTTTTAGCTTAGAAACTTGTCAAGGTCATTCTGACCTAGACTAGAGGGATATATCTTTTATTCTCACTGAAAAGCGACCTGGTTAAGTGAGGTCAATGTTATTCTCATTTGTGCAGCTGCAGGGATATTGTTTTATGTGTGCTGTGTACGCTCTGCTATTGTAGTAAGACGTGGCTAATAATTTGAAACCTTGTGTCAGCTGTTGACTGTAAAGAAAACTTGATAAAATATATAAAGTAGGAGGAAGAAAATAATTGGCTAGATAAAGTCAATGGAAACAGGGAAAATTGCATTTTATCTTTATTCTGTAAGATAGGCTTAAGCCTATGTCTGTTTTGACTAATTGTTTCTTAAAGTTTGTGCTAAAACATCTTTGATACCAAAACTTGTATGTTGACTGTCAGGGAAAGAAGGAGGAAGTAAAAATTAAACCAGAACTCTGGTCCAAACTGCAGTGATTTTTTTTTTTTTTTCAAACACAGGAGTAGAAAGGAATTGGGACAGACACTTAGAAAATTACCCACACTCGTTTGAATGAAATATTTTCCACCTTTAGACTCATGGTTCAATTCCTTACAATCTTAATTCCTTCCAAATGTGACTATGTCAGCAGACTAAAATGAAAAAGAGAACTGACATAGTTATGGATAATACATATTTTTTACTACCTGCAAAGTATCCCACCCTTTATTGTACCAAAATTTGTTTAACAATCCACTATCACTGGATATTTAGGTTATCCTCCTGTCCCAATTTTTTTTGTGAATATCAGTGTGATGTTTTAATATCTTTATTGAATAAATAAATAGTTAAATGAATGATATAGTCCAGCTGCTTGCCTTTGCGGGCTGTATCAAAAGATTTCCTTGACCTCTGGTTTCTGGGTGGCCACGTTCAGCAAGGGTGAGTGGAAACACTGGCCAAGGTCAAAAGGAAGAGAAGAGGAGGGTTGGTGAGTATTTTCTCTAGGCTCCTTTCCTGCAGCCTTGCCTTGGACTGGCTATGTCCTTTGACTCAGATTACAGCTTCTACCAAGGTGGTCACCTCACGGGACTCTTCTTCCATGTTCTGGTAACTGCTCCCTCCTCCCTGCTCTTCAGGTCTAGGGGTGATAGTAGCTCTGCTGTTGCCACTTCCTGGGTACTGGCAATTTCTCTACACCATTTACTAAATCCTCCTCAAATTGTTCTCATTTGAGTGTGCAATCTATGTCCTGCTGGGACACTGACTGACACATACACTAAAGTGTTAACAGTGTGGGCTACTTGGTAACACTGAAATGTGGGAAGTGAGTTTCCCAACACGAACCAACATTTTGCTCCTTCGTATGTTTTGTGTATGATGTGGTGGTGGTGGTGGTGATATTTTTGCCTCCACAAATACATATTCTTAGAAGTATTTCTCACAAATGTACAAAGTGTTGATTCAGTGGAAATACATTCTGAAATAGGAAGTTAAAAAGTATAAAACGGTATGTATTATATTGTTTTTTGTTGAAACTATAGAATACATATAAGCATTTCTGAGAAGGTGGATTGTTAGAGACAAATTTTCTTCTTTGCTTTTTTCACATGCTCTAAACTCTCTACAATAAATATGTATTATATTGGTAAATAAACATTTTAAAATTATTAGCAAATGAACAAAAGTCTAAACATATATTAAGTCATATGCCAGTTGTAAGTAAGTAACTACAAAGTGAATGAGCCTTGCTGTGTAGATTGCTGTTTACACATATGCCAACGTGTTCTTCTCAGTAGAGTTCTCAGACAGACTCTGGCTGGAAGGATGTACCAAGGTCCCATGAACGCCTGCTACCCCTGATGGCTGCCAGCATTGCCAGGGGAGACCCTGGACCACTTTGAGCCACCTCCTCAGAATGTACCCTTCGTATTTCTTTCCCCTTCTACCCTTCTTTGCCTTCTTTTTCCTCAGGAAATTCCTTCCTCTGTCTTCTTCCTTTCCTATGTTCCTGACTGTGCCTCCAGTAATACCTTTGCCCAGTTGGATGCCTGGTTTTGTCTCATCATCCTTATTTTGGCTCTGTTTTCTGACTCCTGTTTATACCCATCTTTTCTGCTCTGCCATTCTGTGGGTGGTCTTCATGGAAACTGCCCTGAGCTCAGCCCAGCCCCTCTCCTCTTCCCTCCATACCTCACCGTCACGTGCCACCCTTCACCAAATCTCTATCAGCCTCATGGGTAGGGCTTGGGTGGTCTGATTTATAGCATTTACCTTGTATATTATATAAAGTCCTGGATTTCTCTGAGAGGGAGAGAAAGAAACTTCTCATTTGAGTGTGATGCATGACAGGTAGATTCTATTATAATTTTTCATGTGCATGAATGAAGCCATGTGGGGTTTTACTGTTTAATCATTTCAAGTTTTAACTACACTAACTCAGCATATACTCACAACTTAGATGAAAGCTCTATGCTGTTCCTTTCCTTTTTTGTAATATGCCTCATAAATCTGGAGATCTACAAGTGAAGTTTCGTGGAATTCTGTGCCTTTTCAATATGGACACATCTGTCTGTGGCTCCAAACCTGGCATATTTCAGAAATTCAGATAATTCTATGTGAAGAAAAATTTAAGTGAGGTAGGAAAATTATGTAACTGAAATGATCAAAGACAGAGTGGCTTCTGTATGGAAACCAAAAGAGTAGTCCCTCTTAATTTTAGATATGTAGGGATGTCATTATTAAAATTCATTAAATCCTGAAGTAAAGATGGCAAAATTTACCAAATTCTAGACTTCTTCCTCTTTTTTTTTCTTGAGATGGCATTTCATCCTGTTACCCAGGCTCTGGGATCTCAGCTCACTGCAACCTCTGCCTCCCAGGCTCAAAGGATTCTCATGCCTTGGCCTCTCAAGTAGCTGGGATTATAGGCATGTACCACCATGCCCAGCTAATTTTGTATTTTTAGTAAAGATGGCGTTTTACCATGTTGGACAGGCTGGTCTCAAACTCCTGACCTCAGGTAATCACCCACCTCGGCCTCTCAAAGTGTAGACTTCCTTTTATAGCTGGAAAATTGAATGTTTGGAATAGCTAGAGAACACTATAAAATTATTATTCTTTATCCTGAGGAGGATTCCATCTCATATAATATTTATGCAGCAGTTTCTGTCAATGCTCTGTTCATATGCCCTTGGAACAGCTCACCATGTTGGTGCATGCCAACCTTGCTTCTGATGGTTAGCACCTGCGTCTTTGTCAGAGGGCTGCCCTTGGCTTTACAGAATCCACTTCATCCAGGTGATAATGTCTGCAATTCTTGTACCATTTGTGGGCATTCTTTAACCGGTAACTAGCAGCTGTAAGGGTACAAATATCCCTGTTCCCTTGACCAGTATTTTACAGTGTATCCTGCTTAATCTCTGGCATGAAGCTTCAGTTACTCACTGTAGTAGCTGGCTTAATGATGCACTCTTATTTGTTGCCTTCCCTTCCCTGTATTACCTGCCTACTGGCATACTAATGTCCCTGCACCTCCCAAATAAACCATGTGCATTAATCCTTATGTCACATCTGCTTCCTTAGGGAACCAGAAGATTACTAAAAAGGATATTAAGATTATGCCCCACCTTCTAAAGGATCATGGCAAATATTTGCCATGATTCCAAGCAGCTTTGCCCTTCATGTCACTATTTGCTGTTGGAGACAGCATTCGATAGGAAGGAACCACTGGAACAGCATGCTAGTTCTTATGTTCCTCTAAGAAAAAATTTTGTTGTAATAAAGTTGTTCTTGTTAGTGGTCACATTTGAGAAATTATGGATACTAAATTTGGAAACCAAACCTTAACTTTTGATGGAAAGTTTTGGATCTGGTGGGATTTGGAATGCTGCATCACTATATTTAGCTCTATGACAGAAAGACAGCCAGCAAGTCTGTCAAATAATAGGCTTTATTATTCACACAGTTCAGTCTTCCACTTAGAAATAAAAGCAAGTTATTTATTAACATTCACTTGACCAACAGTGGCTTAAGGGAAAAAAATATCCCTTGAGAGAAAAAAAAGTTTCACGAAACTCCAAAGTTGTTAAACCTCTCAAAAATCTCCAGTGCTGTTTTACTTTGCCTGCTCTTTTAATTATAACACTTCATCACACAGTTCACTTTGGGCAAAACATTGTCATTGTGGAAGTACATGCCTCTGCATGTAGACATGACACTATATTTATAAACTTTCCCTAGTATTTACATTTGAAAATGTTATGAGACTAGCCATCACACATTTTTCCCATTTCTATTCACTCATATTTTTGTTTCATAAGCAAACATCAAATAGAAATGACACATATCTCTTTCTTGGTGATATCTCATCTTCCAGGGGTGTCTGTAATCAATTGTATGTGACTGTAGGAAAAGAATAAGCGTTACAGCAGAAGCAAGGTAGAGTGAACAGAGAGAGAGAGAGATAGTGATTATTCTTAAAATACATCAATGTTCCCTTTTGAGGTGCAAACTTTAAGGTTCAAGGATTTTATCATAAATAATTTGAATAGAATGCAAACTATAGAAAAAAGTGAACTGGAATTGAAACATTCCTCAAGTGTCTGGAACTGTGCTGCCCAATATGTTGGCTACTAGACATGGGTGGCTATTTGAAAGTACATTAGTTTCAAACAAAATAAAAAATGCAGTTAGTCAGTAGACTAGCCACAATTTAAGTGCGCAGCAAACTCATGAGGCTAGTGGCTACTGTATTGGACAGACCTGGGGCAGATGTAGGACATTTCCATCATTGAAAGCCCTCCTGTACAGTGCTTGTGTAGAAAGTTTGAGCACTTTGCCATCATATACCGACAGACATAACTACATGCTATCATCTGATGAAGCGTATGGAAATTTCTCTGTCCTCTGCCCCCCCATTTCCTCTCTCTTCCAGAGACTTAAAATAGGAGAAAAAAACCTCACAAAACGACAAAAAAGAGAGAAAAGACAAAGAAGACTGTTGTAAAAATAAGAAGCTTTGAAGAATCTGAAGCAGATGTTATGCTGGGAGCTAGTATGTGCTATAGTACCACCTGTGCCCACTTAATTCCCTCCAAAATAATTTTCTTCACAGTTACTATGAAGAAAGACAGGAATTCAAGGATTTAGAAATATTTTGTGGGGGGATGGGAGGAAGGAAGTGAGAGTAAGGCCTCTAGTTACATGTGCATTTCATCTGCAAATGAGGATAGTAGTTTACTGCCAGTGGATGCTCCTGGCCTCTGGGCAAAGATAGGGCTTCTCTATCCTGGAACCTGACTTGGCTGAACCACCATGCAAAGCCATTCCATAATACATGTTTTGAGTAAAAAAAATATGTCAGCTACTGCATATTTTATATATGTATATATATATCATATCACACACACATGCACACACACATACATACATATTATATATGTATGCATATGCTTTGGTCAAGAATATGGTGTAGAAGCACAACTTTTGTAGGAAAATAGTCAAGGACCATTCTTTTATCACTCTGACAATATTTTCTGTTGCATATATTTTATAGTATTTCAGTGGTTCTAAGTCTGTCTCAGATGATATTGCTTAACCCTTTCCTTACAGGGACTTGCTCATTTTCTGGTACAACTCTTATCTTATTATTCCAGATGAGGAGAGCTTTCAGTTTTAACTGGTTGGTTCTGATTTCTAAAGGTATTCTATTACTGAACCTGTGGAGACAGATTGAATTATCTAATGGATAATTTGAACTTCCTATTCAAAAACAAATTGCCTGAAAAAGGATACATTCTTCAGAGTATGCCATCATTTTTCTTCTGGAAAAGTTAGTGGTTCCCATTAATGGGTGTAAATCATAAAATCTAACTTCACCAGAAAAGAAGCCATTTTGGAGTGGATGTGGATGACCCAGTATTTTACCAAACTTCTGACAGTAGGATCTCTCTGGAAATTGAATAGGAAATGTCAGCTGGCTGAAAACACATTCCATCTAAAGGCTCAAATAGAGTAAGTGCTGTCTCAGTTCTATGATTTGCTAGCATATTTGATTGTTTTCTTGGCTTGGCATAATTCTTCTCACTTTGCAGAAGAGGACTCATTTTTCACCTTCTTTCAGCTGAAGTTTTCCCTTCTGACCCATAGAGAGAAACTTGAGATCATCTGCTTTATTTTCTATTTGATTCTCTACATTTGTGACTCTGGAAAAGGGAAGATGAACACTTCATGTGAAGACTGCAATATGAACTTTTGGATATAAGTCACAGGTGTCCTAGTTCATTTGTTTGTCTACTTATTCATTCAACAAATAAGTTGAATAGCCAAATAGCCAGGCATTGTGCTACAAATTGGAGATACAATGAAAAAGACAGGCATATTCCCTCTCACTTGAAGATTACCTTCAGTAAAAGATGATAGCCAGAGGTAGTAGTTTCATATTGCTACTGTAACAAATTGCCAGGAGTTTAGTGGCTTGCAACCACGTAAGTTTATTATCTTACAATTCTGTAGGTCAGAAATCCAACATGGTAACACTTGTATAAAATAAAGGCATGTTTCTCTCTGGACAAAAGAATTCATTTCTTCCTCCAGAAAAGAAGAGAGAAATAGGGGCAAATTCATTCACTTGTTTTGCTTTTTCCAGCTTTTAGAGGCTACCTTGGCTAATGGTCCACTTCCTCCATTATCAAAACCAGAAATGGCAGGGCAAGTCCTTCTCATGTCACATCTCTGTGACCCTTCTTCTTTTGTCATCACATCTCTCCCTGAGAATAGCTGAGAAAGGTTTGCTTTTAAAGATTCATGTGATGAGACTGGACTCACCATGATGATCTCCCCATCTCAAAATCCAATATCCTCACGCACATTTGCAAAGTCCCTTTTTGCCATGTAAGATAATATATTCATAGGTCCGGGGGGTTAGAGCATGGACATCTTTTGGGTGCCATTATTTTGCCTACCACATCAGGTTAACAAACAAATACAATAAAATAGTTACATATTGTGGCACATGCTGAAAAAGACATAAAGAGAGTGCTATGAGAGAGGTGAGAATAGGGCACCCACTTTAGATAGTGTAGTTAGGAGAGACATTTTAGCGAAGGTGATATTCAAGGTGAGCAATGAAGGATGAGAAGGAAGTTTCCCTCATTAAATCAATGGGGCTTGACTTGGTGCCATTATCTTCTTACAGATCCTGTCCTTCTGCTTATAGTGGATTAGCCCAGGCATAGGCACCTGACTTAGGCTGGGCCAATCAGAGGACTTCCTTTAGATTTTTAAACATGTTTTTCAGGGAACATGTTTCTATTCTATATGTGATGAAGCTTGTAAATATGAAGTCCTGGAGTAGTCATCAATAATGTTCTTGCCTTGTAGAGGACATTGACTTAAAAGAAGACAATAGGCACATAGAGTTAAACAGAGGCAAAAGACAGCAAAAAAGTCTTTTGTTCAAAGTAAAATTAAGAACTGTAGGCTGAGTGCGGTGGCTCACGCCTGTAATCCCAGCACTTTGGGAGGCCGAGGCGGGCAGACTACCAGGTCAGGAGATCGAGACCATCCTGGCTAACATGGTGAAACCCCGTCTCTACTAAAAATACAAAAAATTAGCCAGGCTTGGTGGCGGGCACCTGTAGTCCTAGCTACTTGGGAGGCTGAGGCAGGAGAATCGCTTGAACCCAGGAGGCGGAGCTTGCAGTGAGCCAAGATCGCACCACTGCACTCCAGCCTGGGTGACAGAGCGAGACTCCATCTCAAAAAAAAAAAAAAAAAGAATTGTATTATTTAGGATTCTTTTGGCATTGTTAGAAACTTAGAACCTATCTTTCTTAAGCAAAATTGATATTTATTGGACAATTCATGAGATAGTGGGAAAAGCAGGTAGGGGTAGTATAGTCAGCCAGAGATCAGGCTTCTACCATATAGAACCAAAGAGTTATATTTCACTATTTAGCTTAAGAGCTTAAGATAGTTAGGTTTTTAGGTTGTGAACACTTAAAACCAGAAGATCCTAAATAGTACAATTAATAATTTTATTGTCTGAAAGTATGGCATATGCAGGGCCCTCCATGGGAACTGACGAGCACTTCTTGAATCCATGTATAATGTTAACACTGGATTTTTATTTTTTAAATACCAAACCCCCAAATACCTATTTATATCACATTAAAAGAGTTGATTTTGCTCATTTGTCCAATTGGAATATATTGTGATCTCCGCAAGTCATCCATTTCCTTTTGTGTTTTTCTTTAAATGTGAGAATACAGCATAGATATAATGTATACATGTAAAATGTATCAATATAATTTAAAAAATAGTAATAAATAATAATAAAATGAGACCACTTGCTCCCAGTGTAAGAACAAGAACAATCTCAGTGCCTTTGAACTTCCCATATGCTCTTCGATGTATGTATCTCTTTCCTCCCTTCCAAAAGTAACCACTCTTCTCTAATTTTTCTTTAACATATTATCATATATGACAATTTTAGCTTGTTATATAAATGAACTCATACAGAATAGATTCTATCACTTGCTTTTGTTGTTCAACATTGAATTTTGAGACTCATTCACATTGATATGTATAGGTAAAGTTCATTCATTTTTCACTACTCTATCTGCACCATTTATGAATATACAACAGTTGACTTATGCATTTTACTGTTGATGGACATTGAGATGGTTTCTAATTTTTTGCTATTACAAACAATGTCACTTGGGGGCACGTGTGTAAGTGTCTCTGAAGTACTTACCTAGGAGAGCAATAGCTGGGTTATAGGAGAAGAACATCTTCAGCTTCAGAAGTAACTCCATGTGGGTTTTTATAATAGCTGCACTGTTTAGTAACCCAACCAGTAGTGTATAAGGGACAACATTGCTTCATGTTCCAGCTAAAATTTGGTATTGTAAGACTTTATTATTATTACAAACCTGGTGTGTGTAAAATGTTATTTTGAGATTTCAAATCAGAGTTTTCTGACTATTAAGGGTGTTGATCTTTTTTTGCATGTTAATGGGAAAGGTATGCTTTTTCTTCTGTAAAAGCAAATTTATATTTTGCAAATATAAAGTATTTATAAATATATCTGTATTTACATTACATATTTTGGAATCACATCCTTTGTTGCATTTTTGTGTTCCAATATTTTACTCAGTTTGTGAGTTGCTTTTTCACATTCTTTCTCTTTTTTTTAATAAATAGAAATTTTTAATTTGAATGTGGTAGAATTTGTTGATCCTTTTCTTTAAATGTGTATTTCTGTGTGTCTTGTTTAAGATATCTTTCCTTTTATATTATGGTTATATTACTGTATTTCATATTAAAATTTAAAGTTTTGCTTGTCACATTAATCCAATTGAAACTGATTTGAGGGAATGATGTGAAGTGAGGCTACAAATTAATTTTTTCCGATGAAGAGCCAGTTATTCTGGTGTCTGATGAGTAGTTCATTCTTTACCCCCACAAGATACACTGAAGCTCTCAGACCAAATCGTTATATATGTGGAATTCTGGGTCTGGGCTTCGTATTGTTCTGCTCCATATGTATTTCTGCACCACCACCACCCTGTCTTAATTACTAGAATTTTATAAAAATTCTTGATATATTTTAGGACTAGTTTATTTAGTAGTATCTTGATTATCTTGGCCATTCACCATCCCTTATTCCTAATTAATTCTAATTTTAGAATTACTTGCCAAGTTCCACCTAAATCCTTCTTGGGATTCCAGTTGGAACCATACTAAATCTAGAGATTAATTTGGGGAGAATTGCCATCTTTAAAATATTTTTTTACTATCTATGAACATAACTAGCTCTTTCACTTATTTGATCTCCTTTATATCTTTCCATTTTATAAATTCACCCATATATACATACGTTTGATTTTTGTATATCTTATTTTTTGGTATCTTAAATTGAATCTCTTTAAAATTATATTTTATGTTTGTTACTGGTATATAAAATGCAATTGGCTTATGTTTGTTAATCTTATATTTAGCAAACTTGCTTAATTATCTTTTTAGATATATTATTGGAAAATTTCATAAGTTTTTTATGTGTACAGTCTTAACACACAAAGATATGAGAAAATAGACAAGAACTAGAAGGAACACAATATTTTTACTTTCTCTCAAATGGCAGTTTGTCATTCATCTATGAAACAGGATATTTTTGTTTCTTAATTTCCAATCTTAATTATTTTCTTTTTATCTTTGTGTATAGTCTACCAGATCATCCACTAAATTTGATATTTTTCTGATATCAGAAGAAATGTATTTTAATATTTTACTATTAAGTAGATGTTTTCTGTAGGTTTATCACAGAATATTTTATCAGATTAAGGATATCCTCTTTTCTGTGAGCTTTTTACAAATATTATTATAAATAATTGTTGAATTTTTAAAAATGCTTTTTCTACATCTTTGGAGATCAGATGACTTTTCTTCTGTATTCTTTTAATGTTATAAGTTGTATCAATACGTTTTCTATTGTTGCTTCAACCTTGCATTCCTGGAGTAAACCAAACTTAGTCACCAAGTATTATTTCTTGAGTACAAATATTTACTTTGACAATATTCTGTTTAGTTTTTAAAATGTATGTTTGTGAGTGTATTAGTCCATTTTCATGCTACTGACAAAGACATATCCGAGACTGGGAAGAAAAAGAGGTTTAATTGGACTTACAGTTCCACATGGCTGGAGAAACCTCAGAATAATGGTGGGAGGTGAAAGGCACTTCTTACCTGGTGGTAGCAACAGAAAAAGGAGGAAGATGCAAAAGAGGAAACCCCTAAGAAAACCATCAGATCTCATGAGACTTATTCACTACCATGAAAACAGTATAGGGGAAGCCACCCCCATGATTCAAATTATTTACCACCAGGTCCCTCCCACAATATGTGGGAATTTTGGGAGTATAATTCAAGATGAGATTTGGGTGGGGACACAGAGCCAAACCATATCATTCTGCCCCTGGCCTCTCTGAATCTCATGTCCTCACATTTCAAAACCAATCATGCCTTCCCAACACTCCCCCAAAGTCTTAACTCATTTGAGCATTAACCCAAAACTCTACAGTCCAAAATCTCATCCGAGACGAGGCAAATCCCTTTCACCTATGAGCCTGTAAAATCAAAAGCAAGCCAGTTACTTCCTAGATACAATGCAGGTAAATATAGCCATTCCAAATGGGAGAAATTGGCCAAAACAAAGGGGTTACAGGACCCACGGAAGTCTGAAATCCTTTGACTCCATGTCTCACATCAAGGTCATGCTGATGCAAGAGGTAGGTTCCCATAGTCTTGGACAGCTCTGCCCCTTTGGCTTTATAGGGTATATCCCCGTCCTGGGTGCTTTCATGCGCTGGCGTTGAGTTTCTGCGGCTATTCCAGGTGCATGGTGCAAGCCGTTGGTAGATCTATCATTCTGGGGTCTGGAGTATGGTGGCCCTGTTCTCACAGCTCCATGAGGGGGTGCCCCAATAGGGACTCTGTGTGGGGGCACTGACCCCACATTTCCCTTCTGCACTGCCCTAGCAGAGGTTCTCCATGAGGGCCCTGCCCCTGCAGCAAACTGTTGCCTGGACTTCCAGGTGTTTCTATACAACTTCTGAAATCTAGGTAGAGGTTCTCAAACCTCAATTCTTGACTTCTGTGTACCCGCAGGCTCAACAGCATGTGGAAGCTGCCAAGATTTGGGGCTTGTACCCTCTGAAACCATGAGCCAAGCTGTACCTTTGCCCTTTTTAACAATGGGTGGAGCAGCTGGGATGCAGGGCACCAAGTACCTAGGCTCCACACAGCATGGGGACCCTGGGCCTGGCCCGTAAAACCATTTTTTCCTCCTAGGCTTCCAGGTCTGTGATGGGAGGGGCTGCCATGAAGACCTATAACATGCCCTGGTGACATTTTCCCTGTTGTCTTGGGGATTAACATTTGGCTCCTTGTTACTTATGCGAATTTCTCCAGCCAACTTGAATTTCTCCTCAAAAAATGGGTTTTTCTTTTCTACTGCATTGCCAGGCTGCAAATTTTCTGAACTTTTATGTACTGTTTCCCTTTTACAATGGAATGCTTTTAACAGCACCCAAGTCACATCTTGATTGCTTTGCTGCTTAGAAAGTTCTTCCTCCAGATACCCTAAATCATCTCTCTCAAGTTTAAAGTTCCACAAATCTCCAGGGCAGGGGCAAAATGCCTCCAGTCACTTTACTAAACCATAACAAGAGTCACCTTTGCTCCAGTTCCCAGCAAGTTGCTCATCTCCATCTGAGACCACCTCAGCCTGGACCTTATTGTTCATATCACTATCAGCATTTTTGTTAAAGCCATTGAACAAGTCTCTAGGAAGTTCCAAGCTTTCCCACATTTTTCTGTCTTCCTCTGAGCCCTCCAAACTGTTACAACCTCTGCCTGATACCCAGTTCCAAAGTCACTTCCATCTTTTCAGGCATCTTTTCAGTAATGCCCCACTCTACTGGTACCAATTTACTGTATTAGTCTGTTTTCACACTGTTGATAAAGACATACCTGAGACTGGGAAGAAAAAGAGGTTTAATTGGACTTACAGTTCCACATGTCTGGGGAGGCCTCAGAGTCATGGCAGCAGGGGAAAGGCACTTCTTACATAGTGGCAGCAACATAAAAATGAGGAAGATGCAAAAGTGGAAACCCCGATAAAACCATCAGATCTTGTGAGACTTATTCATTACCACGAGAATAGTATGGGGGAAACCGCCCCCATGATTCAAATAATCTCTCAGCAGGTCCCTCTCACAACACGTGGGAATTATGGGAGTACAATTCAAGACGAGATTTGGGTGGGAAAACAGAGCCAAACCATATCAGTGAGTGAGAAAATCTACACTTTTTTTCCTTTTCTTTCTTAGTTTTGATAAGGTTATACTAATGTTATAACATAAGTTGGGAGTATTTTATTCAGCTATTGTTGCAGTAATAACTAGTTTCTTAGTAGCTTGCAATATCATTTATTTTTTGGTCATATTACATGTTATATTGTAATTATTATAGCTTTGGTTGGGATTCAGGTGGGCTCTTCTCCAGATGCCTTTTCCTTCTAGAACCCAGCCTGAAAGAGCAGCTTATATTTGGCACATGTAGTTTTCATGACTGAGGGTCATAAGAGGCATGATGCAAACCAAATGTGACAAACATCACATATTTTCATTGGCCAAAGCAGTTACACGGACAAGCTTAAAGTCAATGATGTGAGACATTACACTCTATCCCAGAGAGCTTGACACTGATAGAGTGATAATGAGTAGTAATAAATAGCAGCCTACCATGGCAATCCATTTTGGTCACAAAAATTTTCTCTCTTCTGCAAGTAAGATACACTAAACTGCTTACCACAGCATTCAATGTCACAGTTGACTATAGCATTAGGTTCTAACTCCAAGATCAAGTGATCTACATCATGTCTGAATTCAACTTCTCTTACTTCTGAAACCTAAGTACAAAAAGGACAACTTAGGTGCTTCTGTCCCCATCTCCCATCTATAATGGTGGAACAGAGTCAGTAGAACTGAAACAAACGCCCTCATTAGAAAGGGTAAGAATGGGAGGTTCTTTATTGTTACTAGTTCATAGAGATTCTGAAATTCCTCTGGGAAAATATGGTAAGGCCTCTTATTTGGGGGTTAGCAGGTATTTTTCTGTTAGACTCTGGTCATGGTTCCTGGGAGTTGTTCCTGTCAATTGTTCTCCTTGACTCTCAACTGTACTGTTTAGATCATCCTTCATATTCCATCATTTTCCTCAGCCAAATCCAAAAGCAAGGCTTTCTCAGTCTGCTTCCTGCCAATAAAATGTTTGCAGCCCAGCTGGATTGAACAGTTACAATCTCTTCTTTACAGTCATAGTCTCTTTTAATTCAGGCTGTTGGCACTATTGGAAATGAAATAAAAACACTTTTAGAAAATGATTCCAGCCAGTGCAGTAGCCCACACCTGTAGTCCCAGCTATGTGGAAGGAGAGTTTGAGACCACCAATTCAAGTCCAGCCTGGGCAACATAGGAAACACTGCGTCTACAAAATATTAAAAAAGAAAATTAGCTGGGCATAGCAGCTCACAATGTAGTCCCAGCTACTTGGGAGGCTAAGATAGGTGGATCACTTGAGCCTGGAGGTCAAGGCTACAGCCACTGCACTCCAGCCTGGGAAAGAAAGCAAGACTGTCTCAAAAAAGAAAAAAGATTCAATTTTCTTTTAGAGGCTTAATGCTAAACACATAATGATGAGTCCTTTGAGCTTATTGGGATTCTGTTGTATTTCGCCTTAGTCTTAGTTACTGAGCCATTTTGTCCAATTGAAAGAGTTTATAGAGAGCCATGTTAATTCAATCAGAGCTCTCAACAAAGGTGTATAGCCAAGGCTTTGATTGAATATTTGATCCCAAACTGTGCTTTAATATCCACATCTTATCCCTGTGGCCGTGCGCAAATTTGAAAATGTTTTACTATCTGTAGATGAGCAATAGCTGTAACTTTCAACCCTTCAATTCCTGAAATTTCTGGATTGTTATTTTTTATTTCACCTCTGCAATAACTGAAAAACTCAATATATCTAACAAACTTGTGACTTATGCAGAGATGTTTTTAAACAAAGCATGTCTCTAGAAAGAAAATTTAGGTCGTGTCATAAGTTTTACATATTGGAGATGTGTGTATTTATGCATGGAATGTATTTTTTACTTACATTTAAATTTTACTTTTATGAAATTTTATTATACTTATATTAAAAATTTAATCTCTTTGGTAATTATGCTCACTTTTTACTGCTAACAATACTTATTTATGCGTTTTCTTCTTTTTCCTTAATCTGGCTAGAAGTTTGTCAATGTTATTAATCTTTCCTACATACCAACTTCGCTTTTGTGGTATCTCTCTAGTATATCTTTGCTTTCTGTTTCATTAATTTTTGTGCCTGTTTTTACAATTTTATTTCTTTTACTTTCTTTGGCTTAATTCTGTTGTTCTTATCTTACTTCTTAAGTTGGATGCCTTGTCCGTTCAGCTTGTTTTTACTAATACATACATCTAAGCCTATAAATTTTCCTCTGTGACCAATTTTAGCTGAATCTAATACTATAATATGCAGTTTTAAAAGTTATTTAGTTTTTTTCTAATATTCATTATGGTTTTTCCTTTAATCATGAATTATTTAGAAGTATATTTAAATGTACAAGCACAGGTTGAGTAACCCATATCTGATATGCTTGAGACCAGAAGTATTTCTGATTTCAGATTTTTTTAAGTTTAGATTATTGCATATAGATATGAAATATCTTGAGAGTATGACACAAGTCTAAACATGAAATGTTTCATATACACTTTATACACATAGACTTAAGGTAATTTTATGTAACATTTGTAATGATTTTGTGCATGAAATAAAGTTTTAACCCATCACATGAAGTCAGATTTAGAATTTTTCACTAGAGGTGACATATTGGTGCTCAAAAACTTTTGAATTTTGGAACGTTTTAGATTTTGGATTTTCAGATCAGGGATGCTCAACCTGTATGTGTGTTTTTAAATTACTGGTTTATATTTCAATTGTGTTATTCAGAGAATACATATGTTTGATAGTGAATTATGTTGCATCTTGATTTGTAACAAGTACAAAAAGGATTAGCTTATATTTGCATCAAATATAAGCTGCTCTTTCAGGCTGGGTTCAAAAAACAGAATCATTTTTTGTAAATGATTTTCATGTGAGATTATAAATAATAAGCATCCACAAAAAGACTTGTATAAAAATGTTTATATCTATTTACTCATAATAGCCCTAAACTGGAAATAGCTCATCAGTAGAAAAATGGATAAAGAGTTTATTATTCATACAATGGAACACTATTCAATAACACTCAACAAGAACAAGACATGACATATAATTCATGCAATAATGTGAGTGAATCTCAAAACATTATGCTGAAAGAAGCCTTACATAAAAAGTGCAGAAGAGTAGGATTCCATTTATATGAAGTTCTAGAACTGGTAAAACTAGTCTATCGTGGAAAATGTATCAGGTTGCCATTGGGTGGGGCGGGGGAGTAGGGATTGACTGGGAAAGGGCATGATAGAATTTTCTAGGGGCGTGGTAATGTTCCATATCTTGATAAGGGCTTAAATTACAACTGTAAAAACTCAGGAAATTGTATGCTTAAGGTTAATACATTTTTTAATGTCTGAAAACGTCTTTTTTAAACTGTCATTTTTGAAGATTGATTTAACTAGGTATACAATTTTGAGTTAACGGTTGGTTTGCACCCAGCACTTTGAAGATATTTTTCCACTGTTTTTGGACTTCCATTGCTGTTGTCAAGGAGTTCTCTGTTGTTCTAATTATTGTGCTTCTATAGAATCTGTTTGGCTACTTTTATTATCTTCTCTTTATCTTAGAGTTTTGTTCATTCATTGTAGGGGGATCTAAGTGAACATTTCTTTTCATTTATTCTGTTGAGAGTCTATGGGCTCTCAAATCTGATTCTGATATCTTTCATCTATTCTAGAAAACGCTCAGCCCTTGGGTCTTGGAAAGCTATCTCTCCCCATTTTCAATATGAGTTCTTCTCAGTACTCTAGTTAGATATCATGATACACTGTCTCCACTCTGTCTCTGCTACATCCTGAACAATATCTTCTAAACTGTCCTACAGTTCTTTAATCTCTTTTCAGCCATACTAAATCCACTCCATTAAAACTGAATTTAATTGTTAATTAGAAATTGTTTTCAATTTCAGTTGCTATATTTTTAGCTTCAAGAATTTCTTTCTTTTTTTTTTTTTGAGATAGAGTTTTGCTCTTGTCACCCAGGCTGGAGTGCAGTGGCATGATCTCAGCTCACTGCAACCTCCACCTCCTGGGTTCAAGTGGTTCTACTCCTTCAGCCTCTGGAACATCTGGGATTACAGGTACCTGCAACCACGCCCAGCTAATTGTTTTGTATTTTTAGTAGAGACAGGGTTTCGCCATGTTGGGCAGATTGGTCTCGAACTCCTGACCTCAGGTGATCTGCCCACCTTGGCCTCCCAAACTGCTGGGATTACAGGCATGAGCCACCATGCTTGGCTGTTTTTTTTTTTTTTTTTTTAACCTGCTTGGTTATTTTTTGAGAAACTGTTACTACTTTGTTATATTTTTCTCACCTGTTAAAAATTTGTTTAAACATATAAATTTATTTTCTATTGTGTATATGATAATTTCAATATCTATGGTCTTTAGATGTCTGATTATGCCATTTTTTGTTTTTTTTTTTCTTACTTTTACTCAGGGTATTTTGTCTCATATGTGTTGTAATTTTTGTTTATCAATTAATGTTTCTTGGAATTTTTTTTTACATCTGGGTTTAAAATGTCTTTAATGGGGTGTGTGTATATGCTTGTGCTTGGTGCCTATAGACACTACTAATCTGGGACAACTTTAAAATAAATTTCCAGTCATTTTCAGAAATGTTCTCAAACATGAGTAAGTATAGTGTTGTAGTTGACCATTCTCAGGAGAGACATTTTCATTTTACTATTTAGCAAAAATCCAAAGCCAAGACTGGCAATTACCCCCTCTGTCTTCTGTAATGGGATAGATTTTCCCTAATTCAACCTTCAGGGGCCTAAACTTTAAGTGATGCTCTCTGGTGTGACCTTACAGGCTTTGTCTTCTGCCTGCCATGTGCTTGGCCCATTAAGTCCAGGCAATGGGCCACCAGGGATTGGCAGAGACCTCTGGGGAAATTACACCGACTCTCCTCCCTGGATTTAGCTATGTTATGGATGGTGTCCTTGCACAAACTGGACTTTGTTGTTCAAAGTAGAGTGATAGTAGAAACTTCTAACCTGAGAATCTTTATTATCATTTGAATATCAAATGATTCCTTTTTCTCTACATTTTGGGGAAAATTTGCCTTATATTTGGACATCTAGGGTAACTTGTTACCACTGGCTTCTTCATTTAGTTTTCTTCAGTATATACCAGACATAGTGTATATGAAAAAATAGCAAAAGTATTTGTCTTAGTAATGTATTACTTTCACTGTACCTTCCATTTCATTTGCAAACCCAAATGTTGGCTGGGGAAGGCAGTGACCACTACAATCTCCCCTCATCAAACACACACACACACGTGCACGCACACACACACACACACATACACACACACCGTCAAACCCACTCTCTCAGCCACTAAAAATAAACATAAATCCAATTAAAAACCATGTGCTTGCTCTGCAAACACAGCTTCATGATAAATCTCTTGGCCTCCCCTTTCAACCAGATTGTCATCCCTAAATATCCTCAGTCTTCCTTTATACAAATTTTGGAGCCTACACAGTTTTTTTTTTCTGTTTCTGCCTTTAAATTCTCCAAAATCTTGGTTGTTGGATTGCCCTCCACTATTGATTTTGGATCAGTTATTTTTGCTTCCATGGAATCTTAAATCACTGTTCTCTTACATCCACAAACATGAGAATTTTCTTTCAGATTTTCAGTTCTTTTAGAGCAGTTTCTTCCACCTCCAGTTCTGCTGTCATTTCACACATCTTACCTACTTCTAAAGAAAGATGTTTCATTTAGATTCGTGTCGTGTCAAAATTGATTTCCTTCATTTCGTATAAAACAATTTTGATTTCACCTCTCTCTTTCCTCAAAACCACCACTGCAAAAGTGTTACCATCAGAGTGACATAGGGAGGGAGGGTTTTTAATCAGGGCATTCAAGCAAAAAGGAACAGTAAGTACTTTCTTGTTCACTGTATACTGTATATCAGTTAAAACAACAACAACAACAACAACAAAATCAAACTTTTGTCCCAGTTACCCAGATTAGTGTTTTGGTCCTTCAAATCTTATGGTCTTAAGGGAGGTGTGTTCATCAAAAGAGAGAGTGGTGTTGACTTCTCTTTCACTTACCCAGAGGCTGAGGACCTCCCATGTGGGATGAGCAGAAGCAGGAGGAGATAAAGGATTTGGAACTTTGAGCCCCTTCCTCATGATATATGCACTGTGCTATTTCTTGTAAATTTGTATTGTTTTAAAAATAAATAATAAGTGCTTTTTAAAATAAAAATGCAAATGTGTGAACTAAGAAGGGTATCCCTGTTCCTCACCCCTTCTTACTTCACACCCTGTGGGTAACCCCTGATAACAATTTGCTGTAACATTCTAGCTATCTCTATTCATCCATCTATCCACTTAATATATTTTAACTCATCCTCATAATAACTATATGAAGTGGTACTATTATTACCTCATTTTCCAAAACAGAAAATGAGGCACTGTATATGAGATAGTTTCCCCAAATCTGAAGCTACTAAGCTTCGGGGCTGGTATTTTTAACTCAGGTGTATTGACTCCAGTGTGTGTGCTCTTTACTTTTTAAAATTATCTTTGACATTTATTGTGAAATTTTGTTCATAAAGATGCATGACTGTTATTTTTTGGTATATTACAGCTTCTCTCAAAATTAAGTATCCTCTATAAGGCCTTTGCTATTAAGCTGCTATTAAGTTGCAATAAAAGTTGCATCTAATATTAATATGTCACATTATTTTCTTCTTGTTGATATTTGCCATGGCACATCTATTTCCATAATGTATCTTTGGCCTGTTAAATAAAATTTGGTCTTATTGGTATCTGTCAGCATAAAGATGGATTTCCTTTGTACCCATACCTAAGAGCTATTTAGTTTTTAATGTTTTTATTTTCTTTTTATCCCAGCCTAAGTGTCACTTAGTTGTTAATGGAGGTGAATTTCCTTTTTACTCCAGTCTGAGTCCTTAATTGTTTATACGGGTTTTGATTCATTCACACTTATTGCCTTATGAACTTATTTTTGAACATTCTTTAAACTTTTTTTTTTTATTTTACAAGTCTTTCTTTTTTCTTTTTGCTTTCTTTCCTATTTGAATTGGACACGTTTTCTTTATTCAATTATTTAATTGTTTTGAATTTGTGTATTTTACTTTCTAGGATTTACTTTAGTAATACTTATAATTTAAATGTGTTGATTTAAAAAATCAGTCTCTAAAGTTAACCATGCTCTATTTAATTTCCTTCATCATATTCTCATCCCTCTTTCTACAGCTATTGTGGTCATCTTATAGAGGTGGCACAGCTCTCCCATCCAAAATTTTGTGTGTGTATAAAGACTGATGATACCACATACCTACCAACATGTTATGAAAAGGTTTATTATTCACATACTAAGGCTTTCTGGGGGAGAGCAGCATGGACTTTTTAGCTGGTCCAAATCTGGCTTGAGAGAGGAGGGAAAAGAGACAATCTCAGCCTGTGACTGGGGTTGGGGCTGCAGTGAGGGTTCTTGCACACTGGCAGAGGCTTATGTGGTTTGCACTTCAGCTAGCACCAAGGGAGGGACAATCAGAGTTCTGTTTTCAGCCTGCTCAGATGCTGGGAAGAAGGAAAAGGGGAAACGGTAGGATTGTTGTATCAAAATATCAGAAATAGAGTCACACTCTTTATTACAATTCCTTCCATGTTGAGATCATTCGGGATTTTAGTTCCAGATTGTTAATTACTTTTTCAATGTATATCAAAACATTTTTTGATTTAAATAGGAGTGTGATTGTTTTCTTTGTTCACTACCATTTCTTATGTCTAACATTTTACTCTTTCTGGGGCTTATGTTTTATTTTGAAAGAACACATTTTGCTTCCAAAGTGGTCTAGAATAATAGTTATTTTAATTTTGTCTTTCTACTGAATGCTAGTTTCGCTAGATACAGGACTTTTCTACAAAACAATCTTCTCTCAAAACATTAATCCTATATTCTCTTCTACTATCCACTTTTGCCAATGAGAACTCAGACTCTAAATCTGATTTTGTTTTTATTTTTATCTCTCCCAAACCCATCTCGAATCGGTATTCTTTTTAAAATTGATAAATAATAATTGCATATATTCATAGGGTACAATGTGCTGTTTCAATACATGTGTACCTTGTGGAATGACCATGTCAGACTAACATATCCATTATCTCACATACTTATAATTTCTTTGTGGTGAGAATATTTCAAATCCACTCTTTTAGTAATTTTGAAATGTATACCACATTATTATTAACTGTAGTTAATAATACAGTTGCACTGTATTATTGCAGTGCAATAGATCACCAGAACTTAGAACTCCTGTCTAACTGAAACTTTGTGCCCTTTGACCAACATCTGCCCTTTCCCACTCCACAGCCCAAACCCCAGCTTCTTGTAACCACCATTGTATTCTCTACTTCTATAAATTTGACCTTTTAAGATTTTGCATATAGGTGAGATCATGCAATATTTGTTCAGAAGCTTTATTCTCATTCTTGTGATCTAAAGTTTCACTCTTTGTATTTAGGTATATAAAATAATTTATTTTAATTTATTCTGTTTGGCATTCAATGAGACCTTTTAGTCTGAAATCTCAACTTTTTTTTTAATTATAATCTTACTGTTCACTCATTTGCTCTTTATCCATGTTGATTCTGCTATTCAGTTCATATACTGACATTTTAATTTTGATAATAATACTTTTGATTTTTGGGGTTGTTCATTGTGACGGTTCATACTGAGTGTCAACTTGCTTGGAATGAAGGATGCAAAATATTGTTCCTGGGTGTGTCTGTGAGGGTGTTGCCAAAGGAGATTAACACTTGAGTCAGTGGATTAGGAGAGGCAGACCCACCCTCAATCTGGGACTCCAAGTTCTTCAGCTTTTGGACTCTTGTAGCTACACCAGTGGTTTGCCAGGGGCTCTCAGGCCTTCAGCCAGAGACTGAAGACTACACTGGCAGCTTCCCTACTTTTGAGGTTTTGGGTCTCAGACTGGCTTCCTTGCTCCTCAGCTTGCAGAGGGCCTATTGTGGGACTTCATCTTGTGATTGTGTGAGTCAATACTCCTTAATAAACTTCCTTTCATATATGAATCTATCCTATTAGTTCTGTCCCTCTATAGAACCCCAACTAATATAGATTCTGGTACTGGGAGTGGGGTGCCACTGTAAAGATACCTGAAAATGTGGAAGCGACTTTGGAACTGGTAACAGGCAGAGATTAGAACAGTTTGGAGCACTCAGAAGAGGACAGGAAGACGTGGGAAAGTTTGGAACTTCCTAGAGACTTGTTGAATGGCTTTGACCAAAATGCTGATTGTGATATGGACATTGAAGTCCAGGCTGAGGTGGTCTTAGATGGAGATGAGGAGCTTATTGGTAACTGGAGTGAAGATGACTCTTGTTATGCTATAGCAAAGAGACTGGTGGCATTTTGCCCCTGCCCTAGAGAACTGTGGAACTGTGAGTCCATTAAACCTATTTCCTTTATAAATTACCGACCTCTGGTATGTCTTTATTAGCAGCATGAGAACAGAATAATAAAGTAAATATTCACTTTTCACATTTGTAACATCACTTGCAATCTCTCTAATGATATCCGATATCTTTATTTTAAAGTGCACCTCCAACTTTTTTCCTTATTTTGTTAGCTTTATTTCTTCAAGAGTTAGTTCTTCTATTTATCTCTCCTATGTTGTTGGTTTTGTTTGTTTGTTTTTGACAGAGTCTCGCTTTGTCACCCAGGTTGGAGTGCAGTGGTGTGATCTCAACTCACTGCAACCTCCGCCTCCCAGGTTCAAGCAATCTTCATGCCTCAGCCTCCTGAGTAGCTGAGACTACAGGCATGCGACAACAAGCCCAGCTAATTTTTGTATTTTTAGTGGAGATAGGGTTTCATCATGTTGCCCAGGCTGGTCTCTAACTTCTGAGCTCAAGCGATCCGCCCGCCTCAGCCTCCCAAAGTGCTGGGATTACAGGCATAATCCTGTTTATTTTTCCTATGTTATTGGATTTCCTTAAACGTTTGTGAATTTTTCATTGTCTGCTCATTTTTCTGTTTGAAAATACCTCTTTGCTTCCATGAGGATTCTGGCTTCAATATATAAGCATAGTTCCTCTGGTCTTTGGGTATGGATTGGATGTGCTTTGAGACGGGGTATACCTGTAACATGTTTCATGCATGGAGGCTGCCCTATTTCTCCTAATTTGGCAGCTATTAAAAACATTGTCCTGACTCTTTGGCTCAAGCACACATACCACCTGCACTTCTAGAGGAAGTCTAGAAATGCCATGTTGTCCCACATGCATTTTCTTGGCTATTAACACTTATATTTATCCCATGGCAGCTCTTGCTCTTTAGTTTTCATCGTAGCTGTATTTCAGTTTGAAGGTATATTTGTAAACACATATTGTCTACTATTTCTAGAGGTCTAGGTACAGACTCTCATCTTGAACAATCTCCGTTGCCCTACATTTTAGCCTTTTACATCTTGGGTTTCCATGTAAGATTTCATTTGAAAACAAGTGAATGAGCCTTTAAAGTGAGCCTTTAAAAATCTCTTCGAACATGACCCTATATCCATTAATAATTTCACTTCATGAGCAGCATGCTGATAACTTGTATTATGCTTTGTACACTGCTACATTCTTATTAGTGATGATACTAATGCATGTCAAGTCAACAGTTTCTGAGAGGCAGTTATGAAGAATAAAATTTCCAATTAATACCAGAAGGGGATATAAGTAGACCTAAAGATAATGACTTGCATTTATAAAAGGAATTTCTTCCTATAATGAAAACTGACATTAGTTTTTTACATACCTTGATCTAGCATTGTTATAGCAAACTTAGATGTGGTTAGGATCCTGGGAAAACTCAAAGACTCTGAGTGCAATCTTTCAATCTTGTAAGAGTTTTAGTAATATGCTATACTAATTTACATTAGGTATAGCAGATAATCACAGATAGTATAATGCAACCACTGGTATGGCCAAGATGTAGACCTTCCCTGGCATGTGAGAAGCCATGCTCTGTTCAATTTGCAGTATTCTGCAGTTCACTATAAGCAACATTGGGCAGGGAGGCGATTTTCTATTATTTGACTGGGGTGGGTGGAATAATTTTAATTGCTAAGAAATTGCATTTTCATTGTAAAGCAATTCAAGTTATAGCAGATTCATAATGCAGCTATTGTAAAAATGACATTTCACTGACATTTCTGTGAGAAGAACATGGTGATTTTGCAAATGACATGGTGAGGGCATAGCAGTTACGCGAATAACGGATTTTCACAATACGTGTGCTGGGAGCATAAATAATGATGATGGCAATAATATTAATAATAATGGCATTCCATGAGAGAAAACCTCTTATCTCTGCAATTCCAAAGTTCTTTAACTCACACCTATCCACTTTACACTCCACTCAAATAATTGGTCCTGACTTTTTTTGATGGAAGGGAGCTGAGGAACCAAGTGGTTGCCCAACTCCATAGCAGGTTAATGGCAAACATAGAATCAAAACTCTATTTTCTTTTAAAAAGTCTTTTGGGATGACTCATCAAAATGAGTATCATGCAGGTACTGGAAATGATATTGTTCTGATTTTATTGTAGATGTTTTTCCATCAGCTTTTTAGGTGGATTGTAGGTGAGCAATTAACATCTTCTCTTTTCGTATGCATAAAAAATGTAGCATTGTTTTATTTCAGGATGAACTGAGCTGCTCATTTCAAATATGTTTATAAAATACTCTAATAAGTTAAACAGGTAAGCAGCTTTTGTTAGCCTGAGGGCATATTATTCCCATAGTGGATATGTCATCACCATTTTGTTTTCACAATGCCATTATTGTGTCATTAATACAGAAAATTCTCATTTTTTCCTCTACATATATTTTAAGAGAAAAATAGGTTCTTACTAACTATAATGTCAGTGATTGGAAATAAGGGCTGGAAGGTAAGCATGACCCATGTGGTCAGGTTTCTGCCATGAGGGTCACCAACATAATTTATTAAACACACTAAAAGCTAGAGAAAAAATTTACATTTATTTACATACCCTTTGACCAAATGCTCTAGCCACCTATTTTGTTGATTTTGTTCTCAGTGTATATGAATGAAATGGCTTACTCCAATTTAAGAATTTGGGGTCAAAGCCTAATTTTCTGTTATGGATACCTTGTATTTAGGTTGGATGTATTGTATTTGGCCAAATGCAGAACATGTTAGAGCTGAGGCTCTCTCTCCCAGGCTTGAAAGAAATAAAGTGTAGAAGCGAAAGCAATATTCAGAAATTCCAATTTGAGTCCATTTGAAAGATAGGTATCTATAACTAGCCATTAACTTTGTTATGCATTAAGTTGGCATTGACAGCAACATTTCAATGTTGCTTTATCATTATGTCTTAATTTTTTTTTTGAAAAGGTGAGTAGGCTTTGTAAAATTTAGACGAAAAATTAAGTAGGTGTTTCTTTGCTTTTCAAACAAACCACTAACTCTTTCATAAATCTGATTTTTTTAACCAGGCAAAGAACATATAATTTTAAGCTAAATCCAATCCTGATTTATTACTACACCAATTACCAGAGAGGTACTGAATTCTTCTGTTTCATAGGCTATGATTTACATTTTCTTTGGATTACTTGGTCCCATGATGTAAAGCTTTCAACCAGAATTCTATGGTCTGACTTCATTTCCACAGCTTGCAGGCTCCTGCATTATGCCAACACAGGGTACCCATGGCTCTTGTCAGTGTTCACTGAGATGACTAAATGGCAAGGTGTGTTAATACATGTTAAAACTACAGTGCAAATTTGCCACAAAACATTGACATTGTAACATCTGCAAAGGAGTCATCATCATGTCAATAACAGTAAGTAATATTGCCATTTCTTTCCTGTTGCTTCAGCTAAGAAAGACACTGTTACTGAGCCAGCATGGGAAAAATTAGACTATGTTTTATTATGTATTTTTGTAAAAGGCTGTTTGCAAAACAAACAAAAGTGTAAGAAAATATATTCAAATATTTAAAGGTAAACACTCAATGTAATGATTGGACAAGACACAGAGTGGAACCAGAGTTATCTGGAGCTTGAATGAGAAAAAATAGAAAACTAATATTGTACAAAACCCCACTTAATCTTTATGCTCTTGATAATGACTATTAAAATGAGTGATGGCAAGTGACAGCCAAGACAAATGAAAGGTTCCTTTCTCATTGAAAACTTCTGTTTCATTGCCAGAGAGAGAGAAAGAAAACTGAAGCAAAAACCTGTGACTTCAGGACAACTGGAAAAGACAGGGACTTCAAACTATATAGTGAAAAAGAGCTAACCAATTGGGTTGCCTGATCTCATGGAGACAATCCTCACAGCTGAGACTATTAACTTGTACTCATAGAGGATGCAGATGCCATCTTGGGTGTGGCGGGTGAGATTGCTGGCATAGCATCTCCTTGCCACTAACCTTATGTAGGGATACTATGGGGAAGACCCAGATATTCAATCACAGTTTCTCTTGGAAGAGATGTGCAATACTATCTAATTAAGACATGTTGTACCTGGTTCTGAGCAACCTCGGACTTTAGTAGAGACAACTCATTTGCAACAGAGGAGAAGCATGGGGGCCCCAATGCCCACTTTTGAATATAGCACCTCCAATTCTTAGCTAACACTTTGTTTGTAAAAGGGTTTTAGTGCTAATGTTTGTAAAACTACAATTTGAATTCCAACCCTCATTTCACAGAAACCTAGTCCAGAAAGGGAAAGTGATTTACCCAAGGTCAAAGCCATTTGGCTAGATTCAGGTTATTTATAATATGAGAATTTTATTTTGTCTGATTGAGAGAAATAACAAATGCTGAGTAGAATTTGGTAGCTGGAGAACTAATGGATTGACTAGTAACAGAAAAGCTACACGTTTTGATTGGTATTCATCTGCCACCACTCCTGCTTTACTGCTTCTTAGCTAGAAAATGCATTTTTTTTCTGCCAGGAATCTTGGTTAGGCCACCTATACAAAACAGAAAATTCCTGTCATTGTAACAGATTTCTCAGTATGAACTAGCATTGTGGACAATAGAACAATTTTCCATCTCTCAGATTTTTCATCAGAATTGCTTATTTTGGCACCAGAAAAAGAATACTGGTCTTGGCAAAATGTTGGCTGTGGTCCCATATCCCATGATGCAGACCCCAGATCCTGAGCCATCCTGGGTTCAAAGACCACTGGACAAAGAGCAGAAGTTCTCATTCTGAGCTCCTAGGCCTGTGCCCATGGGATGGTGTAATCTGTACCCTACCAAGCTACCCACATCTCATTCTTTTGAGCCCAGATTTCTGATGTGTCCACAGAATGTCCACGACTTCATTTTGTGCAAACCCCTCCCTCTGTTGTCCGGCTTCCTTTATTCTTTCAGGGATAGCAGCTGCTGCCAGCCAGCCCATAGCACCATTCTGAGATGCCCCAGGGAACAGCTGGAACTCTCCCAAGGGCTGATTTTACACCACTGAGTCTGGTCCCAAATATTTCCCATTTCGTGAAAATATATATTAAGGAAATGCCACCTAGAACCAGAATTCCCAAAATTGACCAAATAGTGTTGTGAGAATTGGCTGCATTATTTACTTTCAGTCTATTAAATCAATTTATGGGGGTGAGTATTTTCTGTATTAATGTATCATGTTTTTCTGAAGCTCAAATTGAGGTCACAGATTAGATTCACTCACTGAAAAATATAGCTCTCTTGTGTAGGAAGAGGAAATATTCTTGCTTCTCTTTGGATTCTAAATTATTTTTCTCTACCTAACCCTCCCTAGCACTCCTCCACCTCCCACCTTTTAAAGCTTAGAGATCTAGAGCCGGAGGTTTAAATAAAAGTGCTACGCCTTTAAAACCAGTGAAAGCAAATGGAGTTTAATAATCCAACAGTATCTTGGTCCATCATAATATTTAATCTGCATTATATCTCACTTCCTAATCGCTACTTCCATTCCAATTGTGAGCAGAGGGTGGGCGAATGGGGCATTTCAGATAAGTGCCAGTAAAACAAGTTTGTCTTACAGCTGGTGAGCCCCAAGTACATGTACACAGTGCCTTATGGCTGTATTCAATCAGATGATCCCATAAACTAAAAATAATCACCTCTAATACTAATACCTCTCCTTCATTGTTGCTGGTCGCTATGGTGCTGCATTCGACTTTGAAGAATTCACCGCCATTATTACCCTCAGTGTCTCTCTCTCTGAAATGTGATCTAATTGCAGAATCCACACCTGTTCCACAGTTCAATAGAATTCAGATTTGATGGAGGCAGACTTTCAAATAACACACACACATATGCACACACGCACACACACTTGTGCACACACACATAGACAATTACCCAGGAGTTCAGTTGGGGCCAAAAATAAATAAATTAATAAAGAGGGTGAGTTTATCAGAACATAATATTATGGAGAGGAGGAGGGAAAAAAAAGGCTGTGTTTTGTGGTCACTGGAAGATTGCTGATGGGTGCATAAATAAGGCATGCTGGAACATCTGTTCTTTGTTGTGCATTCAGCTTTTTAATGTGTTCAAAGAGCAGCTCTGACGCATCGCTGACTACCACTCCCCATCCGAGCAACATTTTACCAGAAAATAATAAACCTTCCTGGTGGGGTGCAGGGAGCCAAGGCATTCGGGCAATGCCATTAATTTGGAAATATCTCTTTTTCTGGGATTTTAAAATCTCTCTCTTTTTGAACATTGCACAAATTTGGGACCCAGCCTAGCATCCCTATCAGCCTAAACATGAAATCAGTCTGAATATCTATTCAACCTTTTTTTTTTAAGTCAGCAAAGGAAGGGAGAGAGCAGTGAAGTCAAAGTTTATACACATTTTCCCCTCTGCTTTTAATTCTATTACTGTTAACGCTAATCTATTGGGATTATTTTTAACATGTTCCAGTATTTATTTGTACTGATAAAATTCAAAGGCAGCTGAGGCCCCTGACAGTTGAACAATATTGGCTGGTTATTTTGATACAGTGTGGTAGGCAGCAAAAGATTAAAAAACGGAGCATCCTAAACTGAGGAAAACCAGCTTGAATTCTAAAATAAAATTTTAGCAGCATGGATTTCTCTTGCCATAGGCTATGAGGCTACTATGAATTTCAGATGCATTTCCTGAGCTGTCAATGAGGTGGAAAGATGAGATTGGCGTTACGAAGATTTGTTGCAGCTCCATTCAGTGTAATTGCAATGGAAGGTATAGAGACATTAAACCACCACCCAAGAAGAGCTGTTTATGTACATACAGTATAGAAATAGCTCACAAGACAATGATAGGACCAGGATGGGAATTTCTTTATGTCACTTTATTTGTCTTTTACATCTCCCTCCTTTTTTAGCTCACAGCTCAGAAGCACTGCAATACCAATTAGCTGCTGGAGGTTGCTTCCATAATGAGCTTGACTATGTCTTATGAAAGAGAGACAGGATCTTTTGGGTTACAGGGCTGTTATGTAAATTCTCTCTTTCCAACATTCTTTACAATCTTGGTGTCTAGACTCTGGTCTTCATGTTGCTGTCTCAGCCAGCCCTTTCCCACAGAAGAGTTACCATTTGATCTATGTCAAGAAGTGGGTAGGTCACCAGCAGAGTCTGCTTCTGGGAAGCATTTTGGGTATAGTGGTTCACCCAGAGCCTATGTCTGTGATAGCAGAAGAGAGATATTTGTGGCTAGGTAAGTGACTCTTTTAAAAAAAATCCTTTTGTTGGCCTTGCATGGCCCTCTTTTTAGATAATTTGGGAGTATTTACAATGTTTAGTATCAAGATAATATAAAGATATGGGTTTTGTCACAGACTGACCCTAATGGTGTTATATTTGAATGTATCTATGCTGCTTAAAAATCCCACAGAATGACAACTCTATAAATGGTCAACTAAAGTGAACATTTTCAAGGCAGTGCCTTCCTCTGTACCTTTAATACCATCAGCATGAAAGTGAGTAATGATTTATGGACAACTGTAGAAAAGTAAAGAAAATTCAATTACCTGACAATTGGGAGGTACGTTTTATGGATACGTGGTTAGGATATATTATACATAAGCTTACTGCATATAACAATTGTTCATTTAATGAATTTTAACTATAACCACACTTGAAAACTTATGCTATTTATCAAACAATTTTTTTTGTATAATGACATTTAATTCCCCAAATCCACTAGGTAACACATACCATAAGAAATCATTTTTCACATTATTATTTCAGGCAAGGACATACTTCTAATTTACTCAACACAATAGCTTCTAATCAAAGAATATCATGTGAAACAAATTTGAATTTCATGTCATGCTTGAATGAGTCCCCAGGTTTTGCATTGTATATGTAAGCCAAGTAAAAGGGAGGAAGATGTAGCAGCATTTCCATGATGCTATTTCTGTGTATTTCAAAAGTCAACTTTACCTTTTTTGGTCAAAGCTTTAAAGAAAAAGACAAGGCTGTATGATTCTAATATTGATTGTGCACATGAAAATCAGTCACCTGCCTTTCCACTACCTTCCAAAAAAGGCTCCACTGTAGAGCTGATGTGGTGATACACAGACTAGGTTTCCTTTTAGTACCAAAGGATTATTACTCAGTATTTAGAAGTACAATCCATTGACAGCTTTCAAGGTGCAGTCCTCTCTGGGAATTGCCCTAAGTTTAAGAGAACTACCGTGGCATTTTCAGGGGGCAGCCCGAATCCCACAACTGGTTAAAGTGAGCCTGTAAAATTCTGGCTTCTTCATTTCAATTCAGAACAATTTGGAAAGGCTGCCCCAACGTCAGAGCTATGAATGGAGTTGGCTGAGGACTTTGTTGAGACCACTCTGCCCAATCTTGCTTTCTTTTCTTCCATTTCACAGTATACTGATCTTGAGGCCACTCCTTAACACACTTTTGGCATGCTAATCTCTGTTTCAGGGGATGCTACCTCTAACAACTTTACATCTCTTTCCAATAACTGCCACTGATTATCACCCTTGATGAGTACAATAAACCTTCATTATCTTTATATTGTGTACAAGCTATGTTTGTTTACTATTATATTGTTACTTATATGAACTTGTTCTCATTGTTTGATTGATAGATTTTTCAATCTGTGAAATTATTTGAATGCATTGGGTTGGGATGGAATGCACCATAATTTTCCTCATTAAAATTCATAAGAGTATTATTTTACTTAAACACAGCAGCAAGACTTTAGGAAAAGTTAAAGTTGTTAAATGAGGTATAGATTCTATTAGAGGTTGTATCAGTCAGAGTGCTCTCACCTGCATTTAACAGAAGCTCCAACCCACTGTGACTTAAAAAATAAGGAAAAAATATTCTCTCGGTTGGTAGGAAGTTCAAAGGTAAGAAATTTCCAGAGCTTAATAATGTAAGAATTCAATAATGTGATTAGGGACCTAGCTTCCTTCCATCTTTCCATTCTTTCATCCTCAATATATCAGCTACACTTCACGGTCACAAGGTGGTGGCCATCACAATAGGCAACAACCCTGAAAGGCTAGAAGAGGGAAAAGGAATGTGACCCTTCCTTGGGTCCATCTCTGAGAACAAGAAAGTCTTCTCCTAAAGCTCTCTTATTAGACTTCACTCATGTGTCTCTGGCAAGAACTTTTGTCAAGCGTTTATTCTTAAACTAATAACTGACAACAGGAATAAAATTACCATGATTGTCTTAAATGGATCAGTATTCATCTTTTGGGCCTGGGGTTGTTCATTCCATTGGACAGCCTTCTGAAGCACAAGGATATCTAGTACTTGAATAGAAGAGGGATTCTGTTATGGAGGAAAAAAGAAAGAATGGCTGCCATGTAGGTGAGCAGTGATGTTAGAAAAGCCTATAAACTTACTTGCTAAGAATTCCTGCCCTTGTTCTTGACTTACAGGTCTCACTCATAGCTTAAATCTAAGAAGCATGATGTAGCAATGGCTTTAGGAGTAAAATTATTTTAAACATTATTTAATAATGAATATTTTGACATATGCCTTGTGTATTGAATAAATGTATGGATATATATATATGCATACATAACCATATACCATAGTCATGAATGTGTGTGTTGAGGACTTTTCAGGATGCATAATAGTTGAATTAAAAAATTAAAAATTTCATTTTTATTATTTATATAAATTGTTTCCCCACTTTATTAAATTCAAGCAAGTCACTTTTATTATGTTGGCATAGTTTATATGCAGGACTAAATATCTGTTTACTATATATAAAATACATATTCTTATTATAAAATAATTCATTCTAAATGTAGAAATCTTTGAATGTCTAAAGGAAACTCTTTTTTGTCTGGTAAGTCTATTATGTTTTCATGCAGCATATATAGCCAGTGGTTTATGGCTCTCTGAGTTGTGGTATAATGTGATATATATCATTTTATTATGTTTTAAAACTTAACAATATACCATAATTAGTTCAAGTGAATAAGTGAGGTTTCACCATATGATTTAGAATGGCTGCATAGTATTCCACTATATGGAAGTAACAATCAAGTAATTAACCTATTATTGTTTAGCATTTAGATTTAAAAAAATTTTTATTTTTAGCTATTGTAAAGGAGTTATAAGTGCATTTGGGTAAATACACTTAGTCAAAGCTTAGATAATTTCTTTAAGATGAATTTCTTGACAAGAAATTGCTAGATCAAAGGACACACATGTCTTAAAGAAAATTGATTCAAATTTCATGTAATAAAATATTTCTGAAAAATTTCTCTCTGTCTCTACCTTTTTAGCAGCACTAGGAATAGATAATTAAAACAATTTCCTAGGGGAACATTTATATGTTCTTTTTGTTGCTTTGCAAAATAACATTTTTTAAAATTTAAAATAAAATTAGTTTTTTTAAAAAAGGTAATATATAAAAATGGTTGAATGTCAAAAGTTACAAAGAAATCATGAAGTGAGAAGTAAAACTATGTCCTAATTTTTGTCCTCTATCCACCCAGTTTCCCTCTCTAGAAATCAGCAATTGTTTCAGTTATCTTTTGCCATACAAACATCCACCAGCCCCAACTTAATATCTTCAAAAAGTATATCTTATTTATTATTTCTCATTCTGTGGGTTGGCTTCGTGGTTCCACTGGTAGTTTTGACTGGACCCTATTGGAGAGTGATTATTTTCTTTACTTGGAGAATGATTATTTTCTTTTTAAAGGTGTGTTTAATCTGATTTTCCCAATTTTTTATTATGGTAAAACACACGTAACATAAAATTTATTATCTTATCTACTTTTAAGTGCACAGTTCAATAGTATTAAGTACATTCATGTTGTTGTGCAACCATCACCACATCCGTCTCCAGAACTCTTTGCGTCTTGCAAAACTGAAACCCTACACCCATGCAAAAATAACTCCCCATTTCCCCTCCCCCTGGCCCCTACAATGGCCACTCTACTTTCTGTCTCTACGATTTTAAGTACTCTCAGTACTTCATGTAAGTGGAATCATATAGTATTTGTCTTTTTGTGACTGGCTTATTTCACTTCACATAATGTCTGCAAGGTTCAATCATGTCGTAGCATTTGTCAGAATTACCTTCATTTTGAGGGCTAAAATAATGTTCCATTGTATGTGTGATGGTTAATTCTATGTGTGAACTTGATTGGGCCAAAGGGTGCCCAAATTAAACATTATATCTGGATGTATCTGTGAGGGTGTTTTCAGATGAGTTTAGCCTTTGAATGGGTGGATTTAATAAAGTAGAGCGCCCTCCCCAGTTGGGTGTCATCCAATCCACTGAGGACCTGAGTGGAGCAAAAAGCAGAGGAAGAAGAAATTTACCCCTTTTTGCTTCCTGCCTACCTGTTGAGCTGGGACATCAGTTTTCTTCTGTCCTTTCGCTGGAATTGATGCCATTCACTCCCTTGGTTTTCAGACCTTCAGACTCAGTCTGGAGTTACAATATTGGCTTGTCTGCTCTCTGGCTTGCAGAAAGCAGGTTGTGTGACATCTCAGCCTCCATAACTGTGTAAGTCAATTATTCATAATAAATCTCTTCCTTTATGTATATCCTCTTGGTTTTGTTTCTCTGGAGAACCCTGACTAATATGATATATGTATACCACATTGTACTTATCCCTTCATTCCTCAGTGGACACTTGGGTTGCTTACACTTCAGCTAATCATGAATAATGCAGCTATGAACATGTGTGTATGAATATATCTTCCAGACTCTGATTTCAATTCTTTTGAATATGTACTCAGAAGTGGAATTGCTGACTCATATTTCTTATTTTATTTTTAATTTTCTACAGTGGTTATATCATTTTACATTCCCACTGATAATTCATAGGGGTTCCCCAACTTCTTCACACTCTTGGCAATACTTATTATTTTTGTTTTGTTAAACTTATTTTTAATTTTTAATTGATATCTAATATTACATCTATTTATGGGATACATGTAATATTTCAATACATGTTTACAAATGTGGCAATCAAATCAGGGCAGCTGGGATGTCTATCAGCTCAAACATTTATTATTTCTTTGTGTTGGGAGTATTCTAATTCCTGTCTTTTAGCTATTTTGAAATATACAATAAATTGTTGTTAGCTATAATCACCTTACTATGCTATAGAACACTAGAATTTATTTCTCTGCTCTAACTGTAATTTTGTACACATTAAGCAACCTCTCTCTATCCCCCCACTCTCCTACCCTTCTCAGATGCTGGTAACCATTATTTATTTCTCTAATTTCCACAAATGTGTCAACTTTGCAATTTTCCTTTTGTTATTGGTTTCTAACTTCATCCTGTTGTGGTCAAAGAAGATACTTTGTATAATATCTATCTTTATAGCTCTATTGGGACTTAATTTAGGGCCCAAAATATAGCCCATCCTAGGAAATGTTCCACTTGCCCTTGAGCAGAATGTACATTCTACTGTTGTTGGATAGAGATTTCTGTATATGTCTGTTACATCTAGTTAGTTTGTGGTGGTGTTCAAGTCCTCTGTTTTCTTACTTATCTTCTGTCTAGCTGTACTAGCAAACATTAATATATAATGCCTTTTGTTGTGTCTTGCAATCTTGTATAAAATTTAAAGTCTATTTTGTCTGAAAGTAGTATAGTTACCCATGGTCTCTTGTGTCTATTATTTGCATAAAGCATCTCTTTCCATCCTTTCATTTTCAACCTATTTGTGTATTTAGATCTAAAGTGAATCCTTTGCAGATAGCAAATAGTTGGATCATATATTTTAAAATCTATTCCTCCAATCTCTGTCTTTAGAGTAGAGAGTTTAATCCATTTACATTTAAAGTAATTACTCATAAAAAAGACTTATTTATTTGATTTTGCTAATTGTTTTCTATGTACCTTATAGCTTTTTTGTCATGTGCTTTCTGCATTACTGTCTGCTTTTGTATTTAGTTGATTTTTTAAATGAAGCATTTTTCTTTACTTTACATTTTATTTATATATTTATTTTTCCAGATTTCTTAGTCTGTTTTTGTATTTTTTTAAAATATCAACTTTTATTTTAGATACAGGGGGTACACGTGCAGGTTTGTTACATGGGAATATTGCATGATGCTGAAGTATGGGGTACAATCCTGTCATCCAAGTTGTGAGCATAGCACCCAACAGATTGTTTTTCAACCCATGCCCCTCTCCTTTCCCATATAATAGTCCCCAGTTTCTATTGTTCCCTTGTTTATCTCCATGTATGCTCAATGTTTAGCTCCCAGTTGTAAGTAAGAAAGTGTGGTATTTAGTTTTCTATTCCTGCATTAATTCACTTAGGATTATGGTCTCCAACTGCACCTATGTTGCTGCAAAGGATTTAATTTCATTATTTTTTATGGCTAGGTAGTATTTCATGGTGTATATGTACTACATGTTCTTTGTCCAGACTGCCATTGGTGGGCACTGGGTTGATTCCGTGTCTTTGCTATTGTGAATAATGTGTGAAGAACATATGAATGCATGTGTCTTTTTGGTAGAATGATCTATTTTTCCTTGGATATATACCTAGCAATGGGATTGCTGAGTTGAATGGTAGCTCTGTTTTGAGTTCTTTGAGAAATCTCCAGGCTGCTTTCCACAGTGGCTGGACAATACCCACTAACATTGTATACGTGTTTCCTTTTCTCTGTGGTCTTGCCAGCATCTGTGTTTTTTGACTCTTTAATAATGGCTATTCTGACAAGTATGAGATAGTATCTCATTGTGGTTTTGATTTACATTTCTATGATGATTAGCGATGCTGAGCATTTTTGCATGCTCACTGGCAGCTTGTATGTCTTCTTTTTAGAACTGTCTGTTCATGTCCTTTGCTCATTTTTTAATGGGGTTGTTTATTTTTTACTTGTTGTTTTCTATAGAGTCTGGATATTAGGCCATTGTTGAACACATAGTTTGTGAATATCTTCTCCCTTTTTGTAGGTTGTCTGTTTACTTCTTGATAATTTCTTTTGCTGTGCAGAATATCTTTACTTTAATTAGATCCCACTTGTGTATTTTTATTTTTGTTGCAATTGCTTTTGGGGGCTTAGCCAAAAATTCTTTGCCAAGACAAATGTTGAGATGAGTATTTCCTAGCTTGCCTTCTAGAATTTTCATAGTTTGAGGTCTTACATTTAAATCTCTGGTCCATTTTGAGTTAATTTTGTATATGGTGAAAGGTAGGGTTTCAGCTGCAATCTTCTGCATATGGCTAGCCAGTTATCTGAGCACCATTTATTTAGGGAGTTCTTTCTCTATTTGCTTTTTTGGCCTTGTCAAAGATCCAATAGTTGTAGGTGTGTAGCTTTATTTATGGGGTTTCTATTCTGTTCTATTGGTCTATGTGTCTGTTTTTGTACCAGTGCCATGAAAAAATGCTCAACATCACTAATTATCAGGGAAATGCAAATTAAAACTACAATGAAATATCACCTTACTCCTGCAAGAATGACCATAATTTAAAAGCAAAAAAAAAAAAAAAAAAAATTAGATGTTGGCATGGCTGTGGTGAAAAGGGAACACTTTACACTGCTGGCGGGAATGTAAACTAGTACAACCACTATGGAAAACAGTACAGAGAGTCATTAAAGAATTAAAAGTGGAACTACCATTTGGCCCAGCAATCCCACTACTGGGTATCTACCCAAAAGAAAAGAAGTCATTATATGAAAAAAACACATGCACACGCATGTTTATAGCAGCACAACTCACAATTGGAAAGTATGGAACCAACCTTAGTGAACATCAACCAATGAGTGGATAAAAAATATTATATATATATATATGAAATAATGTCTTTTGCAGCAGCTTGGATGGAGCTGGTGGCCATTATTCTAAATGAAGGAACTCAGGAATGGAAAACCAAATATTGTGTGTTCTCAATTATAGGCGGGAGCTAAGCTATGAGGATGCAAAGGAATAAGACTGATATAGTAGACTTTAATGGGGTTATTTTAATGGGGTTATTTATTGTTTACTTGTTGTTTCCTTTAAGTTTTCTATAGAGTCTGGATATTAGGCCATTGTTGAACACATAGTTCAATATCAAGATATTCACACAGTGAATATCTTCTCCCTTTTGTAGGTTGTCTGTTTACTTCTTGATAATTTCTTTTGCTGTGCAGAAGATCTTTACTTTAATTAGATCCCACTTGTGTATTTTTATTTTTGTTGCAATTGCTTTTGGGGGCTTAGCCAAATATTCTTTGCTGAGACAAATGTTGAGATGAGTATTTCCTAGGGATTCATAAGGGTGGAAGAGTAGGAGTGGGGTGAGGGATAAAAAACTGCGTATTGGGTACAGTGTACACTGCTCAGGTGACAGGTGCACCAACATTCCAGAAAGCATCACTACAGAACTTATCTATATAACAAAAGATCACCTGTACCCCAAAAGCTATTGAAATGAAGAGTAAGTTGTTTAATTTCCATTTATTTGTGTACTTTTGAGAAATCATCTTGATATTGATTTTTGTTTTTGTTGCACTCCGCTCTGAGAGTGTACTTGGTATGATTTCAATTTTTTAAATGTATTGAGACTTGCTTTTGTGGTTGATCTTAGAATATGTTCCACATGTGGATGAGAAGAATGTATATTCTGTAGTTGTATGCAGCTATGTAAACCTTTTCATAGGTCAAGAACTTTTTTTAATCTAGGCGCTCCAATGTTGGGTGCATATATTTACTATGGTTAAGTCTTCTTTTGAGATTGTACTCATTATCATTACGTAATGCCTTCTTCATCTTTCTTAATTGTTAAAGGTTTAATGTCTGTTTTATCTAATGTAAGAATAGTGACACCTGCTTTTTTTTGTTTCCCATTTGTTTAAAGTCTGCTTTATTTAATGTAAGAATAGTGACTCCTGTTCTTTTTTCCCCCATTTGTATGGTAGATCTTTCTCCAATTCTTTGACCCTGTGGATGTCATTACATATGAGATGGGTCTCTTGAAAACAGCAGATGATTGGGTCTTATCTTTTTATCCAGCTAGCCACCCTATGTCTTTTAAGGGGGCATTTAGACCATTTACATTCAGGGTTAGTATTGATATGAGATTTTGAGATTGAGATTTTGATATGAGATTTTGAGATCATATTTTATGGTATGAGATATGAGATTGTGTCATTAGCTGGTTGTTATGTAGACTTGGTTATGCAGTTGCTATGGTTATGTAGTGTCTGTGGGCTATGTGCTTAAGTGAGTATTTGTGGTAGCAGGTGTTATTCTTTTGATTCCATGTTCAGCACTCTCTGATGGACCTCTTGTAAGGCTGGTCTAGTTGAAATGAATTCTCTCAGCATTTGCTTGTCTGAAAAGGATTTTATTTCTCCTTCACTTATGAAACTTACTTTGGCAGGGTTTGAAATTCTTGATTGGAATTATCTTTAAGGATGCTGAAAATGGGCCTCAATATCTTCCATCTTGTAAGGTTTCTATTGAGAGGTCTACTGCCATCCTGATTGAATTCCCTCTGTACATGACCTGACCCTTCTCCCTGGCTGCTTTTAAGATTTTTTTTCTTTTGCATTGACCTTGGTAAATCTGATGACTGTGTGCCTCAGAGATCATTTTCTTGTGTATTATCTAGCCAGAGTTCTCTATATTTCGTGAATTTGCCTATTAACCTCTCTAATAAGATTTAGGAAATTTTCCTGGACTATAACCTTAAATATATTTTCCAAGTTGCTTATTTTCTCTCCTTCTGTCTCAGGGATTCCCATAAATTATAGATTTGCTTTCTTTACATAATTTCATATTTCTCAGAGGTTTTGTTCATTAATTTTTTAAAAAATTTGTGTCAGACTGAGTTGATTCAAAGAACCAGTCTTTGGGCTCTGAGATTCTTCCCTCAGCTTGGTTTATTCTGTTGTGAATACTTCCAATTGTATTATGAAATACTCGTAGTGAATGTTTCAGCTCAAGAAGCTTATTTTAGGTCTGTCTTATAAGTACTATTTCATCTTTCAGCTCTTGAATCATTTCACTGGATTGTTTGGCTTCCTTGGATTGGGTTTGAGCTGTCTCCTGGATCTTGATGAGCTTCCTTGCTATTCAGATTCTGAATTCGATGTCTGCCATTTCAGACCGGCTAATAACCATTGCTGGGAGCTAGTGGGCTTGTTTGGAGGTGAGGGGACACTCCAGCTTTTTGAATTGCTACAGTTCTTGCATTAATTCTTTCTCATATGAGAAGGCTGGTGTTCCTTGAACTGTGGTGTATATTGAGTATAGTTAGTGCATTCTGTTCTGGAGGTTTTCAGAGGGGTAAGTCTCTGTAGAGGGTTTTTTTATATTAAATTCTTATCTTTGGTTTCTGTATTAGTCCATTCCCATGCTGCTATAAGGACATACTCGAGACTGGGTAATTTATAAAGGAAAGACATTTAAGTGACTCACAGTTCCATATGGCTGGGGAGGCCTCAGGAAACTTACAATTATGGCAGAAGGGGAAGCAAACATGTCTTTCTTCATGTGGCAGCAGAAGAGAGAAATGCCGAGCGAAGCGGGGAAAGCCTGTTATAAAACCATCAAATCTTGTAAGAACTAACTCACTATCACTAGAACAGCATTAGGATAATTGCCCCCATGATTCAATTACCTCCCACCAGGTCCCTCCCATGACACATGGGGATTTTGGGAACTACAATTTAAGATGAGATTTGGGTGAGGACACAACAAAACCATATTAGTTTCTCAGTGGGGGGAAATTAGCAAAGTGTTTTTGGTGTTGTAGTTTGGACTGCATTCCAGTAGATAACACTTGAGAGCAATGGGTGGTAGATAGGCTCCTTTGTGTATCCTTGTGTTGCAGCTGTGCTCTGTGGTGTGAAGGGCAGAGAGGTGACCCCCACATGTTGTCCTTGTCTAATAAGTTAGAAATTGAGTGGGTCACCAAATTACAAAAAGAAAATCAACCTTATGAAGATTATCTATTTCAAAAAAGTAAGTTTACCTCTCAACACATGTCTCAATGTAGTTGTGGTGGTCAGTTGAGGTAATACTAAAGGAACCTTCCAACTCTTTTTTTTTTTTTTTGAGATGGAGTCTCACTCTGTCACCCAGGCTGGAGTGCAATGGCGTGATCTCGGCTCACTGCAAGCTCCACCTCCCAGATTCAAGCGATTCTCCTGGCTCGGCCTCCTGAGTAGCTGGGATTACAGGCGCCCGCCACTACACCTAGCTAATTTTTGTATTTTTAGTAGAGACGGGGTTTCATCATGTTAAGCAGGCTGGTCTCGAACTCCTGACCTCAGGTAATCCACCCACCTTGGCCTCCCAAAGTGCTGGGATTACAGGCATGAGCCACTGTGCCGGGCCCCAACTCTTAAGGAAAAACACACACACACACACACAAAAACACAGGTACTGGGAGAAATCTCTCAATTGATTTATGACTCTTACTTCTTCATAAGAGAAAAGTGTTGGACATTTGTGATAAAAATTAAACTGATTTACAATTTTAAAAGTGCCAGAGTGTGTTACACAAAGCATTAACCACCATCTAAGATGCTACCAGGATTCTATGTTTAGGCTATAATTCTTACTATGCCTCCATTATGAAAATTCAAAAAGCATTTTAAAGGCTCTTAGAAGTCTCACCTATGGAGTTTGGTTTAACTCAAGTTAAAAAATAGAGATATGCTATTCATTCTTTAATATTTATTGTCTGTTACCTAAATACCAGACACTATACAAGATTCCTTGATACAGCATAGTCACCTTTTATGGAGCTTACCTTCTAATGGGTGAGGCCAAGAATAAGCAAGTTAAGAAATACATTTTAAATAAACTTACAGGAAATAAATATAGATTTTTATAAGCCTAAGAAGGAAATGACCAAGGTGGTGTAATAAAGAAAGGTCAGAATTGACCTAGAATGGGTGATCAGAGGCATCTTTTCTGAGTTATGGTAGATCTATGATTTTGTACAATCTACATCTTCCTCTTTATTTTACTGGAGTATATCCTCAAAAAAATTTATGGAAAGGGCTGCATGAGAGGTAAACCTCTGCAGTTTTCACATGTCTCAAAATAGGTTATTTTTGTTTTCTTATTTAATTGACAGTTTGACTGGATATAGTAGTCCTTTCATAACTTTGAAGGTCTTGCTCTGTTGTCTTCTCCCTCCATTTTTTCTGGATCATCTGATGCCAGTCTGATTCTTCTTCTTTTTTAGGAGACCTCTATTTTAATTCCATAGGCTCAGCATCTGGTGATACCTGCAATAAATGGGATATAAGGCATTGTCTGAATAAATCGTGGAGGATGGTAGCAAATGTTCCCAGCATTAATCCCTAATATTTTTCTCCACTAAATAGCAGCTTCTGGGACTGTGCTTCCTAGAGCTATATAAGGCTATATGGAAACAGTCTTCACTCAGTGGAATGGTGGTGTCCATAGCAGCATGGGGTCATGGTTTTGAAAATTCCCAGGCATTCATTATACTAAAACAAATCCATCAAATACAAGAAGGATTCTTGTCCTTTCTCTGATTTATCCTCCACACATGAAAAAGCAGACTTCCACAGATGCATAAACTTATAACCAATGGCAGGGCCAAAGCCACAACTTTATTCCATATGCAGTTGTTTAACTGCTTTTTTTTTTTATTAACAGAAATACCATGGTGGATGTAATCATAAAGTTACTTCATTTTTTATCTACTATTCCTTTAAAGGAATAACAGCTGTTTAACATCTTCAGTCCACTGTTATAATAATTGTTGTTATTATAACATATAACTTAAATATAATAATAATTAGTATTGTAACATAGTTATAAGAAGAGAGAAGGGCTTAGAGGAAAGCAGCAGGAGCTTGACAAATACCTGTATGATTGTCTAGATTCCACTCTCTTTGGGTTTGTCAAGTTTAAAATCTGACACATTCTTTGACAATACTTTTTTGAATTCTTTGAAGATATCGTATGTATCAGACACCTCATATGCCTTACCTCCCATCTTCTTGACTAATGACCTTTTGCTTCAGTCACTGCTCTGAGAACCACAGAGTTCAGAAGTAACTGGTTGCATCTTATCTCTGGTGCACCATACATTTCTTTCTTTCTGCAGTGTGGATTTTCTGATGCTACTGTGTATGACACCTCTGGGAACCCATTTGAAACACACAGGCAAGTATGAGGGAGTTGCTGCCCCATAGATAAATGCTTTTTTTCCCTGTCTCTCAGGAAGAAAGTGGACATTTTTAAAAATTTTAATTTTTGATTTTTATGAGCACATAGTATGTGTATATATTTATGAGGTATATGAGATATTTTGATACAAGCATACAATGTATAATAATCACACCAGGGTAAATTGAGTATCCATCACTTCAAGTATTTATCATTTCTTTTCGTTACAAACATTCCAATTATACTTTTAGTTATTTTTAAATGTACAATAAATTATAGTTGACTGTAATCTCCCCATTGTGCTATCAAATACTAGATCTTAGTCATTCTATCTAACTACATTTTTGTAGCTATTAGCCATCCTCACTCCTGCCACCCCATTACCCTTCTCAGCCTTTGGTAACTATCATTCTACTCTCCATCTCCATGAGTTCAATTGTTTCAGTCATTAGTCCCACAAATGAGTGAGAACATGTGAAGTCTGTCATGTAGACAATTTTGAGACACATTCTACCTTGCTCCTAGCTCAATAACACACTTGCATAAGCTTTCCTCTATTCCTCTTATTTCTTGCCTGTTTCCCACTCCTTTTCATTCACTTTACAAAATAGCATATCTGTATTCAAACTCTTGTCTCAGGCTCTGCTTTCTAGGGATAATCCATACAAAATCATACAATCAGTTCCCTTGACATGAGTAAATGCACGCATTCAGCTGATCCCAAACTACTTCTTCAGTCTGTGGGCAGCCCATGGTTTACTTACAGCTTCTCTCTCCTGTCTTTTTGTGCCTGCAGAGTCTTCTTGGACAGCACCTAAGATGGTGCCTATTTCAGCACTCTCTTTGCAAAGAAGCCCATTTCTGGTGCATAGAACACATACAAATCCTAAGTGACAAAAACTCTGGGCATGCAGGCTGACTCGAACGCACCCATCTTTCTTTGTTCTACTACCAGTCAGCCTCTCTTATGTTAAATTTTTCAGGAATGGGGAGGACACAAAGCCACTGTGGCAGCAAGGCTCAAAGGACTCATTTTAAACTCTCCAAGTATTTTCCTCAAAACTCATTCCCTGCCCATTATGGTCTCCACTTTGAGGGCAAGGTAGGATTCATAGCATCACAGCAGCTCTCTCCAAAATATTAACTTTTAATTTGACCCTTTTATCTTCTCCAAATTTCTTTCGTAGTATAAAGGTGGATCTTCAACTAAGAATTGCAAAAACTGGTTATCAAAGACTACCTTTACATGTCCTGCATAGATACCTCACAACTTGATTTGAATTGTGACCTTTATTGTCTTGGGACCTCAGCCAAGAATAGTTCAAACTGAATATTATTACATATACAAAGAAAAATAGTTTTATGGGTGCTCTGAGTCCAAGATCTGATTAGGATACAGAACTGTTTGATTGTAATTAATGTTGTGGCATATTTGAAATAATTATAAGGATGGAAAGTTCCTAGTGCTTAAAGAAGAGTGAGGGAGATAACAAAACATTAAACTTAAGCTCTCTCTCAATTTTAGGAAATAACTGATGGACAAGTAGATATTGAATGAATTATGTATGATGGCTCTTCCAGCACTCAAATCCTTTGTTTATTTCTTTGTTGGTGATTGAAGATATAACCATTTCCTCATATAAAGCGGTTTTCACAAACTTTCTATAACTGTATTTTGGGGCCTCAAAAGGAAGAAAAAAATGATCAAACTGATGAAGAAAGAATGGGAAAATAAAAGGAATAATTATAAGCCAGAGTAAAAAATACTACTTAGGCATATACCAATTATTTCTGCAAAATCCACAATTTATGGAAAGAAATCTCAATGTTCACATATTGATCAGCTTTTTAAAAAAATTATACTTTAAGTTCTGGGGTACACGTGCAGAATGTGCAGTTTTGTTACATAGGTATACACGTGCCATGGCGGTTTGCTGCACGAATCAACCTGTCATCTACATTAGGTATTTCTCCTAATGTTATCCCTCCCCTACCCCTCAACGCCTGACAGACCCTGGTGTGTAAATGCAAATCAAAACCACAATGAGATACCATCTCACGCCAGTTAGAGTGGCGATCATTAAAAAGTCAGAAAACAACAGATGCTGGAGAGGATGCGGAGAAATAGGAATGCTTTTACACTGTTGGTGGGAGTGTAAATTAGTTCAACCGTTGTGGAAGACAGTGTGGCAATTCCTCAAGGATCTAGAACTAGAAATACCATTTGATCAGCTTTTATTCATACCCACAAAGAATACTTTGTAATAGAGATTTCTCACTGATTTGGGGAAAAAAAAGTGTATTCCATTAACGTATTAGATTACTGCTTCATCTCATCAACTCTTATTTTTACCACCACAACAAAACAGCCTATTTAAAAGCAAATATTGTACCATATCAATCCTTCATTAATGAATGAGCCTAACGAGCAGAGAATTGTCCAGGTTCTGTTCACTATCTGGCTATTCATAGTAATGCATTGTCTGAAATAAAGTCAGATTTGGGTAACTCTTGCACCAAAGCCACTGACAAAGATTTATATGGTTTACCATAATGAGTTGACTTCTCTTTGGATAACGACAGTGACTAATGCTGTACCTATCTTGGTGGAGGCATTTTTTTATCTTATCCATGTTTTACGGAAGGTGATCTTTGGTTTACAGAATCGTGGAACTGGAAAATATATTTAGTGTTTACCTCATTCATTCCCTTATTATGAATGAGAAAATTGAATCCAGAGGCATTAAATGAGACATGTTAGGCTAATGGCAAAGAATTGTCTAGAACTCATGCCTTGTAATTCCAGAGCCCTATGCTGTGAAAGATAAAAACATTAGTTTTTTCTGTAACCCAAAAACAGGCATTATGACATTGCTTTCTGAAATAGACATATGCCAGTTAAAATATGGTAGAGTGCTCAAGTTATATGTGAAACACAGGGCTTTTTATTTTCAAAATGGGAAAGGATGTCAGCTCTCAGTGTTTACTTGATATTTGAGAGTTATTTCCCTTATATTTGTAATCACACCAGAATGTGGTAAAGATTAACAAACCAATGATGTTTATGACAAGTCTTTGTTTTTTTCTAGTTGTTCATAACTACCATCAAAAGCTGAGGTTCTAGAATGTCCATTTAAACATCCAGGGCACTACTGTCAGCAAGAGATCATTAATCCAGTGAGAGTATAATTAAAAGAACAGTCTTCCATCCTCCCACTCCAATTTCCAAACCTGAATAAGATGAAAATATATCTTTATTCTTGTTGCTTTCCACTTAGGGTTGTAGTGGCTACCTTACCTAAAAATAAGATTACATTGTAAAGCAAGATGTCATTTCAAAGTGTTTGTGTGTAGCTATAGAGGGCTATATGGCTTTGTTGCTTGAAGAGACTCTTATCTATCAACAGATGTGTAGGCATGGTCTGGTTGTCAGAGAATGAATAAAGAGAAGCTGATGATGCACCATACCATAAAGTGAAACATTATTTCTGCTGCAGCAAGAGGAAGATTATATCGCACATATGAAAAATTTCCTCCTTCAATATGAGTGTCAACTGCATGGTTTCTGAGAAGTATAGTTTCATGTTGCATGGGATGTGTGGGAGGTGAAGGCAGTTAGCTTCTGAATATTACAGCGTTGCCACCACACGTTAATGGAGAGACCTTGAGATGGGCCAGGCATTGAGTGCCATAATGCACCCTGGTTCTTGAGGCTATTTTAGAACACATAATTTACACTTTGGGAAATGTAAGTTGTGAGTTATAATATCCACCCCTCTTTCTTATGAGAAGGGATCTCTCCATGATATAACCAATTGTCCTGTGGGAAAGATATAGAATGTTCCAGAAAGAGGGATATAGTTGTAATAGAAAGACATTAGAAGGGCTCTTTTTGAAGAGAAGTAAATCTAGGAATTGGAAAATACCCACAGGGAAATGCTTAAGGTTTAAATTTTTGTGCTTTACTCTTAGACCAACTGGGGGTGATTTTGCCTCTTTCCAACTATTTGGCAATGTTGGGGGACATTTTTTATTGTTACAACTTAGGGCAGGGTGCTGCTGGCATCTAGTGGGTAGAGGCCAGGGATGCTGCTAAGCATATTACAATGCCTAGGACAGCCCCTTACAGCAAAGGATTATCTACCTCTAAATGTCAGTAGAACCAAGGTTGAGAACCCCTATTTTAGACTAAGAATAGCCACATTATGCTCCCTAACTTAAGTTCTTTTCCTTGTAGTTTTAATTCCCATCAGTGGAGTATGTTGTGTACATGTTATTTTGTGCTCATGGTGCTATGGAAGATGATCAGGAGGGGGCAACATGGGGAAACGTGGTCTTCCTCAGATCACCCCACTTCTGAAGTGTATCCCCTGGTGAACGCATCACATCTGGGAGGAAATGAATCTCCAGTTCCAGGCAGTAACCAGCTGCAAAGAACTCAGTGGCCTATTGTGACATTTATTTCTTTGTTGTCTCTGAGTCCCAAGCCCACATTTTCTCTATATTCTACTAGAAGTCTGCAAGCTACATTTCCCAGATTCCTCTGCTGGATAGATTCCCATTAAATTCTGCCTTTGAGCAGCATTGGCAGGAGACTGCAACATGAGAGGATGAGAGAAAGAGTCCTTGGACAACATCTTCCTGTTTGCAGCTCCTGGCACATCTCTTTAGCAGCAGAGGGCAGCTATGGCTCCAGTCTCCAGCTTTTAAAAACCCTTTCAGACCCATCCCTTAGAGGTACCATCATCAGCCCTGTGTCTGGACCCCCTCAGAGACCTAATTATCAGTGTGTGGCACCTCCATCCCTGAGCACTGGCAACATGGGGCCCTTCCTCTTGACTCCTAGGTTTTGGTGCCCATAAATTTTCCTTTTGGTTCCCTCAAACCTAGGAATTGTAGCTGCTTCCTGTGGCTACTATTGCTTCTGGGTTTCCTTCTTGCCATTAATCTTCAACATCTGTGTAACCAATTGCTTTTATTAAGTCCTCTCCATTTGAATATCAGGCATGTGTCTATTTTCTTGAACGAACACTGACAGATATACCAGGGTAGAGCTGAGAGTAAAGAGCAGAAGCAGGCAGTGTAGAACAGACGCTACCACGTGGCTTTTGGGAGGCCACCATGAGTTAGCACTCTTTTCTTCCAAACACATCTAGTAATGCTAGGATGTGGAGAGGCTGACACATTACCCTAGTGAAATGCAGAAGTGTTTGCTCCTAATCTCTGTGGTACAGAGGAGGAACTCTGAGGTTGACTGTTCTTCCTTTTGCATGGAAAGACATCTATCTTTACACTGAGATAAGGGTGAGCAGGATGGGACCTCATGTTTTCCTCAGCTCACATCTCTTCTGGACTACTAGGCATTGTAGCCCTGGCAAAGAAGCTTCCTGACAACAGATGAAAGAAATAGAGAATCCAGATCACTCTAGTGAAGATACAGAGTGGAGAAAACCCTGTCCTGCCCTCACACCAGTGGGGGATACAAAAAGTTCTCCTATGGGGCAAGGGGTTACAGTTAGTCTGTCAGGCCACCAATAATTAATGACCAAGTTTGCACAGACAATAGCGGCAAAGTCACAAATGGTCCTGGCTGACCCATGACAATAAGATGTCAACAATTGTACTAACACACTCCAATTTCAGAGATGTCAAAACATGACCAAATGCTTATTGTAGAATTGGTTGAATATTGAAACTCAGAACCCAGACAGATAAATGGCAAAAAGGCTAATACAAATAGGAGAGTATAAACAAGAAGGCAAATACGTGTCAATAAGAACAAACACTTTGAAAATGGTGATAACTACCCATTAGGATACCAAATTAGAATTTATCGAAAGCCCAGTCCCACAGCAGCTTCCTCTTGGAGGTCACCAGATTCAAACAAATGTCAATCCCTCATTGGCATATGACAAACCTTTTTTTAACCTCTTTGGACAATACACCTTCATGAATTATGTTTTCCCCACAACTCTAGTTATGGATAAAGGCAAATTGGAAAAGCAATCATTTATGCCTTGGAAAATTTCATTATTAGATCACATTGGTTTCCAGCAACACGTTATTTTCTCCGTATGTTTTGTCTTACCACAGTCAGCATGAGTGTCTACTATCCTGAGAAATAAGCCATCCCTTTTAGGAGTTAGTGCTTGAATACCACATGATAACAGCATTTCTCTTCACTTCCCCCATTTGGCTGTGACATTACTTGGACACAGGCACAGAGCATTATGGGTTTATTCATAGCAGCACTACTCAAGGTCTGGACGACCAGACAGAATAGCTAAAACAGCTGATCTAGTTGCAGCAGTGGACCCTGGAGACTTAAGTGGACCATTGAAAAACAGTGTCTTAGTCTTCAAAGAGCTTATGGCTTCATATGGGAGATTGAAAAGTGAACAAACCCACTATAAATCCATATGCTGACTGCTGACATAGAAGTGTGTATACCTGGTGCTGTGGGAGCATAGAGAAATGACAAACTGGACAGTATTAGCGTTTCTGGAAGGTAAGATCAAAATTCAAAATGGAAATTATGTTTGGGATGAGTCTTGATGAATGACTGGGAATTTCCCAAGAAGACAGTGTTGCAAGGGAGAAGGATAAATTCCAGAATAAGGAACAGCATGTGCAAAGGGAGGGAGAGAGATAATGTGTGGGCATTCTGGACATTTTGGGAAGTTCAATAGGAATCATAAGATACATGGACTTTGTCCTGAAGATGATAGGGTTCTAGGAAGGAAGTAAAATGATTATATTTACATGTAAATTAAAAAAATTAAAAAAAAATGACAAAATGATAGAAAACGCAGAATTTGGTGACTGGTTGAATGCAGGACTTGAGGAAAAGCAGGGAGGGCTGGAAGATTTTGAGGATGGGGTTACTAGCATCTCTAATCAGGAATACAAAGCAATGGAGGAAAGTGAAAACCTTTGAGGTGCCCATGGAATATCTTCACATGGCTGCTCTATCTCAGCTAGAAGTGTAGCATAAGGGAAAGGGCCAGACTCTGGACGTAGATTTGAAAGCAATCAGATTCAGATGTCAGTTGAAGCTCTAGACATCGAAGAGATTGTTTTATGATTAAAAAACAAAAACAAAGGCCAAAAAAAGGAATGCTGGGACCTTTGAGCTAACGTTTGGGTGAATGGAAAATATAAAAACAGAAAGTAGATGGGGGAATAGAGCAAGGAGATAGAAAGTGGAGAGTGGAGTCACGGAAATTAAGGTAGGAGAAAAGTTTATGAAGGCAGTGGTCAGTAAGGTCTAATGCAGCAGAAGGTGAAAAATAAGCACAAAACAGACACTGTGGCTCCTTCTGCTTGAAGGTCCTACTGAACTTGAGGGTAGCCACAAGTTGAGGCCAGGCCTTTATGGGTGCACCATATGGTTTGTGGCTGGATTACAGAGTAGGGAATTCTCCACAAAGGTCAAAGGCTCTTTTTCAACCTGTTTTGTGGTAGCAAAAAAACATGGCCAAGCCATGTCAGATCCAGCCCCTGGCACAATGGCTGTGCCATACACAGAGAGAAACATGACCTCAGCTCGTGTAAAGTCTGAATAAATCTTCCAACAGAATGTTTAATCTCTGAATGGGCAAAACATTATATAGCATAAAATCTAAGAGAGGATTAGAAAAAAACATGTAAAATATGATGGGATTCAGGAGAAATCTATTCACTGTATTTTGCAGAAAAATAACAGGCCAGATAAAATAGTCATCATTCAAGGATGAATAAACAAGCAAATAAAACCTCATTATGAGGCATGTGAAAATTTTTGCAACTTTAAGAAATGAAAATATAGCACTCAAGAGGCAGAGGAAGAGCACACTTTGAAAAAGATTTACTACAGGAAATGGGAATAAATTTTAAACAGCATATGCTTTGTGATCTAAATAACATTCAAGGACCCCATGAAGCAAGAGATGAAAAATGAGACAAGAAAACAGACTGAAGTGAGAAGAAAATTGGTTGAGAAACTGGAATATAGAGGAAGATAAAATGAGGACAATGTTATAAAACTAAATATGAAATATGAAAATTAAAAGTACATTAGAATTAATAAAATAATTAGCAAAACATAATCAAGTAATAGAAAGGACAAATTTGAGGCATAGTCCTTCAGAACTAAAGGAATATGTAAAAGAGGTGAAAACACTGAGAAAGGAAACACTAGAATTTGTGGGCAAATAGTAGAAATTCGACATGAAGACAACCACTATCCCTAAAGAAGACATCTGAACAAATAGAAAACTAGCAATGGTTCTGGAGTGTATAGAAAATAACAACATTCGCAAACTTAAGAAGCAAGTCAGTATTCAGATCAAATGGGTTTGATGTGAATTAGGTAAAATTAATATAAAGAGACCAATTTCTATAGAAGTCCAGAATTTGAATTCCAAAAAAATACACTGGAACGTAAACAAAACAAAATAAAACAACCAAAAATAACAAACAAGTTAGCAAAAAAGGAAGAAAAATCAAGGCCAGGAATTAATATAACAATCTCTACAGAGGCCCAATTTGGGGCAAAAAATAAGATCTAAGAACACTGTATCTGGGCATGTTGTTACTCACATTTGAAATCAGCAAAAAAAAATTCTGTGAAACAAAGTGTTAGAAAGAAAATCAATCAAGTTCTGTTCATGAAAAAAAAGTTTTTTCAGACAACCATGAAATGAGTCCAGTAAAAAAAAAAAAAAAAACCTGATGGACAAGGAAGGTGTGCTATGAAAGGACCGGCAGTAAGCATTGAATTATTTTAATATGGGATAAAGTCTAAATTGTTGTAAATATAATGTAGTTCAACAGAGTTTGCAAACCTGATCAATGATTCTTGAATGTTAAGATATAGAATGTAGATAATAATCTTGAAGAGATAAGAAGTTGGTTCTATATTCCCAGCAGTGGAAGAGAGGTAGTAGGAAGGAATAGCATGAGAATATCTTCATGGTACATTGGAGGAAAGTGGTAGACAATGATTCCCTGTGATGTGGACAGACAGTGTTGTTTATTTTTTAAAAGTAAGATTTAGCAGACTTCGAAGTATGATGCCTTTACATTAGAAGAGAGAAAGGGGAAAAGAAAACATGTATGATAATTAAGGATAAATATCAAAGGAAATAGCCAAGAAACTGAAACACAATAATACATGAATATGCACAAATGTATTTGAGTAAGCACAAACATGTAATTTATAATAAATGTAATGATTTTATTATATTAAATGGCAAAGATTAGGTCCCAATCAACAATAGTTCTCTACGAAAGATACCTAAGAAAGAGTAACTCAGAAAAGTAAGTAAAAATTCCAATAATAAAAACATTATCGAATCAAACCTATGGTGTTTAGTAAAAGCTATAAGCAAGCAAAAATTTACAAAACGTACTTTGTTTTGTAACAAAGGAGAAAAAGGAGAAGAAATTGTTACAAATGAAAGCAGAAATTTAGTGGAGAAAAATGAATAGAATAAATAAATCTTTAATTGGTTCTTTAAAAAACGCAAACAATAAATAGAACAAAAAGAATAAAACGTAGAAAACTCCATTTATCTTAATCGAGGAAGTAATGAGAAGAGACAAAAATTGCATATGAAAGGAGAGGTCATCTCAGATATAAAAACATTTGAAAATATTTATATAATGAATCGTTCTCATTTATATCAAATATGATTATTAACTGATGAAGGAGCAGAAAACATTCTCAAGAAGAAATTGAAAAATATTGTAAAAGTTAACCTGTGCAGGTCATTTAAAGAAAAAGTATTTCAATTTTAAACAACAAATAATTTTCTGACTTTATCAACTCTTTCTGGGCATTAAAATATGTGGGGACAAAGTTCTAATTCAATTACTGGCAAAACCCTAACATCAAAAATTGATAAAACTGGCTGGGCGAGGTGGCTTATGTCTGTAATTTCCAGCACTTTGGGAGGCCTTGGCAGGTGGATCACCTGCGGTCAGGAGTTCCAGACCAGCCTGGCCAACATGGTGAAACCCTGTCTCTACTAAAAACACAAAAATTAGCCAGGCATGATTGCAGGCACCTGTAGTCCCAGCTACTCGAGAGGCTGAGGCACGAGAATCGCTTGAACTGAGGGGTGGAGGTTTCAGTGAGCCGGGATCGCACCACTGCACTCCAGTCTGGGCGACAGAGCGAGACTCTTGTCTCAAAAAAAAAAAAAAAAAAAAAGCAAAACCGATAAAACTAATACAAAAGGGGAAGAGATAAGATACTTTCAGAACTATGAACATCAAAATCAGAAATGTAATATGAAATTTATCTAGCTGTTTATGAAATAATGCAAAGAAACTCCCAGAAGATTTTGTTTCAAAAATGAAGAGATAATTAAATATTATTGATTTATTATTATAATTTTCACATGAATATGTCATGGGAGAGAAACGGATTGAACATCCAAATGTATACCGAAAATTAAGTTGAAAAAATTGCAACATCCATTTCTAGTAGAACAGCTGATAACTAGTACGAGGATAAGAATGAAGTCTTCTTTCTCAAGTTGATCCAGCTTATTTATCTCAATACATGATATCTAAAAATAAGACTCTAGAAATAGTCACTTTAAAAGATAAAATAAAAAAAATACAAGAAAGTTCCTTGTGATGAATGTTATTCAACATTGTTCTGTAATTTATTAGCCAGGAAATAAGATCAGGCAAAAGAAAAAAAAAAGTATAGTTTTGAAGAGGAGGAGGACAAATGTTTTTTTTTTTACTGACATTGTGATTATCTATACAGAAATCTCAAAAACAGGAAGAAAGCAATTAAAAAACTAATAGCCTTAATGAGAGATTTTATCTAGGCAACAAATCATAAGCCAAGTGTACAAAAATCAATTGGTTCTATATATATGCAAGCAATAATTAACTAGAAGATTTAATTTAAACATTCCACTCATAATAAAATAAATAAATTATCTAAGACTATATTTAATAAGAAATGTTTAAGATCTACAGGAAGAAAATTACAAAATGCCATGGTTTTAAAAGAAGATCTGAATCAATGGGGAGAAACACTATACTTTGATCTATTTGTTTGCTGAGAAATTGTAAGGCTGTCAGTTTTGAATGGGGCTTTGAACAACATAATCTTATCCCACTAATGAACATACATGCAAAAATCTGAAGCTAAACAATATCAAATCAAGTCCAGCAGCATATGAAAAAAGTAATATATCTAGAGCAAATAGAGTTTATCCTAAGAATGCAAAGATTAATCAGCCTCAGAGCAGAGAACTTGTTCAGCTTATTCTCATTTTTATTCCTTGCATTTATCATAGCTCTTGGCATATAATAGGTGCTCAATAAATATGTGTTGACTGAACAAATATGATGTAATCTTTTAATTTATTTTGCTACATTAACAGATTAAAGGAAAAAATCTACAACATATCTTAATTGAGCCGAAAAAGTATTTCATAAAATTCAATATCCCCTTTTTATCACTCTAAGAAAGCTAGAAACAGAATGAACCCTTTTATCTTGTTAAAGTTTTTTTTATTAGAAAACAACAGCAAGTATTATACTTAGTAATGAAATACTAGATTCAGGAGCAGGGAAAATGTGCTTAATATCACCTCAACTTATTAAAACTTTACTGGAAGTCTCAATCAACATAACAATAAAGAAAAATAAGAACTGTAAATTTGAGGGAACTAAGAGACAACATAGTAATTATTCACAGATGATACCATCTTATACTCAGAAAATAGAAGAGGCTGAAGTGAGAACAGATAATGCTAAGCAGTGAATGTTTGTGTCCCTCCCTCCCAAATTCATATGTTAAAATCTTAATCCCCAATTGGATGGTATATGAAGATGGAGGCCTTAGGGAAGTGAGTAGGACATGAGAGTAGAGCCCTCATGATGACACTGGTACCCTCACTAGAGACAAGGGAGAGATTGCTTCCTTTCTCTTTCTGTCATGTGAGGAAACAGCAAGAAGGTGGCTGTTTACAAGCCAGGAAGTGGGCCCTCACCAGAATCAGACCATTCTGGCACCCTGATCTCAGACTTCCAGCCTCCAGAACTGTAAGAAATAAATGTTTATTGTTTAAGCCAGCCAGTCTGTAGTATTTTGTTACAGCAGCCCAAGAAGACTAAGATAGAAAAATAGAGACCAACTCCAAGATTCATGTCCTAGAAATAACTTAACAAAATTAAATAATTGTCTCGCAATTTTAACAAAATAATTAAATTTTTAGGGATGAAATAAGAGGAGCAAGACTTAGATGAAAAAAAATGTTATAAAACTTATGGAAACCCTGAATAAATGAAGAGAAGACCATGTTCCTAGATTTTAAAGGTATTACTTCCTTTTAAATTATCAATAACTCAATGAAATCTTAATTTACAATTCTAGAGAAACTCAACAACACATCTGCAAACTTTGGAAAAGAAAAGAAAAGCCAAGATATTTCTGGAAAAGAACAGTGAGGGAGAACTTATCCTGCCAAACATGAAAACAAATTATAATCTATAATAACTAGTAGAATGTGATATTGGTCAGAAAATGAGAATCAATGAGTGGACCAAAAAGAAAAGGAAATCTAGATGTCTAACACATGTGCTTCACTAAAAGAAAATTCCATACACATTTAAAAAGCAGTGAAGTGTTTCCTGAAATTTAAAAATATAACGGTAATATTTTTTAAAACTTTACATAAAGTTACATAAGAACTCATCCCCAACTGTGGTTGGAGCTTCCTCACAACATGGCAGTTTCATGCTTCTCGCAAAACAGTTTAGGGCCCCAAAAATGAATGTCCAAAATGAATGGGATAGAAGTTGAATGACTTTCTACCAATGGCTTAACCTCTAAAGCCAACAGAGTCACTTCCACCATACTCTATTGGTCAACCAATCACTAAGGTTGGTCTGGATTCAAGGGGAATACAAATACACCTCACCTCTTGTTAGGAATGCCAAATAATTTGAAAATATGTTTTTAAATCACCATACACTTTCATTCAAAAGTGGTACACCTCACAGCTTTCAGTGTGAGATATACCCTGGCTTGAATACCATTTTGGTCACTTACTATTTCGATTTGTGAGTATTTAATAAATTAGCACATGTAAGATACTTGGCATTACCAAATTAAATGTTTTTTTATACATAACTTCGTTGCTCTAGCTAAAAATAAAGGGATTGTAATTTGTTTGTTTGAATAATCATTAACCATATGATGTAAGGTGTATGACCATAATGAATACACCTTGTGCTGCTGTGCCACAGGCTGAGAAATTTCAAGAAATCAACAGTAGGTAAATTCCTATGATGTGTCAGTTTAGCATGACAATAAAACTCCTGGGCTTCCTTTACCCTTGTAGAAAGTAGGAAAAAAGTGCATGTGACGCCCAGAGGACTCTCCACAGTGTATATTCCCAAATACGTAATGTCTAGTTTCCTACTTTTAGAATAGTATGGTTTTAAGCAGAAAAAAAAAAAAGAAAAAAGAAAAAAAAATCTCTACCTGAGTTGAATACATACCTCCTTCTCTTTCTAATCTCTGGCATTGTCACATATGTCTAGAAAATTCGACATTTATATAGAAACCCTTCCCAGGGTTCACTATACAACTCTCTTTGCTCGTGCTTAGATGGTGAGTAAGGGCTCATAAAATGCATATCACATCATTATATTGTGTTTAAACATTTTTATTTCTCCAGAGAATTTAAAATATACAAACATGTGACTCTGTGAGGAAATGATCCAAAAAAGATTATAAATACAGCTATAAATGTCAAAGTTCCTAAAACATTTCACTGGCTCTATCTTCAGAAGAAAGTGTTTACACATAGAGCACATGCCAGCATGTTTTATTATTGTTATTGTGGGCATTAAATGTTACAAATGCAATCTGTTTGACATATATATAAACGATGGTCTGCGCAAACATTTAAGGATCACCTCAAACGCTGTGAAGCTGATTAGGAAGAACAATTTAGTAAGGCATGGGCAACAAGCTCCCCCTTGCAAACAAGACATTGTCGTCCCTAGGAAACAATGAGAAATTCAGTTTCAGTTTTTAACTTAATAAATGTTTAACTTCTAAATTTTGCTCATTTCCCTTTCTGATTTTCTAGCAAGGATTATAGTAAGTGGTTAGTCATGACTTGCTTTCTTGTATGACCCACTCAGGATCATCAAGATTTCTTCTATTTTCTTAAAAAGTAATAGAAAAAAAAGAAGGAAGGAAGGAGGATGAAAGAGAGGACGGAAAGGAAAGAGGAAGAAAGGAGCGAGGAAGGAAGGAAAAGGAGGGAGGAGATGAAGGAAGGAGAGTGTTTTCTCATACAGACTTGTGGTATCTAGTCTACACATTGGTTTCTCCTACCCTTCAGTGGGTTAACAGTACATTATTCTTGTCAGGCCCTCACTCTTTGCTAAAGGAAACTTCAATCTCAGCTCCACCTGCCTTCCCTGTTTTATATAAAGAGTATCCCTTCCCCTCACATAAACCCAATACCAGTATCTCTAGAGCTACACTGTCCAGTGGACATAGAATGTGAGTCACAAATGCAAGCCACATATGCAACTTTATATTTTCTATCAGCCATATTAAGAAGAGTAAAAAGAAACAGATGAAATTAATTTTAACAATATGTTATGTAACCTAATATATCCAAAATATTATCAATCTATAGGCAATATAATTTTTTAAACATTTTTTCATACTACTTAAAGTTCACTGTGTGTTTTACACTTGCAGAAAATCTCAAAACTAGCCACATTCCATTCAATTCTATCTTTCTTATTGCTCTCCATGCATCCTTAACATGAATCTCCCTTAACTTGAACCAGCTTGAGTTGGGCTCTGCTTCTTAAAACCAAACAAAGCTAACATAGTAGCAAGTGAAGGGCTTGATCACCGTGTCTTATTTACTTATTTTCTATCCTTCAGGCATTATTCAGTATGGCACCAGACAATTTTTATTCAGTTATTGCCATTGGGAAAGTTTGGAATTATTTGTGCTTTATGGGATGATAGGGTTTAAAGTTAATTTTCCTATGATGTACCCCTTTCTATTTGACATTACATTTTGTTTGCAAAAAATACTGGTACAGTGCAGTTTTTTAAAATCAGGCAATTCAGAGAGTTCCTCTTAACAATGCCCTCTGAGACTATTATGAAAGTTGTTAACATTAAACTGCCTTAGCGAGGTGCTGTCTTTGGTACCGTATAATTTCATTAATTTAAATCCAAGTAAAGATCAAATTTTCCAATTCATCTAAGCTATTTATTGGCCTTGGCTTTCTTGGTGATTAACTTTGATGACAATAGCATTTCACACAATGTACAAACAATAAAATTCTGCTTCTTACAGGACAGTGGGATGATCTTTTGGTAAACATTTTACTTGGGAACAGTTAGGAGAAATTATGAATCTACAAGTTAATGATCCAAGCCTCAGTTTACCTATTAATTAACTGAAAGAATTTCTTGCCTGTAATGTGTGCTGGAAAGAAAAGATCTTTATGTTTATGAGTGGCATATATATACAGTGTGACACAAGTATTACGATTGTTTAAAAAACTATTCTAATGACACTGGTAGTATTTTAAGAGTAATAGTAATACAATTGTTGGCCAGAAGCGGTGGCTCACACCTGTAATCCCAGCACTTTGGGAGGCCGAGGCGGGTGGATCACGAGGTCAGGAGATTGAGACCATCCTGGCTAACACAGTGAAACTCCGTCTCTGCTAAAAATACAAAAAATTAGCTGGGCGTGGTGGTGGGCACCTGTAGTCCCAGCTACTCGGGAGGCTGAGGCAGGAGAACGGCGTGAACCTGGGAGGCGGAGCTTGCAGTGAGCCGAGATCACGCCACTGCACTCTGGCGTGGGTGACAGAGCGAGATTCCGTCTCAAAAAAAAAAAAAAAAAATACAATTGCTAGGCAAAAATGAATATTTATTTGTAATTTTTAGAATTTATTCTAATTGTAATTATTTCTTCATCTCTGACCTTGTATGTCCAACAGGGTCAGGACTAGGATCTGAAGTACAAAATTTAAGGAGTGTCCAAAATCTCAGTAATCAAGATAAATATTTTAATGCAATAGTTTTAAAAATAAAAATTAATGCGAAAAATTAATAATGGAAAAAAGTTGGAATTTTAAATAAAGACAGGGTCAGAGATTGCAATGGACAGAGAGCACTGCCCCTGGATCATTAATAAGATTTAGATTATCAAGCCACATCACTGCAGTTTGCATGTGATTTCATAAGTATCCACCATACATAGAATTCAATTGATTTCAAGCTTTTAAGTAATCACTGGATTCTAATATCTTTTATATATCATTGTTTTCTCAATATTCACACTTTGGGGTTCTCCCCAAATATTATATTAGGAAATTCAAATGTGTTTCACTTTTCAGATCAAAATTAAAGAAGTATTCAGTTGATGCTGCATGATTCTGAATAACTGTGAAACCTACTTTTAGGCAGAATATAAATAACATGCTTGAGAATAGAAATCTATGAATAGTTCTTTGAGTGAAAGAACGGTGTAGCCAATTTCACTCCATTGAGGTAACACTAAACAAGATGAGCTTGTTTTACTTCATACAAAGGAATGACCAAATTAGGCATGAGAAAATGTGACAAGATTTCCAATCGTGTTTTTCTTTTCTTTCTTTCTTTCTTTTTTTTTTTTTTTTTCCCCAGCTTAGATTTGTACTCTTCGGTACTGCTAGAAATAGAATTCTCAAAAGAGCCATGCTCTCTTTCACAAGCCTTGGAAAAATCAGTTTGGTCTACACTTGACTTTATTAGTGGTCTCCTGATTCCTTGGGACTTTGTCATTGTTTTAGATCATTGTTCAGGCCAAATGGGAAGAAGGAAGTGGTAAGGATAGTAGTATGAATGACTAAAGTCTAGGCCAGCACATCTCAAATTTTCTAATTTCTGGAGATCTTATTAAAATAGAGATTCTGGGATGGGGCCTGAAATTCTACATTTCTAACAAAACCCCAGACAATGCCCAAGTTGCTGTTTCATGGATCACGTTTTGGATAGTGCTACTTGTGAGTTTTTGTTCTTGTTGCTTTTGAGATTAAATGTTTAAAGAATTATCCTTTTTGGGAAAATAAATTATCTTCTATATAATATAAGGTCCTTGAGGTAGAAATTTTGTCTCATCTGTTCTTATATCCCTAGTTCATTGAACACTGCAGGGCATTTGAAGGCACTTAACTGTTATTGATTGTTGTTGAATAAATTAATAAATGAAATTTGGGGCCAATTTTAGAACAGGGGTTCTTAAGTTTTTTTAGTGCCATGGATCCTACCCTCTTTGGCAATCTGGTGAAGTCTGTGGACCCTTTCTCAGGAAAATATTTTTAAGTGAAAAAAATAGAATGTATAGGTATTACAAAGGAAACCAATTATATGGAATCATAGTTATCAAAATATATAAAAGTCAAATGTGTGATGTAATAATGTATGTGCTTTTAAAAAATAAAATCTTGCAGTGCATCTAATAATTACTATAATTTCGAAGAAATGAAGAGTATAAAGACTGTTTTCATATATCTACAGCAACTGTAATTTCATAGAAAAAAAAAACTGTGATTTCTATTAGTGACAGACAGGTACTGCTAATAGTACCATAGGTTGTTGACTCTATTCATAATGGAAGGATATGCTAAATTTCAGTTGGAAATGAGTGAAAATAATGTTGTAATTGTTTTTACATTCAAGTTCACAGACATCCTGGGTCTGTGAACCCCAGAGTAAGAACCTGATTTTAGACAGTCCACGAGTTTTGTTTACCAAGCTTTTCCAATGTTGGTTGAAAATCATTTCACAAAAAGAAAAACAATAGAGTAATACTTATGATTATTTTTATTTTAGCTAATGAAGTATCTAATACTTGTCATATTATTCCATTTTCTTTAACACAGTACTTCAACTTGCAAAAATCTGAAACAGCTTTTTCCAGTGATTATTTCCCTTTCTTCCATTCATATCTATGACAAATATATAATGTATACCTTTATTAACTGGATAAACAACCCACAAATGCGACTTTGTAAAGTGCATTCCCATGAGACAGATCCATAAACCTGGTAAGCACACCAAGACCCCATCAGAGATATTTGAACTAAATCTTAATTTGTTATTTACAAACACTTCACATGGCCCTCTAAATGAATTCTGTGCTGCCTCATTGACAAGAAATATAACAGACTACACATTCGAGAGACAGAGAGGGCTGTGGGATTATTTGACTGAACAATTTCACAGGTGTTAACAATAGAGGTGGGCCGAAGAGTTTCAACCAAGAGAATGTAACTCAGACTGAAGTTATCCAAACACCTGTTGGTAAGTTGTATTCTTTCCTTTAGATTGTTTCCTTTATAGTAATTTTGTAGAGCTACTTTATTGGTCTTTTCCTTCAGAAGTCAGAAAGTTGAGGGGAGGGGAGAAAAGAAGGAAAGAGTAGGAGAACCAACAAAGATTCAAATTTGTCACCATGCCAAAGACAGCCTAACCCCTAGAGCAGAGGTCTCAAACCTGGAGCCTTGGGGCAGACACAGGAGCAAATGAGTTTTGTTTGGCTCATACACCAGTAATTAAGAATTGGATTTGAATGCTCTTATGCATTGGTGTGCAAGTAAATGTTTAATAACCAACTCTCTGGGAGTGGAGTGGAAGCCCTGATTTGCAATGTTTGACAATTCCTGTGGCGTAAATGGTCAATTTTGACTTACCAAGATGAGGACACCGAAAAGAGCTTTGGGAAGAGATGTGTATAATCGGCCCTCTGAAGTCCACTCCATCACAGCACTGTATTTCAGGGGGGCCTGCATTCTCTTGGGTTCCCACCTCTTCATGCTGTCTTCCACCCTGCCCACTTTCCTCTCTTAAATCACCTCTTTGGTCCCAGTGGGCTGTGAAATTCGTGACTTCTGCCTGGAGCTTTTCTGGGTGCCTGACGTTGGTCACAAAGCTAGGCTGAGGAATGTGCTGGCTATTTTGAGGTGTGATCAGAGACTTGCATTCATTGTGAAGAAAGCAGAGGGATTTGGCAGAGGAAAGCAAAGACTAAGCCTGGGATACAGCAGCTATAGGAAACGTGGCTTGGGTGTCACTTGATTGGCTGCTACTTGTTTTTGTGTTCCCATCTGTCAAAAACAGCTGGAAGTCACAACTAAATTAAAGGTGGAAAATGCTTTGAAAAAGTAATGGGGCCACACACAAAAAATATTACTACTATTTCTTCCCCTCAGCTTCCCCACTCCGCTAAATGAGACATTCTGCAAGGACTGGATACTATTTCTGTCTTTTCACACTTCTCTTGCTAATGTTCAGTGGGCTTCAGAGATCTGATATAAATGTACAGGCGATGTGGAAACTGATTGAGAGGCAGATTTATATTAAAAATTGTATACATATATTTACCACCAGTTTTAATGATGCACTTTTGGTGAAGATGAGTTGCTTAAAACGAAATAGACTTAAGAACATATTACTTAAAAATCATATCATGTGTCTTTTTGCTTCACATTTAAACCAGAAAACAAAATCTATATTCACTGTTAGTATAACGCTTAGAAAAGAAAAGATTTTGTCCATGGCTCCCAAATCAGTAGATTATGGTTGTAAGCCCCAATGAGTTCTAAACCATTTGCCAAAGAGCAAGCACCCACCAACTTCCCTCCCCCTGCCAAACATACACTTCCCTCCTGTCTGATTTATAGAGACCCTTTGTTAGGGATGTAGTAATGAAGCCAGCTGCTGTGTCTTTCTGCAGCCCACTGCACCCCTCCCTCGCCTCATCCCCCAGAACAGTTACTGTCAACACCCTGGGGACACTAGCAGAGAGCTCCCAACAGGAAGTCTGGGGATGCTTTTTGATTCTGTGACCATCTTTCACTTCCTCCTTGAGTCCTCATTCTCACTTTGGTAGCCGAGGTCTGCCCTGCCTGCTACCAGAGTGACAAGAGAGGAGTAAAGAAACCAATAGCAAGATTTGGGTACTTAGAGCACTTTAATGGTACTTCAGGAAAATAAGAGATAAAGCAGAAACCAGGTTTAATAATCATAATAAGAATTCTAGAAGCTGTCTCCCACCACTTTGTGATAAACCCATTATCTCACTTAATTCCTCCCTCAGATGGTCTGAAGTCAGCCTGAAGGTGGAACCAAGACAGACTATTGTGAACACTTAGGCAACAAAAGCGTCAATGTGAAGAGAAGTTCTAGTATACTGTTTTCAGGCTTGGTACTAACCTTCATACTTGGGATGCCCAGCCTGGCTGACTTCTACTCATCTTCTAAGACTCATCACAGACATCGTATCTTTCAGGAAACTTCCGCGTTAGCCTGTCTCTCTACTGACACCCCCTCAGGTGCACTCCCCTGTTCCTAGATATTTCTCTCACTGCAGTTACCACAATCTATTGCCCGTCTAGACAGTTGGACGATTTATTCTTTGAGAGTAGAGAATGCAACTTGTTCATCTCTGTAGTCTCCGATCCTATTTTTTTTTGCCTTATGTATAGTAAGTGCTCCAAAAAAGTTTGATGAATGAATGAATGAATTCTGAAAGGATACTATAAGAAATGAAAAGAAACTGAATGAAGTTTATAGAAGAAAGAGGTTTTGAGTAGAATTTTAAGGACTGCAGTGTTTGGAGTAAGAAAATATGTTGCCATGTGGAAATGAGGAAGTAAAAGGGTTACATGTAGAAAGTTGTATTTCATTTTGTTTAGCCAAGTTCTGACATTCAGAAAATCGAGAAATAAGGGGAACCAAATAACAGAGAAAGCAATTGGTGGACAGGTAGTTTGAAGCCACTGTGCAAAGGAATTTATTAATGACAGGAGCTACTAACACCACATCGAGTCTGGATGTGCCATGCATCTTGAAAGCTCAAATGTGTGCTAGATTGTCTTGCAAGCTCACAGATTCCAGGAGAGTTATGGACACACTAGAAGGGAATGAAGAAAACCTTTGGCTCTAGGTTTCATTTGAGGCTGCCTTATTCAGCTATACTTCCGATAGCAAAAATGAACCTGCTCTGGAAGTCTACGTTTCTCCTTTATCCCTTGGAAAATAAAATTCAGTTTCACATAAGTCTCTTTACATTTTCATTAAGTTATCAATAGCATCAGAAAATGTTCCTGTTTTCACTTTTTGTTAATTTTTATCTTTTTTGAAAATTATCTATAGCTTCATCATCAGCTGGTGGGCAGAACAGTATGATACCTCAAAAAAATCCCTTATGTCCTGCAGTCATCTTTGTTCTTTCATGAAACACTTTTGAGAGAGGTAACTCCATTTTCTCCTATGTAGACACACACACCCTTCTATGTCATTAGTGATGCATCTTTAGTATCCTCTGTAACAGCCTGCAATGTTGTTTTTTAAATCTTCACTTTTCACAGATGTTGCCACCACATTGATAAAGAAGACCCCAAAAACCATCTCTGGCACCAGAAGTAGCTAGCCAAAAACCTGCATTGCTTCTTCAACACTCCTCCAAACCCTACTCTATTCATTAAAAATGTTTGCCCCTTTCTATCTAATGTATTATCTTAAGGAATTTGCTATTTTTCTCCCAAGGGGAGAAAAAAAAAACTCACTCTTCAAGATGTCACTTTGTTTACTCCATTTAATTATTTAAGAGATTCTTTAAGCCCTTACCACTCAACCTTTACAGTTCCACACAAAAACAAAGCTAATTCAGATGGCTGAGGACCTTTATGCAAATTGAGGTTTTTCAGAGCTGAAAAGGGCACATGCCAGCTTCAGGGCAGGAACAGGCTGGATAGCTCATGTGGAGGGGGATTTTGGTCACAAACATGGAGCCATTTGATGAACATGTAAACTAATATTAGTAATACAGCATTAATTTATTGCTTCTGCAGATTATTTCTAATACAGACTTGCTGACTTGTACATGTATGATACATAAACACATCCATAAAAGTTTAATGCTGTCAGAGTAGTACATTCACCCACAACACTGCCTGATGACACATTTTCACTTTTCTTAACACTGCTTCCTGAAGGAGTCAACATGATGTCAAGGTGACAGAATTAAGAATGACACCAGAGGAATGGTCAGAAAATTAACTTTTCAAAACTTTCGTGTTAGATGTTTGGATAGACATTCAGTAACATGTGGTGATCACGAATGTGTCTTTAGTTTATTTTGAAAACGAATCCTGAATTACCAATTGAGCAGCAGAACCTGTTTGTACTCCAAAAACAAATTACATTGAATTTAAAAAGCCATTATGAAGAGTGCCTTATGATAAAGAATAGATTTTCTGGCTAAAAGCATTTTCCATCATTTGACAAAGTATAGTCAATCTTAAAGAAAAGCTTCAACTTACGCATTCGTTTCAAAATTAATACTTATGAAGACAGGAAGTTGAATAGATGAAGAGTGATGACTTTTTGCAGGATCTGAGCCCTAAAGTTTTGGGCCTACACTATTCCTTCCTATCTCCTTGTCAGAGAAGTTGAGGCAAGATCTCTCTTTTATCTGGCTCTCAGATTTCTGAGTATAATAAGCTCACAATTCCTTATAGGAAAGATAGAACACATCAGAAAAGCATTCCAAATCATTCCAAATCAAATGAAAGTCACCATTTGATGACTGTAAACTAGCCCCACTCATGGTTTGTTTGGATTTTCTTTTTTTTTTTAAAGGCATTAGAATACATTCAGCTTTTTCTGCATCTGTGTGTCAGTTGCAGAAATGGAAGTTGGAACTAGCCAACTCCATCAGTCATCTACCCCCAGTCTCTGAAATTTCTGTTCCTCTCTAGATAGTGGACGTTCAGTCATTTTGCAGCACTCATCTCGGCTCTAATAACAACTCTATTATGGCCCTGTGGCCTTTTTCGTAACATTTATTTTCAGGTTTGCCATGTGTTGGGCATCCATAACAGCCGGGCTGACTGTCACTTTGTGGCTCCAAAGGCATCGGCAGTGAGAGAGATCTGGACTCTTGCAAAGTATGATGGAATTGGCTGGATTTCATGTGACAAGCTCAGATGATGGCCCTTTGTCCAGAGCAGGCATGACAGAAATGGAAATGCTTGATACAGGTCCTGTTTCCTAAGAACATGTAAAGGACAACTTATGGTGATTTGGGGGATTAAATCGCAACTTTTTCTTGAACTTAAATCTCTATCAATTAGGTAGGCAGCTTGCTTTACTGGGAATTTTCATGGGACCAATACTTGTAAAGGAATGTATTGCTTAAGTGAAGCAGGATCTAGCTTATGACTGAAACTTACATTTGGGTAACACTTTAGCAGCATATCTTCTTTTGAATCAATTATAATCACATTCCACTGGAATCTAGGTCTAATACTACTTTATAGAAATTTTAGAATCACCTGCTTAGGGATATGTATATATATTAACTGGATCTATCAGGGATTAACAAATTAATAGATATTGCCTCTTCTCTTTTTACCTAATGACTATTTGTTTAATAACTGCACTTTTATTATATTAGATCGGGATTTTATCACATTACAAGGATATGTGAAAACCCCTAAAAAATTTGCTTTGGGAAAAAAGTAATGATAATTTATCCATTTTCCTAAACTACCTGTTTCAGTATTTAGATAGCTAATAAAGAGAGCAACCACCTTTAAGTAAACATTCTATCAGATTGAGACTATTGAGAGCAATCTATAAACAATACACCCACTTGCTTATCACTGGTGCATAACTGATGTCCAAGATGCAAAATGGATTACCATGATTTAAACTCTCAAAAATATTTTGAGTTGGGCAATTTTTCAGGACAGACAGCTGTCTACATGACACCTCCACTTAACTATCCAACAGATCTTTCAAATGGGTCATGTTCGCAACAGAATTCTTGAGTTCTCTATTACTCCAAAACTTACTAAATCTTAGGCTTCCCATCTCTTTGATGGCATCATTTATGTCGAGATGCCTGGGCTATAACTAGGGTATCATTCTTGATTCTCTTTTTTTTTTTAACCATATTCCCTATTAAAGAGATAGGAAAGCATAAGGTGATATCAGTTCTACCTTCAAAATATATCCCAAATCTGAACACTTCTCAATACCTCCATTCCTTTCACCCTCATCCAAGCCATCATGATCTTACAGCTGGCTTGCAAGGTCTCTTAACTGATCTCTCTGATCTTCCATTTCTCATTGTTAGTCAGTTCTCTACACAGCAGCTGGAGTGGCAATTATTTCATAATGTGTATCAGATTGTATTGCTTCCCTGATCAAAACTCTCCAGTGCTTTCTTATCACATTCATATCTACTACACCCTACAAGATTTTCCCCTGCCCATTTCCCTAAACTCATCGTCTGTCACTCCTCTCCCCATTTACTCTGCTCTACCCAGTCTCACTTCTTGTTCTTCAGACACACTGAGGTTAGTTCCACCTCAGTGCTGTTGCACTTACTATTCCTTTAGGCTGGAATATCTTCTGTTTCTTTGCCTAGCTCATTCCATCACTTGATTCAGGCTTCTGTTGAAATGTCATTTCCCCATGGAGCCTTCCCTCAACAATCTTTCCAAGCTGTCTCCCCCTGATTTCCACATGGTCTCCCCATTTCACCTGCTTCATTTTTCTCATAGTACTTATAATAGTCAGGGTGTTCCGGAGACAGGAAACCAGTAGAATAAATCTACGTATGAATATATAAATTTATTTTAGGAAATTGGCTTATGTAATTGAGGGGTTTGACAAGTTTGTAATTTGTAAGGAAGGCTGGTAGGCTGTAAACTCAGGGGATTTCTGTGTTATGGTCTTAAGACAGAGTTCCTTTTTCTTCTGGCATCACCTCAGTTTTTGTTCTTAACACCTTCAGCTAATTGAATGAAGCCCACCCACGTAATCAAATGTAAATCCTTTATTTATAAAAAACCAATTGAAGATATTAATCATATTTATTAAATTTCTTCATATCAATATCTAGACTACTGTTTGGCCAAATAACTGAGCATCATTGCCTAGCCAAATTGTCACATAAAATGTAACCATCACAGTACTTATCACCTTGTGCCATTAGACGGGCATTGATTTATTTGTTTGTAATAAGTCTCCTTCACTAGAATACAAAGGCCATGACAGCAAGAAGACAGGTTCAACGCCATATTCCAGTGCCCATAATAGTACCTGGCACACAGTAAACACTAGATAAATGAATAAATCTGGCTTCCTTCTTGTCTTACGTGAAATAACCTCTTTAGAACAAAGAGTCACAGACAGTATTTTGATAGTGCAGCCATTCAGCAAAGGTATATCAACTACCGAGAAATGATAGACAACAGCCCTTCAGATGTGCTAACATGTACTTGATAAAATTCTCAGGGTGAGCAGGAGACATGATAATTGTCAATTCTGAGGCAGGAAGCACTGACCACTGATAAGAAAGAGCTAGCCAATTTCAACCAACCAATGTATAATTCCAGTAGCAAGTATTTAATTTGCACGTGGGAGAAGAAAACTCATGTTGGAAGTTATTTTTGTGTTTTGCAAAGTAATAAACAAATTGTATAGCAAATAATAATTCAGAATAAAAATACAGCAATCAAGATACCTACTCACCTACTTAAGTTATAACTTTTTTAACTTTGAGTTTTGAGGACTAATTTTATAGTTTTGATAGAGTAGTTTTCAGAAATATATATATATATCTTCATGAAAGGATTTTTTTTCCTGAGTTAATTTGATAGAGAGGGAGGAGATGAAAGTGACAAACATCAAAAGACTCTGGAGTTTTACGCCGAGCACCTGGCGGGATGTAGAACATAATATAACACTGGAGACAGAGTCAGATGGGTTGGAGACAACATGTTTTTCAAATTGTGATATGCGTTTGCCAAGACAAGATTAAGAAAGTTAGGCTTCCCAGACCACAGAAAGACATACGTTTATTTGATCTTGATAGTTATTAAAATAGTTTGCAAAACTAGACCCTACAGCCTTTTTAGATTTGGGGATTTAAGAATGTGACTAACATTTTGGATTTGAAAAATATTACGGATATCTTTTCAACTTAGTCATGTGAGATTTATGGATTTGAATATCCTACCATATTTAACTTTGTAGTCCCCAGTCCTAACTGTTTACAAAGATCTTTTTCACATTTGTCATCCTACTTGAGCCTTATGACAACTCTTTGAGGTAAGTGAGATAATAGTATTACCCCTATTTCACCAAAGTGGAAACTGAGGCTCTGGACAATTTGCCCAATGGAGGTCACATAGCTAGGAATTGATGGCATTAGGATGTAAACCCCAGTCTTAGAAACCTTTCACACCCCACTGTTCTGCCTCCTTTTTAGTGAGAGCCAAGATTATAAGGTCTAAACCTTTTGGCTGTTGAGGACTAAATGATAAGTGAGTTGGTTATTCTATTAACTGGGCTGCTGGACATTTTCCCAATGATGTACCCAAGAGTTTTCTTGGTACATAAAAAAATTTCATGTTACAAGGCTTAAGCCTTGTAACATTTTGGATGATGCTTTATTCTAGCATCATGTGTGAACCAGTTCTTGCATCCTGTGTCACAGTCTTCTTTGCATTAACTATTATCATGTGTAATGTGACTACCTTTCTATTTCTCATAGAATCACAAGGAAATATTTTCCCCCAAGAGTAATAGTTTCTCCTATGATCAATTCATTTTTTCCTTTAAAGTCTATTTCATCAGGACTTTTTTGTGTTTTGTTTTTGTTTGTTTTGGTCTATTCTTTCCTTTGATTTTGTACAACCAGTCCTGGCACAGTCGTTTACGCCAACTGCTTCAAGAAATACATTTTACTCCATATCCGTAACACTTTTGGAGTTGCTTCTCTCTTTTCTTGAGCTGTTTTGCTTTTTATAGAGAACCACACACACACACACATGCACTGCACACACGCATATATATATATATATATATGCTCTCTATAACAAGAAAAATAATCTACTGATACCTTTGTTGTTGATAGCACTAATAAACTCTTAGTACTATCAATAATGAAGTGCTATCAATAACACTAATAAATTTTTCTTGTTATAGAGAGCACTATATATATAGTGTCCAATTTACTTATAACTATATAGTTATCAGTTACAGTTGTCCAATTAATATCAATTTAGACACAATACTTGATATGCATTTTATTTGATACAAATTAAAACAACTCCCAATTTGGCAAAAATTGAAACAATAATATGATGCACTGGTGAAATTGGAAGAAAGCAGAAAACCTCCTATACTGCTGGTAGACAATGTATTAGTACAACCTTTTCGGAAACAGTTTGGTAATAATATATCAAATATTTTTTTAAATTGCATACCCTTTAACTTTCCCATTCCATATTTATAAATCTATTTGAAATATTTAAGAATTTGTACAAAGGCTTAATTATATGACTGTTCAATGAGCATTGTTTTGAGGAGTAAAAATTTGGAAGTAACCTAAATAGCCAATATTGAAAGATAGGCTAAATACATGATGGAACATCCTGATTCCAGATTATTGTGCATCCATTCATTTAAGAAAGAAGTTGAAGAAAAAATACCTAATACTATAGAAAGATATTCAAGATGTACTTTAAAATAAAAAATCCAATCAAAAACAGTATTTAGAATAGGATTCCACTATTTTTTTAAAAGTACACGTATGCCGGACATGGTGTTTCACCCCTGCAATCCCAGTACTTTGGGAGGCTGAAGCGGGCAGATTACCTGAGGTCAGGAGTTCGCGACCAGCCTGGCAAACATGGTGAAACCCCATCTCTTCTAAAAATACAAAATTAGATGGATGTGGTGGTACACACCTGTAATCTCAGCTACTTGGGAGTCTGAGGCAGGAGAATCACTTGAACCCGGGAGATGGAGGTTGCAGTGAGCCGAGATCATGCCACTGCACTGCATCCAGGGTGACGGAGTGAAACTCTGTCAAAAAAAAAAAAAAAAAAAAAAACAACACATGTAGGAAAAAAAAAGGCTAGAAAATTATACACAAAAATGTTAATAGTGGATGTTCCAGGGACTGAGGCTTATGAATGATTTTTTTTCTTTTTCTTATCATAGTTTATATACTTTTTATGTTGTTTCTATTACTTTTGTAAAGAAAAAAAGTAGAAGTTTAAAAAAATCACAGACATTTGATTTAGGAGGTCCTAATTGGTTACATAGTGATTTGTTCAGGATGATTTCATGTATTTTTTCATTTTGTCATCCAGGATATTTCACAGACCAACTTGAAAGTAACATTTTTTGAAACCAATAGATTTTTAAAATGACTTTTTATAAGGCCCTATTACCAAGTTCAAAGACTGTTTTCTTTTTTTTTTTGAAACAGTCTAACTCTGTCGCCCAGGCTGGAGTGCAGTGGTGCGATCTCAGCTCACTGCAGACCTTTTTTAATGTGTTCCAAACTCACTATTTGCAGTTGGTTGGTACAGTGATCATCCTGTACAAACAGCTGCTATTTCTATTGTAATAATGGTCTTGGGACAGCGCATCCTACACCCATCAAGGAAAGAAACTCTTGTAGGGGCACTTGCCAGACATTCTGAAATGATTATGCCCAAAGGGAGTACAGTAGATTTGGACTTGTATGAACAAGTAACTGATTTTAATCTTGTTGGAGTTCAGATGTCATAGAAATACGTTGCAATAGTAGAACTATAAGAAGTTGCACGTTTAGAGTTGAGTAACACTAGTAGGATTTTTTACTGTCATCATTTAGATAAGAGAGCCATGGCCCAGTAAGGCTAAATGGTCCATTCAAAACTCAAACCCAGTTAGTGTCAAAGCCAGGACTCTAATTTCACATCCTCTAACCCTTAGCCTAATGCTCTTTCCAGGGTCAGATTCATGTACTAGTCCTTTGCCATAGAATATCTAATCTTGAGCAAGTTAATTAATCCCCCTGAGCCCTGATGTTTTTCTCTGTAAAGAGTGCACAATAATATCTACTTGTAGAGTTGTGGAAGAAACTAAACAAGATAATTTAACTTAGTACTGTGTCTGGAACATAGTATATGCATAGAATGCATAGAATATGCATAGTATATGCATAGAATGCATAGAATATGCATAGTATATGCATAGAATACGTTGTGGATATTATCATTACTAGTATTATTCCTCAGAGAACCAGCTAACAGTTGGATTTATAGGGTAGAATTTGAAAGAGAGGCTAGAGCTCATCTGAGGAGTTCTCTGCTTGGTGATAGCATCTGGAGCCAGGAAAGCAGGTGAGATTGCTGACAGCGAGCGTAGAGATGGGAGAAGCACTGAGAGGGTAAAACAATATTAAAAGTTTAGAAGATAGATGAAAAACCAGCTACAAAGACAAAAGAACCAGGATGGTGGAAAGTTACAGAAACCAAGGGAGCAGCAGACATTGGGTTTGGCATTTTCATTGGTAATCTTGGAACAAACAGTTTTTGTTGAGTGAGAAACAGAATTCAGATGCCAAAAAACAAAATAATAAAGTTAGGGTGTGTGCATGTCTTGAAATACCTCTTTACTAAATGTGGTTGTTAAAGAAGGACAGGGATCAATTAGTAATTTAAGATGGTTGCAGGGTCAAGGAAAGGTTTTACTTTTAAATATAGAGAAGATCTGAGCATGTTTATTGGCAAGAAGAGTTTGACGAAACAGAAAGAAGGATGGAAGATGAGATTAAATAATTGTTGAAGTTATAGGGAATAAGATCCAACTATAGGATAAGGTTGAACGACTTGGCAGAAAGGAGAAGTATCTCTCCCTCTGAGGGTAGAGAAGCTAAGGGTAGAGGGATCTTGAGGTGAAGAGAAAAGAAAGTGAGGATGCTTAGCTATTGCATGCCCTCAGTCTGCGGGGTGAACTTAACCATCAGGATATTTCTCTCAAATGAAGGTCCAGGGCTAAGGTGGCAGTATTAGGGAGAAATGAAACATTTGGAACAAGAACCATGGGAGAATTTGACAGTCAATTAGAGAGCAACACAAATATGTTGGCATAGGCTAAAGGGCCACCTGAGGTCAAACAGCATGACTGTGCGGTAGACCCCATCACCCCAACATCAACATCTTGACCTCCTGGTATTTGACAGACCACAGTATTCCCAAGAATGGAGTTCTGGCAACATCAAGGAAGCAAGAAGGTCTAGGCTGTATTGAGAGAGGTTTTATCAGAACGATGGTGATGGAATGGAAAAGAGGTAGTGCCCACTGGTAAAAGATAAAAGGCGTGTGCTCAGTGGACACAAGGTAGTAGGAGCTGGGGAAAATTCCAGTGAGTGACATTCTGGCAGTGGAACAGTTTTGAGAGGTGATGTGTGAGGTGTGTGGCTGAGGTGAAGAGAGGAAAAGACTGGAGGGTTTGGAACTGAGGAGGTTAAAGAACTGAAGCCAGAGGCTTTAATAGTCTGTTATTGCCGGTGAAGACTGCATGATAGCAGAAGACTGTGAGCAAGAGTACCCCTCAGTTGGGGGTGTAAGTGGCATAAAATGCTGAGTCAGGGGCTCCTTCAAGCAACTGCAGCTCAGAGCTCGGCATTTCTGCTCACTTCATTGCCCGTGCAGAGACTTTGGATGTCTCCCCGTGATCTTGACAGGCTGGAATTTTCTAATCCTGGTAGTCCTATTCATCTCAAGAGATCCTGTGCTTCTGGGTTTCCCTGCAGGGAGAGAATGTGCCTACCTGCATTTCCCTGAAGTGCTTGTTTGTTCGCTACCCAGATTCCCAAATATCGTCAAGCCTCCCCTGTTGTGCCAGCCTGCGCCTCTCATTTAGAGAGGAGTGTGATGCCGCTATCCATTTTGCAGTCTTTGTGCACATCAAAACAAACAAACAGAGACCCAAACACACCCCAGCAGGCTTATTGTCAGAGAATTAGCTCCCATGCTGGCGCAGCCAGACGAATTCAGATAAGAATAGCTTAAAATAAATCCTCGCAGGCAAACTGGTCACAGGCCAGGGCTGTGGGATAACTTCTGGCTACAACCACATTCTGTACACATGTTCTGTTATCCTAAAAGATTTTATTTTACATTTTTTAAGGGAGCCAGAGGTAAAAGGGAAGCAAATTAAAATTGCCTTCTCCTCACTGAAGCCTGAGGTAGATGAGGAGGTATTTGGTTAAGAACTCAGACAGCATGGTTGAACATTCAAGAGCACCTGTTTATGATTATTTTTTGCCTCCAGGTAAATTGAAATTTGATCTTCCACTGCTAGAGGCTTCTCATTCCTAGAGACATTAACCACATGCATCAGTTGGATGGCATTCCTCTCCTAGGTCAAGCCTGTGGCTCCCGCCTCTGTAAATATCTGGTCCTCCTCTATAACCTTGAAAGCTACCTATGAACACTCCTTGACACTTGGTGCCAGTTTAACATAATAAATGTCTTTGGGGACTACCTGCATAATTACAGAAAGAAAAATCATTTTCATCTTGTAACTAACTAGGTAGATTCAAAGCTAGTGCCTAGATTTTCTTTAAATACCTCTTGACTTCAGGGAAATCTGAGTCTAACATTGTGACATTGCATTGGCCAGTTTCAAATTATTATAACTATGATTTCAACATTCCCAAGTCTGGCTGTGTGGATAGACGGTGACCCAGCAAGGGAACAAGGTGTAGAATCAGGAATAAGATTAATGCTTTTCAGCTGGTGACATGGAAAATATGCATGAGCCTAGCTGGTAGCTGTTCTGCTTTCTTTCTCAGCAAATTTTTACAAGGTGGAAGTCACCTTGATTGTCTCAAAAGCAAAGGGGGTTATGACGGCAACAAGTCTTGATCTATTTTGTGGGCCAATAAGTGAAACTATTTTTCCAAACCTACATTTCTATATCAAAACTTGCTTTCTGTTAAAACTCCCAGTCCCCGATCCAGTAGGTCCCAATTCATTCTGAAATGAGTTATAAGTTCGAGCAAGATACTGCCTCTTATTAAATAATAAAGGGGCAGTATTTATTGGGTCAAACAGATCTGTGTTTAAATTAACCACTGCATAGTCTGAGCAAGTTACTTAACCTCTGATTCTTTAGTTTTGTCATTTATCAAACGATCATAACATTTTCTACCTCTCAAGGTTACTTTGAGGATTAAATAACATAATTTATATAAAACAATTAGTAGAATGCATTTGATAGCAGGAGGAGGAATTATAATGAGCTCTATGTATAAGGCACAGTGCTAAATTCTTTATAAAGAGTAACTCATTTAATCCTCACAACAGACCTATTGACCTATTATGACCTATGACATAAGACCTATTATGAAGATCCATTGTTTGCACAGAAACACAAAGAGGTCTGGCATGTTAGAGATGAGAGGAGAGGTGTAAGAATAAACTGTATGTAACAACAAAAAGTATGATGATGATGGCGGTGGTGGTGGTGGCAGTGGTTAGCATTTGTTGAATGCTTAATAAGTACCAGGTCTTGTGCTAATTATTTTAGTATGCAGTATCTTGTTCATGTCTTATAATTAATGTGAGAAATAAGGTACAATTTTAAGCCCCATTTTTTTTACTAAAGAAAACAGAAGTACAGAGAAGATTAAAACTTGCCCAGCGTCACACGGCTGGTCAGTGGTGGTACTGGGACTTAAATTTAGCTCTTTTTGATGTTCTCCCTTCTCTTTAAGAGACTCTGCTCTTAGCCCCTAGCCCAGTAATTTTCAGCGTGGTCCACAGAAACAGCATTGGCATTACCTGGGAATTTATAAGAAAGATAACTTCTCAGGTCCCACCCAAGACCTACTGAATCAGGAAGTCTGGAGTGGAGTCCGGCACCAGAGTTCAATATAGGCCCTCCAAGGGATTCTGATGCATGCTCAAGTTTGAGAACCATGCCCTAGACACTTTTGCTTCCCTTTATGGGGCACTTTAGGCTTGGTGAGCCTAATCTATTGAACTGATTTGATCTTTTCAGCTGGATTCAGCCTTTGCATCTGGCTATCTCCAGAACAAAATCTCACCATCCCATTCCTTTGGCCTTCCATTGTTTACACCCTTCCCACTCATGGCTATGTGGTACCAGGAACAAAAGACCCTTTAGGAGTAAAATGTGTCATAAGTGAGCCTTCCTTGCAGCGCTATTGTTACGTACATTCCATTGGAGATTGGAGGTGACCAGGAAGATAATGCCTCACATCTTATTAGCTGTGTGTGGGCAGCTGAGTTAACTTTTCTGTGCCTCAGTGTTCTCTGCTGTGCAATGGAGATAATCACATCACCTACCTGGGATGGATGCAATGAAGATTAAGTGCGACAATCCATGTGTGAGGTATGAGCTCTGTGCTTAACACATTTAACTACACAATAAACATTTGCTATTGTTATTAGGAAAAAAAAACCCTTTTCTGGAAGAATTGAGCATCATTCTAAAAGAACTATTTAGGACAAAAAAATGCTATATTCTAATGCACAGAGATAAACCTAGGTAATGTACAGCGGGCAGTCAGTGGCTAAAGTACCTTGTTTGCAGGTACTGCACATTTCAGAAAAGCCCAAGTAGGAGGAAACTAACCTTAATCCGGAAGATGATGATTTGTCTACTCTGTGATTCAATAAAGGCCACAGACTCTGCCTCAACAGGCTGTGAGTAAATCGGAAACTGTGGACTTAACTGCTCTGAGTCACTAATGAGTGATAAAGAAAGAAATGGATACTCTTTCAAATCCATTTTTTGCTTTTAATTTCACCAGGGCAAACTCTCTCTAAACAGCCCATTAGTTAAAACACTTGAGTAGAAACACAAAAGCAAGGATAATGGAGTTTGTTCATCAGCCAGCCTTTCCTCTCCTTATCTAACTGCTTCCCACTCCTGTTTAAAGGCAAAAAAAAAAAAAAAAAGCCCCAGTGCTCCACAGTGTGAGCAGCATCAGAGAGCCAACTGCCAAAAGCCTTGGGAGGTGTCACTTGACCCTGCAAAAAGTGCAGAGCATGCAGCAGCAGGCACTGCTGGAGCACCGTGACTGCCTGAGAGGGAGGTGGCATCTGTGCCCTATTCATCTGTGCCCTTAGATTGTTTTATCATCCAGAGGATAAACCCAGGGGTCTTTTCTAGGGCATTGCATGGCCCGTCCCTCCACCATGGGAAACCTAAGGGATGATGTGTTCTTTTGCTAGGGCTGCAGTAACAAGTACCACATGAGGTGGCTTAAACAACAGAATTTTATTGTCTCACATTACTGGAGGCAGAAGTCTGAGATTAAGGTGCGGGCTGTCGGTTGTGAAGAAGAACCTATTCCCTGCCTCTCTTCTAGCTTCTGGTAGTTTGTTGACAATCTTTGGCATCCTCGGCTTCTACCTCATCACTACATCTCTGTCTTCATCTTCACATGTTCTCCCTGTATGAGTGCCCATGTCCAAATTTCTCCCTTTTCTAAGAATTCTAGTCATATTGGATTAAGGGGCCCATTCTACTCCAGTATGACCTCATTTTAATGAATAACATCCTCAATGACCTTATTTCCAAATAAGGTTACACTCTGAGGTATTGAGGGTCAGGACTTCAACATATGAATTTGAGAGAAGGAGACACAATTCAACTCGTAACAGATGGTGAGAGAAACTCTAGGTCCACTAAGAAGCTAGTTCTGTTGTTTAAACAGGCCTGGGGCAGTACTTCACACACTGTAATGTATACACGAATCACCTGAGGATCTTGCTAAAATGCATACTTTGATTCAGTCAATCTAGGGTGGGTGCTGAGATTCTGCATTTCTAGCCAGTTCCCAGTGATGCTACTGCTGCTATTTTGAGTAGCAAGGTCCTGGAGGAATTTCATGATTGTTTATTCTTATTCTTTTTGTTCATATCTATTGTACTTCTTCCCAGGGGCTTGCTGGTCACCACTTCCTCGCCTGGAACCGTATTTCAGGGGTTCAGGGCATAGGAATAATCAAATTAACAAAATACACAGGCCCTCAGAACCACTTATGTCTAGACCAGGAAAGCTAAAGGGTGTCTGGCGCAGAAGTTGTTTTCTAAGCTGTGTCCACAGCCCTCAGCTCATCTGTGTCATTTTTCAATCTGTTAGAGCTGTGGTCTGAGTGTGGCTGTGGTGGTCTCTGTGTGGTTTAGTTCCCCTGGGAGCCCACTGATTACAGGACTACTTGAGGATGGGCTAAGTTTTTCTTGGAGTACTTTAATAAATTAATACCTAGACTGGGGGAAAATATTTTCAGCATATGTAACAAACCAAGTATTAGCATGCAGAACATATAAAGAAATTCTGCAAATCAAATGACTCAATATAAAAATAGCCAAAGGTTATGAAAAGGGAATTCACCTAGGAGGAAACCTTAATGACTAATAAGCATATGAAAATATTTTTGTTCCCATTATAACTAGAGAAATTCAAATTAAAACATTAAAGCATGATCATTTCTTGCTTTCTAGAGGAATAAACATTTAAGACATTAATTGATGGCATGAGTGGGGAGAAATGGGTACTCTCATTCATGGACAGGAATAGAAATTGGAGGTCAATTTTGCATTACTGCTATATCTGAGATATCTAATTCCTACATCTGTGGAATTCTGTTTCCTGGTATCTACTCTACAGAAACACTTACATGGATGCATAAAGACGCATGTTTAGGGAAATTTATTGAACTATTCATTATTAGCAATAGCAAAAAATTGTTGATAATCTAAATGTGCATCAATAACATTTCTTGGTTACTTATAATGTCACAGATCCTGTTATAAGTGCTTTTCATATGCATAAGAACTCTCTGATGTAGGTACCATCCTAACTCCCATTTTAGAGATGCAGAAACTAAGGCACAGATAGGTTAAGTATCTTGCTCAAGGTCACTCAGCTGGGACAGAGACGTGAACCCCTGTAGTCCAGCTGCATAGGAAAAACTCTTAACTATTTCAACCTACCACATCTAGACAACTAGAATGAGGTGGTCTCCCTGTGTTGGTGTGAAGAGATCTCTAAGAAGTATTGATAAATGAAAAAAGCAAGTTGCACAGTGAGTCATATAGTTTAACACCATCTATGTAAAAAAAAAAAAAAAAACCCTAAACACTTACATACTTTATGGGGACTCATGTATGCATGTAAATCCGGTGAAAAGTTCTAGAAGGTGCCACAACAAACCACTTACTCAGGGTTATCTCTGAAAAGGGAAAGGGAGTGGCTCTGGAGATCATAGGGGTGGTACAAAGAGCGTTTTTACTTTTATTTGCCATCAGGTTTTTTTCTTTTTTTGGAAGGATTAGATGTTAATGTATTATTTTGTAATTAACATTAATTTTAAAACATTAATTCATGATATCAGTTCTTAGTCCTGCACTGACGGCTCTGCTCCCTGGAAAGAACTGAGACATCTACTGCATTCCCTTTTGGCCAAATCCTTCCCTTCCTGCTCCATCTGGCATTTGCACAGAGCCATCCTCTGAGCACATTTCCTTTCCTTTGTCATTCTCATCATCATCACGATTTGCTTATGTTTTGTTAAGGTGTTATTTATTAGCCCTGTGATGGTTGCTTATGAATGTTACTGTTACAATTGAGAAGAACGTGAAAACTTTCATTTGAGAGAGGCTAGGGGTCTAGTGGCTACTGCATACTTTAAAGTAGTTGATGGAGGGGGAAGGAGAATATTTAGGAAGATCCTTACGTTCTTGAAATTATCTATCCTCTGGTAGGTCTAATATAAAATCTTCAATTTTCCTGGTAACTCAAAATGATTTTGCCTCTTACATCAAGTCCCTCCTGGTTAATCACTTGTCCTCCCATTTCCCTCTACCTGTGCCCAAACCACTTCTATAATCAAATGAACATAGACATGTAAGAAGAAATGGAATTTATAATTGATTTTTATTTATTGTATATGCAGATGTACTAAGTAATGCCTAGAGCATATAGACAGCAGATTTAAATAGTTCCTTTTCATTTTTAGGCTGAAACCAGATGGCCAGTTCTACTTGCTATTGCATCTAGCACATTCTGATTGGCTGACCTGGAAAAGGACATGCTTGCAGCATATCCCAGCCCTGTCCTTTCCTCCTCCACACTTACATCAAAGTCTCACAAAAAACATTTTCCCCACCAAAAGCATCTTTGTCCTCTAGGATTCAAATTTCAGGGATTCTTTTTCTGCTTGACCTCCAGAATACAGTGAAAATTAAAAAAAAAAAAAAGATATTATATTCTGTGTGACCCCAATGAACACAGCCTTGCTTCTATATTCCTTATGTAGTCATTATAAGGCGGAATTGTAGACCTATGAGAGTGAAAACAATAAAACTTCTAGAAGAAAATATAGGAGAAAAATTTTGTGATCTTGGGTGGGGCAAAGAGTTCCTAGCTACTATATCAAAAGCATGATCCTTAAAGGAAAAAAAAAAAAAAACAGATAAATTGAACTTTATCAAACTTGAAAACTTTTGTGCTTCAAAAGATGCCACTAAGACAATGATTAGATAAGCCACACACTGGGAGAAAATATTTGCAAATCATATATCTGACAAAGGACTTTATGCAGAATACATATAACAAAGTGCTACAAGTTGTAACAAAACAAACAACCCAATTGTAAAATGACAAAATATTTGATAGACATTTTACCAAAAAAGAAATATAAATGGCTAATAAGCATATTAAAATGCTCAATATCATTAGTCATTTGAGAAATGCAAATTAAAATCAATGATATACTTCTGTACACCTATAGAATGGCCTTAATTAAAAAGACCAACAGACATTACCAAATGTTGGGGAGGATGTGTATGGAGAAACTAGAAACTTCATGCACTGCTGGTGGGAATGTTAAATGGTACAGCTATTCTGGAAGCAGATAGCTTTTTTTTTTTTTTTTTTTTTTAAATTAAACCTTCTGTACCACTCAGCAATTCCGGTTCTAGGAATCTGTGCAAGAGAAAATGTAATGTCCACACAAAGACATGTATACAAATGTTCACAGTAGCGTTATTTATAATGACCCCAAACTGGAAACAACCTAAAAGTTCAACTGGCGAGTAGACAACAAAATATTGTGTATCAATACAGTGGAATGTTACTTAACAAGAAAAAGAAATAAAGTACTGATACTTGCCACAACATGAATAGACCTCAATAAAAGTGCTAAGTGAAAGAATTCAGATGTAAAAGATTACATATTGCATGATTCCATTTATATGAAGTGTCCAGAAGAGGCAAATTGATACAGACAGAAGGCAGATCAGAGGTTGCTTAGGGTTGGGGGTGAGAGCAGTGATTAATTGGAAACAGGCATGAGGGAGCTTTTTGGGGGAATGGAAATGCTCTAAAATTAGAGTGTGGTTTTACTCTATAAATTTACTAAAAATGAGTGGATTGTATACTTACAACTGGTGAATTTTATGGTATGCAAATTACACTTCAATAAAGCCGTTTAAAAACAAACGACTAATGGACTGGTGCGGTGGCTCACGCCTTAATCCCAGCACTGTGGGAGGCCAAGGCAGGTGGATCACTTGAGGTCAGGAGTTTGAGACTGGCCTGGCCAACATGGTGAAACCCTGTCTCTACTAAAAATATAAATAAATAAATAAATAAATAAATAAATAAATAAATAAATAAGCCAGGCGTGGTGGCAGGTGCCTGTAGTCCCAGCTACTCAGAAGGCTATGGCAGGAGAATTGCTTGAACCTGGGAGGCAGAGGTTGCAGTGAGCCAAGATCGTGCCACTGCCCTCCAGCCTGGGCGACAGAGCGAGACTCTGTCTCAAATAAATAAATATATAAATATATAAATAAATATAAATAAAATAAACACAACTAATAGCATCCCCATGTGCTTGACCTGGGCAGGGTCATTTGATCTATCACTCTAATACTATCTTTGTTATTTGCTAGCCACATTAACCAAGACCTTTTGTGCTCAGGGAAGTTCATTATTCACTTCAGGGATTGACCAGTATTCTGTATCATTTTCAAGACAGAGTACTGAAATAGTAAAGGGCAGATCAGATAACAAAGATGCCTACTCTTTCATATAATGGTTACAATTCCGAGAAAATTCAACTTGCTGGAAAAATAGTTGCCAACCTATATAGTTATTTAAAGAGGTCTGGATAAGTGCTGTTGACATTTTTGTAGACAAATACTTCCTTCTCCTCACCCATGGCTGAAATTCTTCTTTCAGATTAATTTGGCCATGTTTACACCCTCCTATCATTGAGAAGAGGGGCTTAGCAAGCAGGATAGGGGAGTCAACACAGATTCTAAGAGGAGCCGGAAGTCATAGATTCGAATTCCAACTCCAATAATCCATTGAAGTAATATGCAACAGTGTCTGTGGATTCATAGAGTTCTCTATGCATATTAGCTGTTATTATTATAATTCAATAATTCTACAGTGTTTTAAAAAAAGTTTTAAATGATGGTTTATTTTAAAATCAGAGTCTGTGTTGAATTATTACCAGTACACATTTATGTTTACCACAATTTCGAATTGAACTTATTATCCTCTCTCCCAAACTTTTAGCTTGCCCACTTGTTTAAAGACCTTTCTTAAGTCCTTGAGGCTAAAATTCATCCCCAAATCTTGCCTATTTGCCTTGACATATTCCCCGGGTTCTCTTCTTTGCTCCATGTCATCGGCAGCTGAGTTTATGTCAGCAACCTTTTGTCTTGCTTCTCCCTTTTATTATCCTTCAGATTATGTACCGACCCATCATTTTTTCCCGTCTAAAACATGCAGTGGCTCACTAGCACCTCTTCTTTTACTGTCCAATCTCACCCAGTAGGTTCTCATCTCATGTTTCCCCAACATAGATCCCCTTCTCCAGTGAGATTACCCCCTTTCCTGTCCACTCATTCTTGCCTCAATCTTAGTTTATGTGAGGAAGACCCTCACTTATTTTTGAATATTTTCTTCAAGCAGCATCTCAAGACTGTTTTTGTAAATGGTGAATTAGAAGGAGGGTTGTCCTTGGTGCCTCTGTGCTCCTCAGTCTGCCCATTTTCATAGACACCCAATGCCCCATCAATCTGGGTTTCCACTGAGGCTTCCCCCAAGTGGGCTTCAAACTGATCCCTTCCCTTGACCAGTCAATCTACATTTCCATTTTCTCCATTTTCAGATCGTTTAGGAACTTGACTTGATAAACTAATTCATATTATGAAATAAACAAATCCACACATTTGATCCCTGTCATGAGTATCTCATTTTAAAATGGGGTAACCTGAGACATAATGCAATAGCCCAACAATTACTAACAATAGAGAATGTGACACAAATGGAAAGGGACATATAATGGAGGTGAGGGGAGTACACAGGAACATTATCCCAAAGTCCTTGACATCACTCTTTGTAAGCTCCCACTCACTCTCCCTGCTAAAACGTTCCCTTACCCCTCTGTGATATGTGTCCCAAGTCTTCCCTTGCACAGCATTCCTGGAGGCACACAGATTTAGGAGTTGAAAGACCTGGATCTCAGTCCTGGCTCATCTATTGATTAGATGTGTGACTTTGGGCAAGTCACTCAAACTCTCTGGGCCTCAGTTTTCTCATCTGTACACTGGGGATCATAATATTTGGCTTGTGGAGTGGTTGTGAGGGTCAGATGAAATACGATATGCAAAGTACCTAGTAACAGTGTCTAGCACGTAGTAAGAAGTAAATACAGAGGTAACAGATCACCATATGAAGCCCCGCCTTTGACTAATGCCACGAATGCATGCTGCATCTCCTCAAACTGTTCTCAAAGACAGAGACTTATCTTTCCTTATGCTTTGTTCAAAATTACAGTGGTTCTCTTATTTGTGTGTGTGTAGTTATATATATATTTATTTTTCCCCATATCATTTCATAAGATATTCCATAAGGCTTTTGTCTTTAAATGAAGCATTTTTTTAAAATAATTAACTTCTAGTTTACTTTTAGCTTTTAGGTGGTGTAAATCTATATAAAAAGTCAAAGCTCAAGAGGTCACTTAGTCTACCTCAAAATACCATTGCCTAGATTTTTTTTTAACTGAAAAGATCTCTAGTAACATACTACATCAAAATAGACTTTTATGAAGTCAGAGTGCTTCTACATACATTCTTGTTGCAATCTAAATGCTTTCTTCTCTTTTGTGAAAAAGTATTCAATCTTTCTAAATAGCTGAGTAATTTAGCCAGCAATCTTTTCCTGTGGCAAATGCTAAGTAGGTCTCATATTCTAACCAATATGTAATATGAGTCTTTAGGATTGAAAAATAAAGAAATGTTCACTAGCAATATATTATATGCATAGGATGATGTGGTAGTTAAGAGCATAATTTTAGGTTCAGTTAGAAGCTCAGCTTTTGCTTCCTTAGATACCTTGAGCTCCCTTAGCCTTTTTCCTCATCTGAAAATGGGATAATACTTGAACCTACTGCACAGAGTTAAAATGAGGGTAAATGGAAATAATCAATACGAAGTGATTAGCATGGTGTCTGCCACACAGTAAGTTCTTAACTGTTACTCTGTTGATAAAGTTATCATTTTAATAGCCCAGCTGTTCTACTGGATACTCTCAAATGCATTCTACTTATGGACCTAGAAATTTCCATATTCCAGAGGTCTACAGGAAAAGGCAAGTTATACAAAAGCCTACATTTTTCTGATTCCTTGTTCACTCATTCTGAGGACATTTGAGTTACATCTTTTTAAAAAACTTTTCTTTTTAGTTTTATGGATACATAATAATTGTACATATTTTGGGAGGTACGTGTGATATTTTGATACAAGCCTACAATATGTAATGATCAAATCAGAGTAACTGGGATTTCCATCACCTCAAACATTTATCATTTCTTTGCATTGGGAATATTCCAAATTCACTTTTCTAGTTATTTTTAAATATATATTATTTTAAAATTATAGTAAAATATGCATAACATAGAGTTTTCCTTCTTAATTGTTTTGAAGTGTACAGTTAAGTGGCGTTAAGTACATTGACATGGTTGTGCAACCAACCTCCGAAACTTTTTTTTGTCTTGTAAAACTGAAACTCTGTACCCACGAAACACAACCTTCTCATTCCCTTCTCCCTCCATCCCCTGGCAACCACCATTCTACTTTCTGTCTCTATGAATTTGACTAATACAGGTAGCTCATATAAGTTGCATTATACACTATTGGTCCTTTTGTGACTGGTTTATTTTACTTAGCATAATGTCCTCAAGATTCATCCATGTTGCAGCGTGTGTCAGAATTGCCTTCCTATTAAAGGCTGAATACTATGCCATTGTGCATATATATCACATTTTGTTTATCCATTTATCTGCCAATGGACACTTGGGTTGCTTCCACCTCTTGGCTATTGTGAATAATGCTGCTATCAGCATGAGTGTACAAATACTTGCTCAAGACCCTGTTTTCAGTTATTTTGGGTATATCCCCAGAAGTGGAATTGCTGGATCATATGGTGATTCTATTTTTAATTTTTTGAGGATCTGACATATTGTTTTCCATAGTGTGAACCACCCTTTTAAGGGTCCTTCTCAAGTTCACACAGAGGCCATGACATGCAGCTTCACAGCTGTCCCATCTCCTCTCTTGTTCTGCTTACACAGAGATACCTGCTGTGCAGCTACTATGTGCCAAAGTTTCCCCTGCCCTATTGCTGACCTTGATGTCTGCCAATATCCTTGACATCTGCCTGATATTCTGTGAGTTAGTGTTGTCTGCACCTTGGGTGGTATCTCTTGTCACAGCCAAGGCTGCCTCTAACAATTAAGGTTTATTGAGGGACCATTGTGTGACAGGGGCTGGGCCAAGTACTTTGCTGCATTATCTCATTTAGTTCTCACCACGACCTGTTAGACTGGGCCAGGATACTGGCTCCTTGGACCAGTGTGGTTCTTACACTTGGATGCACATGAGATTCAAGAGAAGGAGGAACTTAAAAAATCCCAATGCCCGGCAGAGGCCCCAGGCTAATTAAATCGGAATCTTTCGAAAGTTTTTACAAAGATCAACAGCTGATTCCAATTTATAGCCAGCTTTCAGAAACAGGGATTTTAGATCCTTGTTCGAAGTGTGGTCCGGCAGATTGACACTGGGAGCTGACCAGAAATGCAAACTCTTGAGCAACACCCCAAACTTACTGAATCAGAACCCACATTTTAACAAGAGCCCCCCCTAGTTTCGTATGCACATTGAAGTTTGAGAAGCACTGCCTTAGACCACAGAACATTTAACTCAGACAAATAAATCCAGCAAAGCAATAAAACTTTCACCTGAGGGTCTCCAAGTGATTCCTAATCATTAGCTAATTCATCTTCCTAACAGGACACTACACCTATTTTAGAGATGCATAAAGAAAGGCATATTTGTAATTTTAATTATTTGATTATCTCTCATTGTTGAATATTCTAATTTCCAGGCTGAAGCATTATGACTCATTAAATTATTCCCTCCCTTATAATCCCTAAACCAATTTCTAAAGTAAAAATCAAATGCAGTAAGCAACCAAATGAAGGCAAGACACACATCTATAGAGAGAAAAAAAATTCCTTTTTACCCCTAGGGCCAGTTCTTGCCTTTTTTTTTCCTGTTATCTCTTCTGTGTATCCCATAACTACCAAAAATGTTTCCTTTCAGATTTTTTGCAAGCATTTACTTGTAGAGTCCTATTTGCAGAGCCTCAGCTTCTCCCAAGAATTTAGCACATCACATGTATGTAGATCCTATTTTCTTAGCACTCTCCTAACCTTTCCAGCTTTATACTAAAACAACAAATTAGCATTCACCTTTGCCAAAACCACAAATATTTGTACAATTAAGCAGCAAGCTTTGTAGTTAGAGAGAAGAGAGTTCCTTTGCATTTTGTGGCGCCTAGCAGACATTTTTGGGGGGTTGGGGGGTTGGGCTAGATCAAGTCAGATTAGCAGTATCAGATAAATAGGGCCACTGTCAAGACATTTAACAATGCATTGAAGCAGTCTGTGTAAAGGATGTATAATTCAACAGCTTTGATATGTGGAAGTTCTCAATAGCTCCCAGGGAGGTGGCCTGTAGAGAAATTCATCAGTAAGTCATTGGAACAAGAGGTTTTACTGGATTTTGGAAAGTGAACAATCAGGGAATATGCCTGAGACAAAACTCGAAGCTCCAGAGGGTAAACAAGGTGAAGGCTTTCTGACCCCAGATCCTATTAGACTTCTTTATTTCCAGAGGTATTGTGAACTAATCTTCTGTAAATGATCTATGCCCACTCTATTCATGGCTGCATCCTGACCAGGCCACCTTTGGTTTCTGGGCCCCCTGGCCAGTCACAATGCAAAAAACAGGCCAGAGTTCAATGGAAGCCAGATCCCATGCCTGGAGCAGATATGGTATTTAGCATCGGTTTCCTATTCTCATTCCAACAGTAACTGTTTGTTTGCCTCATTCTTTTTGGAGAGGTGGAGTGTATTATCCTTAAGATGAATGTCTCTATTTTAAAACAGGTCTTTGTGAACAAAACCTCACCTCTTTTGAAGGGAAAGCACAGAGGGGAGGCTGGAGCAGAGTAGAAGTTTGAGTGGGGGAGAAGAGTGTACTTACTGTTAGCTGTACCTTTGGAGGTAAGAACCTATTGGAAATACAGTCCAAAATCTAAACAGTATGTATAGTTGTATTCAGAGGACTCTGGTATCATAGTTTACTTGGGCCAGAGGCAAAGATGTCCATGTAATAACATATGGAAATGGAAAAAGGAAAAAATTCAACCAAAGAGAAGCATTTTGAAATTTGAATGCAAGTCAGCCAGGCCCATCCTGAAATATCATCAGGCTTGCAAGCTTTAGAGAACAAGGTTGTTCAGTTTACTTCGACCAGCCAGAATGAGCACAATCCACCTCTATTTCTTTTAGTCCTCACCAATCTTTCAGACTCCCTTCATTACCAAAAGAAAGGAATGGAAGTTTCCTTCCCACAGTAAAAACATTCAGATTCCCCAATGGACAGCTGGTGGGAATCCGACTGGTGTTTCCCAAGCCTCCTTTGCTTAGCAAACTTGGTGACAATCCTGTATTCCTAGAGGAAGAGAAACCATTACATTAAGGATTTTCTTAAGGATTTCTCATGACAATCTAGTGCAGGTTTTCATGAAAATAGTGCTTGTGGGTTTTCTAATAGCCCCTAATTTTTAAATATTCAATAACAAGGGAATATAGGAAGAATAAAATAGTCTCCTCTGATGTATTTGAAGTCACCCTTACCCTTCTTTTCAGTGGCTTGGCCACTGCCAATCAACTCTGCTGTGTACCTGATGGCTCTTTCCCCAGGGTGAGCTTGTGTCTCAGCTGGTTCCTTACCGGTCTTCCAGGAAGATCGTCTATCTTCTGATACAATAAACCCTGGCAGTACACACCACCAGTCCCCTAGAATGTCTAGCCTTTTACAATTTCTAGTTGTGAGCAGAGCTTCAACTCCAGCTGGGACTCCCCAGTGCTTATCCAATGCAGAAACCAAAGAATCCAGTGGGCTGGACCCCAAGTATGCATACCTGCATGACCACAAATGACTGCATCGTGCATTCTCCAGGGTATAAATATGATAGTATTAGTAAAAGACTGATAGCCAACATTTCTTGAATCCTTAATACATACCAGTTTGATTACAGGTGTATTGAATTCATTGATTACAAGTGTATCATATATTTAAACTCATAGAAATTAAGTGGTTATTATTATTGCTTTTTAGTAAGGGGGAAACTGAGGTATAGAGAAGCTAAACAACTTGCTCAAGGTCTCACCACCAGGAAGTGGCAGGGCTAGGATTTGAACCAACTACTTCAGAACCAGAGCCTGCCCTTTAATCACTGTGATATTCTGAGGAAAATCAAACATGTTATTTCAGATAATTGAAACAATTATACCTAAGTCCATTAACCCTGAAAATGGAGATTCCCCACTTTTTGCAAGGCTTTCAGCGAATTCCTAGAAGCAGTAGTCTCTGAGCAGTCCCTCAGTAGGTTGTCACAGGTGCTGAGTTTCACGTGTAGCACCCATCATATTAGATGTGTGTGACAGAAGCCAAATTCAGTGCTCTACAGTGATAGAAATATCCTTTCAAAACGGAAGTACATCTCTCCCTAAGAGTCCTAAACCTTTATAAGGATTCTTCCTTATGTCATCACGAGGAGATTAGCAGTGAATGTCCCACTGCCTTTTATATCACTAGAAAGGAAAACTTTGCTGTAAAATAGTCACTCTCTCCTCAGTGGCGCACTCCTATGCTGCTTGTACATTTCCTGCTTCCCACAATTCATGGCAGAGCCCCTAAGTGCTTGGCAAAATTGTCCAAACATTGCAGTCATCCCTAATACCTACAAAGCAGCTAAAGAATAGAAAAGATCTATATAACTGACAGATTTGAGAGCAAAAAAGGTTACAGTCCTTTTTTGTTTGTTTGTTTTGTTTTAAATAAATCAAATTAAATCTAGGTCTAGCTATCACTCAAAATTATGATAGATCCATCAATGGTAAATTTTCCATGTCAAGGGCCGTCTTCCCCTGTCTTTGCTTATATAATATCTTAGCAGTTTACACAATCCAGAGTACTAAAGGAGGATTTAGGTTCTCAGGCCACAGTGTAGTTTTTTGCTCAAGCCTGAATGGATTATTTAAAATTCCAGCTCTGTTGTCATTCCGCTCCTTGCATACCAAGCTCAGCCTCTGCAAGGCCATGGTGCCTGAAGGCCCAGCCTACATGGGTACCATGCAGTCAACCTCATGTGGTGAGTCACATGACAATCCAGTTTCTGCCCCTTGTATTACAATTTTCTATCTTCCTTGCAGTCTCTAGAGTCATCCAGAGTCAGGCTAATGTTCTTATTAGTGTTTGAAATATACAGCCTCCTTTATGGCAGGATGGCAGAAACACCCTGATGGAGCTTCTCTCTATTCACATTGCTCTTTCTCCAGACACAAGCCTGCCCGCAGCATGGCTGGTTAAATGAACATAAGCTTCAGGGGCTATGCTCCTTGACCCACTCAGCTCAACCCCAGCTCTTCCTAATCTCATGGTGATTTCCCCCGGGGACCTTCTTGCCTGACTCTAGGACCTAGAGTCACTAGTCAACATCTTTTCTAATTGCTTTGTATGTTTTAAATCACTTAATCCTCCACATAATCCTATGAAGTAGGTACCATTATTACCTCCATTTGACAGATGCAAAAAACTGAGGCACACAAAGCTTTAGTAACTTTCACAAGATCAAACAGTGGTAGAACCATGATTCAAATTCTCTACTTGCTCTGAAATGTTATCATGTTAAATGTTGCATCTGAAATGTTACAAAACACAATGTTATCAACTTCCCACATCAATAGTCTACCTTAGCAAGGGGAAGTCAATTCTTTAGGAACATAATGCTGGCCCTGACCAGAGAGAAAGGAGATACTGCGTTTCATCTCTGATGAAACTGTAGCAGAAAAAAATTCACCAGCACTGCAGTCTACTGAAGTCCTCAGAAAATTGTTGTTTTAGAGAAACAAACGTCTCTAAGGCCTAGATTCAGGCAAGACAGTCTCTGAGAATCACCATGAGAGTAGGAAGAGCTGGTGCTGAGTTGAGTGGTTCAAGGAGCATAGTCCCTGAAGCTTACGTTTAACCAGCGTGCTGCGGGCAGGCTTGCATCCTGGAGAAAGAGCGAGGTGAATGAATATAAAGATCCCTAGCAAACATTTACTGGCAAATGTTTTAAGCTCGGTATTGTCCTGTCTTGCATCTTGAAAAGGACATGGCAGCCTGGGTACAAATATATATCAGCAGCAGCTACCACAACCAAGGCAGGAGGCTAAAGCTCACTATGGTGGGCCACACCATGGGCTGTGGTACCTGTGCTAGCAGCCGCAAGGAAAGCATCTGTTGGGGCTATCCCAGTTTTTGTTTTAATACCAGTCCATCGGCAATGATGGTAGCTCATTACAGAGCTACTAGTTTCTGGGATCAGTGTAGCCCTTTTGGCTCAGTGGGTACATCTGAGTGATAGCTCTACTATTGCTGTGGAACCCGCAGGGCTGTTTATTATAGGACACTTGTCAGCCTTGGAGTTTCCTTGACTCAACAATATAGTGGACTGGGAGAGACTTTTCATTAGAGGATTTTAGAAAAGAGGACAAGACTTTGGAATCCAACAAGCTTGGATTCAAATTCTGACTCTGCCATTCCTTCACAACTTGTCCTTGGGGAGAAATTATTATAGTTCTCTGAGTTTCCATTTCTAACTTCTAATATTGAAATCATGTGACCTATCCCTGTGATTGTTGTCTGTATTTAGCGAGATAATGTTTTCTAATTCACTAGTTCAGTGACTGGTGTATCATCAATACCTGATGAATAATAGAAGTATTATGATTATTATTTCTTAAATCTTCCTTAACTTTATTTCCTTATCCGTAAAAGGGTTTTGCCTCACAAAACTCTTGGGAAGAATAATTTAAAATGATTATTAATTCAAAGTGCATTGAAGAGAGGGCATCCACACTATATAGATTTCTAAAGGCAAAATAAGCATAGTGTCTGTGTGCATTCTCTTCCTCAAATGCCCCATACATTGTTTTTCATGAGGTCTTGCTGCAGAATGATTCAATTTTCTCATTTTGTTGAAACTTTTTGAAAGTAGAAACACAGTGAAACCTTGTTATATACCCACATTTAACATTTCCCTGCTTGTAATGTTCCCAGTTCCTTGAAAAATGAGGACAACATGGTCTTCTGTGTGTCTTTTAGTCTTTAAAGGACTCTCCTCCCTGCCCTTGGCAGTAGTGATCTAGGACATGTCTTTTTATACAGTTATTTAGTGAAGATCTGCATCCTTTTTAACAACATTGGCCTCTCTACCATCGTGGGTTCTAGCTAACTTGGCAATCATGGGTATATTTTTCATTGTTCATGTGCAAGGCAGACGTGTTGGCAGTTTCCATTGCAGCTGCTCAACTTCAGGAAAGAAAGAAATGTGAAGGTCCGAGAGATATGCTTTAAGTAGACTTCCTTTTTTTCACTTTTGGGTTGAATCGTTGAAGAGCAACACTTACAATTACATTTTGACTTTAATATTATCACAAAGAGGTAATTCTGGTTTTTTTTCAATTATTTGTGCTTCAGTGTAATTGTAATACTGCTGATCATTTGTTTGACTCATGCCACACAAACTTGACCTCTAGACATCTGTGCCAATAAAGGATTTAAACTTAAAGCAGAAGAATAGTTAATTAGTCTTCATTTATAACAATCTGATGAGTTGGGTTAGCTTTGAAACGAAGAGGTTCAATTGCCAAAGAAGGATGCTAATTTTATACATTACACATGGAGAAGGTCCAGAAATAACCTTCTTACAACATGCTACTTGAAGCCAAGCATTTCAAATCCACTAAATTAAAAGGTATAAGCATCCATCGTCAAATTTAGAAAGCTACTAAAATCTCATGAACTCTTTTTGAAAGCCTATTTGGAGCAATGCTCTCCACTTGGCTTTTACTGAAGTCCAAATACATAGGTTAAAAATTATACAGTTTTCAATTTACATAAACTTACTAAAGTTGCCCTGTCCTTCTTGGCTGTTAAGGAGATAATATTTTTTAGGGTTATAATTATTGCTGCTCACTCATTCTATATTCAAAAGTATTATGAGAACCTACAGAATGGTGCTCCCTAGGGACTACTTTTCACTTGATAGTCTTTACACTCCAAACCCTATATGAAAAGGCCTTTAATAGACTACTGTGTCTGATATGGGAGTCTAATTCAGTGAAACAAAATGGGATATAATGTGAACACAGACATACATAAAGATATGCATATCCTTGAGAAGAGAGAAGTTGCTAATCAAAGGAAGTTATGATATAAAAAGTAAAATCAATATATTTAATGAGTAAAAATAATGATTTTATTGCACGTTAGGCATTTACCTGCTATACATATATTATCTAATTTATTTATCTCAAAAACTCCAATAAGCTTGGTTTTGCTATCCCCACTTTATAGATCAGCAAAGTAAAACTCAAAACAGGTAACTTGTCAAAAGTTGCAGGAGTTCTGGAATCTGAACGCTGTTGTATATAGATGATATCAGCACGGACAGGACAAAGGTGGGAAGAAGAGGAAGACATCTTCCCTCCCTTTTTTCAGAGGAGGTGAAGCGAGAAGGCAAAGAATCACTGGGCAACTTCTCACTTTAGTTACATGTTTAGTAAATTTAAATAATGTAGGAACATTTTGATGGTTCCAGGGACAAGAATGACATCTAAATTCACAAAATTGCCCATATTTTTATTGAATATGCATAGTAAAATTTAAGTGTAAACACTAAAATAGAGTTAGAATGTATAACTTCCAAACTGTTAAAAGGGAAACATTCAATAAAAAAGAAAATACCAATTTTTTAAAAGCAAGGAAGTAGAAGAAAGCATAGAAGAAAAAAGCACAGAAAAAAAGATGGTAGATCCAAATTTAAACACATTAGTAATTGCACTAAATGCATTTAGACAAAATTCTTAAATGAAAACACAGAGATTTTCAGTTTGGATTTTTGCAGTTTGATATATGCTGCTTATAAGACAATGTCTAAAAAATAATAATATGGAAAACCTAAAAACAGAGGGATGGAAAACATCCAAAATATGAACAAAAGGGAACTGTTATAACTGTAATCATAACAAACAAAATAGATGTTAAAACAAAAAGCATTCTTTTTTTTTCTTTTTTTTTTTTTTTTAATTGAGATATGAGTCTCGCTCTGTCAACCAGGCTGGATTGCAGTGGCGTGATCTCAGCTCACTGCAACCTCCGCCTGCAGGATTCAAGCAATTCTCCTGCCTCAGCCTCCCGAGTAGCTGGGACTATAGGTGCGTGCCACCTGCCCGGCTAATTTTTTATATTTTTAGTAGAGACAGAGTTTCACCATGCTGGCCAGGTTGGTCTCTAACTCCTGACCTTATGATCCACCTGCCTTGGCCTCCCAAAGTACTGGGATTACAGGCATGAGCCACCGTGCTCTGCCCCAACAAAAAGCACTCTTAAGGGTAAGGCGGTTACATACGTTTTCTATTGCTCTGTAAGAAATTATCACAAACTTGGGCTTAAAAAACACCAATTTATTATCTCACAGTAAACATGGGTCAGAAGACTGGCACAACATGGCTAGACTCCGTGCTTAGGATCTCATAAAGTTGGTATCAAAATGTTGGCAGGCTGCATTCTTACCTGGAGGCTTAAGGAGGGAGAGATTTGCTTTGAACACCTTCTGGTTGTTGGCTGAAAATATTTCCTTGTTGCTATATGATTGAGGTCTCCATTGTCTTGCTAGCTGTTAATCAGGGACTGTTTTCAGCTGTTAGGGCTACTATCAGGTCTTCACACTGGATCCTTGCCATCTCAGCAACAGAGACCTCTCTTGCATCCAATCTTTCTTCATGCGTCAAATCTCTCTGGTTTCTGTTTCTGCCCCTAGCCAGCAAAAACGCTCTGTGTAAAGGCTCGTGTGAGCCTTTTATGCCCACCCTGGTCATCTCCCTTTCTTAAAGTCAACAGTGCCACAACATAACCATGGGGAAAAAGCCATCAAAATCATAGTCCCAGGGATTATGTAGTGTGGGTCTAGCAAGGGGACAGGAAATCTTGGGGCACATTTGTGGAATTCTGCTTACCACAAAGGACACTATGATAATTGAATATGGGCTGTGTTAGGGAAGAAATCTAATCTTAGACTAAAAGGGGAAATTTGCCAGAAAAACATAAAAATCTAAATGTCTATGCATCATTAAAATATCTCAAAATAAGTAAATCAATAGTTGGTAGAAATCAGGGAGAAAATTACATATCCATGATCATAGTGAGACATTTCAATATATCTCTTCCAAATGGCCAAAAATTTAATAAACCAAGACTATTTCAAGGGCAAAACTTGAAAGAAGAAACTTTAAAAGAAACTTGAGATACAGGACACTTATGGAATATTACAAAAAAGAAAACACATTCTTTTCAAATAAACATGGAAGCACTATGTACTGGGTTACAAAATACATTTTTAAACTAATTTCAAAGAATCATTATTATAAAGACCACATTCTTTGTAAATACAATTAAATTAGAAGTCAATAACAAAAGACAAAACCATATATTTGGAAACAAAATGACATAAATTCAAATAAGTGGCCAAAGATGAACTTGTATGGAATATAACAATACACAAGAACTAAACATTAATGAAAATATTAAGATCAAAACAGAATTTTGCCACAGTGGTACCTAGAGCAAAACCTGTACCATTAAATGTTTAAGTTAAAAAAAAAAAAAAAAGCAAGGCTGGAAATGAAGATGTCCAACTTAAGAAGTTAGAAAAAACTTCAACAAGATAAGAAAGAAAGTAGAAAAATTAAAAAATAGAAAAGAACACAATAGAGAAGGACCAGAAAGCCAAAAGTTGATCCATTGAAAAGAAGAATAAATAAAGACACTAAACTTTCTCAAGAATTGCAAAGCTTGCATAACTCTATAAGGTTTAAAAAAAATTAATCAGTAGCTTAAAACCTTCTACAAAGAATACACCAGTTCCAGATGGCTTTTTTTTTTTTTTTTTTTTTTTTTTTTTTTTTTTTTGAGATGGAGTCTCGCTCTGTCGCCCAGGCTGGAGTGCAGTGGTGTGATCTCAGCTCACTGCAAGCTCTGCCTCCCAGGTTCAGGCCATTCTGCTGCCTCACCCTCCCGAGTAGCTGGGACTACAGGCGCCCACCACCACGCCTGGCTAATTTTTTGTATTTTTAGTAGAGACGGGGTTTCACCATGTTAGCCAGGATGGTCTCGATCTCCTGACCTCGTGATCTGCCTGCCTCGGCCTCCCAAAAGTGCTGGGATTACAGGCGTGAGCCACCGCGCCTGGCCCAGATGGCTTTTTAAGTGAGTTCTACAAAACTTTCAAAAAAACCCAAATCATTCTAAACTTTCATAAAACTTTCTACAATATAGGAAACAAAAAAATTTTCTAATTCAATTTATGAATGTTATAAAACTTTAATATTAAAGCCAGACAATGGAGAGTATAAGAGAAGTCACCATTATATATGAACATAGATACAAACTTTTAAAACAACTTATGGACAAAATTATTCAAGAAGAAAATAAAAGAGATAATATGTCATGACTAAGTTGGATTTATCACACTTCTACAAGGACAGTGTGTTAGAAAAATTTATAAATATCAGTTATACTATTAAAAGATTAAATAAGTCCAGGTGCTGTGGCTCTGGCCTATAATCCTAACACTTTGGGAGGCCAAGGTGGGAGGATCACACCAGCTCAAGAGTTTGAGACCAGCCTGGGCAATATAGCAAGACCCCATCTCTAAAAAATAAAAAAAGAAAATATTTTAAAGAAGACTAAATAAAAATACATATGATCTTCATGATATAGGCAAAATAGACATCTGATGAATTTAGGCATTTGATAATGATTTTTTTTAATTCCCTTAAAAATAAACATGTATTTTAGCCTGTAAAAATTATCACCAAAAGGTAAAGCAAATACCTTTCTTAATGGTGAGAATGATCCTCTGAAGGCAGGAGCAAGAAAAAATGCCCACTACCTACTACTTATATTCAAGACTGAATTTGAATTCCCAGCCATTGGAATAAAACAAGAAAAAAGGTTTAAAAAATATGAGAGAGAGAAAGAAACAAAATTGTCATTTTCCAAAGAGGAAGTGGTTTTTAATATAAAAAAATTTTCCAAAATTACCAAATATTTATTAGAAATAAGAGTTTAGCAATATGGATAGATATGAGATCCTTGTAGAAGTAAATAAAATCTTTACTTAACAGTCCTTGTAAATATAATTCCCTATAAATTAAAGATTTATGTGAAAGACAAAATAGAAAACATTTTAAAGTAAATATGGAGAAGGTATTTCTGATCTCAGAGTATGGAAGTCTTTCCTAAATAAAATACAAAAATAATTAACTGTGTAAGAAAAGATTGACAAATTTAACTGCCATAAAAATAAGATTATCTGCACATCAAGAGTCACCAAAAAGATAACGAAAAGACAAGACACAAAATGAAAAAAGACAGTTGCCACAAAATTAAAAAAGAACATATTAGTAACTTTCACAAATCAACAAGAAAAAATCAAACAACCCAATAAATTAAAAAATAGAGAAAAATATAAACAGAAATACCCTATAAAACGAAACACAACTGACACATAAGCATATAAAAATATGGTGTCTTAGGTGAGGTAATCAGGAAACAGACACTGAGATTGAGCTTTACTTGCAGAAGAATTATTAGGAAATGTTCTCATGGACAAGATGAAGATCTATAAGGAAGTGAAGCAAACATAATTGGGTGGAGGGAAAGTTGTTTTGGAACGTGTGAACTTCAAGTTATTTGTAATAGAAGCCTCAGCCCATCCCACAGGGAGCCCTGGAGATGGCATCACTCGTCAACGTTATCCCTAATGGAGGCAAGAAAGCCGAGCCTTTTTTTTTTTTTTAATGACGGAGTCTCGCTCTGTCGCCCAGAATGGAGTGCAGTGGCGCCATCTTGGCTCACTGCAAGCTCTGCCTCCCGGGTTCAAGCGATTCTCCTGCCTCAGCCTCCCGAGTAGCTGGGATTACAGGCGCCTGCCACCATGCCCAAGCCTGGCCTTTTTACTCAGGCATTGACTAGTCACTATCACCAAGGAAAGGGACATACCCTTATTTATTTATTTATTTTTAAATAGTCTCCATTAAATAAAATGATGTATTAGATTTTCATCTTCAAGTACTATCCTTTATGTTAGTGTTGGCTTAAGGTGTGGTCCATGGATGATGCCGGTCCATGAACGCGTGTCACCGTTTCACAATGAGATGAGTACAGAAACTGAAACTCAGCTTTTAGAAACTTCTGCAGTGGTTACATTCAAACATGTCATCAGTGGACTTTCATAAAATTATCGATTCGTGAATGATTTGGTAGTAAGTACTGATTCTTAACCATAAATTTGTACCTTTGAGAAGCATTATTCTATGACCCTGTTTCTTTGGCTACGATTGTACTGAACCAGTAGTTTTCCAACTGTGGGCTTGAAGTTTCTGCTCACCGAATTTCATACCCTCATCTAGTTTTCATCATCAGTTCAGGTCAGGGCTCCCAAAAGTGGGCTCTGATGCATAAGTTTCATGGGTAAATTACAAAACAAGGCTTCCATCGTCAAAGAATTTGAGAGATTTGGAATGAAATGAAATAAAACAACTTTCTTTTGTAGAACTTCTCAGAGTCCTTAATAGGCTGATGAGCATTATAAATATCTCAGAATGAAAAATTAAAATGTCTAGTAAAACCAAATATTGGTCAGAATCTGGATGAAATGGAATTCTCATATTCTTTTAATAGAAGTATAAATTGATATAACCACTTGGGAAAACAATTTGTCATTGTCTTATAAAATTGAATATGCACATATCATTTGACCCAGAATAATAAAGACATTCTTGAATATACACCAGAAAATAATAGCAAAAATATTGAAACATCCTATAAGCCCATTGAGAGGAGATTACATAAATAAATGTTGGTATATTAACACAATATACAACAGTGAAAATAAAAATAAATCTACCCCCACTATATACAACAAAATGGAGAATCATAGAACATAATATTAAGTGTTACCTTTTGCTTAGAACATAATGCTGAGTGTTACACAACAGCAGTTAATGTAGAGAAAGTATGGCAAATCCATGAAATGAAGAGCTATGCAGTCACTAAAAATGATTCATAAAATAAAATATAGTAATGAGAACTGATATTTGCAATATACAAACCTATTTTTTATTATACTTGTCATCTAATATATGTATCATATGTTGATACATATATGTAATAGATATACAATGTTGTACAGATTGAATACCTATTGCATATACAGATAATATGTATTCTTGGGGAAAGCATCAGATGGAGGGATGCCAGAATGATTTTTATGTCAGGTGATGTTATTTGGGATTATTTTTGTTTTTAAATATTTACTTTTCTATATTTTCTTAAGTTTCTGCAATGAATATATCTTTGGTAATGAGGAAGAATAATAATAAATATTAACTGAAAAAAATCACTGAGAGAAGAGGGAAATGGCCTCTGGAATTCATTTTGAGAATAGGACATAACTGAACACAATTAGAAATAAAGAGATGGGGAATAAGGGTCAATCACAGAATTTCAACTCATCAAGGCAAAAATCTGCTTGAAGTAGTCAGTGTCTCCTTAGACATCTTACACTACTCTTGTGCCCAGGTGTGTTTGCTTCCAAAACATAGGCCCCTTGTATCGCTATCACATGGATTGAAAGCTACTATAGAAATATTCTGCTCTTGGGAGACAAAGATTGAATGTATAGAGTTCTAGCCTTGGAATTATTAAAAATGGAAAAGGAAACTTGAAGTACTTTAGAAACACAGAGAAGATAATTTCGATTGTAATAAAGCCAATAAGATTTATAGCAGTCACATAGGAGAACTTCCAGAAAATAGAAATTATTAAACATTACAGCAAGCTATTAAAAAATTTACAGGACCTTGTTTCTAACTAATCTTTCAGCATCAAATAAATAATCAGATATTTTGAAGGCATGGAATAAAGGTTAATTTTAGAGGTTAAGACATATCTGGTGATCTAAAGTCTTGGGATGGTTTTTGCTTGTTTGTTTTTGCCCTGCCTTTATTTCGTGCCCGATGATTTGATAGAACTATCCAATTTTGATGCCATTTTTGTAGAAAGAAAATTATGAGCCTATACCAGAATTTCCCTGTGTCTCCTCTGCAAACCTGATTCTATAAAACACTTATAAACAAGACTTCCATAGTCAACTACCTCTGGGGTATTATCTCAGAGAGACTGGCAATACACATTAGCATACAAAGTCCCTGAGAAGTTCCGCAGGGAAGACATAAATGACATCTGTATAACTCTACAGCACGGCCTACTTTGGAAAGCCCTGAACCAAACCAATGGAGAAAATCGTATTCGAAGATTAAGTCAAATGAAAGGAGATTCTGCAAACACATAAGAGGCAGAACTATTGGCTCAGGATCTCAGGATAATGATGAAAGAAAACACAGGACCACAGAGCAGTGCTACTTAAACTATCTGTGGCAAATGGCCATTTTTAAATCATATCTCTTCCATCATAGATCAATACCTTTGTAAAGTTTGCTGATCATGCTCTTGGTGTCGACATGATGTCAAATTAAGAGTTTTGCTATACCTATTCTAATTTGTGTGCTTATCTCACTGTGGTAGCGAACAATTTGTGGACTGGCATTGCCTATGGAGTGCACTTCGAGTAACACTGCCATAGAGGGTAGTAAGTTGAGGATGTAAATCTGGTGCATCAATTTTTTCAACCCAGAATGTTTTAAAATAGATAAACAGGCTGGGCGCGGTGGCTCACGCCTGTAATCCCAGCACTTTGGGAGGCCGAGGCAGGCGGATCTCGAGGTCAGGAGATAGAAACCATCCTGGCTAACACGGTGAAACCCCGTCTCTACTAAAAATACAAAAAATTAGCCGGGCGTTGTGGCGGCCGCCTATAGTTCCAGCTACTCGGGAGGCTGAGGCAGCGGAATGGCCTGAACCTGGGAGGCGGAGCTTGCAGTGAGCCGAGATCACACCACTGCACTCCAGCATGGGCGACAGAGCGAGACTCTTGTCTCAAAAAAATAATAAAATAAAATAAAATAAAATAAAATAAAATTAAATTAAAATAAAATAATAAAATAAAATAAAATAGATAAGAAGACACGCTAACTCATTCTGATGATTAGCAGGACACAGAGGAGGCCAAACCATTTAAAATCACATGAAGAAAAAATTAAAAGGAAGAAATAACTTAGTCAACAAATATTAAAGGAATAAGGAACGTGACCATTTTCATAAGTTGATAGCTTTTTTGTGTAAGTTTCATACTCCTACTTCTTGACTAACTGGAGTAGAGCAAGAGATCATTATAAATCTCTTTCAATTTTTGCTATATTGAAATATTGTTTTCCACAAACGTCACTTAAAGAAATGACTGTCCTTTTATCTTGTTCCTGAAATAAAGGGAGTAAGGTAAAAATACCAATTGCTACTCTACCCAGCAAGGAAGATGTTGGCCATGAAAACAGGGCCTTACTCTCTTATGTTGTCTCTGGGAGTGCAAAATAGTATGATATCTACGGGAAGGGAATTTGGCAAAAACTGGGCATTTACCCTTTGACCCAGTGATCCCATTTCTAGGTATCTAGTTCAGCTAGATACCTGATAAAATTATGAAAAAATATGTGCCCTAAGATACTCATTACAGAACTATTTTTAATAACAAAGGTCCAAAATCTACCCAAACAGTTAACAATAGAAGACTGATTGAATAAACTGTAGTATAGCCATAGAATGGGGTATTATGCAATTAAAAGAAACAAGAAATTCCTTTGTATGCCACTATGAGATTTTCAAGTTGTACCTGAAGTCAAAAAAGCAAAGTGGATAAAAATTTATATAGCGAGCTACTGTTTATCTAAAAAGATATATCTATATAGAGACAGATATAAAATATACCTACTTATATTTAAGAAACAAGCTCCTGAATGGTTAAGCCATAATTTGGTTTTTGAAATACTATATAATAATCTCTGGAGGAGGTAATTTAAAAAATTACCTGTGGTTTATGGGAAGAGGGCAGCACTAGGGGATAGGAATAGATGCTACACTTTATTTAATTTGCCTTATTTGTAGATTTGATTTTCACATCATGTAAATATTTTACACAATTACAAAATAAAAACAAAATTTAAAAAGTAACTTTTAGAAAGAGAAATAAGATGAGGCCATGTGCGGTGGCTCATGCCTATAATCCCAGCACTTTGGGAGGCTGAGTCACGTGGATTGCTTGAGCTCAGGAGTTTGAGACCAGCCTGTGCAACATGGTAAACCCCCCATGTCTACACAAAATAAAAAAAAAAATAGTTAGGCATGGTGGTGTGTGCCTTTAGTTCCAGCTACTCGGGAGGCTGAGGTGGAAGGATGGCTTGAACCCGGGAGGCAGAGTTTTCATCGAGCTGAGATGGCGCCACTGCATTCCAGCCTAGGTGACAGACTGCAACCCCGTCTCAAAGAGAGAGAGAGAGAGAAATGAAATAAAAAGAAACAAATGGACGTAATGCATTTACAGTTGGTGGCATAACAACAGAGAGAATTCCATTTGCTATTAAAACTCTGTACTTTGACATGTCTAATGTGATGTATCTTACGTACAGAAAGAAATTTAAAAAATCATAAACTATTTTCAGTAATCATATTATCATTGGTAGGGTAGGTATTGCTATTCTGACCTTGCTTTGTGTATACCATGTGATAAAGCAGCCAAATAATTATGGGATATTCCAATTCTATCATTGTTGTTGTCATTGTTAAGAACTGGGATTCTTGGCAAGGGAAAGAGGAGATACACATTTGAGATTGAAGAGTTTTTTGGTCTTGAATTAGAATTGAAAGCATCACTACCACTACTTAATAGTATGGGTATATATCATTGAGCTCTTTCCACTGAAAACGTCTAGAAACATTGACCAACCCAGTAACAATGATTCATCCTAGTGTCCAGATGATAGTATACAAATACGATTTCCCGCTAAGAGGAGCCTGGACACCTTTAACAAACTGTCGACTCCAGGTTTGAGGCAGCATATGTACAAAATGAGTCTGGAACATCTTGTAGCAGATGGTAAGGAAGTTACTAAAATTTACTAGAGCGTCAAAAAATCTCCTCTTCAAGAAAAAACATAAAAATGTATAAAACTTCAATTGATTGGAACATTTCAAATATGTTTAAATCTATGAGTTTATAATGATACTTCAGAAAATAGGTAATTTTGGGCAGGCTAGAAAACCACATCACTATTTTGAAATTGATATAGAAAGAGAAAAATAATGTATTTGGTCTCTCTTTCCTATATGAAATGCTTCACTGAGTAACCAAGAGTGGATCAGGAAAAAGTTTCCTCTTATTACAATTAATACACAGGGAAGGTGTGATAGGACTAAAATAGCAATGCTTTTTCAATTAATGAACTAATGAATCTCAATATTGATCATCAATGACTGCTGATGTGACAAGAACACAAGCTGCCAGATAATACATGCCTCCTGGTAGGAGAAGAAATACTGCCAATCAAACTCTCTTGCCAAAGAAATTAACCTGAATTCAATCAAGTGTTTAACATACAGTATATACTGTATATACTATGTCTTATCTTAATATACAAAAATACAGAGGACACAAGAACATGTTAAATGACACCACAGGGATGGAATCAGCAAAATCCAGACTATGGGAACCTTTATAAGACAAATAGTTATGCAAGGAATAAATGGCAGGCAATACATTGCAAGGAAATAGCAATGTACAGATCTTATTTGGATCCTGACTCAAACAAATAAACTTTAAAAATCATGAGACAACTGGAAAGTTTAACATTGATTAGATATTTCAAAATATTAAGGGATTATTGTGACATTTTTCAAGAGAGATAATGGTAGTGTGATTATGTTGAAGAAAAAAAAGCAACCTGATTTCCTACCAGGGCAGTTTAGTTTCAGCTGAAGAACAAAAGGATTTATGGCAAGTGAAAAGGAAGGACATGCTAAGGAAGCTTCCCTGCCACCGCCCCCACTTCCCCAAGTTTGCAGAAGGATATCTATAGAATAGCAACAGATGTCCTAGGAAAGAATGCAAAGCCTCATTCTCTTTCAAGATTCTAGGACTATTCATAAACTGTTCAGCTATTTTATGTCATCAGCAGAGTTCCTCCAGTGAATTACAGTCCTCTATCGGCTTTGGGACCATCCATTACAAGATGCAACCAGAAGCCAAGATGCAGTTGGCTCATCTCACTAAGTGTTTTCATAAGCAGATTTATAATGAGAGGAAAATGCATTTTATTGATAGTAACCAGGGCTACAGAGAACTCCCCCAAATTATCAGGGGTTGTTACAGGGGCAATTTGCAGAGCCTTCTTCCAACAAGACAGTAAAACAGCCCCCAGCCCTGCTAGCTTTTTAAAATCTACTAAACAATGCGAAGCCACAGTTTCATTTTTTTCTTTCTGGCTGGAGATAGTGGAAATGTTCATCACCCAGTGTGAAGTAATATGTGAAACAGGTGTTTTATTCCCTAGCAGGTAAAATGGGTTTGATTCCTGTGAGATGTAGACATTTCAAGGCTACCAGCAAGAGGTCCAGATGGTGTGTATTTTCATATCTAATATTATATAAAAGATTTCAAATGTATCCTGACTCTTAACAAAACCATAAATTCACAGCTTATTGCCATGCTGAACAGCTCTGGTAGCTACTAATTAGTATTACTGTTTTTGCTTTCCTCTTCCAGGGATCACTAGCATACCTGAGCCTTTACATTTTTAGCTTCCAGTAAAAAGACAGAATTCCAGGGTAGGAGCCCATCTCACTTAAGGGCCAGCTGCATGTACAACATTAGAACCTTAGGGGATATACAAATGTTTACGGAACCACGGGTGGAAACATAGGTTAAGCTTTTAAGGAAAAACACTTTCAGTTGTTCCCTGTTTGGTCATGAAATGATTCCAGAAATATTATTGAGCGTCTTTTAATAATAATAATACCAATAGCAAGCATTATTGCAAGTTTATTATAAAACAGGCATTTTTCAGATTATGCTACACACGCTGTCTTATTCAATATTCCTAATCACCTTTGGAGATACCAGTAGCTCCATGTTACATATTAGGCAACTGAGGTTTAGGAAACTTCAGCAGCTTACTCAAGAGCCAACTCAGGTATAATGGGTAGCAGTCCTCACTCTTAATAAGAATAGCATATTCCTTTTTTGCTGTGTAGCATGATAGCCCAGAAGGCACTGTATACATTGTGTGCAGAAGGAGCCCCTTGGAAAGAGTTCTGTGGTATTTATAGGAAACACTACTATAAAGAAAGGAAGTCAAGTCAGCAATACAGTGGGTTAGAATTGTTCCCATTCTAGAAAGCAACAGTCTAGGTCTCAATACAGGGTAATGAGCCAGCCTATGCTTCCTAAAAGCCCTGGGCAGAGTTTAACCTCCTGATTCCATTCTCCTGCCTCCCGCTGTCTTGTGCTCATAAGTATATCAACCACTGCTCTGTCAAAGGAACATTTTGCCCCCTCCTAAGACTATTTAATATGCTCTATAGAGTGAGGAGGAAGAGAAAATATAGGAGCTAATACTTTGGGGGAAACTCCATGATCTCACATTGTTCATTTTATGAACAAGCTCCTCTTATTTTCTATTGAGAAGAGTCAACAGGATTGATTTCTTTCATCCTAATACCCCAACATTTAAGCTTCCATTGATACTGAGCTATGCAAAATCTCAAGTCTGCCTCAATCCCGAGAGCATGGAGTGAAAAAAGTAATGTTGGGAGAATCTAGGCTGCTCTTTCTGCCCTTCAGCTTAAAATTGCTTTTGTGATTTTCAGTCAGTTCCTTTACCTCAGTGGGGTCAGGTGTTCTTATATCCAGAAGTCTTCATGTGAAATAATGTCTAAGGATTCATATAGCTTTGGAACTCAGTACCTTAATGCCAATGCCCATGCTCATAACTCACATGAGTGGGCTCATCAGAATAAAATAAGTGATTTATTTTATTTTGGGGAGCATGACTGATTAGATAGAAACCCGTTACAACAGGGATTTTGGATTCCATCTTATAAAAATAAAAATGTAAGCAAAATTTGCCATGGTCTTACCTGCAAGGCAGACTCTAAATGGAAATATAAGTAGAGTTTAAGGAACCATATAGAAATATGACAACATTTCCACATTTCTGGGTGAGTTTTGTGGAATAACTTTCATTGTCTTGCTTTATGCTATTTAATCCCTTGTAGTAATAGAGGCATTGGCATCTTAACTTTCTAGAAGAGCCAAGAGGGCATCACGTTAAAAAAATCAAAGCCCTTAATTTCTAACCCTTAGCAACTCTTGCAGACAACTATAGCTTGGTTTTCACCTATTTCTGTCGTCTGGTATTTTTTTTCACAAGTGAGAAAGATCTTGACCAACAAAGGTCTAAATAGATGTTCCTCTTTCATGCTCAACGGAATTCTGAAGGAATCCTCATTTTCTCTTTCTGTTCAGGCATGGTGTGCAGAAGTCAGCTGTGAAAAGGAGGAATGAAAGCAAGTGAAGGATGCCCTTCATAAGGAACAAGCGATCTCTCTAAAACCAATCCTAGAGTATGGCTTCAGATTCTGCTCCCATTTCTCAATGATTATGAGTTTTGTGCCACATCTTCTCCCCCTTTATCCCTACAATATTTGCATTTCATGTTTTTATTCTCTTACTGCCTGAGCAATTTGAAACTCTCATATTTAGGCAATTCCCAGATCTCGTTCTTAAAGCATTGTGATTCCCTTTCAGCTTTTCAGAGGCACGTGTGCTGGGGAAGGCACTGAGTCCTCCCTGTCAATCCAATTTGTGATAAGGATTTCCCCAGGTGCACCCATTCCATAGTCCCTGTGTTGCTCTGAGCCTGGTTGGCATCCTTTTGGGAAGCATTTGTATTGCTTTTTCATCTCAGAAAAGATACTCTAGTCACAAACCAGTCATCTGCCTGTTAAGCTGTATTTAGAACAAATCACTCCGAAGCAAAACAACGATGACAACAACAAAAGAGCCACACTTATTTCTTTCTAGACTTTTAACAAAATGTTTGATGTTGTGGAGATTTCCAAACAATTAATGTGAAATTGGGTACTGTTGTTCACATGATTTATTTACCATATATAGAGAATTCAGCTGGAGTGCTACTGTCAATGATGCTCCCAATGAAATTTCAGCAGAGAGTTGGAAAATCAGCAAATTGTTTATTTCCAAAGAGGAATTACATTTTCAAAGGATAAAAGTTAATAGGAGTCATAGTGCTCAAAAACCACACGATATAGGAAAACCTACCCCACTCCACCAAAGGGCACATCTTGCTTTGAACACTTGATTTCATATTAACAGTTCATGAGTTATTCAAAGCAGGGGAATCTCCTGCAGGTTGGGAAATATCCTAGTGCTTTTCATAGCCTTCCATGTCATGGATCAGGGACACACACTTGTGCACATGTGTGCACAGACACAAAACAGAGAGAATGCTTAACAGGAGCACATTTTACAAAAGTGAGATCCCAGGCCTGGAAAATCCCAAACTCTTATAAATTTTACAAATCCAAAATGGAATATTCAAAAAGAACTCAACCTGTTTCTCTTGAGTAACTTTTCAGACTCTCATTACAGGCCCCATGAGGTCAGTCAGATTTCTGTTCTACAGGATACTGCAAAAAGAGACCAGAAATTTAAAAAGGAGTGATGGTACCACACAAAATAGTAAAAATGAAATAGAGAAGGTGTGAAGTTAGATCCTTGATTTATGTGTGGAAAGCTAGTGCCAAGAATATTGTTATGGGCCTGGCTCCTAGAGGCAAGATTTGTTAGCAAAAACTGTCTCTAAATATTTATGCTCAGCTAAATAATTGCTAAATAATTCCGGATCCCAGCTGGAAATCTAGGATCAGGACTAGCCTAAATTAGTAGATCTATGTGATAGTATATTGGTATTTTATCCAGAAAGTACTTGCTCAATGATAGGTTCAACTTCAGCATATAATTCATATACTTTTATAAAAGCCTTTTCATGGCATTACATAGAAGGCCTTTCCTTGGAAATATTTCCATAAAATAAACAAAGCACTTAAATCAGTCCATTCAATAGCATTTGTTTTAGGATTATTAAAGAAATACAGAGTTTTGACTTCCGCAGTGTGCTAACATGGATTATTCTTTCATTTGCTGATCCTTGTATGTGCAGTAGGATGTTGAAAGTGGGGGTGGTGGCAGCATATTTCTACATCACCTTGGACTTTACCTTTCTGAGAATCAACATAGGTTTCTAACTTTTTTTATGGCCCTGACTGGTGCTTCAGTAAACCCACGAATAAAAGCAGTACTCCAATCTGCAGAGACTCTAGAAGAAAATACTTTCTATGAACCAAAAAACAAAGAGGAAGCTTCATCATTTAATTTGACTGCTAGAGAAACATCTACACATTTCTCACATTCTTCTCATATCAGAATAAGGGATTGTTACAGATTTTTGACCAAAAATTAAAATTTTCTGAATTTAAAAGGAGTGAGTTGAAATGGAAGCCTATACTTATACTTTTCACTTTTTCTCTGGGATCCCATACAAATGCTTCAAATAACACAAAGGAGATCAAGAGTTTAGAGTGGACTCTGTCATAAACAAGTTCTGTGATGTCACTTTCCTTCTTTGAGCTTCAGTTTCCTCATCTGTGAATGCGAGAATGGATGTCATGTCTGGTGAGGCTTTCTAGTTGGTTCTACCCTTCAGTGATTCATCTGACATTTTTCAAACTGTGCTACAGAAACAAAGAGAATAACAGAGAGGAAGAAACTGATGAGATAAACTATTTCAGTTAGAGATTTGGAGGGGTCTAATTAAAGTTTTATTCTTATGGTGTATAGAAGAAACTTTGGCTATCTGTTGTTATTGTTCCCTGATTATAGCTTTCTGAGCTATAGGAGAACACTGTATTGATGTTGCCAGAAGACATTTCAAGGAGAAGATAAAGAAAGAAATTATTTGACTAGAGCTAATAAATATGTATGGTTTCCTGTGTTGTTTTGTTTTTTTAAGAGAGATTAAGAAATGGAGAGGTTTTTCTCTCCATACCAGACAGAGATACAGAGATGGAGCTTTGCAATCTAACGCAGATCTATTTTGTCCACTAATGCAGAAATAACATCATGTGCATTAAGAAAGCTCTGGATCTGTTTAAATCAATTAAAGTAAAGTTAATGTATTTTAATATCTGAGCTCTTCCCTTATCGATATAACTCTGCCATGTTTTCTTCTCAGAGCCCAAGGTGATGAAAAATAGACTCATTTACTCTATTACATCTTATAACTGTGGCTTCAAGATTTTTTTTTCTTTAGTTGTGAAGCCACAAGGAGATTTTATGTGACTCTAAAGCTGCTGTTGGTTTTCATACCACAGTACTCAAGGGCATTTCTTACCTTCAGGCTGCTATTGTTTCCAATCTGGAGATAAACGCACACTTGATAAAACTATTTTAATGATGCTAATATTAATACTTTGGTAGAATACTTTATCTGCTAGTAATAGCTTTAAAGAGTTTGTTGAGATTTTGTCATCTCATACATTTTAATAGAATATTAGGTTTGTAATTAACAAGAAAAATACAGTAGCTCCACTTCTCACTTCCTCCATATTCACGTAATGATTACCAGTGGAATATCTGCTGTTCTGTACCCTTAGTAGACCAATCAATATTTTGGTGAATGGAGAAGTCTGAAGCACAGAATTGTAGTGTAAACAAATGAGAAACATTAAAAGTATGCTAAATATTATAGCCAGTTGATTATGTAAATTTAAACAGTGTAGGGGAAAGGAATTGCTTATTAAATTAGTCTGTTTTCAGTTCACTCTGGCATTGTTTATTATACGCCGTAGCCAGATATTTCATAAATAGACTGCTTTTACAACCTGGAGGTTTTGGGAATACCAGCTGATTAATGAAGTGGTATATGTGCTTGGAGGCCATGGTGGAGAGAACTTGTCTTACGATCATTTCCATTTTACAGCTCAGGCCTTCTGTGGGGTACAGACAATGGAGAGAGAGAGAGAATAAGATGAGAACTCTGATGAGCAGTTCATTCCAATATGAGCACCTGTTACATCAATCTGTGAATTGGTTGATTTTTAGCTATGTCCTGTTAGTGATCTTCATAGGAGCAACAGACTAAGATTTTCTATTAATAATTCAATGAATAAGTTCCACTCACAGTACATTTGATTAGCCAACTGTAAGAGTATCTACAAGTTTGTGACTCAATGTTTTGGGACTATCTAAGGAAATCTCAGAGTGACAGAATGAACTGGAAGACATCGTGTAATGATGGATCAGAAACTCATTTGCAATCTAGGAAGGGGAGACCAGATCTGCTATAATGGAACCTATTTGAGAACAGATCATGAAAAAAGACTAATTAAAAAAAACGAAGTTGTCATTTTTGTGTCTTGGAAGCCAAGAAGGGAAAGGCTATTGGGAAAGTCCATCTTCCAGACAAGTGAATCCTAATTTTGAAGACTTCTCAGTCTACCAAAATCTGATGCTCTTAAACCTGTTCATTCCATTTTTCTGATTTCCTAGTAACTCTGGTTTTCATTTGGTATTCTACTCCTTTATTTTTTCTCCACTTGGAGGTCATATCAACCTGGTTCCTTCAGCTTTCATCCTCTCCTTTTTTTCTGTCTATAAGAACAGAAATTCATTTGCTTTTCCAAAGTCCCACCTCTATGGAGTCCTTGAGGTACTTTGCTCTTTGTTAACATGGACACTCTCTCCTGCATCTTCTCTCCCTTAGCATAACTCCTTCTCATCTGCCTAAAGCATAGCTCCATTTCCTTCATACCGAAAGAGGGCCTTCTCTTGTTCCAACTCTACTCTTGTATTACTATCAATAGGATCTATTTCTCCTTACTTACCACTCAAACTCTATAGTATCTACCTGTGTCCTCACAGCTTACTTATATACAAAGCCCATACATTCTGATTTTGGTGACTACCTTTTCACAGAAACTATTATGTTGAAGATCATCAGTGGCATTTTCATGAGTAAATACAGCAGCCTTCCCTCTGCTTGAATCTCCTTGCATTATTCTGTATCATGTGAGTCTATGGACCACTTCCTAGTCTTGAAATTCTCTCCTTCCTTGACATTAATACTAGTGTGCCCCTCTTGTTCTTCAATCTCTGTTTGCTGCTTTTATATTTTCTTTGCTTGTCTTTTCAAATGTGCTTTATATGTATATTGCTTCTTACATATTATCCAGAACCTTAATGGGCTAAATATGTGATAATTGCAATTTTACATACAAAGAGGCAGAGGCTAGGATAATTTAAATAATTTGCTCAAAGGCACATATGTCCTAACTGATGGAGCCAAGATTTGATACCAAGATTTGGTCTAACTCCAAAGTCCTATCTGGTACAGTCTTCAGCTAATGACCTCAGAGGACACTGAAATGATTTCTTCTCAGCCCAAGACAATGAAAAATGACTTACTTCATTGCGTCTTACAACTGTGGCTTCAACAATTTTTTTAAAAAATTTTGTTGTGAAGCTACAAGCAACATTACTGGAACTCTCTTTTCTTCCAAACCAGCCACTTAATCTGCTAACCTATCTGTATCTCCACCCTCATTTTCTGCTTTTGTTTTCTAGTACAGTAGAAGACCAACCCTTTTTATTTATGCTCTGTATCTCTATAATGTTGCTTCTTAAGATCTTTCCCTCTTTTTCCTAGATCCATCATTGTTTCCCTGTCTACTGCATCAGCTTCCTAAGCATGCAAGTATGTTCTTCTTTCTCCCATTATAAAAGAGGTCCTTTCTTGAGACCTTGTTCCATTGCAGCTTCTGGGCCTATTTCTGAAAAGTTTCTGTACTCAACTCTATTTTCAGAAGATTCTGTACTCAACTCTATTTCTTCCTTGCATTTACATTTCACATTGACCCCTTTTCTTTTCCTCAAATACATCTGGTTCATTCATGCCTTGCAGCCTTTGCACGTGCTGATCCTTTGCTTTGACAGCTTTTCATGTAGTTGAATTCTTTTAAGTTTTAGTTAAAATGTGTTCTCATTAGACATGTCTGTCCCAGTCCCCAAATGGTCTCTATCACATTTCCCTGTTTGTTTCTGTCAGAGTTTTTATCATAGTCTAAAAGTATCTTCTTTACTTAATTAATTTTTGTTCTCTGTCTCCACTTTCTAGAATAACGCTATTTGAGAGAACTCCCTGCAATGTTGAAAATGTTCTTCTGTGCTGTCAAATATGATAACTAGGCCGGGCACGGTGGCTCACGCCTGTAATCCCAGCACTTTGGGAGGCTGAGGCAGGTGGATCATGAGGTCAGGAGATTGAGACCATCCTGGCCAACATGGTGAAACCCCGTCTCTACTAAAATACAAAAAAATTAGCCAGGCATGGGCACCTGTAGTTCCAGCTACTTGGGAGGCTGAGGCAGGGGAACCACTTGAACCCAGGAGGCAGAGGTTGCAGTGACATTGCACTCCAGCCTGGCGACAGAGCAAGATTCCGTCTCAAAAAAAAGTACAGATATATATGACAACTACTAGCCATGTATGGTTACTGAACATGTGAAATTTAACTAGTCAAAGTGAGGAGCCAAATTTTTAGTTTCAATTAATTTAAAGTGTAAAAAGTCACACGTGCCTAGCAGCTACCATAATGAACAGAACAGTGCTCAAATGTATGCTCCATGAGGGATGAGATTTTTGTCTAATTTTTTCACTGCTGTATCCTGTATGCTCAGTAACATTTGTTTAATGAGCAAATGAATGGGTTATTTCTTGTTGAGAAGAAATTCTGGGAGAAAAGAGGATTGTTGTTAATTGTAGCATACTTTATAAGTAATACAACTCTCCTTCCAGTAATGTGTTTGTATTTGGACTATATAGAGCTCTTCTGAATTTTTTTTTTTTTTGACAGAGTCTCACTCTGTTGCCCTGGCTGGAGTGCAGTGGCATGATCTCGGCTCACTGAGGCTTCCACCCCACGGGCCTCCCGAGTAGCTGGTACTACAGGCACGCACTGCCACACCCAGCTAATTTTTGTATTTTTAGTAGAGATGGGGTTTCACCATATTGGCCAGGATGGTCTTCATCTCCTGACCTCGTGGTGATCCGCCCACCTCAGCCTCCCAAAGTGCTGGGATTACAGGCATGAGCCACCGCGCCAGGGCCTGAGATCTTTAATTAGTATTCTAAGAGAGAGATACAATATTGTAAATTAAATTTTTGACCATGTTGAAAACATGCTTGATTCTTTTGCTGTGTTTTGTTAACCAGTGATACAATTATGCTATCTATGGAGTTATCATACGTAATTAATGAATTAATCAATTTACTTAATTCACAGGCAGAAAGAGATTCTGTTTTCTAGTGTTGTCTACTAATTATGCAGTAAATCAAGGTTTTGAAGAGAGAGTTTCAACAATCATTCATTTTTTATGAATTAATCTTTCTTTGGCTTTCTTCTCTAGGGGTGAACAAATAATGCAAACATAGACCCAAGGATACATGAAGTCTGAATGCTAAAAGCATGCAGAAGATATAGCTGAATATAAAAAATATATGGAATTAATTTTCAAGAGGTGTACTAATGTCACTGGGCACAGACAGGGTCAATCTGTGCCAACAGCAGGCGAGAGACCCTGTGGTATAAGGACGGATAAGTATTAAGGACTTGCTTTCTTGGAAAAAGATGCAAAATTAAACATGCAATCAGCAAAAAAGATGAATAAGAATATACAAGCAAAAATATAATTAAAAAACAGAATGCATGGTTAAAGTAAATATTTGCCCAGTTTGATATTAATACCTACCTAAGAATAACTGTCATTCTTATTACTCCTACTGCTGCTGTTGCTAGGCTACCATTTTTGAGGGCCTACTAAGTTCCAAGAACTATACTAAATACTTCACATTGATGGATGTTATTTTCCTCATTTTGTAGATCAATTCTATATGATTGATGTTAATTCCTTTACTTTGTCGATGATGAAACAAGCTCAGTTTAGACTCATTGCTTGTGAGTAGTGGAGCTGCATTCTGACCCAAGTAAATTCAACTCCAAAGCTCATGCCCTTAAAAAGAAAAAAGTCTGAAATCTGGTATTCTCTACAGCATTCAAGTATAGACACATGGAAGTTTCTAGGTATGTGGAATATAATCCAGCTTTGAATATGACATTTTAATAAAGTAGTTTCTCTTTTCTCATCTAATTGTCTGTTAATATTCATGGTGTAGAGCAAATGGAAAGCAAGTCATATGAATAAATAAAGCAAGTTAGGTGTGAGACAATATGGAGTGGTGGGATCTGTGGCAAAATCAAGAACATATGTCTATCCAAAGTTATTAAAATTCATTTAAAAATACCATTATGGGTTCAATTGTGTCTCTGCAAAAGAGATATGTTGAAGTCCTGACTCCTGTACCTCAGAAGGTGACCTTATTTGGAAATAGGTTTGCTGCAAACATAAGTTAAAAATAGGTCATACTGGAATGTGGTAGGCCCCTAATCCAATATGGCAGGTTTACTTATAGGAGAAGAGACACAGGGACAATGCCATATGCAGACAGAGGATTGGAGCGATGCATCTATGAACTAGGAAATGCCAAATATTGCCAATAAACAACCATAAGCTAGGAAAAGGCAAGGAAAGATTTCTTACAAGTTTCAGGAGGAGCATGGCCCTACTGACACCCTGATTTTGGACTTCTGGTCTCCAGAACTGTAAGAGAATAAACTTATTTTATTTTATACCACCCAATTTGTGGTACTTTGTTATGGAAGCCTTAGAAAACTAAACAGATACACTGAAAGGACTATCCATTGTCTAGATGAACATATCAAATATAGTCAATGTGAACCAATTTAAACCCCTGACACAGTGATCTACAGGACTAATGTAGTCATTGAGTATGAATAAATAAAAGCAAACTAAGCCATAGTTCTGAATTTTTCTGATTTTATATAACATCTTATAGGGCATTTATGTTCTAGATACTGTCCAATTTAACAATATAACTTGTTAAATAAAGTTATATTAACTCATACATTCCTCACTCTAACCCTATTTATTGGAAATTAATAGTACCATCTCCATTTTATACAGAGAGAAATTTAGACACATAGAGATCAAGTGACACTCTTAGTCACACAGCTAGTAAGTGGCAAAGCTGGGCTCACTCCAGGTAGTCTGGTGCTGGAGTTTATGCTTTTGACCACTATGCCATGCCAAGGTACCTGAGGATGCACCTCATTTATCATCAATGCTCTAACTCCACCTTTAGTTTTAGTGATTTATATGTGAATGATACTTTGCCCACATGCTATGCTTTGAATGTTTGTGTCTCCCCAAATTCATACATAGAAACTTAATCACCAGTGTGATGGAATTAGGAGGTGGGGACCTTTGGCAAGTGATCCAGTCAGGGAGCCCTCATGGGATTCGAGCCCTAGGGAGCTGTCCTGCCCCTTCCAGCATATGAGAACACAGCAAGAAGGTGCCATCTTTGAACCAGAAAGCAGGCCTTCACCAGACACCAAACCTGCTGGTGCTTTAATCTTGAATTTCCTCCCTCCAAAACTGTGAGACATAAATTTCTGTTTTTATAAGCTACCCAGTTTATGGCTTTTGTCATAGCCCAAATGGACTAAGATACCCTATTCTTATGAAGTCTTTTACATAGGCTCTGATCACCATAGTCCCTTCAATGATACTCAGTGGCTTTTGATTTACCCCTTTGAGATGGAAAAAGAGCAGCATCAGTTTGTCTAGTCCCTTTCTGTAATAGTCACAACTTGCTGAATAATCTAAAGAAGGAATTCTAATGGTTTATAGAAACATCTACTCCAACTACATATTGGAAATCTGGGAAAATAACTCTTGAAAATATTCAAGATCATATTAGACATACCACGAGGCAGAATTAAGCGAAAGTCTCTCTAGATGTTACCTTTTTCCAGTACACAGTTGCTTTGATACATTTTTGCAGGTCCCTTCCAGGGACCTGTGTTTATTGCACACAGAAAGCATGAAATAAACACCAATAGTATAGCTGTGGACTTTCTCTTCCCAGGATCCTACTGTTCTTTCATGGCTGGGACTCTGGGGCTATACAGTTCAGGTCTGGGACCTGGTGAAGGGCTGTGGGTCTGAAGGATGATGACTCAAGTTGGACTTCTATTCACCAGACCCAGAGTGTTTTGTTGGTTTGTTCATTACATAAATGAAGAGAAGACTTAGGGGTGGTTGCTTATTAATTTTAATCCTTTCGAGTTCACATTTAATTAAGAACACCCAGAACTATCTGCAGGTCGGAATAAGCCTCGAATATTTTGGCTGCCCCACCAGCCTTGATGCCTATTATGGTTGGCATCTGTTCCCTCTGCCGCTATGAGATCATGCCCACTAGAGTCAGGGAAGTTTCTATTGCAGTCCTTTCCACGAGTGTTGCCATCTGAGAGAGAAAGGGGCCAACAGAGTTATTTCTACCACCCTCTGCTCAAGGCCTTCCTGAACAAGAGAATCTTCCAGGCCCTCTAGAAGGGCATAGGTTTGGGGTGAGTGGGCAGGAAGTACCTAACAGAAACAGCCAGCACTGTGGCCTGCCACTCCTTAAATTATTCCCCTACATTTTTGGTTCTTAAACTTGAACATGCAACAGAATCACCTGGAAGTTTTGTTACAAACACAGTTTGTTGTGCCCTAACCCTAGAGTTTCAGATTCTGCAGGTCTGAGTGGAGACTGGACTCTTTATTTCTAGACAGTCCCAAAGGAGGCTGATGCTGCTGGTCCAGGAGCCACAGTTTGAGAACCACTGTTCTACATTATGCCACAGAATTTCTGGCCTGTCTGTTTAATTTACTGAGGAAAGCATTTAATCCATGTTTGTATTAACTGACCTAGAAAGTTTCGGAACCACAGCCAGCTGTCTGAGCTAACACATTGAGGGCAGACATTTTCAAGGTACACTCATATCAAAGAATTCAGACCAATCTATGCCGTTTTATCAACTACCTTGAGAGTCCATCTTCACAACGCACATATTTTTATAATATACATTAGCAAACTTTTGTAACTCTTTTCTTTGCTCTGACTCCTAATTCCTCACCCCATTCTATGTTGAGATCAGATTCTGGCCTAGAATAATGGTGGGAGATTTGGGGGAGCTTTTATTAGTTCTCCCATCCTGCACAAAAGTCTCTGCTTCATCAGGCAATGAAGAGAATATCTCATGAGATAAGGGAGTATTTCACGGGAATTTTTCAGAGTGTTTTGTTGGGTTCAGGGTATTACAAACACCCTGAACTTTCTCCAGACGTCACCATTCCTGTTGTCACAGGCTAGATTACCACCTAACTTTCACGTAAAAGAATTTTGTGGCTGTGACTTCAACCATTATTACAATTCAGCAACTTGTGAATCTTACTCTGGGCTTTGATTTTTGGTGATTTTAACCTTTTTCTATATGAGGCATGGTCAGGACAGTCTCTGAATTTCATCTGGGGCCTTGATAAAAGAATTTCCCTATTCTGGTTTACCATCCTCTCCCCTTAAAGATGGCCAATGCCAACTTCACTCCAGTTTCCTCATGTTGTTCTGTGGGACTGAAACATGTACTCCATGGAGACTTTTGTTTCCAATGGGTGTATGAGGCTGCGTATCCAGAGGCAATAACTTCCTTGTTTTTCCATTGTGTGTTTTGCCTAATTACCAATTCCAAATACTGTGTATTATCCTGACGGTGTTAGCTGCCCCCCTACTCCACCTCCCAGTGTTTGTATCAGGGTTCTCTGGTTGCAAATAAAAGGTGCTACGACAAAAAAAATGTGCATGATCTTACAAAATGGATATCAGATAACCTTTAGAATTGGAAGAAAAGCTAAATTTCAAGTTTTAGAAAGCCAAACAGCACTGAATGGGTGAGTAGCAAAACTTAACAGGCAGTCTCTTTAGGGGTACATGGTCAAAATAAATTACCTTCACCTATTTTCAGCCTGGGGAATTATATTTAACATTCACATTCCAGGAAGAAGGATACTAATGTCTTTTCAACCATGTGCCCACCCATTTGCCAGGAGAGGTCAGATCTCTTTGATGAACAGTTTTATCCATATTATATTCAATTGAGGATGAGACATTTTCCAAAGCAAAATTAGGATGCTATTTCCAGAAGAAAGGATAAAAGATGCTGAACAAGTAAAAGCAAACCTTGTCCATTCCAATCATAAAATCCAATTTAACGTAACACCAAAGTGTTATATTAAATACCTCCCCAGTATATGTGAATGGTGTTTGTAAGTTACCAATGGAATTCCCCATTCACATATACCAGGGAGGGGTTTTATTTTACTAAAATTTCTGGCTTTGGGAGAGCCTATTTTCTGGACTGTCTTTGTTCTTATTTCAGCTACTGTGAGTACAAAATTATATGCACCTTCTCAATAAATCACAGCATCTTTCTAAGGATAGCAAAATGTAGAAAGACACAAGTGAGTTTTAATATCCAGGAGTGTAATAGTGTAAATCTCCCTTTAAACGTAAACCATATGGGTTTACAGAGCAGTTGAAAGTAAGTCTGAAAGGCATTAATAGCCTTGACTAAATAGAAACAGACATCAAGCTAAGTACACAAACAGCTGGAAAACCAATGGGATGATAGAGATGTACAATAAATACAATCAAAAAGACTCAATCAAATGTAGAACGCAGCATATCAAAGGTAAAACCTTTACCTATTATTAATTATGACAGTAATTTCTATCTCATAACATTTCACATAGCAACTGTAACCAAGAACATCTGCATTTTAAACCGAAGGTGCCTCATATGCTAAATAAACTGAAGTTGCCTCATATGCTGAAGGGAAGCAGGATATATGCACATCTTCTAGGAGCTAAGCAAATGGTTGTACAACATCCAGGCTTTCTTGCAAACCACCATTTACCTTATTTGATGTTGGAAAAATAACATCTTCTGTGTTACGCAATGGTGTACAATTCAAAGTAGAATTTGAACAAGGAAAGGAAAGTAGTATAAGGGTCCTAAGTTTCCTTTGTTACATATTCTATGTTTTGTATTTCAATGACTGCCATTAAATATAATAGCCTCTTTTCATAAGTACCATTCAACCAAAGTATAAACAATCACAAATATCCTTCATCTAGAAATAAATGAACAAAAACAGTTGTACAAGGCCAAGATATCTTTGTAAGTGGGATTTTATTTACAATTATATCTCTCCTGATTTCTCTCATATCTCTTCAAATTTCTGCTTCCCAGGCTTCCCTTGTATCTATTCACATAAACCTACAGAATCCTCACATCTGCTTTCTATGTCCTTACCTTATATCTAGCCTGTGGTCCCCATATTCAATGGCTGAGTCCTTGTTCTTGATCTCATTAAAGCGATTATGGAATTAATCACGTGAGAGTTTATAGTGGTTGAGCTAGTTTTTTCTGACAAACTTTTAGTTGGTGCTTGGTTTGGGTAACAAGTTCATTCCCAGTTTCTTATTACAACTATTGATAAAATCTATTTGGTAAAGAGGTTTCCTGGACTGAACAACTACTAAACATTTTATGTGGATTATCACAAGCATGCCTTACTCCAATTATATGAGGTGAACACTTAACAATGGACATCTGTTGTTTTCATGATTCCCTGTATGAGTCCCACCTTCCCAAGGTGTACACAAACATTCACTTCCCACAGGCTCCCTTGCAGCTAGGGTGGAGATGTGCCATAATTTCAATGATCTGCTCATGCTTCATTCAGATTTGAACAGCCTGAGGTAAGAGGCTCTGAATGGGTGGGGAAGGACAACCATTTTTCTCTCATGGGTGGCAGAAGAAGTGGGTAGCAGTGGTGAATGCAGAAGAATTCCTGTCCAGTTGGATTCGGGATACAGTTGTATTATCTTCCTCATCCATTTAATTCTTCATGGCTTAGGACATTGTTCATTGTTTCTGAAACTTTAGAATTGAGCCTGTTCTTTCATTACTCCTACAGATTCTATGAGATGCCTAATATCGTTTAAAATTTTTGATCTCACCTTAACATAGCCAAAGTAGATTCTGTTGTTTGCAGCTAAGAAATATGACTAATACAGTACTATTAGGACAGTCATAGACATTATTACAATGTTTCAGTCAACGATTGACTGCATATACAATGGTGGCCCCTGGTCCTGTAAGATTATATCATACTTGTATTGTACTTTTTCTATGTTTAGATACACAAATATATACCACTGTGTTACAATTGCCTACAGTATTCAGTACAGTAACATGCTTTACAGGTTTGTAGTCTAGGAGCAATAGGCCATACCATATAGCCTAGGTGTGTGGCAGGCTGTACCACCTACATTTGTGTGAGTACACTCTATGCTTTTCGCCAATGACAAAATTGCCTGACAACACATTTCTTAGATGGTATCCCTGTTGTTAAGTGATGCATGCCTATGTTATCCTCCTAAAGAGCAAAATAAATGGAGGTACATTGAAGTTAATTAATTCATCTAATACCTATCATACAAAAAGTAAATGAAGTGTTGGAGCTAGAATTGAAATGAGTGACTTTTTAATACTTCATATCTTTAACTTCTCTCTCCAGAATAGGCAACATTTTAAATTGTTAGCAATCACGTATTCCTCAGAATGTATTTGTGCCTGATCTTTTTTAATGACAACTTTTTAGATCATGAGAACATGATATGTTGTGAAAAGAGAAAAGAATTCATAAAAAAAAGAAAGTGTTTTCATGGGTCTCAGGAGTTACACTGCAAAAGCCAGAGAAGAAAGGAAAGATTTGAAATAGCCTGGGGAGGGTTAGGAGAAGGATAATAAATGTGCACAAGCAATGTTTTTCAGGTTGAACTATTTTTTAGAAACTTCAGTTTGAGGCACATTCATTCAGATCATGTATTTCGCAAAGCGTAGTCTGAAAATGAGAGAATTCCATGGTAGGTGATATAAAAACTGCCAAATCTGCTGTATCTTCATGAAAGGAATGAAGGTTTATGTCTTACAGTATGTGGGTTAGGTATATTAGATTTTTAAAATAATGTTTTGTCTAGTTTGTTTCCAGTTTTCTAACAATATTCCTTTTCCCTGTCTGCCATTATAGCTTGTGTCCACTAGTAGAACACACAGCCCTGTTTTTCAGTATCATGAGGACTCTTTTGGCTGGGGCCATTAGTAAAACCTTTGAATCCCTTCTTGTTTACCTTTCCTACATATTGTTTAGAGTTTTATAACTTTTCTCTAGAAGTGTTTTGTTGAATGTCATTTGACTTTGCAGTTAGCTTGCTCTCAAATTCAGTAAAATGAGTTTCAAGATGTCCATGTCCTTTTAATAGGCAAATATTCTTGGCTTCTGAGAAAGCTATTTTTGTTTTTGCTCTCAGTCGAATCACTTGGTGTTGAAAACCTTCTATTGCCCTTCCTTGTTCCTTTATTAATTAGATGCTTAAGTGGGTCTTTCAAAAGCTAAAGTTCCCATTATTATATTTAAATCATGCTTTCATTGTTATTATGTATGAATTATCCTTCATTCTTAAACTTCAATTACTTTTTTTTCAATAGAGACTAAGCATTGTATAAAGTACTTGAAAAGAATATGGTCCAAGTTAGTGAAGATCATTTTTCTCTTTCTTAAGGTCTTTATAAAGACCATGGGTTCATAAATTTAAATTTTAAATTTTAAATTGATACAATAGCCTAGTAGTTCTGGAATTGACTGCTAAGCTATTTTATCCATCAGTATTTACTCAGGACAGGAGAACTCACTCCAGATCATTTAATAGAGGGAAGTTTATGGCAGGAAATAATTAGAAAGATATTGGAAAAACAAAAAGGAAGATAGTAGATGCCTAGACAGCCGAGATATTAGCAACAGCAAAAAGTTGTTCTCATCTCTAGCACTGGAAGGACAAGTGGAAGAGGTGGTGTAGCCCAAGTTCAGGTGCCAGGGCTTCCCTCCAGAGAGCTGGAACCAGGGAGGAGAGGCAGCCACTGCTGGAGATACAGCCAAAAGCAAAGAAACGGGAAGAAATGCATTGGATTTTACCCTCCTTTCACATCCAGTTTCCTGCCAGGAACTCCCATTGACAGAGTCTGACTGAAAGTCAGTTGGCAAAGGAACTGGGAAATCTATGTCTCAGTCCTTTGTGATACACTGCAGAGCAAGGGAAGGGTGGGAAATAAACTGAGAAGCGACAGTCCAATGGCTGCCACAGCAACCTCAGGGAAAGTTTGCAACTGCAGCAGGATTGTCTGAAACTGCTTCCACTTAACTCTTCTGCCTATAAGTTATTTAACAGGGCTTTCTGTAGGCAGCTGTTCTGTGAGGGATCTCATTGTACCAAAAACTGTTCTGAAAATACACACAAAATATTATATTATGACACCAGACTATAGTTATTTTTTAAATATTAGTTTATTTGCTTTCCTTATGATGAGCTATTTATTTTTCTTTCCTCTATATATAGAACCCAGGATAGTATCAGTGTTAATGAAGTCTTATAACAATTATTATTAGCATGCTCTTATTCCATAAACTGGTAAGTTTCCGGTACGCCTTCAACTCCATTCCCATTATTATAATCATATAATGTCTAGCAGTAACATCGCATTAAAATTTCAAAGAATTTTTCTCTTCGCTGACAAAATCTGTACTTGCTTACAGATTACATTTTCTATTTTTAGTCATAAAATGGGACCAATGTAAGAAAGTCTCGGTTGATAGTGCTGAAGGTAGCAAAAAGAAAACATGGAAACTTTCATGGAAGTGTTGAGTGATGGTCCTTGACCAAGGTGTGCCATAGAGCGTTGTGGGGAGCAGTGAAAAGGAGCAGCAAGTGACAGGGTGACAGGGAGCTGGTTGTGCTAGGGAGGAAGAAGGCACTCCAGTTATTTCACAAATCTTTAACAATAGAATGAAAAACAAGACAGACACAATCTTTTGCTTTTGTGAGTCTTATATTCTAGTGGGAAAGACAAACAAAATTAAGTTTTTAAGCGATGGTCATTTCAGGTAGTGGTGTGATAAGAAGGAGGCAACATTTGCTGAGTGGCAACCTAGAGTGGGTGGCCAGGAAATTTCTCTCTGAGTTGGTGCCCTTAGTCCTGAAGCCTGAATGAGGACCTCAGGAAAAAGCATTTCAGATAGGACATAGTCCCAGAAGCCAGAACAAACTGGCATTTTTGAGGAATCAAAAGGCAGCCACGTGGCTAGAACCTAATGAGGGAGGGAGAGATAAAATGGGTTGGCTGCTGCAGCAGCTGCATTTTATTAAACCCACAAATTAGGGTGGAACCATTATTCCAGGATGACTGCTAAACAAATAACACTGGGATTGTAAAAAAAAAAATGGATTCCGTTATGCATGGCATTGTGCTAGGTGCTTACAGGATACAAAGATGAATAAAGCATGGACTCTGCCTCTCAGGATTCCCTGGCTAGAGAGGGAAACACCAGAATTAAAAATGACTCAGTATAAGAAAAATATATACTAAACGCAAGGGGAGTGTAAAAGAAAAAATTCAAACAAGGCTGCAAACCATGAAAGGAAACATTATTTTTATTAAAAAATTAAGATGGATTGCAATGCTTCAAATGTGAAACAAAATAATTCAACTTTGGACAGTGTTACAGGAGACCATTTTATGTCTTCTGGCGTCAGCCAAACCAGAATTTGGATCATAGGGTTTTTGAGCTACAAGGGATATGAGTTGTCATTGAGTTCAAATCCTTCATTTTTCTGAAGAGGAAATAAAAGAAGTTACATGACTAGTTCAAGGTCAGTAAACTGACACCAGCCCATGAATCTCTCTAGAACATATCCTGGTTCATTTTTCCATAGAGTAGCGTAGCCACAGGTGTCATCTTTAACCAATGATTCACACATCCTGAGATACAGTTTAAAAGTATAGGTCAGCCGATTTTATTCATTCATTCATTTATTCAACAAATGTTTATTGAAAATATGCCTACCATATGCCATGGAACACCTACTATGCTAAGCATCCATATACTATTGAACATTTTATGCTAATCACTGCACTCCTACAGAGAGAATCAAAAAAACCGAGTTAAAAACTTAACAGTTGTTATTTTCCCCAAGCCAAATGTAATGAAAAGTAAGAAGTCATTATAAGAAGAACTATAATTTTCCCAAAGCATGGCAGTAATTCTGGGCTTCCTGTCTATAAATAGGATGGTCCACTCTAAATGGACCCCACTGCACTTCTTTAAATCACAATTACTAAGTAACCATCCACAAACAGCTGATGTTGGAATTGCAGGATCAAGATGAGCAAACTTCATACTAGGGCATTTAAAGATATGTCTGTGGGATGACTAATAGCCTATATGGAGAGTGAAATGCTCAGCTGCTCAGAATTCTTAGCAGGTCTCTGAATTCTGTCTAAAAATATTGGCAGCAACATCTGTCCTCATTGTCGGCGCATGCTGAGAAGGCTTTAATATTCACCCAGAACAGGTAGGCTCTTGGCTTTCAGGGGGTTGAATAAAGATCCTCTCTACCCAGCAATCTGCGTTGACTGAATTTTAACTTCCTTGGAGATACTAAAAACTGTTGGAAATTTAAATTTTAGGTTCAGGGAGACTGGTATTTATTAAAGAACTCATTCATTGAAAGTCAGGAGATAGGTTCTAAGCATTATCTATTCTATGAACAAGCCATGGCTTTGAATGTCCTCCCGGCCATCCCTGTGTACTCTTCACTGTGTTATAGGCACTGTATGTGGATGGCCTTTTGGCCTCTGAACATATATATTTTCTAACCTGAGTGCCTTTGCTTCTGCGGTTTCCTGTGTCTGGAATCTTGTTCTCTTATTTCTATGTCTAAAACAAAATAAAATAAAACAAATCCCTGCTCATCCTTTAAGGCCTTGCCCAAAATTTACATCCAATTTTCATCACAAAAATTGATCATGTCTTTCCCAATATTCTATAACATTAACACATAAAAGCTTTTACTGTGTGTCATGTACTCTATACGCCTATCTAACTTAATTCTCACAATCATTTTCTCTCATTTACAAACAAGGGAAATGAAAGCCAAGATCAAGTTGCTAGCAATTAGCAGAGCTGAGATTCAAATCCACGAACATCTGATTTCAAGCACCATAGCTTAACTATTTTATTTTCTAGTATCTGGCCTCTACCATCCAAGCGTATCAGAACTAGTTATATACAGCTCTAATTATACTGTGAAGTGTGAACTCTTTGAATAGAAGGACTATGATCAAGTGGAGCCAGGATTTGAGGAAAAAGACCAGCTCATTCTACAAACTTGAGTTGATGCTCTACCATGTTGATGGTAAGATTGAGATCTGTTATAATAACAATAGTGATTAATTGGGCATGTTTGGAACTAGAAAGCACTATTTGTTGTAGGTGCACAAATTTTGGTACTTTTGTTCCTTAGTTGTTGTTTTTTAAAAAAAATCCAATTCATAGAAGCATATGGTATTGTGTATTATTTTGCAATAGGACTGTGAACGATTCTCTAGAATTATTCATTTATTTATTTATCCAGTAAACACTTAGTGAGCTTCTATTGTTCTTAAGGCATAGTAGAGGGGTCATAGAGGTATAAAGTAAAATCATTGCCCTCAAAAATAGACATAAGTGAGATAAGACATGTATATATATAATCATAATGAAACTTTGTGTAACCATTCAATTTTAGGAGAAATACCATTTACATTTCATTAATCCAGATTTACACTTTTAAGCCTTCAACAGTTCATCATACGTTTTTACTCTCTTACCTAGAGGGAGAAGGAGTAAGTTGAAAGTGGAGGGACGGGAAGGGTAAACAGAGCATAGAAGGAATGCTAACATATATGAAGAAAAGGACATAAGACACCATGATAGTTCTGAATAAATATCTCAAAACTTCATTTTCACTTTTGTTGTAAATGACAAGTTTTTAAGTCAGAATAGTTATAGTCAGATGGTGCACCATCCAAAACACTGCCCAGAATGGTAACAATATAAATACATAATGTTTTCTCCTCCCACATACATATTCAACTACAACTGACATAGAGTTGAGGTCATCAGTATCTCACCAATCTGGGAGCTTTTTCTATTCCTATGGCCCTCACTCTCATTCCTTTAGGCAAATTAGCAGAGCTCCATCAAAATGCATTCTTAATTCATAAGCAGATAATAGTTTGAGCTGGCAATTCTCATAACTGTGTTCAGTGCTGGCATCCATTCCTTATCCAACACACCAGCAATTGCTCCATAGCCAAATCCCCCGTTAAGTCCTGCACCACACTGTTTCTGTCTCCTGTAGGGTCTCCAGAATATATTTTGTATATCTATTTTTTTTCTGGTCCAGAACAAAAGCCCAACAGTATTGGTTAGGACAAACATTACTTTGTTAATGGGTTATTTATTCTCATATTCCATATATATGTTTATCCCTTACAATTCTTGACCTAGTATTAGCATCTAGAGACATTTGCTGAGTTAGACTTCAATTGTCATTTCTGTACCAATCGTTTAAACACTAGCTGAAAATTATATCTTTTGTTCTTTTTAAAAGAAAATTAGAGGTGAATAATGGTTGTTTTATGAAGCTTCTTTATCTCTTGGCTGTAAATGGCATCATAGATTTGAAATCCTAAATTCATATTAAAATGATCGACAGGACTGTAAGGCCTTTGGGAGCAGAAACTGTTTTATTCACTCAACTCAATGCAATCATACTCCTTGTACTTCACACAAAACTTCCAAAATGGGTGCTTCATATGTTTGTGTTGAATGCAACTGAATAAAAAATGGTGGTTCATTTTGGTTTTTTGTTTGAGACAGGGCCTCATTCTGCTGCCCAGGCTAGAGTGCAACAGCACAATCAAAGCTCACTGCAGCCTCAACCTCTTGCGCTCAAGCAATTGCCCCACCTCAGCCTCCTGAATAGCTGAAACTACAGGTGTGTGCCACCATGCTTAGCTAATTTTTTTTACAAAATAGCTAAGGTTAATTAAAAATGCAATTTTTACATTGCAGGGTCTCATTCTGTTGACCAGGCTGGTCTTGAACTCGCAGACTCAAGCAATCCTCCTGCCTCAGCCTCCCAAAGTGTTGAGATTACAGGCATGAGCCATCGTGCCTGGCCCATTTTGTTAATGCTACATATGGAAATCTGATGATAATGTTACCCAAGTTTAGGGAAATTTTCTGGGCTTTTAAAGAACTTAGGTAGCAAAACAAACAGTATGTAGAATCAACTTGGAAGAGTTTTGCCTTGTATTCCCAAATCTGTGGGAAATACTTTAATCAACATATTATGTTTCTGCACTCCACTCCTGGAACTATAGATTCTACCCAAAATGAACACTTACCTTTCAAATTGACACTTGGATAAAAAAGCAAGCAAAAGTAACCATATATATTTAAACAAACAAACAGTGGAAAAGGCTGCAACTTCTTTCACCGTTCTTAAGAGCAGAGCATTTAACCTTTGCATATACTCCCTTCCACAGTCTTACAATTTAAATGCATTCTTTAAAGTTAACCTGTTCTGTCAAGCATATGATAACTGCAGGAAGATATGCCAGTTGTGTGGAATGGAGATGGGGCAATGTCCTGCTGTTCCTTTTTGTATTCACTTTATTACCCAGGGGAATAAGTTTTTCCCTGTGGCTCCCTTCAGCTTGATCGTCATTTTTCAGTGGTGAAAGCCCCATCAAGAGATAGCAGCCTCTCCAATGGAAGAAAGAGGATCTGCCACTTTAAATTTTCAGCAGGCAACTGGCATTTTATTATTTACGTATTTCATGTCATTATGTTGGATAATATAACAAATGATGCAATCAGAGCCACGGGAAATTTAAAGTGGTGTACACCTGTTCTCACCTGGGAGAGGAGCAATAGCTCATACACAACTTCCCTAGCTGAAAACCAGCAGTACACAAAACCTTTGCATAGAACTGTGCCTCCAAACTGACAAATAGGCCAAGTTGGAGAACATGAAATAAATTCCTTTAGCCTTCTTTGATGAGCTTTGGACTTGATTTTTTTTTCATAAATGACATTTTTCTTTTTTTGAAAGTCTTTTTTGTTGTTGTTTGCTTTAGGTAAACTGTCACGGACATAGGAATGTAAAAATCAAGTATAAATCACAATTGCTTTCCTGAGCTCCTGGCTGAAATTTGTCTGCTAGTCCTAGTGATGGACCCATTTATCAGCAATGCTGTTACTTCCACTTGGAAATTGTATGCAGAAGAACTATGGTTGTATTTTCTGCAGTTAGTGAACCAAAAAAATATATTTCTCTCAAGAAATTGATAATGGGTCATGAAAAAGAATTAGCTCCACCACAATCTCACCTCCTTGAGGGTCAACTTCATGAGAAATTAGGAAATTACTCAAGAAAAAAAATGACTTCAAATGTATAGCTGGTTGGCTGTTCCACTACTGGTTGAATCATATTAAGATAGCTTCAGGGTTTCTGGGTTACAGGAGCACTAAACACTCAAATCTCTAGCCATCTGCCTATTACTAGGCCACGTTCCTGAAGGAGGATGAATATTCAGGTTAAATATTTTTTTTTTCTCATAAGGCTTTTGTCTCAATCCTAATGGAGTCTCCCAGTGAGCCAAGTGTACCTGGTAGGGCTGCCAGATAAAATACTGGACACCCCATTAATTCAAATTTCAGATGAACAACAAATAAGTGGTATTAGTAGTATGTCCCAAATATTGCATGCTAGAGGTATAATGTATAGTCCAACCCCCCCCCAAAATATCCAATCATCTAGTGACATAGGATATGCAAGTATAATTATGAAATTATAATTATACTAAAATAACATATATATTATACATATAAAATATTTATTATATTTTATATAAGGAAAACTTATACTCTATAGTATATAGGAAGTCCTAAATACTGCATGGGACATATTTATACTAAAAGATTATTTGTTGTTTATTTAAAATTCAAATTTCACTGGGCATTAGGGGTTTTGTTGTTTGTTTTGTTTTTTCTAAATCTGGCAAACCTATTAAAGAGAAGACTCCCAGTACCTGAATTACCTGTAAGCCTAAGGCAAGTGCCCTTTTTGGCCCCTTTCACCTGGACCTACATCCATATCCCAGTCACATACATCATCACTAGCCCACTAGCTAGCAAAGGACATCACAAATAAGGAAGTGGAAGAAAGAGATTTTCTTTATAAAGTCTATAGCAGATGCATCTAACCATTTTAGCTCAGGCTTCACCACAAAGATGCCTCTTCCCAAATGCGAGGTAGCCCAGGGCCCCTCTACCACGCCAACCACATGTAAGAAGAAAGGGAGACTGGGAATATCCATCCTGCTTTAAGGTCTCTGAGTTCTCACACCTTCAATCTTTCCAACACTAAGCAGTGTGGTCCAACAAATGACCTTAGATGTGGCTCCTTGACATCAGCACCCTTCTTCCACAGGGCTGGAGTGCTGGCAAATCATTTCTACTGAAGCACAGGGTAACATACTTCTGGGACCCTGCTATTTCTTACGTTATGATGGGTGTACAAATTAAACTGATGGGTTCACAAGAACTTTATAATACACATTATAGTTTTTGTTCTTCTTTATTTTCCACAATAAATACATGTGGCTTACCAGAACTACAAAGGAAATAAGATCAAGTTCTCACTTTCCTATTGTTCAATCTGGCACTCACAGTCAATCATGTCTTTTGAATAGTCATCTTGCTGAGTATCAGAGAGGTTTCTGCCTCAGAGTGTTCTTGTTTCTTTGTGACCACACCTGTAAAAGTCTTTTGCTCTTTTGGTAATGTTCACATTACCATGACCATGGCAGTGTCTGTCAGATTGACACATGTTAGAATCATCTGGGGGGCTTGTTAAAACACAGAGTTTCTGATTCAGTGGGTCTAGGGTGAAGCTTGAGGACTTGCATTTGAAATATGAGCCCAAGTGATGCTGTTGCTGCTGGTCCAGGGACTACACTGTGGCTATTGATTGGTCTTTCTTATTGTGGCCAGACGTTGCCTTATTACAGCTATAGGATACCAGTATCCTATTAAGGTGGCCATTGAATACCCTCAAATCAATTTTAGAAGACACGCCACATATGTGGGTGCATGCACACTTTAGAATATTTATATATCAATCACTTTAAAAGATAATAAATCTATATCTCATTAGTGTTACATTAAATATAGAACACTGTGGTTCTCACGTGTTTGCTCTTAATTAGATATAGAAATTTCTGTCTATACCTGGGAATATATTTCCCTTTTGACTCCCAAACCACTATATATAATTAATACTTAGAGAAGATATAATCTTTGCAAATGAATTAACTTGCAGATATACACTGATAATTTAAATAGAACTTTTTTTATTTTGGTAAGTAATGCATATGTTAATAAAAACATTTAAAAATATATAAAATTTTAAGAATTTTAAAGAAATAAAGAAAAAAAGTTCAAAATAACACATGAAGGTTACCACAAACCCCACACTCTAGACAACCTCCATGAATGTTATATATCTCTCCTGCCTCTTTTGTTCTCCTTTTTTTCACTTTATGAAATTGGAACCACGTTGTACATACTGTTCTGCAATTTTTTTTCACCAAATGATAAATTGTGATTATTTTCCTATACCACTAAATATGCTTCAACAGTATGATTTCTAATGACTGCAAAGTGTTCTTTCACAACGAGACATTTTAATTTATTTGGTTTATCCTCTATTGTTGGGCATTCAAAGTATTTTATTTTTTGCTACTGTAAATAATACCGTGAGATAGTTCCAGGTTAAAATTCCATTCTGGCTGATCACCAGAATACAACTTTATCTAATTTCCAACTAAAACAAAACAACTATAAAGACCAGAAAATAATGAAAGCTCATAGAAACTCTAAAAATTTTGATTTATTAGCAATTAAACATTAGACTCTCAAAGGACTACTAATTACAAAGCAAAAAAAAAAAAAAAACTGGGCAAGAAACAAAACTATTTAAGTTTTACCTCATGAGATGCCCAATCTTTATCTCCTGTATTTAGTACAAAAGCCCTCTGAGAAGAAAAATGACTCTATGTGCATTCCCACTCTCCTTCCCCTACTCGGAATTCAAGATCTTCGCTAAATGGAACATTAGAAGCTATTCTTTGCACTACAGCTGTTTCTTCTTAAGAATGCCACTCTTTCCTTTTGATACCTCTTTTTTGTACACCACTACATAAACAGTTATACCCAAGGTGCAACTGATGAAACAAATGGGATGCTGGTGGTAATACCTCCCATCCTAGGATACGGAGCTCTATAAAGAAATCTGTTAAGTTAGGGGCAGAGATAGGAAGAATGCTGGGAAATGTGCATCAAAAAGTACCTGTTCACAGTATCATAAAACCAGACAGTAGCAGCAGAAGATGCCATATCAATAAAGTAAAGCTGCAATAGATGAGCACCTTCTAGGAAGTAGATATTGAACTTGGAGTAAACTCATCAACCTGCCCTTTAGTTGTTATGATGAACAAGGAATTTTGCCATCTGTCTGCAAGTGGACAGAACCAAGGGAATCCATATATCTTATTTGTTGACATATGACAATATTATAAAGAAAGTGAAAAGAAAGCACCAGTTGGCCTAAGAAAATAATGCCAATCTGGAAGGTTCAAATGACAAGTGTAACTACAAAAATTATCAGCTTCTAGTTCAGAAGAAAATCTTGAAACTCTTTGGCATCTTTAATTCATACAAGAAAAAATTACTTTGATGAAGAGGGGCTGAAATGTGCATGGTGAGAATAACCCAGGAAGAAAGCCAATAAGTTGACACAAAAAGACAACAGTATTAGGGAAAAACGGATGTGGATGAGATGTGAAAGTATTGCAGATATATTTAAAAATGCAACAGGGAATTTAAAATGATATTTGAGGTCAGAAAGAGCAGAGTTGGTGTAGAGCACAAACTTGGGATCCTTTACCAGATTGCAGAGGAAAAGAACACAGATATGAAAGTTACAAAAAAGATATAACTATAAAGAACAGAAAGCTGATCTATCTATCTATCTATGTATCTATCTGAATAATTAGAATTCATGAAGAAAATCTTAAGCAAATACAACAGAAAAAAACACCAAAAATATTATTGAGAAAAAGTCTTTCAAAAAAAAAGATTTCATGAGCTATTAATTTGCAGGGAAAAAAATCGGTGAATTCATACCCATAACTGAACTTATTCTGTGTGATGCTTTAAGAAAACATGGCCACATGTTATTTTATATTCTTCCCTTCAAGAGCTTAGTTTCTCTTCCCTTGAGAATGGACCAGATTTAGTAGTGACTTGCTTCTAACTTGCTTCTGGAAACGACAGTTTGTGACTTAGAGACTAGAACATAAAAGACACCACAGCTTCTGTCTCTCTCTCTCTCTCTCTCTCTCTCTCTCTCTCTCTCTGTCTCTCTCTCTCTCTTTCTTTTCACTTGCTTTGAGGGGAGTCAGCTGCTTTATAAAATAGTTCTATGTGGTAAAGAACAAAAGCATCCAGATGAGAACGAGTAAGGAACTGAGGCCTCCAGCCAATAGCCAATGTGAGTGAACCATCTTAGAAGTGGATCCTTCAGCTCCACGCAGGCCTTCAGATAACTATAGCTCTAGCCAATACCTTGACTGCAACCTCATCAGAGATGCTAAGTCAAAATTACTCAGCTAAGCCTCTACTGGATTCTGACCCACAGAAGTGATAACGAATGTCTGTTTTCATTAAGCCCCCAAATTTGAGGGTAATTTAAAAATGCTGAAATAGATAGCTGACATACCTTGCCATCATTTTAAAACTACCTATATATTATGTTGATGCAAAAATTATTATATGTAAAATATATTAAAAAGAGTTATGTGCTGATAATAAGCATTCTACCTAAAAGTTACTTAAGAGAACAAAAATAAAAATAGATCAGACTTCTCTTCCACAACACTAAATGGCAGATATCTGTAAATGCATATCTACTGAATTTGGAGAAAATATTCTGACTCAATGATTTTATATAGAGTTAAGACATTCTTAGATACTCAAGAGTTCTTAAAATACACCCCACATATGCCCTTCTTGGAAAAAATTGATGATATTTTAAAAATAACTTAGTAAAGAAACAACACTCAAGAAAAAAGATGGATACAAAAAGCAGTAAGTACTGCCAATTAACTGTAACAGTAAGTATAAAGCATTACAATATTATTGAAGACTAGCTATTAAATAATTATAATTGTCAATAATTATTTTCAAAATTAAAGATATAGTTGGTATATATCCATAGTAATATAGTATATATAATGTATAACTCTATATATAGTATTTATAACTATAGATATATATAGTGTGTGTATATATATAATACTGGGCATCTAAAATCTTATACTAAGAAAGACTGAAAAGTGAGGTATATGTGAAAAAGTGTACTGAACTTTGATTGATGTGGGGTGGGAAAAAACTCAAATTTTGTTGTTTTTCTAAGGTTTTGAAAATTAGAGAAATATAGATTAAATATGCATTTTGAAATTGTTAATTATAACTATTAATGGAATTAAAAATCAGAAGCTATCTTTACAAAGCTTGGAAAATATGAAATATGGAAATATAGTTTTGATAGCAAAAGTCAGAAAAAAGTGAAAAAATGACGCATAAAATAGATCACATGGATAAAATGATAGTTAAAAAGCAAATATTTATTTTGTAAAAAAATTAATTGATTAAAATACCATATTAAAAGCCAAGATTTATATTTGATCAAAACCAAAATCCCACTATCTGCTGACAATGGCATACATCAAAAACGGACACAAAGCTGTACCACTAAACATTAAAGTACAGATTAAAATATGTTTAATAAGTGCTGATCAAGGAAACCATATTGTTTAATTAATATTAGGCAAAGTAGAATTCAGTGCAACATGTAAAGGATGTCCTTGTCTTAGAGGGTCATTTTACATCAATACAGGATATATTTGGTAAAGAAAATGTAAAAATTATAAACCTCCCTGTACCAATTCCAATTACAACCACATATATAAAGTGAAAATTATTATAAATTAAATGGAATTTCAGGTATACTAAGTGCAAATTTTAAAAACATTTTCCCTAAAGTTGAAAAAAAAAAGCACACAAAAATAGTATACTTTGGAAAGAATTGGCAGTTTTAACTATTTTTTTCAAAGTTGAGTCTTTATGTAAAAAAGTACACAATAAGAGGCTCCAAGTTGGCTAACTAGGGGCATTTTATACTTGCTTCCTCCACTAAGAAGAACAAAAATAGCAAGTAGATAATCACACTTTAAATAGATCATCCAAGAGAAAACACTGGAATTCAACATATAAGTGACAGGCAATACCTAAAGCAAGGAAGGAGAAAGAAGCAAGGCAGCCTACTTGGCTGGCTTAGCTGGGAGCTGAGAGAGACTCCCCAATATGGGGGAAAGAGTGAGAGACCCTCAGCAGTCCACATTCTCACCCTGGACTCCAGTCCTAGCCATGGAAGAACCCCTCAACCCTCACAGGCCCTGAAACTAATGTAGGGAGCTGACAAGGAATTGTACCACAAGCACTGTGCCAGGGAGGAAAGCTTGTGCTGGGTCCCTCACATTCTTTGAGACCTAAGCAGCAATGGCAAGGTGCCATTTTAGAATTCCATCCCCAACAGGCTGCACACTATCCTGAAGCCCAGCAGCGCTGAGGCTGAGGTGCAAGAAAAGAGCTGGCTTAGGCATGAGTAACTGCAGGCTACCACACCCAGGGCTGAGGCATGAGTGGTATGCACACTCCCCACCTGCCAGTCTAGGTTGCCATCACTGAAGATAGCACTGCCCCCCAGTGGCAGAGCAGCAGCATGGCCACTGCCACCCCCTACCTGAACATTCCACTGATTGCCTAGGAATTACCCTACCCCTGCATACCATGGCCAGTTCCTATACACATTATCAAGGGGTCTGAGGGCAAGACAGCCTGCCCCAGCTTCATCCTTCCTTCCTCTGCCATGACAGAGCAGCACAGAGTTCAGGGACCGGGGGATTGCCCAGCCTAGTCCACCACCAATGGTACCTGAACACTCCTCCCAGGGACCTGAGGTTGGGCCTAAACTGGGCCACTATCACCTAGTTGCACTGCCACCTGTGGGCCTGGAGACTGACTTGTTCAGCCATTCAGCCACTGCCAGCACCAGCACACAGTGATCAGGAACCAGAGAGTTGTCCTACAACTGCCACTGCCATTGCCATTGCCATTGCCCATGCCATGCCAGCTTCTCTTTTAAGACAGGCACATTCTACCCATCACTGAGGCCCAAAGCCTGACCTATCTGGCATCCCAGTTGCCAGGAAAACTGCACACAGCATCTACTAATAACTGCACTCTAAGCCACCAAGTAAATATAAAATACCACTGACGCTGTTTACAGACAAACAAATCACGCAGAGACAACTCTCCTGCATACACCAAGAATCAAAGCCAGAGTGCCTTAGCCAACTAACACCATAGATTCATCCTTAGGAAAAAGTCCTTCCCTACAAAAGCAAATTCAGAAAACTGGAAGAAGCGACTTATACGCCAGATGCATAGATATCAACATAAGGACACAGGAAACATGAAAAAGCAAAGAAATATGACACATCCAAAGGAACAAAATAATTTTTCAGAAACACATCCCAATCAAAAAGAAATCCACAAACTCCTGGAAAAAGAATTCAAATTATTGATTTTAAAGAAGCCTAGTGAAATACAAAAGAACTTTAAAAACAGTACAGGCCGGATGCAGTGGCTCATGCCAGTAATCCCAGCACTTTGGGAGGCTGAGGAGGATGAATCAGCTGAGGTCAGGAGTTCGAGACCCACCTGACCAATATGATGAAACCTGGTCTCTTCTAAAAATACAGAAATTAGCCGGGTGTGCTGGCAGGATTACAATCCCAGCTACTGAGATTAGGAGGCTGAGACAGGAGAATCATTTCAACCCAGGAGGTGGAGGTTGCAGTGAGCCGAGATCGTGCCATTGCACTCCAGCCTGGGCAACAAGAGTGAAATTCTCTCAAAAAAAAAAAAAAAAAAAAGTACAAAAAAAATTCAGAATATGAATGTGAAATTTACCAAAGAGATAGATATCACAAAAAAGAACCAAACAAATTCTGAAACTGAAGAATTCATTGACTGAATGACAAAATACATTCAAAAGCTCCAACAATAGACTAGATCAAAAAAAAGAAAGAATCTCATAACTTGAAGATAGGTCTTTTGAAATAACCTACTCAGACAAAAATTTTAAAAAAGAATAAAAAAGGAATGAACAAAGCCTTCATGATATGTGCAACACCATAAAGCAACCAAATACCTGAATTATTGGTATCCCAGAAGGTGAAGAGAAAAACAAAAGGATACAAAAACCTATTTAATGAAATAATAGAAGAAAACTTTGCAAGTCTAACAAGAGATTTAGACATCCAGATACAGGAAGCCCAATGACACCCAAACAAATACAATGCAAAAAGGTCTTCTCCGCAGCACTTTACAGACAAGATGTCTAAAGTCAATGACAAAGAGAGAATCCCAAAAACAGCAAGAGGAAAGCATCTAGTCACCTATAAGGAAACCCCTAACTGACTAACCATGGACTTATTATCAGAAATCTGACAGGCCACAAGAGAATGAGATGATGTATTCAAAGTGCTGAAATGGAAGGAAAAAACTGCCAGCCAAGGATACTATACCCAGCAACAATATCTTTACTAAATGAAGGAGAAATAGTCTTTCCCAGACAAGCAAAAGCTGAGAGAATTCATCACTAGTAAACCAGCCCTACAAAAAATGTTCAAGGGAGTCCTAAACCTGGATGTGAAATAATGAGATTTACCATTATAAAAACACTTAAGAGTATAAAAATGGTAAAGCAAACACATAAATGAGAAAGAGAAAGGACTCAAATGACACATCCACAAATAACTGCCAAACCACAATAACAAACAATAAGAGAAAAGGAAAGGAACAAAGACTATACAAAACAATCAGAAAACAATATGACAGATACAAAACCTCACATATCAATAATAATCTTGAATGTAAATGGATTAAACTCTCCACTTAAAAGCTATAGACTGACTGAATGGATAAAAACCATGATTCAACTATATGCTGCCTACAAAATGTGCACTTCACCTGTAAAGACATGTAATGACTGAAAGTAAAAAGATGGAAAATGCTGTTCCATACAAACAGAAACCAAAAACAAGCAGGAGTGGCTATACTTAGATAAAACAGACAATAAACCAAAAACAGTTAAAAAAAAAAAGACAAGATCATTATATAATGATAAAATTATCAATCCAGAGAGAGGAAATAACAGTTCTAAACATATATACCCAATACTGGAACACCTAGATTTATGAAGCAAATATTACTAGATTTAAAGACAGAGATGGACTCCAATCCAATAACAGGGACGTCAACACCCCACTCTCAACATTAGTCAGATTATCTACACAGATAATCAATAAAGAAACATTGCATTTAAACTAGAGTTCAGACCAAATAGACCTAACAGGCATTTAAAGAGCATTTTATCTAACAATGGCAGAATACACATTCTTCTCCTTAGCACATGGAATGTTTTCCAGGACAGACTATCTGTTAGACCACAAAGAAGTCTCAACAAATTTTAAAACATATATATCAAGTCAACTATCTTCTCAGGCCACAATAGAATAAAACTATAAATGAATACTAAAAGGAAATTTGGAAACTATACAAATACATGGAAATTAAATAACACACTCATGAACTATAGTTGTCAATGAAGAAATTAACATGGAAATAAAAAAGTTTCTTCAAACAAATGAAAATGGAGACACAACATACCAAAACCTCTGGCATACAGCAAAAGCAGTACTAAAAGGGAAATTGATGTCAATAAATGTCTACATCAAAAATTAGAAATATTTTAAATAAACTATCTAATGATGCACCTCAAGGAACCAGAAAAGCAAGAACAAACCAAATCCAAAATGAGAAGAAGGAAATAAGTGATAGCAGGAAGAGAGAAAGAATAAAGACCAGAACTAAATAAAATGGAAACTATATGTATATGTATATATATATATACACACACACACACACACACACACACACACACACACACACACACACAAAGAATCAATGAAACTAAAGATTGGTTCTTCAAAAATAAATAAAATTGATAAACCACTAATTAGACTAACCAAGAAAAAAAGAGAGAAGACTGAAATAAAATAAGAAGTAAAAAGGAGACATTACAACTAATGCCACTGAAATATGAAAGATAATCAGAAATGTTGTGAATATGCACTAACAAGCTGAGAAACCTAGAGAAAATGGATAATGTCCTAGAAACATACAACCTACTAAGATTGAATCAGGAAGAAACAGAAAATCTGAACAGAACAATAATGAGTAGCAAGATTGAGTTTGTAATAAAAAGTCTTCAAATGAAGAAAAGCCCAGGACTGAATGTATTCACTGTCAGACTCTACCAAACATACTGAGAAGAACTAATACCAATCCTCCTCAAGCTATTCCAAAAAATTGGTCAGGAAAAGAATTCATGTGATATGACTGTGAATTCATAACTCATTCAATGAGGCCAGCATTACCCTGATACTAAAACCAGACAAAGACAACAACAACAACAACAAAATACAGGCCAACGTGTCTATGAAGATGCAAAAATCCTCAACAAAATACTAGCAAATTGAATTAACAGCACATAGGAAAGGTAATATACCATGATCAAATAGGATTTATACCAGAGATGCAACGACAGTTTAACATACATGAATCAGTAAACATGATTCATCACATCAACAGAATGAAAGACAAAAATCATATGATCATCTCGATAGATGCAGTGAAAGCATTTGCAAACATTCAACATTCCTTCATAATAAAAAGTCTTGATGAACTAGGCACAGAAGGACTATATCTCAAAATAATGAAGGCCATCTATGAAAAACCCACAGCTAACATCATACTGAATGGGAAAAAGTTGAAAATCTTTCCTCTAAGAACTGCAACAAGGCAAGGATGCATACTTTCACCACTCCTATTCAGCATAGTACTGGAAGTCCTAGTCAGAGCAATCAGGCCAGAGAAAGAAATAAAATACATTCAAATTGGAAAATAGGAAGTCAAATTGTCCCTCTTTGCAGATAACAGGATCTTATATTTAGAGAAACCATAAGACTTCACCAAAAAAACTCTCAGAGGTGATAAAGAAATTTAGTAAAATTCTAGGATACAAAATCAACATACAAAAATCCGTAGCATTTCTAGACACCAATAATGAAATAGGTGAAAAAGTAACCAAGAAATCAATACCATTTAGAATAACTACAAAAAATCTGAGAATAAATTTAACCAAGGAGGTGAAAGATCTCTACAAGGAAAACTGCAAAACACTGATGAAAGAAATTGAAAAGGACACAAACAAATGGAAAGGCATCCCATGCTCATGGATTGGAAGAATCAATATTGTTAAAATGAGCATATTGCCCAAAGCAATAAACAGACTCAATGAAATCCATATCAAAATGCCAATGTCATTTTTCACAGAAATAGAAAAAACGATATTAAAATTCACATAGAACCAAAAGAGAGTCAGAATAGCCAAAGCAATCCTGAGCAAAAAGAACAAACCTGGAGGCATCACACTACCTGACTTCAAAATATAAGGTTACAGTAACCAAAACAGCATATGCATCTAAAATTAGAATTAAAAATAAAATTAAAATTAGACCAATGAAACAGAATAGACTAATGGATCAGTATATGTAAATCCACATATTTAGAGCCAACCGATTTTTGACAAAGGTGCCAAGAACATACATTGGAGAATGTATACCCTTTTCAATAAATGGTGCTGGGAAAATTGGATATCCTTGTGCAGAAGAATGAAACCGGACTCCTATCTCTCATCATATAAAAAATCAAAGAAGATGGATTAAATACTTAAATGTAACACCCAAAACTATAAAACTGCTGGAAGAAAACATGAGGAAAACACTTCAACACATTGGTCTAGGCAATGATTTTATGGCTAAGACTGCAAAAGCACAAACAACTAAAACAAAAATAGACAACTGGGACTATATGAAACTACAAAGCTTCTGCACAGCAAAGAAAGCAATTAACAGAGTGAAGAGACAACCTGTTGAATGGTAGAAAATATTTGAAAACTATTCATCTGACAAGGGACTAATATCTAGATTATACAAGGAATTCAAACAATTGAACAATATAAAAACAAATAATCCCATTAAAAAGTGGGCAAAAGACATGAATGGGCATTTCTCACAAGAAAACATACAAATGGCTAGCAGGTATATAAAAAAATGTTCAACATCACTAATCATCCGGGAAATGTAAATAAACCACAATAAGATACTCATCTTACCCCAGTTAGAATGATTATCTAAAGGATAAAAAATAACAGATGCCGGCAAGGATGTGGAGAAAAAGGAACTCTTACACACTGTTGATGGGAATGTAAACTAGTTCAGCCAGTAAGGAGATTTCTCAACAAACTAAAAATAGAAGTATCATACAATCCAGCAATTCCACTACTGGGTATCTATCCAGAGGAAAAGAAATCAGTATAACAAAGGAATACCTGCACTCGCATAGTTATTGCAGTACTATTCACAATAGCAAAAATATGGAGTCAACATAAGTGTCCATCAATGGACAAATAGATAAGGAAAATGTGATATATCTACCCAACAGAATAATATTCTACCATAAAAAGAATGAAATCATGTCATTTGCAGCAATATGGATGGAACTGGAGGCCATGATATTAGTTGAAATAACGCAGGCATAGAAAGACAAATATCACATGTACTCATATGTAGGAGCTAAAAAAAGTTAATCTCATAAAGGTAGAAAGTAGAATGATAGATAATAGAGGCTAGGAGGAATGGGTGGGTAGGAAGTGGGTATAAAGAAAGGTAGGTTAACAGATCCAAACATAACAGATAAAAGGTATAAGTTCTGTTGTTTGACAGCAGATGAGAGTGACTATAGTTAACAACAATGTATTTTATACTTGGAAGTAGCTAGAAGAGAGGACTTGAATTGTTTTCAACACATGGAAATGATAAATACTCAATGTGATGGACACCTCAAATATGCTGGCTTGATCATTACACATTTTATGCATGTAACAAAATATCACATTTACTTCATGGTATGGTTTCACTCTGTTGCCATCCAAATATCATCTAGAATTATAGCTCCCATAATTACCACATGTCATGAGAGGGAGCTGGTGGGAGGTAATTGAATAATGGGGGTAGGGTTTTCCCATGCTGTTCTTGTGATAGTGAGTAATCATGAGATCTGATGGCTTTATAAAGGGCAGTTTCCCTGCACACACTCTCTTGCCTACTGCCTACTGTAAGATGTGGCTTTGCTCCTCTTTCGCCTTCCACCATGATTATGAGGCCTCCCCAGCAATGTAGAACTGTGAGTCCATTAAACTTCTTTTTCTCTATAAATTACCCAGTCTCAGGTATTTCTTCATAGCAGTATGAAAATGGACTAATACACTCTATAAATATGTAAAATATTATGTACGAAAATATACACAGTAAACAAATAACAAATTGAAATAAAAGCTTGAACATATTTCACAAAAGGATAGTACTCCTACAAATAAAAATTTAAAAGATGAACACATAAAATGATGAAAATGAAAAAATAGGAAAAGTCCGGTACAGGTAATGACAAGAGGCAGAGGTTAAAATTGGCAAGAAGCTCATAAAAACGTCTTGTTAAAGAAAATAAAAGATTCAGACTTCAAATGCTGAGCACTGAGTGAAATAATTTTACTGCCAAACACAAAACCGAATTACACAGTCTAGGCACTGGAGAATGAGGTTCATGGTAGAGAAAATGAAGTAGGTCTTGCAAAGCCAGAACACTGCACATGTTTCTGTCCCATATTAAGGAAGCACAGTCTCTGAGTGCTGCTGGTTAGCTGGTAATAAACTGGACTTGGTTGCATAAGTACAGGTCGGTGGAGATGATCTACTACACATATGGAGCCCATTTTGGGATTGTGCCATCCAGCTGCTTCTGTTTCATATATGAGGTGTCCAAATGGAAATTCCCACTTTCCAGCAGATGATGCAATCAGGTCAGAGTTTGTTAATTTCATTTTGCTTTTTTTTTTTTTTTTTTTTTAACAATGAGCATGTACTACTTTGGTAACCAGAAAAGAGAATAAATATATTTCCATTTTGAAACTAACATGTAAAATTGGAATCAAATTGAAACATGAAACCATAAAGTAACTCACAATGACCTTCAAGAAAACACCATAATGTAAAAGAAATACTTAAAAAAATTAAAAACCCTAACTCATATTTCCTAATTTTGAGGAATAGGATTTAGTACTGAGATTAATTCAAGGAAAAGACTACAGTAGCTGCATGGGTAGCTCTTTTTTTTTGCAGGTGAACTATTCTAAGGCCTTTACAGCAAGATAAGAAAAACCATCATACCTTGATAAATTTCGTTTTCCTCTGACCTGGTGGACAGCTGCAAAAATGCAGAATAAGTTCCTAGAAACTACGGACGCAGTTGAGAACTAATGGCCCCAAGTCAAGATAACTATACAGGCATATCAAACAATAAGCTGATTAACCAAAATAATGTCTCTCTGAGGCAAGTTGTGAGCCTCATTTAAAAAAAAAAAAAGCAGAAACCAAAATAAAACTAAACAAAAAACCTAGAACCTGAAATACATGTTTGAAAGGAAATCCAATATGGCCCCAAGTTGGTAACAATGTTTTTCCATGGAAGGTTTCAACAGAAATGAAAATAAGTATGTGTGGTAGATTGTATTATGGTAGAAAGTATTTTTTATTCTCTTCTCTAACACATCAGGAAGATTATACACAGACTCTCATGTTTCTGTAGCCAAGAAGCAGGTCAAGAGAGTTGCTCAGTCCTCAAGGAGGAAGTGTTCCCCTAGGTTTTATATGTGGTCAAGAGAGAATGTGGAAAAGGCAGGACCTCACAAAAATGGACAAGATCCATGAAGAATAATGGACTGGGCAGTAACTGCAGAGGCAAAACCAGGACCTATTAAAGATATATTTTCCAGTGCTGTGGTTCAGAGTCCTGGCTCTGTTGAAAGGGCTTTCAACACTGTTATGCATCAGTGGCTGCAATGACTCTCACTCTTTCCCTTTCCGAGAGAGTGTGTTTACTGTGATTATCCTGCCCCTGATTTCTTTTTAGTTCATACATCTCCAAACCAGATGGAGGTCAATTCACACCTGGTGTAAACTGTCAGAATTCTGTTATTTAAGACTGATACTGTGATTGGAGGAGTCATTTGTGTTGTGTCCTTTAGGGATGAACTGAGTGTATTTTACATGCAGAAGGGAAGGAAAAAATATTTGTGACCAAGAGGTAGGAGGGTGGTAAGATTGCATTACTGTTCAAAGCATTTGCTGTCCTTTCCTGTGATTGAATTATACATTTACACTATGTTGATTGAAGTCAGTTTTGGCTATGATATGTGAGCAGAAAACACATGTACCACTACTGAGAATAACTTTGAAGAAGCATGAACTTGCTCTCTTTTCCCTGTGCCATGAGCCAGCTCCCTAAGGTCTTACTCCATCATCCTGGAGATGGGAGTGAAAGCATGGAGCTACAGCCAATTCATGATGAGCATATAAAATCATTCAAAATAAACCTTTGTTATTATAAACCCGTATAATTTTTGAGTCATTTGTTACCTCAATGTATCTTAATTCAAGATAGTTGATTCGGCTACACATTATCTGGTTAAAGTGAATATTATCTGATTAAAGCTATTTAGGAACTCAGCAAATCCCTCTCCCTGGGTTAAACATCTGCTTTGTTTTCTAAAATTCTTTCTTATTAAAAAGTGAAAGTTTATGAACTTTCCTCTGAGTATATCTTTGGCCACAATGCACAGTTATAGATGCATAGCATTGTTATTACTATTTTCTAAATATTTTTGTAATTGTAATGTTTTTGTCTCTTTTGACACAAAAGTTGAGTTTAAATTTTTTTTTGTAGTAATTTGGCCTTTAAATTTTAGCTCGCAATACTAATTTCTTTTTTCTTTGCATTGGCATTCATAGCCTGTATAAATCTAGCTTTTTAGTAGTGGAGATTCTTTTTGACAAATAAAATTTGTACATGTTCTATACTCGCCTAAAATATATATATTATTTTCTGAAGGGTCTAAAGACTAATGTATGTGTGTGTGTGTGTGTGTGTGTGTGTGTATGTGTATTTAACTGTATTCAATTAGAAAAGTTGTATTACTTCGGTCCTATATGTCATTATTTACTTTTTACCTGTATTATCAAGTAATTTGGTAAAATAATATTTTGTGTATTATTCCTTGTATTTCCAAAAGCTTTTGGTCTATGTATGTTGACGCAATGTTTTTCAATAATAAAACTTCACACTAGTGATACTTAATATTTATTAAGCACCAATGAAATACTAGACATCTTAGTCGTTGCTGTTGTTGTTGTTGTTTTTGGAAACAGAGTCTTGCTCTGTCACCCAGGCTGGAGTGCAGTGGTGCGATCCCCACTCACTGCAACCTCTGCCTCCCAGGTTCAAGTGATTCTCCTGCCTCAGCCTTCTGAGTAGCTTGGATTACAGGTTTGCACCATCATGTCCGGCTAATTTTTTGTATTTTTGTAGGGACAGGGTTTTGCCATATTGTCCAGGCTGGTCTCGAACTCCTGAGCTCAGGCAGTCCTCCCCCTTCAGCCTCCCAAAGTGCTAGGATGACAGGCATGGGCCACCACGCCCAGCGACATCTTAGTTTTTGTATTTTATTTTATTTTTTACTCTTTTGTTTTCTGCACTTTTGCATATGACCTGAATTCTCTCTCTCTCTCTCTCTCTCTCTCTCTCTCTCTCTCTCCTCTCTCTCTCTCTCTCTCTCTCTCTCTCTGTCTCTCCCCTCGTCTAAGAAAATATTTGTCCTGATTCTAATTCAGGTAAAATATTTCCTTAAAGTTTTTTGAATTGTAATTTCTCTAATTTAAAACTCAATATTCATATTCAAAAACATCACCAGGGCCAAGAAAATTTTTAAAAACGACACATGAAGGGAATGCTTCCAACTGTCAAGCTTTATTATAATGAAATTACCATTTAGAAATAGTAATAACAACAATAAACAATAGCAGCATGCACTATTTACTGAGCACTTTACATAATTATATTCTCTAAAGAACATAGCAACCCTATAGTAAAAACATAATTATCTCCAATTTCAGGTGGGGAAACTGAGGCTCAGAAAAGCTAAGTAGCTTTCTCCAACTACCATGTGGTTGAGGTAGAGTTTGTACCGCACTCTTTCTGATTCCTGGATGAGAGAGTTTAAGGCGCTGAGCATCTCTACTGAATACACTAAATGACCTTACTGGAGGAAAATTAAGTAGCTTTGTTGTCATTATTTGAAGTAGTACATGATTGATTCATCTAAGAAGTCTCTAGAAGAAAAGCGTTCAGCGTTATAATTCATCTTTATGTAAAGGAGTGTTTCGTAAGAATTATAGGCTTTTGTGAATTAGAATGAATAACATTTATAGTGCTATCCATGGTTTGCTAAAATACAAAACGTTCTTTTCTGTATTATTTATCCAGCATTTTACCAACTGGTGGAACTACCAGCTCCTGAGTGAATATTCCTAGTTTTCACATGTGTAAGAGTACGTTAAAATGTTTGTGCATTATTCTTGTTGCTCATCCCCCGCCCCACCTGCACACACTTATCTTCTGGAAATAAACCTGAATAAAAGAGATTTTTTTTTTCTCTTTATTTATCTGGTAAGCTTTGGTAACAAGGTCTCACTTCAAACACATTGTCTAAAATAGATTTCCTCCCGGTTTCCCCATCCACTCAATTGTAGCATTATATGCATGTGTGTCTCCATCAACTTGACTTTGCTAACCAGATAAAGTAAATGTCATTCTTGGATTTTCAGTTCAAAGATATTAAATGTGAGTCTGTCTATTCAACATTTCAGAAGGAAAGAACCTAAACTATTTCCATTTTTCTGTGGGGCTTGAGAAGTGTAAGGAAAATAAGATCCAGTATGGTTGTATGAGGTGCAATTAGTGTAGCTTTTGTAGCAGATGCACCCAAAATAACAGTGGTTTAAAGGGTATAGGAGGATTTTGTTATTGTTTTTAGCATATAATAGGCTGAGCTATCATGGGCTCTCTGCTTCATGAAGTTGTCAGTTGTTAGGGTGTTCTTCAAACTTGTTCTGCCTTCATCTCTACATATTGCCTTCAACATCCTGGCCCATAATCCACATTTCTTTCAATGGAAGAGGAAAAAGAAGGGTTACTGTTTCTTTTCAAGGCTACAATCTATAGGTTGCACAAGTCATATCCTCTCACATCCATCAACCAGACCTAGCTACAAGGAATACTCAGAAAGTAGATTTGTATTGGGTGTCCATGTGCCCAGGTTAAACTTGCAGAGGTTGGAGGAGTCCTTTTACCATGAAAGCAAAGGGGAGAAAGAATACTGGGGGAGATATACAGAAGTACCTACCCAAGTAGTATGACCAAACGTATCTTAGCCTAAGGGGAAAAGAGTTCTAAAGATTAGCTGCACAACAATGGAAGTGTACTTGACACTACAGAACTCTACACTTAAAAATGATTGAAATGATAAATTTTATGTTCTGTGTGTTTTATCACAATTAAAATTAAAAAGAAAATTAACCTAGAAGTTAAGAGACATAAATTCTAGTCCCATCTACATCATAATTAACTCTGTGATTCTGGGTGATTTTAATTTTGCTGAACCTGTGTTTACTAATCTATTTATACAGTGAAACTATTATAGAGTTTTTAGGTGTAACTCATTTAACTCAACCTTATCCATCTTAAGTAAAAGTGAATTTATTGGGAAAATGATTAGGAAACTGGAAAATTAGGAGGGACAAATCTGCCCAGGTGAACTTGGTAAAAGACCTACTACTGTGAGCACATACCAGGTTCAGACTTGTCCACATTGTCACTGAGGTGATTTAACTCTCCATTGTTCCCTACCTTCTTGCTGTTTACATTCAAAACAGAAAGTTATGACAGAGAATGTTCCCTCTGGCCCAGCCTAGATCTGTGTTGGCTTAGGGAAGGAAAAGGAGGGACCTGGCCTCATTTGGTTTTATCATAGAGAATAGGCCAGCCCTCTGACCAACACTACTCGCAATGAAGGAAAGGAGCATGGAGAATGGGATGCCTGACAGTTAAAACAACAGTATGTACTTTTTCTCTTTTCTCGAAAATTCTCTCCTCATCAACATCTGTCAAATCACTTGGGTCTATAAGGTTCTTCATTCTTTCAGGCTTTACTTCCCCTGATTCTGAAATCTGGGCTCTTCGATACTCTTCTATCAGGCCTTGTCTTTTCTTCATTTGTACATTGGCACATCCTCACTCAATATTTCAACTCCTAATTCTGCTGATGGTCTGCAAATCCCATTCACTCCCTGACTTCTCTTGCAATCCAGATGCATAGATATATAACTGCCTACTACATCTGTGATAACATCTTACATTTTTGACATCCAGAACAACATTCCTCAGCTTTGCCCCACATTATGCTCCTTTAAAAAAATTCTCTTCCTTTGTAAACGGTATTACAATCCACTCGGCCTTCAAGGCAAAACTAAACCACACACACAAAACAGGAATTATTTTAAACTTATCTCTCTTCATCATTATCTACATCCATCTAATCACGTGCCTCATGAATTGCGTCTCTGAGGCATTTCCTGAATGCTCAGTTGCTCTTTTTTCTCACTGACCAAGTTCTTGTCTTCTATGTAAAGCCTTGTGCAATCATCTCCTAACTTGACTCTCTACCTCCAGACTTCTGAGCCACTGGTCCATCCTCTCTAACGTTGCTGGACTGATTTTTCTACATACAAGTATCTTCTTCTTTTTTTTTTTTTTTTAGAACTCTTCCATAGCTCCACAGCCAGTACATGTTGGTATGACAAAAATAGTCCTCATGATCTAACCCTCACTACTCTTGACAGTCCTATGTGTCCATCTATGTTTCTGTGACACATACAATTGCAATCGTCTTTATTCACTAAACTCATTTATACCCATGAATCATTGAACATCACATTCCCCTCCAACTCTTGCCATTATCTACATTCAGCCTATAAAAAGAAAGTGAGCATGTAGAAAAAATTGCCATTTCTTAAAAGCCTTGGCCTAGGAAGGGCTTACATCATTTTTATATGTACACCATGGCTAGAGCTGGGTCGCATGATCATACCCAACTACAAGGAAGTCTGGAAAATTAACATAACTGTGTGCTCAGGAAGAAAAGCACCAAGATTTTGGTAAACAGCCTCTGCCACATTTAATGAGAATATAATCTAGGCACCAAAAATATTCAGCACTTAATGTTACCTTCCCTTCTGCGTGCAAAGTTGGAATCATGATATAAGTTTATATTGAAGATAATTCTCATTAAATAATAAAATTACTGTATTACGTGACCATGTACTACCTTTCTGAGCATTTCTTTTTAGAGTCATAACTTTAAAGAAAGAGCAAAAGTAATATAAGATGCCACAGTTACACTGATGCATTGATTTAATATGTGAAGTCAGCTTTGAAATATCACCATTTTTTAATTTTGGAAATATTCCATCTCCACTGATTGGGACTTCATATGTTATTTGAAAGACTGCATCATATCCGATTGTTTAAAGAGGCTTTTTGGAATAGAATTTGACCAATATCACTAAAGTTTTCACCTGACCATGGCTGCTTAACCGTCAGTGTTTTCATTCTTTCACAGAATCTGTGTTTTGAAACTGGAAACTTTAAAGGCCAGATTTTTCTTGCAGCTGTAAATCTGAAGGTGTAGGCCTATACCTTACATTCCTGCCATTTGAAACAAAAATAAAAGATACTGATGCATTTTTTTTTTCTTGTGGAGTTAAGAAGGCAGTCATTGCTTAGTGGAGATAGAAGAGTTTATGTTGTCAACAGTCAATGCTTTCAATAAATACCCAAGAAATAGCTATTTCAATATAAGTGCTACAGATGTCTTCATCAGTTTCCCACCCCTCTGTGTTCTCCCTTGTCACTTATGCAAGTCTTTTAATATACACTAGTGTGTACATTTATCCTTCCAAGGCCTGATACCTTTTAATAAGTATGAAGGGATATGTTTTTGACTTGACTTGGGATCCAGGTAGCAACTGATGAGAACTATACTTATTCCCAAGCTACCACCTATCTGGTAGCATTCACTGATACTCACGAGAACTTTCTTTCTGAGACTATTTGAAAAGGGTAGTATATGGTTGAGGGCAGAACTCACAAAATGTGGAGAAGTGATGAGTACTCTGGTGAAGCAGCTAAGACTGACCCTGTTCTTATGGGCTGGGTTTGGGTCTATCTGGGGAATTGTCTGAGGACAGTGTGATTCCTTTCATGAGGGACTTCGTGAAGCTCTGGGCAGAAGCAAGTTTGCTTTAGGTTATAGGTGACAAAATGTGGCCAGAGTGGAGACAAGAGTCATTCTCCTTTTCTTTGCACAGTCTGTCATGACACATCAGAGACTGGTGGCTTCAGGAGCATAGATGGCAGACTTTTTCACAGTAAGTACCATTGGCAATGGGAGGAGTGAAATTAGAGAGTGGCTTATTTATAAGACAGGTCACTCTCCTTGCAAAGCAGATAGGAGAAGCAACAGGTGCCAATAGTTGTCCATAGCACATAGCCTAGTTTGTCAGCACATAAGGGGTTTCAATGTAAAATATTTAACAACCTGTACAGCATGATACCATGATAGCCAATCTGACTGAAAACCTGCCAAAAATAACTGGTAGACCAGCATGTGCCAGATAAAGTCTAGCCCTTTGGAGATTCCCAGAAACATTCTGAGGAGATTTTGAAAAAAAGGAAGTTTCTGGTCTGGGCAGACAGAGACAAGGACAAGAACTTTGGGTTCTTGAAAATTCATTTGCATATACAAACTGATAAGGTTATATTAGCATTACATATCGATCAAGTCTTAAGATTAAAGAAATACAGATATCTTGGGAATATCAGCTGCCATCCTGAGGATGAGGGAAAGGATACTTCTTTTTTTTTTTTTTAACATGCAGAAATAACCCTTAACTCATATCATTTAGAAGCAGTGTTTTGAACTAAAACATTACTAATAGAGTGTGCCTTAAATAACATTAGTATGTGAGCTAGTAGAATGTTTGCTAAAGAACTACATGTGATACCAAGAATTCATTCTTTTATAGCACAGTAGGATTTCATCAACCATTCTGGCAAGCAGAGTAGGTATTTTTTAGAGTTTCAGAATCAAAATTAAGGTACTATAGAACTAAGGAAAAAACCTGTTATTTCACTAAAACATTCATTTCCTTGTGAGTTATGGTCTATTGCAGAAATTTTTAATAGTTTTATTTTAGGACATTTAGAAAAAACAGCAAAAAAGGGAAATGTTTCTTCAAAGTGTTCTTGGTATAGTTTCTCAAAACACAATTGTAAGTAACATAAAACTTCAATAAAGTAAATAGATACTTATTTTTAATGGGCCAATAATAAAGAAAAGCACAAAACAAAAAGTCCCATTAAGATGATGACATTAGGCTTTTATCTTTCAAAGTATATTTTGTGTCAATATATTGTTTTTATAATTAAAAATAATGTTGTACAGAAGTGACATTTTTCTCTACGTATCTGGCAGATAGTGTCATTCTAGCAAATAATGTCGTGCAGCTAATTTTAGAACATTCTTTCACTAATGAACTTTTGGCTGTGTTTTGGTGGGGTGTAGTCACATTTCAAACTTTCAGTGATTATTGGTTGAAGATATAGCCATTAACCTGTGGGAACAGGAAACCATTACACATACACACACACGCACACTTGTGTGTGTCATTTGCACTTGTACTAATGGTACAAGATGTTTGGTCAAACCATTCGACCACTATGTGGCTTTGTCCACTGAACTGGAAAAGAACACTGCTGATCTTATCCATATTCGTACTCTGTCCTGTCTGCCCTGGCCAAATTGATTTGTGTACCCACATGGATGCACTGATACAATCTTACTGGTTCTTTTTTGCTTAGTGAACTTTAGACAGAGAAATGGGTTTTAGATTGTGCCTTCAAATATAATTTACTGAAAATGAAAAAAGTTTATATCAGCTCAATTTTTGTTTTAAATGATATCAAGATATTTCCTTGACTAAACTTTTAGCTGTTTAATAAATTGTCCTTAGGAAGAACCCTGGTTTCTATGAATTAAAAAACTAAAGGAAAACTATTGTCTCAGTGAACCAAGCAGAGATTTTCCTCTTTGAAGGAATTCTTTATTGATCCAAATAAAATTTATGTGAATATAGGAATTAGACTCCAAACTCAGAATAATGTAAAACAAGAGCTAAAATGTCCTGTTTTGTGACCATAGTGTCCCAGAAGAGAAATTCTCCCTAACAATTTCTTTCATCTTGGTATTGAGCCCAAATCTGACAATAAGAGAAAGTGCCATCTTTGTCTTTTCCGTTAGAGTAATTCAGTCAGCTTGGGTCACCATCAGCAATATCTTAGCCTCCAAAACATTTCTCTTCCCCCTGAATTCTTTGACAGCCTGAAAGCCTTGCCTTCTCCTAGGCGGGCCACTTTAGAGAGTTTGTCCACCATATTTTACGCTAAGCTTGAACTTGTTTCAGAAATACCCATACAGGTATGATTTATGCCTTCTACCAGTTGACTGAATATGTTTTTATCACACGTGATTCCAAATAATTCCAGCATTCTGTCAATCCCTTTTTAATATTTTGGGGTGTTGACCAGAGGATATTGATTTTCTTCTTATCCCAAGATCAGTAGAACCATCTGTAGCTTGAAGAGTATTTGAGTTTTAAAATAATAATAGTAATAATAAAGGAAAGAAAGAAAAAGAGAGATAGGGAAGGAAGGAAGGAAGGAAGGAAGGAACGAAAGAAGGAAGGAAGGAAGGGCAAGACGGAGGGAGGGAGAGAGAGAGGGAGGGAGGATAATTCAGAGCCAGATAGTTGGTAGAAAGAAGTAAAGAAAAGAGATTGTCTTCTTTAAAAGCAAACAGTAATAAGATATAAATTATATAAATTAAAATGCACCCATTTTAAGTGGAACAATCTCTATAAGTTTTGACAAATTTATTTATTGGCATATCCACCACCACAATTGACAGAACACTTCCGTCACCCCAAAAGGTTCCCTTGTGTCCCATTATAATCTTCCTCACCCCTGCCCCAGGCAACATTAATCTGCTTTCTGTCACTATAGATCAATTTTGCTTCTTGTAGAATTATATTTAAATAGAATAATACAGTATACACTCTCTTGTATCTGGCTTCTTTCATTCAGTATAATGTTTTGCAATTAATCTACACTGTACTATATATCAGTAATGTATCCCTTTTATGGCTAACTAATATTCCATAGTGTGAATATGCCATAATTCGTTTACCCATTCACCAATTGATGGACATTACAATTTAGGGCTATTATGACTGAAGTTGCTACAAACATTTGTATACAAGTCTTTGTGTGGACATATGCTTTCATTTCCCTTGGTGAATATCTAGGCATAAAATGGCTGGATCATATGGTCCTGACTTTTAAAAAGCCAATTAATGTTCTCTTAATCTTTGTTTTTTATGTTTCGTATTGTCATCGAGCTTCCTTAACTCCCCCAGAAACTATCTGCCTTCACAGAACATAAACAGAACTCCATGAAGAAAGGAGAAAGGAAGCAAAACAGAAGTTTATCCTATCAACGTTTTCTGCTCAGGTTGGTCCTGACCCACCTCTCCAGGAGAAAGCCTCAGAATATCCCAGAGTCTGTTGATCTCAACTACTCCTTCATCAGTGCAACAATCCCATTTCCTTTTCGTGTGTTTATACTATGTTAGCTCCCAACATTTGGCCTTGGAGGGCAGAATGATTTCTTTTGGGTTTACAGTCTCATAGGCCTAAAACCACTTTGCATCTCCTAAAAAGAAATTCTCTGTTTTTTCTAAACATTTCCCTAATCACCAAAGATCTTAAATAAAAATATGTCTACTGTCTTTGGTGGTTTTTAGTGTATAAAATGTCATCTATGTGCTATACCAAGTTAAGTTCATGAAAAATAGAAATAAATGTTTATATCCCAACACTTACATTTCATAGTTTTAAATTAACAAAGAGTGAAAAAAATTCTAAACATCAGTTAGTTCTGTTGTTGTATGTATGTACAGATTTTATATACCCATAGCAAACCCTGACATCTTATTTCTGGAAGGTAAGATACTCACTAATTTGGTCAATAATGAGATAGTAAGGTTTAATATTTTTATTTTAATTATGAAGTACTAGTAGCTTAGTTCAGTTCAATGCTTCTAACATTTCCAGGTTTTGATGGTGATGGTGGTTGTGGGCAAGTGGGGAGGCAGTTGGTAAAATACTGGCCTTTACTGCTACTTTGAAAATCTCGCATCACATGAATGAAGAATGTTGAACTTTTTAGCTCACTTCAGAACAGTTGACTTTAAGTACAAGTAAATGTGGTTTTCAGAAGAGTCCTAGGAACAAGGATAATTTTTTTATTATTTTGTAAATTTTTTTAATTTTTATTTTTTGTGGGTACATAGTATGTGTATGTATTTATACAGTACATGAGATGTTTTGATTTAGGCATGCAATGTGTAATAATCACATAAAGAATGGGGAATTCATCTCCTGAAGCATATCCTTTGTATTACAAAAAATCCAATTTTACTCTTTTAGTTATTTTATAATGCATAATTAAATTATTATTGACTATAGTCACCCTGTTGTGCTATCAATAGTAGGTCTTATTCTTTCTAACTATTTTTTGGACCCATTAATCATCCCTATCTTCCACCCCCTTGAGCCCCCAATATTCTTCCCAGCCTTTGGTAACCATCCCTCTACTTTCTATCTCTGTGAGTTCAATTATTTTGATTTTTAGTTCCCACAAATAAGTGAGAATATACGATGTTTGTCTTTTTGTGCCAGGCTTATTTCACTTAACATAATGACCTCCACTTCCATCCATGTTATTGCAAATGAAAGGATCTCATTCTTTTTAAGGCTGAATAGTACATGTGTATAAGTACCAAATTTTCTTTATCCATTCATCTGTTGATAGACACTTAGGTTGCTTCCAAATCTTGCCTATTGTAAATAGTGCTGCAGTGAACATAGGAGTGCAGATATCTCTTTGATAAACTGATTTCCACTCTTTTTTTTTGGTATATACCCAGAAGTAGAATTGCTGGATCATATGGTAGCTCTACTTTTAGTTTTTTGAGGAAGCTCCAAACTGTTCTACATAGTGCTTGTACTAACTTACATTTTCACCAGCAGATACCAGGGTTCCCTTTTCATATCATCGCCAGCCTTTGTTGTTGTTTGTCTTTTGGATAAAAGCTATTTTAACTAGGGTAAGAGGTTATCGTAGTTTTGCTTTGCATTTCTCTGATGATCAACGATGTCATTGCCAGCCTTTGTGATTGTCTGTCTTTTGGATAAAAGCTGTTTTAACGGGTAAGAGGATATCTCATCGTAGTTTTGATTTGCATTTCTTTGATGATCAGTGATGTGGAGCATCTTCTCATATGCCTGTTTGCCATTTGTATGTCTTCTTTTGAGAATTGTCTATTCAAATCCTTTGTCCATTTTTTGATTGATTTTTTTTAACTTTTATTTTACTTTCAGGGGTACATGTGTAGGTTTGTTATTTAGGTAGACTCATGTCACAGGGATTTGTTGTACAGATTATTTTATCACCCAGGTACTAAGCCTAGTACTACATGTTTATGCTTTCTGCTTCTCTCCCTCCTCACAATCTTCTGGTAGGCCCCAGTGTCTGTTTTTCCCCTCCTAGAGTCCATGTGTTCTTATCATTTAGTTCCCACTTACAAGTGAGAATATGCAGTATTTGGTTTTCTGTTCCTGCATTAGTTTGCTAAGGATAATGGCCTCCAATTCCATCCATGGTCCTGCAAAGAACATGGTCTCATTCTTTTATATGGCTACATAGTATGGCATGATGTATATGTACCAAATTTTCTTTATTCAATCTGCCATTGATGGGCATTTAGATTGATTCTATGTCTTTGCTATTGTGAATAGTGTTACGATAAACATACACAAGCATGTGTCTTTATGATAGAATGATTTATATTCCTTCAAGTATATACTCAGTAATGGGATTGCTGAGTCAAATAGTAGTTCTGTTTGTAGCTCTTTGAGGGATCATCACATTGCTTTCCACAATGGCTGAATTAATTTACACTCCCACCAACAGTGTATAAGTATTCCCTTTTCTCCACTACCTCTTCAGCATCTGTTGCTTTTTGACTTTTTAATAATAGCTGTTTTGACTGGCATGAGATGGTAACTCATTATGGTTTTGATTTGCATTTCTCTAGTGATCAATGATATTGAGCTTTTTTCATATGCTTGTTGGCCACATGTATGTCTTCTTTTGAAAAGTGTCTGTTCATGTCCTTTGCCGACTTTTTAATGGGGTTGTTTTTTGCTTGTAAAATTGATTTGCTTATAGATGCTAGATATTAGTTTTGTTTTTTTTTTTTTTTTTTTTTTTAGATAGAGTCTCACCCTGTCACCCAATCTGGAGGGCAGTGGCACAATCTTGGCTCTCTGCAACCTCCACCTCCCTGGCTCAAGAAATTCTCCTGCCTCAGCCTCCAGAGTAGCTGGGACTACAGGCATGCACCACACACCTGGCTAATTTTTGTATTTTTAGTAGAGATGGGATTTCATCATGTTGGCGAGGCTGGTCTCAAACTCCTGAATTCAAGTGATCCAACTGCCTCTGCCTCCCAAAGTGCTGGGATTACAGGCGTGAGCCACTGTGCCCAGCCTTAGATATTAGATCTTTGTTTGATGCATAGTTTACAAGTAGTTTCTACCATTCTGTAGGTTGTCTGTTTACTTTGTTGATAGTTTCTTTTGCTGTGTAGAAGCTCTTAAGTTTAATTAGATCCCGTTTTTCAATTTTTGCCTTTGTTGCAATTGCTTTTGGGGTCTTCATCATAAAATTCTTGGCAAGTTTGATGTCCAGAATGTTATTGCCTAGCTTGTTTTCCAGGGTTTTTATAGCTTTAAGTTTTACATTTAAGTATTTAATCCAAGTTGATTTTTGTGCATGGTTTAAGGAAGAAGTCCATTTTAATCTTCTGCATATGGGTAGCCAGTTTTCCCAGCACCATTTATTGAATGGAGAATCCTTTCCCTATTGCTTGTTTTTTTCTGCTTTGTCAAAGATCAGATGGTTTTAAGTGTGCAACATGTTTCTGTGCTCTCTATTGTGTTCCATTGGTTTATGTTTCTGTTTTTATACTAGAACCATACTGTTTTGGTTACTGTATCCCTATAATATAGTTTGAAGTCAGATAATGTGATGCCTCCAGCTTTGTTCTTTTTGCTTAGAATTGCCTTGGCTATTCAGACTCTTTTTGGGTTCCATATGAATTTTAAAATAGTTTTCTCTAGTTCTGTGAAGAATGTCATTGGTAGTTTGATAGGAATAGCATTGAATCTGTAAATTGCTTTTGGCAGTATGGCCATTTTAATGATATTGCTTTTTCCTATCCATGAGCATGGATGTTTTTCTGCTTGTTTGTATGACCTCTGATTTCTTTCATCAGGGTTTGTTTTGTAGAGATCTTTCACTTCCCTGGTTAGCTGTATACCTAGGAATTTTATTCTTTTTGTGGCAGTTGTGATTGGAATTACATTCCAGATTTGGTTCTCACCTTGGATGTTGTTGCATAGGAATATTAGTGATTCTTGTATGTTGATTTTGAAGAATACAAATTGTATGAAGACTCAGCAAAGTGAAATGTTCCAAATGTTTGAATCTATAGATTGTAGCTATGTGAGTTCAAATTCATAATCATTCAAAGGTATAGAAGTCATCAATTATTACTTGATCAGTATAAGGAGAAACACAGAATGTAAGTGTTGTATATTATAATCAGGGCAGGGAAGACCTTCGCAATAACGTGGCCTTGCTGAGCTTTCAAAAATTTTATTTTTAAATTGTCATATAGTAAAATGACTTTTTCTCTTTTAATATGCAAGTCCCTAAATTCTAACATATGTATACATTTTTGTATTCACCACCGTAATGAAGACACAGAACATTTCTCTCACCACCAGGATATCCCTTGTGCCATTCCTTTGTTATCACACCTGTTTCACACTCCCCTTCCACACTTCCACGAAACCACTGATCTATTTTCCATCCCTATAGTTTGGCCTTTTTGGAATATCATATACAGTTGATTCTCAGTTGCTATCTTCTATGAAGTTGCTATGAACACTGAATTAGCAAATACCAAACTATTGACTTGGGGCTAAACAGTGAACCTCTGATCACAACATCTTCATCAACTTATCAATACATAATCTTGTTTTATATGTGTTTCTGTTTAGATATCTCATTCAGTATACTGTCGTCCCTCAGTATCTTTGAGGGATTCATTTCAGTACCTCCCATGGACACCAAAATCTGTGAATGCCTAAGTCTCTACTATAAAATGATGTAGCACTTGCATAAAACCTACTGCACATCCTCCTGTATGGTTTAAGTCATTTCTAGGTTACTTACAATTCCTAATATAATATCAATGCTATTAAATACTTGTTATTTTCTGTTGTTTAGGGAATAATGACCAAAGAAGTCTTTATATGTTCAATACAGATGCAATTTTTTTCCCAAATATTTTTGATCATTGGTTAGTTCAATCAATAGATGTGGAACCCACAGATACAAAGGGTCTACTGTAGATTGTTGATTCATTAACATTGAACTCAAGCCAGTAGCACTGTAACTCATGCCTGAATGAAAGCTTATCTAACACACATGTTTTCTCTGTAAGGCACATCACAGCCTTCTTGCACTTAGGAACACTAGACATTTCAACACTATGCTTGGGGGCCAATTTAAACAGCAAAATCACCAACAGAATGCACAAAAATGCAAAATTATATACTTTGAAAAGGGCACTTCTTTAGGATGAGACCTGAAACTAGAAAGCAGAGTATTGTCTTATTCTACCTCAGCTGGGAATGTGCTCTCTGCACATGTCTTCAAATGACCATGAAAATGTCCCAAGTATACATTTTGGAGTTACAAATATTTTTAGTGTGTAGGTGAATGTGTATATTTAGAATTCATGAATAATGAGGTTCAACTGTAAATAGAATCATACAAAATGTAACCTTTCTGAGGTTGGCTTTGTTTACTCAGCATAATGCTTTTGTGATTTAACTTGTTTCATTTATCAAAATTTCATTCTTTTTATTGCTCAATAGTAGTTTATTGTATGAATTTCCTGCAGTTTGTTTGTTTGAAGGACATCTAGAGTGTTTCTCATTTTTGACAACTGTGAATAGAACTACCATAAACTTGTGTACAGATTTTTGTGTGGATGTAAGTTTTCATTTCATTAGGGCAAATATTCAGTAGTGGTATTGTGGGATCAAAAAGCATGCATATCTTGAAATTTATAAGAAACTGACAACCAATTTTCCACAGTGGCTGTATCATTTTGCATTTCCCTAATCAATGCATTAGAGTTCCAATTGCTCCACATCCTCTCCAAAACTTGGTATTTTCAGTATATTTTACACCTAATGGGTGTGTAATGGTATCTCCTTGTGATTTTAATCAGTATTTCCCTGATGGATAATGATGTTGAACATCTTTTCAACATTCTGACATACTCTTTGTTGGAAGTGTCTGTTGATAGATTTTGCTTTGTGTAAAAAATGGTCTTGTTTATTTGTTGGCTTTGAGAATTCATATATCATGGACATAAATCTTTTGTTGAATATAGAATTTGTGAATATTTTCACCCAGTGTTTTATTTTCTGAACAGTGTCTTTTGCAGAGCAAACATTTTTAATTTTTATGTCCAATTTATTGATGTTTTTGTTTTTATGGCTTATGGTTTTGGTGTCATGTTCAAGAACTCATTGCCAAATCCAAGATCACATGGATTTCCTCTCTCTCTCTCTCTCTCTTTTTTTTTTTTGAGATGGAGTCTCCCTCTGTCACCCAGGCTGGAGTGCAACGGCGCGATCTCGGCTCACTGCAATCTCTGCCTCCGGGGTTCCAGTGAGTCTACTGCCCTAGCCTCCCAAGTAGCTGAGATTACAGGTGCCTGCCACTATGCCCAGCTTTTTTTGTTTGTTTGTTTTTTGCACTTTTAGTAGATACAGGGTTTCACCATGTTGGCCAGGCTGGTCTCCAACTCCTGACCTCAGGTGTTCCACCCTCTTCAGCCTCCCAAAATGCTGGGATTACAGGCGTCAGCCGCCGCATGCAGCCTTCTCTTTTTATTCTAAAATTTTTATACTTTTCCATTTAGATCCATGTTTCATTTTTAGGTTAATTTTTTCTTTAAGACAAGGTCTTACTCTGTCACCCAGGCTGGAGTGCAGTGGTGTGATCATGGCTCACTGCAGCCTGGAACTCCTGGGCTCAAGCAATCCTTCTCTCCAACCTCCCGAGTAGCTGAGACTACAGGTACATGACACTACACCCTGCTAATTTTTTTCATTTTTATTTTTTTGGAGACAGGGTCTTGCTATGTTGACCAGGCTAGTTTTGAACTCTTGGTCTCATGCAATTCTCCCACCTCAGCCTCCCTAAGTGCTGGGATTACAGGTGTGAGTCACTATTCCTGGCCTCTATATATTTATTTTATAAAAGATGTAAAGTTTAGGTTGAGGTTAATTTCTTTTAACTTTTATTTTAGGTTCAAGCTTACATGTGTACATTTGTTATATCGGTAAACTGCATGTCATGGGGTTGTGGTGTACAGATAATTTTGTCACCTGGGTAATAAGCATAGAACTTTGATAGATAATTTTCCTGATCTCCCTCTTCCCACCCTCCACCCTCAAGTAGGCCCGAGTATCTGTTGTTCTCCTCCTAGTGTCCATGTGTTCTCATTATTTAGATCCCACTAATAGGTGAGAAAATGCAGTATTTGGTTTTCTGTTCCAGTGTTAGTTGACTTAGAATAATGGCCTTCAGCTACACCCATGTTGCTACAAAGGACATGACCTCATTTGTTTCTATGGCTGCATCATATTCCATGATATATATGTACCACATTTTCTTTATCCAACCTGCCATTGATGGGCATTCAGGTTGACTCCACCATGTCTTTGCTATTGTGAATAGTACTGCAACGAACATATATTTGTATGTGTCTTCATGGTAGGATGATTTATATTCCTTTGGGTATATACCCAGTAATGGGATTGTTGGGTTAAATGGCAATTCTGTTTAAAGTTCTTTGAGAATTGCCACACTGCTTTCCACAATGGCTGAATTAATTTATACTCTCACCAACAATGTATAAATGTTCCCTTTTCTCCACAACCTCTCCAGCATCTGTTTTTAGACTTTTTAACAATTGCCATTCTGACTATTGTAAGATAGTATCTCATTGTGGTTTTGATTTGCATTTCTCTAATGATTAGTGGTGTTAATTAAGCATTTTTTCAAATGCTTTTTGGCCACATATATGTCTTTTGAAAAATGTCTGTTCATGTCCTTTGCCTTCTTATTAATGGAGTTGTTTGTTTATTGCTTATAAATTTATTTAAGTCCCTTATAGATCTGGATATTGACCTTTGTTGTATGTATAGTTTGCAAATAGTCTCTCCCATTCAGTATGTTGTCTCTTTCCTTTGCTGATAGTTTCTTTTGCTGTGTGGAAGCTCCTAAGTTTAATTAGATCCCTTTTTTCAATTTTTGCTTTTGTTACAATTGCTTTTTGGGGTTGCATCATAAAATTCTTGGCGAGTTTTATGTCCAAAATGGTATTGCCTAGGTTATCTTCCAGGGTTTTATAGTTTTAGGTTTTACATTTAAGTCTTTAATTTATCTTGAGTTGATTTTTATATGTGGTGTAAGGTAGGAATCTAGTTTCAATCATCTGCCTATAGCTAGCCTGTTATCTCAGCACCATTTATTGAATGGAGACTCTTTTCCTCATTGCTTGTTTTATCAGCTTTGTTGAAGATCAGGTGGTTTTAGGTGTGTGGCCTTATTTCTGGGCTCTCTGTTCTGTTCCATTGGTCTATATTTTTGTATTTATACCAGTACCATTCTGTTTTGGTTACTGTAGCCCTATAAGGTAGTTTGAAGTCAGATAATGTGATGCCTCCAGCTTTGTTCTTTTTGCTTAGAATTGCCTTGGCTATTCAGACTCTTTTTGGGTTCCATATGAATTTTAAAATAGTTTTCTCTAGTTCTGTGAAGAATGTCATTGGCAGTTTGATAGCAATAGCAATGAATCTGTAAATTGCTTTTGGCAGTATGGCCATTTTAATGATATTGATTCTTCCTATACATGGGCATGGAATGTTTTTCCACTTGTTTGTATGACCTCTGTTTTCTTTCATCGGTGTTTTGTAATTCTTGTTGTAGAGATCTTTCATTTCCCTGGTTAGCTGTATTCCTAGGAATGTTATTCTTTTTGTGGCAATTGTGAATGGGATTGCATTTCTGATTTGGTTCTTGGCTTAGATGCTGTTGTTGTATAAGAATGCTACTGATTTTTGCATATTGATTTTGCACCCTGAAACTTTGCTTAAATTGTTTATTAAATCAAGGGGCTTTGGGCCAGAGATATAGAATCATGTCATCTGCAAACAGGGATAGTTCGACTTCCTCTTTTCCTATTTGGATGCCTTTTATTTATTTCTCTTGCCTGATCGCTCTGGCCAGGAATCCCAGTACTATGTTGAATAGGTGTGGTGAGAGAGAACATCCTTGTTTTGTGCCAGTTTTCAAGGAGAATGTTTCCAGCTTTTGCCCATTCAGTAAGATGTTGGCTGTCGGTTTGTCATAGATAGCTTGTATTATTTTGAAATATGTTCCTTCAATGTCTAGTTTGTTGAGGGTTTTTTAACATGAAAATATGTTGTATTTTATGGAAAGCCTTTCAAAAAAAAAGCTAAAATAGTAACAACCACGTTCTCGGACCACAGTACAAAAAAATTGCTCAAAACCATATAATTACGTGGAAATTACACAACCTACTCCTAAATGACTTTTGGGTAAATAATGAAATTAAGGCAGAAATCAGGAAATTCTTTGAAACTAATGAGACCAAAGACACGACACACCAGTATCTCTGGAACACAGCTAAGACTGTTAAGAGGGAAGTTTATAGTGTTAAATGCCCACATCAAACAGTTAGAAAGATCTCAAAATAACAACCTAACATCATAACTAGAAGTATTATATAAGCAAGAGCAAACCAACCCCAAAGCTAGCAGAAGATGAGAAATAACCAGGATCAGAACTGAAATGAACAAACTTGAGCATGAGAAACCATACAGACGGTCAACAAATCCAGCAGTTGTTGTTGTTTTCAAATTAATAAGATAGACAGACTGCTAGCAATACTAATAGAAAAGAATGAAAAGCCAAATAAACACAATTAGAAATGAGAAAGAGGACATTACCACTGAGCCCACAGAAATACAAAAAACCATCAGGGATTACTGTGAATACCTCTATGCACACAAACTAGAAAATATAGAAAAAAATGAATAAATTCCCAGACACATATAACTTTCAAAGACTGAACCAGGAAGAAATTGAATCCCTGAAAAGACTAATAAACGAGTTCCAAAATTGAATCTGTACTAAAAAGCCAACCAATCAAAGAAAGCCCAGGACCAGATGGATTCACAGCCAAATTCTACCAGATGTATAAAGAAGAGCTGGTACCCTACTGAAACTATTCCAAGAAATTGAGGAGGAGGGGCTCCTCCCTAACTCATTCTATGAGGCCAGCAAAATTATGATGCCAAAATCTGGCAGAGACACAACAACAACAACAACAAACTTCAGGATAATATCCTTGATGAACACAGATGCAAAAATCCTCAACAAAATACTAGCAAACTGAATCCAACAGCACATTGAAAAACTAATCCACCGCTATCAAGTAGGCTTTATCCTTAGGATGCAAGGTTGGTTCAACATGTGCAAATCAATATATGTGATTCATCACATAAACAGAACTAAAAACAAAAACCACATGATTATCTCAACAGATGCAGAAGAGGTTAATATTTTTTCCTATGGACATTCAATTGTTCTAACACCCTTTGCTGAAAAGATTATACTTCCTTCATTGAATTCCTTTGCACAGTTGTCAAAAATCAGTTGGGCACATTTGTGCAAGTCTATTTCTGGCTTCTCTATTCTGTTCCATGGATCTATGTCTATCATTTTGCCCATACAGTACTACCTTGATTATTGTAACTTTATAGTAAGGGTGAAAATTGGGTAGTATGATTCCTTTCAACTTTTTTTTTCAAAATTGTTTTAGCTATTCTTTTTACTTCACATTTCTGCATAAATTTTAGAACATTGCATAAATATACAAAAAAATCCTTTTGGGATTTTGATCATTATTGCATTAAATCTATATATTATTTGGGGAGAATTGATATTTTCATTATGCTGTTTTCTAATCCATCATATATTTATTTATAACTTCTTTAATTTCTTTTAGCAGTGTTTTATAGCTTTTAGTACACAGATCTTGTGAATGTTTTGATAGATACACACCTAAGTGTTTTGTTTTTTGAAGCTTTTGTAAATGGTATTATTTTTAAATTTCAGTTTTTCATTTTACTTTGCTTGTTTATAGAAATGTGACTTATTTTTATTTGCTGACCTTGATTTCCATGACCTTTCAAAATTTACTTATTAGTTCCAGAAGGTTTTTTTGGTCAGATTTCTTGGAATTTTCTGCATAAAATAAATCATATTATCCTCAGATAGGGCTAGTTTAACATTCTTTCCAGACCATTTGCCTTTTTTTTTTTTTTTTCTCACCCTATTGTGAAAAATAGAGGTGGTGAGAGTGGACATCCTTGCCTTTCCCTTGATCTTAAGTAGAAAGCATTCAGCCTTTACACATTTTGATGTTAGTTGTAGGGTTTCTTTCTCTCTTTCTTTCTTTCTTTTCTTTCTTTCTTTCTTTCTTTCTTTCTTTCTTTCTTTCTTTCTTTCATTCTTTCTTTCTTTCTCTCTTTCTTTTCTTTATAGATGCCCTTTATCAGCTGGAGGAAGTTTACTTCTATTTCTAGTTTGCTGTAAATAGAATTTTTTCACATGCTTTTCTGCATTGATATGATCATGTGGGTGTTCTTCTTTCAATTGCTAATATGGTGGATTGCATTGATTGATTCCCAAACATTGAACAAGTGTTGCATTCTCTGAACAAATCCCACTTGTTTGTGGTATATTATTCTGTTTATATGTTGCTGGATTCAATTTGCTCTTTTTTAAAAGTATTTTTGTATTGTTGTTTTTGAGAGAGATATTGGTTTTTAGTTTTCTTTTAATGTCTTTGGTGTTGTATGAGGATAATAGTCTCATAAAACGAATGAGAAGTGTCTCTTCCTTTTATATTCTGTGAAAATTCTATTCTATGCAAACTTTGAATTATTTCTCATTTTAATGTTTGGTAGAATTCACCAGTGAAATCACCTGAACCTGGAAATTTTTTTTTAAGAATTTGTTTCTTAACTCTAAAATAAATTTCTTTAATAATTATAGAGATATTTGGATTACACATTTCATTTAGGGTGAGTTTTGGTAGTTTGTGGATTTGGGGGAAGCAGTCCCCTTCATCTTGGTTTTCAAATGTATGTATGCAGAGTTGTTCATAGTGTTCTTTTATTTATTTATTCATTTTTACCATTTGCTGGGTTTGTAGTGATATCTCCTCTTTCATTTCCCATACGCATAATTTGAGTCCTTTTTTTCCTTTGTCATCCTGTTAGAGGTTTATCAATTTTATTGATATTTTCAAAGAATCAGCTATTGGTTTTATTTTCCTATTGTTCTTCTGTTTTTATTTTTAAATTTTCAGCTCATTATTTTCTTCCTTCTGCTTAATTGGGTTTATTTTGGTCTACTTTTTCTAATTTCTTTATTTATGTATTTATTTATTTTTTTATTATTATACTTTAAGTTTTAGGGTACATGTACACAATGTGCAGGTTAGTTACATATGTATACATGTGACATGCTGGTGCACTGCACCCACTAACTCGTCATCTAGCATTAGGTATATCTCCCAATGCTATCCCTCCCCACTCCCCCCACCCCACAACAGTCCCCAGAGTGTGATGTTCCCCTTCCTGTGTCCATGTGTTCTCATTGTTCAATTCCCACCTATGAATGAGAATATGCAGTGTTTGGTTTTTTGTTCTTGCGATAGTTTACTGAGAATGGTGATTTCCAATTTCATCCATGTCCCTACAAAGGACATTAACTCATCATTTTTTATGGCTGCATAGTATTCCATGGTGTATATGTGCCACATTTTCTTAATCCAGTCTATCATTGTTGGACATTTGGGTTGGTTCCAAGTCTTTGCTATTGTGAATAGTGCCGCAATAAACATACGTGTGCATGTGTCTTTATAGCAGCATGATTTATAGTCCTTTGGGTATATACCCAGTAATGGGATGGCTGGGTCAAATGGTATTTCTAGTTCTAGATCCCTGAGGAATCGCCACACTGACTTCCACAATGGTTGAACTAGTTTACAGTCCCACCAACAGTGTAAAAGTGTTCCTATTTCTCCACATCCTCTCCAGCACCTGTTGTTTCCTGACTTTTTAATAATTGCCATTCTAACTGGTGTGAGATGATATCTCATTGTGGTTTTGATTTGCATTTCTCTGATGGCCAGTGATGGTGAGCATTTTTTCATGTGTTTTTTGGCTGCATAAATGTCTTCTTTTGAGAAGTGTCTGTTCATGTCCTTTGCCCACTTTTTGATGGGGTTGTTTGTTTTTTTCTTGTAAATTTGTTTGAGTTCATTGTAGATTCTGGATATTAGCCCTTTGTCAGATGAGTAGGTTGTGAAAATTTTCTCCCATTTTGTGGGTTGCCTGTTCACTCTGATGGTAGTTTCTTTTGCTGTGCAGAAGCTCTTTAGTTTAATTGGATCCCATTTGTCAACTTTGGCTTCTGTTGCCATTGCTTTTGGTGTTTTAGACATGAAGTCCTTGCCCATGCCTATGTCCTGAATGGTAATGCCTAGGTTTTCTTCTAGGGTTTTTATGGTTTTAGGTCTAACGTTTAAGTCTTTAATCCATCTTGAATTAATTTTTGTATAAGGTGTAAGGAAGGGATCCAGTTTCAGCTTTCTACATATGGCTAGCCAGTTTTCCCAGCACCATTTATTAAATAGGGAATCCTTTCCCTATTTAATAATTGCTTGTTTTTCTCAGGTTTGTCAAAGATCAGATAGTTGTAGATAAGCGGTGTTATTTCTGAGGGCTCTGTTCTGTTCCATTGATCTATATCTCTGTTTTGGTACCAGTACCATGCTGTTTTGGTTACTGTAGCCTTGTAGTATAGTTTGAAGTTAGGTAGCATGATGCCTCCAGCTTTGTTCTTTTGGCTTAGGATTGACTTGGTGATGTGGGTTCTGTTTTGGTTCCATATGAACTTTAAAGTAGTTTTTTCCAATTCTGTGAAGCAAGTCATTGGTAGTTTGATGGGGATGGCATTGAATCTATAAATTACCTTGGGCAGTATGGCCATTTTCACAATATTGATTCTTCCTATCCGTGAGCGTGGGATGTTCTTCCATTTGTTTGTATCCTCTTTTATTTCACTGAGCAGTGGTTTGTAGTTCTCCTTGAAGAACTCCTTCACATCCCTTGTAAGTTGGATTCATAGGCATTTTATTCTCTTGGTAGCAATTGTGAATGGGAATTCACTCATGATTTGGCTCTCTGTTTGTCTGTTATTGGTGTATAGGAATGCTTGTGATTTTTGTACATTGATTTTGTATCCTGAGACTTTGCTGAAGTTGCTTATCAGCTTAAGGAGATTTTGGGCTGAGATGATGGGGTTTTCTGGATATACAATCATGTCGTCTGCAAACAGGGACAATTTGACTTCCTCTTTTCCTAATTGAATACCCTTTATTTCTTTCTCCTGCCTAATTGCCCTGGCTAGAACTTCCAACACTATGTTGAATAGGAGTGGTGAGAGAGGGCATCCCTGTCTTGTGCCAGTTTTCAAAGGGAATGCTTCCAGTTTTTGCCCATTCAGTATGATATTGGCTGTGGGTTTGTCATAGATAGCTCTTATTATTTGGAGATACGTCCCATCAATACCTAATTTATTGAGAGTTTTTAGCATGAAGGGTTGTTGAATTTTGTCAAAGGCCTTTTCTGCATCTATTGAGATAATCATGTGGTTTTTGTCGTTGGTTCTGTTTATATGCTGGATTACATTTATTGATTTGCGTAGAGGTGTTTATAGTATTCTCTGATGGTAGTTTGTATTTCTGTGGGATCGATGGTGATATCCCCTTTATCATTTTTTATTGAGTCTATTTGATTCTTCTCTCTTTTCTTTTTTATTAGTCTTGCTAGTGGTCTATCAATTTTGTTGATCTTTTCAAAAAACGAGCTCCTGGATTCATTGATTTTTTGAAGGATTTTTTTGTGTCTCTATTTCCTTCAGTTCTTCTGTGATCTTAGTTATTTCTTGTCTTCTGCTAGCTTTTGAATGTATTTGCTCTTGCTTCTCTAGTTCTTTTAATTGTGATGTTAGGGTGTCAGTTTTAGATCTTTCCTGCTTTCTCTTTTGGGCATTTAGTGCTGTAAATTTCCCTCTACACACTGCTTTGAATGTATCCCAGAGATTCTGGTAGGTTTTGTCTTTGTTCTCATTGGTTTCAAAGACCATCTTTATTTCTACCTTCATTTCGTTATGTACCCAGTAGTCATTCAGGAGCAGGTTGTTCAGTTTCCATGTAGTTGAGTGGTTTTGAGTGAGATTCTTAATCCTGAGTTCTAGTTTGATTGCACTGTGGTCTGAGAGATAGTTTTTTATAATTTCTGTTCTTTTACATTTGCTGAGGAGAGCTTTACTTCCAAGTATGTGGTCAATTTTGGAATAGGTGTGGTGTGGTGCTGAAAAAAATGTATATTCTGTTGATTTGGGGTGGAGAGTTCTGTAGATGTCTATTAGGTCCTCTTGGTGCAGAGCTGAGTTCAATTCCTGGGTATCCTTGTTGACTTTCTGTCTCGTTGATCTGTCTAATGTTGACAGTGGGGTGTTAAAGTCTCCCATTATTAATGTGTGGGAGTCTAAGTCTCTTTGTAGGTCACTCAGGACTTGCTTTATGAATCTGGGTGCTCCTGTATTGGGTGCATATATATTTAGGATAGTTAGCTCTTCTTGTTGAATTGATCCCTTTACCATTATGTAATGGCCTTCTTTGTCTCTTTTGATCTTTGTTGGTTTAAAGTCTGTTTTATCAGAGACTAGTATTGCAACCCCTGCCTTTTTTTGTTTTCCATTTGCTTGGTAGATCTTCCTCCATCCTTTTATTTTGAGCCTATGTGTGTCTCTGCATGTGAGATGAGTTTCCTGAATACAACACACTGATGGGTCTTGACTCTTTATCCAATTTGCCAGTCTGTGTCTTTTAATTGGAGGATTTAGTCCATTTACATTTAAAGTTAATATTGTTATGTGTGAATTTGAACCTGAAATTATGATGTTAGCTGGTTATTTTGCTCATTAGTTGATGCAGTTTCTTCCTAGTCTCGATGGTCTTTACATTTTGGCATGATTTTGCAGTGGCTGGTACCGGTTGTTCCTTTCCATGTTTAGCGCTTCCTTCAGGAGCTCTTTTAGGGCAGTCCTGGTGGTGACAAAATCTCTCAGCATTTGCTTGTCTGTAAAGTATTTTATTTCTCCTTCACTTATGAAGCTTAGTTTGGCTGGATATGAAATTCTGGGTTGAAAATTCTTTTCTTTAAGAATGTTGAATATTGGCCCCCACTCTCTTCTGGCTTGTAGAGTTTCTGCCAAGAGATCTGCTGTTAGTCTGATGGGCTTCCCTTTGTGGGTAACCCGACCTTTCTCTCTGGCTGCCCTTAACATTTTTTCCTTCATTTCCACTTTGGTGAATCTGACAAATATGTGTCTTGGAGTTGCTCTTCTCGAGGAGTATCTTTGTGGCGTTCTCTGTATTTCCTGAATCTGAATGTTGGCCTGCCTTGCTAGATTGGGGAAGTTCTCCTGGATAATATCCTGCAGAGTGTTTTCCAACTTGGTTCCATTCCCCCTGTCACTTTCAGGTACACCAATCAGACGTAGATTTGGTCTTTTCACATAGTCCCATATTTCTTGGAGGCTTTGTTCATTTCTTTTTATTCTTTTTTCTCTACACTTCCCTTCTCGCTTCATTTCATTCATTTCATCTTCCATCGCTGATACCCTTTCTTCCAGTTGATCGCATCGGCTCCTGAGGCTTCTGCATTCTTCACGTAGTTCTCGTGCCTTGGCTTTCAGCTCCATCAGCTCCTTTAAGCACTTCTCTCTATTGGTTATTCCAGTTATACATTCGTCTAAATTTTTTTCAAAGTTTTTAACTTCTTTGCCTTTGGTTTGAATTTCCTCCTGTAGCTCGTAGTTTGATCGTCTGAAGCCTTCTTCTCTCAACTCGTCAAAGTCATTCTCCGTACAGCTTTGTTCCATTGCTGGTGAGGAACTGAGATCCTTTGGAGGAGGAGAGGTGCTCTGCTTTTTAGAGTTTCCAGTTTTTCTGCTCTGTTTTTTTCCCCATCTTTGTGGTTTTATCTACTTTTGGTCTTTGATGATGGTGATGTACAGATGGGTTTTTGGTGTGGATGTCCTTTCTGTTTGTTAGTTTTCCTTCTAACAGACAGGACCCTCAGCTGCAGGTCTGTTGGAGTACCCTGCCGTGTGAGGTGTCAGTGTGCCCCTGCTGGGGGGTGCCTCCCAGTTAGGCTGCTCGGGGGTCAGGGGTCAGGGACCCACTTGAGGAGGCAGTCTGCCCGTTCTCAGATCTACAGCTGCATGCTGGGAGAACCACTGCTCTGTTCAGAGCTGTCAGACAGGGACATTTAAGTCTGCAGAGGTTACTGCTGTCTTTTTGTTTGTCTGTGCCCTGCCCGCAGAGGTGGAGCCTACAGAGGCAGGCAGGCCTCCTTGAGCTGTGGTGGGCTCCACCCAGTTGGAGCTTCCCAGCTGCTTTGTTTACCTAAGCAAGCCTGGGCAATGGCGGGCGCCCCTCCCCCAGCCTGGCTGCCGCCTTGCAGTTTGATCTCAGACTGCTGTGCTAGCAATCAGCGAGACTCCGTGGGCGTACGACCCTCCGAGCCAGGTGCGTCATTTTTTAAGCCCGTCGGAAAAGCACAGTATTCGGGTGGGAGTGATCCGATTTTCCAGGTGCCGTCTGTCACTCCTTTCTTTGACTAGGAAAGGGAACTCCCTGACCCCTTGCACTTCCCGAGTGAGGCAATGCCTCGCCCTGCTTTGGCTCGGGCAAGGTGCGCTGCACCCACTGACCTGCGCCCACTGTCTGGCACTCCCTAGTGAGATGAACCCGGTACCTCAGATGGAAATGCAGAAATCACCGGTCTTCTGCGTCGCTCACGCTGGGAGCTGTAGACTGGAGCTGTTCCTATTCGGCCATCTTGGCTCCTCCCTACTTTTCCTAATTTCTAAGGATGGTAAACTATGTTATTTCTTTGAGACTTTTTTCTTCTCTAATATAAGCCCTTAATGCTATAAATTTCTTTCAAAGCACTGCTTTAGCTGTAGTGCATTTTAATTTTGGTACACTTCAAAATATTTTATAACGTCTTTTGAGATTTCCTCGTTCACCCATGGGTTACTTGCAAGTATATTGTTTAACTTGTGTTTGGAGACTTTCCCATATTTTTCTGTTACTGGTTTAATTCCATTATGTCTGAAGATATGCTCTGTGATTTTGATTCTCTTAAATTTACCCCATCTTAACTTTTTGAATTGTCATCTAGCCAGCAATCTCTACTCCAGTGAAACAACTGTTCTAAATGTGGAAAGGTATACTGGAATAAATTAAAATCAGAGCAATCTTATACCTAAGTCTCATTGATAAAGATGCTTTTCTAACATATATTTATAGTGAAAGTGAATTTGTTTTGTATTTCAATCTCTAACTGAAAAACTTGAAAGTAAATTTTCATTTATTAGAGGCTACTGATTGGAGAATCATATGGATGATATTATTTTTGTTTGTGAATTGAATTCCCATTTCACCCCACTGTCACCCTACCCATTTTAGCTAGTAGGAAGAGGAACTTCATGGTAACATTTTTAAAACAATTAACCTTGAAACATTTTCAGGAATAAAGATTTGTGGTGAATGTCCTGGAGAGAGATTTTTCTCTGTATTATGGTAGCATTTTCCTCATTGCAGGCTTTTCTACTTATGATTTATTTGTCACCAGTTTTAGATATCCTCGTATGTCCTCCACACAGTTTCACAACCCACAGAGTTGTTGGGGACAATAGAATAGAATAAAAGATATAATGATACGTGTAGGTGAGATTTTAATCTGGAAATTAATAGACTGTAGTATGCATTTTTCTCGAGTGAAAACAAATCTTTCTCCAGTGTCCTGTGCTTTCCCTATCAACAGACTCTTACTTCCTAATCCATAGATCCTAAATTTCAGTCTAAATAAATCTGACATTTCATGGATATAAGAGTCACCCTCAGATATTTAGGAATCGGCATTTCTATTTATTTTTATTTTTATTTTTTGAGACAGAGTCTTGCTCTGTCCCCCAGGCTGGAGTGCAGTGGCACGATCTCGACTCACTGCAAGCTCCACCTCCCAGGTTCACGCCATTCTCCTGCCTCAGCCTCCCAAGTAGCTGGGATTACAGGCGCCCGCCACCACGCCCGGCTAATTTTTTGTATTTTTAGTAGAGACGGGGTTTCACCGTGTTAGCCAGGATGGTCTTGATCTCCTGACCTGGTGATCCGCCTGCCTTGGCCTCCCAAAGTGCTGGGAGTACAGGCGTGAGCCACCGCGCCTGGCCAGGAATCGGCATTTCTAAAAAGAACCAAGGGCATTCCTCTCTGGACCACATTATGAAAGGCCTGGCTTAATCAACGTGTGGGTTATTAATACTCCCAGGTAAGTGGTTATCTGGAATATGCTCAGTTTGCCTGTTCCACCGCAATCACATTTCTAGTATTTCCTGCTATAGTTGGCAACTCTTTGTCAATAAAATTATATTAAGATTAACTATCATGATAACAATTCAAACCTACTGGATTTAATAAATTGAGTGGCATCTCACAATCAACGAGGTAGAAATCGGTGGATAAATATCCAAGCCTTCCCATTCCTAGAAGGGCAACTTTGGGCTTCATTCTACATGGTTTCTAAAAGTCTTTACTGGGATTCACCTTTAGTAGCTTCCCTACGCAAGGAAAGAGCGCTTCTTCCTGTCTAGGTCTGCTTCAGTAATATTTCATGGCTACTCTCATCAAAGAATTTATCTTTCATTTCACTGAGCTTTAGCTGTGTTTTTAATGAATTTTCTTTTGTTCTGACCTCATTCAAGACAAGACTCACGATCAGAATTCTTTTAATAAGATAATAATTTTGCCCTTTACTTTTATCTTTCTTTTATCTGAACAATCCTGCTGTTTCTTCTCAGTTATTCTGTTGACAAGGTTTAGGCTTTAGTTAGTAAATCATTGTCACAGTAAGACTGTATAATAAACCAACCCAAAACTCAGTGGCATCCAATGATAAATATTTATTCTTATAGTCATGAATCTGCAGGTTGTGGATTAAGCTAATCAAGTGGGCTCAGTTGAGCTCTGCTTTAATCTGGGTATTTGGTTGAGTTTGTTTCCTCACTGTAAGTTGAACTCAGCTCTACTCCATGTTTGTTATGAGGTTTCAACTGAAGGGAAAGTAGCTACCCAAGACATTTAACGCCCCGTACTTGTCTCAAATCAGCTAACATTTCATTGGCCAAAGCAAATCACATGGCCAAGCCCAAAATTAAGGTGTGGGAAAATGTACTTTTCCATGGCAGGAGTGAGGATGTGAACACTACCACATGGTAATCAAGAACTGTGACCAATAGCTCAATGCACTACAACGCTCTTTCCGTTGGGGTGATAAATGGTCTTGTTTAGTGGTTCTCAAAGTGTAATCTTGAAACCTGTTGGGATTCCCAAGAATATTTTAGGGTTCTGCAAGGTTAAAACTATGTTCACAATAGTAATAATGAGATGTTATTTGACCTGTTTATGCTTATTCCTTCGTGAATGTACAGTGTAGTTTTCCAGAGTCTACAAGATGTGTAACATGATAGCAATTGAACGCAGAAGCAGACCTAAAAATCCAGCTGTCTTCTGAGGGAGCAGACATTAAAGAGATTTGCAAGCCAGGAACAGTGACTCCCACCTGTAATGCCAGCACTTAGGGAGGCTGAAGCAAGAGGATTGGTTCAGCCCAAGAATTTGAGATGGCCTGGGCAACGAAGTGAGACCTCATGTCTACAAAAAATAAAACAAACAAAAAAATTAGCCTGGCATGGTAGCGCACATCTGTGGTCCCAGCTACTCAGGAGGCTGAAGTAGGAGGATCACTTGGGCCTGGGAGATCAAGGCTGCAGTGAGCCATGATCAATTGTACCACTGTACTCCAGCCTGGGTGATAGAGTGAGACCCTGTCTCAAAGAAACCAAACAAACAAAAAAAGAAGTTTGCAAAATGTAAAACAATACCACTATTCTTGTAAATTATTTCCAGATATATGGCAATTTTTATGAAAATATATTTATGTTAATAAGCAATGGTTTTTTAATTATCATTTTAAATGAATTTACAAATACATATTTTTAAAATTTCTGTTTTAATGTTAAATATGGTAAATATTAATAGATACCATCTTTATAAACAAAAAGTCTTTGGGATTTTTAGTGATTTTTTTCCTTCTTTTTTATTGTGGTAAATAAAACAAATAACATAAAATTTATTATCTTAAACATTTTTAAGTGTACAGTTCAGTAGTGTTAAGTAACTTCACATTGTTGTGAAAGAGATCTCCAGAACTTTTTCACCTTGTTAGTCTGAAACTCTATACCCATTAAACAACAACTCCCCTTTTCCTCCTTCCTCCAGCCCCTGGAAAACCCATTCTGCTTTCTGTTTCTATGAATTTGACTACTTTAGATACCTCACATAAGTGTAATCATATAGTATTTATTTTTTTGTGACTGGATTATTTCACTTAGCATAATGTCCTCAAGGTTCATCCATGTTGTAACATGTGACAGGATTTCCTTCCTTTTTAAAGCTGAAAAATGTTCCACTGTATGTATATACCACATTTTGTTTATCCATTCATCTGTCAATGAACATTTGATTTGCTTCCACCTCTTGGCTACTGTGAATAGTGCTGCTATGAATATGGGTGTGCAAATAGCTCTTCAAGATCCTGTTTTCAATTCTTTTGGATATATACCCAGAAGTGGGATTGCTGGATCATATGGTATTTCTATTTTTGATTCAACAATTTATTTTTAACTAAACTTCTTATTTTGAGATAATTGTAGATTCACATGCAGTTTAAGAATTAATACAGAGAGATCTATGCATCCTTTACCTAGTTATCCCCAAGAGAAACATCTTAGAAATGGTAGCACAATATCACAAAGAGGACATTGACACTGATACAATAAAGATACTGAACATTTTCATCATCACAGTGAGCTCTCATGGTTCCCTTTTATAGTCAGACCTACTTCCCCTCTCATCCCCTTCTTAACCTTTGCATTGACAGTTGTTTTCTTTCAGGACTTAAAAAATGGTGTGTCACTTCCTGCTGTTCTCCATGGTTTCTGATGAGAAATGTGCTGTTTTTCAAATTGTTTTTCCCCTGTTTGTAATTTGTTGTTTCTCTCTTGCTTTTTTCAAGATAATTTCTTAGTATTAATTTTCATCAATTTGACTACATGTCTTTTGCTAGATTTGGGAAGTTTTCAGCTATTATTTCTTTTTCTTTTTTTTTAATTTTCCAAATGATATATTTATAATAGCCAAACTCAATGAAATGGGAATCCATAGAGGTTTGAAGTGGGATATAGTAGTAACTACACTAAAAAAGTAAAATATATATTTAAGTACTTCTTCAGCTTTGCTTTCTTTCTATTCTTTCTAAGATTCAGATGACATCGATGTTAGATCTTTACTGATCATCTCACAGATCTCTGAAGCTTTGTTTGCTCATTTGGTTTGGGGTTGGCATTTTTGCTCTGTGTTGTTTGGACTTGGTAACATATATTGTTCTATCTTCCATACACTGATCTTTTCTCTTCTGTCTCTAGTCTGCTGTTCAGCCCATCCCCTCAGTTGTTTTTTTCTTTATTTTAATTTTCGTACTTTTCAGTTCTAAAATTTCTATTTGATTCTTGTTTATATCTTCTATTCCTTTGCTGAGACTTTCTATTTCTTCATTTGTTTTCAACATATTTGTACTTGCTCATTGAAGCAATTTATGTGACTGCTTTAAAATCTTTACTGGATAATTCTAACATTTCTGTAATCTCAATGTCTGCACATATTGTATTTTTTAATGCTTAATATGTTTATTTTATAAAGATGATCTTTTAAAAAGGCACACATATAAGTTCTTTTCTATCTTGATCTTTTTTCTTAAAGTGGGTAAACTGAATATATCCTGTATTTCTCTATTTCATTGTGGAGCAAAGCAATCATAATAGGCCTTTTTTTTTTTTTTTTTTTTTTTTTTTTTTTTTTTTTTTGGAGACAGGTCTCCCTCCTATTGCCCAGGCTGGAGTGCAGTGGCACAATCATGGCTTACTGCAGCCTTGCCTTTCTGGGCTCACATGATCTTCCCATCTCAGCCTCCCAAGTAGCTGGGACTACAGGTGCACACTGTCATGCCTGACTAATTTTTGTATTTTCTGTAGAAACGAGGTTTTGTCATGTTGCTCAACCTGGTCTTGAACTCCTGGGCTCAAGAAATTTGCCTGCCTTGGTCTCCCAAAGTGCTGGGACTATAGGTGTGAACCACTGTGCCCAGGCTAGGTCTATTTTTTTAGTCTGAAATAATGTTCATTGCTCCCCACAGTAATGAAAAACGTTAAAAATCTTATCTTCTCATAACATATTAATTCAAACTAGTGTAAGTAATACTTAGGTTTAAACATTTTTTAATAAGCTTCACTTTTTAGAGCAAAAAATGTGTTTTTAGCTCTAAAAGACAGAATACAAAAGAGGTGTTTTACCACCAAAAATAAGAAACTAGAAGTTTTAGGTTCACAGCAAAATTGAGCAGAAGGTACAGAGATTTTCATACATCCCTGCCCTCATGATCACACATGCATAGCCTGCCCATTGTGACATCCCCCACCACAGTGGTATGTTTGTTACAGTCGATGAACCTGCACTGACACATCACCATCACCAAGAGTCTATAGTTTACATTAGGGTTAATTACAGGTGTTGTACATGTTATGGGTTTGGGCACATTTACAATGACATGTACCCACCCTTATGGTATCATAGGGAGTAATTTTACTGCCCTAAGAATCATCTGTGTGCCACATATTTATCCTTCTCCCTCCCTTTACCCCTATTGATTCCTTTTTTTATATCCAGTTTGAGATTTTTTTGGGTTGCAGTATAATTTCTTATTTTTTTCTTGAAACCTGGATATTTTGGGTATTATGTTATGAGACTCTGGATCTTATTTAAATCCTCTATTTTAGCTGTCTTTTTTTGACATTGCTTTGGCAAGGAAAGTGGGGATGCCACCTTTTTACTGCCAAGTGGGGATAGGAGTTCCAGCTCCCCACTAGGACTCCAGTGCTATCTTCCTGGCTGGGAGAAGTGGGAGTACCTTGTTACTATTCCTTTTGCACCTTCCACTGACATAATTGGGTGGGGGTTCGGGTGGCTTTGTCACCACTGGGCAGTGATAAAAGTCTTGACTGTCCACTAGGCTCTCTTCTGACACCACTCCCTGGGGACACTGGGGAACCTTTTTATAGCCTCTCAAGGGTAGAAATCCGGGCTCCCCACTCAACTTTTTTGGCCTGGGTGGAGGTAGGGCCGCAGTTTTTCTATGGTGTTTGGCTGGAGTAACATAGTTACGGTCTAAAAGTTTTCTGTCTTGCTGAGCTGTCCTTTTTCTTTTCCTTCAGTTAGAGAGAACAGGCTTTGGGAGACTTCCTTTGTCATAATTGCTATTTCTGGGTTGCTAGCCTCTTCAGCTTCAAGTCTAGGATGGATGAGGCAAAAAGAAAATCCAGGGCACTTATCACTGTGTTGTTCCTTCGGTCCTGAGGTCCCTACCTGGTCTTCCTTCTTCTTGTCCACTTTCAGAGTCTTTCAGTGCATGTTTTATGTATAATGTTCAGAGCTTTTTAGTTGTACTTAGCAGAAGGAATAAGGAAAAGTATACCTGCTCCATTTTCCTAGAAGTGGAAGCCTCAGTAGTTTTTAAGAATGTAAAGAAATCCTCAGTCCAAAAGGTTTGACAACTGCTGGCCAAATTCAAATGTTCTTAGGTATTAAATGTTATAAATATGTGAAACAAAATAAAACAAAAATCTTTGAAGGTGGTGTCAGTAAGAATGCCTTCTACTCATTGCACCACATAAAGACAGTAGAAAACAAATGACCCTTTTATAACTTATCTCCATCTTTTCACAGAAGAGGTGTTTTACCGCCAGAAGTAAAAGACTAAAGGCTCAGAAGTTTCAGTCCTTTCAGATGCACAAATTTAGCACTGTAAAAAAATTGACCTCCATTGTCTTTTTATTTTTCTCAATTCTCTCTGGTCCAGTGGAAACCCAGCTTTCCTTAGACATGTATGAGGCAAGTATGTGGGAACTCCTGTTGTAGTTGGCCTTTCTGGAAATGGGAATTTTAAAGTAACACCGCCTGGCTCAAAGTAAGGAGAGTATACGATTTTGTTAAACGAAATAGTCTCCAGATGCATTCTGTGAGGCTTGCAGAGAAGAGTATCTTTTCACACTTGATCTGTAAAATCAAGTTGCTTATTCTGTGCAGGACACTAAACCACATACTCCCAGATTCTGGAATGATTGTCCAATATGGTGTTACATTAAGATCCATGAAGAGGATTACAATTTGTTAATATTTTGGCATAAAATTTTATTATGTCTTTCTCATGTTTTCCCTATTTTTTTTTTACCAGAGGCTATCGTGATGAGTGGATTTTTAGCAAATAAATAAATAAAATTCAGATAAATATTTAGCCAATCCAGACAGAATTAGTCCATGCAGCTGCTTTCTCCTAGACACACTGACAGCATTACTCAGTCTCTGCAGGTTTCATGAGCCAAAAAGTTAAGAGAGATAAGGGCAGAGCCCTTTCTTCTACGTTGGTTCTCCAGTGGTCAGTAGAACATTTCTCCAGGATATAGCACCCAAGCACTGGGTGTACAAAAATAGCCTTTCTGAAATCGGGGCGGGGTGGGGGAGGGTTCTTAGTGTAAGAAGGAATCATTTAAATCCTCGTGGTCGTGGTCTTGGTTTACTTCAATGGAACTCTCTCTAGACTGAATCATTTCCCGAAGGACCATCAAGCGAAGTGCCAATTTAATCTCAAATCCTCAAAGGAAAAGCTTACAGTTGTCAGTGGCGCGTCCTTCTCAGGATGGAAATAAAACAGCTCTAGCTTTCTGCTGGGCCAGGAAGCATTGATTGCAGGAGAGAGCAAATGCTCTCACAGTCTAATCAATCTCACAGAGCAGATGGATACAGCAATTAGTGCAAAAACAATTTTGCCAAGAATATTAACACTTCTAGAGTTTATCGAGAAGGGGTGAAGTTTCTACTCAATAATTTTCTAAATTTATAGAATATTTACTGGTGAGCAACAGGGTGTAGGATCTCTGATCTCATGCTCTTGTATAGGCCAATGTAATTAATAGAAACACAAAAATTAGGTTCTTCATACACATCAAGTGAGATGTAGAACTGGGAGTGAAAGAGTTTTCTGATTAATACATGCTCCAACTCTACTGAAAAACACTGAAATGATTATTTTGTTTTGATAGAAGTTATTCAGAAAATTGCTTTAATGTTTTACCTTTGCAAACTTAGGCACAGCTTAATGATCTAGGGCAGAGGTTGACAAACATTTTGTGTATAGGACCAGAGAGTAAATGTTTTAGGCTTGGTGGGTCATATGGTCTCTTTCACAACCACTCTTAACTTTGCTGTCATAGCACAAAAGCAGCCATAGAGATAGGTAAATGAATGGGTACGGCTGTGTTCCAACAAAACTTTATAAAACAAGTGGCAGGCCAAATTGGGCCCATGAACCAGAGCTTGCTGTTCTTTGATCTAGGGCATTATCATTTTATCTCCTCTAACATTATATAGTTGATGCTGAAAAGCATGGGTTTGAACTGTGCAGGTCCACTTACAAATGAATTATTTTCAATAAAGATACTGGGATTTTTTTTTTTATATTTGCGACAATTTGAAAAAACTTGAAGAAGAACCACATAGCCTAGAAATGATGAAAACATTAAGAAAAAGTTAAGTATGTCATGAATGCATAAAATGTATGTAGATACCAGTCTATTTTTATCATTCCCTACCATAAAATATATATAAATCTATTTTAAAAAGTTAAAATTATCAGAACCTAGGAACACAAACATAGACTGTACATGTGCCATTCACAGTCTAGAGAAATGTAAAGGTGCAGTGTTAAACCATAACTGCATAAAATTAATGACAGTCCATACTGTACCCATGTAGCCATTGTGGTGAACTTACATGCTTCAAGTGTCTGCTTAAAACACCATGTGACACTAATTAATCACCTTCATGTGATCTGTTCCTCTCTCCAGTAAATTGCATCTCAGTAAAAAGTGATCTTTCGCAGTTACTGTGTATTTTTCATGATGTTTCGTGGAATACTGTAAATCTTGAGTAACATGGGACACATACAAAGTGTCACTAGTGATACTAGAAGTGCTTCCAAGAAGCAGAGGAAAGTGTTGACATTACAAGAAAAAGTTAAATTGCTTGATATGTATCATAGATTGAGGTCTGCAGCCATGGTGGCCCAGCATTTCAGACAGAGGATTCATCTTGTGAATAGATTGTAAACTTATGACATCAATAAATACAGTACGTCACTACAAATGTATTTTCTCTTGCTTATGATTTTCTTAATAACATTTTCTTTTCTCTAGGTTACTTTATTGTAAGAATGCATTATATAACACATATAACAGGCAAAATAGATGTTAATAATAGACTGTTTATGTTATTGATAAGGCTTCAAGTCAAAAATAGGCTATTAGTAGTTAAGTTTTGGGGGAGTCAAAAGTTGTAAGTGGATTCTTGGCTGTGTGGGGTGTTGGTGCTCCTAACTCTGTCATTGTTCCAGGGACAACTGTATGTATACATACATTCTTTCTCCAAAATTAGGGCATTTTATAGAAAGCACCAAACTTATAATTAGGTAATGTCTTTAGAATCATTACAAAATAAATTTCTATATGGTTCCTAGAATTTGTTTTTCACTCATAATATGAACACATGCGGCAGATATGCTTCCCCTTTGAGTAATTGCACTTACCAGCCAAAGTCTTCCTATCATCTCTCCAACACACCCTTCATCCTTCTCTTCCTGTGTCCCTCTCCCTTCTCCTAGCTCTCCTATTCTTCTCTTAGTTTTATTCTTTTGCACAATTTTCCTCCTACTCCCCTTACCATATTTCATCTTAATTTTGGTTAAATAGGATTTTATGGATTAGCCTGACAATCTAATCAGAAGCTGATTCCTTGTGGCAAGTCAGGATAGACCAGTGAGTGTAGGGCGAAAAGTACAACTGCATTTTGAGAGGTGGACAGCATACCCACTGGGTCCAGTTATATAATGTTTCTGTGCCTCAGTTTTATCATCAGTAGATATAGTGATCATAATGTAGCTACCTTCCATGGTCTTTTTACAGAATAAGTGAATGTGTATTGTAAAGGACTTAGAACAGAGCTAGCACTTAGCTTCAGGAACAAAGCAAGGATATCTGTCCTTACTATCTATCTCTACTGAACATTTTACTAGACGTTGTAGGAACTAAAAAGAAAGAAGGATTTTGATTGGAAAGAAGAAATAAAATTGTCTTTATTCAGAGATGACATTATTGTTTATGTAGAAAATCTGACGGTGAAATCTAAACGCTGATAGAACTATTGAACTATTAGAACTACTGAGTTCAGACTACGTTGTAGGATAAAAGCTCAAAATACAAAAAAAGCAATTGTATCTCCCTATACTAAAAACAAATAATTAGAAATGAAAATGTGTAAAAATATCACTCACAATCAAATAGAAAAATGAGATAATTTAATATTTATAATATGAAATAAATCTGACAAAGATGTGCTAGAACTGTACATGGAAACTATAAAACATTGCTGAGGGAAGTTAAAGATTTAAATAAATGGAGAGATGTATTGTGTTTATGGATCTAAAGATTCAATATTGTTAACATGCCAATTCTCCCCAAAATGATCTGTGGAGAGTGAAAGCAATCTCAATCAAAATCCTGTATTTTTTTTTTTTTTTTTTTAGAAATTGACAAGCTGAATCTAAAATTCATAATGTAAGTACCCAGAATCACTGAAACAAGTTAGAAGAAAAAGAAGAAATGTAGAAGACTTGGGTACTTGAATTTAATATTCATTATAAAGCAGATCAATGATTTCATGGGGATGGTGATTGATGCTAATGGGAAGGATAGGAGGGAGGGATTAGGGGCACAAGAAAACTACTGGGGTGATGCATATGTTCATTATGTTTCCAAGTTGTGTGCATGTATGTATTTGTATAGATATATACAAACATTTCATGTATATTTTTCATATATATGTCAAAACATCAATTGAATACTGTAAATATGTAAAGTTTATGTTAATCATACATCAATAATTTTGGTAGTCCCCTCTAATAAATTGCGTTAAGATCTCATGATATTCGTGTGTGTGTCAAGCTTTCCTTTCAATTTGTGTTATTTTCTATTCGTTTGCATTCATTTTGTTGTATTTTTTTCTTTTCGATTCTATTGCATTGTAGTATATATGAAAGTCTTAGCAAATTCTTTTTGTAATAAGATGTATAACAATGTTATATTTCAACAGGACCATGAGATGTGATATTTTAAAGGCCAACAAATGCCTCTTTGCATGTCAGTTTAGAATGCCTCACTAAGAGGACTGTCCATAGGATGTAGTTCTCATTCCCATACAATCTGTTCAATGGTTTTTCTAATTTGTCTAATTTCATTCATTCATTCATTCATTCACTGAACATATTTCTGTGGCAGGATTTGAATGATATAAGTACATGATATTGAATTTACTTGATCTTATGTGGTTGATTATAACTGTAGTTTAAGCATTACATGAAAAATTTTAGACACTAAATAGCAAGTCCTACTGATGTTAGATGCAGTTTCATTTCTGTAACATTATTTTCTTCTTAGATGCTTGGTAGAATAATTTACTTTCAGAATCATCCTGACACATTCTGACATTTAAGTAGTTTGATTTTACATGATATATTATCCTTTAAAAAAATAGGACAAATGCCAAATGCCTGTATCAACTTCAGTGTTTACAGCACAGAATTATTAATTAAATTTAGTTCTTCATTTGAAAAATAAGTTTGCTGGACTCTGCCAGTTGGAGTGTGGATTAATTTAATGTAGTTTGAAATATAGGAATTACCAAATCCAGTTAAGTTTTTATTATGCTATTTCTATGTCTTGAGGCATACACCCCTGTTTAGAGATTTTTTTTCTCTCCAGGCTAAGATTTCTGTTCTTTTTTATTTAGCCTTCTTGGGCATGTTGCAAATATTCTACCTAGTTATGTTTTCCAGGTCTATTGTAGTAGAGCCAATTCTTCATTTTCTCTGCTTCTCACCTGTTTTTGTCTATTTATTTGTGTATAAGATGTCAAAGGAAAATGAAAAGTAACACCTCAAAATACCACCTTGAAAAGGAAAATGCCAACAAATTCTTTTCTGCACCTGAAGCTTTTAATTCTTTAATCCACCATGGAATGTTGCTTAATTACATATTTTATTATGCATAACTGAAAATTATGTACTTTAGTTTCAACAATGATATGAAAGCATGTATTGTTTATAAATAGAGACTGGTTTGTCTCTTTTTTTATATTACAAATATTTGTGGAATTCTCACATGTTCTCCTTCTAAAACTTGGCTTTTTGAAAATGCTCAGAGAGCTCTGAGAAAAACTTCAAATTTTAATGTTTTCTCTAGAAATCAGAAAATTCATTTCTTAAAAAAAAAGATGATGTCATAACGACATTATGGGTAAAAACCATTGAACAGTTTAAAGATTTTTGTAGAAGTTTTATCTTCGTTAGTTTCATGAAGTATTTATTGATGAAAAAATGTTACAATTGTTGAATTAGGTGATAAATTCATGGGAGTTCCTTGTCTCTACTTTTGTGTGTGTGTTTGAAATTTTCCACAATAAAATTTGTTTTTTAAAAGACATTTAGTGTGTATAGGTCTTTGGAGGTCACTATTTCATGAGGAAATATTCCATACACTTGATTTCAAGTAGTTAGTGATCAAAGTCTTCATATTAGCAAAATATGCATTACAACATATTTCTGAAAATTTTGAATTGCCATTAGGTTTTTGTGTGTGCATTTTTTTTTTTTTTTTTTTTTTTTTTGCATTTGAGAGAGTTTTTGTTAGGGAAAAGAGAGAGAAATGTGTAGACTTGAGTTTGAGACAAATGTGGCCACTTAACAGCTAAACAAATCAGTTAACCTATTTGAGTTTCCCTTCCGTTGTCTTTGAAGTGAGAATGTCAGTGCCTGCCTTAAATACCTCAAGGTGGAATGCAGAGGTTTAAACAAGATATGTTTGTGGCAGTGCCTAATAAAATGAAGCATTCTGCAAATATTTTTTCTATATTATTTAAAACATGTGTGAGGATGGTGCTAAGAAGGGGGCCTCAGAAGGAGAAAGCCTTTGTACTAGATCTAGTGAAACAAATGTTTGCAAATTCCCTTTGGAAACAAAGGTAGAATAGATGAAACCTGTCCCTAGATTAAGATGCCGTTCAACAGGTTTGTGCTCTGGACAAATGTTCATTTTGCATCACATTGCCACAGACTAACGAATAAACATATTTAAATATTTGAATATTCTTCTTCAACATTCTCATCTAACAGGTATTGTTGGTTCTCCTGTGAAAGGAAAATCAGAGTAGCACACGGGACATCATTGTGTCAGGTGGGGGTGGTGGTGTAAGGGCATGCATTAAAGTGTCATTGTAATGAAAATTTTGTATTTGAGTACCACAAAAAGCAAGTATTTCTGATTCAACTCACAGTAAATAACGTTCACCATTTACTTTGTTGCAAAATATGTCACTTCGGAGTTTCTTTGCAAGTGTTTACTTTGCATAACATACTGCTCTACTGCATTCGCTCATCAACCACTATCATAGAGAACAGGGCCCAAGTCAAGTGCTTTTGATCACAGTAAGTGTATTAGCAGCTGAAAATAATTGTTGGGAAACGGTAACCACACAACCTTGGTACGAGGCAAGAAGCTGTAATTGAGTTTTGGTAGTGTTCTTTTGATAGAATTAAATTTGGAGATATATGCTCTCTGTAAGTAGGGTAATGTAAGAAAGTCTTAAAAATGTGGCTCATCTTTTAAACATTAATTTCAAACTATTTTTATTTAACATTTGGTATTGTTAAACAGGTATAGTATTCAGGACATACACCTTCTACCACAATTTCTTTAATTAGGGTACTTTATATTTTATCAAAAATGTGCATATTAATAGATTGTAGTTTAGCCTTTGTCAAAAGACATGCAAGTATTTAGTATTTACATTAAAAGGATTGCCTCAGAAGAAACATTGAATTCATAAGCCCTCTTAAAAAGTCAAAAATATGCATAAAGAAGACTAGTATTGATATTTTCTGATATTTTAGATATGATTAATATTTTGGACCTCCATTGGTTTCCACACTATCATGCAAATTTCCAACTTGCTTTAACACAACAGTTCTATCAGCTGTATTAGAGGGAATACACATTTTAATTGCTCTTTTTGAAAATATCACCAGGCAGTTCAGAATGTCTCATTTATTGAGAATATTGTGACAATCAAAGACCTTAATATCAGCCAGATGCTAACAATTGGGAATAGGGCAGAATTTAATAATGGAATGTATGGGATTCTCATTTTTACTCAATCTTGAATCATCTGAGAATGTTTTCTATTCAAGCCAGTATTTTTAGATAAACACAGATATAGATATCGCTACTTTGAAAAAAATCACTTATTTTAAACTCAGAATTTCTTAGTACTAAATGCTAACCAATACACATTTTATACATAATATGTACAGACTTTGTTACCAAGCGCCACACAACTAGGACATACATATTAGTTACCTTGGTTTTCAAAGGTTGTCAACTCTGCATATTGTGTGGCAAGGAGATACTATCAACATTTTTTTTTGCATAATGTGCAAGTATTATATGGCCACAGAGTGTAATACAAATTAGTGGCAAAGTGCTGAGTGAAGGGAATCCATGACAGATTCAGATGCACAAGGTTGAATATTACCCGTAAACTACCTGACTCTGCTAAGGTCTTAACAGCACAAAACGCTATGTCATGCCCAGCTTTTAAAAGTCTCTGAAATACTTGGACACAATGAAGCTTGTTAAAGGAATTTTACCATAGCCACAGGTAACAAGAGGAGGATTGGCATGAGCGATAAATGACATTGGGGGAGCAATATGGAAGATCATCTGGGCAAGTCTTTTCTAAAATGTGCCATCTTCCCTGAAAACAATTTTGCTCACTCCATCCTATCAGTTTATTAACATGTGCTTGTGTGTGTGTGTGTGTGTGTGTGTGTGTATGTGTGGGCATTTAAAATATCAAATTATCAAAACCACGCTGACTTTTAAAAGTTAAAAAATCTAAGTGGGAATTTTGTTAGCATTGTTATGTTGATTACCAAACAAACATTCAAACATTCATCATTTCACTGAAAACACTATTTCAAAATAATTTAGGTTATTAGGAATTGGAAAGTTATTTGCAACCCAAACTTAGGGGATATAAGGAAGAGGAAGATAACTTCATGGCATTTGAGTTTCTATTTTATTTCCTATTTTTTAAATACATGAAACCTAGTTTCTATTTTCTTAATTCAAATTCCTTTGGCTCAAATTATTACTTTTCTGAACTCTAGTGAGCCAGAATGTTTGTTTTCTTACTAAATAAAAAGTGGCAACTTTTCAGTACAATTTTAAGTTTGCAACAAACCAGCTGCCTTCAGAGGAGCTTAGCTGTGCTTCAAAAGTAAATGGAACTTTAAAGCTTTATTGAAAGTTTTCAATGATTCCACTTCAGTTTCTAAAGTACAAGTTCAACACTAAAGCAGCCCAGTTGCCTACCAATAAGCTCATCAGGGCCTGAGAAGATGGTAGGCAGAAAGAGAAGGGGCAATTGCAAAATGGTATCTCAAGCAACCCAGATACCCCTACTAGCATCTAGGAAACAAAGTGAGGGAGCAAATAAAAGAAAAATCACCCCAAACTGTAATGCTGGCCTCAATCCTGTGACCATTAGCACACCTCATTTTATATTCTGGCATTTTACTATGTTTAATGTTGCAAGAATTTTGAAGATTGTGTTTAAATACCAGGTGTGTTATTCCTATTTTCTTCATGTAGCTCTTATAGTTATGAGATACACTTACGAGCTCAGTTATTAACTTATTCCACTTATAACTTGTGAAAAAAAAAAGCTAAGGGGTTTTTATACAGAAGGTCCATTTTTTCCCCTACTTATTTTGTTACTATTAATGGCCTTTAGAAATATTTATACATTAGCTTAAGGAAAAGCATTGCTATAAATGAAGTATTGTGAAATAAGCACAGATGAATCCATTCTAACAACATAACTGCTAGAGACTGGATTTGTTTTTGTCGGAGAGTCTTTTGACCATCCTATCTCTACTTATTAAGCAAAATGTTAACCAAACAGGTTATTTTCATTGTGAAATTTCATACCTATTTAAAAATGAGCATGTGTTTGTGATTTAAATTTACAGTGTTTCAAGTAACTTGTCAATTGCTCTTTTTAAAATCAGTGAAATAACAAGTTATTAACATGCACCTAAATGAGAGGGCCATCCTTTGACTCCTTTAGTTACTTCACATAAGCAGACAAACCCTACCATGTCATACGATACAAACAATTTTAATTGTGTAGTTACAGTCAATAACCACTCCTAGTCAGAACATTTCTGCATAAAGAAAATTGTGATACACTTATAAAAACAGCCAGCTGTAACAAAATAGCTGTTTTCATAGCCATAAACTCATAAAAAAGAAATACACCTTTATACAGAAATTTTATACAGATGTAGCTTTAAAATTGATTGTAAACCAAAGGAAGACACATTGCAAACATCAATTATTTTCACATTAATTGCATAATTTTCTAAGGTGATCTATTAGTTTTATTTACCTAAGCTTATTTGCATGATAGTAAAAATTGCATACAACAATAAGAGTGAAGCTTATAGTATGAATTGCTTGGATAACATAGAGCACTTTTTATAGGCAACTGTGTAAAGCACATTTTCTCTATTTAAAACTTTTAAGACACTTTGTTTTACTGCCCATCAAAATACATTTATAAATAGAAAAGAATCAGTATGGTAACAAGAGAAGCAATATTACATTTAACGGAAACTTCCAAAAAATTAATTACAACATGATGCTGCAGGATCTACAAATAAATAATGAGGACTAAATTGTGTTTCACATTTTCTTTTCCTTTTTTTAAAAAATCATGTAACAATGAGAATGAAAAAAAAGTACAGTGAACTTTTATTTCCAAAATAAAAACAAATTTGAATTACGGCAGTGCCATATAATACAAGGCATTTGTTGGCATATGTCATCTTTAAACTGCATTCCACAGTCTATAGTTCTTTTGTAACATACAATAGAGTAACAAACTCTTTTTTTTCTTTTTTTTTTTTAAATAAGGGGCAAGTTTCCAAAGATCAGTGTGGAGTGCTACAGAAATAATTATAGGAGAGGAAATCATAATCACAGAAGGTATAATGCTTGTTTGAGGCTCCGGAATAAGAACTAAAAAAAAAACAAAAAACACTGGTTTCATGCTTACGGGGTACACACTTTGGTGCATCCCGTGAACACAAATTTTAATACCAAACAATCCTTGATGCTTCACCTGGGGCTGCCAAGCAGTTTGTAAAACAGAGGAAAACATTTAGTGCAGTCTGTATTATCCTTTTCCAACTTTTCTGTTTGTGCAAGTTTTTGAAGATTCATTGGCCAAACAATGAACAACAAAGGTTTTCTGAGAGAAGACAAGGTGGACTTTTCATTTTGTTAGTAAATACCAGTGGCACTGTTGAACGAAACAAATACTTTTATCTCAGTCTTTCAAATCAGTATTAATGTCTGTGTTTCCTTCCACTGACAGCTCTTCTTCTAGTTTCACTGAAAAAAGGGTGTTAGTATTTTTATCTTGGACACTCTCTTCCAAATCCTTCAGCAGCTCCTCTTCTTTATATTCTGCCACATCGACCTCTAAACCGGAATTGTCCTTCAGTTTGCCGTGGTGCTTGAGATAGTACCGCTGGTTCTGAAAGAACTTGATGATGGTGTACTTGGGAAGGTCGAGCTGGGCAGACAGAGTCTGGATGGCCTCTTCGTCAGGGTACAGGCCCACGTCTTGTATGAAACTCTGGAGGATTCCCAAGGCTTCCACTGAAATTTTTGTTCGTGGCCGGGTCTTCTGTCGGTTTTCCTCATCTGACTCTGCTGGAGAGGCCACCGTGGGTTGCCGTGGGGGGAGCCGAGGGCCTGTCTGTGGCTGCTGCTGTGGCTGTGGAGGCGGCGGTGCCTGCTGCTGCTGCTGCTGCTGTTGCTGTTGCTGCTGCTGTTGCTGCAAAGAAACAAGGAGACAATCAGAGCTCTGCTATCGTGGAGTTCCACACAAAGCCGTCTCCAATCAGGAAAAATGTGGTCCCGGATCCTACATATAGCTTCTTTGATAGGGATGAAGATTTAGAAAGAAAAGGTAGGCCGGCGAAATGGCCGACAGCATTTACAAAAAAATCAAAATGATATGACTAGGAAGGGATGAATTAAGACAGCTTTGGGGGGCTACTGCACTTACTTATCAGAGATCAGCAGAGGAAGTGAAAACTCAGTGCTCTGAAAATGTGAGCCATAAAATTCACTAGAATGATACGCATCAAAGGCGAAGACAGCACATCAAATTATGATGTAAATAATTAACAAAGATTTAAAATGAAGATGGAGAGGAAAGGATTTCAAAGACATTTCAGAAAGGTGAGCTACAGAGCAGCGGGGAAAGAAATTTGTGTTCTGCTCCGTTTCATTGGATGGCCAGGAAGAACAGAAGATGAGCTTATGCTCTTATTCAGTGTTATCTGTCATGAGACTAAAGGATTTCTGATATTCTCACACTTGTGAATTTTCTATCAGACAGTTCCAATTTAATACACACACAATTTCTTACCGAATTGCACTAGGCTGACACTGCAAGTTTTTTTCTTACCTCAAAAGGTTCAATCCACCATACGACAGCTAGCGAATTGTTTTGTCTATAGCAAACTCAGATGTGGTTAGGATTTAAATTTAGTGTATACAGACACTTTTTCATAATTAGTATATGTATATGTGCTACAATTTCCATACACAATTATACATAAATATGTGACACATGCACATACTGTACACTCGATATCCATAATTCTTATCAGCAAAGTAAATCAACCTAAGTGGCAAAATATTAGAATGCTGATACCGTGTCTATGCATTTCCTTTTATACCCCTAAGAAGCAATTTTATTAAAAACAATTTATATTTTCGAATAAGTACTTTTTAAATTAATTAACATATATCGTTCTCTTTTTTGTTTTTGCTAAACAGTAAGTTTTTCAGGCTTTCACGATTATTTTAGTGCTTGATATCCTAAAGGGAAGCTCTTTGTCAACTTGTTTTATCTTTAATACACACTTGAGAATTTTTTTATCCTGGTAGATAAATAACTTTATTACTGTTTTTAGTTATACGTATCTATCTATACACACACGCACACACATATATATAATTTTTCACAGAAATACAAAAAAATTGCAGAATGTAGGTGACTCAACAGAGGTAGAATTTTAGGACTCTGGAAGGCAGTGGCATTTTACTTTAAAAGAGAGCTAAAATCATCCCCTTTAACAAAAATAAGCTATACAACTCAAGTTCAATGACAACACGCTTTCTAAGCAACTGGGGCCCTAAGAGCGCTAATGACTACCTGATCCCAGAACTTTTCCATCTAAATTCACAGAAGAGTGTCTTCAGGAGATGAATGGTGACAAGTCCCATGACATGACAAACAAAGCATAAGGCTGCATCTGCTGGCACAGTGAGCTCTGCCCAAGACCATGGTTAGTAGGGCCTTTACAGGTTTGAAAATCCTGACCTGGGGAGCAGGTCTTTAGGTCACCCCCTCTCTGTGTCCCTTGGTGGCATAGGTAACTGTGCCCGCTCACCTGAGGAGCAGCACCGAGCCATGGTGCAGGGGTCGGCAGGCCTGGTAAGAAAACGCCTCTAGACTCTCCTTTCCCAAGGGTGGTGGGAGAGGGGCTCTAAAGGAAAGACAAACAGAGATGACTCACCCCTAACCTACATTCTGTAAAGTGTGGGGAGACAGCTATTACATACAAGGTGAAGGAAGGGCCAAGGACTGTAAGGCAAGATTCCAATTAAGCTTCCCTCCCCTCCTCTTTCTGGACAGAATCCAATGTATAAAATTGTGATTCTACAAACTTCCTTTACAGCAACAGCGGTTGCTCTTTTCCTCAGGGGCACTGTGGTATTAATTAAAAAATAGGTGGTGTTTTAAATTGTGATTTTTAAAAAACACACAAAAATTTTAAGCTCTTAACACAAAACCCAATACCAACAAAGACACATTTGCCAAACGAGTGTAAAAAAGGGGTTCCTGTTGCTTTGGTGGCTGGGAGATGAGGAAAGAGGAACACGATACATACGCTGGAAAAAGTATGTTAATATTCATTTTATCCCCCTGAGCAAGATGGCAGTGTATTGTTATCTCTTGCTAAAAAGCCTATGGTTAGACTGGCAGGAGGAAGAGAAACGCTAATTTCCCTGCTAAGTTTAAAGCTTTATTTACTTATTGCTATACTGAATTGGCCAAAGTAAACGAACCTGAATCTGCTCTGCTGGAACATGGATAATGTGGGGCGGCCTGTCGCCATGGTGATGCACCGCGTTGCTCTCCTGTTCATAAATGGCATCACGTTCTGGCTGAGGAAGACTGAGGAACCTTCGGATCATGGAGAGGTTCTCCCACAGGGTTCTGTTTTCTGGAGAAGGATCTTCTTTCCAGCGTAACAGCTCGCACAACCATCCCTTAGAGACAAGGGCATAATAGGTCAGTTTGTGCCTATGAGAGGGGCTGGCATTTTCCATTAGGAGCTAAAAAGGAAAAACCCTATGAATTAACTTTTTCATAAGCTCAGAACACACCATTCTGCTTTAAAAATTGTTTTTAACTTGTTAAGAGAGGTTATCTGTGGCTGTCAAGGAGGCAGACTCTGTTTCTAATCAAAGTTCAGATTTGCATCTCAAAGGAGGGACATATTTTTTCAGACTCTGAGGGTAACAGAGCATTTATCACAGATTTTTTAATATATGAAATAGGAGAAAAACAAAGTTGATGTGCTTCAGTCTTGCACAACTTTGCTATCTGACGAGTGGCTGGCCATCTGAGGATACGGAAGTGCCTAAGAGGCAGGACAGATTTTAGAAATAATTTTTTTCTAAAAGGATTTCCTAAGCTTGTACTTTTTGGATTTGAAAGAAAACTGTGTGTGAATATTTATGTGTGTACATGTATGAAACAGAAAGGACAGGTGCAATTACACCAGCAAGAATGTTTTCCAGTATAAGGCATAATGATTAGAATGGGCATTACAGGAATTTGCTATGAAAGAACTCTCCAAAGAGAGACACTGGAGTCCTATTTTTCCGCCTGCTGCAGTGGGAGCATATGATTTGTCAGGCAAGAATTTAATAGGTTTCTTGGGCTAAGAGAGAAGGAAATGTCCAATGACTGCCAAAATCTGCACCTCTCTGATGTTTCCAAGGCCCAGTTTTTTTACCCTGAGGTTATCTATCAAGAACTGAATGATCATGAAGAATATATTTTCCAGTCATCTCGAGTCTTCACCTTGGCTGCCATGATGGACACTAAACAATGGAGTGAAGGGGAAGAGTAAGGGTGTCTGATCCAGACCCCCACCAGCCAAGGCAGCTACCCCTCAGCTGTTCTGCTGCCTGCTAATACCTCTCACCTGCACTCTGCTCTCAAAAAATGTCTTGAAACCAACTCTACACTTCTTCATTGACCTCCTCACCCCGGGTGGCCAGTGACTGGCTGACCCAGTGGCACAAAGTCTCTGCCCCTGTTTCTGAAAATGGACAACTTACTCTACCCTTCAATTTACTCTCTAGAGACAGTCATCCCCATTCTTCTTGCTCCCTCCATCAATCTGGGGCTAGATTTTGCCTGAGACCATATCCTTATGGGACCTCTTTCGCTTCCCTATCCTCCTCCTTTCTTCCCAGGGCCCTTACCAAATCATGATCACCTGACTCCCCATCCTAGGCTCTGCATTTAGGGAACTTGATCTAAGACAAAGACATTTCTCGGAAATTTTAAATAAATTAGTTGGATGAAAATGGAAGTATAGTTTTTTTTTTAATTATGTAATTTTTAGATCTAGCCAAGGAGGGTTTTGTTTCTTATGTTACCAGGAGTGAGGCCAGAGGATGGCATGACTTTCCTTCCCTTCTCAAACTGAAACGATTAGAGAGAAAATTCTTCAACTGCAATATGTATAGTGGAAAGAAGCATGGCCTGTTCTCCCAAAAATGGCCTCCTTGAAATATTTTAAAAGAAAAGGTAGAAAACTGACATATTGGCTTCCTAAGGCCTATCTGCTAAGCAGCTCATCGTGACGACTGCTGTATCTCATGACATCTACTAGTATTCCTATTCAACATGTCTTTTAATTAAGCAAATATATGCATGTCATGGTCTTGTAACCATGCACTCATTTGATGCCACTGAATGCATAATTCAAGGTTAAGACAGCAGGCAGTAAACTGAAGATTTACCTGAAAGACTGTTAGCTAAATAAAACATAAAAATCATTGTGATGGCAATGTCACTGAATTTGCTTCTCTTCTAACCATGGCAATTCTATGTTTATTTCCAGAATACTATAATATGACATATTTCAGCTCTATTTATGTGAATATATTAACTATAAAACTGTTATGTGAACATCTGAAGTATCTGAGACCCACTTGCATATGGTGCCCTGCAGATGTTTACTTAGCTTTTACTGGTAAATATTTGCCATCTGAATTAAGCCATGAAAATATACATTTTCCTACAACTAAGCTATTCTTTATACTTTACCTTTAAATTTTGTTGCTATGTATGTTTTAGATAGATTATCTTCTGGTAGGCTTGAATATTAACTGTGGGTGAGATTACTTTCCCTCTCCCCCTTGTCTGCCTCCTTTAGCTATCATAATTGACAGAACCCCTCTACCCGAACACAGCAAATCACACAGTTTTATATACCTTTCAAAAGAAGTTAGAGGTTCATAAAGAACACAGAAGATTTTTTTTAAACTCAGCTAGCATTCTACTATTGCAATAAATGCTAAACATTGAGCATCCAAGAATTTTTTTTTAGAAATAAATGCTTGTAACTAAAAATTGCTAAAAGTTAAATTAAGAATGATTCATGTAAGAAAAGCTTCTTGGAGAGAGCTGAAAAACTCCAGTGATTTTTCACATCCTTTAGGAACTTTTTAAAGTAATGCAGAGATCAGTTAGCACTTGGATATATGTGAAAAAAACATGTGGATCACAGATGTTCTTTGGAAAAGAAAATCATTAGTTCTTTTAAAATGGCTAATAATGATAGCTAATTCCTAAACAATCACACTCATGCTGGTTTAACAAATATTTCAGAAAAAGAGCCCCGACTCATTCAACAAATATTTTGCTCATATTGTCACTTCTGTGTCTCTAGACTTACGAGACAGATCCTTATTTTTATTAATTGCCCATGACTAACATAACATTTCCAGTAGTTTGCTATTAACCTCTGCCCTTAAATAATACTTCTAATTCCTTATCTAAAAATAATTTGATGAATTATAAGTCGAAGCATGTCTCCGCTAGCCTTTCAAGAAATGCGATGATTTTAAGAGACTGAAATCAGATGCTTCTTAGAAAAATATTTAACGGTGCAGCTGGGAACTGTTTGCTCTAAAGGGTATTCCAAAAAAATTTAAAAGGGGGAGGGGATGCTTCTCTTGATGCGCATTGCTCTTAAAAAAATAATGGAAAACAGACATTTTGACACATTAGCTCTCTGTCAGTGTAGAAATAAATTGGCTCATTCCCAGTTTACACTGGCAAAAATAAGATAATTTATTCTAATGCTATTTAAATACCTTGGAATATTTTGACTACCTCAAATTCTATTGATTGTTACTCTATTAATAATGACAGTAATCTGATTTATGTTTTGCAGAAAATGACTAAAGAAGCCAAATGCTTTCTAATGCTTCAGTACCTTTTTCTAGGTCAGTTTTCCACAAGTGATATTGTTAGAACAAATAAACTTGGGAAGAAAATGAATATGTCACAATATTTTTAATATCTAACAAAAATAATGATTCCCCAAAGTACTGTACTAGTTTTTAAGTGTTAACTGCATAGACTTATGTGGGGGAGCAGAGATGAGGAATGAAATGCAGTGCTTTGTTGCAAAAAGACAAAAAAAACACCAACAAAACAAAACAAAACATAATTACGTTTTTAAGAGAGGTCTCTGGGACTTGATATACATAAGACCATAGGAAGAACAGGGAACTGTTCTCTAAATTAAATGAGCTCACAACTGTTTTGAACAGTAGAAAAGACAGGGGACTAACAGCCTTAAAATAATGAGACCGATCCATTCTCAGAAAACTAAAATGGTACAAGGAACAACCTAAACTTTAAATGTAGTAAATTTGCCAAGCAACATTACACTGCATATAAAGAGGGCAAAATATAAACAGTAGCCACATGTAAATAAATTAGTAAAACTTTCAGGATGTTACTACTTTTCAAACTGACAAAGTTTAATTTGACACCTTCTGTTCTAAACCCTTTGTTTCTATTCAAAATCACGCCTTGAGCTGTTGCAATCAATCACAGTGCTCCCCCTATTACTTAAAAAAAACTGGCATGGACGCTGAATAAGCTGAAAATGCCATGCAGATGAATTCTGAGATAATATGTTCAAACCTGTTATATACAACACAAATCCTGCAAAGTTATGTATTGTAAACCTACATTTATTGAGAACTAAAAGTCTTAAATCCATCTGCCACAAAGGAAATACTGTTATGTACTTTATAGTAACCAAGAACCATGTGCAAATGTCTTGCTACCGTAAGCAAGAAAATGGTGCAAAAGATGCTAAACCTAAGACTGTACGAAATAAATAACATTCTTTTGACTGGTTTTGGTTAGGGATCTATTAAAGAAATGTAAGATTGAAAAAAAAAAAAAAAGGAAAAGAGAAAATGCAGAATAACTGCCAAATCAGTACTGCAAAAAAGCAAAACAAACTCAATGATAACACAATGGCAATTTATTATGGTCCATGAAACACATGACTGTATGCTCATTTTAAAGGAAAAATTAGCAGTTCTAAACTCAATATTCTAATGATGTGCTTTACTGACAAAATCTTGTTGTACCACATTTAAATAAAAATCCTGGCACCTTCATCTCTCAGCTGCTAATTTCCAACCAAACTCAATCTCTGATTTCCACTCCACTCTTTTTACAACATTTAATTCAAGTCAATTCGCTTCTAACATTTTAACAGATAAGGAAGGGGTGCACAATGATTTTAATTGAGTCAAGAAAGTAACCTCCTTTCATAAATGAATTTATTGTACTTTATAAAGCCTCACATGCATAGAATGAGAACCCCTAACAAGGCCTGTTCTGTGACAAAGCTGGGAGTATGTAACATAACTACTTTTCCAGGAGGAAACAGACTTTGGTATTCTCTGAGAAAAAAAGTCATTTAATGCAATATACATATATGTATATATTATCATTATGTACATATACATTTTAAAACTAAGAGCTATAAAAAGAGAAAGAAAATGACAATTCTTACTGCAACTAAGAAGGAAAAATACATCTGAAAAAACAGAATGGTAATTTGAGTTCTAAAAAGCAAAACATTTTACAGTCTGTATTTATTCCCCCTCACCCTCATCTTTTATGTGTTATTTGCAGGAATAGTTTGTTCCAATCTCTGGGGCATACAGTATAATAATATATGATATTAAAAGAAATCAATCTAAATAGGAAAGTATTTGATACAAACATTTTAGTGGAAAGCATGAATTACATTTCAGCAAGTAGTAGGAACAAGGATTAAGTACATAATCCATTAAATAGTACTTCTAACAAAAAATTCAGTATTGTAGACTAAACTACACCAGGCATTTGAATGAGTACATTTTCAACAACAACTAACTATAAAGCTAGCAATTTATCATTCAGCAAATAATTTTCTACTTTTAAAAGAATCTGTAAGTGTTACTTATGCTAATGAAGACAGTTTTTAATCTGCCCACAAACATGCTAATAGAGGGCAATTTTTTTTTTTTTTTTTTTTTTAAATAAAGCTGTCGGCACTCAAGGGTAATTTCATATCAGTGTGTTCTACAAGCTGGGGGAAAATGAGTTCTAATTGTCAGAGCTACCAAATCCTTCACCTTTAGCATAAAGGTTTAAAGATATCACAAAGATGCCAAGTGATTAATAATGTTTTAAACCACCCCTTTTTCTGTCTGAAAAAACAACTAAAACAATATTACAACAGTATAGTTACAGAAGGGTTCTATTTTCATATGTTTTATGCACACTGTGCCTCAAAGGTACTATTTAAATATATATACTTTTGAGGGGGTGGCTAATGCAGAAACACCCAAGACCTAAGGAAGATACAACCCCATTTCTAGGTGTGAGGTCTAAATGCTTCACACACCCACTTGTGACCTTTTTTCATGAAGAATCATAACACTGTGCAGTGAGAAACAGTGGCAAAGCAATACTGAAAGCATTTTAAATTATTTACTAGGTTAAAAGGGTGAACTGATACTTTAAATACATCAAATTTCATCATCTAGACCATTTTTTGGTGGCAAAGTGGTATTGATCTTTCCAAATGCTTAAAATTAACTATTTTCCAGAAGGTCATTATTTGATTAAAGGCATTAAAGTTGAGGGCAAGAAGCGATGCACTTTTTCTTCTTTCCCATTCAAATCATCATATAATTTAATATAAACCATCCCATCATGTCCTGTAATAAAAACACTTGTCTTAAGATATTGTTCTTTACCTAACATATTAACCTTTAAATGTTATGAAGTTCTTTAGAAGAAAAACCTTCGCTAAAGCAGATTATTCTATAACATTATGAGAGGCCCCCACCATTAACATTAATAAAGATACATGTTCTCCTCTATGGAATTAGTAGGAAATGCATTAATCTTTCTCTCCAGCTTAATAACATCTACTTTGTGTAAAGTGAAAAGAACCTCAGCTGGCACTGTAAGTAACTTTTCCTGCTAAGTTAACATTGGTCTTATTAAAGAAAACATGGAAAATAAATTTGAACAGAGACGTGCCAGTAAATGCATTTTCCATTCTAAAAGTAGCACATTACATCCACTTGATTCAAAGACGGGTTTTAAAAAGGAAATATATTTTAAAAGGCATATGTGTGTGCATGTATGTATCCCCCAATATGTTTATTTTTCAAAGTGTGGTTTCTGATACTCATATTTGCTGAAAGAAAAAAATAATAATAATCTTCTTTTTAAATGTTACTATTCTTAACTTCTAAACTGTTACTGTTTTTGAATTCTCTCTAGAGGCTCCAGTTTATTTAAGAGACTCAGTATCTTAGCCAAAAATTTGTGCGTTCCAATACTGGGGTAATAATAGGACATAAAATGGCTATCAGAAAATTTTTTGCTTGAGTAAATTTTTGCCACTTAGACATTAAGAAGTTAAACACCTCTACCAGAGTTTCTAAAGGTTACACAGAAAGAAAATTATTAGCATAAACCTGGAGAAAAATTTCTATTAAAATTTTGTGAACTTGGAAGGAATACTCACAGTCACTGGTAAATGATCTTCATTTTTCAATTTTATTTACAATTTAATCAGATAAAAAGGTGCAAATCATTTGTTTTTAATGGTATTTATGTTTACCTCTTCTCTACTTTTTCAAAGCCACTAACTTTAGGGCACATGTGGATTTGGTGGTTTTTCTTAGGCTACAAATCATTTGGTCCATAACAAGATTATCAAATGACAACCTGGCCAGAGCAGATACAAATGGTTCTGACTTAAATAGGTTGTTGAGCAAGGAGATCTCACATTTTAAAGAATATTTTCAGAGGGAGAATTTGAGAAGGGGGGAGAAAAAAACAAACAGGAATGAACATAAAAGTATAAAATTCTAGACAACCCACTAAACCAGTTAGCAAAAAGAGGAGCTCTTAATTGAAATAGAGAATTTCCCCAAAAAAAGGTCTGAATTTATTTTTAAAACATTAGATTTGGAAAATACCTAATTTGAAAGTTTAATTTTCATATATACGTCAAACCTGCTTTTAGGGTAGTTTAGTCAAAGCTGAAACAAAACAAATAAAATTCTGGCTTATATATCTGATACTTGAATAAGGACTCTGAAAAAAAATGTTCCCGTTTTTTTTCTCGTCAGCCTAAGATATATTTTTGACATTACATAAATTTCAGTGATATGATCTGGCTCCTATTTAACATTTATGCACTTTCTCTTCAAATGTTAACTTTTAATTTTCTCCTCATTCTTCATAGCTGGTATCATTAAAAAAAACAGAAAACTCAGTACTCCGAAGGTTCATGGTGTAACATTTTCATCAGTTTTCGTGTCTCTTTCTATCATTAAGAACCATCCACTCCTTTCCATTCTACCACTATTGACTTGTCAGAACTGGAGCACCTCTTCCTTGAATTACTATGTTAGACAACAACATTCTTTTTTAATTACTTCCAGTGGGCAATTATTTTGATTTCTGAACAAAAAAGCTTTTAAGTAATCATTCCTTTTCCTCTCTTAAGTTAGGGGAAAAGTAAGTCAATGATGACCAGAGTTTTCAAGAAGAATAGAGAACCAGTGTCATCACACAGAGTTGATGTGATTCCTACAAAAAAGCACATTAATCTGATGTTTAATTTCGCCCATGAAACTTACTGATAGGTAAAGAAACGGGTTTAATTAAGCTTTCTTGAATCCTCTTAACCATGTTTGTGATATCCTTGTAAATCAGATCCCAGAGTGAGAATCTTTACATTAGTCTTCCACTTTCAAACTGCCCATAGTTACCCTACTGTGCACCATGACCTTCAGTGGCTTCCCAAGGTAGGAGAAAAGTTCACCCTCTCAGGGGCTGTTTTCGAGGTTCCTCCCAATGACACTGATGTCCAAATCTGTTGGGCTATTTATTAGCTATTGCTGAGCACTGCCCTACATTCTATTCTCCATTCCTTATACAATTCTCTCTAATGGGAAAGCCCTTTCTCCTATTTTTTTTTTTGGTGCCCATTCAAATACTACTTGTCTTTCAAGACACGCTCAAGCACTTCTGTATGCCAATAAAATGATTATATCTCATATAGGCATTTATCTATGTGAACTTGAATAATGTTTCTGAGCCTCAAGATTCTTCCTCTACAAACTGTAGATAATAATGGTATTAATCTCACAGGATAGTAGCCAGTACAAGTGAAACAGAATACATTCAGCCCAATGCCTGCTCCATGGTAACTACCAAAAGGTCTTATAAACTTTACTGAAAGCACTTGCCTTAAATGTCTCCAAGCACATTTGGGAAAACCTGGAATTCAAAAATAACTATTAGTGCAAGATAGCATGTGATAAAGGTCATTGATGGGCAGACATCAAGTGGATCCACATGGAGAAGAAGAGTTGAGGTAGGGTTGTCAAGGAATTCTTCATTGATGAAGAGAAATACTGGCTTGGATTTGAAAAGGGGACAATATTTAAAACAGGAAAAATAATAAATAACAGAACAAGATGAATTAGCAGGGGGCTGGGAAAACAGACCAGTTGCTTTTGAACTGTCTATGACCCTTTTTTAATAGCTCTTTACCATACTTTCTTGAGAATACTACTTAGTTACTGTAACCTCATTTCCTCTACTGGACTTTTAAGATCTATTTGTTAAGAAGTCTGGGTTTTAATTTGAATATCTATTCTACCATTTATCATAGCCTTGTAACCTTAGGCAGATTACTCAGGTTCGCTAAACCTCAATTTTCTGCTCTATAAAATGGGGTCTAATTTTACCACTTAGTTCACAGGGTTGTGAGAATTAAGTAAAATAATTCATGAAAAGGGCTTGGCACACAGTAACAGTATGATGAATGTAAGCTATTATTATTTTATTGTTGTTATTATCACACAAGGGATTTGAATATCAAGGGGGCTAATGAAAATAATTCAGTTATAATATTCCAGTCTGAACCAAGCATCTTCCCCTAAGCCAGGTTCTCCTAGGAAGTTTTACTCAGTTAATAGTATTACCACATACCCAATCACCTAGGCTGAAAGACTGTTATTTGAAGCATAAATTGGTATAGTCTTTCTGAAGGACACTGTGAATTGCAGAATGTGGAAATATCTAGCAATCACCTGTAAAACACAAATGCCTTTTTGATCCAATAATTTCACTTTTAAGGATTTAAGGAAATAAGGATATGTACAAATATTTAACTATAATGTTTACATTCATATTATTTGTACTAGCAAAAGTTGAATATAGCCTAAATACATCTCAGTGGGGAATTAAATGGTATGTTCAGCACATGAATAAATGCAAGACATACATGCATACACACATATATACATATAGATACATGTGCATGTGTGTGTATGTATAAAGGGCGTCAATCAGGATCCTTAAGGTGGTCATCTCTAGGTGATTAAATTTATGGATAATTTTATGTTTTTCCTTATGCCTATATCTTCTACTTTTTCTATAGTAGCTAGGTATTAGTTTTGTAATAAAAATATATAGCAAGTGGCTTTAACTAAAAATCTAACTTTTCTTGTCTGTCTCTTCCATAACTGATGAATTCCTGTCAATACTCCCTCAAACATCTCTTGAATTTGTTCCTTCTTTTCCATTCCTCCTGCTGTGGTTCAGTCCCACAGCATTTCTTCAATAATCTAATTCTGATGGCCTTCTTTATTCCAGCCCACCCCCAACCCTGCTATTTGAGTTACATTTATCACAAACAAATGTGAACACAAACAGCCCTTTGAGTGGCAAACTCCTCACTTTCCTTCACCCAAAGAGCTTGGAAACACCCTGAGGCTCACACTTCAACGAGTGAAATGTAAAAATGCGGCAAAGGATTCACCACAACAAATTCAAGCGGCAGCAAATGCGGGTACACAGAAAGATACAAAAATGGCCCAATCTGGGCTATTTAGTGGTAAAATACTGTATACACCTCTGCAATTTCTGAGGGCTCATGTATAGTAGCAAAGTCCAACAATCTGTATTCATAATGATGTTTCTGTATTCAAAAAAAAAATAAGGTTCAAATTGAGCTCAGCATAATAGGTTTAAGACAGGACAGCACCATAAAAAACTCTGTCAAAGGCAAATAAAATTATTATTTTCTTTAAAAAGAAGAATTTATGCTAGGAAACTTTACTTTTCCTAAATTTCTTAACCCAAATGAGTATGTGCTCTCATATTGCAATGTTATGAAGCAAATTTATTATGTTGCTTCCTAAAGTCACTATTAAAAATTTATAATATTTATTTTCCTATTCAAAATAATGGTCATTAAGAAAAAATATTGCTGAATATTCATATATGCCATGTGCAAAAAAAAAAAAAAAAAAAAACCAAAACCCCAAATAAATATAAGAAATCATAAAAAGAATAATTTTAAGGTGACAATTTACCTGACAGGGTAGTTTGTCTGCTTACAAAAATAATTTACTACCAGGTTGATTTGGATAAATATTTCTGCCACTGCATTTTACATTGATTTATGTGAAACTTTTCAACACTGCATGTATATCCTAAAATGAGCTACACTCCCTATTATGCATATTTAGGGACTGGGAATTAAAAATTTAAATATTCCCTCTATGATGTTTTAGGAGAGATAACAAAAAATTTTTAAAAGCAGGGCAAGGCAATTTGGGACTGTAAAAGTTAGGGAATCACACCCTAAGAGGAACAAGCAAGCAGGGTCACTATGAGCTCCCAACTTGCCTATGATTTTGCTGATAAAGTGTCCAAAACCGCATCATTTTATCCATTATACAAACTTGCTAATCAGAAGTTGGCTTAATTTGAAAGACCCAAATCTTGTGATTTACAAGTAGGCATTAAAAAAGGCAAGCATAAATATTTCTAGAAGCATCATGTGGGTCTCAGTGACAATGGCCGGGTTATAATTTTACCAATAAAAGGAGACAAGGGAGACTGGGGCTTTGCACAGACTGTCTCAATCACTCCTCTGACCACATTTTACATCTGGGGAAAGCAAGCTCAGAGAAGGCTCCAGGGGAGAATGGCAGCAGTGAAGCATGACCCTACTCCATCCTTGTGAGCCCACTCCAGCGCCTCTTCCCACTGTCCCACACTGACTCCCTTTGGAATAGGCTGGCATTTGTGAGGGTAATATTGGGAGCTGATTAAAATTTACTTCTGAATCATTCTATCCTCCTACAAAGAATTCCTGAGTACCATCTATGTGCTAGTCATTGTGTAGGCTAACAGGAGATGTGGGGACAAAACTTCTTGTCCAGTGAGGTAAGAACCACTTAAACTTCAGGTTTAAGTTGATACTAAAGGTATAGTTAGTTCAATTGGAAAAAAAAATGTCTAATCTAAAAGCAAAGGCGTTCTCTCACAAAGTCCTACAGCACTGCATGTGGGCATGCGAATATCAGAGAAAAGGTTGTCTGGAAGGTTTCTGTTTTGGTGGTTGTTTTAAATGTCACTGCATCATTGTTACCTCTGTTTACATGCTTTGGAGTGAAGGATGCTTGAAGAGCAAGCATACCAAAATGCAATAAACAAAAAGTAAATGTTTCTCAGGTTAATTTGAGAATCCCTCAGCTCATGTGATAAAATACATATATATTTTTTTCCTCTACAAAATTTATCTAATCATTGATCTCATCTCTTGTGCCATGGACCCTTCTGGGAGTCTGGTAAAGCCCATGGATGCCTTTTCAGAACAGCGTTTTTATGTGCCTGAAATAAAATACATAAGATTACAAAGAAAATCAATTATACTGAAATACAGGTATCAAAAATTTGTGATACAGTAATATATATACTTCTTTATTAACACACTAAATAACAAGGTTTAGCAACAGATCTAATAACTACTGTAATTTTATAGTGATGGGCATAAATGATATTTTAAGATATCTAGAACAACATAATAGGACAGGAAAATATTTTGTGATTTTTTTTTAATGGTGACAAATTCATAGGTATTGCTACTGTCATTTGTTGCCTATATTGATAATTGAATAAAATGTCAACTTTCAGTAAGAAGAGGTTGGAGAAAATAAAGTCATTTTTTTCATCCAAGTTCATGGTTCCCTGGGGGAGAAGGTGGGCCAAGGTTAAGAACCCCTAAATGGGTGACCCTTCCTCTTACCCCACATAAACGTGTGTGTGTATACATACATAGCTATCAAATATATATGTATGTATGTATATATATATACACACACACACACGTACGTATAGACACACTTCAAATACTGTTCCAGAACTATCTCCTATAAGTTCTTAACATATTAGAAAATCTTAGTATTTATGGATTTGTGAAACAAATTTCCTTTTTTTTTTGCCACTGAAGGACCATGCCTCTTAGAGATGGGTTAGAGAAAAACAGTCACTACCACAGGGGTTCCTAGACTGTGTCCTCAGTAGCCCCAGGTTTCCATTAGAGGTGTTTCAGAAGTACCCGCGTTGTGTATGTGTAGGGTTAAGGGGTTGATGAGAAGGTCCCTGCCCCCATTCAATCCTCAGGTCAATCAAAATGGAGAAAACTTTCATCTCATTTATATATTTCAGTTCTGAATGAGATTTCATTAATTAAATGATGGTTCTACAGCTTACAATTTTTGGTTTACAATTGCACTAGCACATATATACCTCATTGTTTTCCTGGTCCTGTTACAAACACAGAGATTGGGCTTACAATTTCTGAATAAAGCATCTAAATTGTTACGGGTATTGACATCATGTCATCCAAGTAATTTTAAAGGTAAATAAGATTAGCAGAGTATCCTTTCAGAAATGTCTACCTGCCAGGAGAACACCAACAAGTTTTTCCAAAGACACAGGGGTTTTCCAAATAGAAGGAGATAAGGTAGGACAGATACAGGATAGAGGCAGGATACAGAATGGAAGAGTGGCACAAGCATTGGATGTGCGGGTGGGTAGGGTCGGGGAGGGGAGTGGCTCTGCAAATGCTAGGAAACTAGCAGTGATCAAATACCAGTCCCTGCTCTCTGATCACTGCCTCTCAAAGAGCACATGGCTATACAGTCTTTGTCTAACTAGCTGCCTTGTGCCTTGTCCTCCAGTCTAACAGAAGATCAAAGAAGGTGAGTAGAAAAGATGGTAAGGGGGGAGACAGGTAGAAAATAATTGAGCACATAACCGTCTGATAACTTTATATTATATGTGGCTCAATGCTAATTTGCTCAGAAATACAAGCATAAACTTCTGTTTAGAAATTAAGCTTGATGGATAAGGCTTTCGTCCTTATGGTTATCCAGGGTCCAAGCTATTTAGTCTCTTTAATCAAAATACTAAAATAAAATCATTACCCATTAGGCTATTACCCTTCCCCCAATCTCCAAACATAGAAGCAAAAATTAATTGCAAGCCAGGAAGAAAGAAGGTAATTTAGACAGTAACAGCTTGGCATGGACTAAGCTAGATTTCCAAATAGCATTTGTCTGTTTGTGAATGTATATTTTATTTACAACCTTCACTTCCTTGACCTTGTTGAAAGTAATTTATTTTTACCTAATCTGCATTTCATTTAAACAACCAAATACTTCATCAGTAAACCAGTCAAGTAACACCCATGACAAGCAGCACTCCTGTTGGTACCATAAGTAAAATGGGTAAACATTTAAACGCGACATTTGGGGATGGACACATCTCAGCAGCTATTAAATGCTACAGGTACCAATTTATAAACTTGCAAAAATGGATTTCAAGGTATTCTTTTTTTTTTTCAAGGTATTCTCTCAAATGAGCTGTCACTCCCTGCTTCCTTTTCCTTTGTATTTACTCCCTATCTCCCTAATCTCTTCCAAATCTGTGATTTCTCATCAATCGAGTATTCTCACATTGCCCTGCTTTCCCGTTTAATGTGCTATTAAAGTTTTTAATGTGCCAGAAAAAAACTTCCATCAATCAATCAATCAATCAATCAATCAATCAATCAAAAGAGCAGCTAAGGGTGGACCTTCAGGCATCAATTGAAAAGCAAACAAAAAAGAGACATATTTAAAGAGGAAAGTCTTTAGCAACCTTCAAATCATATCATGCTAGCAATCACCACCCTACCACATATTAAACCAAGCCCATTCCCCAATGGAATTCGGCTCATCTCATACTCTATACTGTACTGATGCTGCTAGGTCTCTGTATGATAATAGGGAGAGTTCCCAGTCATCTATCAACAAGTCTCAGATGAAAAGTGTATATCAATCATGAGCTCAACTCACACCATGTAATATGGAGTTCATATACTGGATTCCAACAATCAATTCAACCCATTATATGCCACCTGTAAATAACCCTTCTTGGCTCTAGACCCCAAAATATCACTTTTCCGCCTACCCCCCAAACTAAGCCCTTCCATTATCCAAACTCTTACCTTTTGTTTCCCAGACTAGAACACCTGTCAGCAGTGTCTTCAATCAAAATAGCATCCTCTGTAATACTTGTGTACCTGTTTCAGTCACAAACACACAGACCTAGAACTTTAAGGGACGTTAGATATAATATGACCTAATCTATTTTACTTTCCTGAAGGGGAAGTTCAATGTCTGAGAGGTTAAACGGCTTGCCTGGGACTACACAGCAGGTTAGCAGTGGAACTGGGACTACCACTCTTTGCAGTTCCCAATGTTTTCCATGAATGATGCAATTCATGTACAAGTTGTTAGGTAAAACATCGGTGAGTTTGCAAATTAGGTACTATTACCTTATTTCTGTATTATGTAGAAAATCAGGAGCCATGCCCTCTAGTTCCTTTCAGCTTAGGCTACACTGCAAATGATACTGATGACTTCAACAATGATGATGAAAAATGAAGACAGTGGGTCCAGAAGAAAACAACAAAGAACATTAAAAGGAATCACTTTTCCTTCCTGTATGTTTTCATGAAGATATGAGAGCACTGAAGAATAGCAATTGCAGAGTGACTGAGGATGGTGGATTCAGTTGGGGCAAGATAAAGTTTGTAACACTTCTATTGATTCTTCATCGGTGACTTGTTAACAGACAAATGGAAAATGTCTTCTTATTAGATAGGGACCTGGAAGGGTCCATAAATAAATAATTTGTCTTTGAAACGCAGGATTCTTGTAGTCTAACGATTAATTTAATGAAAAGATGTGCTCTTTCTTTGTACTGAGAATACTGATCTTGTTAAACTCCGTATACACAACAGCATCCCTAACGAAGCAACTTTTTTCCCCTCTCTTTTCTGTTCCCTTTTGTATTAACAGGCATGCCAGGCAAAGAAATACAAATACACAAAAATGTTTGCAAACATGAAAAACTGGGGGATAATTTTTTATCTTGCAAGTGAAATCTTTCATTTGCAAAGGAACAATTTAGGACTCCTTTTAATGGTGAGCTCCACCAGTGATTGCAAAAAGTGACTGAACTTGCATGCTGGCTTATCCCTAACATACCTTCAAGTAGCTGTACAAAAAACTTCAGGGTTATTAAAGCAAGGGCATTAGCAATGAAACCATAAATTTTATTTACCTCCACTTTTCTTATTTCTTTGACTTATCCCACACAACTATGCTTTGAATAGCAAACCCCCATTTGGGAATCCTAAAATACAAGTGACTACAGCAGGGATGGGTTTATCTCCCTGATTAGCAATGGGTATTTTTACTTCTGTGTTAAGAAGGGTTCTGAGGTGATATCTGTACTCATCAGGAGAGTGTTGTGATATAGGAATTGAATCAAATATTCTACAATAACTATATCTTGCAAAATGATTACAAAGGTAGATTAAGATGGGAGAAACAAATGACCTAAATTAGATGGAAGAAGAGTTCTAACTAAAAGGCAAAGACAGTATTTTATTTTCCCTTTAAAGTGATATTTAGGCCAAAAGAAACTATGAATAGGAAGAAAAAATATCAGATTTTAAAGCTGAAAGTTATCGTGGAGTAAACACAAAACACATGGAAAATAGACTAAGTGGGAAGAAAGTTCCAGAAAAAAACTAGGAAGCAAAGATTATACAAAGAAGAAAAAGAAACACGACATGAGGAAACTACTAAGCAAAAGGGAAAATGAGTAAGGAATCAAAAAACCCCCACTATTCTTTGGGAAAGTACACCTTCTCTCAGTTGGACAGCAGGAATCACCACCACCACCATTCTAAGTAGCTTCCAAGCTAGGTTCATAACTGAAGTCATAAAACAAAAATAAAGATAAAAAGAAAAAGAGTGTATTTTATTTGGAGTTAAAAGATATTTAAGTAGGCTATATCTATGTTTTAAATGGTCTCTAAAGTGGATTGTTGTGATCTGGTTCCAGGACGTATGATTCAAAAACACCACTGATCCTATTTCCTCCTCCGCTCTTAGCTTTAGTTTTCCACCAGCTTATCTGCCTTCTTATGGATCCAATTATTTATAGGGGGATTCTTCCGAGACTGGTGATAACTTTAGCCTTAAACAGTTACCTACTGTGCCTGCATTTCGCCAGGTTATCTCCAATTTCTATAAAAGCAGAATCCTCAGGGTTTCCAACTCTGCCTTTCAAATCAATTACACAAATCCACAAATATCTCCATGAAATAAAGTTCCTAACTGGGGCCATTTTTGCTTTTTGAGTGTCTGGTATCTGACTATAAAGCCTGAAGTAACAACTTTGCATTAAAAAAAAAAAAAAGAAAGAAAAGCTGTCCTTTAGAAAACTACCTGTGTCCAGTCTTAGAAATCCTTTCAGAATTTAGGTTCAAATAAACAGTTTAACACTGAAAACATAATACGGCATAGAATCAAGGGACATTATGCACCCTACCCACCCCCCTCCACAAAAAAAAACTTACAGAAAAAAAATGAAAAGCCCAACACAGAATACAATCTTTTTACCATTTGAATTTTGGTAAAAGTATAAAAATGGAATTTGATGAAGGTTTTGATAAAATAACCTGGAAAAAAACTAGACAACCCCATTTTTCTAGACACAACTTCTTTTGACTGCATTTTATTTTTATTTAAGAACATCTTACACACACATACATACCCCAACCCTTAAAAAAAAGGGGGGCCTGAAATTTTAGTTACACCACATGTGGTTTTCATTTGTGAAAAATGAACAAGCTGTTTGTGGTTAAACTGTCTAATCGCCTGTTATCAATCTAGCACTGCATTCAAGATTTACAGGATACATCAGCTTCTGTGCCACATTAGCTGTAAGGGATGGGGGGGTGGGAGGAAAAAGGAGGAGGAGAGAGTTTATCCTGAGGAATAATATTTCCAATGCAGCCACACTCGCACTACATCTGGTTGTGCTGGTAGCGGCAGTTAAATTGAAATATTTCACAGCGTGTGTCAGAAACATGCAGAATGGTAATTATGACAGATCTGATTAAGCCGGAGTGCCACAAGCTCCCTGGCCAGCGCCGGTTGTGCAGGTGTGACCTTGTGCGTGCCTGCGTGTGTAAATAAAATTAATTACAAGCGAGAGGGTGAAGGCTTCAGTGACATCACAAAGCGGAGAAACTCCCAAGGGGGAGACCTAATGGAATATTTTCCCTCAGTCTAATAATACAGTTCATATTGACTTGAGGTAATTAGTGGGATCATTAAAGCAGTTTTCCCGGCGTATTTGGCTGCCTGATCAGATTAGTGAAAATGTTCTTCAGAACAAGCCCTGTGTGGTCTGCCAGAGAGGAGGAAATAAAAAGCAACAAAGCATATTTTGGAATGATAAGCAGCGCTGGACTTTTACTATAGCAAAAAATCTCTTCTTTTCTCTGGAGCCGACAGATCTAACTGTCTTGTCCATTTTAATTCTTCTATCCAACCTGTGTATTCTTATATACATTCTGAACTACTTCTTTCAATTCCCCTTTCCCTCTGTTAAATCAGACTGCTTTATCACTAAGAGCCATCCCCAACTCCCCAACAAATCTCCTCTAAACAAGGCAATTTTAAAATTGGGGAAAAGTATCTTAAATGACTGCTTTACTGTTAACTGACAATATGGGACAACTGAGAGAGGCAAAAAAAAAAAAAAAAAAAAAGAGGAAAAACAAAAAAGAAAAAAGAAAAAGAAAAGAAAAGAAAAAAAAAACCCTAAAAACAAGGAAAGAAATGCCACTTAAGATTCACCTGCTAAACAAAAGATTCCTCTCTTATGTAACACATAACAGATTTAAATATTTACTCAAATTTGGACCTCAAAATGGGTTTAGCATAGGACAGAGTTGGGGCATGCATTCTTCCTGTTGAACAGAAAACAGAGGCCTCATCAAGAAAAGGGCCATTTGTTTGAAAATACTCTATTGAGCATGCTCTACCTTGCCACTGGAATATGCCAAGCGCTGTCACAGATGGCAGGCTCTGACAGTTCCCATCCGTAGCGTCGATACTCGACAGTTCAGCACAAGATCAGTGACATTCTGTCTCATTAGAACCACGCTAATTATCACAGCTAGTTTCAGGGGAAACCATGTGTTGCAATGGTCAATTTGAAGGAGTCTGTGCATCAACAAACTGGTAATAAGGATCAGACACCTTATTATATGACAGCATGCTGCCTATGATCTGATTTACGAAATCAGAGGCACTGAGGCGGCCGAGGAGGCTGGCAGTTTATGAAACAGTGTGTTTAAACCCAATTCCTGAAGCATCTTGGTTGAAAAGGGAATTGTTAAAAAAATACACAAAGGCAACTGGAATAGGTGAATCACAAAATCAAAGGAGAATAGATTTTCTATTAATATACAACAGAAGTAGATTAAGACTTAGGGGAAAAAACATCAATTTGACAATTGTATGCTGATTTCATAAATGGTTTACAACTTCTATTTTTACATGGTATGTAATTATAAATTACAGAGTAGTTATATGTCTACTAATCTCTAAAATATAGATATATATATTTTTAAATGGGTGGTCTATGATTTGTGTCATTCTGCCAAGCAAATGGGTTGCATATCTAAAAGTATAACAAGTATACTTAGAAAAATGAGTAATCTCTAAGGTTACTTTTTAAGATACCATCGATATTCTTGGCAGGGCAGAAAATTTCTACATTAGATTCATTTTACTAACGTAAGTTCTTCCATTCCTCTCTTAGCACCTTTCACTGATGTGAAATTTTAATGGTACAGTTTCTTCCACAGCTATTTTTCTATTGTCCTTTAGTATAAATGCATTTTCATAGCTCATTCATTTCACAGGGTCTTTATTTTCGTTTCTCATGTGAGGAAAAAAGAAGATAAAGTTAAAATAAAACCTACCTTCATTATCAAAAACATAAAAGACAACTACTGAGACTTTTAAGAAAAAACACTTTCATCTTCTAACTTGGTAGATTGTTAAAGGATTATATCAGTGTTATAGCTGTGTGATAAGTTTAACTGAATGACACTCAGTTTTAAGATTAATTCCTGTTAGGAGTGAAACCTTGTTGATTTGCTGTTTTCCCTACTTTCTGTACCCACCCGAACCTGTCCTGAAGAACTAACTCTTCAACTGACAAAGCTGAATACAGAAGAGCTTCCAAAAAGAGAAAACTTTATAGAATATTCTTAGTTTACACTTTTCAGCTTACACTAACATTTTAGGACAAAAGGTGCTCTCATATTAAAGCAGGTTCTATGAATACATAGTTGGCATAGCCGTGCTTCAGAACATATATGCTGGATTGCTGTAAAGGGACCACTCTTGCAGTGAACTTCTTTGTGTTTCCTTACATGATGAACCTCCTTAAAGCTGGCTCAATATTCACAAATTAATTCTCTTCAAATCTGGTCTAAAAATTTTCTTATGACATCTTCTAAAGATGCAGAAATGAGGCTTAATGAGTTATGTCTATATTTGTAACAGTTAAGCTTATTAAGTGGGTCGAAGAGAAAATATATTTGACTTTCAGTTAATTCTAAATTTATGGGGAAAAGGTGAAAATTTTAAATTATTTCAAAGAAGCAACACGATAACCAGAGATCTTCTGTTCATTTTTTTAAAGGTAGGTAATACCAAGTGTCTAGGGGATAAATCACCTCTTGATACGACTTTTTAGCCAGAAATATGATAAGTAAGCAATTGTTCTATTTAATAATTCTGGACCTCACAGATCAAATCCTAGATACACTAAAACAAACATACTTATTTTTAGGAGGCAAGAATCTCAAAAGAAGGCATATTCAGATCCACAATTAGCTCTTAAAAAATCATACACAATCATGTACCTTCAAACTATTAATGTCAATATTTAAAGCCATTAATTTTAATAGTCCTGTTTGGCATTCAACTAGAAATATAAAAATATATCAACGTTTTAGAAAATTGAATCCAATATGAATTCCCAACATTAAGATGTAAGAGATTGTTATAAATGGCCACTAATATAGAACACCTTAAATAAAGAGACTGATGAACTCCACATCCTTCTTACTCAAGAATGGAGCACAGGGACCTCCAAAGATCTGTGTTAAACTTAACACCAGCAGACTGCTGAGATGCAGGGACCACACTCTGGACTGTCTTACTTGTCTTCTTGTTTTCCTCACAAATACTTCTCTTGCCTCCTCCTCTTCCAGGCAAGTGGGTCCCAGGGAGACAGAAGCTGTATCCCCCTCAGGGTGTCCTCTACACATTTAGATGGAGAACATGTAAAGGGGCAGTTCTCTCTTTAGAAAGTGAATGAAGAAGGCTTCGTTTGCCCAAGAGAAGGGGCTCTTAGGCCACAATGTGAAGATCCCACAGACCGCTACAAAAGGATGTAGCACCGGAAATAACAGAAACCATGATTCTCAAATCTGCAGGGCCTCCTATGTGCCTTAAATAGGAGGCTACACAGGTGAACTCTTGTTGTAGCAAAGTCTGTTATATGAACATTCCAAAAGAATGAATCAGCACAGAATTAAAAACTGAAGTGTAATTTAATTCTAACAGAATAAAAGATGCCTTCACTAGCATGCTAGCATACAGAATGCAATGTCAATGGTTCCATGATTTTACTCCTGGATTTTGTCACTATAGATCTATTTTCAGCAATGAAAATTACATTTTTAGCCCTATTTCTAGCCCCAATGATTTGCGACACGTGTCTTACTTGCATTTAAGACATCCATTACCATGTGAGAATTTCCAAACCTAAAGGTCAGAATGACGTTTTCTTTCACCTACAAACCTAAGGAAAATGGAGGTATTCTTTTTCTCTCTTTCATCCTTGTTTTCCCCTCTCTCTCATCCTAGGGGCCATGAATCTCAATGACAAACAAAAGTGACTGAAAAGTAGATGAAAGAGAAGGCTTTAAATTATTCAGTCTCTTCTACTAGCCATGTTATTTTTGCATAGTCAGAAATGCTCTTTATTTATATTTTTTTGTATTAAAAACATACCTATTCATCAGCCAAAGTTGTAGCAGCCAGAAAGTACTACAACTCAGAGACTGCAAAAATATTATACCAAAAGTATGTTAGTCAAACAGAATTTTCACCAGCTAGTTGCTTTATCCAAAATAAATACATTGTTCAATAAAACACTAGAGGAAATTATTTTCTAAGCACAAGTGATGATGCAGTGTGGTTCTGTGAAAGCCCTTTACTGTCTTACTGCACTACTGTACCTGCAAGCTCCACCTATGCAAACATGAAAATCAATGTAACAATTCAGTATACAAGGCAAGGCCTACAGTGCTGCTAATGTCTCCTTGCTGGACACACACCTTAAGTCTCAGAGCTCTCGAGGGGTTTGCTGTGGAATAAAATTAGATTCCAACATCTGCCACCATTAAGGAAAAAATTCCATTTCCATCTCCCATATGAAAACACTATAACCAATGAACAGTAACTGAACCTTGATACTGTAATGGTTATTACCCAAATCAACTATTTTTTTAAACAGTAAAATTAGCAAATTCTGCTCTCATAATTATTTGAATGTTATCAGACTAAATGTTTGATAAAATTCCAATATGATTCACTTGGAAAAACTGCTGCTTATTTGAATACCCAGAATATAAAGTGTATTCATTTGTAGCTACTCACATTATGTTTAAAGCATATCATCTTTTTAAAGTTTGCATTAGCCTGCTTTCCTAACCAAGCACAAAAAGTAGCCTACCTTCAGTTTTTACTTGCATATTTTATCAGACGTTTCTATTAGAGTTAAAAACAATTCCATATCTATTATTCATTGAAGAGACAATACATGTGAAATGGTGGAATCCACGAGTTGGCTTCTTTTACCGAAAATACACTGTGCATTAGTCACTGCAGAGCACGCTTTACCTTTTAAAATGGAAGGTATTTATGATACATAAATACCTGATAAATAAATCTCTATCCATGTGGAGGACTGAACCTCTTGCTTAGCACATTATGAAACGTTACCATTTGGGTATAGTGCTATATAATTTAAAAGCTCTTTTGCATACATTGTAGCATGTGCCTTCTATGTTAAAAGAATCCTGGGCTCAAAAGTTAAAATTTTCCAATATTATACCACCAATGACACAACCTGGATCAGAGTTGGCCTCCTTTGACTCCTCCACCCTGTACACCCACCTCCATTAGGTATGATAGAGCCTGGACTCTGAAGGCTCTGTGTTGGTAAGAACCTTGTGTTCCATGAATATGTCAATGAAGAAAGGAAAGCCCTCACTGTTTCTACTGTCAATAAGACCAGTATCCCTAATTCCTCTTCCTCAGATCAGGGTAGTACTTCAGTGATGATGCTGCCTTGAACCCTGAAGACAGTCTAAAATAGGAGAAATGCAGAGAATTTGGAGTTGGCTGTACTACATTTATTATTTAAGAAACTCTCATGTGTAAAAGTAAGAAAATAATAGCTCACAGGGTTACTAAATTAATGCAGATAATCTATAATGCATGATAGGGTCTAGCACAAAAAAACACGATGGTTAAGTCAACCCAGACAACCAGGGCAAGACACAGAAGCAGATGTAGGTAGATGGGCTGAGACAGAAGAGACTCTGGTTCTTCCTGCTTCACACACATTTTGTCTTGGGGGACTGCTGCCTCATTTTGGCAAGTCCTGGCACACATCTGAGGCCTAAATATCTATTTTAGAAGTGCAATATTTTGACCATTAAAAAGGTCAGTCTGATTTGAAGGGTTTTTTTGTTGTTGTTGTTAGTTTTTCTGTTTCCTTCACAAAACATCATAGCATGAGAACAGAACCTAAGTAAATGGCCACTTTTCCTTATTAAGTCGGGTTTCTTTTGTTAGTGATATACACAGGTTTTGGACTGTCTCATTTTTTAAGCAATCATCAATCTTTCTACATGTTTTCATAAACAGGGTAGTGCTAACATTAAACTGAACAACTAAGTCAAGACTACAAAAATGCTCTACTAGGACGTTAGAGTAAATTAGAAGTTGAGAATAACTATCCAAGGGAATAAAGTTAATAGTTTGCTTGACTCCCATAGCCCACTATTGGCCCCTTTGATTTTCTCTTAACTAGTAATGAGTAATTAGCTAAAAGCTTTGGGGCTTTGGGAAACACACCATCACAGAAGATGCTTGGAATTTGCTTATTTACATTGCTGAAATAGAGACCCATGAGGAGCTGTGTAGGACAGGGTAACAAAGAGCAGGGATGTTTAAAATGGCTTAGAACATCACCTATATGACATTATTAGCCAGTTGCTGCTACTATCTAAATAGCTCCAAAATCAGTACTCAGCCCAGATTGGGGAGAACCCGGGGTATCATTTAAAAGGATGAAGTCAAAGATAGCAAAGGAATTATCAATCACAGGGAATCAGAAAGGAAAATGATGGCGGGGGTGGGGGTAGATTGAATTAAATGACAGGTGATAGATAACTAAATATGGTTATTAATAAGTTATAATATTAATTTTTGTTTTAAAGCTAACCTTTACTATAATACATGTCCAGTTTCTCCATTTTGGAGATTTAGGGAAACAGGCTTTTGTAGGAATGCAGTCTGATTATTACTGATGATCGGACAGGTCAGAAAAAAAAATGTAGAATAAGAAAGGCAAGATAATATATATTTAAATATGATATCCTCATCATAATTAGGCTAAAGAGCCAAAACAAGAATGTGTGGGGTGGGCAAGTAGGTGGGGGGGGGGAGTGAGACCAGGACATTTCTCTTAAATGCGTAGTCTTGGCATGTAAATGAAGACATCTGAAGAAGCACACAGGTTTAAAGCGGCTCTAACATTCTATCATAATTAGAAACATTTCAAGAGCCCTGTAATTTCCAATCAAAATTACAGTAATTTCCGATATACAAGCCATGATTCATGACAGAATTTTACATTCCATGAGAGATTACGGTGGCCTGATGTATGACACGCTGAGTACAGCACTAACATAAACAATTCAGTTTAATGTTTAAACAGCACTTGATGTTTAGAATCTCACAATAAAAGAAACATATTATTGTAGAAATTATCACTTTGACAGTGATTGAAGGGTAGGCAGGCATGTGGCCTATAAAGCTATAATTTTTACAGTCCACAGCTTGAGTTTAATCATTTTTATATAACATTTCCAAGATATCCCTTAAGTATTTCATCAGGCCTATAACTTAAACAAGAACAACATTCTTCTAAAGCAAAACTCCTGTCAAGTAACACTATAAATGTCGATAGGGTAAAAGTTTAGGAAAATCTGAAAAGATTATTATGTTACAAATATATCGGATTATAAATACTCCCACAATTGTGTATTTCATCAGAAGTTGACAACAGCCAGGCTGTTTTAGGATTCATTAATGGTAATAAAAATATACTTGTGTAAAATTTCAAGTTGTTAAAATCTTACCTGGAGTCCCTATTTGCCTCTAATGTCACCTTGATAGTGTTATGAAATTCTTTTTCAAGGGGGAAAAGAGTTTAGTGTTCTTCTGGTCCTTTAAAAAGTATTCTTGGCTTTGGAGAAGGGTTTATAGATAACTAAGTTTGTTCATATAGATGATTCCACTTTTGATGAACATGAATTATTAATATTTGACAGTTATGCTGATAAAAGACTATACGACCTATCCTTTTTTATTTAGTTTGGTAGAAGTTTACAACTTTTCCAATTCAAGGCTATTCAGCTGTAATTCAGGGTTGGACAAGTTGTAATCAATCTGTGTGTCTTGCATACTCTACAGAAAAATTAAAATCATTAATATGCAAAGCTATGTGTGTGTGTGTGTCAGTTTGTCTTAATAAGTGTATTTAATAGTTGCAGCCAGCTGAGTTGAGAGGCAACTATGCTCACTGCTATACCACCAATGCCACATTAGATGGCTGAATTGGAACAGAAGAAACTGTATAAAGTTTTGTAGCATTTTAGTAGGAAAAAAAATAAAGATCATCTAAGCAATAATGAAATAATAGTAATTCACATTATTTATTCTACTACAATAGACCAGACTGAGAAACTGACTATCCATTATGATATCCTTCTCAAAATACCTATTAACTGACTTGGGGATTTACCATAAAATCCTTGGTCTGAGGAGTGGCTATTGGAAAAAACAAAACTAAGTGCCTATAACCTGAATTTGAATATTGTTTCATTTTAGAGCTCTGGAAATAATCCTAGACACAGAGGCCTCTCCGTGATGCAAGTTCATACTGAAAATAGACACTCCTTTTAATGAAAATTCTACAGGCAACACAGATAAACATTCTCAATGCCTAACAGAGGCTCTTACCTGGCTTTTGGTTGCTGCAACCTTTGCAAACAGTGCTTGAGACACTTTAGCACGCTTCATTTCCTGCTGAATCTCATCATAAATGGAAGCATTAATGTTCATGGTATTGTTCTCTGGTTTCCCATTCCTTTCAGTGGCAATAGTAGCTGTTTTCACCTACAAAACATTTTGAACATGGCTGTCATTTTTCATTGGCTGAATTGTTTTGAAGCTTCTCAGGCTCAGCATCCAAACTGGACACTGTTGTTCCTTTTATGATCAAGGTGATCAACAGTGCAGTCATTCAACATTAGTTATTGCCCTGAGATCAGATTGCTTAAGTTAAGGGAAGTCACATTGTCACAGGTGATTGCATCTGTAATATGACAGCAACTGCCAGCTGACAACCAGGAATTATAATGCCATAAAGTAAGTTTTCTGGAAAACGAAATAGTTTCAAAGACTTGAAAACCCTAAACTAATTGTCTCCCAATTACCTTCCATTGCAATCCTAACAAAGGAAATTCACAATTAAAATCATAATGCACAGTGCTGTATCTTCACTGGGTGCCCGGTGCCTAATAGACAATTGAATCACTAATAGCTATTACATACTATGGCCTTTTTAATTTTAGACTATTTTTATGCATCTTCCTCTTATGTTTCATTTAAAAAATCTTCCATAACAAAGCCATTTGCAGAACTGCGTATTTAAATCTTCTATCCATCCATGAAGCAGGTAGAGTGCCTTGCTTAATTATCATAAAGGCTGGTTGAATTTTACACGTGCATGTCCAAGCTGTTCTGTATAATTATTTCATCTTTTCCTGGCACCCCTGTATATAACTATTTCCTTTTGACTTGTGAAACCACACAATAAGATAATGTTTCACAATATTAAATAAAATATTGCTGTAAGCATCACAAAATATATAATCAGTGACTTTACTAATATATTCAAAAAGTACAATCTTGAGAGAAAAATCAGCATCAATGCCTTTAGTAATAGTGATAAGCAGATATCGGCAGTAAAATGCCACAAAATTTTAGGGGCTGAAAGCAAATCTCAACTTCAAAATGTACTGATACTATAATTCATGTTTAAAACTCCAAATTTATTTTTTATTACACAGTAGTATGAACTAGCCTGGAAAATTTACATAAAAACCATGTAGCTGATTTTTTACTGGGAAACTGATGAAAATATAAATGAAAAATTACTACAGATACAAAACCATGTTTCTTCCAGCAAACTGATCCCTTAAAGACATCTTTTCAGTTACTTTACAGAACTCAGGTTTCTATCCTCTAGAAACTTACCATCCTGGACAATTTCTCACATAAACCATGAAAATAGAAAATGAAGTATGCTGTAGAATAAACAAATGATTTTTTTGGCATTAAATGATATAGCCTTTGAGTCAAGCTGCAGGACTTTAAGATTTATTTTACTCTGTTCCTAAAATATTCAGTGATTCAATTCTCCGTACTTAAAGCATAAATAGGAGATCCCTTTAAAATGTGCCTGCTGAATCCTAATTTCTAGCCAATTAGCAAAATAATTCACCTCTTGCTTATCTTGAGAAAGCTGGTAGATGCTTTCACCATGATACCACCTTTCCAAGCATGGAAAAGATAATGCTGGGAAATAGTTGGCCCGCAGGCCTGAAGGGGACACAGCAGGTAAGGCAGGACAGGTGACCAAAGGTGGGGCCTCATCCGCCTCCTCTCCAGAGTTCCCCTTCTAGCTTTGCCACTCTAGTAAGCAAGGGCACTCATAGAGATATATTAATGACTGGAGGCCACTAGAACACATACAGGGCTTTGAAGCAATAATCTGTTAAACACCACTTTAAGAGCCAGAAGAGTTAACAACACATTACCATAAATTGCCTACAAAGTTGCTTTGGTGAGATTGGAAACTTTGCTCTGGGGTGGTCTTGCTTTGAGGCAGAGGGATAGATTTGATCACCCCATGGGGTCCCTTTTAATACCTATTTTTCTCACTGCTTAAATGAAAGAGAAAAGAAAAGCCATTTCAATCATTTTGAAAACTGAATGTTATGGAAATGGGGGCACCAAGTCCAGTGCACTGAAGAAACAGATCCTTGGTAGCAATCTGCTAAGCAATAGTTAAAAGAACAGACTTTGGAAAGTTGGTGTTTCGATCTGTTTTTAAAGTAATTTTCATTATTTTGTAAAAATGATGTTTAAGAATTTATCTTTGAGGTGCGCTATAATCATTTGTTTCAACCCTGTGACTTTGTTTCTAAAAACTTCTTTGGTTAATTTTTTTTTTTATTTTAAAGCAATTATAATCAAGCACAAATTCTAAATTATTTTAAAAAATCATTTCCTAGTAGCCAACACAATCAAAACAAAAGTGAAAAAAGTATACAAGAAATATTTTTTTTTAAAAAAAGAATGTGAGGGTGAAACTTTAACAATTACAAAGTTAGAAAGTATCTCTGTACTACTCATTTAAAAAATATTTAGGAAAGCTCTTCTTTACCATTTTGTTGGCCCAGATACACATCTTATCATAGATAAGCTATTAGAATTCTAGAATCACATTTTTTTTTTTCCTAAACACAAGCTATTGCTTAAGGGAAACTGACTTGGACAGCTTTTCAAAAATATGAAAGCTGAATTTTTCCCCAGGTAAAAATGGAAACAAAAATCTTTTATACCTCACTCTACTAAGTACTATTTTAGCTTAGTACAAAAAAATCTTCTTTAATCCTGGTTTAGCTTTTAATATTATATCACACATTAAAATTCATAAAGTAGTTCATTCCAGGCAAAACAAACTACTGTTCAGCTCTTCTCCGCAAATAGCACAGGAGGTAAAATAAATGCAGTTGCTTTCAGAATAGCTTTTATCAAGGTAGGGTGTACTACTCCATTATTAAGGCGGCGCCGGGGAAGTAGTTAAGAATTGGAGCTTCTACTACTTACCCTCCCATGTGGGGATAGGGTGCAGCACTAGAGTCTGCTTTTTATTTCACTAAAATTGTGCCGCAGGACACACATTTTCCATAAAAACTCTATTTTGCTTCTTCATGGATTGCTGTATGCATTGAATCATGCTTTTAGATTTTACACGAAATGAACTCTATTTCAGCCTTGATTGGTGAACATCCTACTCTGATGCATGAAGAATTGCCTGCAAGCACACTGCTTTTACACAAGCAAAATTAAAGTTATATGTAGTTTTAATAATTGTGATAATAAACACTGACATTTATTAGTTGTTTATTATGTGCTGGACATTGTATTAATGTATATTAACTTCTTAACTTGCCTAACAGCCCGGAGGAGGTATTATGATTGTCCCATTTTAAAATTGAGAAAACTCCGTTAAAACAAACAGGTTAAACAATTTGTTGGTGGAGCAATGCTGAGATCTAAACTTAACTAGAAACCCAAAGTTATTTAGAGTTCATGACATTACCTGCACCTTCTTTACTTGAAAAAATTCTTAATTTTTAGAGCAGGCTGGACTTGTTTTTTGGTGGCCCTTTGATAAATCTAGCTCATTAATGTCTAATTTTTTAATAGCTATTGATTTTTGATTAAAATCCAATCTAAATTTATTTTTCAGGGTATAAAAATTATATTTTCTTATTAATGAAAATAAGAAATGTCCTCTTTTATGGATGCTTATTAGTGATGGAAAATATTTCCCACTCTCAAATTTTAATATATTAACACTGTCTTTAGCACCATGGTTTCATATTTTTAGATATTTCTTTCCTTCCAGGAACAGTATTATTTTCCAAATCTAGCCTTTAAAAGTCTTCCAGCTTTTAAAAGACGACAATTAATGGGATGCATTTTATAACCACATAAGCAACATCTTAAAATGATCTTCAAGGGATTCATAAGAAATAAAACTTTTACCAAGTGTTAAGTTCCTGCCTGTAACTGAACCTGAAATCAAGATGAACCTATGTTTCATTATATCGTAGAGGGATTTCTTGTAAAGAGACAAAATAGTGCAACTACCAGATTAATCATATACTGTTTATATTAACTTCATAAATTTTCTAAAGCATTGTTATGAAATAGCATACCTTTAGTAATTCTTTAGGTAATTACATAAAGAGATGTAAAAAATGAAGAATTACATAAAGAGATGTAAAAAATGAAGAAAAAAAGACTTTTGTGTAATTCATGTAAAAGCTGTAACTCAGTAATTATATGCTTTCAAACAGTCTTCATGGAAACAAACTGCTAAATTAATTTAACTCCAAAAGTCACACACCATAAAATGCACAAATCAAATTTTAAAAAGTATACCCTTACGGTAGAAATCATCACTTAAAATTCTGTAAAATATACAATTCTCAGATAATAATCATGAATTATTATTGTTCATAAAAATTCCTCTAATAAACTCATCAGGAAAATCTGCAAAGCTTATAGTGAAAAGAAACCTTAAGACCAAGGAAGCTGGGAGGACTGGGTTCTCCCAGATATTTTCATGAGACCAAAGTTTAAAAGGGGCTGTTCTCCCCACAATCCCAGAAATGCCATTGTCTAGTTTTCCCAACTGGATAATTTGTCAAACAAGTTATTTCATTAGGACAATGCTTTAGCACATGCTCCTCTTCCCATTCTAACAAGAAAACCTCCCATCCTCTATGACAAACAAAAAGATCTCCAAGTTTCACTTTTCCCTTTCTAAAATAAGTTTGCTTTTATTCTGAGGAGGTGGCTTGAAGTAGAGGAAGGAGCAAGAGACTTAGCAGAGGATTTGAAAACTCTGACTCAACCTTAAACTTGGTTTTCTCATTTTTCTTCTAGGGAAAGGTTGGTATGAGGATTCAATGAATTAATGTATTCAGCTGCTTTCAGAATAGCTTTTATCAAGTTAGGGTGTGAATCATTATCAGGTGCAAGATATTCTTATTTGTTGAATTAGAGCATGTAAGTTGTGAAAATGTTTGCAGCAACCAGGTCTGGCCCAGAGCCTATAGCCCAGGCAGAGGATGAAGCACAGGGCATAACTGTCCCTACTGGAGCACATGGGATACCTCTGCAGGGAGGCATCTCACCTGGACTGGGCCACCAAGGAGCTCTGGTGTTTCCTGAGGCTAGGTGTCCCCAGGTGGGGTCTGACTAGCCAGGAAGTCCTTTCTTGAAGATGACTTAGAATTCAAGTCCTTCAATAGTTTAGGTCCTTGTTATGGTATGTCCCAAGGGCACTCCAAAATCATCTTCTGCATGTTTTACACTCTATAAAGAGGTGGAAGAGAATCCAGTTTCCCAGGCCTTAATGGGGGCTGGGTTTTCTGTGAACCACTGAGGGCCTCTGCTTTTAACATGTGGTTCTTTAGAAAGAAATCAGGTTTCAGGTGCAACCCAAACCCAAGATTTGTCTCAAAATATGTTTCAAATCTCCTCATTTTGGGGGAAATGAAATGTATACTGATTTCACATGGACTCCTCTTTGGCAAAATGTAAAATTTAAAAAGACAAAATTTTGCAGTCTGTGTTATCTGTGGTTTTCTCCATTTTATCCTTTATTTTAACTCATTTTTAATATGCATACTGGTTCCAGTTTAAGCATCATTTCATTATTTCAACTGCTACAAGACAGCACTAATTCAAGTGCTCTATAACGTGTTTTTCCAAATCTAAAGTACTAATTTTGCATTGATAATACCTTTAATACCTTAAGATTTCTTAAAATTTAATTCATTTAATCATGGTTAAAGGGAAGAATGTGAACAAACTGGTAGTGATCTCCATTATAATAATATTAATAATTTAAAGATTTATATTGCAGCAGCAAAATAAAATTACACACACATACACATATCAGTTAGTCATTTTGGAGTTTGGTTAGATGGCCAGTAATACTGCAGTAATAGAAATGTTTTATTTGAAAGAGTTTCACTAAGAATCTACAGTATGTATATACTGTATATTTTCATCATTGGCTGAATACCCTAGCTATGGGCTTGGTCTCAGCTCCTCTTCAGAACAAACAAATACAGCTAAGGGTGGCACAACCAGTTAACCAATAATTCAGGCAAAAATAAATTAAACATATATTCTATCCCAACTTATCAGCAGATAAAGCCTTTAAGCATACATACAGGAAAGTTATCCTATAGTATCTTAACAGCATATGAAAAGAAATATCACTTAATAAGAATTGGTATAACTTTAGCTCAAGAAAAAGCTTGATGAGTAAGGACACCCAAATCACATTTGGAAAATAAATAAAACCAGAGTCCTAGAAAAATTAGAAAACAAAAGCTGTATTAAGGAACCACAAAGTCAAATATCTGGCTAGATGTTTTTTTTTTTTTTTAAAGCAGTTCAATGTTGAAGTTCATATTGGTCTTAAGTAAGCCATTCTTTTATTAGTATTGCAGATTAAGTGATAAGTAAAGTAATTCTCTGCTCAGAGCCCTGTCAGTGGTGACTTCAGGAGCAAAGTTAACTAATAAAAGTGTGTGTATTAACACTAAACACTACAGAAAAAGTACCAAACCAAATTATTTTATTTCATTTCGTATATTTTTTCTTTTTTATCATTCCTAGAAGTCATAGTTTATCTTTTCTCTTTAACCATACTTAGAAGTCATATTTTTTATACATAAAGAGTTCCTCATTCTTTATCTTAGGAAATATTTTATAGAAGCATTTAGAGATCAAATTCAATAACTTTGTGTGCGTGGGCAGGTGGGTGTGTACATACGTATATAGATGCCATGCTTTTCTCCTAAAGAAGCATGACTTTTTTATTCACAATTATAGCAATGATTTCCTTATAGTCTGTTCCTATAGACATCAAGACCAGATTGATTTTCATTAAATAAACTAGTGAAAATGGATTTTGTGACATTTCTAAAAAGTAATAGTTTCAGAACCTTATGATAAGCAGTTTATTTAGCTACTCAACAAGTGGCTAAATATTTCTTATTTATGCAGTATCCGTAGTACTTTCACTCTTTAGTGTTGAATGAGTTTTTTCTAGATTTCTATACATGAAAATGTATAACCACTTTCTACCATTGATGAGAATGAAGTAAAATCGAGATACAATTTCACTATGAGATTGTCATATGAATATTTCGACTTTTTCTTCCATGTTCAATTTTTATCCAATTTTAACTGACCTTATTTTTAAGAGCTGTAAATGTCACAAGTTAAACATGTAAGAAAACACATTTGCAGCCGGGCGCGGTGGCTCAGGCCTGTAATCCCAGCACTTTGGGAGGCCGAGGTGGGAGGATCATGAGGTCAGGAGATGGAGACCATCCTGACTAACACGGTGAAACCCCGTCTCTACTAAAAACACAAAAAAATTAGCTGGGCGTGGTGGCAGATGCCTGTAGTCTCAGCTACTTGGGAGGCTGAGGCAGGAGAATGGCGTGAACCCGGGAGGCAGAGCTTGCAGTGAGTGAAGATCGTGCCACTGCACTCCAGCCTGGGTGACAGAGCGGCACTCCATCTCAAAAGAAAAAAAAAAAAAGATAATATATTTGCTTGTGGTTTTTGAGTCTAATACACTAACTAGCAAACTTTTATCTAAGGGTTTGTAATGCAAATTGATTTACTGAATTATAACAGTTATGAGGTTACTTTTAAAACTTAGTTTAAAAAACAATACAGATTCACATACCCAAAGTTACCCGGAAGGCAACTTTCTTTCCTAAAAAGTCCAAAAATTTTAAGAAAGAGAAAACATGCCCGTATCTTGGAGTATGGATAGAATTCCTTATCAGCCCCATTTAAAGCTGCCTTCAAGGATTTTATTAAACTTAATTATGAAAGATTACAAATGAGATGGTGTGTAATTGGTACCAGCTGCAGTTCGTACTGGAAAGTATAAATACAAATGAAATTATTTATTTTTATTTATTTACTATTCAAATGGCGATTCTGAAACCAGTTGGGAAAAAACTGACTTTATTCTTTTTCTATTGAGTTTAAAATACTTTACTTAATAACAACAGTAGAGACAAATATCCCATTTAAAGACTACTTTCACCCCCAAATAACCCAAAGAATGAAGGAACACAAAGCAATTTTCTTCCCTCTATCTAATTAGGAGCTTATTGTTTTTATATCAGAATTAATGATTTGGGACCAAATTCTCCTCAAGCAACTATACGAATTTAAAAACATATAAATCTATGTATCTATCTATCTAATTTCTTATTGAGATTCTTCCTCAAGCATTAAAAAAAAGCTAAACAAAGAAGGGCAAGGAGGAAAAGGAGACCGCACCTGGGGAGGACGGCTGGGTGGTGTGCTGATGAGGGGGGCAGGACCCATGGCCGAGGCAGCATTCAAGCTCCTTTCCCTTTCGTCCTGGTATATTCGGTCTCTTTCAGCTTCCGGTAACTGCAAGAAATTCTGCATAGCCCGAAGGTTTACCAGCAAAGACTGGGATGCAGTCTTGGGGTCCTCTTCCTTTCGGAGGATTTCTGAAAGCAAGCCCTGCAAGAAATGAAAGGCACAGGGTGAGCCTGCTGCCTTGCTTTGCCTGGCCAGCAGTGATCCTTCCCTTTTCTTCTCCACTCTGTTTAGAAAATGAACAGTCAGAGGCATTAATTCTGCATAGGAATATATTAGTTACAACTGAAGTGGTAGAGAAGAGAGCCTCAATTGTATTCTTAATTTTATTAAGCATCTGCTTTACATATAACATAAACTGAAACTGCCTAATTGGTCTCCTTCCTTTGAGTAGCTTAACTTGCCATGAAATCTTTCACAGAGAGACGATCCAGGGAAGTTAAGAATAAACGAAATCCTTATAATGCAACAGCACTGAACTGTATAGTTCCCAAGCTGCCTAGACAAAGGCAGTGTAATGCCTACAGCCCAATATGTAAAGATACAAAGCCATTTCTAGAGAAGTAGAACTTTCAAAGAAAATACCAGAAAATGAATTTTAACATATTAGAACAAAGGTTATTACTAAAGCATCACCTAAGGTTTATGCTGTATTTTCACAGGCAATGTTTAAAATTATTCCTTAAACTCTGACTTATCAAAGTACATGACACTACGTGACCCTTTCAATTTACCATTTTCAGAGAACCTCACTGATTATCACAAATGATTCTAAATACTATCTTGCTGTATTATACCACTGGGTAACAGGTTTAAATTTTGAACTTTAAAAACCATAGACAAGATTTGAAATATATTAACTAATTTTCAACATTGCGAAAGTCCATCACAGCATGCCAAGGAAAAGAGTATCAAATTCTGTAATTATCAAATTTCTTGGGGAATAAAAATTGTTAGTGATAGAAGAAATTTATAAATCATTAGAAAACTCTTAAGGTGTCTTTCCCCCCTAAATAACAGAACATCAATTTTCAACTAATTTTTTTAACTTTTGGAAGAACTCTTTCAAAAATGGGTGGTTCTCCCCATTGCATTTAAGAGACAATATGAAATAAAAGAATTGGAAAATTTTCTGTTCATTTTATAAGGGCTAAGCAGCTCTTCTCTCTTTAATCTTGTACATGAAATAATGCTTGGAATAGTAAGACATATTTGGTTTCTTCACTTAGCCAGAGTATCAGCTTCAGAATAAAATTTTGTCAGGATTTCTATATAATTTGCAAATCTACTTTCCAATATCCTGCAGAAACAGTTAAAGGTATATTGGGGGAAGGAAGGTAACGTGTCATGTCAAAACAATGAAGCCCCAAGGTTAAAACATTTGTTTTTTTCATGGTTTGTTAGAAGTACAAACCTGGTTTTGTTCCCAAATTTAAAGATAATGTACCATGTTGCCGAAATGCAACAGTTGGGTGCAGACAATACAAAAGTACTGATACTTCTTAAAATGATTTATAAGCTGGTATTTAAAAAGAACTTTTAACAGGTGCAGAGGGCTTCAGAGTCCATTTTAAAGTTGTCTCTCACTTAGTCTCTTACAGCTAAAGCCTGGAAATTGGACCTGAACTTTCGTTTTTACCCTAAGAAATGTGACTGAAGAATGAAGGGCATGTGTCCTTAGGATACTAACGAGTAATGCTGTAACTGTGTCTACACAAGAGCAAAACATCTAGTCAATTTAACTAAAATTCAGTCAAACAGGCAGTCAATCATCCAGCTATTTAATTTGCACAAGGCCACCTAATTAGTTTGACTGTGTTTCTGATGTGCCATATTGAAAGTAAAACATTCAGGTCTCAAAAAAAAAAAGTTTGAAAATAGGTGTAATGAAATAACCCTTGCTCTTTACTCCTCTCCACCAAATGTTATGTCTTAAAAAATGTACTTGACAAAGCAATATATTCTCAACTACACAGATATGGATACATGAAAACATCAGTATAAACACAATATGCTACAAATTCCTTGAGCATAATAATCTAATATTCACTTTCATCATCCCAGCACAATGTCTCTCATGTAAATGTTTGATAAGTATTTACTAAATGGACTGATCATGTGTATAAAGACCACAATGGAGAAAACAATCACAAACAGGTGATAGAAACTTAAGAACAAGATGTGTTACCCATGAGTCAATTCTAGTAGTAGTTATTAGCACTCATGTTGGGCCTACAGTGAAAAGTTCTGTGGCATTTTTTGAGATGTTTTTCCTAATTGTCTAATAATTAAAAAAATTAGATTAGGGCAAAACATAGTTATAAATATTTAGGATGTTATTTGGGAAACTTGAAATTAGGTATTTAAAAATCCCAAATAACAAAGTACTATATCACATATTTCTATCAAAAATATTTCCTGAGGCAGCAGAGATCTATAGTGAGAAAGTCAAATACAGGAAAACATACAAAATAATATTCTTTCTCAAGTCTTGCTAACATATAAGACTAAGTCATTTCCATATGGTTGAGATTGGAAGGTAGTTATGTCACTTGGGAGAAAATTTTAAAAGTTCTCTACCTATATTTTGATGTTGGTGTGACTTCCTATTTAAGCATACAAGTGTTTTTAGGGGCAAAGCATTTTACTACCACTTAATTATTCTACTGGAACAAGGTTTTTTGTTCGTCTGAAATATGTTGATGGTATAAAGTGATGTTTCAAACCCTGAAACACTCAAAGAGCTTTAAAGCAGCCAGTGTAGACAGTCTCAGGTGTTTCAGAAACCTTTGGGTTTTTTTTTTTTTTTTTTTGGCCCAGAGCTTTCAATGAGGGGAGTGCCCCCTGGTGGAAATGCTTGAAAATATTGTCAGAAAACATTTTGATTAGTGATAATTACTTAAAAAAAAAAGTCACTTTAGAATAATTTTGGATGCAAAATGACTGCTATCAGATCCCAGATATGGGAATGTATGTTTTGGTCCTGTTCAGGTTGTTGTTACTTGAATAGCTGCACTCATATTTATATGCTGAATTCAAGATATATGTGGCCACCAGTTCCCATATCCTATAATTGAAGACATAGTACAGACTTGCCAAGGTCATTTGTAGTACTGCCCACACAGTGGACAGTAAGCGTGACCTTTTACCAAAAATTCTTCATGCTAAAAAATAGTATGAAAAGGCCATCATGTACCTTATTTATGTCATAGAATATGCTGAAACATCAGGACTAAAATATGTCATCAGTATCAAGAATCATTGGCGCTCAATAAATTTGTTGAATTAAATTAAACAAAATCATTAGTCATTCTTGTGTCTGAAAAGAACCTGAGAACTTGTATGTTATGTAGGAAGTTACCAGTACCTCATAAATATTCATTTTATTGAAAATCAGAAGCTGCCTTTCATTGGGACTTCACATCTTACCAATAATTAGATGTGTGCTGTATCTATGAAAACACAAAATTGTTTTGCATTGTCATTACATAGCGGTTAAGTCAGAGTTCTAATTTTTTCAACTAAAGAATGAATTTACTGCTGAATTCCTAAACCTGTTTTTACATTCCAAAAACAGTTTACAAGTTATTACAAGTAAAATTCATTAGTAGTTGTAAAAGAAAGAAAAAACCTCCAATAAATATTATCAGTATTTCCAAAAGCTAATTATGAATTCTTTAAAACAGCAGATAAGCGAAAGAGACTGCCAATCTGAACAAAAAGGCTGTCTGGCCTCCCGTTTGTCTCCTCTTTGAACATAATCACTGATTCAAATAGATTTTATCAGCTTCATGGAACTTCAAAGCCCTCAGGAAGAAAATATGATTTGATGAAACCTCCCTCCTAAAAAGAAAATACATAGAATATTCTTCAAGGCTACCTGCCTCTGTTGTTTGGTGAATTTTTAATCCTATGTCCAGGTAAAAGACTATTTTCAAACTCCACCTACTACCATGGATTCATGCCAAGTAAGTTTTAAGTAGACACATTTATCTCTGTCGTTTGGCAGGCTAACCAGAGAGCTGTCTTGTTGGGGTAATAGCACCTTTTTACCTTTTATTCAATAGTGATATGGATAGTGGACTTTTCTTAAATTACACTGTGAAGAATTATAGAAACACAGTAGCAATTTCTGTTATACTTAAGCAGGCAAATTTCTCTCCACCACATAATTTACAGAACTCAAATTTAATAAAACATTACATGATGGTCCATTACTGTTATCAGTTTTGAATAATCCATCTTCATTCTTTATTTTACTGGAAAATAAAGTGTGCCAAAAGACAAGAGGAGGGGGAAGAAAAAGGGGAAAAAAGCCACAGAGTGGGATCAGAGTTAAACTCTGAATTTTATTCTTTTAAAAATCAAAGGGTATTAAGGAATGTATTTGCATGTATCAGAACCATTAAATAGCAATAAGATAGAGAAGTGAATTGAAAAGTAGAAATCTAGAAGCTTTGGCAATTACTTTTAGCCATAGGTTTCCATTAAAAAGACATCAAGTAGGCATAACTGAATGAATGACATATGCTAAAAGCTGATATCTTCAACGGCAATTAAAGAACCCATGCCCATCAATTCAGAAGGGGAAAAATTCCTTAAAACAAGTAACTATATAAGTTTACCATAAATTTTCAGAAAAGGTAGGCTTAAAAAAAAACCCATGTGCGAAAGTCTTGGGAGGGTAATGTGTTAATATAGGGAACCCTATTAAGATGATAAGAAAATTCTCAATAGTTAAAACCTAAGACCCAGGGTTTTAAAGTTATACAGAGCTTCAATGACTAAAATAACCCTCAATTCATACAAGTGTTTTCTATCATATTAAGGTCTTAATGCCGTTTATAAGAAACAGTATCTTCATCTGACCCTATCATGTAACTTTGTATTTGTATGTACATATTTTACATTAATTTTTTTTTTATTATACTTTAAGTTTTAGGGTACATGTGCACATTGTGCAGGTTAGTTACATATGTATACATGTGCCGTGCTGGTGCGCTGCACCCACTAAGTCGTCATCTAGCATTAGGTATATCTCCCAATGCTATCCCTCCCCCCTCCCCCCACCCCACAACAGTCCCCAGAGTGTGATATTCCCCTTCCTGTGTCCATGTGATCTCATTGTTCAATTCCCACCTATGAGTGAGAATATGCGGTGTTTGGTTTTTTAATGTTTTAAAAGTTGGAGTTGGAACTGCACATTGTACTAGGTGCACACAAATGTGTGATGTGTGATTTAACTCTGCAGAGCTCCTTGTCTATACATACGCATTAGCATGTGTATTTTCATACTCCACACTCACACCATACCCTCTGCACCTGCTTTTATTGAAATGCATACACTTTGAAATCAACACACTACATCCAGTCATACCAATGCATAATCATTAAAAAATAAATGCAGCTGTGTATGTATGTGTGTGTGGTTTTTAAGAATGACCAATGAAAATAAATTCATGCCTGCATGTGCAAAAGTTAGTTCTCAAGGAATTAATATTGAAATATATATACAAATTTCCTCTTAAGTCAAACATCTTCAAATATGGCCCTATATCTACTTTGACTGAAGAGTATCAATTATCAATATAAAGCTTTAAAACACCCTTCATAATCCAGGGCACTAAATATTTTTTTGGTAATGACTTTTTTTCCTAAATTGGCTATTATTAATAAGGAGGTATCTGCAATCAAGCTATACAAGGTAAAGTTTTCATTCTCCTCTCACAGAAAAAAAAGTCACTGTTTTTGATATTAACCACAGAGATGATTACCTTTTTCAAAGAGATTAATATGGTATAAAAGAGAAAATTTTGCCTTTCTTCCAGTAACAAATCCTGTAGATATTGTGGAATTTGTCCTTTTAAGGACCAAAGGCAGAACAAATGGCCAACTCCTCATAGTAATGGCTGTAACATCATAAACCCAAAAGGAGAAAAGCTGTAATGATGGGTGACAACTTTATCCTCACTTCTCTGAGTTCTACTGTCTTAGCATTCTTCACTATATAAAGGACACTTACTTAGTGCTTTAAGAAATAACTGCTCAATTTTTAAGACACCAGTAACTATATATATACACATATATACATATATATACACACACATACACACACACATATATATACACATATATATACATATATATATAATTTGTGTCTATGTCATGATGTCTTTGTGGGCTTTTAACTCAATTCAAAAAAGCATTATTGAAATGTTATGTAGAGACCTACTTTTTTTGGCCTAGTACGGAGAATTATTAGTACTTACTATATTTACTAAAATAAAGAATGCTACCAGAAACAGGAATATTTAGAGGGTTGACTTTTGAGCCATTCATTTTCAATAATTATCCCCCAACTGAATATAGGTGTCATATTAAGTTCACCAGCTAATGATGAACACAGTTTTTTAAGCTATAAAGATATAGAACTAGGTAAAACCATACAATTTTAACCTGAGACATAGCCTTGTGCAACTGCCTTTTCAAAAACAGACGAACGTACAAAAAAAAAAAAAAAGATGAATCGACTGAAAACAAACACTGAATTAGAGGCTTTGTCAGGTCTCCTAACTCCCCATCTAGTTAAGGCACGCCAAAAATAAGTCACAGCTGGGATTCTCCTAGGTATGGAAACTCTGCAAACTAGGAATTAATACTAGATTACTTCTGTACCAGAATTTTATTCTCATAATCATAATCATGTAATAAACAAAATAACTTAAATATGAAAGGAAAATGTGAGTCAGGTCAAAAAATAAGATAAATTGACAAAAGAAAGAACAGTGGTAAAACAAAAGAGCTGAAAAGGCATAATGTCCTTCTTCTAATCAAAGTTACGCGGTTTTTCGTTTTTGTTTGTTTTTTGGTTTTGTTGTTGTTTTTTGTTTTGTTTTAGTGTACCTGGGCCAAAAATAAACACCATATATATCACGTATCATACTAGTTTCCAAACAAAGAAAAAAATTCTTCTCATTCACAGTTCAACAGAGTCAATTTGTTTAGGGCTTCTCAAATATCTTTATCTTATGACCTCTCATATATATCACTTTTTCTCCATGACCCTCTTAAACATCTTCCAGGCTGATAGATAGTACCTTCACAGGAATTGGGCCAGGAAGACAAAGGTGTGCACATTAGGGGTATAAGCAGGCAGTGAGATCTCTACAAATGAGTCTGCAAACTAAGGCCTGCCAGCCACACTTACTCCATGGCCTGTTTTATAAATAGTTTTACTGAAATACTACCATACCCAGTGCCATTCATTTATAGTCTATGGCTGCTTTATTACTCTACAGTGTGACCGAGATTTAAGTGCTTCAAAACCTAAAATATTTACTATCTGGTCGATAACAGAATAAAGTTTGCTGATGCCTGGTCTAGACAATGAATTTGGAAGACAATAGCATGAGGGAGCGCACACAGCTTACAAATATTTTATGTTAATAAGTCATATAATATTTTTTCAAAATGGCTGCTTAGAATTAAGTGGATTATTGCTTCCAAGGTGTTAACAACAACAAACAACAACAACAACAACAACGCTGCAGTAGAACTTTAAGAGGGAACATTTATATACCTAAGTTTGATATGGGTAGTAACAACATAAATGGAAAAGACAATAGGCTAGAAGCCTGGAATCCTGCCAATAGCCTTGACTGAGTCATGAAACTTTTCTTAACCATCTACTATAGCTTATGATTCCATTATATAAAAGCATAAGTAATGCCAGTTTAAAGTACGTTTGACATTTAATTAGTCTTTCAAAGGCCCTGAATTGGGATCAATCTGCACATAGGTTCCCTTGATTCAGAAGTATATCATAGGAAAAGGAGTGGTAAAATTGAGGCTCCACCAGGAATAGGTAATATGATCACATGAAGAGAGAGAGAAAATGTTAGTACAGAAGTAAAAGAATAAACTTTAGTTATAGATGGGACTAAAGAAAGAGAAAATAGGAGACAGCACAGAACCACTTATGAAACACAACTGACCTGAGTTCTGTTAAAAGCCACACGTGCAAATACCGCCTGGGAGATTCCTGCTCGTTTCAGTTCATCGCGTACCCACTGGTAGATTTCGGAAGACACCTCTGTGTTGGTCGAAACCTGTTGCTCCAAAGGCTTATTCATAGATCTACTGACAGGGGGAGGGTGGTTCAAGTATTGTTGGTTTAAGGACTGCTGGGCTAAAAGTCTATTCACTGCATACTGCTGGTTCAGCAGCTGAGCCATCACCAGCTGCTGGTTGACCAATTGAGGACTGATAGGTGTTGATACGAGCCCAGGGTGCAGGTTTGGAAGAGGTGTCCGGACAGAGGGCTGGCTGCCATGGGAGAGCTGCGCAGGGGATGGAGGCTGCTCGGCTGTGTTCCCTGGAACTGGTTGCTGGCCAAAATTGACATGATTGGCGCCTTGCTGGGATAGCTCAGAAAGACTATCCATTTCAACTAAAGTGGACAAAGAGTAAAATCACATTCAGCCAACAATGATTGGCATTGATAAAGATTTCTAACCATTTCCTAAATTAAAAAAGGGTAGGCACAGGGCACACCCCAAATCCAATAAAACCAAGAAAATTTCAAGTTGCAACTTACCAGGCTGTGTTTTTGCTCTCCTTTCCTGAACAATTCTACAAACTTTGGAAATGGGACAGCATTCCTAATCTTATTTTTAAAAAGTGGTTTAGATTTAAGGCATAAAATCAATTATTACCCAAACTCTTTCCAACTAGTTGTTCACTCTCACTTATTACCCCAAGAAGGCTTCTAAGCAACAATTTTTAAAAATGGCTTCTAAAAGAATGTCATTTGCTTAATGACAACTACAAACAGTGAGCTGAGCTGAGAAAATAAGCTTATAATAAGCAACTAAAAAAATTTACAAATATATTCTCATGATATTCATTAACTTTAGTACTCTAGGAAAAAGGTGTAAAAGAAAAAATATGACATAAAAAGTCACCTACTTTCAATTTTTACCCAGCAGTGAATAGAAGTAGTTAATGTAATAAATAAAAATGGGCATAATAATAAGTGTATATTGAACACTTGCTGAATATCTTATATGCCTTGCTTCATTTTAATTCTAACCATCATGGGCAGTAGGTATATCTGGAAATACTTTTTAGAATAAAGCAAGTGATTTATTGTATATCAAGCCAGCATACCCAGTGTTGCTAAGATCCAAATGTTTTTTCTTCAGGAAGCTATGGCCATCACCAGATGCTAAAGACAATCTTGCAGGGAATCGTTCTGGTACAATGGTGAGGCTGTCATGATTTTGCAATTTATTCCCACCTACCCAGGATGAATGCTTCTTCCTTGGCTAGGTTCCTCATATGGATTGGCTGAGCATCATCTCTAAGTATGTAAATGCTTTTCTGTACGAAGAGGAGACTGGTTCGATGCTCTTGGCTGGAAGGGCTGAGCATGAAGCTGTACATAAACAGGACTTTCCAAATTGTACACAGACTTCCCACATGTAGACTCTAGTTTGATTTTAATCATCAATTCTCTTTTCATTAAATATGCAGGTTTTACATTTAGAGGAACTTTATCATAGCGCTATAGCTCCTGATATACGCAAAATATAACTAAGAATTGGGGAAGAAATCTTCAATTTCTACCAGTGATATCAGCCCAAGTGGGCCATTCACAGAGAACAGTAATTCAAGCAATTATTCCAAAAATGATGCATTGTCTTCATTACAGCCTTAAGCTATAAAAGGCAAAGAATCCATTTTGGTAGATGGATGGTTTTTCTTCAAATATTAAGAGCTAAAACTTGCTCAAAATTTGGATTAATTTTTCTTAAAAAATTAAAAAAAAATTAAATGAATGTAAAGAAATAAATAGAAATAGATTTAAAACAGGACATAATGCCCATTCCTATATTATTTTAAAATATATGTTTTGGAGGGTAAAAGTAGGTGAAAGAGAACAGTAATAAAAATTAAAACATTAACCTTAATCACAGTGTTTGCTTTTGTGAACATTAACAAACTCAACAGAGAGAAAATGCCATCATCTAAATGCTTAGGTACCATACACAACTTTTATCTATCATTTTACACTGCAGATAATTTTAGTGTACTTCTTGCATAACAAATATTCACCTAAAGTTATGTGTTAAGATAGAATGCTACCTTGGAATTAAAAGTTCAGAAATGATGCAATAATTGTTCTGGTATGGATGGTAAAGCAATGTGCTTATCAAAGTGCCCATCCATGGCGGCTGGGGGTTAGAGCTATAAAAATCACTTGATCTCTACTGTGGAAACTATAAATAGTTTAATTTAAGAAGTTTAATTTCCTTTAAAATTGGGTGTAAAAATAGGCACTTTCTCATTCAACCAGACAAAAACAAAAAACCTAAAAGCAAGACTTATCAGAGAAAGAAATCACAGCTAATATTAGTTATTCAAGGCCTGGTTAGGTCTTCACTGAGTTGTTAAAAAATGACAGCTCCCCTCCCAACGCCTCAATTTCCTGCATGTCTGACAACCAAGTCAGTTTGGCTGATTTAAACACAAACATTTATTGAATTTAATTATCTCATTATACTCATACCCACTTCCCACCCCCAAAGAAACATTCTAAATTGATCTCTAATTGGGCAATCAAAAGACCTGGCTTTAGATGTGACTTTGATAAACCCCCAAATGACACGTAATGGTATGTAGCCACTGCTGCAATGTTTTTTTTGCTTACCCATCATATCTTTTGTCTTCTTGAAATGTTTGTACCACCTTCCAAATTCTTGACATTTTGCTGCTGAGACATTTGCATAGTAAGTACTGTTCACAATGGAAGAAATCATACTCTGCATGAAGAAGGGGGGAGAATATTTGTAATACACAGCAGCACAAGATGGAACACAGAAATGATCTCAATTGTGGCAACTGTATTTTTTTAATCAACTGAGTACCAATACATTTTGGTTTCACACTTTAGCCTAAAGCTTCGACTTCTTAATATTCATTAAGTAGATCATCAAATGCTTATTTAAGTAGAAAGCAACAGCCCACTGAGACCAGTATAAAGCTATCAAACCCACAGACTTTGCTCTAGCATTCATTGAATCTCCATCAATGCCATCTATTACTAGGCTGTCAAACTCACTGGTCCCAATAAATCCAAATACATGAAGATGACTTTATAATTGTGACTCATAAATATACGAGACTTCGCGATTTTTTGACTGGACTCTACATCTTTTCTACTCAAAGTATAGACCAGGGACCAGCAATATGGGCATCACTTGGAAGCTTGTTAGAAATGCAGAATCTTGGGCCCTACCCCAGACCAGTGCACTTAGCAGCTGAATTTTACCAAGATCCCAGGGGATTCACATGTATATTAAAATTTGAGAAACAGAACTTGCACTTTCCACTCTATTATTTGGATTTAAAGTGGACGCGCATTAACACTGATCAAAGGTTAACTGACCGTATTTGAGAAGAAACAAACTATTCACAGAGATCCTCTATCAAGAGAAAAACATTCTGCAATCTTATTACTGGCTTCATCAATAGTAAAGCTTAAGTTTTGAATTTCAAACCGATCATAAAAATTTTAAATTTATACATTTCATGCTTCTAAATTTCTCAAGGATACCACAAAAAGATGACCTATCGTGACTTATCTTTATCCTGCTTTTAATAAATGCCCGGAAAACTGTCAGCCCTTTAACATACAAAAATGAAGAAAAACATGATTTTAATGAATCACTAGGAGGGTTTCTTTTTTTAAATCATTTTCAATCTTCCCAGCAAATTTTGGTTACGGTAATTTCAATGACTAAATTCATGGTCCATATTAACCTGTTACCCATATTCTCTAGTAACAGCTAACTTAATTTCCTACCGAGTCTTAGGAGTAAGATTTTGTAGCACCAATCTATCCCTCACCCCTATGTGCAGAAACATGAGAACTCACATTTCAGACATCAGTTGGTCTATGGTGAAATAATTTATAGAAGGCAGCATTGTTCAGGAGGCAGTGAACAACCAGAAAAGCCAGTTTGGGGACAAAAGTATTTTTATATAATTATCTTCTTTAAGTTACCTCTAATGTAAAGCTCTTTCAGTTATTATTCATTCTCCTGACATCCACTATCAGTGTTAATTCTGTAGCATGCACACATTTCTGGAATATGTAAATTTGGGGGATCTCTAAAGAACTTCCAGTGAAGGATAAGCTGGAGTCGCATTATTTATGTAAAACACAGCTATCTTTCCTAAGAGGCACTGTGATATCTTTTTTTTTGACACTCTCTATAGTCATTTTCACATTTTATATCTCTAAAAAGACATTCTTAATGTGTTCATGATGCTCTGCCATTAATCCAATAGCTTGCAATTTCACTAAGAGCCTCCCACAGTCCACAGTGTAAAAAGACACTTAGCAAAGTTGCCAAAACCAGAGCCAGAAGATTACCTGATCTGTCAGCTTCAATCTCACTTACTCTCTTGTAATAAGGGATCAATAAAGTCAGACACTAATAAAAACTATTGAGATCGCTGATGGATAATGGTGATTCTTCTGCAAATGGATGACAGTTGATGTTCTTCCACTCTGGTCCAATTTTTAAAAAAATTATTACTCTTTATCTAGACATTCTGGCAGTTCCTTAAATGTTAATAATACACATGAGTTCTAGATGTGGTTTATGTCTTACTTTTTAGAAGTGTATGGAATATCCAAATTTTGCCGAGGTTTTTGACAAACATCCAGTCTACTCCAGTTTGCCAACAGTTCTATATATGAAATTTGCTCTTTGCTGCACACCTACTATATGCCTGGCTGGTAGTAAGGATGCAAAGATGGCAGACAGCCTCTGCCTACAAAGATGAGGCACCTGTCATCCAAAGATGGCGGACAGCCTCTGCCTACAAGAAGTTTACTATCTATTAAGAACACAGATATGTAAATAGATCATCTCAATTTAATGTGATTTGGTATATCAACAGTGGAAAATGTATAGGGGACGACGGAAGGAAGAATCATCCATGGTGTGTGTGAAAAAATGTCTGAAATAGTTTTATAAAACTAGAACCTATATGTAATAGTGCTATACAGTTTATTATTATTCGTACATGGAAAATAATATCCATATGTGCATCATTGTCAAAGCTTCCCCCTACCCTACTTAACCCTAAATTGGTAGGTTCTGGGCTTAAGTGCTTTTCTGTCACATGGTGTATGCTTAGGAAACTCTGATTAATGTAAATAATAGCCTAAGCAAGACTTAAATCAAAAGGCTAATCCGTAACTTATAATGCATGACAAAGCAACTTTTTGGATTCCCTATCTTTTTGTGCTTTTGGGTGACTGGGAAATATTTCCTAATTCAGGTAACTTGGAGTCATGTCTATTTTTATTGGACAATATGCAATAATCTGTCCAATTAGATTGCTCCTATAGCCACTTCATGAGGTGTATGTGTGTGGGCGTGGGCGTGTGTGTGTGTTTCAGGTGGTAAAATTCCTACTAAAGGCTTAGGCATAGCATTGGAGTAGACCAGCCAGCCGGTTTCAATGGCAGGAAAGAGACTGCAGAATTTTGTGGTGCACATGGCATTTGAAAAATCATATACAGTAGTGTAATCTTAAATTTAGAATATCAGGAAAAAAACACGTAATGTTTTGATAACACAAATAAAAAAGTCATGATTGGTAAAATTTTCCTAGGTGGTGGGATGTACAGATAGTAGGCCAAGTTCCATGTTAGAAAGGCTTGGGATTCTTGTGTCACTTAAAAGGAGGTACTGGTTTAAAAAGATTGCACTAAGCTGTGAGTTCACGTAGGTCTGGGGCACCATATTATTTTCTAGCTCAATGCCTGGCATGCATTAATATAAACACTAAATGTTCATCTGACAAAACAGAATAGAAATAAACATATATTCAAGTGAGGATGTGTCACACACTGGTAGTATGACCTTGGGTCAAATAGTTGACCATTCCATCACAATTTCCTATGCTAAATGGGAATGATAATAGCATACACCTCATGGAGTTGTTCTGAGAATCCATCAATTCAGGCATTTTTAAAATTCATTTAGCATATACTTAAATTCTACTATGTGCCAAGCACTGGGCAAGTCACTAGGAAAATAATGACTTGAAGAGACATATTATCTGCCCTTGGACAGGAAATAATAGATGTGATACAATTAGCACAGAGCCTGTAACATATTACATATAGACTGAAGAGATATTAATTACTATGACAATCCTTTGCCTCCTCCTCATCACTGGGCTTTCATTATATGATCACATTTCATATCAGGTGACTATGTTTTGAGTATCAGATAAAATTTTCAAATGATATACAGTATTTTGAGTCTTTTTAATGTAGAATGAAGTATACTGATTAAATTATTAAGTTACAAGTTGGTACAAGGAATAGTAAAGGAAAACACCACGGGGAAATATTTCTTTCCTTCTCATACTCCAATTTGGTGGTGTTTTCTGAAGCTGGCCTATATCTGGTAGAAAGCATCAAGAAGGCACACCACTCCTCTGGCTTGGATGCACGGCCCATGCCCTCTCCCATCTCTAGCTAACAGCTGCTCATCCTTCAGGATACAGCCTGGGCATCCTTGCTTCCATGAGGCCTTTCCTAACTTCCCAAACCTCCTGCAGCAGAGCACTCATCCTGCTGTTTATTTTGCACTGGACTGTGGGCCTTAGGTCTCATCTGAATATATCCTGGACTCATCAGAGGGCTGGACACAGACTAGGTGATCAATAAAAAGGGTCACTGAAACAAGCCACCAGAAATCCTCTTCCCCTTTTTTCCCCTTAAAGGTCAAACATAATAGCAGCTTAACTATGACACGAATCTTTCAAATCCATCGCTTTGGCTGTCGTGATAGAAATCATAGTTTCAAGAACCTTTGTTCATTAATTTGCAAGAGATCCCTTCCCAGGTTTTTCAAAATACATCCACACAGATGTCTCGGAAGTTGCAGTGCTCGGTGGTTATGTTATTCCAGTTCTCTCTCAGTGTCTATTTATATAAGCTATCCAAAGCACTTTGAAAAAGACACAACTTGTATGGCAAGTTTCCTATTCAGTGGCTGGTCTGTATAAAACATCAATGTTCACAGAATAAAATAAACCAACCGACAAAACTCAGTCGGTTGAAATACCAAGTTCAAATGCTACACGGTACACCAACCAATAAATAGGCCACAGCTTCCAGTGTTGGGAAATACAATTTCAAAGTTGGCAGAAATTGGCTGTGGGTCTCATAACCCCAGTGTGACACAATATTCTCATCCTAGGAGCCAAGTTGTAAGCTTTTCTAAGATCCATAAAGCACATGTCTACTCCCTATGAGGAGCTTCGGTTCTTTCTGAGAGTCTGCTGAAGTTCCGATCTGAAAGAATGCCATCTTCACAGAAACCCCAGTACTCTAGAATGATACCATCTGCCACAGGCTGAGCTTCCTTTTCAGCCAAATACATTATTTATAACCTTTCTAATTGTGAAAAGGTAAGGGTGGAATTTTTCTAAAGCCTAACTTAAAGATAGATAGAACATTCTGAACCTTTGCTCTAAAATACTCTAGCTCTTTTAAATTTGAAAAACAAAAACCACAAAGAATCGGTTAAGGTTACATAATGTTTCAAAAAATTTTATTCTTTTAAACCCCTGCTACAATATCATATGTACTGTAGGTATATATCTATAACACGTTTAAAAATGAAGGAAGATGGTTTTATTTTTTTACTTGTTCATCTCAGTAGCCAATGAAGGGGTTTTGAGAGAGGTGAGGCCTTCTCAAAAAAAGATTCATCAGATGGGGAAAGGCAGTGATCTGATTACCCTTAAAATTGCTTTGTTGTGTCTTTAACAACAACCAAAAAAAACCACCCCAAAACAATGCTAATCAGGTTATTCAATCATTTAAACCAAAACTGTTCATGCTTTTCTGCCAAATCAACCAACCACAGCAAAATCTGTTATCACTGATTGCTCAGCTTCCAGTCAAAAAACAGTTAACCCCCACTATACCAAAAGTTTTCCAAATACCCTCAGAGCTCTGCATGCTCATAGAAAATAAAGAGAAAACCATGTCAGCTTTAAAGGGTAATTGGAGTGCTGTACCATATTTGCATATTACAATATACCCTAATAAACTAAACAGCCTGTACCGGAAGCCAGCAGCTTCCTAGTATTTCATATGATCTACATGCTTGCGTTTTTTGCACTACTTTAAAAACAAAACAAAAAAAACAGGACTGTGATATCATGATCAAAACTTATCAAGGACTTGCCGATGGTTTAGCTGAGGTGGGGAGGAGGTAGCAAGAGCATCTACAAAATGGTGGTTCACCCATGTTTAAAGCTTTCAGGCTCCATCAGCAGAGAGGGCAAGGGCTACAACATCTTATTTACACAATTATCTAAATACGATTAAACAGCTGATGGACAAATATTAAACTGGAAAATGTATAGTCATTTCAGCTTAATGTAATCCTCTTTCTGTAAACACCCAAGATGATTTTTTTCAACCAGAACAGTCCTGACATCTCATAAGCCTAAGGGTGAATAGCAAGAGATTGTTTTTGATAGTTATAAATATTCAAAAGACATGCAGACCATCTGCTTTCATAATACAGGTAAAGCAAGACTGAAATGGTGACTGCTGTATAAAAATGATTCTTTTAACAAAGTCTTCCTCTCCTCGAAAACTATAAAGACAGATGTCAAAAACTGTTTACACAGAGCAATCAGGAGCGTGCAAAATGTAATATTCCTTTTACACACAGTGCTTGCTAAAGAGATTTTTTTTTCTTTTTCTTCCCATCTGTGTGTTGCAACACATTTCTACAAGTTAAAAACATTTTTTTCAAACAGAGATCTCATGAATACCCAAAAACATGCTATCTGGTTTCTGAATGCTAATTAATTTCAACTAAGGAATCTGAATATCTTTTTTCTGTAGGAAGGAATGTATGTTTTGAATTGGAATACTCTAGAGAGACAGCAAGGGAAATAATCTTGCACAGGTTTTATTCTATAAGGAAAATTTCATGGTTCTACCTGTTTATAATACATATCTGTTATGTCTGTGCTTTAAATGAAAGCACATCATTCCTAATGTCTTTGGCACAAAGTCTAAAATAATTGTTTTCTGAAATAAATGCCTGCACAATGCAAAATGTGTATTTAAAAAAAACCTTTAACTTCTCAGTCTATGCATGGTGATGTATAAAGCCCTACAGTTAATTTTCAGGGATGGAACACTAATCTTGACAGTAACCTTTTTATGTATTGTATTAATGGCGCAAAGGCATTAAGCACCTTTTTGTAGTTTTCAATAAAATGAGCATTTACTGAACAATCTGTCAAACTACTGGCTTTTATTATATTTTTATTTTTTGAGAAGTTCAACTTCATACATTCTAATCTCCCACCCCTTTGTGCATGTCCTGACTACCTATGGCCTGATTTTTTACAGCAGCTTTTTATCTGTCCATGGAAAATTCAAAGGTCAAACTTTAACTTCACATCAACTACACATTCAAATACAATTTTCACAGGGATTCCTCGTAAATGAGGTTTTCTTTTAATCTCAAAGGACACCAAATACTACAAACAAGCTCTAAGAGGCATCGTATGAGATATGATATATTGACAAGAAATGAATTTGTTGAAAATTAACAGGTAGTTCCCATCTGGTATTTTGGGGTGGGAAGGACAGGAAATGGGCTTCAATTTATGACAGCGAATGGCAGGATTTCTAAGTGCAATATTCTGTTTGTGCTTGTCAGCTTCTGTTTCCCAAATCTTTCCCTCTGGATCCTCTATTGCTTTCTAAGCTATTCTCTTGGGAGATACAACTGGGGCATATTTGGAATCTCAATTTGTTGAGAAGAGACTAATCACTTCTAAATTTTACTTAAACTCCAGTTGTCATAGTTATGGCTCTTGCCATCTTGATCAATCCTAGTGCCTGAAAATGGCATTTTCATACAAAGTAACCCTGGCACATTGCTAAAATTGGAAACTCAGTACAAAGCTCCAAAGGAATACAAAAGGAAGCACAAAGAGAACACATCCAATTCTATTTTAATTTTCCTACTATATTTCCTAAAGATGAAAATGTGATCATATCAAAGCACAGAAATTTTATTTATTTAAATACTCGATTCATAACTTTTAAAAGAAAATGTTGGTTCACAGTTTATATGGCTCTTCCATATAGTTAAAATAACTTACATAATGCCCAGATAGTATGTTCTGACCAGATTCTCTATTCTGCCCTTTTGTATAAGTACCTAGCCAGACCTTTCTTATCACACTGAAACCTAACTCAAACCAAATGAATATACTGGTAAAGAGCTTAAACTATAAAATATTTTTAAAAGGTATATTAAGAGCATGTGATATTCCAAATTAACTGCACACAGAAGCTGTAACATGAAGGGAACTGAACTAGATAATCTCCAACGTCTCCTCTAACAGATTTAAAAGTCTATGAAATCTGTATGTCTTCTCAAACAGAGTGACTAAAAAAGATTCAATTGTAACGCACATTATTCATTCTCAGGTACTCACTGTGCAAATGTCTCCAACTAGAGTCTTATTTTTAGGAAGGTTACGACCCCATTGGCATCCTGCTTATGATTATTTAAAATACACTCATTATTAACTTATATATTATGTTATATCCAAATAGAATTTTCACAAGTTTTTCATTAGATAAATATGAATCCAAGGAATTTTATTTGATTTTATTGACAAAATTGTTTCCTGATTCTGAATCTTAGGCACTCTATACCAATGTACCCATTTGAGAAATCTCTTTCTCTGATGCCCTTGTGTGGTTAAATCGCTCATCCTCTCTAGAGATTACAATTTCTAGTATCTGGAAAGATACCAAATTCGTGTTAAGTTCCAGAGGTCCTAAATAGAGCCTTTTAAAAAAACAAAACAAAACCAAAAAACCCTTAAACCACAGAGCGAAAACAAGAACTAAAGTACTTTGAGCAATTCATTTTCCAAAAGTAAATATTAGAATTAGGTTCTGTAACTCTTCACAGGAAGACTTTATATTACCTCTTTGCATTCCTTCTGTACAGGAGCATATTAGATTTTTAAGCCATACTGCCTAAAAATTGGAGGTAAAATACCTCCTGGCTTTTAGCTCTTTACAGGGCCACAGAACTAACTCTGGAAATTACATAAAACCTATGAAAGCTGTCCTCCATGCATTCCCAAAATTGGCTTATAATTTCAGGGTCTGCACAGATTGTGGGGTCCATGGACCCCTCTCAGATCTGATCCAAGACTTCACAGAAGACTGAGGGCTAAACCGCAGCTTTGATTTCTGTGTTTTATTCATCATTGTCAGCTTTTAGATAAGACTTCCCATGTCTACCAGATAAACATAAACCAATGTCACCTCTGGATTAGATCATAAAGAAAAATCAAATTAATCTGGCTTCATCTCAATCAATATTATGAAAATCCTTCACAGTGTAGGAAAATGCCATCCTCTGGTAATCATCTCATTAGAAGTTATGGCGAAATGATAAAAATGTGTTGGAATGGGTTGTAAATCATATAATAAAGAGCTCCATCCATCACTAAACATGTGTTTTCCAGGCTGAGCTGGTGATCACGCAGAAAGTGGACAAACCAAGTCCCTAAGGCCCATTATGGAATGGCTGAACAGTTATCTACCCTTGCAGCTCTCTCTAAATTCAGGTGACTCTAGACCTGTATACAGCTGACTTTAAAACACTGCATGTTTATAGCCTTAAATGGAGTCTCTTATGCCAAATGTAGACTTTAGAACACAACTGAGGAATGGACGCTGGAAGTGAACATGGGGTGATACTGTTAACATTTCCGTATTGGCAACATCAGTATCTTTGTCTATAAATTATCTGTTATTGAAAATTTCCTATTTTACTCTTGAATATGAGAAGAAAATAAACAAATGAAAATAATAGTGAAGAAGTGTGGGTCTCAAATATAATGTAACTGAGACAAAATGAAAATTATTAGCCAGGCTGAAATACATGTACAATTGTGGAAGAAAAATTTTAAAATTTAGAAATGCTGCATATGTTTTTAAAGCTTGCCCTTAACTGTGATGTATAATCAGGTCTTTTTAAGCATTCAGACCTCTGAGTTCCCTGTAACTCCAAGGCTATTGTTGTGCTTACAAATGTTTAGTACACATATTCATGAACATTATCAAATATACAAAAGCATGAGACAGCTTGAAATGTCAGTAGGTTTTCTTAGAGAAAAATTCAGAAGTGATTTGTTCTTTGTTAGGTAAAAATACAGAATTAAGTATAATAGGAAAATATTTCATAAGATAGGATACTGTAGATAAAAGTATAAAGTACTACTAATACAACTACTGACACGGTATACTGGCTTATGAAATAAACATGTGCAAATCCTACAAGATTGTTTAAGTCTGACGAATATTCCCGAGTTCCTACTGTGTGTCAGGATCTATGACAGTGATGAATACAACTTAGTTCCTTTGGGACAATTACAGTGTACACAGCCTAGTTAGTCCAGACTATTTCAGAACAATGTGGCAAATGCTACGATGGGCACATAAGGAGAGGACAGAACCTTGGGTGCTGGGAGTACAGGCGAAGTTAGTTAACGGAAAAGACACTGGGAAAAGCTCACCTCTTGGTAACAGTCCCATCAGGTATCTTTATTCTACTTGACATTATCTAGCCTAGGGTATCATATATGCTAAACTTCCAAATGGATTTATTTAAAGTATAAGCTGCAGTCTTCCACTTCCAATTTAAAATACATCATAACTTTATAATGACTGTAAGTGTTCCTTAATGTTGAGATTGAGTTATAATATAGTCTTTTAATTTTTTCACAAATGAAAAGTATTTGGTTGTTTTCACTAAAAATGAAGATTGCACCAAAATCTTCCATGTAGCCAGAGAGTTACATAGACCATGTGGCATGCACAAGTGTGATTTCAAACTCTCAATGCCCACATTTTAGAAAAACAACTAGTTATGGCACACTTTAGGACTGAAAACTGTTCTAAATGTTTTCTAAGTACTAGCTCATTTAATTCTCTAAACAATGCGAGACATTGGTACTATTATCTTCCGACTTTATAGATGAGAAAATTGAGTCATGGAGTCAGCTGCCCAAGCTCATATAGCTGGCCACAACATAACTCACATTCCTGATTCCTACGATGCTAGGAGCTAATTAAAGTGATGCTAGAGAGCAATGACAAACAAAAACACACAAAAAGTAACACAATGAAGTTGCTGAAGAAATGCCATTACTCTAAAGAAACAGTCCCATTAAAAAGTAAAAAGAAAACTAGATCAAGCTGTGTCGTATGTTATCATAAGACAGGAGTTTCAATACAGAGAAGAGTCTCATTGTGACATTTCACAAAGTTAATACTTGTTACATTTCTGAACTTCCTTGGAACAAATAGTAGGTGGACAGTAAAATGGGACAAGCCTGAGAGAGTTGGTGGTATCCAGTAATGAAGTACCATGTCTTGTTATTCAGATAAGAATGTGATCTCAAATAGTGCTAGCAATTAAAGCTTTAATCTTTTCTTAACTTCCAACCTATCAACTGGTTTGCATCTTCAACCTGAGTAAACTAAATTAGATTAGCATTTCTATGGGAAAATATTACAATAGAAAATAATCAATTTTTTTAAGAGAGAAAGATGATGACTAAAGAGAACAAAGTTTCAGAGTAAGAATGAGAGAAAAAGACTGCTAAAGAAGTCAGCCACCTTCTCTGCCATGAGGAATTCTGCAATCTTATGAATTGTCCATGATGAAACTCCAGCACCCCGTAAGACTGCATATTAGAACACAATACAATCTTATATTTCTGTAGCGCCCTTCATGCAAGCATCCCAGGGTGCTTTACAATCATTATGAGTTAAAATTAAAACTGAAGCACATACAATTCCTAATAGAATCATTTTAAAAATGCTAAACAGAACAAATAACTTTTAAGTCTAGATTTAAAAGTCCCAACAGCCAGAGCGTTCCTTACTTCAATTGGCAATGAGCTGCAGAACCAGGGCTGAGGCTCTCCTCTGTTATGTTAAAGGCTCTCTTATGTTTTTCATACTCAGAGCACGTTATAATCAAGCAGTTTCCAATGAAAGAGGGGGAAATTGAGTTCGTGTATCTGTTTGTTTTGATTATCAGGTTTTTTTTTTTTTTCCTGGAGTTGGGGGTTGTTCATGGTTTGCCCAAATCTGGCATGAAATGAAGCAGATCTATAAAGCAAATCCAGATAGAGCCCAACTTCAAGTTTAACTAGTAATTGAGAAAAAAAGATGTCTAAAATATACTCTAAAACTAGTTCTGTTTTAGCAAGAAAATCAGTTTGAGTAGCATGATTTGTTTAAGTTGTTTTTTAAAACCATTAGAAAATAGCATTTAATAGGCTTTCTCTCAGGCCATGTCTACTCCTAAGCCTTGGGAGTATTTATTATTCTAAGCATCAGGCAAAAAAAAGAAAGAGGAAAAATACTCTCATGATATGGTAATTTTCCCTGCATTAGTGATTTTGAGGTCAAAGGAAACCTATTCAGATCTGAAACAAGGCACAGGTAAAAATCTATTAAGTGAAAATAAAGTAATTACACATTGTTAAGCACTCTCTAAATTGGCATAGCTTAAACTCTTTTATGTTTTACTATTGTGAAAAGATAGTGGCTATAAAATATTTGAGATCAATCCATTTTAAATTAGATGCTTTATTAAGTTTGGCTTTTTTGATTAATATACCTGAAAGGTTACAGAGAGCTAACATCAAGCTACGATAAAATCCTTATGCATCTAAGTCATCTAAAAATGAGCCTGATATATTAGATTCAAAAAGGAAAACTTGCAATTTGGAGGACAATTCTGTTGTAGATTATACACATTATAATATTAACACAGAGCAGACATCTCACTAAGTTGAAAAAGGAACTAGAATGATGTCATGACTTGTTCAAAAGACGAGGCAAAAAAATTATTTGATGTAAGTTTTGCAATTCACACAACTACCCATATAAGACAGGTTTACCATTTCCTTTATGGATCCCACCATTACAGTAATACAATTGCTGAAAAGTGGTCATAATATCCAATTAGTATCAAGTACTTCAGTGCCTGGCAAAGCAGATATTTATAATCTAAGATTCCCACGGTCAGTAGGGTAAAAACTAGGGAAAGTTTTTTAATGTTAAAAAGGAAAGAAGATTCTCTGTAGAGCTTTTATTCAAAATATATGATGTTTAAACATAAGATAATTTTATACTGGGAAGGGGCAAGTACAAAATCATTCCAGCTCATCTCAAACAGGAATCCTTTTATTTTAAAATGGAGCTGCTCGTAAAAGACCAGTCTGATGACTGGAGTCTGTATTTTCAAACAGACCCAAGAAATTCATCTGCCCACTATTTCTAATGAAAATGACTAATGTTACCTTGGGGTTCAAAACAAAGGGCTATTAGCATAATTATGCCTACTGGTCTTGAGAATATGAAAGAATAGGAAAGAGAAGTAACTGCACAGAACTATACCGGCAAATCTTCTGGAACGTCCCAAATACCAAGTTATCCCAAAAGTCAGTTCCTGTCTAGATCACCCATGATTAGGGGCTTGATATGACAGCAATGTACTTTTAAAACAAGACAACATACAAACAAAAAATCAAAGACACAAAACCAAAGCACGGTAAAGAAAATTTTCAGCAATGAGAATAAATACACTTGGAAAACTACAAGTAGTTATCACTACTTTAGAGAAATCAAAGCATATTATAAAACCTATCCAATTCATCTGAGAGGCTTTCATTTTGTCTTTTTTAAACTTCCTTTATCTGTGGTATGTGATGAAAAGGCTACTTGGTGAAGCTCCCGGGCTCTCGGTATGAAGTCTCACCCTTGTGCTTCACCAGCGATGTAGCCATGGACGCTCACTCATGTCAACATTCTGTGCCTCAGGTTCCTCATTTAAAAATGGGGATATAAGACTATATCCTACTTAGGGGGACCAAAGGCGCTCTCGATACATCAAAAGCACTAAATCAAAGTGTAATACTATTATTTCAACTAATAAGATGTTATATCCTTAACACTACATAGGAAATGGAATGCCTGGCATACGGCAGACTGTCAATACATACTTTTGAATATATGAATGTGAACAAATTTCATAGATTAGACTCTCATGTGAAATGCAGTATATGAACACTGATGCTGGCTATTCTCTTAAGAATGTGCTTACTAAAACTGATTTAAAATTTTAAGAAACATGTCATTCCAGTCCAAAAACTGTGAAATAAAGTACAGTTTATTAAAAACACATTTGTATAACATGATAGATTTGTAATTGTTGCTCCAATATCATTTATAATACAGACTGAACATCAACTAAACACCTAAGTGTATTTAATTCCTACGGAAATGACTGTCATGTTTCAGGAGAGCAGTACTGAAGCTAAGCTTCAGGAGCACGAGGTAGTTTCTTTTTAAAATTTATTTTTCCATTAATAAATAAATTGTCCAACATATTTGAGATCTCAGGATGCTGTGAATAAAAGGAAAGTTGGAAAATCATCTTTCTCAATATTACTTCTAAATGGAATGTTCAAATTTATTTTATATATATTTTGCTACTTGAAAATAAAAATAACACTTCTCACCCACTTTATATGACTTGGCTTAAAGATATCTTTTCCAGGTGAGAAATAAGATAGAAAATAATCCAATGCCTTAAAAATGTGAAAGTTGTGATGTGTGTGTGTGCACGTGTGCACGCGCGAGTATGTACGCCCACATGTGTGGTGAAAGAGGGAAGGTAAAAATGCGCAAATCAGATTAAAACCTCCATGAAATATTTGACCTAAACATTTTTAGAAGGAAGACATTACGCTGGTAGAAGTAATAGCTGACCTTTACTTAACAAAATGAATCTACCCTGTATCAGAATGTATATACATTTATCTAGTTTTTAAATGCAATTTCTAAAACTCCAGGGAAAATAAGCATCAAAATGTTAATGTTTTATTATAAATAAAAATGTTTACTTTTTAAATTCCCAATTTTCCTCCCAAATCCATATCCTCAAAAGTTTCATGACTACAGGCTCTCTTGTCCCCAAATCAGTGTTTATTCTCTCCTTAGCTGCAGTTCAGAATGCACCATCCAACTTATCTAACCACATCCACCGAAAAAAACAAAAGTAACAACAAAACATCTAACCTCAGACCTATAATGAGCTAAGTGTTTCTTATGTCTTAGAACATTTTACAAAAATAAAAAAACACATGGTACAAAGAATTTAATAAATTAGTGTCAATCGATTTGGGCAGATTTATGATAGGAAAGTGATAACAGAAATAAAGGTATGAGTTGTAAATCAAACTAAGCCCACTTATGGAATTTCTGCAGCTGAAGAAAACCTTATGAATATCATCAAAGAAAACATTATTGTACCCAAATGTAAGTATTCCTTTTTTTTTTTGAAACGGAGTCTCGTTCTGTCACCAAACTAGAGTGCAGTGGTGCTATCTCGGCTAACTGCAACCTCCGCCTCCTGGGTTCAAGCAATTCTCCTGCCTCAGCCTCCCAAGTAGCTAAATCAGCACTTTAAAATTTATTGTCAGGCAAGGACATAGGCTTAGCAAGTCAGGACTTTCTTGTTAGTCATTGCACCGTGACTTTAATCTCCAGGGACACTGGCTCCTTCAATTATCAAAAGGAGGAGCCTAGGAAGGATAATCCCTTCTGGTTCTAAGAATCCAAGTCCAAATGGACATTTGCTTAGCAAGTATTAGACAATCGTCCTAAGAGCATTGGAGGCAGGGCTTATTCAACACCCCAGGCAAAATCCTGGTGGCTCCCCAGTTCCACTCCTCCTGGCCCCTGCTCTATAAAAGGAATTTACCTGCCCACAGGGTGAACTTTCTACTAACTATAATATTTAGGGCCCCTGTAGCCATACTTGCTACTGGAGTACTTTATCATATTCAACAAAATAAAACCCTTACTGTACAGTAAAATGTGTATGGTGTATTGCATGCTAAAGGTTCTCTCCCATGAATGAATCAACACTCCACAGGGGAAGAAAGGGCTTAACACTTGGCATTTCTTGGTGTTAGGTCCCATTTTGCTCAAGACTGAGGCCATATTTATTTGCTAGGCTTTTTTCACCATGACATCTTCATCACCAAATCTTAACCATAGGAAAAAGAGTAGTTTTGTCAAACTTGGCATATATTTTGGACATAGGCTTTAGGGAACTTGCATCTCTCATTTTAATAACTCTAGACAGAAAAACATAATAAAGAAGCAAACAGAAAACAGTTTATGTTGAAAAAATTCTGACTGGAGTATCAGATTCATAGAAAAAGAGAAGATGATTCAGCAAAATATAAAATAAGTACCTCATTTAGAGAACAATTTACATGTTTTCATATTATTAAATATTAATTTCAAATATTTGCTTTCACTCCTAAACTATGCATAATTTTTAGAAGTTTTTTTATGGAAAAGAATACTGCAATTATAACTGATGTTGATATTGTAGCCTAGTTCCATCACTTAATGATTACAGTGAGGTATCCAGCCACAGGAAGCCATATATCTGAAAACCTCTCTCTATAGAAATTCACCAATGTATGACTCCAAAACCAAGTCCTGAATTACATTTTGTCATTCTACTTAATGTTATAATTGTATGCAATTCATTTTCCATGATAACATTAAGTAAATTCACAATTCTATTTATAAGTTATAGTGAGGTAGAGTTTATTGGCTGAATGTTGATGTCATTTAACAATTAGTTCTCACTGACTGTATCAATAAATATTTGTAACGACAGCCTCTTCTTCAGCTCATAGTAAATGCCTTAAGTATTTGTCTGAATATACTTCCAAGATCAATGGGACATTTAGTAACATAAAGACACATGCGATTCCAGTACTGGGTGTTTACATCATATTTTAACTGAGTTTTTAAAAAGTTTATTTCTAGATCATTTCAAATTTTCATATGTTAGCAACCATGTAACATGTTATCTGGAGTTGTCTGCGAAACAAAGTCCCTGAAGTAAGAGTCACCCTTTTATTCTATCATCCTATTCATTTGTGATTAATTTAAATTATTTTTATTTGATGGTTATAAATTCATATCCTCTCTATTCCAAGGGTGAGAGAGGGAAGACAGGAGATTAGCTGTAGGTATAACTGAAATGACAAATAAGAGTTTTCTCTGAATTGCAAGAAATGGACACTTAACAATACAGAGAATATGTAACCTGTGGCTATAGCTTATTTTAGAATATATAGAAAGCTATTAATTATAAACAATTCATTTGCTTCATTCCTAAAATTTCTAGCAAATATCAAAGTAAAAGTGTTGGAACGTAACTTAGCAAATCTGAAATGCATGGAGTTTCTATGAAACAGAAGCACAAAGCTGACAAGATTCCCTTCAAAGGTACCCAATAATCTTCATAAGCCTCACATTAGAAACACATTTTGAGAATATCTGCTACTCAGAATATAGCAGAAATACACTTTGAGATCTCTCCACTGCAGAAATGTTTACAGCAGCATCCTACAGTTCAAGTTCAAATGGCTAAGACTAATATTCAGAATTAAAACTCAAATTAAAAGAAAACATTAAAAATCTGGTAAAAATCTAGTTGGACCAACATTTTAATTATACTGTATCATGGAATGGCCTTAAAACGGGTTTGGGTACTGAGGGGATGACTATAACACATTTACATGGTGACCACAAAAGCAGCCCTTTAAGAGTAGATTCACAGCATCCTTTTTATTTTTTATTTGAAATCAGCTGAGTTTCATCAAAAATGATGTTTGATTTTCTGTCTATAAGCAGGTAGGCAGTCTCTATCTAGAGTTTTAGCTGCCCTCCACCAAATTTATTCTAAAAAAAGAAATCAAGGAAAATCATTAAAAAAATCTTTATTTTAAAAATCCCTGATGGTATAACAGGCATCTCAGAGGGAAAAAAGAAAATTCCACTTAAAAAAACAGAAAAGAAGTAAACCAAAGCCACAAAACTGGTCACAAAATCCTAATGAATTAACTATTCAACCTTTAGTTAAGAGTAATTATTTTCATAATTATTTGTACTAAAATACTTTTAATTTTTTGGTAATGAGTAAAGTATCCAAGAATTGTACTGTTATTTTACTCAGATAGCACGGTGAAGTTTTACACATTAACACTGACACTGCCATTCCCTCTCACCGAAGCTTCGTGGGAGTAGTACCACCTCGACTCTTTCTTAAATAAGGGCATTCAGGAGAATTTAGCCATCATGCTAATAGCACTCAGAAGACAAATCTAAAAATTAGCCAGCGGAGTCTTCCACTGAACTGTTTTTCCTGTAAACAGTCCTTTGCCTCTTTTCCCCAAGGGAGAAAAAGCCTATAGGCTCTGTTCACAAGGAATCAGGCATATTTTAAAAGGTCACCAGTGGTCAAGTCACTTTGCATTTTTGGCAGATTCTTGCTTCAGATACCAGTTGCTTTAAACCAGGGAGCTCCATCAAACCTCAAATCAGGGTTGCCCATGATGTCTTATTATTTATTACATTCTATGCTAAGTACCTGTGAAAGGGGGCACTCCTTGGCCAATGAACTCTGATTCATATCTTTCAGTAAGTCCTTCAGAGCATTCCTCACTGTGGTGTGCGACCATTGTTCGGGAGGCAAGTCTTCTAGTTTGGGGCAACTATTTGAGACATAGATTAGAAAGGGGATTATTACAAGATTGCATCCCGCTGCAGAACATTCCTTTAAGACAGACAGATTTCATTTTGCGCATCAAACAGATGCATCTGGAGATTGCTCTCGGTCTCCTGATTGTTCCGATTAGTTAATTACTTTATACAACACATCTGCTGTATCGATGCATGAATTATACATCAGCTGCCTGTGGTGGCTATTTTTTCATGTTACTTCTACCTTCCTGCTCTGATGCGCTTGGGAAGACAATTTAAGGTGTACTGCTTTCTCCTGAGCCATCATGAAAAGCTTTAATGTATTAACCGATTTCCTTTCATTACTCTGTTCATATGAATTAAAAATCATAAAAAAATAAATAAATAAATAAGACTGTGGTAATAGTGAATAAGACAGTCTTTCACAAAATGTACACAGATGGCACTGTTCATGATATGCAAAAATATTTTTTTCTTAAGTAAACTTTATGTAAAATGCCTTCTTGTGATGCATTATTTAATTGACTAAACGTAAAAAGTCTTGTCTTTTGATAACCTGCACAAACCTACACATTTTTTGTGTGTGTGGGGGGGGGGATTGCTTTTAAATTATACATTGAAGTTAGGAAAAAAGGCAGAAGGATAGGGTAACAAAATCGATCTGTATTAACCTTTCTGAAACACAGACTAAAAAAAAATTGAAGGTCGACCAGAGAGAAATGCTTCATTTCAAAAGACCAGGTAAGAAGAATGTTTCACCCTAGATTTGCTGTCTTGACTCACCTGTGTAACTGAATTTTCAATGTGACCACATGATACACATCTTGAAGCATATCTGCTACTGTAGCATCAGGGGCATCTGTCACGTAAGACAGTGGAACTGGATTCCACTTTCCAACCTGGATTAGCCCTATTTCAGATAAAGAGAATATGTCACTAAATATTTTACCCTCAGATAATATATCTACTAGAAGGGTGTTCTTTTCTTTTCTACTACCCCTACCACAAGCAGTACCGTTATTTCTGTTTGAATGATTCCCTTCCCTCTAAAAGGCAGGTCAATGAAAATATTCACAGCTTAGCTTTCCAAATTGTAAAATTATGTAAATGACTGTAGGGTTGTTTATTATTTTGGAAATAAAACCCCATCAATAAAACCTATGCATAAGGCCACATTTTCCTAACTTACAGGAAGTTCTAATAAGACATAGCCGAACCAGTTCTAAATGGCTTTATGATTTAGATAAGATTCTCTATTGCAGTGGGAATCAGCATTGAAAAATACTTTGCAGCCCATAAAACCATCAGAAACAGAATAAAAGAAACAGAACTAGATATTCAGTCATAAATGCAAATTGACTCTCAACAGTCCATCTGCTCAAATACGCTCCTCACTTCCTTGTGGGTCCTCAGTGGAGCAGATTATTAAGGTCAATAAGCATACTAATGATTCAGCTGAAGTAATTTAAAAAAAAAATCTACCTCGACATTCCACATGAGCAAAATGTGTGTTAACTAAACCAAACTGAATTAAGCCAATTTTTTAAAGCCACAGCCTATAAGGAACCAATGTAATACACAGGCTACAGTTCTTTGAATAAAAATATTCAGTGCTTTCTCTGCAAGGTAAACAAAGAATGCTAAGCAATTTTTCCAACCCCACGTACACATTATTTACCTTTGGCCTGGGCAGCAGAGCTATGTGAATAACCTAGAGACAGCAATGCCATTTCGATCAGCTGGTTGAAAAGCATATCCTTTCTCACCAGCACAAATTCTGCATGCTCCTCCTTGCAATCATATTCAATGGCGTTTTCATAATGTTCCACCACACAGAAAACTGGCAGCATGGTTCCTATCAAAAAGATGAAGAAGAAGAGATGGAAAACCAACAATCTTCAGAAATACAGCTTGGGGGTGGCGGGAGGAAATATTAGCCATGAAAATAAATAATCACAAGAGATTCACTGTGCTTCCAAGGCAGACTGGGTACAGTACAGGCAAATGCACACAAATATATACATTCTCATATTATTTAAAGTCGTAACAGAAATATTTAAGTAGAATATGAACTTGGTCCTAAGGTAAGCTGTGCTCTAAATTAACAGTGCATTTTCCAAAAGCAATGAATGCAGAATTACCTTTCTGATCAAATAATAATGGTGACGAAAGAGAAATAAATGTATCTTCTCTAATTTGCTATGAGTAGTATACAGTATGCAAACATAACTCACCATTTATCTTCAGAAGAACCCACCTTTCTACTGCTTACATGATTTTGTTAATAATAAACTTTTCCTGGGTTTGTGTCCAAACAAATTATCTTCGACCACGAAATTTTCATTTTCTTCCTTTTTTAGATATTAACTCTAACTGGTTCCACAAATCATTTTCTTCCTTTTTTAGATATTAGCTCTAACTGGTTCCACAAAAAGTACTTAACCAAACTGGTGCTCATAATACACAATTTCAATATCTGCATAATGTAGAAAAATAACATTTGCTTTTATGAATACTCATTTAACCTACCTAACTAAAAAGAGAGCACGGTACCCATAAGTCTTTAAAATCAACAATCTTTGTTACAGTAAATAAGGTAAAAATGAGAGATAGAAAAGGAAACTGACATACTAGGATAAAGGAATCTGCATAGATTTGGTGTGCTCTCTCTTTATATATTTTAATCCAATACAGTAACTCAGTAGCTAGATGATTAATAAGCACCGGCCACACTACTATTAGAAAGAGGCTTCTTCTAGAAATTGATATTACGGAATGCTGTGGTACTCAAGGTGTTTATGCAGCGCACTGTCAGACTTCCAATGATAACGGAAAAGGGTTAAAAGCAGATGCATCTGAATTGTACTGTGGCAAACTGCCAGAAGGGTATCATCTTTAGCATAAATGATGACAAGGGTTACTTTAACAGGGCACCCAGGATCCACAATTAGTCCTACAATACTAATGCCTCTATAAGCTCTGTCCTCTGGACTCACAGAATCCTACCAACTTCTGAAGATGACTTAGTGCACACCAACCGTAGCTAAAAATCAGGATTTCCTACTGACACCAGAGAGGCCCTTCAAAGATTCTCTATTTGCTTGTTTCTGCTGAACAAAAGCCGGCAATAAAACAGCTACATCTTTCTACATGTGAGTCTTCACCAAAGCTTTAGTGAACTGTTCACAAGAGATTCTAGGTCTGACAAAACCCTTTAGGTTTACTTAGAAAAACTCACAAACTCATTCGGAGGTACCAATAGGCTAGGCATGAAAAACAAGCCGCAGAGCTTGCCAATATTTTTGTCATTCATTCAGCTGTTTTATACCAGAGAAAGAACCCGTCGGGGATCAGAAGACAACTTGGGGAGACCACAGCAAAAATAGCAATATGCAAACTGGCGATTCCTTCCTTGGCTTGAAGGTATTCTGGCAAAATCGCCTAAACAAATAAAACCATTCAATCCCTTTTTCTTAGTAGTGTTTTCTCATCTCAGCCATAATTTTCATTTAGCACCTATCAGACAGAAACCATGCACATGAAAAATAAGATGAAAATGTTAATAAAAACCCACAAAAAGACTTTAGTAATTTTGTTATTTGGAGTATCTGAGACCCTCCTACAATTAAACTGCATTTTTAGAATACATCCAAAACAAAACAAAACAAAACCAAAAAGCATTTGAGCAGGAAGTGAATTTACTGTACTTTTAGTTTTCCTCCTCCTGTCCTGATATCTTCAAAGAGTTGGGTAAGTACAACAAAAATGTACACATTCATTTTTCCTTTTGTAGGATGAATCAGATGTATTCTACAATATGCTTTTCCTTAGATCTATGAAATAACTGCAGGGTTTTCAAACTATTGAAATATATTGGATTTATTGTGGATTTTATTGATCATGTTTAGAGGTACCCTAAAATAATAAAGACGGCTATAAAGTGACAATAGTACTATCTAATTACAGACCTTCTAGCAAACTGTTGCGGTTACCCTCCCGTTTCTGGGAGTAATGCTGAACACAAGCCTTTTCTGAACTGTATGATTATTCGTGCTAGTGTTTGGCGAGAGTTCCAACTACAGCAACTTCATAACCTTCCAGCATTTAAAGGGGAGAGCACTGGTCACTGCTGAATGCTAAAAATACCACATGATTTAAACCTGAAGGCAGTCTTAGAAGCTTTTGCTGAAGGTTTATGAGCCTGTGTAAACAGCACGTCTGCCATAAGGAGCAGTGAAGTCTGTAGAATCCTTGTCTAAAACTGTCCTGGCATTAAAGTTTGCTGTGCAAATATCACATAATACCAGAGACAGCTGAAATCTCCTATTTAGGAATTTATGGAACTTACATGTTTGCAGGCGTCAGAAAGTCTTTTTTATACAGCCCCAGTGCTTCACAGTACAATATTAATGCACTCTGTTTGAAAAGCCGTAATAAATTATATTTTTAATGCTCTTACCCTGGCTTTCTTAAGATGCATACATTCTTGGCAAACAATCAATAAATAGGGTAATCATGAGTAGAGGCCAAAGAATTTGCTGAAGTGCTGTTTTCCCATTTTTAATAGATAAAGATCTAACAATACGGACTGCTGTGTCTGTTCATTTCAGGATCAATATATTCTTTGTTTTCGCCAAACCAAGGAAAAAATAAATGATTGTATGATAAATGTTACGCATCAAACACAATGAAATTCCTCTGCCTTCTAACTTTATCTACTTAATATTCTTGGTTGCTAAAATATAGCATTTTTATCCATTGCTTAGCAAATGTAAGGAAAATCTGATTCCTATACATGTTATTCAGACACAAAATGAAGCTCCTTATGAGGCACATGCATTACACCCAGGGTAGGCACTGCTTTACAGGAACAACACTGTTAAACACAGTCCAAGTTGTTAAACTGCATCAATTTAATATTGGTAGAAAAAAGTCACACAGTTACACATCTTCCCCTTATAAACTTGCCTAAATCTGTTCTTTCTTCATCAAAAATACCCAATTAAAACAAAAATAAAAAACTAGAATCATCAGATTTTTTACTGCTAATGAATTTGCTCTTAAGAAAATAAGCCACAAAAAATAACATTACCAAACTTCTACATAAGATGTCCAAGATCTCTGAAACTGCCCTACAACTAAGAATCTTAGGAAGAAGCTAGGGTAACTCTCAAATCACCTAAGTGTTTTATTCTTAATCAGGTTAGTTTGAAGAAACAGCTGCCTACAATCCTCGACTACAACACCTTTTGAATGGACCCTGCCAAAACTAAAACCATTATATTTAATTCAGTCCTTATTACCCAAAATGTTCCATGATTCCAGTCTACAGTAGAACGCTCCACCCAAGCATGGAGGCTATACTTTCCAACGTGATTGATACTAAGGACCCAGAATGTAACTAATGTACGATCATAAGGAGAATAAAGGCAGAGTATACAAAACATGTTCTGCCACTCCACCCCCACACAGTGTGGCCTTGTGTAGACAACAGGGCTTTCAGCTTTTCAAGATTTGGCTTGAAGGTATTTACCTTTCCTAAGGTTGGTTTTCATCAGATGGCCCGAGTGTTTTAAAGGCACTCCCTGCATTTTTGCACCTGTACTCCCAAGCCTTCCTCTTCCTAGCGGGCTCCCGTTCTGCTCCAGGCGGGCAATCTTGGCTGGTGGACCCTTCGGATCACTCACATTGTTAGACATTTCTGAATGTTCTTTCCCCTGAGTTGCCTCGTTCAAATGATCCATACTCAGTCACTGTCTAAAGATCACCTGCCAGAATTTAAAAAGAAGACACGTTATAGTTGGGCGGGGACCTACGTGTATATATGTGTCCTATGTAAATGTTTTAGCTCTAGATATCTCTCCACAAATATAATGTATTTGTAAAATGGCCTATCTAGATATGATACAGATGTTACTATATTTCTAGATGATAGCATTACATTCTTATTCAAATTAACAAAATGATCTGTGGAAACTGTACCAATACACATGAATAAAAAGATAACTGGCCTATAAAAAAACTAAGTGGGGAAAAATGGGCTTACTTTTAGAACAAGAATTATTACAAGTATAGCTAAAAAGAAAACAGCAAATTGCATTTACGTAGTCCCAATTTTTAACAATTAGAAACACATTACAAAATACAGCAGAAACACTTTAATAAAGGATGGAAAGATGATCATAGTTCAAAATATTAGAAATCTAATGTATATGTTTTATATGTATACATTTTATATGTGTATGTATATTAATTCTTATGAAAAAAACATAAACCATCTCAAAAGAAGGTAACAAACATCTAACTGCTTTTTAAACTCCCCATTGGCTTTTGTAAATTAATGCATAGAAAAAGTTTTCTACTATCAAAGTTCCAAGAGTTATGTGACAGACCTAGTCAAGTTTTGGGCCAAAGATGTGATTGGATCAGTTTACCCCTAAAGAAACAGGAAGAAGTGAAGGGTTTTCAAATATCCAACGTACTGATGCATTAAAACTCATGTGTTTTAGAGTCAGTATTTAGGTGTCCATTAGTAATAGAGGGCTGTTAACAATAAATATTTTTAAAAAATTGAATACACTTCGTGATATGCACATTAGGTTGAAGTGCCAAGCTCAATTAAAAAAAAAAAAAACACAAACAAAAAACCTTGATGATACTGGTAAAACAAAATATCCAGTATTCAGAAATAACCTCAGCATGCAATGGCATTAACATTGTAATTAACTTCAAAAAAATTAACAGATAATTATTTTCAGTTATATATTAGACATCAATTTTCCCATCATTTATAGTAAAGTGATTAGACAATATCAAAGTCATTTTTAAAGTATAGTTTTAATTAGAATTGATAAGAACAGGTAAGTAGAATTATTTTATGAACTTTGATGGTATTTGAAGTATTGAGCTTATGAAACTAAGGGGATCATATTTAGGAAAACCAGAGAGAATAATTACCATTTTTCCTAGCTGTCTAGTAATTTGATATAGCTTGTTTTTGTTGTAAATTCTTACACTGGAGCTATTTAAATCTGGATTTGTTGAAAGCCAGTTTGTATTAGCATGGCTTTTCTGTAAATATTTTTTCTTCTGTTTAACCATAGCCTACTTCTTACCATATAATCAAGAAAAGGGGGGCAGCAATGTTAATCTGGAAGTTTAAAAGCAACCTTAAGAATGCCAATTGAAGAACTATAAAGTTTGAGAAAAATTAATGGCTATTTATCTTTGTACTCCAGAGTGGCACACTGAGAACTAAAGGTTTACCGTTGATAGAGGTCCCATCTGTTTTTGGTTATGAGGTTCATTAACAATAAATGTGCCTTTTTAAACCACTTTTTAGCAAGATTACTCTTTTCCATTATATTAAACTGCAGTCTAAAGCCAAAATTAGAAAGAGATGATTATTAACTTATTCAAAACACTCTTTATAACGTTTCATGTGGATAACACAGAGCTTTTTCTGAAATTGGTTGCCTCATCCTAGAGCAGAAGATGAATTTTAAAACATATGATTTGAAAAGAAAAATCTTTAGCCCTTGGGGCAATTTAAGAGGAAAAAAAGGGAGGGGGTGTAGACAACAGCATCAAAGTTAATGCTATAAAACATATTAAGTAATCATGAGGCTTAACAACACTAGAAACTGTACAGCAAATGAAAGTGATACATTATAATTTAATGTATTGACAATCTAAAGTATCATATAGGTCATGAAAAACTGTCCTTTGAATACCCACCTATAAGCATCTATTAAACACTAAGTCGTGGTGTAAAAAGCTTTACATTACAAACCAAAATTAAATGCGCATAAAACACCCAATTTACTCATTTTAACTCTATGCCCGGGCTAAAGTTCACCAAACCTCAGTTTGGGATTGAAAAGAGCAACCTCCAACAGGCCTGCTTGGATGACAGCAGCAGGAACTAACTATGGTCTCAACAGATGCCAGGCTGAAGAGTTTCTTTTGAGTTACACGTTACAACCCATTTTAGTGCAATGTCTGGTTGCCACACAGAAAGCAAGCTACTTTCTGAAAATCCCATTTATCTGCCCATAAACTAAGACCATATATGATAATTACTGAATAAAACAGTGAACTCAGTAACAACAATTATTTCCTTTAAAAGGAAAGAAAATCTCGAAATTCTAGTTTTTTAGGAACCGATTTTTTGCAAAGCGAGATCCTTTTCAATGAGTTTCTAGCTGGATCGCCTCCTTCGCCCCCACACAACCCCATAATCACATTTTAAGATTGTGCCCTTATCCATTCCATATGGCCGGCACGATCCAGGCCAAGCTTTCACTGTGACCTTTTAAAGAGACAAAGAAGCAAAGTACTATCTAGAAACAGAAACACTGCAGTTTTACTGAGTGAAATTAGCAAAACCGACCTGAAACTCACCACTTCAAAACTTGACAGCACATAAATAACAAAAACAAAGGAGATTTCCTTTGCAGCCCGGGTTCTTGAAGAGAAGTTCAAGACTGATGTTTTCTATGTCCTTTTTTTTTTTAATTAAAAAAAAAAAAATAAAAAAGCAGCAGACCTGAAGGCGACTTCCCCTGAAATTGTATTATTTTCCTTTCCCCTACCCCCGCCCCCCTAAGCGGGGGAAGGGCAGAAATAAACGTCTAGAAGAGTAGCCATGAGAAAGGGGTTTAAAAAAAAAATCACAATTCGAAAACCAACATATAGGGGTTTGTAAAATGTCTAACCTCAGAGAACAGGGTTTGCGATGGGGAGGAGGGGAGAGTGGGAAGCAGGGAGGAGGAAGAAGATAAAATTGATCTGACAAGTGATTCGTTGGGGGGAAATCGTAAAAACAAAGCAAAACCCGTTATGAGCTGTACACTGTGATGGTGCTGGGGAAACGACGTGGTGACTGAGGATTCTCTTAAAAAAAAAAAAATCACTGCGGACAAGGTCTCCAAAAAGGAAAAAAGGTCTCTTCGCGTCTCTCCCTCCCTCCTGCTCACTCGGGTTCTTCGGTGTGAGGACAGAAAGTCTACTTCTGGCTGTCACTTGCAATATTATTCTTCAATAACCCCGAATAACGCGCATTGGGAAGGCCACCTCGCCTCCCTTCCAATCACCCCCACCCCCCTCGCCAACAATCGCGACTAATATTAACAAACCTTAAACTTTTCCCCACAGCCTCGCACCCCCAACGAGGGCATCTAGCGGGGGACAGCGAGGGTGGGGGGCAGGGGGTCGCGAGAAAAGCCCCGGAAAGGCACTAAAATGCCACTTTTGATTCTGCCCTCGCTGACAACAGCCGCAAGGACCCTCTCCCTGCCCATTGACGCGGGGCTGTGAGCGTCTGGGGTCCCAGCAAGTGAGGAGAGAAGAGGTTCGGGGGGAGGGGGAGGAGGAGGAAGATCAGAAGGCACCCCCAGCCACCTCCACCGCCTAGGCAGCGACAAACTCCCCGCCCCCTCCCCCCAAAAAGTCGCCAAGCTCTCACTCGTCCAGAGTCCGAGGTAAACAACGAGCACCACAATGGCACTAGGACTTTGGGGGAAAAGAAACCCAGAAACCCCGACAAAACTGATCAGGAGTTTCCCGAAATGAAAGAGGGGGGCGGGCAGCGTCCTCTAGAGTCGCCCTGGCTTTCGGCTGGGCCCCCGGGCAGGATAGAGGGCGGCCGCGGCTGTTGTTGTTGTGACGAGGCCGGGTGTTGCTGGGTGGCACAGGGAGAGGTGTGTGTGTGTTTGTGTGTGTGCGTGAGTGTGAGCGCGAGTCCCCGGACGGGGCTGCTTCTCTCGCTCTCTCCCTCGCTAGCTCTACCCCTCGCTGCCGTCTCTGCCCCCATTAAATTATTAGTTGACTCATCCCGGCCGCTGTCGCTGCCGCCGCCGTGCCCCGCTCGGCTCCGCGCGTCCGCCCGGGCTGCAGCCCTCTCCGCCGCTGCTCCTGCTGCTGCTGCCGCCGCCGCCGCCGCTGCCGCTGTGGGTGCCTCTTCTTCCTCCTCCTCATTTTAATACAAAATCACCCCGCTCGCAGCCCCAGCCCCGAGCACGCAGCCTCCTCCCGGCCGCCCGCCGCCGCCCGGAGCCTTCCCCAGCGGGGCCGGCTCATCCGCCGCGTCCGGGGAACGGGAGCGAGCGAGAAAGTGGCGGCGGCGGCGGCGGCGGCGGAGGAGGAGGAGGGGGGAGGAGAGGAGGAAGGGGGTGCGGAGCCGAGGAGGAAGGCGGCGTGGGGGGGCAGGGTGCACGGAGCGGGCGGAAAAGGGATGGGGATTAAAACCCGGGCTGGAGGGCCGGGATTGGGGGAGGGGGCGGGGGCGGCGAGTTAAAAAGCCGAAAGACAAGTAACTAGTGAATGAGTGAGGGAATGGGGGGAGCGCACGATTTCCGGCCCCGGGCGCGCAAGAATTTGTAATGAGCTTGATTAGAGTGAGGCGGCCCGACATTTATTACACACAATACCCAGAATAACAGGGCGCTGTGCGAGGGCTAGCGCCGGCCGCCGCCAGACGCGCCAGGGAGGGCGCAGAGGGGAGGAGGAGAGGGGGCTTCCCTGGCAGCGTCCGCCGGAGCGGGGAGGGGAGCGCGCGGCGCGCGGGCGGCAGGGGCAGGTGTGTGAGTGGGAGGGAGGAGGGGCAGGACGGGCAGGACGGGCACGGGGGGCGGGGGGAAGGAAAATGACGGGGAGGAGGGGGCGAGGGCCAGGGGAGAAAACTAACCAACCACCCACACGCCACAAAAGCCACAAAAAGGAGTACGCCTGGAGCGTCGCAGAGGGACAGGCGAGGTGGGGGGACAGGGAGACGCACCGGCCCCGTGGGAGAAGGGCGCGGGTACGCAGGTGACAGGCGCTGAGGAATGAGGTAGGGAGCCATCAGGAAGTGGCTGGAGGGGTACAGACGGAAGGCAGTTCTCTCCGGGGAAGCGCGGAGGGTGCAGAAACGTGTACAGCAATAAAGGCCAGGAGCCTCGAAACGCTCGGAATGTTTATCCTCTAAGGAGGGTGGTCCTTAAACTATGAGGAGCCAACATTAGAAAGAACTGAGTAAGAGCGTTCTGTACTAGTCAGACGTTGGTTCAAATCGCCCTCACTTCTGAGCCATAGAATACTTTGGAAGAAGAAATACGTGGCCGAGTTAAACAAAATTTGGGTCACTTGAAAGAGACCTGACTTGTTATTATAAAGGAAAAGATGCCATCATTCTTCAAATAATTTACGCTAGGCAAAAGAGGAAAGTTTGGGTTGGTAAATACATCTGTTGTAGCAATAAACACTTCTGCTGTAATCTAGGGTAGGTTACCCAGTTAGATAAATGGTCATTACCACATAAGTATGATCCTATTATTTAGACAATCTATTAAATATAGTTCATGTAAAAATAAAGAATATTACAATGTAACCCAAAATAGAAATGCCTCATTTATCGCTTAGGTTTTAGTTCTACCATTTTAGCACCCTGAAGGCAGTTAATCATTAACAAAAAACAAGAATTATTTTTCAGAATTTGCTGGTAGGGAAAAGAGAAAAATCAGTCAGATAAACATTTTGTTACACATAAAAAAGCAACAAGTTAGCACAAGTACTGAGATAAAAGGGAAATTTGCAAATTAAGCTCTGTAAAGCCACCAATACACTCTTAGGCACACTGTTTACATTACAAATCTAAAGAAAAGCCAAAAGGTAAAGCAGAAAAGTGTAGGAAATGATGGCCTCCTAGGGGAGAGTAAGTTTAGGAGAAACAAAATGAAAATATATCACTCTAATAGCACCCACGTTTCACCCACAAACCAGAAAGGTTAGCCAAATCTGGGAAGGCAACCGTGAATCTTGGCACACAAACCCAAGCCTTGAGCAAAAGAATGAACATGTGATAAACAGAAAACACAGCATCAAAAATAGGAAAAGAAATTTAAGGCAAATTTTTAGTAAAAAGCCCAAATGATAGTAAATTTTTAAAAGTTAAAATGTGGGGAAATCTGAAGGAAGATATGTTAGCTAAAGTATAAGAAATAGAAATATGGTAGGTTAAATTTGAAATTTCCAATATGGATACTTTAATAGTTGCTTCAAACTAGTAATGCCTGACATGTTTCCCTGAAACCTGCCTTGTTTTCAGTAGGGACTGTGCACTCTAGTGCCTTGTTGTACAAATTTACAAACAATAGCAACATTTAAAAATAAAGAAAAATTATAGTGGTCCACACACACACAAATGTAATTTAGCCAGGCAATGTCACCTCAAGCTGAATGTTTTTTATAAAAGAAAAGAAAGCTGTTGGGCAAAATAAAATTTAAACTAAGAGAAAACACCACTAAACAAAGATCACGGGAAATATCAATATTAAGATAGACTGAAATAAAATATTGTAAACATGCTTATTACATCATTTTACAGAAATAAATAAGACAAAATGCCATCTGAATGTTTTACCCTCCTAATGACCTGGTGAATGCTAATATAATATGGGAATTAATACAGCAATCCTTAAATTTGAATAGCACCTTTTATCTGAGTCACAAATCTATTCAAAAACACAAAACATGAAAGTATGTAATAAGGACTGACATGGCCTTGGAAAATGATAAACAGAATAAATGAGCATAAAGGCATCTAAGAATGACTATATTATAATGAATAACAATATAGCACAATAAACTTTCCCTCAAGCACATTTTTTATTCCAGAACTATAAGAAATGACATAAGTAAAATGGCACATAGAGGTTAATGTACTAGTGGTATACATCACTGATGAAATTAATTACTATATATTAACTACCCTTTAGAATATTTCATTATAAGCCACTGAGTATTGGCCAGTGTAAAGCCAGATAAAAATAAATAACAAAAAAAGAAAGAAATTTGTCTTAGTCTGTTTTCTGTTCCTTATAACAGAATACCTGAAATTGGGTAATTTATAAAGAAAAGGAATTTATTTCTTACACTGTGGAGGCTGAGAAATTCCAGGTGGAGGGGCCTCATCTGGTGAGGGCCTTCTTCCTAGTGGGAGTTCTCTGCAGAGTCCTGTGGTGGCACTGGATATTACATGGCAAGGGGCTTGAGTATGCTAGCTCAGGGCTCTCTTCCTTTTCTTACAAAGCCAACAGTCCCACTCCCATGATAACCCATTAATCCATTAACCCATTAATCCACGAATGGATTAATCCATTCACAAGAGCAAAGCCCACATGATCCAAACACCTCTTAAAGGCCCCACCTCTCAGTATTGCCACATTGGGGATTAAATTTCAACATGAGTTTTGGAGAGGACAAGTATTCAAATAATAGCAATAATTAAGAAAATACCACCTTCCTAGGCATATGTGAACATAAACTATCACGGCAGGAGGAAAAAACTTCAATACAGGGATCTTATATTAAGCAATAATGATGCATGCAAGTATTGAAGAAAGTTAAACTTTATAAGTCTGGCCATCAAAATAGAAAACCTCAGGAACATAAAATATTGCAATTCAAATACATGAACTATTTAACATGTGGATGCACATTTAAAACAGAGTGCATCAATTTTCTATCACATGAGAAGGCATTATCCTGGCTACACACAAAATTTTTAAAAACTTAATGAAAGGACTACTGCATGTTTCAGATGGCAATGTATTAAGATAAATATGCAGGCAGATATCCGAACGCATTAAAACACATTCAGAGTTCTGAATAGCACATACATTTGTAATAAACAGAGAAAGCATTTAGAATTCGAGTGCTTTTAAGATATAGCAACTCCGCCAGTGACTGTGTTAGCAAAGCAATGCTTACCACCATAACACTTTCTAAGGACATGTTTTTTTTTCTTTTTTCATCTTTTTAAATTCAAATACAGTTGGCTATCTCTACACTCTTAAAGCAGCACAATTTATGTAGCATATTGCTCTTTTTGTCGTGTCAACTCTTTGTTTTTTGGCTTTAGCTGCAGGTGGTGTTTTCCATATATGAATTTCTGGGAATATGGTTCTCTGTTGGCCATATAAGGATGTGTGTCTGAGCCATATGTTTTGCTGTCATGTGTCTCATTTTGTCTGTCTGGGATGTCAGGACCGATTTCTGCATCGTTTCCTGAATGGACCAAATACCAATTTGAAAGAGCAGGGAGGAAGAAGCTGGGGCTGCAGCCCAAACAACTTTGTCAAAATATATATTGGAGAAGAAATGCAATATCCTGTAAACATTGCACGCTTCTTCTCACATATTATCTGTGACCGACATCATTACAACTGCATACAGTTTGGGAAACAATCTACTTGTTCAAGTTCAGAAGTTTGCAGTATTTGTATGCACAGAGCTTAATCAGATTAAGATCCTACGTCTTAAACAGATCCCACTTCTTTGGAGGTCATGGCATGGCACATGCTAGCTGCCCTACTCTGAGAGCTGTGCCTCCTGCAGCCAACCTGACCCAGCCTTGAACTTGGGGAAAGGAAGCTGCCTCATGCTTTTCTTGTCTAGTTAATAATTAGAACTCTGATTAAACTCTCTGACTAATTATGCAAGAAGTTCTGGCCCCCATTATATACCCTCACAGAATCTTGTATTTCTCCTTTGAAACAGTCATCACAGTCTTAATTAATTAACAATTTGGGTAATTACTGGCTTAATACATGTCTCCCTTACTAGACTGTAAGCCCTATGAGAGCAGAGACTGGGTGTCTTGCTCACTGCCATATTACTAGGAATTTATACAGTGTCCTTGTAATATTTATATTATAAATGAATAAATGGGAACAAAAGCTCACAGTGTCACTTGCAACCAATTTCCACTACAAATTGCATTGACAGTTTTTTAAAGTGATTGTAGGAAGAGGGAACATTGAAGAAGGTGGCTATATCATTTAAATTTGAATTAATTTAAATGAAATTTATGATTTAATTCCTCATTCACATTTCAGGTGCTCAATAGCCCCATGTGACTAATACTCTAATAGCGGACAGTGTAGATTACAGAACACTTCCTCACTGCAGAAAGTTCCATTGGACAGTGCTTACCCTAGAGAACTCCTTTAAAAGACAACTAAGGGAATCCAAGACCTGGCCAGGAGGAGTCTTAGAGGTGCTAAATGGCTTTCAGACATTCCAATGACATCTGAGTCAAGATAATTTTCCATTTTAGAATTAGCCTGTAGATCTGTAAAGTTGCAGGAAATGATACCTGTATACTGCTAAATACAAATTTAAGAACTTTCTAGACATGTCTGTACTTGAAAGGGTTCTGTAATACATTTTAAGTAATGTGTTTACTCCAAAAGCTGCTTTCCGTGAACATTTAAGTATCTCATAGGTGAAGTTAAAAATCACAGTCATTCCCACCCTTACCCCTGTACCTATATTATATAAGCATAGCTACCCTTAGAAATGCCTCTCTGGAAGCATTAATGTAGATACCTACTCGAACTGGGAGGGCATCCAGATAACAAATAATGATGCACTGCAGAGAATAATGGCAAAAAGCTTCAAAATGTTGCAGGCGAGTTAAAGGAGTGATGATAATGAACTCTAAATATAGGGTTTAAGGATTTTTTGGTTTTGTTTTCTTCCCCTAAGAAGTTGAGTTTCAGTTTTAGCTAGAATGATAGCGATCAAAAGTTATTTCCCTAATTACTTGGCATAGATGTAAATACAGAGTGGTAATTCATGATACAGTTTTAATAGACAAAGGTCATTATAGTTGAGGGGGAAAAAACCCAATGTTTATGTTTGTTTTGGGAGATCTGGAGAGGGAAAACGAGCAGCCATTGCAGCTGGCTTCTGGAAACCGACAGGATATCTGGGCCTTTTACTCAGAAACAATACTGTTTCATTGGGAACTTCATTGGAAAAAAATCTTTTAGCTACCTTTCCTTCCATGGATGTCAGTATGGATCACTTATTTGACAGGGCACGGTGGTAATAATTCCACCAAAATTGGTACCTTTATCTGGACCCAGATCCAAAATCGAGTAAGAAGAAGGAAGGATTCTTGAAATTGCCCTAGAGTCCACAAAGATGCCTCATTTTTTTCCTGTAGCTCGTGGAGTGCCCTTCATGTCCCTTCTCACTTGAGGACCTCCTTTCTGCTATCTTCTTTAACGTGCAGCTTGATTTCCCCTTGTCAGTCCGAAGCCTTCTCCAGTTGTTAGTTATTTCCTTCTCCATGCTCCATCACACTGCCTGAATGCAATGTGACATTTCATATCTATCTATATGTCTGCCTCTCCAAACTGCAAGACTCTAAGCATCTTGAAGGTTTACTCATGTATATATTTCTGCATTCCCTTTGACAGTCTTAGGACGTAAAACCAGGTACTGAGATCACAATCCAGATGTCCAGGCTGAACCCCACTGCAATTAAATCAGAATGGCTGAGGATGAGGAGAAGACATTCAGTTTTTTAAAGCTCTCAAGGTGATTCTCATATACAGCCAGGTTTGGCATCTACCAGGTTAGGTGATGTTTTAGAGACAGAGAATCAAATACTCAGGACATCTCTGAGGTGGTTTTTAACTCACTCCTGGAGTCACTTGGAAAAGCTAACCTGTTGTATGAACCAGCAGTAGACCAAAATTTGAGAAATGTATATGTGGGCAAGCTACTTGTTTCAAATTTCTAAAAAGGCAATAAAAGTGGGGGCAGGAAGCTACTGGATCATTGATTTGGCAAATAAATACATGCTATTTGAGGAACCATAATAAACTAGCATTTGGGCACTTGTTTGAGATTTACTGGGGTGCCAGAAATCCTGTGCAGGTATGTTATTTATCATGATAGACATTAAGTGACTAACCACAAAATTATACATGGAAGTACAGTTCTCAAACCAGTCTATTATTTACTGGAGCCAGAACCATCCAAGTTTCCTCTAATTCTTTTTTCAATATAACATGATTTTTCTCTCAGACAACTGTTCAACCTTGAGTGGGCTTCTCTTTGAAGGGCTGAAAACTGTTCAACTTATTTCCAGACTGTCACTGCACTTGAACAGAACCAAAGTATTTAGACTGTCCATGTCAAGGAGCCAACTGCAAAGCATCCTAGACCTAGTTGCTGTGCCTTTAATATTCTCAGAAAGCTCGAGGTAAAATCCTCCAATTTTTAATTCCGGTGAAATCGAACAGCAACTGTTCCCAATCAACTTTTAACCAAGATGTACATATCAACCAAATTTCCTTAGTTGATATGAATGTTATTTCTAATCTTTCCTAGCTTAATTGGAGGGAGAAAGAATTCGCGATAACAATGGTCCTGAATCCTTGTCCAGGTCATTTTTGTGGCAACATCAGCCAAAGGCAATATCTGATATTGTACTGCTATGCCCACCACCATAAGGCACTGGACGAGGCATTGTCCGTTGGAAGGAAAGCCACCATCAGAAACAAATGCTTCACACCTGGACAATAATTAAATACTACTGTAACACTTGAAATTTGTTGAAGTGAAGGAGAAATTAAATTCAAAACTAAAGCACATTGTATTTGGGCTGATAGAAAAAGAGTTGGAAACAAACTGTGGTGATGGTTGCACAACAGTGTGTATGTAATTAATGTCACTGAATTGTACACCTAGAAACAGTCAAAATGGCGTATTTTTTAACACATATTTTACCATATAAACATTTTCAAAAAAAAAAAAACAAAAGCAAAACAATCTTTCATGTATGCCTAGTATTGGCAGATATATAATACCAGGAAAATATCATGCCAAGCCTCAGAGAAACAATGAGCTACATCACATTGAACAATCCCATCCCCACCCCAATCTTACATTGCTTTGTCCTTACCTGCTAACAGCTACAGTCCAGTCTATGCTACACAATTAATATGATGAATACCTGACCCAAGGATAATTAACATGGATTGGTAATTAGAGACCAAGATCCCACTCACTTTGAGGTTCCTTCAATGTAAGAAAATGGTTCTCTTTTAAGGTTTTATTCAATACAATATCTTAGCCAAAAAAAGAGAAAGGCGCATAGACAAAAACAAACAGGAGTTCCTTAAGTCCAAAAAATTCTTTTGGAATGTTTTTCAAAACAGTAAAAATTAACTATATGCATGAAATAGATTTTCTCTGTTACACAGTACTTTGAGTGTCACGCTCATATATGCAGAACAGCTGCAATTGTAACAACTGTATAAAGTACTAATTTGCAAATTGTCTACATAAAAAGACTTTAGATTCTATTTTTTTAATAAAAGAAAATTTTGTTTAAAAAAACGCTTTCAAATTTAATCAGCTCAGTTACTTTTTTAGTGCTAGTAATAAGGATGAAAGTATATCTACATATAATAATTTGAAATATCATCTTTTCCTGTACTGTTCCACATTCAGTTTTCATATCATCTATTCCTATGGATTTTATATTAAAAACTTGTATTAATGATGGAGTTTTTAATGATTTGGAAATTCATGTATAAATCATTTTATTGAAGTTCGTATCTGTATTTTTTTCTTATACGCATAATTAAGGAATGCTAATAAAGTGAAACCAACTTACAAACATATATTTATTATGTGTAAAAGCATTAAATAAAATACTAAAAGACAGCTTCACAGTATAGCTATGCTTAAGGCATATCCAGTTACCTATCTTGTAGGTGCCTTTTTCTTTATTAATGTGTTCATTTAAAAATTTATTAGATAACTAGCATGGACTATACATGGACATTTTGAGCCAACATGAAGGAAAAAGTTGATAAATAATGCCACAGTAGAACTTTAAAAAAGAACTAGAGAGCCTTGAGGCTGTTTTTTAATCATTTATTTTTATTTATTTTGCAAAGACTTTTCATTTGTGTTATTTAATACATAAATACACTTGAGAGAGAAACAAATAGCACATTTATGAAAAATTTTGATGGAAACCAGCTTTCTGTTTTAAGGCTAGACTGCTTTAAAGGTCAATATCCACTATTCTTCTATTACTTTTACAGTTGAAGAAACACTACATATTCACATTATATTTAATAAAAATTAACCTCTCATCTCTTCTTTGAGGTAACAAGGCTCTCAAAAATAACTTTTTATTTCGCTTTGTGCAAAGGGGTTTTGTCACTAAAAATTTACAACACTGCAACCAAGTGTAAATGTATCTTCAAGGCTGGCATATGCCGCAGTTTAGGATGTAAAACCAAATCTTGTGGCATTCTCAATAGATTTGAAAAATCCAATTGTTTGGCCAACATCCAAGTAAGAATAAGTATATATATATATATAAAATATACACATAGCATAACATTTTTATATGTACACAGATAATATTTGCATGTTATACAAGAGAGTATTCCACAATTTAAAACTAGTCTACCACAGTTTTCATCAGAAAGCCTTTAAAACTCAGAGGTAGTATAATACCCCTACTATTAAGTAACTCCCACAAAAAGGAACATAAGTCACATAGTGGGAAAAGTAGTGGAGAAAAGATAGAGAAACTAGATTTGGGTCTTGCTTCTTACTCTACTCACTAGCTGAGTGATCCTTCATTAGTTAAGCAGGATCAGGTTCCGTATCTATAAAATGAATGGATAGAGTCTGATCATCTTTAAGATCACATAAAAAATCTCTTTCTTCAATTAAAAAAATTAAGTTCACTTGAAAGAGAAAATATAAATATAAGGAAATTTCTCACATGCTACGTTAGATGTTTATCTCTATATAAGAGACAGGTGTCAAACAAACAAATAAAAAAAAAAAATAACCGCTAAGGCAAAGAGAAACTTTAACTCACCAGATTCCATCTGTTACATCTGAATTCATGCATAATTGATTATCCATGACTGGTAAATTCTTTTCTCACTAGCCGACCACAATTTTCTAAACGTTGTGTATTAAATCACTACTAAAGTAGACTGCATTTCAGAAACGGCATGGGGCAGAATACCAATATTTTAAATGAAAAATTACATGCCGGTTAGTAATAATACAGCTGACCTATGTTTAAGGGAGAGAAATTTTAATCATGTGCATATTAAATATTAATAACCTATTCTGTTATTGTTATAATAAGGTTAAGTAGGCTTCTCCATGCTTAAAGAAAGAGGGAGAAGTAGGAATGCATAATGGTGCAAAAAGATACAGAGACAGGAGACAGACATAAGGAAAATGTGTCAACAATAAACAAGAGGAAATGAGAAAGAAGGAAAAGATGAAGGTGGAAACTAATCTCTATGTGTCATTATGACTGCCAGAGTACTGGCAAAGAAGCAGCATCCTTTTATTTCAATTTTAATCATTTCTGAATTTTAATACCCGGCTCCTTTTGTAATTCTCCTGGCATTCCCCATATGCCTCCATCCCAGCCAAAACACCAGTGTAAATTAAATGGCAGGCAACCACACCACTGATGTAGCCTCCCCAAAGAACCCACCAGGTGACCAAAAGCAAAAAAGGTATGTCTACCTTATGTCCCTGAGGACCTCTAGCCAATTAACTGGCTGAATGTTTTCTACTTTCTTTAATTTTGAAAAGAAGGACAGTAGTTAGGTAATCTACAGATAGAGAATCATTAAAAAAAAATAAAGCAAGCCAGTAGTAATACAATAATCAGTGACCATCAGGGCCTGGAAAAATGAGTTTGCTCTCATTGGCACTAAGGAGCATCACATGATTATTTAATTACAGCTCTAATTTTTGTCTCGTGGATGGCAACATATCAACAATTAATAGGGCAAATAGAGGAGACTGTGTTTTTAAAGAGACAGAATGTGCATGATAATGTAATAGGTCACACAGCAGTGCACCACTTAAGAAATTCTGTCTTTTGTGTAACTAAATAGGACTGTCTTACAAGCAGCCCCACTCATATTTTAAAATGAAAATAAATTTTAAAAGGAAGTGTCTTTTTTAGATAACTTTCATAGAATGCCTAGAACTTTTCAGAATATTTTGGATGCAGCTAACACAACCCTACTGCAATTTCAGAATTAGTTTTAAGGAATGGAGTAAAATATTCATATACAAACACTCCAAATCTTAGAGTACTTTTCAAACAATGTATTTAAGCTGCAATGAAAAATATCTTTTTATGCAATAATTACAGTAGTATTTATTCAATGGGAGCCTGAAAAACAATCATTATTGTAGGAAAGAACGCATAGAAGGTCAATCAGCCTTGAGGCACTAGTCCATAATATTTTTGGTTCTGGAATATCAGAAGGATGGCTACTTGGTGGCTCAAATTGCAAGGAACTCAGGGGAGTGCTCTGTTTGACTCCGGTATTGTTTGTTACCACAACCAAACACCAAAGAATGAAGCTGAGCAGGCACACTTAACCTAATACTGAAGGTCAGACAATGAGGATAGAACAGAGACCCAGGTGCTACCAAAAAAAAAAAAAAAAAAATCATCCAATTATCCAGAAAATGAGGCATGTGCAGATTAAGTGTTCAGATAACCCTAGTAAAAACAGAAAATTAGAAAGAAAATTCTCTTTGCCAATAAATCTTTATCGGCACAAGCTACATTTTATATTTTATCATTAATTTAGCAATTCTTTAATGAGTGCTCAATACGTACAAGGCACAGAATGCTAACTATGAACTTTCTGTTTTATATAACACAGACATACCTTATTACTTACTTACTTTTTTGTAGTTTAATACTTACAGAAATATATAGCAGCTTCTACAAACTTCAGAAAGTGGGAATACTAGTGCGTTTTTAAGAGCCATATTACGAGGTTACAAGATCTACAAATTCAAATCAACCAAGATAACTCAAATAGTTAACCAATTTGATAGAATTGTCTAAGTAAGCCTAAGTCCAGCTTTAAATCCCTCTAGTTTCAGTAACCCATTGTTTTGCCATTCTAGAAGCCATAGTGAAAATCCAGGTTTGAGATTTAGACAATGAAATAATCTTAGAACTACCTCTGTGATTAACTGCTGAAATGTATGTAGAATATTAGGTTATATAGAGTTTTAAGTAATCACAATTTGGCTAAAGAAAAAGTGACTAAAATTATTCCACAAAAAGAAGTATTAAGAGGAGCAAAATCAATTAAATAAGCTTTTAATGGATTATGTTGGCCGAAGTCATCAAAAAACAAGAAAACATGGGTATCTCAAAATACAATTTGGAAAAACTAAAACCACTGAGGAGCAATAATTTCTAATGACACTGGAAAGAAAAAAAAACAGGAGAAAAATTTTATAACCCAGTGAAAAGTTTTAAAATTAAGTTGCTTTAGTAGAAAACCTTTCATAATTCTGAACCAAAACCCTGACTCCATACATTCTAAAAGATTTTTTTTAAAGAATCAAGCAAGCAGCCGCTTGTATGTTAAGAGTATACATCATTCTTTTTTAACATGGTTGTTAATATATAGTTAACATGTCTCAGAAAAGGCTGTAATTAACTGTCTACTGCTCTAATAACACTAATAAGCATACAGTATTATTAAAATACAGTGATTCTATACAAACTGTCATTGTTAAACTTTTAAGATAATGTTCTAAATTGTTTCTGAGTCCTCTTGAACCACCCAAAGGGAAATGCAACTCTAAGAAAATTTTTAAAACATAGTTATTAAAATATTGTTTTTTCCTCCCACAGTCTGGAGATCACTGTCTACCATTAAACAGTACATCTAAGTATCATTTCAGTTGGTGAAAATACAATGGGAAGCATTTGGATTATTTTACAAATTCTATAGATTTTTTAAAAATTTAAAACTGTATGCATCTTAATTTAGTACTTCATTCATTGATAAAATATTTTCTGGGGGAAAGAAAGGCTTGCTATATCAAGAATCACATAGCCTTGTTGTTAATCCCCAATGATTTCCATTGTCTGTTTCACTAGAACAGGAAAACTCAATTGCATTCAATATCAAACAGCTAATTATGGATATGCTATATTCAAGACTATCTCCATTTCAAAGATATCTGCATACACTAGGTTCTATTTATAATAATTATTACAATAAAATATTTATAACATAAAACCTCTTTTGCCTTAAAGTCCTTAACATTATAAACATTAAAAGGCCAAATTGTCATTTACATGCTCTTAATGGCATATCAGGAACCAATGAATAAGACTATAGAGGAATCTCTAGCAATCAACTCTACTACATGCCTAGCTTCCAGGAAAACTGCATCTAAAGAATGCCCCCTCACACAGATTACTGACTACCTTTTCTTTAAATATTTCAAGAAGGTCTAATAATTCTCCCTGGGAACTTGCTACTGTATCTCACCACCCAAAAAAGAATGCCCACTGAAGAATTTTTCTTAGTATCTGGTCCCAAATTTTCTAGAGCTGAGAAAAAGCAACATCCCAACAGAAAGCCCTCCCCCGAACACTCAATGCCTATCTGTCACTGTGGCTGGAGTCCTGATTCTCCACATGTAACATTACAGTAACTTTTCTGGCACTTACCCTCCAAATATCAGAAGCTGCTCTCTGAATCTAGCCCTACAGGAGATGTCTGAAAAAGTAGTCTTTGATGAGGTGACAATGATGAAGTTCTCTCTGGCACTGCTAGCAAGGCAGAAACATCCCCAAATGAGGTGGTTACCAGTTGCCTGTGAAGCAGCTGGACCATTACTGCAGTTCTGAGGGTGCGTCACAAATCAGGTCATAGCTCTGGGTAGAGTCCACCCACTTCACCCAGTATAACGCCCTCTACTTCCTGCACACCTGGGGGAAAGGGGTGCGGGGGGCGGGCAGCTTAAGTCCACATAGGTACTAGTAAAGGCACAGCGAGGTGCAGCCTGACATCTGCTTCTTCCGCAAGCATTTCAGCCTCATCTGGGGACCTGCACCCCTAGGTATTCAAAAATGTGTGCAACAATAAGCAGGCTCTAAAATGAGTGAGGAGTGTAATAAAATATTGCACAGTTAAATGTTTTATCCAGCGAAATCTTTTCTCCACTGGAAACTGAACCAACTCTTAATTTTTGATTACAAGCCACTTCTCTACCAAATGTCAAATAACTGGACTGAATAAATTTCAGCAGAAACCAGGGACATAAATCCTGAGGTACCAGTTAACTAATTTTCATCTCTTGTAACTAAACTACATCACCGCATAAACTGAATTACATCCTTGAAAGTCCATTGAAAGAGGTTATTAGAATTTCGCTTCTGAACTTTCAAACTGCAACAACTGTAAAAGTGATACAAAATAACTTGAAAGCATAAAAATAGGCCAATATGTTGAAGAAATGCTACACTACTAAATCTCACCCTGAATATATACACACACAATCTGTATCTATTTACTCTGAAATATCTAATCTTAAAAAAGACTTAAAAAAATAAACAGCAAAAGATACCATTGGCATAAGTTCAAAAGTATGAAATAATGTGTGTTAATGTGTTGATCACACTCTATGAAGACATCAAGTTTAAATAGACTTACCACTGAGAACAGCATTTAGGAACGATATATAAATTACTATAGTAGACACTTTTTCTTCAGTGTAGTGAAGGAGAACCTTATGTAACAGATTTGATTTATATGTTGTTATTAAGACCATATTCTACCCTGATGTCAGTGGAATATGTGACTAGGTATTGATAACTGTGTATAGACAGTTAAGTGTAACCGCTTTTTAGATAATTTAAGTGAAAATAAGCCTTTTCTCAAGTTAATTGTGAGTTCTGGAATTCAACTTTAACAGTATTTTGATGTTTCAAAGGGGTCTTGAAAAAGAAAGGATTTTTATCATAAAAGAAAAACAACAAATACATTTAGTATTACAACAAAGTAGAAATCTCCCTTATTTTAAGGATGGCAGATTAACAAGAAGTCAAATGAAGGAGTTAAGAATATTTTCAGAGAAAAGCTTAGCGAGTCAATCAATAAATCAATCAATGAGCCCCACTTTATATTCATATTTTCAGAACTCCATTAAAAACTTAAACATTCCATCTAAGACTTGGAAGAGGAGACACTTTATTGAAGTTATTATCTGAGGAATCAAATAGTTTAATCTTTTTGGAACTTTGTAGAAAGTTAATTTAGCAAAACACATTTGAATGTGTTTGAACATATTTATCCTGAGGTTGCTTTAAGATGACTATTTTAAGTGGCATGCAGATTCTTTTGGGGTTTTGATGTTATAGTTGAGGTATGCAAAGTAAAAGTGCATAACATTTCTTTCAACTGGTTCTCACATGACAGAAATGAAAAGATGAAATTACTTGTCTTTAAAGTTTTGCCATAGGGAAATGATAAGAAAAACTCCTCTCGACCCCTATCCCCAACCAGGAAGAGTCTGAAGCCCTGGATTATAGCACAGGTAGATATTAAAATGGAGACAGAGCCGTTATTTAGTGGTGACAGGAATATAAATACGTGCACTAAACTATAAACTGGTATTTACTTCAGGAAGGTAAGTAATATTTTTCCTCTGATTGCTGCACTGTCAGTTTAATGCAGCGTAAATAAACAGTAGGTGCCTGCTAGCTCGAAGTAGGAAGTGTTCATTCCACACGAGGAACAGATTACTGAAGCCTGATGCTCATCATGCTGAAACATAACTTTCATTTTACCAGAAAATATACCCTACTGTGGATGATTTTTCGTGCCTGATCTATTAATTAACTTAACTCTGTTCTGTCAAAATGTAAACCAATTTGTAAAAATCATCACAGAGTTTTGGAGTTTGAAAACCAAATCAATTTGAAAAGCAAGAGTAATGACTGTTCTGTAATCTGATCACAAATGCTAAAAATGAATACTTAATATAATAAGCACAAACCACACAAAACTGAAAAAGACGAAAAACATTTTGAAATATCATAGAACTTAATCCAAGTTATCTGATTTACTCGAGATAGTCCTCATTTGTTAATTAAAAGCACCTGGCACCTTTAATATTTTGCAGCCTTGTGCCACTTTGGTCTTTTCAATATGTATGCTTATTCTGCTCTCTGAAATATCTGAAGGTAAACCATTCATAAAAATCAAACCCCATTCCTTAATTCCAATAGAAATATTGCTGAACTCTCCTGAGAGAAGCGGCAAGTTTGAAGATCAAATGATGATATCCTTCCTAACAGCATTCATGTAAAACGTGTTTTTTCTATTTTATGTATGCCACAAAGCTATGACAGTATATAGCAACTAATTTTCTTTTTATATATGAGTACTGAGCAAAATATTTCGTGGCAGCATTTAAAATAAGAACCCATCTTATCTAAAAAGTGTAAAAGGCAATCTGGGGAGGTTTCTATTTATAACATGAACAAAATTCTGATAATCAATATATTGAAAAGGGAAAAGAGATTAAAAACATTTTTGCATTCAACTACATCATGTCTAGAAATAGTCTGAAGATTGCTTTAGTCATATGCATTTATTTTAAATACTTCATCAATTCCAAGTGCTAATATATTAATTACAGCCATCCAAGACAATATGTATGGAAGAAACTATGTGTGTAAAGGGCATATCTATGTATAGCCCTTTTGGAAATTTACAGAACAGATGAAAACCCACTAGAGTGCTTTATAGAGTCCCTGCTGTATATCCATGTTGTGTTTAGCTTAACAGTGTTTGTAACCAAAATATTTTTACAATAATGAGGAACAGGTGCCTGTCACCTGACCTTTTAGGCCTAATTTACAATCCACAACCTGTCATATGAAAAAGAACTAAAAATTCTCCTCCAGATATTTTAGTCTTTACTAAGTTAATGTAGTATTTCTTTACCATCACTCAGCATATCATGTCTTATTTAATCACAGGTTCATATAGCTGGCAACAGATTTCTTTGCAGAAATAAACCAATATTCATTTTGTTGTCGTTCTTAAGATGCTGGGAGACAAAAGAACTACTTTTGTAGATTATCAACCAAAGAATATATTAATTTCTTACAAATCTGAACAAAAAACATTCCTTTTGAATACTTTTACATACAAAGAACTATTATTTATTACATATTTCAGCTTGTGGGAAAGTGAGGAATGCATTGATTCTGGAAATAACTATTCAGACTTTTGGAAGTTATTTAGGTCTTCTTTCTCTATCTTCCCCCCGCCCCCCATCCTGCCCTCCCACCAAATTTTAAGGAGGTAGTACTTTAGGAGGGAAATCCCTATTCGTTATTTTTTCATATATTATTTATATTCATTATTCAGAAATAAATACAAAATTGAATTGTAATTTTATTTCTCTTGTATAATGTTAGATGTAGCATTATCCAAATTTGACAATGCCTTGTATTTTATAGCTACTGTTTAAATATTATGTATTACCTATGACTGAACAACTCTACATTTAAAATATTGTTTTCATTAGAAAAAACTATGAAGTAGTAAGTGTCAAATGAAGATGAAGAATAAACATATTTGGTATATTTATAAAATGCATAGTCATTTAAAACGTGTACAAATAGAATACATAGTTTGCTACTGTTACATTTTATATAGTATACACATTGTCTACAGTGTATTTAATAATGTGCTTAACCAAGTTAATTAAAGTATTTATGTCTGATGATTGTGTAATAAACACTTGGAGAGGTAGTGAAAGATACAGCCAGTTACTTCTGCTAACTAAAGTTGAAATTATGCACTTATTATAACCTTTTCTAACAATGTGAGAAAAACAGAGTAAATATATTAAATTTGTTTCACAACAGATGCTTAGGTTGTTAATATTTAAGATGCCTATTCATGCTATTCCTGTCTGCACATTTGTCAAAAATGTAAGCTTGAATGCTAATGTTTGCCAGCAGACTGGAGCAGCCAGTATATGAATGTACTACTGTTCTAAGAAAATAATATGCAATAGAAATAGAGGACTACTGCTAAATCATAGCAGTAGTACCATACAGGAGATGAGAGGTTTTTAGAGCAAACACCTCAACCTTGGTTTTCTTCAGACTTAAAGTATGGGTTTTTGTTTTTGATTTTTGCAGCTACATTTGACCACAGAATAAATCTCACATTCCTGACATCTCAGAAAAATCCACTTTGGATAGAGTGTAAATTTCAACTAAGTTTCAACGGGATGAGTTACTCTGTCAGCAGTACAAACACCGTAAATTTCAGATTGCTTAGGACAAAACCTGACACCGAGCGGTAACATTTTACTCATTCTTACCCTACCCGCCACCCCCTTGAGAAAGTCAGGTCCCCTGGCCTCCAAGGATGCAAACATGGAAACCCAGTCAGTCAGAGCAGTAAGGTTCTCTCTGGGGAATAGGGCATCCTTCTGTTTTCCCTGTCTCTTTTATAACCATGTGGAGTCCAAGTCTTAGAACATTTGCTTGTAAGTCCGGAATGCCACTGAGAAAGTTCGCCAAGGAAGGGCGCAGAGGTCAAAGTTGCCAACCAGGACACTTTGAGAGAGGACCCTGTGGTTGACATTTGTTAGTGAAATTTGCAACACCTCAGTGGAGGCCAAGGCCAAAACTTTCAAGGAGATCCCTATGCCCCTTTCCCCTGTTGGTCTTCTGAGGTCATCCCAAGAGGAAACTGCGTTTCCCCAGTAAGCACGTGGCACTCCCCGGACCTGCCACCTGCCTGCTTCGTCCTTCTCGTCGTGGTTTCCCAAACCCCGGTTCTGCCGGCCCGGGAGCCTTAGCACTGGAGCAATAGGAAAAGGCCACCGCGCTCGGGTCTGGACAGCAGGAGGGAAACACGGTGTGGACTGCGAGGCTGCACCTGTGATGTCCCGGCCCCTGCTAAGAGGACGGCCCTTTCTTCTGCCTCTTGCCCAACTCCAAACCCACATTCACGCCAGCAGCCTCTCCAGGACCGGCCTCGCTACAGCCAGCGAGGGCTCGAAATGAGGAGTGCCGCGGCTTTCAAACTCCGGGCTCCAACTTGAGCGCCCCGGCGCCCGAGTAGCTCCCGGGATGCAGAAGTTGCCACAAACTTCCCAGGCCCCTCTTCGCCGATGCTTACAATCAGCCGCGCAGGCAGGGAGCGGAGGGAGGCGGAGATGGACCGGGAAAGGATGCTGAGCAGACTCGCGATCCGGTGGGGGAACATTACCACTCCCGCAGCCCACTCCTCCAGGCACCTTACTGCCCGCCCGGCTCCAGAACGCACCGAGAGGCTCCCCTTTTCCCCATTTGCTTCCTTCGGTCTTTTCCACTCCCCTTTCCTTTTCTAAAAGGGGCCATACCGGTGACCTGAAGGAGTTTGTTCAGCCAGGGTCTATTGGGCAGGTGTGGTGGTGTGTCCACACCCAGACAGAAAACGAATGGCATCTTCAAATCCCCCATCCCGACCGCTCTCCCCTACTCTACCAGCCCACCCCTCCAAGGTCCGTCTGCGTGAGAAAAGGGGCTCGGAAGACCGTTGAAGCCCTGCGCCCACGAGAGGGGAGCCCAGCCGCCCCAATAGGGGACGAGGAGTGGGTGCTACGGAGAAGTTTGGATTGATTCCGGAAAAAGAGGGACAGAGATAAAACAGCAAGAGTAGCAAGGGGAAAAGGGAGGCAAAAGAGCAGAACTCACTCAGGCATGGACGTTGGGGGCGGCGGTGGCTGTCGAGTGCGGGCCTGAAACCAAGAACGGCTCCCCGGGCGGGCGCGCCGGCGTCGGACTTCCGAGGCGGCGGCTTCTGCCTCTCCTGCCGCCGCCGCCGCCGCCGGAGCTGCGGCTGCCGCGGAAGTTAATTGCAACTTGACTTCAAGTTGTCCTCTTTCCCCATACGAAGTGGGCGTTTAAAGGGGAGAGCGAGGCGAGGAGCGAGCGAGCGAGCGCGCGGGGCCAAGGGAAGGAAGAGAAGGAGGGGGAGGGAGGAGATGTTAACGGGCGGGGGGGGGAGAAGGGGGAGGGGGCGGCGGCGGGGGCGGGAGGGGGAAGGGGCCGGCGGGAGCTGCTCTCGTCTCGTCGGTCGCGGCGCCTGCAGTCTGGAGGCGCACCGGAGCGGCCGGGGCGTCCCCCGCGGGAGCCCGCAGCCACCCGGGACGCGCATCCAGACGTGGCGCTTCGGACCGGGCACGCTGCGCCCGGGGGCTCGGCGGACCCCGCGTAGCCGCCGCTTCGGAGCTTGTGCGGCGCGGGCTGGCCAGCGGGGCGGCCAGGGCCCGGCCCGCCTCCCCAGCGCCCGCCCGGCTTCTCCCCCTGGCGGTGGGAGCCTCGGCGGCCGCTGGCGACACTAGGCGCACTGAAGCCCGAGCCGAGCCGAGCCCGAGCCGCCGCCGCCGCCGCCGCTGCTGCGCACCGCTCCCGGGCTCCCTCCCAGCGCGCCGGCCGGGGTGTGGGGGGCGGCGGGCCGGAGGGGCGAGGGCGGGCCAGGGGGCGCACACGGGGGTTGGCGCGGAAGACAGGACCCTCAGCCTCGAGGGGTAAGTGTGGGCGCTTGGGGGTGCGCTTGGGGTGCGCGGCGCGGTTCTCGTCGCCCGCCAACCCTGCCCCCTCACCTCTCCGGGGGCCCCCAACACGCGCACTCCTCCTCTTGTCGCCTGCGGCTTCCTCTTGTTGCTTGTTGTTTGGCTGGGTTTTGGGGGGTGAGTAGAGGGGGTTACTGTAGTGTGTGTGCAGGCGGAGGAGGAAGTCAGGTGAGAGGCCGCGAAGCACCCCCACCCCAACCCAGCCTGCGTGGGGTGTATGCTTCCCCACTAGGGGCATTTGGGCCATTTTTTTTTTCTCCGTCAATGTTCGGTCGAGACGATGTTTCCTAGAGGGCCTCCTTCACTTACAGTCTGGTCTGTCCATCTCCCTTCATCCCACCCTCGTCCGTCTTAGCCCCTTGTCCAGGAGCCCTGCACCCCAAGTGAGGAGCACGTGGCGGAAGGAGGAGGAGGCCCTCTCTTGAAGACCCCCACGCTGTGACCCAGCCCATTAGTTTAAATATTTATCCTCACATCACCAGCTGTACTTTTCAACCCACTGGAACAAGACGCCTAGGCAAGGTCCAATTTCCCCAAAAAGCTGGGGGCAAAGCGGGAGAGATGAGGGTTTTATTGACATTGGGAGAGAAGGGGCCAAGGAACCTTCCCAAGTGGAGACTGAAACTCAAAAAATCTCTACAAAAAGACTAGGGTGACTGGAGGCTCAGGACTGCAGGCTTAGGAGAAACTGGAGCTCCATCAACTTTATTTCTCTCCCCCTGCCTCTCCTCCCCCCAGCTCTGAGGAAGCTAACAGGTCTTTTGTTTTGTATTGTGTAGCCTTTGGGAAATTTGCATTGAGTATGTCAACAGAAAATTACTACTGTTTACTCAAAGGGATTGCAGAAAGATAAAACATAGTAACATAGTTTTTACTTTTCCTCTTCTTTGTACGCTTGTGTGTATTTGGCAAGAAGTGTAGTTAGGTTCATGGCATGAACTGCAAAACGTCAGGTTGTAACAATAAGGACTGTAGAGCTGCCTAGGTGTATTTTTAGAAGCCGCACTTTCTTGAATTCCTTTCACACAAGGCTTGCTCTCTCATTAAGTCCCCATAAATAATTTTATTTAGAGAGGAGGAAACTATGGAAGCAGGAGGGAGATTGCTAAGATTTCCATCCTGCCAGCGCACAGCACTGTTTGCAGGGAAGTTCCTGGAAAGTGATTGTGGGCTGAGAATTCAGTTTTTCCTAAAAGCTCTGTTAGGTCCTGTTGTGTCAGATGGCTATGAATAAAGCACGCTGGGAAAATCCTGATATCCGTGCAGTCTTATTTTATCTTTTACACAGTGGTTGATTCGACTTTCAAGCCCTGGTGACAAACACATCAACTCTGCTGTATTTTTGTGTGCTTTTTCTAAATAAAGGAGAATACAGCATGTATTCATGCTGCTTTTTTCCCCTCATCCATGGTTATTGAATTCACTGGAAGTTATTCATCTTTTTTCAGTTGATCATCATTTTATGCCGAGACCACAATTCCAAACATATAGGAATTTTTTAAAATTATGAATTAGGGTTCTTTTAGGGAACCAACCCTCCTTTTTAAAGATACAAGTGCCCACCACAACTCCTAGTTTTGTAAAGCAAAGCAAAAAGGTATAAATGATTATAATGAGCAAAACATAGTAAAACGTTTTCCTTCTTGGATCACTTTCTGTCCCCACAGGTCCCAGGAGACATTAAATCCTCCTGCCTTAATTTACCAAAATGCTGCATTTCCTAACCAGTAACAATATCTGTGTCTGAGAAAGACATCAGGTTTGGAATGGAAAAAAATACATTCTCGGTATTTAATTACTGCTTAACAGTAATTTATTGTAGCAGGCAGTTGATTTTCCAATTCTGAAAGCCTGAAATGAAGCTGAACAGAAATTTGAAATTTTTAAAAAAGGTTTTTTTTTCTTTCTTACACTCTTATATACTCATCTGCTTCCCCAAGTTATCAGCCAAGCCCCTATAACTGAAAGTATGATATGCTCCTCTGAGTTGAACCGAGACCATTTTGCCCCTCATTTTTTGAATTTGCTTTTTCCTCCCAATAGTCTTGTATAGAAAGCACATGGGCTCTGTTAGAATACAGAATTATGCAATTCTGGGTGCAGTGCATTAAATGACATAGTTTGATAAACTCTTAAGCCTTACAGCTCAGATGTTAATAAAATATTGTAGTTGGCCACAAATTTCATAGCACAAGGCTAAGATCATTTTTCAGAAGAAAGGGGCATTTAATCTGGATTATTTGGTTAGTTGCTATGGTCTGAATGTTAGTGTTCCCCCAATATTGGGGTTCATGTGTTAGAACCTAATATCAAAAGTGATGGTATTAAGAAGTAGGGCCTTTGGGAAGTGATTAAGTCATGAAGGCTTCAACCCTCATGAGTGACAGGAGTGCCTTTGTAAGACAGGCTGAATCTAGCTACCTTGCCCCTTCCACTGTGTGAGGACACAGCAACAAAAGTGCCATCTGTGAAGCAAGGAGTGAGCCTTCACCAGATACTGAATCTGCTGGTGCTGTAATCTTGGACTCCTCAGCTTCCAGAACTGTGAGCAATAAATTTCTGTTGCTTATAAATTACCCAGTCAAAGATAATTTGTTGTAGCACCTCAAATGAACTAACACAATAATACATTTGTGCTACTAGATTTTTTTAACAAGTCCAAATGTGACTTAAATGACTGAAAGACAAATCTGGAACATATCAAATGGCCAATAATAGTAGCTGGTATCAAAAGCTGCACTGGTTATTTCCTTAAAAGAATAGACAATAAAATATTGCCTACTAAATATTAGAAGAAAGATCAAGGGAAAGGATAAAACAGCATTGGCCTTGAAGGAAGTTATTTGCTGGAAAAAAGACATCAAAATGTGAAAAGACAATGGATCAGTTAGTGGTTTGAATCAAAGAAATACTTGAGGAAGAAAAAATATATATATATATGTACATATTTTTCTCTTAAGACCAGAGGAATCAGAGATCCTAAAGCTCTAGGTTGGAAGGTATTTTTAAAGTTAATTTGTTCTGTCAAATCTTTAGAGGCCATTCAATGCAGATATTTTGGGTGTGAAGGGGAACTTACTACTTACCGCCATTAAGGCAAGGATTTTTACCTATACCGTACTTACCAGAGAATAGAGTTCACTATATATTGTGCAAGTGAATGGATAATTTCAAAAGTATTTCATCTTTATATACTTTATTATGTTTTTACCTTATATATATTTTTTTACCTTATATTGCACAGAATTAGTCTTCCTGAAACTTCCAACCGTTAGTCTTCGTCCTGCCAGTTGCAGCCAAACAGAACAAATTTGTTTATCAGTCAAGATAGGCAATGTGCTGGAGTAACAATTCCAATTTTTTAGTGGCCTGTAACAGCAAACGTTTTCTTGGTTATGGTTTGAATCCATTGCAGTTCAGCTGGTCTGTTCCATGTCTGTCACTCCAGGTCCCTGGCTAATGGAACAGTTGCCATCTTGAATGTTTCATGTTGTTATGGCAAAAATAAAGATCACTCTGGAGGGTTTCATGCAGACATTTAAATGCTATGGCCCAGAAATGCCATACATCATATGGCCTCACAAAGAATTAACCAGGATTAGTTGTGTGGCTCCAAAGAATCATGACAAGAAGGTCGGATAGTGCAGCCTATCTTGTACCCAACAGTAGAGAGCTGTGGTACACAATTCTGCAGACTACTGCTACTGGTAGTAATCCTTGTCCATATGATAACCTGCCAGCTAAACAGTCTCTTCCTGTAGCTTTATGGCCCAAGTCTTCCATTTTTTAGGGCAAACTGCCAGAGTAGCCACCAGCTTAGAGGGAAACATTGTTATCAGGGGAACCCGCCCCCAATATTTCAACATAGATTCTTTATATTTTCCCTAAGTGTCGGCCAGTCTGAGCAATAAAGAGAAAGAATACAAAGAGAAGAATTTTACAGCTGGGCCGCTGGGGATGACATCACATATCAGTAGATCCGTGATGCCCACCTGAGCTGCAAAACCTGCAAGTTTTTATTAGGGATTTCAAAAGGGGAAGGTGTGTATGAACAGGGAGTAGGTCACAAAGATCACCTGCTTCAAAGGGCAAAAGGCAGAGCAAAGATCACATGCTTCTGAGGAAACAGGACCAGAGCAAAATCAGAAACTCCTGATAAGGGTCTATATTCAGCGGTGCACGTATTGTCTTGATAAACATCTTAACAGAAAACAGGGTTCGAGAGCAGAGAACCGGTCTGACCTCAAATTTACCAGGGCTGGTGTTTCCCAATCCTAGTAAGCCTGAGGGTACTGCAGGAGACCAGGGCATATCTCAGTCCTTATCTCAACCACATAGGACAGACACTCCCGGAGTGGCCATTTGTAGACCTCCCCCCAGGAATGCAATTCTTTTCCTAGGGTCTTAATATTATATTCCTTGCTAGGAAAAGAATTTAGCGATATCTCTCCTACTTGCACATCTGTTTATAGGCTCTCTGCAAGAAGAAAAATATGGCTCTTTTTTCCCAACCCCACAGGCAGTCAGACCTTACAGTTGTCTTCCCTTGTTCCCTGAAAATTGCTGTTACTCCGTTCTTTTTCAAGGTGCAGTGATTTCACATTGTTCAAGCACACATGTTTTACAATCAATTTGTACAGTTTAACACAATAGTGGTCCTGAGGTGATGTACATTCTCAGCTTACGAAGATAACAGGATTAAGAGATTAAAGACAGGCATAAGAAGTTATAAAAGTATTAATTTTGGGAACTGATAAATGTCCATGAAATCTTCACAATTTATGTTCAGAGATTGCAGTAAAGACAGGTGTAAGAAATTATAAAACTATTAATTTTGGGAACTGATATGTGTCCATATTAAAGTGAAATCTTCACAATTTATGTTCCTCTGCTGTGACTCCAGCCAGTCCCTCTGTTTGGGGTCCCTGACTTCCTGCAACACATTGTGTGACTTCTTTTACTCTCTACTGTCTCTTTGAATGCAACACTACAACCTCCTGTACCCTTAGAACCCCTAACAAAGTGTGGCCTCTTATCAATTTTATGTCACTCTTTTATATTTACTAATATTATATACATTGTATTTTCTCAGGACTTATTTTCCTGGCAAGGGTATAATAAACAGGCATTTTTAACAACTGTTTTCTGAAAATGTCATGGTCATTATCAAAATTTGAAATTTGGTCTGAGTAGCTACTTCCCTTGTTGTGAACATCAAATGTGTTATATGATTTTGTAACACAAATTTTAAAAATCCTTCATTCATTCATTTATCCTACTTTTGTTCATTCAATAAATATTCATTTTCTACCTAGTAGAAGGCAGGCACTCTTTTAAGGATTGGGGATATGGAGATGATTAAGAGTTCTCCTCTTCAAGAAACACATTTTCTGATTGGGCAGACAGAATTAAAAGTCATTATAATGCTAATAGAAGCACAAAGTGTTATGTGAACATTTAGAAAGAAGCAAATAGCTAGCTGGCAGGATTTAGAAAAGTTCCATAGAGGAATTGACACTTAAACTAAGTCTTGAGGATAAGTGAGACTTCTCCAGGCAGAAAGAGGAGGGAGAGAGGGGATATTTCAACCAAGGAGACCAGCATGGACAAAGGCACTGAACATGACAAAGCTTATTGTTTATGGAACTGTAAGGAATTCAGTGAGGCTGGCGCATGGGGTCTTTGTAAAGGCTGAAAATTCTGAAGGGCCTTGCAGACATTCTCTGGAGTTTGGACATTATCCCATACATCAGGAACTGCAAACTCTTATGTCTACCTTGGGCCATGCATGGATGTACATGACTAAAGCAGACCAAGTTAAGACTATAAGCAGTCGTGGGGCTGTGGCAATGTGAAGAATATATCCTCTGTCCAAATGGGATAGTAAATGCCATTGGTGCCTCCATTCTCCAAAGAAAAGCAGGAAATTTAGATGTATATGAAAAATTGAATATTAAATGTTGTCAACTTATCCATATTTTGAAGTACACTGTTAGTCCTTAAGCTAATTTTGACCTACAGACAAATTTTGTATAGCTTTTGCATGTATATTTCTACTGAAGGTCAAAGTGTTTATACCCATTGGAGAATAGTAGCCACTCTTTATCTGCAAGTTATATGTTCCAAGATCCCCAGTGGATACCTGAAACTGTGGATAGTACTGAACTGTATGTATACTGTTTTGTCCTATACATGCATACCTGTGATGAAGTTTAATTTATAAATTAGGCAAAGTAAGATATTACTAACAATAGCTAATAATAAAATTGAATAGTTATGATACACTGTAATAAAAGAGACTATGATCTCTCTCTTTCAAAGTTATCTTATTACACTGTACTCACCTATTTTCAGACTGCAATTGACCTCAGGTAACTGAAACTCCAGAAGAGAAACCTCAAATAAAGGAAGACTATTGCCTGTTTTATCTCAACCTATCCCATAGCCATGTGCCTAAGGACTGTCTTGAGGATATTTAATTTTTGTCATTTTTTTAATTGAGTCCACTAATTACTTACTCTTCCTAGCTGCTCTCTTGCTTTCATGCCAGACTTGCTGCCACTCAATAGTCAGAAATATGCAGCAACACCCCACACTTTCCTATAGCAATTATAATGTTAGAAATACTAGGTATCCTTTCATAACGCATGCTGACCATTTTCTTGTAGATTTGGTCCCATGGGTACATCCAGATTCTTAAAGTCATTCAATTCACTGGGCCATCAGGTCTTTAAGTTCTTGACAACTTGGCTGTACAGATTACAAATTTTATTCGATCTTCTTGACTGAAAGAAAGTCAACGTTCCTGGGTTGTTTTGTCTAACTTATAAACAATAACAATCATCCATTTTATGTGTTCTGTGAGTTTTGAATATGAAGGGGCAGCATGAGCAAATTATATTTTATGTGAACTTTGAAGTAAATAAATATATCTAGGCAAAGCCACTTTAGGTGTCCAACTGTCTGGATTCTAATCCTGGTTCAATTAGTTGCTACCTATATGACCTAGAGCAAATCTCCTAATTTCTTTATGCCTCAATTTCCTCATCCATGTTACAGGGATGCTAATAGTTAGTAGATGGGGTTAGTAGGTGCAGAGTGCTTCAGAATAGAAAAATGAATTTACTAGGATGTAAGTGGGATATAAGTACTTAACTCCTGGATGACATGATGTTGTGCTGGGGGTACACAAGCCAAAGAAGAATTATGGCTTCTATTTCTGGAATATTTATTTTTTACTTGAGGATTTTAGAAATTATTTTCTTATGAAAACAGTGACACATATAATGGAATTAACTGTAGCATTTTGCATGAATTTTAAAGAAAAACAAGAGTCTTTAAAGATCTTTCAGCTGCTTCGGATTTTGGGGGGAAGAATGGGAACTGCATTTTCTTCCTTTTGCTGCACTCTCTCCTTTATCAGGTTGGTGGAAATGCTTATGATTAGCAGACCATATACACTAGTTACATTAGTTACATTTGCCTCAAAACTGTGAAAGTACCTCCTGTATTTATGTGCTATGAATGCTGCCCAAGTGCAGAATCTTTGCCATTTAAATGTTCAGATTTTAAACCAGAAATGTGTTGGGGTAAAGAAGAAAATTATTAGAGCATGACCTTAGGGAAATCAAGTCACAAAAAAGAAAAGAGCTGAACTGAATTCTATTTCCCATTCTGTTACTAACCAGCTGGCTTATTAATGTCCATAAAGAGAGAGATTTTTGTCCTTTTCACTGATAATCCTCCACACCTTGAATAAATAGATAATGTTGAATGATCTTGGGAAAGACACTTTGTTAAAGTCTCAGTTTCCTCAGCTGCAAAACAAAGATGTGATCTTAAACTTAAACTTTATTGTGTATGGAATTAAATAGAGTTTTTGTTTAAAATGCAGGTTCTTTGAGTCCATGCCCAGAAATTCAGATTTGGTAGAACCAGATGCTATTCAGCAATCCACATGGATTTGGGGCTTGGGTTGTAAGGAGCAAAAATCCAACTTAAAAAGAAAGGTTTTATTTTTTATTTTGCTTCATTTTTTGTCCCCCCTCTCTTCCCCTCCCCGCACATAAATTGGAAAATACAATGCAAGGACTGCTTAAGGCATAATTAGATCTAGCTGTTCAAATAATGTCACCAACCATCTTTTGGTTATGCTTTCTTCTCTTTTAACTTTATACTTAGTCTGGTTTTTCCTTTAAGGAGTTCATTTTTAAGAACTTCATTCTTAATCTGCCTTTTCTCCTAGCTTCCATTCTTCTGACATAGAAACCCCAGCACAAAGAGTATTCCTTTTTCTCAAATTTTCCAGCTAAAGAAACTACACCCAACTTGACTGTATTAGATTATGTCAGGTACCCGTACCTGCACTCATCACCATGGTCAGCACCTGTGATTCACACCTCAGCAGCCTTGAGTCAAATGCCCACCTTGGATTTGGGAGTACAGTCACTCAACTCAAACCATGTGGGCTTGGACGTGAAGGTGGGATGGTTCTCCAAGACAAATTGGAATTAATTTTTTTAGAAATAAGGAAAATGGGTGCTTTTTAGCCAAAACTATAGATCTCCTTCCACTACTGAGCATTTTTAAGACGTATTTAGAGATGAATGATCCAAAAATGTTACAAAAATATAACCAGTATTCCAAGACATTGAGGCATTCAGCCCTCAATGTGACAAAGCAGGGGCTGAGAAGTACCTAAGATGGTCACAGTCCCAGTGCCAGGTGCCTCACCTATTTACCTCAGTGTTTGGGGAAAATATTAAGTATTTTCCACGTGTTATTGTATTAGTTTTCACACTGCCATAAAAACTACCTGAGACTGGGTAATTTATAAAGAACAGAGGTTTAATTGACTCACAGTTCCACATGGCTGGAGAGGCCTCAGGAAACTTACAGTCATGGCAGAAGGCAAAGGGAAAGCAAGACATGTCTTACGTGGCAGCACGAGAGAGAGAGAGAGAGCAAGCGAGGAACTGCCATACACTTTTAAACCATCAGATATCATCAGATCTTGAGACAGCACTAGGGGGATGGTGCTAAACCATTAAAACCACCCCCATGATCCAGTCATCTCCCACCAGGTCCCACGTTCAACTTGTGGGGATTACAATTTGACATGAGATTTGGGTGGGGACACAGAGCAAAACCATATCAGCTATGAAGGTGATCTATGTGCAGGTGAACTGTGACTTGTGCTATGGGAATCAGTGGATTTTGAGAATCAGTCAAAATCATTATTGTTATGTTTGACATGACATTTTGAAGTCATCTCAGGCATACAATAATAGTACTACTCTAGGATCTTCATGACATAACCTGGAAGTTGGTTGATGCAATTGAAAAGACAAAGCCCTAGTACAAAAAAAAATGGGACAAAGAAACAGGCAGGACCAGCAATTAAATCTTGCTTTGATTTGGTTATCAGTTTGTGTTTATTTAATAATCTTGGACAAATGTATTCATCTAATGAATACAGCCCCAGCCTGGATCCCAGCATGCCTGGTTCCAATTAATGTTTGAAACATAATGGATACATGCTATACAGATAATGAAAAGGGGTAAGCAGGCAACAGTGTGGAAGACAAAACTGAGTTGACTTAGTTATCAGATAGGTCTTAGGTGTATTACATGCGAGTTCATGGAAGTAAATTCGGATGAATGAATTATTAACCCCTATTTTTGTTAAGTGAAGAAGCTGCTATCATTTCCTTAAGCTCATTAATACAATTAATAAAAATAAAATGTCTACCTCTTCATTTTAGTATTAAGTCATTAGTTTAGTTTCAGATGCTTTTCCATACCCTTGCCCCACTGTTACCTTCACCAAAGTAATCCAATGTGCAGAGAAAAGTGTTTTCAACAAATAATGCTGGAATAAATAGATATCCACGTGGGAAAACAAAACAACATTTATCCATATCATACCATACACAAAATTCATTTGCAATGGATTATAGATCCAAATGTAGAAGGTACAAGTATAAAGCTTTTATAGGGAAACATAATGTAAATTGTAGATAGACAAAGATTTCTTAGATGAGCCATAGAAAACAATAACCATAAAATAAAAAATAGGTAAATTACATGTTAAAATGTAAAACTTAGCATAATGGCATGTGCCTGTAGTCCCAGCTACCCAGGAGGCTGAGGCAGGAGGATCCCTTTAGCTCAGGAGTTCAAGTCAAGCCGGGGCATCATAGCAAGACTGCATTTCTATGATTAATTAATTAAAAAGTTATGTTTAAAGAAAAGCAGAGTGAGGAGTGATATCTGGAAATTCCTTATTAAACAAACATTACTACTAGAAGGATTTCCTCTCTTGTGCATTTAGTTCAAGTTTTTTGTTTGTTTTGTTTTGTTGTTTTTGAGACAGGGGCTCCACTCTATCACCCAGGCTGCAGTGCAGTGATAGAAGCTGACTCTGTGAGCTTAAGCAAAGCACATGGGGGATTTTCATGCAATCCAAAATCAGGGATGCAATGGAGCCTTAAGAATAGAAGAACTGGCTCGGCACAGTGGCTCACGCCTGTAATCCCAGCACTTTGGGAGGCCGAGGTGGGCGGATCATGAGGCCAGGAGATTGAGACCATCCTGGCCAACATGGTGAAAACCTGTCTCTACTAAAAATACAAAAATCAGCTGGGCGTGGTGGCACACACCTGTAGTCCCAGCTACTTGGGAGGCTGGGGCAGGAGAATCACTTGAACCTGGGAGGCGGAGGTTGCAGTAAGCCAAGATTGCACCACTGCACTCCAGCCTGGGTGAGAGAGAGAGACTCTGTCTCAAAAAAAAAAAAAAAAAAAAAAAGAATAGAAGAACTATTGAAGTGCTATAGGGAACCAAGTCAATTCTTTCTCTCCATATCTCATCTTTGTCTTTCTTCCTCAGAGTAGTCCAGCTCCCTGCCTCCTCAGTTCACACAGTGAATCATGGTTTCTAATTGTTCTTGAGCCATTTTCAGTCAGTCCACCCTGAGAAAGGACCATCTTCCTGTCTTTCACAATTCTCAGGGAAGAGTCTGATTGGCCTGCTTGGGTCCAGTGACCACCCTTATTCCAATAAGCTGTGACCAGAGGCAGGATGATGTTTAAAGAAACATAGCATTTTCTTTCATCTCTTGTAATGTGGAGTGAAAAGAAATTGCATCACAGTTGAGATCCACTGTACATTTACTCTTCATTAGACATGAGACAGAGTTCACAAAAATTTTGCATTTGGTCACAGTTTTTAATGGCAACAATTATTGTTGTGTTGGTTTTTTACTTTTTTGATTATCTAATATCGGCATCTCCTCTCTGCATATCTATGTATTGACTAATACATATTAAGGGCCATAAACAAAGATGGTTCATTTTAGAAATGGGCACATTTGTTTATAAATTATTAGCCAAGATCTATTCAAATCCAGACATGATTTGTTCTAGTCTGGATATACAATAAAATTAATTTAAATAATTTTAATCAACTTCAAAAACAGCAAATTCCAAGACAATTAGGATAACTTTAAGAACTCATATTTATTGAGTTAACAGATGGTAAATTAAAAAACAATGAAGCTAATTTTTAAAATCATTCATTGAATTAAAAAATAGACTTATTTAACAAAACTGTTTTTAAGCTGCTTTTTTATCCTAATATGCATGTTTTAAGATTCCAATTTGGGGGACTCTAGAAAGACGCAGAGTGAGTTTCAGTATATGAACACTCTTCTACTGAGTTACTTTTTAAAAGCTTCAGAATCATCTGAAAAAAAAACTATCAACAATAAAAATATAAGAAATAAGAATATTTCAGTTATTGGAAGGGATGGAGGGTTTGCTTCTTCAATTCCAGTTTGCTTGCTAACATGGTCCTATGGTGTATTAGTTTGTTTTCACACTGCTGATGAAGACATACCTGAGACTGGGCAATTTACAAAAGAAAGAGGTTTAATTGAACTTACAGTTCCATGTGGCTAGGGAAGCCTCACGATTATGGTAGAAGGCAAGGAAGAGCAAGTCATGTCTTGCATGGATGGCAGCAGGCAAAGAGAGAGAACTTGTGCAGGGGAACTCCTCTTTTTTGTGAGACTTATTCACTATCAGGAGAACAGCATGGGAAAGACTTGCCCCAGTGATTCAATTCCCTCCTACCAGGTTCCTCCCACAACATGTGAAAATTCAAGATGAGATTTGGGTGGAGACACAGCCAAACCCTATCATATGGTCTTCTGTATTTCTGACCTTGAAATATCTTGAGAGTTTCCTCTGCTAACAGAGTGAAAGTTGCTCCTGGCCAGAACTTTATTTCTGCATTTTAATGGACAAACATAAAAAACTTCCCATCTGATGGCTTCTTGAGCCTAGTGCATGGGTGACTTGAAATATGCTAGCACCACACAGATATTTTTTCTTTGATCTTTTCTGTTTTCTCCTTTGTTTTCTAGTTGTAAGTGCCAGAAGCTGACTGTGAGCTTATAGGAAAAGGAGAATTTCATGGAAGCACACTGAAAGCATGGGTTCTTTTCCTTTTGGGTTCTCACTTGGTGGGGTCTCCTTGCAGCTTTTGGAGGTGGGGCAATTAACATCCCCCAGTACATGAAGTGTACCAGAAACTGTGGTTGTTTTCAAATGAGAGTTCAATCACTTCTACTTCCTGAGGATTTTATAGATGAAGTTGGAGATAACACCATTGATACATTAGGATACATCATTTGCATTTTACCAGCTATTATTAGTTTTAACATGATGGCATATTTAGAACTAGAGTTATCCATGTAGAAATGAAGTTGTTCCATAAAAAAAATGGGAATACATTTGTTTGAATGGCTAGTTGCTCAATTACTGTTATAGTCTTTACCATGGGCAGTCACAAACTGTTGCAATTTATTTTATGGTCCTGGAAACTTCTTGTCTAAGATCTGATCTTATTTTACGTTGTAGGTATTCCATTACTTGATCAATAATGTTTAGAATTGTATATATTTGTTTTTGTAGACCAATTCATTAGTTGTAATTTGAGTTAGAAAACATTTAGAGATATAGAAACACATTTATTGTTGAGATTGTAGTAAAAATTATTTTATTGTTATGCATTTGAAACTCTTTGGCCCCTAGCCCCCTTTCCTCTGGAAATAATTGTTTTTATAATACCAATTTGATAATATGAATGTTCTTAGGAATGTAATTATAACAGTATAGTAGGAGAGACTATATTGTTTTTAATTAAACAAGAACAGGTGAAAATAAGAATAGATCATGACCAAATGAAAAAATGTACTAGAGAGATGTAACTTCTGTTTTGCAGAAATAGAAATCAAAGATATAGAGGAAAAACTTCATAACTTCATAAACATCCAAGGAAATTAATAAGAGTTAAATGGATAAGAGGTAATTAGATGACAAATTATGGAGCTCTAATTTAGAATGTAAGCTACTTAATGGCAATAAACATCTTGTTGTTACCCAACCCCTAAGACATAGCTTAACATATAGCATAGCTTAACATATAGTATATACTATTATTGTTAAATAAACATTATTTTCTTGAATTTATAAATAAAATAATGAGTGTTTTAAAAATAGAGCAGATGGATCAGAAGTAAAAACTTGTTATAATGTTATAATAAAATAAAACTTTCCATATGTAACAACTACACTGACATTGTAGGATTTCTTTTGAGCAAAATTAAGGAATGCAAGGCATAAGTAAATAAATTTTTAAATTTCTGGGACGAAGAAAATTTCTTAAAGTACATGTGAAGGAAAAACATACACGCTTTTGTAGATTGCCTTCATCTTTCTTATATAGAACAAGAACTTTTTAAAGAACACAGGTAAATGTCCACATAATTTTAAGAGAAACAAGTTTGAAGTATACTAGAAACTCTGGTTGTTTCCGTATGAGAGTTCAATCACTTCTACTTCCTGATATTTTACAAATGCAATTGGAGATAACACCAATGATGCACTAAGCTACAACATTTGCATTGTACCAGCTAGTATTAGTTTTAACACGATGGTATATTTGGAACTACAGCTATTTATGTAGAAATGGTGTTGTTCTATAAAACGTTTTATGCCTACCCAATTATCAGCTTATACATAAAAGCAACAGAATAACAAAATCTTCCAGGTATCAGAGAACATAACAACCGAATGTCTTTTCCTTAAAAATTGCAGGAAATATTGTCCAGATCACTGAGAGGTGAGGTAGTATAAAAACTCAAGAATAAGAAATTCCAATAAAAAAGATTAATACTAAGCATTGAAGGCAAAGACAAAATAAGTGAAATATAGTGAAATCAAAGTGAATTGGGAATTGATGCTGATAGCTAGATATTTTTTACTAAGGGAGCAATGTTTTCAATAAAATAATCCTGGAGGGTTTTACATTTTTAAATAAAGCATCTATACCTAGTGATCACAATATGGAAAGAGGACAGGAAGGAAATAAAAGCATTATAAGAAGCAGCATTTTTGCTTTATTTTCAAGTCATTAAATAAGAATGCATATAAAAGTATAGTTGTAGACAATTTAATGTCGGCACTAGTAGAATTGAAAGCAGGATATCTATTTTCTAAATAATTATCAAAGATAAAAAAGCAAACATAGTCCATTCAAAAGACAAAATGAAAGGCAACAACAAGGAATTATTGAAGAGAAGAAAGTTTAAGTCCAATCAAGCTTAAAAAATATGACAAGTATAAATGGCTTAAATTTTCCTATTCAAATGGAAAGATCCTTATATTAAATTAAAATCAAAGTCTAATGGTTTGGTGGTGCTTAAAAAAGTCATACGTAAAGGAAAAGAACACAGAATTATTTTTTAATGGCAAAGTTTTTTCCAGCCTAACATGTTCACATCCAAATCAAAAATACAATATGAATATCAAACAGGGCAGAATTTTTGGCAGAAAAACTCCAAAACAGTAATCATGACAAAAGGGACTATTTTATACTTGTTAATAATGTCGTTCTACTGAAGGAATAATAGTACTGAAAGAGTATGCATTAAATAACTACAAATAAAAAATAATTTATACATTCTGTTTTAAAAATACAGTATTACTTACCACAGCAAAATAATATATATACAAGCAGTACAAAAGTTTACAAATTTAGGAGCTATACAAGTGAAATACTTTGTATCAGTAGGTTAAATAAGAAATAAATTATTAATTTAATACATTTTTTGAAAGCAGAAGAGAAAATTTACTATCTGTTCCTGAAAAAATGTTGAAAATAGAATAAAATATTTTATCTTAATTATTAATATCAAAATTAATTAAGAATTCTAAAAATGTACATATTTAAAACAGGATGGGATGAAAGTTGCTATAATGGTTTTGCCATAATAATATCATTTAATAGTATTTTTAAAACTCTGATCAATGTAATAAAACATACCAAGGAAAGAAAAGCTATATAGAATGAAAAAAGAGATACAACATTATGTATTGAAAAAATATTTTTATAGTTTAAAAACCCAAAGTAGTCAATGAAAACCTAAATAAAAATAATTGGTAAAATATTAAAACATATAAACATTAACATAAATCAGCAGTATAAATGTAAGCAATCATTAACTCAAACATAAACTTTTAAAAGAGAGAACTATAAAAAACAAATTCACAGACTGGTTTCAAGTGTGAACGATAACATTTTTATATTGTTATTTCCCAAGTTTAATGGAAATGTAATAACAATCTCCCTTTCATTTTTTACTTTTTGAGGTAGTGGTGAGAGGAATTTGATTTTAGTGTAAATCTAGAAGAAAAAGTAGTCAAGAATAGCAAAGTTCAATTTTTAGAAAGAAGGAGTGACTAGTCTTATCAAATATTAAAATATATAATAAAGTTATAATAATTAAAACTATACTGGCACCAAAATAAATATATTAATGAGGCAAAACATGTGGGCAAATAAATTATATATAAAAATGAAATATTTGATAATGGCTGGACCACAGATTAAAGGAGAGGGAAAATGTTTTGCAATATATGGGCTAATGGAAAAAAAAAATCAGCTTTTACACTCATTATGTACATAAAATACATTATGCAAACTAAAACCTTAGGAAGTCTAACGAGACTTTATTTTATAGGCTTAAAACATTGTAACAAAATTGCAAAGTGAACAGTAAAATAGATTTGATTATATTAAACACTTGATTAGTTAAAACAACAATGTAACAAGCAAAGGGTGGCCTATGTGCAATTGCAATTATTTGAACATAATAACAAAGAGTTGATATGATTTCACAAGAGCTCATACAAACTCATACTTAATCAATATATGAGATAAGAATGAAATCACATTTCATAAAATATGAAATATAACACATTTGCAAGCACATAAAAATCCAGCCTTAATAACAATCAAATGAATATACACTAAAACAAAAAAAAATGAGTTATGTTTAGGTTTAATCAACTATTTAAAATTGATGTCAAGGACTTACACTTTCAGCTGTTACATTTAGATCAGCTCATCCTATAAGGACAAGTAGAACAAATAGAAAAGTTGAATAAAATCTACCAAACGTTTGTTTAAAAGCACTGGAGAGCTCCACAGTGGAGAGAGCTTGAGAGCAGAGAATTTAAGAAAGATCCTAACTGCCTGTCAGAAACTAAAGTAAAACATCACTTAAAGAAGAGATGATCTTCCAGAGGTCTAAATTATCTCTACAATTTTTCATACACAATGTCTGGCATTCAATAAAATTACCAGGCATACCAGAAGACAAGATAAAATGACTGAAAACAGAGCTAGAGGAGATCCAGATATAGGAGTAACAAATTTTAAAATATCTATGCTATCTTTTAAAAATTATATGAGTAGATAGAAAATTTCAACAGACTACTATTAACTGTGATAAAGAATCAAATGGAAATTCCAGAACTGAAAAATTAACTGAAATTAAAAACTCAATAGTTGGATATAAGAGCAGATTAGAAATTCTTGAAGAACAAACTTATGAGCAATAGAAATTTTGATGTTAATACCTAACAAAGTCAGAAAAGGTGTATTGGAAAATGGTTTCTCTCATGTAACTGGTGACATGTAAACCTATATACCACTTTTTGGAAATACTTTGATAATGTGAATTCACTATTTGAACAAAAAAATTTATATCTTTTAACCCAGTAATCTTATCTCTGGGAATGTGCCATAGGAAATAAGTTTTTAAATCCACAGTGCCTCATGTATGAAGATATTCACTACAGACTTATGATAGTAATAACTATCTACAGACAATGTTTAAATACTTTATTTCAATTAATGCAGGTTAATCCTCACAACAATCTATGGTGCTAGTGAACATTACTATCCTCATTGTACAGATGAGAAAACTGAAACATTGAGAAGTCAAGTAACTTGCTCAAGATTATATAGCTAGTGCATAGAGGGGCAAAGATTTGAACCAGATTGCCTGGTTCCACATGCACTTTAACCTGCTTTATTTAGGCTTTTGAAAGCAACCTAAATAGCTAACATTGACTAAATAAGTGCAGTATACCTGGTCTGTGTGACATTTTGCAGGTATTAAAAAGTGAACATTCTGAACCCTTTTAGCAATATGGCAAATACTTCTGATGTGATGTATGCATATAAATATGATCGAAAGCAAATATCCCAAAAGGTTGATGGCAGTTATGTCAGGTTAGTAGCACAATAGTTTCTTTTCTCATTTTCTCACATTTTTAGTAATGTGTGTTGCCTATATTAAAAAACAAATATTAAAAAGTAGTAGCATGTATTAGATCAGAGCATGGGCTCAGACTGCCTGTGTCATCTCTTATTAGATGTATGACCAGGGACAAGTTATTGACCTTTTGTTTCTAAGTCTCTAAGTTTATCCTGTAAAATGAAGATAATTGTAGTAACTACCTAATAACATGATTGTAAGGATTAAATTATTTAGAACACTATTTGTTACTTGGAAAATATGCAATCATAAGCTATTTTGTTGTTATTGTTATTTTACTACCAAAGCTTATTGTTTCAGAGCCCCTAGGTGACCAGGCAAAATGGCAGTTCCTTCCAGCTGGTCCTCAGATGGGCACATCTATTAGTAAGTTTCATTTCTGTATTTGGATCTTTATTCATCCTTATTATGAATTCCCCAATACTGAGGTTTCTAGGAACCTACCTGCCATTGGCTGAAGGGTTGCTTCTGAATTCTTTCCCAGAGGCAGTGACAAAAATCAAACATCCGATGTGTTCTTTACCTTTCAGTAAGCTCAGCCTCCCTGCTTGTGTCACATCTCTAAACATACGTACATGCGTGATTGAAACTGTCTATTGAAAGCAATATTACATTAACATTATCAATACTGAATTAGAGAAAATATCTATCAATGTCACCAATTCCACCTGTCTCTTGATGTATGACTTTTTACCTGACAGGCTAAATAACAATAGAAAGTTCTTTTTAAAAAATAGAAGAGTTGCTATGCAGGGACTTTTTTGGAATTAAGTGCCCCAGAGAACCTAGAAATGTGCTTTAAAACTTTTTGTTTCACCTGGCAGATCCAAAAAAAATTTGGAAGCTTTTGGTTGAATTCCCTCATTACTTGAAGTTGTTTTATGAAAATTGAATATATATATCTGTTAGGTTACCAAGACTTATGGTTAGCTATCTTAATGGCTAGTGATATAAGACCTTGTAACAAACCCTACCAATGGAACTGACAGGATTTTACCAGGGAGGATATTGCAGTACCTGTAAGAGGAAGGGATACAAATTGGCACTTCATACATTTGTGAGAACAATTGCCTTTAATGTGTCTATTTGGTTTTCATAATATTGCAGGCCTCTGCTCTTGTAAGAAGTTAGCTGCAGAACCCACATGTGAATCCTTGTAGGTGAGTCCACCATTTCACTAATACTGTGTTTTAATTGCCTCAGTTACGTCCATCTGACATTCATTGGCAAAGTCCTTTGGTTAAACTTCCTAATAATTCTCAGCTCTATCATATGGTAAATGTTTAACACATTGCTTTAATGTTTGAGTTTTTCATTTTTGTTGAAGTTATTATTCCTCTCAGGCTTATTCATGAAGGCATTTCTGGATTTATGCCTCCCCTGACCCATTCCAGGATTTACCCCAAACCTTCCACACTCTCTTCTAACAGGAAAGTTCTGTTATGACACAATAGTACTTATTAAGACAGATTTACCTTCTAAGTCTCAGGACAGCATTTCACAACCAGAAATAACCGGTCACATGAAGAACCAGAGTCTGGTAGTAGTGAAATTCATTTTCCTTCTTGAAAAAGTGGATCAAAGGATTCAAACAGCAAGTGGTGAATCAATGAAAAGTGGTAAAATGGTGAGGAAAAAATGTTACTAAAAGATGACCTCAAGATTACTGGTGCATATGAATTGCTTTTTTATATAGGAAAATACTGGATAATTTCTTATTGTCATAGTATAATTAGAAGCAATTTCATGTGTTCATTTTGCCACATGAGTTTAAATGGAATAGATTTGGTTCCCTCTCTAACATGAGTTCAGTGTCTGAACTTGGGCAAATTTCTAAACAATTCTGAGCTTCACTACCTCTGCTTGAAAGTGAGAACAATTGTATTTATCTATTATTTGTCTATTAGGTTATGAGAGCAAAAATGTCATAACATAAAACACCTGGCACCCAGCAAGCAATTAATGCTAGTCCTTCCCACCCCTATTTATGGAGGTAGAAAGAAAAAAGATAACAGACAGCTCTACTTTTATTTTTACATATATCCTTCATTGATTACCTTATGAGTAAACCTAAAAACAGCAAAATTCTCATCTCTTCATCCTTCATTTCTCAGTGCTTTATCAAATTTCTACTATGAACTAAGAACTGAGTGCTATGGGAGACACAAAGGAGAGTCAGGTATTGTTCTGTTCTCAAGGACATTGGCATCTAGAAAGGGAGATTTTTTTTTAATGCCATTAGAGAGACAAAATAAAGCACTGTCCTGGTTTTAAGCAGGAAAAATCATTTTAACTGGGGTTACCAGGGAAGGTTTCATGGAATAGGTAGTGTTTGGGCTTTAAAGAATGGGTATAGTTTGGAAAGCAAGAAGAGAGGAAATACAATGAGTCATGACTGAAGCACAGTTGACCCTTGAACAACACAAGTCTGAACTGTATGGGTCCACTTATAGTGGATTCTTGTCATCCAAAAGTGGATCAAAAATATGGTATTTGCTGGATGCAAAACCCATGTATAGGGAGGACTGACTTTTCTTCTATGCGGATTCAGCAGGGTCCACTTGAGTATACCAGGATTTTGGTATTCTGTGGGGTGTCCTGGAACCAATCCCCTGCGCATGCCGAGGGGAGGGACAACTGTAGTATAATTGAGAGAAAAACCATTGTCCCAGGATTGGAAGGACAGGTTGGCATTACCTTGGATGAACCACTTCTCCCCTGTAGCCTTCAACTTCTTCACTTGTGAGAGATGTAGAATAATCCCTGCCCTGTTGGTCTTTCAGGACTCTGGAGAAGATCAAATGGGAGCTTAGATGTGGAAGCTCTTTGGAAACCAAGAAACACTCTGAAAATGAAAAGGGTATCTTTTTTTCCTTTTCTCCCTTTACCATAAATTTCATGATGGCACTTAACAGAGCCAGTCGTTTTGGTATTTAAAAAATGTTTGGTGAAATAATTAGTTATTGGTTGAATGAATGAATTTATAAGTGAATACATGAATTAAACAAAGGTATGGAGTAGGAAAGCACATAATATGAGCAGAGAATAAGGGATTCTATTTGGAAGCATGCACTAGAACTGGATGTTAGGGATGTGAATGTGGCTAGCTGGAATGGGTCTGTGGTTCTCACAATGTGATCTGTTGACCAGCAGTGTCAATACCACCTGTTAACTTGTTAGAAATGCAAAAAGAATTATGAATTTGAAACTCAGGGTGGGACCCAGCAATCTGTTTCTCTCTAAGTCATTCTGATGCATAGCAAAGTTTTGAGAACCATGACTTTGTATTAAGGTGGGGAGTTTGGAAATTATTTTTCTGTAAGTTCGGTGCTAATGAAGATTTTCAACTGTGGGTGGACATAATCACAGCCGTATTTCTAGGATGATGAGGCAGAAGGTTGTACCTACAATATCTATGACTTCAGCATTAAAAGGACAATTAGAAGTACTGGAAAACACACCGTATTTGCCAAGCTCCAGAAATGAAGATTTTGTTTTTACCTATTTCCGAATAATATCCCCATACTTACCTAAGAGGCAAAGCAGAGCAAGCATTGCTCCCAGGCACTGGGGAAACCCACTTGGTCTGCAGAGCCCAGGCAGGATGAGAATGTTTATGTGAAAAAAGTAAATGAGAGCGGACTGTCAAATACGGCCCCAACCTTTCTGCAGAGAGAGGAGTAAGTAAGCCTTTAGTCCTGACCAACTGTGGGGAAACATTAAATGGAACCTTCCAAATTGGTTTAAAGTGGGCAGCTAAGCCTATGCCAAGGACTAAGCCAACTGCACTGGCTACAAACACACCTGTGTCTTTAGGGCTGGTGGATACAAATTTGCCAAAGGAGAGCACACTACATGGAGGAAAAATGAAGAGCCGCAGGGAAACATTTATCCTAAAGGGGAAAGAGTCAAGACAGAGATATCATGGGTCAGTTGGGAAGGAGATGGAGGGGAGAGGCAGGAGGTGAGCTGTTCAGATTGCTAGAATGACCAATCCAGATGGCTAGGATGACCAGTCATCCTGGTTTGCCCAAGAGTGAGGGATAGCCCACATCATAGGATTTCCAGGACAATCCTTGTCAAAGCGGGACAATTAGTCACCTTAAGACTCTGCCCTTTCACCTGTGTTCAAGACCTGGGGAGAAGGCATAATAAAAATAGAAAAAATCACTGCTGTCAACCTCCGCTTCTCAAAATATTGTCCAGAAACTAGCAGCATAGGCTTCACCTGGGAGCTTGTTAGAAATGCAGATACTCAGGCATCCTAGACCTACTGAATCAGAATCTGCATATTAACAAGAGCTCTGAGTGATTTGTATGCACATTAGAGTTTGTCTCAAAAGATCTTGTGGCATCCCACAGTAAATAATGGAGCACAAGTGGCAGAAATAATTTCCTCTGGGCTGTAATATGGCTAATATCCAGGTTGATCAGATACTAAGCTAAAACCAGATCAACCTTGCCTGGGAAGGACGCAACCTAGGGATGGAGAGCAACCCAGGCAGAGAGGGAGAAAGAGGCTGACACAAATTAGCCAAGAGGGGACCCCCTGAACTATTAATAGTAGTAGTATTTGTAGGGAAAGTGAGAAAAGCCAGCAAGCCAGCAATTGTATGGTAAGAATAAAGCTAGAGAAATTAATGTTGCCAGTACTGTGACCCTATTTTTACCACTTCTAGGCTGATGTGGGCTGGGAAATGGGTTATGCTTAGAAATGTGGAGCCTGCCAAGTGTGGTGGCTCACACCTGTAATCCTAGTACTTTGGGAGGCCGAGGAGGGCAGATAACCTGAGGTCAGGAGTTCAAGACCAGCCTGACCAACAGGGAGAAACCCTGTCTCTACTAAAAATACAAAATTAGTCTGGTGGTGGATGCCTGTAATCCCAGCTGCTCGGGAGGCTGAGGCAGGAGAATCGCTTGAACCCAGGAGGCGGAGGTTGTGGTGAGCCGAGATCACACCATTGCACTCCAGCTTGGGCAACAAGAGTGAAACTCCATCTCAAAAAAAAAAAAAAAAAAAAAGGAAAGAAAGAAATGTGGAGCCACAAGTGGTAAGCTTGTAGCGGTAAGCTTGTAGAGAAAAATCCAAAATGATCATCCACTAAAAGTGTTCAACTCCAGATCTTGGCCTCATCCACTTGCATATCATTCAAATACAGTGTGCAAAGAATAGTTTTCTTTCTTTTTTCTACCTGGTCTGATCTTCATGGGCTTCAGCTCTGCAGTCTAGCAGGGATAATTGACACTTAATTAATAGTGTTTCATTCTCCTCTAGCTTGAACATATTTCTTTCTCTTTCAACATTGAAGCCAGTAGTTCTAAAAATCAAACATGCAAACATGCATCAGTCACCTGGAGGGCTTGTTAAAACACAGGTTACTGGGTCTGCCCTCAAGGTTTCTGATTCAGCACATCTGAGGTGGAGCCCTAGAATTTGCATTTCTGAGTTCCCAGGTGATGCCGACATTTTGGTCCACAGGCCACACTTTAAGAACCTCTGATTCAAACTATTCAGAGTTTATTTCATATCCAAAAGTGATTATTTAAAAAGTATCTTAGATTAATGCTCCTCAAACTGATTGATTTTTCCAATCATGTACCAAATACATAGTCCTATTTCACATGACCAGTATTCAGCTTTTGCTGCAAGCAACTCACCATGCCAGTTCCACACACCTGAACAGGTTATATCCTGTTTAACAAGATCAGCCCACTGATCACATACTAGGATGTCATGGCAATGTCAATTTATGATAGAAGTTTCTAAACATGAACTTTCATCTGTATTTATCTCACCCCCGAACAGGAACAGTTTGTGGACTTGCGCTGGCCCTTGGACCACACTTCGAGTGACATTGTTATAGATGACACGGTCTCTTATAGGAAAATGCACAGTCTTTCTTAGATTCTCTACCTCCCTCTTCCATCTCATTCCCAACATAGATCTGGGTACATGAGTGGGGTCTTATTATAATCTTGTGACACCCTTGGATCATGCACTACCCTCTAAATAATCAATAGTTTCTACTATAGAGAGGCTCAATTTATCTTCTCCCTGGAATTGGGACCACTGAAATATAACTAGAACCCAACTGATCTTTTGAGATGTTGTGTGCTTGCCCTTACTGCTACTGCCGTAGTTCTGAACATTTCCCCAAGCATCAAAAAGGCCCCATGGCCTCTTTTCCCCTAGACCTCTGCCAGTCCACCAACACTCTCAGTGGGGAAGTAAGAAGCCTGGTGGATCCTGCTTCCCACACAAAGGCCATGATGAGACAGATGCTTTCTAAGTCCGATATATCTACCCACTTTCTGCTGTCACCTCTGTACCTCCTGAGTCACATGGAATGTGGTGCTGAGCCAAATGGTCAGTCTTCTAGAAGCAGTGGAATGTTGGAGGCAGCTTATACCTTAGCTGATTCTTAAATTTTCAGGAATTTTGTGAGCCAGTTTTTAAACACAGCCATTGTTGAAAATTAAACAATATAAACTTATAATCAAATATATTAAAAATAAAGATAATGCCCTCAACTCATCACTTCCTATTTATTGTTTTACACTTTAGTACTATCTATGCTTATTGTATGTGTATGGTGGAAATACTACATAATGATATTTAATGGTGTACTGCCACACAGCTCTTCACAACTCTGCATTCAGTGACATCACTTTGGTAGCTTGAAATCAGCCATGATAGGAGTATTTATATCTTGGAAATTGGCAAATATTACAAATCAGCATTCCACCCTCCCTTACCTCCCCACCCCCCAGCCAGTTGTTAAACATTTACCAGCATGCAACCACCCAGAGCCTGCATCTGGGAAAGTGAGCCACTAACCCAATGACCTGTGATAACCCTATACATATCTAGCTGTTACTAAGCTGCCCTTCCCATAACGGTCTGCCCCAAAAAGGTGTGTGTGCAGAGGAGAATAAAAACTAAAACCCTAAGATCATCTTATTTACTTGCCCTATTTCTGCCTCTTTTCTCTCCCTGCCATCTCTGGGGTCCAGAAGTAGAAGCTTTTTATTGCCTCCGGAGTTTATTCTTATACATCAAGGATAAACATTCATGACCTAACATCATCTCTCTTGTTTTCTCCCGCCAAAGCTATAAGGATAGTCTAATCATGAAAAAACATTAAACAAACTCAAAATGGGGACAGTCTATAAAATACCTAACCAGTTCTCTTCAGAACAGTTAAGGTCCTGAAAGGCGAGGAGAGAAGAAGAAACAATCACAACTTGGAGGACATTAATGCACTAAATTTAATATGGTTTCATAAGTTGGGCTGAAAAGAAAAGGACAGTAGAAAAGCTGGGATATGAGAATACAGTCTAAGTGTAGTACTAATGTTAAGTTTTTAATCTCTAACTTGATGGCATGGTTATAGAAAATAGAAACATTAGGCAAAGCTGGGTGAAAGGTATACAGGAACTCTACTATCTATACAACTTTTCTGTAAACATAAAATTATTTCAAAATAAAACTAATATAAGAAAAAAACATGGCCGACATAACAGATAGAATGGATATCTTCTCTAGTCTATGAAAAACCCTGTGTCCTACATTCACTTGCTTTGTGATATAATAAAAGGGGGAAAGGAAGGGATGATAGAAACATTATTCCTCTTAATAAACTTGGATTTTAAAATCTTTTATCTTTTCACAGCATAAAACATTCCACTTAGGATGCTATATGTTGAGCATTAACTTTCTCTTTTTCTTTATAGTCTTTCTGTAATAGTTCAAATCCTGCCCACCCTGAGGGTGGATGTTTCTAGATGATGAAGGAGGTCATAAACAGAGAGTAGATTAATATAATTATCTTTATTTCATGTCTATTTGCAAATGGGCCATTGTTCACATAGTTGTCTCTCTTTCTAAATGGAAGAATAGTTGGAGTTGGGGGTGGGGAAATACCAGAACTGAGAGGAGTAAAGGTGCTTCAAGACAATGCTTCTTAAACTTTGGTTTTGTGTTTGCATCTCTTGGGGATCTTGTTTAAAGTAGGTTGAGATTCAGTATGTTTGGGGAGGGGCCCGTTAATCTGATTTTATAAAAAGTTCCTAGATGATGCCATGCTGCTGGTCTCTGAGAAGCAAGAGTCTGGGGTCCTTTCTAAAGTGTTTCCTCTCTCCTCTATACAGTCAGAAAAGGAAAGTGCTTACTGGTCAGAGATTTAAAAGACATAGGAGATATACCACACTTCTATAAGACCAGAAACAAAAACAAAGAAAGAAGAAACATAATAACCAAAATATGACATTATTGCACACAATGAGATGCAGTAAAAGATGGACTACTTAGGCATTCACTGGACATAAGTGAAGCTGCCTTTGGAGTTTAATTTTAAGTTCTCAGTAACTCACTGTATTTAGTCATATCGTTTCACATACAGACAAAATTCCTTCTCTACTAAGAAGGAACTAAAGCTCTCAGAATTACTGAGTTGCACAGTACCAATTTACATGAATATTTTTCTTCCTCTAAAAGTTTGTAATGACTATGGTTCCTGGAAAATAATATTTCATTTTTTCAATTCATACTCTTAATCTACCAAAAAAACACTCTTCCAAAAATATAAGCTAGAAAAACAGGTAATTTGCTCATATCATAGAGACAACTCATACCAATAAAAAAATACATTTTAAAATTTGGAAAATTACAATGAGAGAATAAAGCATTTTGCATGCAGATGTGTTATGTTTTTACTCCACAATATTGGGAGCTTCCAAAGTGTAACATGCATTTACAGAGCCACTCTCTTAGCATTTAAACTGGGAGGCATTTTTCGAGAAGCATGAGTCTTGCTCAGCGGTCCTGTAGCCACTCTAGCAATCTCACACAGTACATGACTTATAAATATTGTATGTGCTTGATGGAAGTAGACCTGGCTTTGCTAATCACTTACCAGTTCTTTTGCCCAGTATTTCTTTGTTTTAGAAGTAACTTTGTTTAGCTTACCAAATGTATATTGTCCAATTTGTAGGAAATATAAGTAATATTGCAAACAGCAAAATGGGATTGTATGTGCAGATCTCTGCATCCTGGTGGGCCCTGTCATGTTAGTAATAGCTTTTCCTTGTGCTGTTGCCACTGCCAAACAGACTGCTTATGCGATCTTTGGCTTTCTTAACTCCTCTTTGGGGATCAATAAAGTGTTTCTTTTTTTTCTTAGATACCAACTTCATCTCTCTTTAAGAATACAATATTAGTTTAAAAGATTGTTCAACTTAAAGCAATCTTGTAGAGATTGTCACCCATGATTGATGCTGGGTGAGTAGAAAGGAAAATGTTGATTTTATCCTCTGCCTTTCAGATCTTTGAAGGGGAAAGTGGGCTAGTTTTTTAAACTGCAGCCTGATCAAATGTTTCAAAAGTTGTTCAAAAGTAATCTTAGTCCAACACTGCTCCTCTGACTTTTATCTAGAGAAATAGAAAAGTTTATATATTAACGATTTGTTTCTTTTAAGTACTTGTGTACATTTTTCTCTTGCAATAAGTATTAATAATTGAAAATTATTAAATTGTCATTTTAATGTTTTTTATTAAGTAAGTTTGATATGTTTCTTAGCAACGAAGACCTGTGGCTCAAATAGGAGCAGACAATTCATGGAATCAAATTTTAAATTCAAGCAGAGCTATCATACTGACATATTTGTATTTCCCTTTGTCTTGGAATTATTGGTTTGTTTAAAATAATAAGTTTAGCCAATTATTTTGTTATTCTGTTATTTAAAATATAAATTTGCAGTCTAAAATTTTTTGTGTAAAGGTGAGTGTATAAATGAATATAAATATAAATAAATAACTAATGATCACATTTCTACTGGGAAACATCATTATTTCTTACTTTAAATGTGTCAATTATCTTTCCATGATGTGTTTGTGCACATGCAAGTGTTGGCTAAGCCTGATTCTCTTTTATAAAAAAAATGGTAAATCTCAAATAAAAGTGCAAAATATTATCTTTCATGCAAATACACTAATAATACCAAAGAAAGCAGAAAAACTTACTTAAAAATAATTTTTCTTGACAAGAGATTTATAAATAGCAGCTTGACTAATCAATTTCATTACTGTTCCTTAGCTGCAGCCATGTTCTCTTGGACTATATTGCTCAATGATCTTGTGCTTTCTTTGCTACTCATACTAAATAATTTGTGTTGTTTTGCATTTTTTATATCAGGAAGCAAAATACTTAAAAATTTATAAAAGTTGAAGGGAAAAAGGGCACTCCCATAGTAGATAAAAGAAAATGTAGCATTACTTCATCATCTTTATGGAGACTCTTCAGAAAGATGCATGGTTTTTTTAGAAATATGAAATGATATAGTATCTGAAAGTTGCTTTAACTACTAATGATTGGGATGGTAAATTGGCACAACCTTTCTGATGGGCAGGTGGGCACTGGTCATTAAAAAACAAAACAAGAAAACCCTTAAGCTGTATAAAGCTATTCATACAGAGAGATTTACTTTTATAAATTTACGCTAATGAAATAATTATGGTTGTGTTCCCAATTTAGCATAAGAATGTTTATCACAGCATGGCATATATTGGAAGTTTAGTAAATGAAGATACATCCAATCTGACATTCTATTCACAACCACAAAGAGATAATGTAGAAACATATTTAGTAATGTGAGAAAATACTAAATATTAAGTGAAAAAGGTAAGTTACAAAATAATTTGCATAAAATCATCTCATACACCACCCCCCCATATATATACTTATAGTATGTTATATAATGAAATGTTAACAGTCTCTGGTTTGGGGTGTTGGATTATGAAATACATTTTTTTCTCATATGTATATTCTTGACCCTTCAACTAACAAGCATTATGTTTTTAATAAGGAAAATAATCATTCACCTTTAAAAAATGAATTCCATTAATATGCTTCCATTTGTCCTTTGAAAATTTAATAACTTTATATATTAGTTATTCCATAATAAGTAGTTGATTTTGAAAATAGAAAATTAGGTAGTTGTTCTAAAACAAGGCAAGAAAGGGTTGTGTAAAATACCATAATGACTTATTTTATTAATAGATAAGCCATAAATATCCTGATGAATTATTTTCTGATGAGAAATAAGAATTGCTGTGGCTCAGAGTTACATTTTCTTGTAATGTGACCAAGGCCAAAAGGAATTTGATAGCTATTCCAACTTTGTATCGTAAGGAGTAGTTTTTAACATTCCTGAATAGATAAGATAGCTCCTGGAATCTTCCCAATTTTCAACTATTTCTTTGATGACTATCTATAGTGATTGATTTGTTGATATAAATGTTAAGCTGACATATATTTACTAAACGTCTATTATTAGTTAGATATTACTAACTGCTATGCATACCAGAGAGCATGAAGTATAGGCTCTCACCTAAAGGAACTACAGTATTGTTGGGTAATAAATTGTATGAAACAGAACATTTTTAGAGAATATAATGCAAGTACTAAAATGACTGAAGAGATAAGAACCATGATATTTATAAAGCAGTGGATAAATGTAGGCTGAGAGTTTGGGAAAAACTTCAAGAAAAGTTGTGACTTGCCTGGCTTTGGAAAGATAAGTGATACTTGGTTATGAGAGAGGAGGGAAAAGCATTTCAGCTTGTGAGATGAAGGTCTAAAGTCCTTAGGGCTGAATTTGCTGGTTGTGGCTATGTTTACTGCAGTTCCAGCAGAGTTAGAGATGTGGTTAGGCCAGGACAGTAAGGATATCTGCCTGGAAGATTCCTGTTTTCCCTTTAGAGGGAATAGATTAAGGTGGCAGGGATCAGGTAGGAAATGATGGGGGACCCTGAAGTTAGAGCTGAGAATGTCTTCTCAGCTTCTCTGATACCATGCTCTAAGTTTGCTCCCATTTCTTTCGTGGTTCCTTCTCTTTTCATTTGTTGGCTCCCAACCTCTTCTCTACTCAGTCTCTGAATGTTGGACTCAACTGAAGTTCCTTAGCTGCTCTTCTGCCTCTGTTCTCATTCCCTGAATGAAAGGAGAGGGTTCAAACTATCCACCACTATGGTTTAATACAATTACAGAGCTCCTTGGAAAAGTGATTTGTCTAGGGCTGGGGAGGGATAAAAGAAGATGAGCCTGGAGGATGTCATGGTACCAAAAAGTAAGTACTCAAGAAAAGCGGGGGGGCACATTGAGAGAACACAGGAGCCAACCTAAAAGAGCTACCAATGGCCAAAGCTAGACCAATTTCAGACAAAATAAAATATTGAATTATGAAGCAGAATAAAATAAACACAATTTAGTCCATACTGATATAAATAAATGATTGAATAAAAGTAAATGGTAGAGAAAGGACAACTTCTTACAGAATAATTCCAAATAATAGATGCAAAAGGAAAGGAGGAAATAGAAAATCGTTGTGAGAACACTAGAACACTGGTGAAACGTTGCTGCAGGGAGGATCTGCCTATGCATGCATAAATTAATGGACAATGTTTTGAGAGAAAATGGCTATTTGGGGCCAGGTGCGGTGGCTTACACCTGTAATCCTAGCACTTTGGGAGGCTGAGGCGGGCGGATCACCAGGTCAGGAGTTCAAGACCAGCTTGGCCAACATGGTGAAACCCCGTCTCTACTCCAAATACAAAAAATTAGCTGGGCGTGGTGGCAGGTGCCTGTAATCCCAGCTACTCAGGAGGCTGAGGTGGGAGAATTGCTTGAACCCAGGAGGCAGAGGCTGCAGTGAGCCAAGATTGTGCCACTGCACTCCAGCCTGGGCAACGGAGCAAGACTCTGTCTCAAAAAACAACAACAACAACAGCAACAAAAAACACAAAAACAAACAAAAAACCTTTACAATAATTAAAAAGCATGGTAAACACCACATTAGCCAAATGATCAAGGTCAACATCACCAGTAATAAGACATACTGACAACAGGTACTGTGAATATGATGCACTGAGAAGAGCACCTCACCTCTGTGGTATCTTTCCTGTGAATACATAGCCTCAATTTGATCATGAGAAAGCATTAGGAGATATATCTAATGTTAAATGGCGAGTTAATGGGTGCAGCACACCAACATGGCACATGTACACATATGTAACTAACCTGCACATTGTGCACATGTACCCTAAAACTTAAAAGTATAGAAAAAAAAAGAATTACTCAGACTAGGAGACCCAATATTTGAAATACAAAGTAAACCTCTAAAAATAAATAAATAAATAAATAGCTATTACTGCAAAAAAAAAAAAATGCAAATTGAGGAGTATTTTACAAAATACCTGACAGATATTTCTCAAGAGTGTCATGAAAGACAATGATAAACGAGGAATTGTCTCAGATTGGAGGAGACTAAGGTGATGAAGAATTAAATACAATGTGGAATTCTGGATTGGACCCAGGAACAGAAAAAAGGCATTAGTGGAAAACTGGCAAAATCTGAATAAAGTCTGTAATTCAGGTAATGATATTGTACCAATGTTAATTTCTTACTTTTGATCATTGTACCCCGGTCATGTAAGATGCTAACATTAGAAGAACCTGAGTGATGGGTATATGGGAGCTCAGTGCTATCTTTACAAATCTGTAAATGTACAATTATTTCAAAATAAAAAGTTAAACATACAAAACATCTACCTACAGAGACCTCTCAGTCCTCTGTTTCTCTGATAGGATCTTATTTTTCTGCCTTTTTAAAATCTTTGCCTTCTTCCTGTCCACATTTAAAATCTTCACCCCCTTTGTCCTCACATGTGTTTATCTTGTCACCTTGAAAACAAAAGCCACTGGGTCTTCTGGATAATTTCTCAGATGGAAGTGAATGGCAAGTCTCCTTTTGCCCTCCAAGTACAGAAATCCTAGATAAAATATTGTTTTTAAAATGTATAGGTAAACTCAAACAGGGAAAATTCCCAGGTGCCAGCACAGAAAGCGATGGTCTGTAGACATTAGAAACCCTGGACCTGAGGGCAGGACTGAAGTTGTAATGCCATTGCTGGGACAGGAAAGAAAGCTTCAGGCATGGATAAGGTAAGGAGCTAGAACTGGACCCTGCATCCTCAAAAACACAGGGTGTAGGAAAGACCGATCATTGGCCGGGGAGGTGTCAAAGATGTGCGCCTTATGCTAGGGGCCACAATTGGGAAAATAATCACTCATAAATTATCAAACTCAAACCTGCACTCTTTGTAGTTGTGGGATCCAAATTCATACTATCTATATGGCACAGAAGCTAATAAATGAACGTAGAAATGGTTATGAAATGGGTAACACTTCTATGGGCTTGGCAGGGACAAATGCAAAACCACTTTGCAGGGATGTTTTCATAAGCCTGAGCAAGAGAGTCTCTCAGGTAAAAAGCTACTGAATGTCAGTTTACTATCAAAAATTATAAAGCAAAGAAACAAATCCTCATCAGCAATGAACCCAGAAAATTAACACTCTAAAAACTAAAGATAATTTAAAAAATCTAAAATATAGTTTGAAATAAGTATGTTTAATTTGTTTAAGAAAAAAATGACTATGAAACTAGAAAATGAAGATTTTGGAAAACATGGAATTTTAGAAATAATCCGTGTAAGCCGTTGATATTAAAACCTCAATGGAAGTGTTACACACGAGATTAGACACAATGAAGAGCAAGAATTAGATACTAGAAAACAGATCTGAGGAAATCATCCAGAATAAAGATCAAAGAAGTACAGAGAAGAAAATTTTGGAAGAAAATTTGATTCATGAAGGGTAGAAGGTGAAGGTTCAATATTTTTCTAAAAGCAATTCTACAAGAATAGAAGAGAGATGGAGAAGCAATATTTACATTTTATCTACTTTATGGTCACACACATATATGTATGTGTGTGTGTATATACGCACACTATATTTGTGTGTGTATATATATATACATATATATACACCTATATATACAGGTATATATATACACATATATATACCTATTTATATATACCTATATATACCTATATATACACCTATATATACCTATATATACACCTATATATACCTATATATATCTATATATACACCTATATATACACCTATATATGCCTATATACACACCTATATATACCTATATATACACCTATATATACACCTATATATACCTATATATACCTATATACACACATATACATATATATACCTATATATATACATATACCTATATATACATATACCTATATATATACATATACCTATATATATACACCTATATATATATATATATATAGGTTTCACCACATCCCCTTTAGTAAATTTCCATATGGTCTAGCAAATCCTTTATCACATGGCATCACTCTTATGTGGTAACTCAACTGAAACTAACAACTTAATATTTCGATAGGACTATTACAAAAAAATTGTGCTGGAAATAAAATGAAATAGACTTGGCTAACATGGACCTTTTATAATTGGAGCTCAACAATGAAAAAAATAGATAATTAGTAGGAAAAGTAAAAGTTTAGTTTTAGGGTTCTGTAATATATAGGGTCGTGTGTGTGTGTATATATATATATATACACACACACACACACACAAATATAGTGTGCGTATATACACACACAGATACCCAATAGCTGGTGGATAATAAGGACTGTCTGCTGTACTCAGCATAATCTCACTATTTATTAAATACCACACTCAACTCATCATGCTATTGCTGACTGGAAACATCCCTTTTTCCTTTCATCCAAATTATTTTACTATCTTCCAGATCCAATCTAAGTTTTGACTTTTCTATGAAGGGATCTCAATGATGCATCTCTTTTCCTTACACTTCTGTTATTGTTGCATCTGAACCACTCAGTACTAAATTGTGTTCTATCTACACCAAGCTTGTCCAACCGACGGCCCTGTGGCTGCATGTTGCCCAGGACAGCTTTAAATGCAGCTCAATACAAATTTGGAAAGTTTCTTAAAACATTATGAGTTTTTTTTAGCGATTTTTTTTAAGCTCATCAGCTGTCGGTAGTGTTAGTGTATTTTATGTGTGGCCCAAGGCAATTCTTTTTCCAGTGTGGCCCAGGGAAGCCAAAAGATTGGACGCCCCTATTCTACACCAAGAGTTAGGAAACTATGAAAGCCAAGCAAATCCTGTCCACTGACTGTTTTTGTATGGTCCAGAAGCTAAGAATGATGTTTACATTTTTAAGTGGTTGAAAAAAAAAAGAGAAGAAGAATGTTTCATGGCATATTAGAAATTATATGAAATTCAAATTTTGGTGTCCTCTCAGTGTCCAATAAAGTTTATTGAAACACAGTCATGTCCACTTACGTATGTATTGTCTATAGCTGCTTCCACGCTGTAACAGAGTTCAGTAGCTCCAATAGAAAATCTGTGGTGCACAATGGCTAAAATATGCACTTTCTGGCCATTTCCAGTTGAAGTTTACCAGTCTTTGTTCTACACTGCAATTTTGTCATGTCAAGTACAGGATTTTAAGAAATGAATCTCACTTCATAGTGCAGGAGGTAGCAGTGTCCCCTCTCCCTGTTGGGAACTGGACTCAAGAGCAGTTCTTTTCAAAGTGGTCCTCCTCAGAAATTCCTCTTTCATCTCTCAAACCTGACACTTTTATATCCTTGAGGTGGGTGAGGGCTTCCAGGAAATTTGTAACTAGGTTTCAGCACATCCCCTTTAGTAAATTTCCATATGGTCTAGCACCTCCTTTATCACATGGCATCACGCTTATGTGGTAACTCAACTGAGAATAACAACTTAATATTTTGATAGGGCTATTACAAAAAAATTGTGCTGGAAATAAAATGAAATAGACGTGGCTAACATGGACCTTTTACAATTGGAGCTCAACAATGAAAAAAATAGATAATTAGGAAAAGTAAAAGTTTAGTTGTAGGGTTCTGTAATAATTTTTTAAATAAGATAAGCAGGTCTTTACACATTTGAAAAGATCCTGGGTGAAACTACGGAGCAAAAATAGCGTTTTACTGTGGTATCATTTTTCTTTTCTTGGCTTCAGCTGTGTGTTTTTAGTGAAATAAATAAGTATTGAATGTCTTGGGAGATTTGTGATTTTCTTTGATAACTGCTAAGACACCAGAGGTTTCAATTGTTTTTGATCCTCTTTGATCTTCCTCAGCTACTCTTTTTTCAGCATTGTAGTATTTTTGAAATTTTTACATGAGAATGAACAATAAAAGTTAACACTGTCATAATTAATTTGAAGAGTATGGCTGTGTTTACACAATAAAACCATTTGCAACCATCATCTTCATCTTTTTCTCAGTAGATTAATTTTTCATTTGCATATATACAGCATAACTGCAGCAATAGCAAGCAAATATCTTTTTGTCTTTCCAAAAGAATACTTTTTTAAAAATTAGACCATTTCATAGTCTTGAAGTTTAGTGCTAAAGCATTTCAAACAGCATTCGTATCTGAAAACCTACCACTGTCTTTTACAGGAATAACAGAATGTTTAATAACCAAACTTTAGCCATACCAAACTTTGAATTTCCCCAGATGCCTAAGATGGCAATATTTCATGGGTCCTTTCTAGTAGCTCTGTTTAGAAAACAAAACAGCTAGGCTTTGTTTAGATGGATAATTCAACAAGGATTTCCACTAATAATCATGTCCAGTTCGTTCAGGGGGAGCACACTCAAGTTTGATGCTGCATCAACCGAGTATAAACCAGGACTGTTTTCTGCAATTTTAGCTTTCAGTCTGTATTAGCTGTGTTTTAAAAAGAACAAGAAGAAAAGAAAAAGGAAAAATGTAATGTTAATAGGCTTCCTTTTGTGATCTCTTAGGGAGAGGTCTTTTTAAATAAGGGGCTTGAACTTGACCTTCTTCAATGGCACAAAGGTCCAATGCGCAGTTTTTAAAGCTATATTTAAATTTTAATAATTATACTCATTGGAGGCTAGAATGAGACTTTCAGAACTTAATCCTCAATCTTTTAGTGAAACTGCTTGGCAAAGAACAGAAGCTCAGGAAAACGTCTGCAGTAGGTACACAAATATTTCCCTGATTTCTTCATCCCACAGAATCAAACTGACTGCTTTGAGGTCATCAGTATAGTATTTGAGTTTGCAAATGTAATTTAATATAGAGTTATAATTTAAAAAATGCTTATCTTCAAGATAAATCTAGTTTTAGCGACCTGATACTGAAACTAGATTTTCAACATTTTAAAGAAATCACACTCTCAGTGTTGGCAAAATGGCATGGAAAGAGCCACTGTTGTATGCTGTTGTTGAAAGCATAATTTTTTAAAATCTTTCTGGAAGGCAGTTTGGCCATATCTGTTGAATGCCTCCAAATTTTGCATAAAACCTTTAAACCAGCATTTTTACTTTAGGAGATTCATGCTAAGAAAATAGTCGTAGATGTTTGCAAAATTATAGCTACAAGATTTTTATGTAAGTGTTTTTGGTAGAAACAAGAACTGGATAAAGCATAAATATTTAACAACCAGGCTCTATTCAGCCATTAAAAATGATACTAGAGAAATATTTAATGCCATGGAAATGGTTAAAAAAGCTGATTAAAAACAGTATGCACAATGTGATTCCCTTTTGTAAGAAAAAAAATTTGCATCAAAAATACTGGATAAAAACAAATAGAATGTTAACAGTAGAATCTGTATATAAAGGAATTGTGAATACCATTTTTCCAACATGAAAATAGCTTCTTAAAATATTCTTAAAATTAAAATGCATAGTAGGTGTAAAAATCTCAAACTATAGGAAAGTAAAAATTGTAAGCCCTTTTCCTTTTAATTGCATAATTTGGTAGGGGACACACACACACACGCACACACACACACACACACACACATACACATGCTACCTTCTGTTTTGGTTTTTTATTCAACAGTTTATCTTGGAGAATTTTACGTGTTAGTGCATGTAGATCTACTTCATTCTTTAAATTTCTATGTGGTATTCCATAATATGATTGTGTAATACCCTTTCTTATCAACTACTCTGATTATTCTTATCAACTACTTACCACACTTATCAGCTACTCTCACCATTCTGTTCCAACAGCAGGATTTATAGATTTGACCTTTTTCTTCATTTCCTCTCTGCTTTTCACTTCTCTCCTTTTCCAGCTTATATAGTTATTATTTCATTTGACGCTCTCTTTTTTTGCCCCATCTGCAAAACCACAACTCTCAATTCCCTGTGTAACCAAGCAGACAAGCACTGTTGAAGAAAATCCTGCCATAGGGCAGTTATGTCCCACCTTTTAAGACACTCAATACTACCCGGCAATCCTGCTAGTTTCTCTGGTGAGGTCACCCTCTCACTGTCTGCCACTATTATTTCAAACGGTCTCCATTCCCCTCAAAAGTCAGATTTCCCTGGATCTCCTCCAACTTTCCCTCTCAGAGACTGATGATGTCTCATAATATAGAAAAAATTGAAGCCTTGACTTCCATGTACCAATTTATAAACCTTCTCAATTGTGTATCTTTTCTCTCTCTTCCTTCTTTTTACATGGAAGAAATGTATTTGCTTTGCTGTTGTTTCATTTAGGAATTTTGTACATATTTTTATGTAATATTATTTTAACAGTTTTCCTATGTAGACTGCTTTTCTTAGTTTTGATATCAGGGTTTATTCTGCTTGACTTGTAGAATGACTTGGGAAACTTTCTTTTGTTTCTTTGCTTTTTCCTTTTACTCGGTGCTCTAAGAAATTTGTTCCTTGAAAGTTTGGTAGCAGCATTTTGGTACAAGTCTTTGAGTAGTGGTAAGGGTGATATTAGTGTATGTGTGTGTGTGCCTGTGTGTATGCCAATCTTTGATTAACCTTTTCTTTAGTTTCTCCTATAATTATTGGTCTATCTCAATTTTCTTCTACTTCCTAAGTTCATTTTGGTAATTTTTATCTTCAGAAAACATCTACTTTGTCCTTCATCTAGATTAGGGATTTGTTTCTTCCCTGTGGAACTCTTTGGCAGTTGATCAAGTTGATGAAGTTGATAAAGACCTCTTCTTAGAATCATTTAAAAAAATCCTACTTGGGAGTGGAGTCACATGACTTTCTGTGCCTTCCTACAAAAATGTGTGTGTGTGTGTGTGTTTTCTGTTTACATACATGGTTTTCTCACAATGCTATCTTAATATGCTCAGTAATTTTATGGAATAAAATTGTATAAACCCTGCTTGAATAATATATTCTGTGTGCTTGCCTCCTTTACCTCATAACACAGTGTACAAAAAGGGAATTGAAGAGGAAGTCAAATAAAGAAAAGAAAATACTACCCGTGCAACTTGCAACATGTACGGCCTGTGTCACCACACAATCTGTGAATAATAAGAAGTTACTTTAAATAATACTTCAGCAGTTATCTCAATCATGTGATTTGTTTGAACTTCCAAGGCTAATACTTTCAGCTCAACAGTTATCTATATTATAACATACCGTAATGCCTTATGGAGAGTTAAAAATTCTCATTTCAACTGTCCTCTTCTGCAAAGCTTTAATAAGTAATGCAAAAAACTCACCCCCTTTCATGTATTGATGAATATAGGTAGATAAAAATTTTAGAGGGAAAAATAGGGGCTGGGTCACCAATATGAGAACATAGATAAGTAGGCACATTTGCCTGGTGGGTGGTCAGCTCATTTGCAGGGGCATCTGTAGACAGAAACTTGGAGATTATGTGCAGTCTATAGGCTGATCTAATGACTGCCATGAATGATAGTTTCACATAGATGTACCAACTGAAAAATGACATACAGATGGTCCCCGATTTATGATGGCTCAACTTAAGATTTTTTGACTTTACAATGGTGTGAAAACAATATACATTCAGTAGAAACTGTACTTAGAGTACCCATAAAATCATTCCGTTTTTCACTTTCATTACAGTATTCAATAAACTCCATGATATATTCAACATTTTGTTATAAAATAAGCCTTATATTAGAGGATTTTGATCAACCGTAGGCTAATGTAAGTGTTCAGAGCACATTTAAGACAGTTTAGACTAAGCTATGATGTTCAATCGCTTGGGTTTATTAAGTGCATTTTCGACTTTAAGATATTTTTAACTTATGATGGGTTTATCAGGATGTAACCCCAACATAAGTCGAGGAGCCTCTGTCAACATTTCTGTGACTTTTATTGATGAAGTTCGCAAATATTGCTAATACCTCTGTGTTTGTTACCTAAATTCATAATTGAAGGCCACGCTACACTTGAGTTAGAGATGAGTGGAAATAAAGACATAATTTATTTTAACATCTAAGATTATGGACCCATTGAAACCTAGAATCCAGGATTCTGGAGTCTTGATTTCTAGATTTACTAGTGTATTGGTATAAAGGAGTATGTAATATAATATTCTCCTTTTTTATGGGTATATATTTGCTATGTTAAAAAATTATTTCTAGAGAATAAGAATTATACAATTGCCTTAAATGTCTTACTTAATAATGATAATTTAAATTGAATAAAGATTTTAATGGCTTTCTTTTTTCTACTTTTTTAATCTTATGCTTTTTTCTTTATTGCATGTGTACGTATATGTATATATATATATATATATATGTATATATATTGCTTCATTTGAGTACTGAATTGAGTAATTCTTGCATAAAAAGTTTGTGGATTTTAAGCTGTCAGAGTCTTTTTATGCCCATGAGTGTTTTCCTTTACTCTTACACATGATTGATAATTTTGCTGGACATAGAATTCTTGGTTCAAAATAATGTAATCTCAGAACCCAAGAAGACATTTTTTCATTGTCTTCTAGGATCCAGATTGCAGTTGATACTTTTGTATTCTCATTCTAATTTCATGCTTTTGAAGCTGAAAATAACTCTTTTCATAATTTTGTGAAGGTTTTGTGATTTTTTCTTTATTTTTGAAGTTCTACATTTTCACCAGGTTATGAACATTTCTGCTTGGGAGTTGATGTTCCTGTCAGATTAAAGGTTTGCATCTGTTTTTTCCAGCTCAGGGAATTTTTTATTATTATTCTTTCATTATTCCAAACTTATTCCTTATTAATTCTGTCTTTATTGAATCTCTGTTAAATAGAAATTGAAACTTTTAAATCTATACTTTATTTTTTCTGTTTCTTCACACTTTCTACACCTTTACCCTTCTCAATGCATTCTGACAGAATGGTTTGCTTGATCTTTGAGGTTGCTAATCTGTTCATTATTGTGTTCATGCAAAAAAAAAAACAAACAGATTTTTCTTAAAAACTGAAAATCAGCAAAATTTACAAGAGCGTTCTCTTGAGTATATATTGGGTCACAGATTCCTAAGTGTTGCTGTGAACATATTTTTACCTTCATTTTTTTTTCCTGTGATTTGGAAGGGACAGTACTGGTTAAATGTTTTAACCAACCATCTTGAATCTGGAATCTGCTGATTGCTATCTAGTATGTGTCAGGTTCCATGTTAATCACTGGATAAACAATGCAGGCGTAGAGACCTCAATCAAATAGAACATCATGAACATTGCAAACACTAAAGCATTTTCTTCTGAGGCACACAGAAAAAGGTGAGAGAAAGTGGAGAGAGAGGTGATCTGAACAGCAAATTGGGGTCTCTCATTCTGTATACTTTCTTAAGGTGTTTGGATTTTATTATGTACACAGTAGGTAGCTGAAAAGGGGTTAAATTTTGTGTTTATCTGTTTTAGATAGAGATGGCATCTTGCTATGTTAACCGGGCTGGTCTTGAATTCCAGGCGTCAAGCAATCCTTCTGACTCAGCCTCCCAAGTAGCTGAGACTACAAGTGCATCCCACCACACCCCACTGGTTTATTATTTTTCATTTTATTTTTGTAGATATGGGGTCTTGCTATGTTTCTCAGGCTGATCTCAAACTCCTGGCCTCAAGTAATCCTCCCATCTTGGCCTCCCAGAGTACTGGGATTAAGGGTGTGAGCTACCCTGTCTGGCCATGATGAAAAGTTTTTAGGAAATTTTTTTTTAAAAAAAATACCATGAAGGATGAAAAGAAAGAAGGCAGGACTGGAAAGGGAAAATCTTTTAGGAGGTAATTCCTGTAGTCTAGAAGGATCATTGTCATCTAACCTTTTGCAATGGCACTGGAGACTGGAAAAGGAGCATAAAATACTTGACCCAATACCTTCCCTAAATGCGCTTTTATTAGAAACTGGCATTACAACTCATGTAAAGAGCTACATCATTAACCAACAACCACAATGGTCACCTTTTTGTAATTTATTTTGCTTGTTACTTTTTCCTTATCCACACTATAGTCAGGAGGAGTAGTGTCAGTAAAGTTTTATAATTTTAGTACTGTTATATGTTGTGCAAATTTTACATCATGTATTTTATGCATAAAGGGTAGATCATGGGCTGCTTCAAAATGAAATTGTATTAGAATTGTGTGGGTACTTGAGTATTGATAGTGGGGAATCACATGTAATTCTAAATTGTGAGCCCAAGTAGCCAGATGTGATATTGAGAGGATGAGGCAATTCATCCCTAAACTCCAAGGCAGATACTAAATTTTCTTTCCAAATGTCATTGCATGGTTGAAGATTACAATGCTCCCTGGAAGAGCAGAGGCATTCTTAGGTCAAGGATAACTCTCTTACTAGTAGAATTTACAATAAGGTCACATTTCTCTGACTAGAAAAGTGGGCGTTGGGAAAATTTAATAGAAGTGTAGTAATAAAAGTTTTTTTTAAAAAGTACTTGTTTTACGCATAGTCCTATGTATAACAAAGCATTGAGGTTATTCCAGCAAGACAGATGTGGAGCAGGTGTTGAAATTTAATGGATAAGTAAGTAATACAGAGGCAGTAGATCAGTAATGGAGATGGATTAGATCATCAAGGAAATGGGTATAAAACAATGTATTATGAAAATGCCTTTCGATTGTTTTCTTTCAAAAGTTTTCTTATGTCAGATTTAAGGCAGAGTTTCAGGTTCAAAATTTTGGGTATAAAGTGAAGCCGTGTCTTCAGTTTTTTCAGAATTCTGTGTTTTGTGAAGCTACTCTTGAAAGAGTCATTTCCCCATAGAGGCATATCTTTAAGTCTATACATTGGCAAATAAAATAGTTTTATAGTCTAATGTACCGAAGTTTCAGGCATATTTATTATATTAACAAACGTATATATGAAAATATTTTGATTATGTAAAATTTAAAAATTGCTTGAAATTTGTACCATGAATTGATGTCAAATAATACCCAAATACAATTTCTATATATTGATAAAGTGGCTTTTACTAAAACCCATATATTTTTGATTTTATGAAACAGTATAAAAATTCACTGAAAGTCACCTAATTTACTGTGTGTCCCTCAAGCACCAGCCGCTACTCTAGATACTTGGATACACCACTGAACAAATCGAGTGGAACATCCCTTTCTTGAGGAACTTATTTTCTTGTGTGGGGAGAAAGACTGAGCAATAAACATATTATAAAAGTTAAATACTTAGTAAAAAGTATAATGAAAAAAGTAAAGCAGAAAAAGAAAAAGAAACCAAGGTAAAGGGGATCAGAAATGTGGGTGAGATATTTTAATTTTAAATTTTAAATAGGGTCTTCAAGGTGGGACTCGTTGAGCAAGAAACATTTCTGTGAAGACATGAAGGAGGTGAAACAGTAGAAAAGCATTATGAAGTGCTGCCTTAAGCACTCTTAAAAAAAGAAATTTGTTTTCATAGGGAAATTTGCATTTATCTTTTACTTAAATTGCTGAATTATTTTGATTAGTCAAAATTCCAAATTCACATTACCCCAGCATTGTTCCCTAAAATATACTGAAGTTATTTTACATCAATGTCTACTTCTTTTGGAATAATTTATATCAATATATTTGTTCATGCCTATCTCAGAATCCAAAATGTAGGTGCCCCTCTTTTAAAAAGAAATTATATATATATATATATATATATATATATATATATATATATATGTATGTATGTATGTATATAAACAAACCAGGTATCATACTTCTAAAAAGATAAATGCATCTTCACTCACATCTCAACCTGCACTGTATTTGAAATCATAAAGCTTTTTGATTTCTAAGATGATACAAAGTGATATAGGGATTTTTGAGTGAATGTAGGGCAAAACTATTTGAGGTATTTATTCTTTTTGAGTTCAATAAATAGTTTTCCATTTGAAATATTCATGTTTTGCCCTTCCATATGTGTTCATTTTCCTACCTGAACAATAATTGTTTGCTGAGGATATAAATGCCTGTGCAATGTTATAGGGAGACAGTAGGTTCAATCTGATTGCACTGAATAAAGTGCAGTGATTTGCACTCACTCTTTCATAAGATATTAATTTTGGAGATTATTGGAGTAAACCCTATACATTATATAGATTTGTCACTTTTATCTATTTAAAAATGTCTGTTTTTATTACCTTCTGACGATTGTCTCACTGTGCTAAATATTAAACTACCTCTTTTTTATTTAGTCATTCTTTTAAGGAACTATGAGTTTCATGTGCCAACTTTTTAATTTAATTGATTAAAAGCAAAACTAATTTTCTTAATCACAGTTTCCTTGGCATTGCACAGCTCAACTTGCAGTTAGAGAAAAGAATACAAAACAAATAAGCAATCTGTACTTAAAAAAAGTTTTGGACAGTAAAAACAAATGTAAAATTGTACTCAAGTAAGCAATGCTAATTAAGTGGTAGAGTTGTATTTTAAATGATTAAATCAATGAAAGAAAATATCTTATGCCTTTTCTTTGAAAATTAAGCACTTTTTTGTGTTCTTATTTTTGGTTAGGATAATTTGGTGAGGATAACTCAAAGAATAGTTCTGGATTATTCCTATTATAAGACCAAAGAAAATAGCAAGATCAGTATTTGCAGAGCTTGGTGGTATATGTGGAGCAAACAAAAAGGGTCAGAAAACTTTATTGCTTTTGAGTGTGTGTGTATGTGTGTGTATTTTTCAGTGTGATGAGGAAAACACCTACTAATTATGCTAACTTTGCAGCAGTTAAACATAACATATGATGCTACTTTCTTAGTTATGCGATAAGGTATGTGTTTGCTGCTGTGGTTGTGTGATATAATGTTTGCTTTTCTTGATGTTGTTACATATCTTACAACTAATGACCTGTTTTTTAAAATGTACACATATGACACTAATGCTGAAACACTAATGTTATGCTTTATTAGGATTTAATGTATGGCAAATAATGTTCAATTTTTAGCCTCCACTTATTATGCAGATTTAAAAAAAACTCGTACTATTTGCTCAGCCCCAGAAATGCACAGAAACAAATAGGGGAAGGCTTTTGACCTCAGTGAATTCCCAGGTTATTGGCAAAGTCAAAGGGGCTACAGAAGTCAGTATCATAGTGCACTGAGGGAAGCTATAGCCACTATGAGGCCATGTAAAAAGAAATGTCTAATTCAGGGGGTGAAGCAGTTGGGAGAGGGGCATTTCAGACAAAGGCCCCTGGAGGAGATGGATTCTGAGCTGAGTGTCTAGGGAAAGCAGGATTTAGTTAGGTGAAGAAGGTATAGGGAAGACCTTTCAGTCAGGGAAAACACAGTCTACAAAGCAGGGATGCAAGAGAGAACATTTGAAACACTTGTCGTTGTTAAATGCAATGACATTTCAGATATGCCATTTTCACTCAGAGGAAAATAAGCAAAATTGAGATGCCAAGTTTGGAAAATTGATATCCCATTTCACATCTGAATTATTGAGAAATCCTTAAACACAAAATATTCGTTCCTCTGCTGTTTTTGAAAACTGAATGTTTGAACATTACCTCTTCTGCTGAAAGTAAACACTTTATAGTGACCCAAAGTTTTCCTTGATTTTCCTAAATATACTCTATTAGAAAGAAAATATAGATTTTCATTGCATCAGGAAATTCATATGATCGATTTGTTGCATTTTTTGGAATGAGCAATACACAATGAAAGAAGATTTTGCTTTTGTCTGGAGCCACCTTCCTGGGCCTGCTAGCAAACTTGAGACCCTCACGCTTTCACACCTGAGGCACAGCTGCAACCACATCAAGGTCATCAGTACAGGATGTTGATGCACACACTCACACACGCACAAATAATAAACTTACATGCATTTTCCTTGGGGCAAAAGCAAATGGTATGGTTGAGTTTTCTTTTCTTCGTCTTCAGCAAAGTGGCATGGTGGACATTATGTTTTATTTTAAAACTTTTAAATGACATTTATGTATTTTCATACATAAGTGGAATTCAATTCTGTTGGGCCCGGATAACTGGGTGTGACCTTGGACTGTCTAGGTCAGAATAACCTAGAACATTTTGAGAAGGTACAAATTCCCTGGTTCTGCTCAAGATCTATTGAATCAGAATCTCTGGCTATAAGTACATATGTTTTATTTTTAGCAAGTCCCCAGGTGATTTCTTGTCACTCTAGTTAGAGAACCACTGGTATACATTTTGCAACTGCTTTGGCCCTGGGTTAAGTATTTAGGGCCCCAAATAAGTGAAAACCAATAGCATATGTTTGACACGATCCATCAAACTTAAAAATATTTATATATACATTTCAGAATTATAGTCTTGTAGCCTTTTTTATAATTTCAAAACTCCTTCTAGCCACTATGGAAAACACCACAAACATAACTTTTTTGTGCATCTAATACTTTCAGAAGTCCAAAGCTCAATTGTATGAAGCATGGACTGCCTAGCATTTATTTCTTCCTGACACATTTGATTTTGTCTTACAGAAAATTTTTTCTTTACTAATTTATACCTCTCAAGGTTACATTTGCCTACAGACTCTTCTTTCAGTATTTTCGTATTTATGATGGGCACTGAAACCTATTTAAATTATTTCTGACATACATTTTCCTTCAAATGCCATAAACATTTTCTTGTCTCACTAAAATGTCTAGTGTTAGTTTTCTGTATTTCTGGTTTTAAAATATGTCCACAATTACTATTCCTCAATACAATTTTTGCATAGGAGATCTTTATCTTTTCAGATAGTATCATAATCCCCTATGCTATTCTGTAAAAATACCTTCTGAGTCCTCTTGGATGTATAACTGGAGCAAGTGAAGGGCAGGAATGATTTTAATGTTTTTTCTTACCTTCTGTTTCTCCATGCCAGGTGAAGAATGAGTGAGCTGTGTGTCCCTTATAATGTAAGGACATTTTCCAGCATCACTCATGCTAGAAAAGCAAACTAATACGGGATCCTCAAAATAAAACTGTGAACACATAGAATGCCAGAGCAAAATCTCATCCTTAGCATCTCATTTCTGAACAGTTGTGTTACTCTGTCAGAGTTCAATTGGGGAACAAAACTATTATGATATACAGAATCCATAATAGAAAGACCTTATACAAATGTGAGGGTAAAGTTGAAGAAATGTCCAAAAGGAGGAGGTAAAGATTCAAATAAAAGGACCATTCAGTGGTCCTTTTGACACACTGGTATGAGAGAACCAGTAGCTTACAGGAAAATCTGGGAAGCAAAGCATGTCCAGATGCTGAAGTTGTACTGTGAAGGGGTGAGAGTAGAGAAGTATATGGAAAGCTGTTGCCTCTGTGTCAGGTGGTGTGTCTGGGGTAGCATTTGATCAGCAGTGCCACAGATGAGAAGCAGAACTGGACATGGAAGAGAAGTGAAGTAAGGACAAGCTGGAATCTATAGGCATCTCTGCATCTATCTTTCACTGCATCTAGCCATGACAAACTTCAGAGTATAATGACTACAGCTTTATCTCCAACTTTTTTTTTTTTTTTGAGATGGAGTTTTCCTGGCTGGAGTGCAGTGGCGTGATCTTGGCTCACTGCAACCTCTGCCTCGCGGGTTCAAGTGACTCTCCTGCCTCAGCTTCCTGAGTAGCTGGGATTACAGGCATGTGCCACCATACCTGGCTAACTTTTTTTTTTTTTAAGTAGAGACTGGGTTTCACCATGTTGGCCAGGCTGGTCTCGAACTCCTGACCTCAGGTGATCCACCCTTCTCGGCCTCCCAAAGTGCTGGGATTACAGGTATGAGCCACCGCACCTGGCCTACCTCCAACTCAAAAACCTCATGTGAATTTCGATTTTGATCAACTGTAATCTGGAACTGTAAGTGAAAGGAAACTTTGGGAAAATTCTTCCAGCATAGCCAATTTGATAAATTATCAATAGGAAACCTTTAGAGTCTTTATGAGTTTAATGCATATACTTCTATATTTTTCTAGAGCAGCATGTTTTATTTCTTTTTCAGTTATAGCCAAGATTTTGTTTTAAACTGCTTTAAAACAGGCAGAAAACTATAGCCTCCCCCTCCTTCTTTTATACACTTCCTACATTATTGATATCCTATTTGATAAATGTATTTTTTCCTTATTGACAAATATGCTATTGAGAAGTTGTATGAAATCTCTGAAGACATTAGGACCTGTGTCTTCATGACTTGAGCCATAAGTCATTCAGCTCTCTGGATCTGATCCACCACATTACATAGCACATATAAGTCTTTTGATAGCCGCATACTTTGAGCCCAAGCTAAGGAATCATTTGTCCTTGCTGTATAGCAAACCACCCTAAAACTTAGAGGCTTAAAACAACAACAACTCCTTATTTATCCTGATTCTGTGGGTTGGCTGAGTGCTTCCTCTGCTGGTTTCATCCAGGTTCACTCATGAGGGTGAGTTGGCTGGAGGATAGGCTAATCTGCAAAGTCCAAGATGGCCTCATTCATATGTCTGGCAGTTGGTGCTTGCTGTTCACAGGGGCATCTTGTTTTGCTTTTGTGTGCTCTCTCATCTTCTAGGAGGCTAGACTGGCTTCCTTTTATACTGGTCTCAGGACAGCACCCCAATACAACAAACTGGAAGCTTGGAGACCTTTTAAGGCCTAGCTTCAGGTGTCACACAATGTTACTTCTGCACATTCTTTTTGTCAAAGTTCTTCACAAGGCAAGGCCAAATTTGAGGAGAGGGGGAAATACATTTCACATCTTATGAGAGGAGATGCCAAATGCTGTGGCCATGTCTTTCAATGTACAGTTGCATCTTAAACGAGAAATTATCTTTTAGTTAGGTTTCTTTAGTAAGAAATTCCACCTTCTGCCTCCCTCATCTTCCCTCCCAAAATACACAGACACTACTAGTAATTTTGTATATGAGTGGTTCTCAGTTGAGTGCAGTTTTGTCCCTGTCTTCCTCAAGGGACATTTGGCAATGACTGGAGGCATTTTTGATTCTCAGCGAGACTTGGGAGTTACTACTGGCGTCTAGTGGCTAGAGACCAGGAATAGTGCTACACATCCTACAATTTATAGAACAGCTCCCTGTTACAATCAGTTATCTGGTCCAAATTGTGCTGAGGTTGAGTAACCCTGCCTTATATGGAATATAATGCTAGCAAGTTGCCTGAGTAAAACTTTGGTCAAGAGTAATACCTAAAGGTATTCTTTTTACACAGTCTGAAATGATTTAAAATTTTGAAGGAATCATAAATTTCTTTTTGGGTGGAAAGGGGCTAGTTATGGAAGCTGCCTTTCTGTCATTCATTATTTATGAGCAAACCATTTTAGATAGAATATGACCACTCAAACCCTTCTTTAAGATTCAAACTGAACACAGTACTTAGACTTTCGAGACTCTGCGTGTTTAATTTTCACCTCTCATTCTGGCTTTTACCTTTGTGTGTGCACACATGCACATTGTTTTAGCTACTTTTGTCAGAAATCTTTTAAGGACTTTTCCACATTGTTTTAAAGGTTGAAAAGTATGTATTAATTGGTCAAAGCCATTGTCTCTCATTAAATCAGGAATAACAATTTACATAGAACCCTGTGATTTTTGTACTTGTATCTTTAGATATGGGCTGATAAAAGTTAAACATTCTCTACCATATTGTTGTTATGAGAGGCTGAAATTTTCAAGATTTCCCCTCCAGAATAAAACATGGTGCAATTTAAAACAAAATGGGACAAATTGGTGATAACGCAAAACAAGAATTGTGTACAATAAATTAGATTTCCTTGGGGCAGAGAAAAATAAAAATGCTGAAAGGGGATACTGGGTACAGTTTTTTCATTGTTTTTAAAATAAGAATTTTAAAAATAGAAATGGGCAGAAACTAGTTATGCATTGTAGCCCTTTTCCATATTCCAATTACAATTCTTGGGTTACTCCTGGCTTGCATGGTCACCAAGTTTGGTTATTCATGTTTCTCACCCTAACACACCCCATCTGCTCCCTCCTGAAGGTGTGTGATCACAGGTATCATACCTTATCAAGCAATATGTAGTGACATCCCCTCTCAACTGACAGAGGCTGTTTGTTGTTGTGCCCGTTCCAAAGCAGTGTTGACTGATAATGGTAGAGTGGTACATAATTTGAATTCCTCAGTAGAAGTTTATTACATTAGCTCAGGCCTGAGGATTCTTGCACAATTTTGAGAGAAAGAGAGCACAAGAAAGAAAGACAGAGAAAGATAATTCTTGAAAATTCAAGAATTCATTGAGATCAATAAAACAGTTATTCTAATCTGTGGATGAGACCAAACCCATAGCTGTAATTAAGATCACTTTGGTTGTCTCAACAACAGATTAATTCCTCTTTTCAGTTAAAAGGTTGATGTCATGAAAGCAATATTTTACTGGAGAGAAATTGCTAAAATCTGTTTGCTTAACAAAGCAATTATTGATAACCTGCAATTGCTTATTGCTTCCCCTGTCATCGACTTGTTGGCAAAAACAGTCTCACGTCTCGATAGTGATGCCTACTTTTACTTCAGGGAAGACTGATAAATAATATAGTTTTCACAGAAACATGTAAGACAACAATAATCCTTAAACTATGAGGCATCATATCCACAAAAATTGAGGAAGCGTTGCTGAAGTACTAAACATATTGTTTGAGTTCTCTGCTTCAGGAGTATTGACCTTTGACTTTCAATTGATATCTCTCTTCAGAATAATAGTGATGAATAATGGAAATAAACGTCTTTAACTTGTGGTGTCAGCAACAAGATCTTTTCCTTAGGGAACTTAACATATGGGTATCTTCCAGGGAGCGGATAAATGAACTGATTTTGAAGTGCTCTCCTAATGCAAACATTTTCTTTGTAACTGCCTCAGAAAAATGCAGGCATCCAAGGTAGGCCTTCATCAGCCTTGAAGTAGTTGTTTTGTTTGCTTTTTTATTTTTTGTTTTTTATCAAGACTCTTCCTTCTCTCACTCAGAAATAAATAGCAACAGCTTCTTGTGACATTGGCCTATATCTTGAGTTCTTAAAAGTGTAAAACACTGGTTTTGAAGTATTACTGCACCCAATTCCCAAGGTATAACTACACTCACTTAAATGGCTCACAAGGATAGCTGTACCATTCTTACCACTTTAGGGTATCACTTCCTTTAGATGGTAGCAATAAGAATAGTGCAAGATTAAGACTCTTTTCTAGTAGCCATGGTAAGAGTACCACCTGACATTTGTAGAGATTGTTATACATTTTCAAAGTATACTTAAATGCATTAGAGAAAGAGGCAGTGTAGTGTAAAGGTCAAAAACTTAGACTTTGGAGTTAAGGCAACACTTTTTTAGCAATGTAAAGGCTTAGTTTCTTTATCTGTAAAAATATAGATAATAGTACCTAAGTTGTAGCATTATTATAAAGATTAGATGTATGCGAATAGCTTAGTCTTATAACTGTGCCCTAGTTAGCACAGCATAAACGGTAGCTATCATTGTTACTACCCTAATAATGCAGGTATCCTTTTCACTTGTTTTATATATTTAGATCTTAAGATAGTTATTATAAATTTATTGCTACAGTACAGAATTTTTTTTTAAAAATCTACATCGGAACTGAGATCCCTGGAAAATTTGCACCACATTCCAGCAAAGAGGCACAAGAGAACAAGATAGGCAGTTGAATTCTCCGTGACCAAATAAACCACATTCTCATACAAAGCGCCTCCAAGATCACAGATTCCAGCTGACATCTTCTAAATAGTATCTTCAAATACTGTAAACATGGCTAAAAACATCTTCTAGGTTATCAATTTTAAACCAGAGACTAAAATTTGGATAGTGCTGACGGAGCACCAAATAGTGCTGAAACAGATTGCATCAGCCTCCTATTTTTGCACTCCATGCCATTAGGAACACCTTCTTTTACGATCTTTTTCTGAGGTGCTAATTCACTAAACAAACAGTACATGTTACCCCAGGCACCAAATCCTTCAGGATGCTCCCAAGTTGCCCATTTTCCTTGGAATGGTTTGGGGGCCACAGAAAGCTCAAGAACTGTTTCAGAGCCTGCTGCCTGGGGTGCCAAAGAATTATGCACGAATAAAACCCTGCGGGGAAAATGTAAGATGCTAACTTAGAATGGATAGAAAGAAAAAAGAATGGATAGAAAGAAAAAAGCTTTAAACCATCAGCAAAATTCAAATTAGAAAGGGATAGGTAGTCACAAAAATGATCTGAATTGTGATGTAAAACAAAATACAAAAATAACATGCTGAAGTCTGATGTTCTGGTGTAGCAAACCCATTCACTAATTCTGAAATGGAATACTATTCTTATATGATGCACATTATAGTCCCAAATGCCAAAATTAGAACTTAGACATATATAATTTTGGGGAGACCTTTAAATATGAGACCCTCTTTGAGCATTTAAAAAATATTAAACATCTGAAAAATGATGTACATACATCTTTTTTAGGATGTATATATATTCTATATCAGATTTTTTATTGGAAAATCTAAGCCATCATTACCCTGAGAGAGGGCAGTCAAGGAGAGCAGAAGAGCCCCAAGCATGTATTCTCAGAGTCCGTTTACTATAAATTGGAAAAGACAAAGAAAATGATAACTGTAATCAATTTGCCTTTACCTTGATGTCATTCTAGAATTTTGAACCATTTAATTTTGTTTTCTCCCAATCCTGGCCACAGCACTTTTTTCTCCTTTTAGCTATTCATTGAGAAAACATGAGAAATAAGGGAGGCTTCAAGAATGGTTTGAGGTAGTATGTCCATCCCCCAGGTTGAAGAGTACTCTGCCATTTGGTTTTGGTGGCTTCTCCTTGCCTTATGTTTATCTAGGTCTCTGGCTTCAGATCTGGCATACACACAACATCTGTGTGTATGTTGTATGTGTATTTTAGATGGTTGTCTTCAATTAGAGAATAATACTTCTGAGGTGGCATCTCAGGCATAGTCATTTTTTAAAGGAGTTCTTACTTTCTGGGTATGTTTTGCTTAGAGATAAATATGTTTATCCTCCGTTTTAACACCAAAGAGATGGCTGTAAAAACAGTTGGATCCAAATGTTAAAAGTAAAATGGGAAATTCTCTTTGAGCAGAGTGTGCAAGGAAAGCAATATTTTTGTACAGTTTGCTATTGTTTTATGAATCTTTAGTATAATAACACCCTGATGTTTTACTCAGCTCATTTATGTGTCTGCATATTCACTCCGAAATCCAAAATGTCATTTCAAACATTCCCAGACATGTTAATTCCTTTAAGTTGGTGTCAACTATTTCATATTTCCCAACTTTATCAAGGTATAATGGAATGAATTACAATTTCTAGTTCTTAGAAACAGCTAGAAAATTTGTTCAGCTTGGTGTTTAAAAAAAGCAAATGGCCAGTCCTTAGTTTCTGCTTCCTCAACAGTTTATGACTTTGCAGGAGTTATTTCAATGACTTCTCTTGGTAACTGCCAAGCCATCTCCTGCATTTGATTTAGTTTCTAGGAGACATTTTCTAGAAAAAGAAGAGAATGCTTGCAACAAAGATGGCAAATAGAATTACTGAATGTAACCCTTTCCCTGTAGGAATCTTGATGGGAGTAAGCAAATGTTTGATTGGTTTCACCAACCTGGGTCAAGTTGCTATGTGGGTGACTCTCACCTGGAGATCTGGTGTGAGAGACTGAATACTGAAGTCTTGAGAGCATGGTGGGAATGAAGGGCTGAGACAAGGGCACCAAACTCAGAAGAACTTAAAGCAATGTCAGGAGCTGAGATGTGGAACCTGGAAGCTAAGGAGAGCATGACAGTTTGGGCTGAAGTCCAGGTGGTCAGACAGAAATTCAGTGTGCATGTAGTTATGGGCATTCTAAGGTTAGGTTGGATTCATTTATAGGACTTTTGGGTGAGCCTAAGACACAAGATTCACATTGGCTAAACCCACTTACTATATCTTAGGATAACAAATTTTATCCTTTACATAAAGATAGTATCTTTAATTTGTTTCAAAACTATGTCTTGAGCTTCATAATGCATTGAAGAAGGGGATGAGATTAAGTTTAGAATATGCTCTATTTCCTGTTGCAGGATTTAAATTATGAATGAATGAGTGTGTGAATTAGATCTATTTATAAGTTAACTGTCTCCATCTCCTTTGTTTATAAAATAGCTTTATGTGTTGATTTCATGACAGAAAAACTCAGCCTTGAAGGTTTTCCCAACAAAACTATAACTTTCACTTAAGTTTTTCATTTTCTGACTCCCATACACCCCCAACCCACCCTCACAAACACACACACACACACACACAAGCACACATATTTTACAGTTAAGTATAAGATATCCCTCTGGAATTTCATTTTTTAGGGTTCTCTAAATTTTTTCAAGCTTCTCTCTTTTTTTAAACTTCTGTTTTTGGTTCTATTCCCAGAACCCATATACACCTCACCCAGAGTTTACCTCGAATCCACTAATTTACTGCCCTAGTCATGAAATGTAACTTATTCAATAGGTGAGGTTTTTTTTCCTCCTGAGAATCCCAAAAAGAAAAATCATGAAAATTGCATTTATTGGTCAGAATTTCCACGTTTCAAAGTTCTGATATTTTAGTATCTGATCAGGAGAGAAAAAAGTCTTTCACATGGAAATTAAATGATTTATACAAATTAGTTTGAAATTTGAGATAGAAATAAGATCATTGAAATATATTCAGAGATTTAGCCTGAAAATAACTGAGTCTTGAGGTCATCATCTGAAACAATGTGCCTTATTATTTTGAAATAATTATAAAGATGGTTCGAGTAAGCCTATAGTTCTAGAAAATTCCTTATAGAGTTACTATAAATACTGAACAGTAGTCTTTGAATCATGGGGATGAATGGGTTTCATATAAGTCATTCACAAATGGCTCAGTGGACAAATTTTATCTCAGAAAGAGAATGCCCCATAGGAGTTAAAATTATCATGGCTGAGAATTCCTAGATGATGTCACCAGAATCTGAAAACACTACTGTGGATGCAATAATGATGCTATCTGCATTTTCTGGGTCTAACTTCTGACAAGGAATCTGAGTTTTCTGGCAAGCAGAATGCACATCAGAGTACACAAGGGGCATGTCTTGGCAACTTCCACCTGAGCACACATGCACGGCTTCCTGTTTTGGTCTGATAGCTTCCCCTGGGCTTTTGTTAATGCAAAATTACCCACACAGAGATGGGTTGCCCATGCAAAAGAGTAGGTGTCTTATTTTGGGAAAGTTTGCTTCACATTATCTTTGTTGTTTTATTCTACTAACCCTATTTCCTCTTTTATTTTACACTAGCGTTTTAAATTCACTTCATTTGTCTGTGAGAAATACTTCCCCCCGCCCCCTCACTTCTTAGGCTTATTTCTCTTGTTATCTGTTTTCTTTTTCTTCTCTAGGCACTGCCTTATTACTGCTTCATTTGTTTGCAATATTAATGTCTGCTAAAATGTCTTAAGATATACAATGTTAATTCATTTGCTCAATGATTTAAAAATATTTGTGAGTCTCTCACTCCTCCACATGTACATATACCTTGGAGGTAGGACAAAGGTGCCTTAAATATTCATTGTACTTTCAGGTTTATACAGTTTGGGTTGGGAGTTATACTTTCACAAACTGTGGTACAAAAATAAAAAGTGATGGCTTCTATAAAAGGTAATGATGAAATGCTATGAGGCATTTTCTCATGTGCTTTTTGGTCATTTTGTGTGTGCGTATATATATATTCCTTTGTGAAGTGCCTGTTCAAATCTCTTGCCCATAATTTTCCACTGGATTAAAAAAATTGCATTATAGAAATTGTTACATAGTCTAGGTACAAGTCCTTTGCATGTATATATTATATGTACATACATGTGGCTTTTAAACCTATTTTCTTACGATTTTAATTTCTGTGAAGTCTACTATATCTTTATGCTTTTCCTTTAATAGTGAGTGCTTTCTGTGTCTTGTAAAAGGAATTTTTTGTTATTCTTAAGTCACTAAGATATATGCCTGTGTTTTCTTTGATGTCTAGGTCTACATAATAAATCATTAGAGAAATGTGAATTAAAACCAATGAGTTATTACTACAGAGTCACTAGAATGGCTACAACTAAAAGACTGACAATACTAAGTGTTGTTGAGGATGTGAAACAAGTGGAATCACCATACACTGATAATGAGAGTATAAAATGACAAAACGACCTAGGAATTAGTCTGGCAATTTCTCATGTAAACATACACCTGTCCTACGACTCACCATTTATGCTTTTAGGTTTTACTAAAAAGAAGTGAAGACATGTGTCAACAAAAAGATTTGTACAAGAATGTTTAAAGCATCCTTATTCATAATAGCCAGTCACTCCAATGTCCATCAATAAAACAGTAGATAAACAAACTTTGGTTTATTCATATAATAGAATATTACTTGGCAATAAATATATACAAATTACTGATATACATAAATAATATAAATTATTCTCAAAATGCTGAGCTAAAGAAGTTTTCCACAAAAGAGTATATGCTATATGATTTCATTTATATGAAGGGCCAGAATAGGTAAAACTCACCTGTGATGAAATAAAGCAGTGGTTCTGTGGTCTGAATGTTTGTGTCTCTCTCAAATTCATATGTTGAATCTACTTACCAGTGTGATGACATTAGGAGGTGGGGACTTTGGGAGGTGATTAGGTCAGCAGGACAGAGCCCTCATAATTGGGATTTACTGCCCTTAATCCCAATTAAAAGTTTCCAGAAATCTCTCTTGCTCCTTCCACCAAGTGAAAAAAACAGCAAGAAGGCACTATCTATAAATCAGAAAACAGGCCCTCACCAGACATTGAATGTGCTAGTGCCTTGATCTTGGACTTTCCACCCTCCAAAGCTGTGAGAAATAAATGTTGTTTATAAGTCATTCAATTTGTAATATTTTGTTAGGGCAGTGTTATGCTGACTGTAACAAGCGGGGATTGACTGGAACAAACAAGGAGGAAATGTGCTTGAGCAATGGAAATGTTATATATATAGATAGGAGTGTGAGTTATACAACAGTTTATCTTCATCAACACTGGGGGAATGCACATTTAAGATTTGAGCATTTCATTGTATGCAAATAATACCTCCTTAAAACAATGAAAAAGTTCTAGAGGGCAGATTTTGCAATTAATTGATTAGAAATATGGCATATTGGTTTACATATTGGGTTATACTCAGAGTCTCAAACCATAGTTCTGAAACTTATTAGCTGGCAAAGTCTGGTAAGTAACATAACCTCCCTGAACTTGTTTTCCCTTTGCACAGCTAGAATAATACCTTCTTTAAGAGATGTTATAGGAATGTATGTAAAAGGCTTATCACAAGGGCTGACATAAGAAATTACTTTATTGACTAATTCTCCTCCTTTTTGTCCTTCTTCTTGTTTATTACTTAGTAAAGTGTCAAATATGGCTGTCAGGTTTTGGTTGCTGCTGTTTGTGAAGATGATAAATTGTTAACAGAAATACAGAGCACACTAGTAAGATCATACCTGGGAGAGAATAATGAGTCATCTAATGAATTTGAGACAAATAGGGATGTCCTGAATGTAGTGTCAATAATGGGTCTTGAATTTGGGAGAGAAATCAGAAAAGGAGCTTTGGATCTGAGGTGTGCTGAACAGATACACCAGATCTCTGGGGATGGGAAGGGTCTGGAAAGGTGTGACTTGTAGTATTTGCTGGTTTCCATGCTGTAAATACTGTGTCATGACCAATTTAAAGTTACCAAACCAGATTGCAAAATTCCTGAATGTTTATCAGTCAGCTCTTTTCAGCTGGTGACTGCCACCTCCAGCAAACTGCTAGATCTGAGTCATCTGCTGAGACAGAGAATGAGAAAGATACAATTATTTTCTCACCTTACACCAGGTCTTCTTGCTTGCAGGATACATTGAGTTTAATTAAATTATTTTGCTATGAATCCCCATTTCTGAATGTCTCTCTACAGCTCACGCTATTTTCAGTTATGTATGAAAAACACTTTATCTTCTTGTGCCCACTACCTTCAAAGAGGGCCTCCTTTTTATAATACAGAGGCCACCCAGGGGCCACTAGGCCTCAGTCTGGGAGAGATTCAAGCACAGCCTCACACTGTGAAAAAGAGCAACTCTTCCCTTCTTTTCCTCAGTGCTAGGCTTCTGCCTCACTTAAGAAAATATTTCATTCTCTCCTTGCTGGGAAAGACAGGGACACTTTCAAATCTAGTTCATTATCTCCTACCTCCCATTCCTCCCCCTGTCCAGTTCATAAGTCTGTCTGCATGAACCGCAAGTGTAGACAGAGTTGTTTTCATGAGCTGGAGGAATACTGACAAACCATGGAATGGGGTTTAAAACTTTATGTAATGTCATAGAGCTGTCTATAGCAATAAGAGTACTTTTGTTAAGAGTACAAGAAGACTCTTCTTAACTTACAGGCAAACTAAACACTCTGTTAAAATTACATTTCCAGAAGTTCTTTGTCCTAAAAATAACAGGAATGTAAAGAATTTTTTGCCCAGGGATGTTTCTTTTCAATATTACTTTTTATAGCAAAATAAAATGAAAAACAAACAATCAACAGAACTATACGCCCATGTTTCCATGGTAAAATGTGACATACTCATTAAAAATAACATTATGTAGTCCTTAAGATGATTATGATTGTTATTATTATTTTTAAGACAGAATCTCACTCCGTTGCCCAGGCTGGAGTGCAGTGGCATGATCTTGGCTCTCTGCAGCCTCTGCCTCCCATGTTCAAGTAATTCTCCTGCCTCAGCCTCCTGAGTGGCTGGGACTACAGGCACGTGCCACCACGCCCGGCTAATTTTTTCTATTTTTAGTAGAGACGGGGTTTCACCGTGTTAGCCAGGTTGGCCTCGATCTCCTGACCTCGTGATCCGCCTGCCTCGGCCTCCGAAAGTGCTGAAATTACAGGCATGAGCCACTGCGCCTGGCCTTCCTTAAGATTATCAATGAAAAAAGTTTTATTCTCATGAAACATGTTTATACTATACTTTAGTATGGCATTTACCATTTTAACTGTTAAAAATATGAAAAGAGGAATGATTGGAAATGAGTTTTTCAGACTGTTAAGTCACTATTATTACCGTGAATTTTTCTTTTGGTAGTGGGATTTTGGGTGGTTTCTTCCTCCTTCTCTGTGCACTTAAGTGCTTTTCCAAATTTTCTATACAACAAGCAAAAAATATCTTTCAATAAATTCCCGATGCCCCCAGAGACCACATTTATATTCCACCATCTTTTGTTTATCTATTCCGGTTTTTTTTTAAATTCAAAACCCATTTGAAGTCTATAGTCAAATTATTTTTATAACACATATAGGACAAATGTCTAGTAGCATAAAAATGGGCTCCTTTAGCTATGATGTACAGTGGTGTCACCTCTCTGGTTATTTTCTCTTGTGCTTCAATAAAGAAGGCTAGTTTAAAAAATAAGAACCTAAGCTTTCCTCACTGCAAAGTACCTTTAACTTGTTGGCAATTCAATCTTCAAACCCCTTTAAATATGTATGTATATCTATATCTGAGTTATACGTTTTCAACATTTTATTATGAAAAATTTCAAACACACAGAAAAGCTAAAAAATGGTACAGTTTATACTACTAATAGACCTATCAGCTAGATTCTATAATTAACATTTTAGTATCTTTGCTTTCTCACATATCTATTTACCCTTCCATCAATCCATCTTATTTTTTGATACATTTCAAAGTAAGTAGCAGACACGAGTATGCTTTGCTCCTAAATACTCTTCCACGCATGTCTTTAACTGAAAGAGTTCGATGTTTTTCGCTTTTTTTTCTTGCTTTGGGGGTAAAATTTATGTGCAATGGAATGTTGAAATCTTTAGTTACCAGTCAGTGAGTTTTGACAAATGTGTGTGTCTGTGTCACCTAAACTCTTGTCAAAATATAGAACATCACCATAATACGGGATAATTTCTTCATGTTTCTTCTAAGTCCCTGAACTGCCCATCCCAGAGCCAACCATTGTCCTGATTTGATTCTACAATGTAATGTTTTTCCAAGGCTAGAACTGCATATCAATGGAATCATACAGCATGCAGTCTTTTGTGCTATTTTCATTCAGCATAATGTCTCTGCTGTTCATCCGTGTTGTTTTGTTTTTTAGTCATTTTCTTTTTGTTGCCGAGTTATCTCCCACTGTATAAGAGATTGTTTAGGTATCCATTTTCCTGTTGATGGATACCTAGATTATTCCACCTTTTAGTACTATGAACAACCTTGTACGACTCTTTTTGTAGGCATCTGTTTTCATTGCTCTTGGGAAAAAACCTAGGAGTAGAATTGCTGGATCAGAAGGTAGATGTGTATCTGGGTGTTTTTTTAAAAGAAACTTCTCAAACTTTTTCCAGAGAGGCTTATCATCTTACACTCCAATCCACAATTCATAGGAGTCCTATTTTTCTCTATATTCTCGGCAATACTTGGCATTGTCAATCCTTTTTTTTTTTAATTTAGCTTTATTATGTGTGTGTAGTACCTGAATTGTATCTTTTACTGTATATATTTAAAGTATATGAATTGTATTTTTAAAATGTTGAAATGTTTGGTCAATTTCTTTGCTGTCTAAAGGAGGAAAAGGCAAGAGAGACAAGTTTTGCTCTAACAAACCTAGACTTCCTGAGTCCACAGCACATTGAAATTGGCACAATCCTAGTATTTTGTAAGAATCCATTTTTCTCCCATGAAGAACTTTGTTTTCCCAAGATTTAAATGGTAATTACTATAGGCTCACTTCACCATTATCATAATCATGATTGCTGGTCCCTCCTCCTAAGTCCTTCTCTTTTGTTTCTTCACTTCTCAATTCATTAAGACTACTTGTAAGGATTATGGAGTTGCTTCATACATTCCTGGCATCTTTGTCAGGTAATTTCCTCTGTCTCATGTGTTCTTAGGCTGTAGGCATTTGTGTCCATGTCTGATTCTTTTCTTAATCTATAAAAATTTTGAAGAAAGGAAACATCTAATTTACCTTAGCACAGCCACTTGCACCTAGTAGGTGCTGACTAAACATTTATTGAAGAGATGATGGAGTAGTGAAGAACACAAACCCTAGGGCTAGACTCTTCCACCTACCAGCTGTGTGATATCAAGCATGTTACTTACCCTCTCTAAGCCTCAGTTTCCATCTGAATAATGAAGATAATAAGAGTACCTACCTTACTGAAGTTTTGTGGGGATTAATGAGCTAATTTTTAAAAAGCCTTTAGAAGAATGCCTAACATACTATGAATATATACAAATAAAATGAAACCAAATCATCTTTGGATCATATATCAATTTTATAGAAAACTCTGGCTTTCTAAATCAATGTCTACCCTATTTGGAAATTTTTCTTAAAAACAACAACAAGCAAAAAGCAATAATTCAATCTAAAGCTATTTCTTTCAAGTATTCTAGTTCTGTTATTCCAGAATTTGGTGAATGAATCTATTTATCCATTATGATTTTGTAGCCTTTGATCATATGCCTCTCATTCTCCAGATTTTCAGAGGAAGCATGTCTGTAATACCTTTTCTTTTTTTCTTATTTAGGGTCTTTTATTATGTCTTCCTTGAAGTGCTCTGATCAGATCTGCAATACTGGAGATGTAAATTCAACTCTACTTTTTTTTTCTTTTAAAAAGAAGAGCAACATAATCCTTAGTGATCCTAAATATTATTCAACTTATCTTAACATTCAATTTCTTTATATAGCAAAGGAATGCATTTTTAGCAATGAAATAAACAGCAAACATTGACATTGCTTATTAACAGTATTTACGGTCGAAGTGCCCCACATATTCTGAAAGGTTATGTTGTACATTCTTTTAAGAAGACTTCAGGGTTTTCTACTGAAAGAATTTGAAAATCAAGACTTGGAAGGGTCCTGAGAGCAACATTCTATAGAGGAAAAGGCTAAAAAGTACCCCAGGATCTTCAGTAGCAGTGATAGTATGGCTTTGTTTTCCTTCACTGGACTAGGCTCCATAACTAAGCGTCTTATATTTGGAAGTCAAAATGCATTTGTTTGTCTTCTTACAACATAGAGAACACATGCTTACAAAATCAAAGGAGAGCATTGACTATTGTGACCTGTTTAACATATTTCTCCGCTTTGCTTCGGATGAGAGATTTCAAATCTCATCATTAATGTGGTGAAAAATATTGAATTGGAAAACACTAACATTGTCTTCCCATATTGAGTCATTGTCTGTTTGTAACTTCCAAACAAGAAAAAGATATTAATGGTCACCTTGGCTGTTTCCTTGTGACCTCCAACATGGCTCGCATTTAAAATTGAATCTGGACTGGGGTGTCTGGGGGTAGGGAGTGGAAATCTACAGGGTGCAGAATAAAGGCTAGATGTGTCCACTTGGTATTAAGGAAATGCTTCTGCAAGCACAAAAAGAAACAATATTTGGTAAAAATGAATGTTGTTTTCCCCTGCTCCGGCATCTGCTTGCGTTTACAATGGCCGCAGTGTTTTTCTTTACCTGGTAGGTGGCCTCTCCATGTATCGATGAGGCACTGCGTGAAAATGTGCCTCCTTATGTCGGAGGGAAATTTGCTTTCACTTCTTTTCCCTGCTCTCCTGTGCCTCCCTTTGTTCTAATCATACATGTGAGGAGAAAAGCCAGTGATATCAGCAATCATTTTCTTCTCCAGCCACTTTTTGGAGTTAATAATTCAAACAGATCTTTTACAAACTCATTTTATTCTTAGAAATGGCCTTATTGCTAACAGTCTGCTCTCCAGTTGTACTTTATCAAGCAGCAGATCTGTTGTAAAATGTGATGACTGGATTTCATCTGTTTTGCCACCCCCTAAGAATTCATTGCCCACAGTGCTTCAACTGCTGTTATAAGAGACAGTTTAATTTTTGTGGTACATTGATTGATAACTGGGCTCCCTGGTAACATGGTCTTCCTTGAATAGGACTGCTGTTTTCTAGGTCTCAGATCCCCTGAAGATGCTACATAACTCCCTGTATGAAACAAATCTTCCACACCCTAATAGTAATATACCAAATCCCCAAATGAACAGAAAATACACACAAATGCCTATAGGTATCTTCATGCCTGTAGGTGATATAATATGGGAAGGGAAGTTCCCCTCGGCCTTAGGTGTGATGAAATCAGCGAAGCAGAAAAAACAGAGAAACAACCAAGCAACCAACCAAACAGAACTGGAAGACTTGTCACAATTCTGAAAAGTTGTCTAAACTGGTCTATACTGAGTAATAAAGTTGCAGGTACTTCTTTACTCCTTGACTAATTTTCTGTAGCTCTCAGGTGAACCATGTAGGATACCTGCTATGTATCTTCAAATTAAAAAATAATAGTAATAATAACAACAAAAGAGAGGGCAAAAATAGTTGGCAAAAAGGAGAATTGTAAAAGATCATAAAAACAAGGGGTAGAAGGATTGGGTAAAGAGATTTGAATCTCCAAGTTATGGGAGCAATCTTATCATCAGTATATGAAAAAACAATTTTTAAACAAAACTCTCATTATTCTTTTCACTATATCGAGGCCAAAAACTTCATGTTTACACACACTTCAAAGAAGAGGACAATGATGTAGGTCCTAATAAAACCATTACTACTGGTTAGTAAATTTGCTAAGCCTACTGCATGGAAGAAAGTTGAGGGCTTGGTTAAAACCTTAGCAGATAATTTAGCACAAAATAAGTTCTTAGGAGCCTAACATGCCTGATGATTTTGGTGAAATCTGTTTCTTCCCAACCATGTACATCCAATGACTGATGCATTTGGTGGCAATGTTAAGTTGGATGGTCACAAGTTCTAATCTGATATCCCATGTTGCTTCATTAATGATTGGTCCGGTCCCCTGGTGACCACTCCTGTATCCATTTCCAGAGCAACTCTTACTCTGCCTACTTTCTTTTTGCTTGAGTTAAATGCGATGGTTAGATAAAACTATCTCTGTATTGAATGTTATTCATTCAACAAATATTTATTGAGATACTATAATGCTTCAGGCACTAGGAGCTGGAATTCAGTAATGAACAAGACAGAAAAAAATTTCTGCCTTCCTGGACCTTGGACTCTAGTGAGTGAGAGGAATAATAAACAAAATACGTAAACAAAGTAAATGAAATTAGATGAAATGAATTAGTGGCTCACGCTTGTAACCCCAGCACTTTGGGAGGCTGAGGTGGGTGAATCGCTTGAGTGCAGGAGTTCCAGACTAGCCTGGGTAACATAGTGAAACACTATCTCTATGAAAAATAAAAAAATTAGCCGGGCACGGTGGCGCATGCCTGTAGACCCAGCAACTTGGGCGACTGAGGTGGGAGAATTGCTTGCTGCTGGGAGGCAGAAGTTGCAGTGAGCTAAGATCCTGCCACTGCACTTCAGCCTGGGTGACAGAGCCAGATCCCGTCTCAAAAAAAAAAAAAAAAAAAAGATAAGGGCTAATAGTCCAGAAAGGAGGGTAGGAAGGAAAGTTTTAGACAGAGTAGCCAAGGGTGGTCTCATTGATAAGGTGATTTTGATGAAAGACCTAAAGAGAGTTGGGGAAGTGGCCATGCAGATATCTGGTGGATTAGCAATCCAGACAGAATAGCAAGTGCAAAGGCTGTGGGGCTGGGACATGCCCGACATTTTTGTGGGGAAAGCTAAAGAGGCTGGGATTACTGAAGTAGAGTAAATGAGGGAGAGAGTTATAAATGATGTCACGGAGGTAATGAAGACCAGGCCACGTAGGATCTTACAAGCCATGAAAGGAACATTGGCTTTTGCTCTGAGTCCCATAGGAAGCCATTGGAGCTTTTTGTGCACAAAACACTGGAGGGTTTTGTGCAGAATAATGAATGTTATGTTGACTGAGAATAGATGAAAAGAGTGCAAGGGTGAATGGTGGGAGATCAGTTAGAAGGCTACAGAAGTTATTCAGAGAGGATAGGATCAGGGTGACGGTAGCAGGGGTGGTAGGTAGTCATGTTCTGGATACATCTTTGTGGTAGAAACGATAGCATTTGATGATGCCTGTTAGAGTAAGAGTAGAGTTATGGCTACAACCAAAATATGAATCTAAGTAACTGGTAGAATTGAGATTCAATGAATTGAGGTGGGGAAGACTGGAGGAGGTTTTTTTGTGGCATGTGTATGTAAAGACACTGATTTTGGACATGCTAAGAGTAAGATGTCTATTAGATATTCAAGTGGAGGTAGCAAGTAAGCACTTGAATATATAAGTCTGTAGTTGAGGAAAGAGGCAAAGTTGGAGATAGAAATTTGAGTATCATCAGCATATAGATGGTATTTAAAGCCATGAGATTAGATGAGATCCCTTAGAACACCTCTGAGAGAAGGCATCTATGAACTGAACCTTGGAGTTCAGGGAGATGAGGAGAAACTAGCCAATGAAGCTGAGAAGGAGTGGCCAAAAAGAGTACTGGCTGGGCATGGTGGCTCACATCTGTAATCCTAGCACTTTGGGAGGCCGAGGCAGGCGGATCACGAGGTCAGGAGTTTGAGACCAGCCTGGCCAATATGGTGACACCTTGTCTCTATTAAAAATACAAAAATTAGCCGGGAGTGGTGGCGTGTGCCTGTAGTGCCAGCTACTCTGGAGGCGAAGGCAGAAGAATCGCTTGAACCCAGGAGGCAGAGGTTGCAAGTGAGCCGAGATTGCACCACTGCACTCCAGCCTGGGCGACAATGCGAGACTCTATCTCAAAAATAAATAAATAAATAAAAAGAGTACCATGTCCTAGAAGAAAAGTGAAAAACATGTTTCAAGGCAGATACAGTGATTGATTGCTGAAAGGTCACATGTCGCTGAAAGGACAAATAAGATGGGAATCATTGAATGGAATTTAGTGACCACATTTAACAATATAGAGTTGATCAGTGACCTTCAGAATAACTTCAGAATATCTGTTGAGCACAAGTCTGAAGTAACCCAAAACAGCTTATCAACCTCTATGGATTAAATAAAACAATGTGCTCCTGTGTAAGTAACTTGTTTGAAAGCAAGCTGGAGTGAGGGAGCTAGATATTGAGAGTTCTAAGTTCCTTACCATCACCTTCTTGCACACTAAAGTATTGAAAGAATGTAATATTCAAAACAGGCAAGCAAACAAACAAATAGAACATCATCTGAATAGATTATATGTAACAGTCTTCAATGGAAACCATGACAACAGGGAAAAGAGGCCTTGTAAAAAAATTGTGTGTGTGCTTCTGCTCTGCTTTCTCAATGTATTTATCATGTCATGGCCTTGGCAAGAACAAGAGGTAGAGATAAATAAATAACTGATTTCTCATCTTTTGGAAAAAAACAAAACTGGCCTAATGTAAATGGATAAAAGTCCTCTCTGTAGTTGTCAATTTAAACGTAAAGCCCCAATTTAAAAAAAAAGTGAATGGTGTTGCAGTTGTGTGGGTGGATTTGGTAGGGAGTTTAATTTTGCTACAGAGTGGAGTTTAATCTTTGCTAAAGAAAAGTATATCCCTTTGATTTTTTTAGAATGCCCCAAGGTCCGTCTGATTTAAACTAGTATTGGAAAAAGGGAAGAGAGATGGAAGGGAGTGATCAAAGTTGGAAAACGATAGAACTTCCCCCCATGAAACACAAGAAAGGTGAATACAGGTGAAAAATAAAGATAGTGCTGCTCCACATGTTTGGAATTGCATTTTTGGTAGTCTCAACTAACCGAAATGCAGCCACTTAGAGAAGGCTGTCACGAAGCTTATGTAGTATAGGATAGGTGTGGGACTGCCCCTCAGGGCAGAGGGGAACATTAAACATACTGATTCCTGTTGGTTATTTGATTTCCTCTTTGAGGTTAGTGACAGAAAACTTACTTTTTAATTTGTGACCTATCTAGGAGTGGGGTACAAAGGAGAGAATAGAAACAAAGAGATAATCCATGAGAAGAACAATATACTTAAGTCCCTTAATGACCCCATTGGGAGTGATGTGGTTGGCTTGATACTGATGTTCAATAGACACCTCCCCCTCCCATCTTCAGTCGTCTTTAGCTCTAAAATCTCTGTGGTCGAACTTTTGAGATAGGCTGATGTGCCACCACATATGCCATGACCCAAGGGACTGGCTGGCAATTACTCTGGATGCTTCTTGAAGGTTCTTCATTGTTCTTGCCCTTAACCTGCCTCTGTAGGATCTCAACTTTTCTCTTCCCGCTCCAGCTGCACTATGTATCCGTGCTTGGCTCTCAGTTGTTGGATTCTCATGTCTCCTTTTTCACAGTGGCTCAGGTAAGGGGACTTGTTGCAACATCTCGAGATGCTGTCTTTAGTCCTAGCTCTCTTGGAAGAGAGGAAAGGAGATGAGACATACTGAAACCACATTTTCTTGATGTTGAGCAGAATCCAGTTCACAGACTAGAAAATGTTTTATTCCTTGTAGGCTCAGCAGTACAGAAACAAGGTGGGGAAAGGAAAACAATTTCTAAAGAGTGAATTATTATGAATTATCTTATAAATGCCCATGCCACCTGCTTTACTTCTCATAATTCACTAAACCTCCTTTACTTCTCATAATTCACTAAATTCACTATGCTCTGCATTTCATCTGTGGTGTGATGAGTTAAAATTGCCTTGTTGGGAATTTTTTCAGAACATTTGTCCACTTGAACAAAAATCAATATTCTGTCTCTTAAACAGAAGCATTTGAACAAGTTGCACTATGCGGAGGTGAGAACAATAATTATATTGGTACATGTCTTAAAAATTACCCAGAAGCAGATGAGAATTTGTGAATAAATGACTCATTAAGAAAGTGTCCCCAGAAGAAGTCAGTAAGTGAGTGGGGGCATGAGGAGAGGAAAAGGGAAGTCAAGCAAAGTGTGCTATTTTTGGCCAAGTCTTATAGTAGGGAGCTTTGGCCTAAATCTACAAGGGAAACTTAGAGCATAAATTGAGTTGTCTGCCATAAATCAACTGGGAGGAACTTAGGTTTTCATACACTTGCATTATCAGTCATAGCTAAGAACACCCAAGGGCCATGTAAACTCCCAATTACTTCTCTCACAGCCATAGGGTAATCCTCTAAAAACAGACAAATGGACAGGCCATTGGAAATAAGAGTCCTGGACCTAGGAAGAAATTCAGGAAACAGTAAAGGAATTCAGGGAAACCTAGGTGGGTCACTGCAGTGACTACTACATCATTTTAAGCATTTATTGAGCGTTTGGTGGTGCCTAGAAAGCTGTGTGTGTGTGAGTGTGTGTAGAAAGCTATTTAGTTCTCACAATACCCTTAGAATTATCTCTGTTTTACATACTAAGGAACTAAAGTGTTCAGTAATTTGGAAGAGTGTTTAAAAAAAGGTCTGCAATAGAGCCAAGATTCAAATCCTGGTCTGTCTGAAGGCCATGTCCACAGTCACGTTATTCTCTCCTTATTATACTACCTCCTGGTCAGCCTCCTAACCAAAGTAAGAGGTGAAGTGCAGAAAGGATAGGAGAACTTGGGATAGGGTAAACAGAAGAAAAAAAAAAGCAGAGATGATAAAATAGTTTGTAACTAAGAAATGTTATAGCAAATGAGTGGGGATTATTCTATGGCCAAGAGAAGGGAAGACTGAGGAAACTTACTAATGATCTTCAAGTTCATGAAAGGGTTTAACACAGAATAGATTGGCCAGCTGTGCTCAAATTTCTACATAGTGAATTTAAAAAGAAAACTATTTGCTGTTATAGCACGAGGATTTTAGGCTGGATTGAAGAAAGTGTTCTCTGGGCAAAAGGGCTATTGAGCACTAGAGTGAAATCCTATAAACTCAAATTAGAAAGAAAAGAAAACAGAAAAGAAAAGAGAAAAATAAAAGAAAAGAAAAGAAAAGATGTGAGCACAGTCTGTCATGCTGTGCAAATGTATGAGATGTTACCTTGAACACAGCTGCTTCACACCTGCAACCTTCCACAGAGGGAGAGCCGTGAATTAAAAAAATAAAGCAGCGAACTTCATTGTAGCTGAGGATGCCAGGAAACCTGATGGCCTTCTAGAAACTATCATATTAATTGTTGTATTAGGGCAGAAACATGTACTGGTCTGGTTTAGTAGTTTGCTTCTTAATGCGAACTCTCTTTTTCACTTTTGTCCTTTCTCCCCCAAAGACAAACATTTCCAAGACATTATGTATATGTAAAAGAGCATTTTATGTAGAAGTACAAGAAATAACATTTGGTGATGCAACAATGTGGCACAGAGTCAATGACTGTTTAGATAGCAAACGGAATGGACTTTGACGGTACCTTGTGAAGTGGCACATATCATTGAATAATCTATTGTTTTGATGTCCTCTATGCACCCATAGACCCTGCCCCTGAAAATTTTCTGCATAACCAATTTAGATTTATGTATATATATATACACACACACATATATACACACATATCTCTATATATATACACACATACATATAGATATATATACATAAACACTCTCAATGATGTGTTGAGATGGTATGTACTGCAGCCAGACTTTAAACTAGCTCATTATTTTATAATGGGGTGTATACTAAAAATTTATTTTGAAGTCACTTACAAATGTGTTTTCCCCATCAACATTCTGCTGTAGATGTCATTATTTGGGGGCAGAATATCACTGTAATCACACCAAATTTACCTGTGAAGTTACTATTTTCCAGCTACACTGTAGACTAAATTAATAGTTCTGAGTTACTGGAGAAACTCGATCACCAGATCACTATTTCTCTGGAAAAAAATGAATTCCATTTTGAATTTGGAACTCCAGAAATATTTCCATCCTAATGTGCCTCTCAGTAGAGGTTTGTCAGAGGGTTTTCCACACATTGGGTAAAGCCAATTGTCAAAAGTCAAATGTTCCCTGAAATTGCTTTTCCTTTAACCAGAGTGGTGACTTGTGCTCTGTGAAAGAGAATTTTCCTTCCTTCCATTTTAATAGCAGGCTTTCATAGGATTGAAGAATTTGTACAAGAGCAACAATTATTATTAGCACCTACTATGTATTGGACACTATATTATTCATTGTATATATATTATCTTATGTAGCCTCCATAACAACCTTGGGATGTTATATTATTATCACCATTCTACAGAAGAGGAAATAGATGTAAAGAAGTCAGCTTGCTGGAAGTCCTATAAATAATAAATGATAGAATTGGGTTGTGCTGTGGTTTGAATGTCTCCTCCCAAATTAATGTTAAAATTTAATTGCCATTGTAACAGTATTAAGAGGTAGGACTGGTAAGAGGTAGATTAGGCCATGAGAGCTTCACCCTCATGAATGGATTAATCCAGCTTTCACAGGAGTGAGATCATTATAAAAGGCCAAATTTGGTCCTCTTTGTCGCTTGCCCTCTCTTGCCCTTCTGCCTTCCACCATGGGATAATGCCACAAGAAGGCCCTAATCAGATGCCAGCTCCTCAATCTTGGACTTAGCCTATGGAACTGTGATAAATATTTTTTCTCTTTAGAAATTACTCAGATACTGGTATTTTGTTATAGCAGCACAAAACAATCTAAGACAGGTTGTGAACTCTGGACTGACTGACCCTAAATTCAAGAGCCTTTTCATGGATGTTGTGGTGGACGTTTGTTGGTTGTGTGCCTGACATCCATTCTCCCTTACCATTATTTTCCTTTGGAAAATTTTACCTTCACTACCTGTCCCCCATACCACACCACATCACAGACATTTAGTTTGTATGGAATTGACCCCACTGCCTGTCTTAGGAGTGAGCCCAGATTGACTTAGGCCAACCACTATATTATATTCCTCTCCCTCATTTCCCCCTCCCATACTGCCTGGCTCAGAGATAAGTAGGTAGCTCAATCAGAGCCAATGAGATAGAAGGAGATATTTCCTTGTCACCTTGGAAGGAGAAGCTCCCTTCTTTAACTGTGTTGCAAAAGAATGTGAGTTCTGAAGTGGTGGAAACATTTTTTTACCTATAGGAGACAGCCTGTTTCTGGTGTGGCAACCACTGTGTAGAGCCTTAGTTTGAAGCCACTGGGGCAGAAGACAGAGGGAATCCAGGGTCAAAACAACAACTTTTGGACTCCTGGGTCAACCCTTATCTGAAGTAAGAGCGGCTTCTGGGCTCAATTGTAAACATATTTGCTCAAACAACAACTTGTAGTTTGAGCCACGTTATGGGGTTCGTGTCAATTTCAACATAAAGAGTTGTAAGTAACACAGGCACTCCCCAGGACTATTCCTTCATTAAAAACATTTACATCTTCCAAATCTCTGGTATGATGAGACTTGACTTCCACAATCACACTCCTGAAACAATTCAGCAACCTAATTAATCAAATAAGATTACATTCAGGCTATTCTCCTTGCTAAGTGAAAAAACTTGCCCACTTAAAATTTACGAAGATTCTGAGCAATACAGAATAAAAACAAAGAATGTTTTGGTTAATGATTTTAAGGTAGGCAGAAAAAAACTAATTAAACGATGCCTTTTTCTGATAATTCTAGTTAATTGGAGTTTTAATTCCAGTAGGAATAATAAAAACTGGGGTCTAAGTTTGGTAAGTAAAGTTTTCAAATTATTTATATTTGCTTAATTTAGAAAAATGTATGTACACATTCATTTCCCTGTGAGACATTAAAATATATGAACATAGATTAAGCAAAATATATTTTCCTTTATTGTGATAATTCCTTGTTATCTCCAGTCTTTCCCCCAAATGTGATAAGAATACATAGCTACAGAGGGAGGAGCCAAGATGGCCGAATAGGAACAGCTCCAGTCTACAGCTCCCAGCCTGAGGGACGCAGAAGATGGGTGATTTCTGCATTTCCATCTGAGGTACCGGGTTCATCTCACTAGGGAGTGACAGACAGTGGGCGCAGGTCAGTGGGTGCGCACACTGTGCTCGAGCCGAAGCAGGGTGAGGCATTGCCTCACTCGAGAAGCGCAAGGGGTCAGGGAGTTCCCTTTCCTAATCAAAGAAAGGGGTGACGGATGGCACCTGGAAAATCGGGTCACTCCCACCGGAATACTGCGCTTTTCCGATGGGCTTAAAAAACGGCGCATCACAAGATTATATCCCTCACCTGGCTTGGAGGGTCCTACCCCACGGAGTCTCGCTGATTGCTAGCACAGCAGTCTGAGATCAAACTGCAAGGTGGCAGCGAGGCTGGGGGAGGGGCGCCTGCCATTGCCCAGGCTTGCTTAGGTAAACAAAGCAGCGGGGAAGCTCGAACTGGGTGGAGCCCACCACAGCTCAAGGAGGCCTGCCTGCCTCTGTAGGCTCCACCTCTGGGGGCAGGGCACAGACAAACAAAAAGACAGCAGTAACCTCTGCAGACTTAAATGTCCCTGTCTGACAGCTTTCAAAAGAGCAGGGGTTCTCCCAGTAGGCAGCTGGAGATCTGAGAATGGGCAGACTGCCTCCTCAAGTGGGTCCCTGACCCCTGACCCCCGAGCAGCCTAACTGGGAGGCACCCTCCAGCAGGGGCACACTGACATCTCACACTGCAGGGTACTCCAACAGACCTGCAGCTGAGGGTCCTGTCTGTTAGAAGGAAAACTAACAAACAGAAAGGACATCCACACCAAAAACCCATCTGTACATCACCATCATCAAAGACCAAAAGTAGATAAAACCACAAAGATGGGGAAAAAACAGAACAGAAAAACTGGAAACTCTAAAAAGCAGAGCACCTCTCCTCCTCCAAAGGAACACAGCTCCTCACCAGCAACAGAACAAAGCTGGACAGAGAATGACTTTGACGAGCTGAGAGAAGAAGGCTTCAGACGATCAAATTACTCTGAGCTACAGGAGGACATTCAAACCAAAGGCAAAGAAGTTGAAAACTTTGAAAAAAATTTAGAAGAATGTATAACTAGAATAACCAATACAGAGAAGTGCTTAAAGGAGCTGATGGAGCTGAAAACCAAGGCTCGAGAACTACGTGAAGAATGCAGAAGCCTCAGGAGCCGATGCGATCAACTGGAAGAAAAGGTATCAGCGATGGAAGATGAAATGAATGAAATGAAACGAGAAGGAAAGTTTAGAGAAAAAAGAATAAAAAGAAACGAGCAAAGCCTCCAAGAAATATGGGACTATGTGAAAAGACCAAATCTACGTCTGATTGGTGTACCTGAAAGTGATGGGGAGAATGGAACCAAGTTGGAAAACACTCTGCAGGATATTATCCAGGAGAATTTCCCCAATCTAGCAAGGCAGGCCAACGTTCAGATTCAGGAAATACAGAGAACGCCACAAAGATACTCCTCGAGAAGAGCAACTCCAAGACACATAATCGTCAGATTCACCAAAGTTGAAATGAAGGAAAAAATGTTAAGGGCAGCCAGAGAGAAAGGTCGGGTTACCCTCAAAGGGAAGCCCATCAGACTAACAGCGGATCTCTCGGCAGAAACCCTACAAGCCAGAAGAGAGTGGGGACCAATATTCAACATTCTTAAAGAAAAGAATTTTCAACCCAGAATTTCATATCCAGCCAAACTAAGCTTCATAAGTGAAGGAGAAATAAAATACTTTACAGACAAGCAAATGCTGAGAGATTTTGTCACCACCAGGCCTGCCCTAGAAGAGCTCCTGAAGGAAGCGCTAAACATGGAAAGGAACAACCGGTACGAGCCGCTGCAAAATCATGCCAAAATGTAAAGACCATCGAGACTAGGAAGAAACTGCATCAACTAACGAGCAAAATCACCAGCTAACATCATAATGACAGGATCAAATTCACACATAACACTATTAACTTTAAATGTAAATGGACTAAATGCTCCAATTAAAAGACACAGACTGGCAAATTGGATAAAGAGTCAAGACCCATCAGTGTGCTGTATTCAGGAAACCCATCTCACGTGCAGAGACACACATAGGCTCAAAATAAAGGGATGGAGGAAGGTCTACCAAGCAAATGGAAAACAAAAAAAGGCAGGGGTTGCAATCCTAGTCTCTGATAAAACAGACTTTAAACCAACAAAGATCAAAAGAGACAAAGAAGGCCATTACATAATGGTAAAGGGATCAATTCAACAAGAAGAGCTAACTATCCTAAATATATATGCACCCAATACAGGAGCACCCAGATTCATAAAGCAAGTCCTGAGTGACCTACAAAGAGACTTAGACTCCCACACATTAATAATGGGAGACTTTAACACCCCACTGTCAACATTAGACAGATCAACGAGACAGAAAGTCAACAAGGATACCCAGGAATTGAACTCAGCTCTGCACCAAGCGGACCTAATAGACATCTACAGAACTCTCCACCCCAAATCAACAGAATATACATTTTTTTCAGCACCACACCACACCTATTCCAAAATTGACCACATACTTGGAAGTAAAGCTCTCCTCAGCAAATGTAAAAGAACAGAAATTATAAAAAACTATCTCTCAGACCACAGTGCAGTCAAACTAGAACTCAGGATTAAGAATCTCACTCAAAACCGCTCAACTACATGGAAACTGAAAAACCTGCTCCTGAATGACTACTGGGTACATAACGAAATGAAGGCAGAAATGAAGATGTTCTTTGAAACCAACGAGAACAAAGACACAACATACCAGAATCTCTGGGACGCATTCAAAGCAGTGTGTAGAGGGAAATTTATAGCACTAAATGCCCACAAGAGAAAGCAGGAAAGATCCAAAATTGACACCCTAACATCACAATTAAAAGAACTAGAGAAGCAAGAGCAAACACATTCAAAAGCTAGCAGAAGGCAAGAAATAACTAAAATCAGAGCAGAACTGAAGGAAATAGAGACACAGAAAACCCTTCAAAAAATTAATGAATCCAGGAGCTGGTTTTTTTGAAAGGATCAACAAAATTGATAGACCGCCAGCAAGACTAATAAAGAAAAAAAGAGAGAAGAATCAAATAGACTCAATAAAAAATGATAAAGGGGATATCACCACCGATCCCACAGAAATACAAACTACCATCAGAGAATACTACAAACACCTCTACGCAAATAAACTAGAAAATGTAGAAGAAATGGATAAATTCCTTGACACATACACTCTCCCAAGACTAAACCAGGAAGAAGTTGAATCTCTGAATAGACCAATAACAGGATCTGAAACTGTGGCAATAATCAATAGCTTACCAACCAAAAAGAGTCCAGGACCAGATGGATTCACAGCCGAATTCTACCAGAGGTACAAGGAGGAGCTGGTACCATTCCTTCTGAAACTATTCCAATCAATAGAAAAAGAGGGAATCCTCCCTAACTCATTTTATGAGGCCAGCATCATTCTGATACCAAAGCCGGGCAGAGACACAACCAAAAAAGAGAATTTTAGACCAATATCCTTGATGAACATTGATGCAAAAATCCTCAATAAAATACTGGCAAACCGAATCCAGCACCATATCAAAAAGCTTATCCACCATGATCAAGTGGGCTTCATCCCTGGGATGCAAGGCTGGTTCAATATACACAAATCAATAAACGTAATCCAGCATATAAACAGAGCCAAAGACAAAAACCATATGATTATCTCAATAGACGCAGAAAAGGCCTTTGACAAAATTCAACAACTCTTCATGCTAAAAACTCTCAATAAATTAGGTATTGATGGGACATATTTCAAAATAATAAGAGCTATCTATGACAAACCCACAGCCAGTATCATACTGAATGGGCAAAAACTGGAAGCATTCCCTTTGAAAACGGGCAGAAGGCAGGGATGCCCTCTCTCACCACTCCTATTCAACATAGTGTTGGAAGTTCTGGCCAGGGCAATTAGGGAGGAGAAGGAAATAAAGGGTATTCAATTAGGAAAAGAGGAAGTCAAATTGTCCCTGTTTTTAGATGACATGATTGTATATCTAGAAAACCCCATTGTCTCAGCCCAAAATCTCCTTAAGCTGATAAGCAACTTCAGGGGTGATCAGCCAGCCACCTGGTGGCAGGTTGATTATATTGGACTTCTTCCATTATGGAAAGTGCAGAAGTTTGTCCTTACTGGAATATACACTTACTCCAGATATAAGTTTGCCTATCCTGCATGCAGTGCTTCTGCCAAGACTACCATCTGTGGACTCACGTAATGCCTTATCAAGTGTCATGGTATTCCACACAGCGTTGCCTCTGACCAAGGCACTCACTTTACGGCTAAAGAAGTGTGTCAGTAGGCTCATGCTCATGGAATTCGCTGGTCTTCCCATGTTCCACATCATCCTGAAGAAGACGGATTGATAGAATGTTAGAATAGCTTTTTGAAGTCACAGTTACAATGCCAACTAGGCGACGATACTTTGCAGGGCTGGCGCAAAGTTCTCCAGAAGGCTGTATATGCTCTGAATCAGCGTCCAGTGTATGGTACTCTTTCTCCCATAGCCAGGATTCGCAAGTCCAGGAATCGAGGGGTGGAAGTGGAAGTGGCACCTCTTGATCATCACCATTCACTGTCACCCCTAGGGATCCACTAGCAACAGTTTTGCTTCCTGTCCCCACAACATTGCATTCTGCTGGCCTAGAGGTCTTAGTTCCAGAGGGAGGAACACTGCCACCAGGAGACACAACAGTTCCATTAAACTGGAAGTTAGTATTGCCACCTGGAGACTTTGGGTTCCTCCTACCTTTAAGTCAACAGGCTAAGAAAGGAGTTACAGTGTTGGCTGGGGTGATTTACCTGGACTATCAAGATGAAATCATTCTACTATTCCACAATGGAGGCAAGGAAGAGTATGCATGGAACACAGGAGACCCATTAGGGCGTCTCTTAGTATTACCATGCCTGTGATTAAAGTCAATGGGAAACTACAACAGCCCAATCCAGGCAGGACTACAGATGGCCCAGACTCTTCAGGAATGAAGATTTGGGTCACACCACCAGGAAAAAAACCATGAACTATTGAGGTGCTTGCTGAAGGCAAAGAGAATACAGAATGGGTAGTAGAAGAAGGTAGTCATCAACACCAGCTACGACTACGTGACCAGTTGCAGAAATGAGGAGTGTAATTGTCATGAATATTTCCTCTTGATTTTGTTAAAATGATGTTTATGCATGTACACACTTGTACTAAGAAAAATCTTCATTTTCTTTTTCCTTTATTATGTGACATAAGATTTATTGACTTCCTATCAGCATTTAAGTATTGTTAACTTTAGGTAATAGTATCTGGGTTGAGGATTGGTGCATTTCTGGTTTTATGAAGGATAGTTCTATGAAGGATAGTTGTATTATCTTAAGCATAATTATGACCTATTAATGTGTTTATTTGAAGAGTATGTATGATCTCAGGAGATGTGTGTGGGTACAAGCTGACAAAAGGTGGACTTGTGATGGTTAATACTGAGTGTCAACTTGATTGGATTGAAGGATGCAAAGTATTGATCCTGGGTGTCTGTGAGGGTGTTGTCAAAGGAGATTAACATTTGAGTCAGTGAACTGGGAAAGGCAGACCCACTCTTAACCTGGGTGGGCACCATCTAATCAGCTTCCAGCGAATATAAAGCAGGCAGAAAAACGTGAAAAGGCTAGATGGCCCAGCCTCCCAGCCTTTCTCCTGTGCTGGATGCTTCCTGACCTCGAACGTCGGACTCCAGGTTCTTCAGTTTTGGAACTCAGACTGGCTTTTCTTGTTCCTCAGCCTGCAAATGGCCTATTGTGGTACCCTGTGATTGTGTGAGTTAATACCTAATAAACTCCCCTTTATATGTATCCAATGAGTTCTGTCCCTCTAGAGAACCCTGGGTAACACAGGATGTTACAGATAAATTTGCTATGAATATTTGTGTACAAATCTTTATATTGACAGATACTTTAATTTTCTTGGGGGAAATACTTGGAAGTAGGTTGCATGGATTATATGCATGTGTGTGTTTTGCTTTTTAAGAAACTATCAAATGGTTTTCCAAAGTAGTTGAATCATTTTACATTTCTATCATCAGTGTATGAGAGTTTCAGTTGCTCAAAATTCTTGCTAAAACCAGATGCGGTGTATTTTTTTTTAAATTAGCCATTCTAATAGGTCTATAATGTTATCTCATTGTGATTTTAACTTAATGGTGTTGAGAATCTTTTCAGGTTTATTTGCCATCTATATGTTTTCTTTGGTGAAGTGTCTGTTCAAATCTTTTGTCCATTGTTTTCTTATTATTGAATTTTAAGAATTTTAAATATATATATATAAATATATTTTGGATATAAGTCTTAAATCAGATATGTGGTTTGCAAATATTTTCTCCCAAGTATCTGGTTTGTCTTTTCATTTTGCTAGCAGTGTGTTTCAAAAAATAGAAGTTTTAAAATTATGATAATGTCCAATTTATCTATATTTTATTTTACAGATTGTGATTTTGGTATCATATCTAAGGAATCTTTACCTAATCAAAGTTGCAGAAGTTTTCTCCTAAAAGTTTTATAGGTTTAAGTTTTACATTTAGGTCTATGATTCATGTTGAGTTAATTTTATGGTGCAAGATATAGATCAAAGTTTATTTTTTTTTCTTGCATATATATATATATCCAATTATTCCAGCACCATTTGTTGAAAAGACTAATCTTTCTCTACTGAATTGCCTTTGAAACTTTGTCAAAATCATTTGTCTGTATATGTGTGGGTCTATTTCTGGACTCTCTTCTGTTCCATTTGTCTATTTGTCTATCTTTACACCAGTACCAAACTGTCTTGATTATTGTAGCTTCATAATAAGTGTTAGTTCTCTAAATTTGTTCATCTTTTTTTTTCAGAGTTGTTTTGGCTATTCTGGGTCCTTTGAATTTTTATATCAATTTTAGAATCAGTTAATTTCTACAAAAAACCCTGCTAGAATTTTAACTGGGATTGGTTTAAATGTATGGATTGGTTTGGGAAGAGTGGCTTTCTTAGCATTATTGAGTCTTTTGACTAATGAACACAATATAGGTAGAACATCACTAATCTGAAAATCTGAAATTTGAAATGCTCTAAAATCTGAAACTTTTTCGGTAATGACATGATGCCACAAGTGGAAAATTACACATCTGACACCTTTGCTTTCTTATAGTTCAATATATACAAACTTTGTTTTCTGAACAAAAGTATAAAAAATTTTGTGTAAAATTACCTTTAGGCTGTGTACATAAGGTGTATATAAAACAAATGCATTTTGTCTTTAGACTTGGGTCCCATTCCCAAGATATCTCATTATGCATATGCAAATATTCCAAATCCAAAAAAATTTACAATCCAAAACACTTCTTGTCCCAAGCATTTTGGATGAGGAATACACAACCTGTATATCTCACCATTTATTTCGGTGATCTTTAATTACTTTCAGCAATGTTTTATAGTTATTCAGTGCACAGGTCTTTTACATCTTTTGACACTTTTATTTTTAATTATTTCATATTTTTGAGGCCATTTTTAATGGCATTGTTTTCAAAATATTAACTTCTGATGGTTCATTGCTAATATATAAAATAAAATGGATTTTTATATATTGATCTTTTATCCTGCAACATTGCTTCAACTCATTTAATAATTCTAGTAGCTTATTTCAAAAATATAGATTCCAGTGGATTTTCTACATGAATAATTATGTCATTTGTGAATAAAGAGTTTTGTTTATTTCTTTTCAATCTGGATACCTTTTATTTCTTTTTCTTGCTTTATTGCATTGACAAGAAATTCCAATATAATGTGAAAGAGAAGTGGTGAGAGTGGATATCTTGCTTTGTTCCTGATCTTAGCTATTCCTTATTTTTTTTAAGCTATATTTTCATAGAAGCCCTTCATCAAGTTGAGAAAGTTCCTTTTTTAAGGCAGTAAAATTCCTTTTTTAAAGCAAATAAAGAATGTATATTGATATTTGTCAAATACTTTCTTCTACATCTATTGAGATGATCATATAGTTAATACATTTCTTTTGTTTCTTTATTATTATGGAGTACATTAATTGATTTTTTGTTGTTAAACCAACCTTGCACACTTGGTCATGATGTATTATCCTTTAACCTGGTGTTGGATTTAATTTGCTCAAATTTCAGTAACAACTTTTTCAACAATGATCGTGAGGGATGTTGGCCTGCAGTTTTCTTTTCTTGTAATATCTCTATCTGTTTTGGACATTTAATTCTGGGCTTATAGAATGAGTTGAAGAATGTCCTCTCCTTTTCAATTTTGTGCAATAATTTGTGTAGAATGGACACTGTTTCTTCCTTGAATCTTTGGTAGGATTATCAAGTGAAGCCACCTGGACCTCCGCATTTCTTTGTGGGAAATTGTATAACTATTGATTTAATTTCTTTAATAGTGGAGGGCTATTTATATTACCTAATTTTTTTCTTGAGTTAGCTTTGGTAGTTTGTATCTTTCAAAGAATTTGTCCATTGTATCTAAGTTGTAGAGTTTATTCAAATAAGGTTGTATATAATATTCCCTTAGTGTCATTTTGATATTTGTAAAATTTGCCCTGGTTTCACTTCTTTCATGCCTACTACTGACAATTTGTATCTTCCTTCTTTTTCTCTGACCAGTCTGGCTAGGGATTTATTAATTTCATCAATTTTCTCAATTTTCTCAAGACTGACATATTATTTTGCTTTTGTATGTCTCAAAAGTCTTTATTTTGCTATCATTTTTGAAATACTTTTTTTTCAGTGGGTATAGAATTCTAGAATAGTTTTTCCCTCCCAATACTTTAAAGATATTGCCCTACTGTTTTTTACTTTTGCATTGTTTGTAACAGAAATTTACTGTTACCCTTATTTCTGTTTCTGTATACATATCTTTTCCTTCTACTGCTTATAAGATTTCCTATTTATCACCCATTTTGATACATTTTATTATTCTGTGCCTTAGTATTCTTTCTTTTATGTTTCTTTTGCTTAGGGTTTGCTAAGCTTCTTATATATGTGGGTTTGTCATTTTTATCAAGTTTGGAAAATTTTCATCCATAATATCTTCAAATATTTCCCCTCCATTATGACTTCAATTACTCATGTATTAGGCTGTTTGAGTTGTCCCACACCTAACACTCTGTCCAGTTTTTAACAGTTATGTTTTCTATGTTTCATTTTGGGTTGCTTCTATTTCCATGCCTTCAAGTTCACTAATCTTTTCTTCCTCAATGTCTAATCTGCTGTTAATTCTAGAAAGTATATTTTTCATCTTATACATTTTAGTTTTAATCATTAAAAGTTTGGTTTGGATCTTTTTATGCTTTTCATGTTTTTACTTAACTTTTTGAACATATGGAATACAATTATAATAACCATTTTAATATCCTTCTCTGCTAACTCTAACATCTGTGGTTAGTTCTTAATCAGATTCAATTGATTGATTTATCTCCTCATTATATATCATATTTTCCTGTTTCTTTTGTATGTCTGGAAATTTTTGTTTGAATGCCAGACATTGTAAATTATGCCTTGTGGGATGCTATATATTTTTGTGTTCCTATAAATATTCTTGAGCTTTATTATAGGACACAGTTAAGTTACTTGGAAACAGTTTGATCTTTTCTACCCTTGTTTTTAGGCATTGCTAGGTAGACCAGAGTAGTGTTAGTCATGGGTTAATTATTCATTACTACTGAATCAAGACCCTTCAGAATACCATACTCAATGCCACATAAATCTTGAGGTTTTCCAGTCTTCCTGGTGGATGGCAGGCACTATTCTCCCCAGTGAGTGCTCACTAGGTACATTTTGGGTGGTCCTTTCTCTGGTCGTAGGTAGTATCTTTACATGAATGCATTTACCCATACTCAGAATGAGGGACATTTTGTAGAAATCTGAAGTTCTCTCTCTGCACAGCTCTTTCTTTTCTGGTAATCTGTTCTGTGAACTCAAGCTGTTTTGGTCTCCTCAGACCCTCCATTTCATTTCCTCAGCTCATAGAGTCTTCTACACTCCACCTGGGTTCCCCTCCCTGTTCTCTGGCCTGGAAACTCCCTTAAGGTAGTAAGGTAGAGGAATCACAGAGTCCACATCACTTGTTTCACATATCTGAGGGCTCAGTATCCTGCATTGCCTGGTGACTCAGTGTCTTAAAAACTATTGTTCATATATTTTGTTTATTTTTTTGTTGTTTCAGGTGGAAGAGTAAACTGTTCCTGTTTCTCCATCTTGACAGGAAGCAGAAGTTCTCCTTAGCTGATTTTTCTTCTTGCCTTATACTGGGTTCTTTAACACCAGAACAAAAATAAATAAATAAAAGAATCTTCCAGAAATTCATGAAGAGACTTCAGGTATGCAGCATAGGTGTTTGACAACTACGTAGAGCAGTGGGCCAGTCTTAATTTGTTTCATTAATCTGGTAAAAAAAGAAGGATTTGCATGAAATTCGCAATTCAGATTGCCATATTAGCCACTAAGTCAGAAGACTTGAGAGCTGAGCCTTGGAGAAACAAAATCCTTGACAGTTGTTGATGTTTTTGTAATAGGAGACTTCTATTATTTTAGCAAACAGAAAGACTACATAAAAATGTCAGAAAGAAACTACTTTTGGAGAAAAAAATAGGAACTGACTCACTAAAGGGACCTATTGGGGATAATTACCCAGAGCCTGTGGTAGATCAGGATGGCTGATTTAAAGTTATTGTTTTTGCAAATTCTGCAAAAAACAAAAAAACAAACAAAGATTTTTTTTTCTTGGCTTTAGCAATAGTGGAAAAATTTCTTCCACAGCTGTAATCTCATGTAAACTGCCAAAGTGGATTTTATTCTCTGAGTTTCTCAAGCCTCCTTTTCTCTAATACAGAGTAATATTGGCTAATGATAAAACAGTACAAACTATAATTTGAAATAGTGTTTCAATTTTCAATTTGCAGTCTGGGAATAGATCACAAGAATTTTAGTTTGTTGGTTTCCTGCTGCCGTAGGTCAGGAAAGCCTGAACTTTCTCATCCAACACCCGTTCAAGTCGGAGGATGCTGATTAATTCATGATGGAAAGGTATCAATTTCACAGCCCAGACCTCTACATTCTTGAAATGCTCTTCTCATGGGAGACATTAAATAAGCTTTGAATTAACTGTAAGTAAATAAATATTCAATTATTTGAATAGCACTATATTCTGTTTCATTAAAAATATTTCTTACTTGATTTTTCTCACCAATAAAAGTATTCAAAAATGTTTAATTCAATCATCATCACATCAAGAATTACGATATTATCTCCGAATTATATAAGTGATTTTCTGGTCATGCACATACCAGTTGTTCTTACTCTATATAAATGTACTTTTTTGTTAAAATATAATCATTTAGTTTAAAATTGAGATATCCTTGTTACTGGAGAATTTCAAATATATTTAACAACAACAATAAAAAGCTTAAATATAAATAGCAAATGTGAGTAAGCATGGGATAATTGAATGGCTTTTTATATTTTTGGAAGTCAATTCCATCTTCATAGATTAATTCTTCCAGGTTTTAATTCACATTGAGTTCTAATGGCTGACACCATTTTTCCTCCTCTGTATCTTCTTCAGAATATGGACATCTTGGGTTGTTGTGAGAATGGAGTTACCAAAGTTATAATCAGTTAAACACTAAGCAAAGTGTTATGGCAAAGTGTAGTCAAGTGCATTTCCTGTCAGATGGTCAACACCTTAAGTGCTTGAGGTTGAAGAGAATTGTTTTCATCTCTGTTGATAGGAAGAACCAATGATGTGATCCCTGGATACTGGCAATTGTTGCCCAAGAAAACCTCTCCCCTTGCTGTGGGACTGCTGGGCACCCAAATAATGCACCCAAATAATTTGATAGCTCTTGTTACACAGCTCTTCTTGGACTAAAAGGCCCTCAGCATTCCTGTCAATTTCTACACTCCTGAAGCTTCATCTGGTAATTCCCTGACTTATGCAGTACCACCCCACTCCTAGAGTGTCTTTAGAGGTGTTTGCTTTCTTCTTAAAGCTATTATCCTCTTGTTCTTCGAGGGCTTATTCTTAGGGGACTTGGAGGGCTTATTAAGCCCTAAGACTCAATCATTAGCAACCAAAAAATTAACTTCTACTCTCCCAAGGTCAGGGACAGCATAATCTTAAAATACAGTGGTTAGGGAAAATATTTGCATAACGTATTTTAAAGAATGCACAGGAAGGGAAGGCAAATATAGAGGAGGAAGATGATTTAAGAGAGTAGAGCAGAAAATATACAGCTGCCACAAAAATTTAGAATTGCAGAACCAGCTAAAGGTAGGTGTTTGTTCTGCTTACTAATAAAGCATACACCAAATACAATTATTTGGAAGCCTATAATTTTTTAGGGTAAAATTTTTTAGGTGTTCTTCTAGTCTTACCCCATTATTTTAAAGATGTAAAAACTGGATCCCAAAGAGGAGAAATGACTTGGTTAAGCTCACACAGAAACTAGAATCCTACATCCTTTGTATTGTATCAAATGCTTTTATGATTACCATATGCTGCCTTTTTAAGGCCTGTGATCTCCAGAGAGAGATTTCAGCTTTTTGATATGCCAAACTAAGGAATTCTTAGTTGGCCTTTTTTTTCTTCTTGAGTTTGTGCTTGCTTAACCTAATGAGTAGGTAATAACCCTGTGTTTCCGAATTTCTTAAATCAGACTTTTTGGGGGATGAAATTTTGTTAATGATTCTGTTAAGAAATAATGTCTTTTACACTTTCTCAGCTGAAAGGCAAGGGGATGCAGGATGGAGGTTAGAAATACACAGCTGCCATAGTCTAATTCTTATATAGATATTATTGAGTGATTAAATGATCAAGAAAACTGCCTACTGCTTCTCTTTACTTTTCTGTATTTAGCAGGAACATGACCTTTTCTTTTTGATCCATAATGAGAGAGATGAAGAGAATATGAGAGAATATATGAGAAATGAAAGTGTGCTAAGAATCCACATAATTAAACACCCAAACACTTAGTTTATCATTCAAGATCCTTCATGATCTTGCCAATCTATTTTCCCAACTATATCCCATATTATCTCCCTTTGCATACAGTTTAATCCATACACTAAATAACTTGCTATTCTTTAAATGCTTTGTTTTTCTACCTCTGCCTCTATTTTCATACTGCTTTCTCTACCTGACATTCTCTGTCCCCAAACTGTTGCTATTCAAATTTGACTTAGCTTGGGTTACCTGAGATATAGACACTGAGACAAGCTTTTAAGGTTGAGTAATTTGTTAGAGAGTAAAGGTAGGAGAATGATTAAGTGAAAGAATGAAAGAAAGTTTATTTTGGAAGAGCATGTTATCAAGACAGCTTTCAGTTCCAGGAAGCAACTGAAGCATAATCCCACAGGGAAAGCTCTTGAAGCCCAGACAAGCTATTCTGCCTTAAAGTTATCCTACCCAAGGGGTAAGGGAGCTAAGTATTTATACACCAACACTCTTCAGATATTGCTTGAGAGCTGCTCCTAGAGACATTAATTCCAGAAGCTTCCAACCTGTTGAACAGGTGGCAGAGTGAGTTTCAGCAGTGAGAGGACACCCTTAACAAAGAACTACTGGTGCTAGGAGTTGGAAGTTGGGCCAAAGGGAAACAGATGCTAACAGGGAGGTAATATGAGAGGCACTGACAGCATCTGCTACAAAACTGTCCCCAAAAGAAAAGATGGGATACAGCTGGTTATGCTGCAGTTAAAAAGCAACCAAGTATTAATGGCTTAATACCACAAAAGTTTATTTTTCACTTCTTGTTATCAGGAGACCTCTGTGGATTCTATAACTCAAAGACCCAGGCTGACGGCTGGTGGAATAGCTACCATCTCAAACATGGCGTGATGCTGCATCAGAGAGAAAAATAAGCTCTTGCATTGACAATGAAATGTCTACCCTGTAGTGACTTGTGCTTACTTCCACTCACAAGTGATTGCCCAGAGCTACTTACCTGGCTCCAATCTACCACTGGGTGTGTACTTGCAATCTACCATGTACCTAGAAGATGAGAGAAACAAATTATTAATGATGACCACACCCCAATACTAACAACAATTGCAGAAGAATCAATGACTTAAACAAAAATGTGGCCATTGAAGGAATAGAAAATATAGTGAGTTTAGTGTAAATTTAAAAGTGATTTATAAGTAACATACAAAATCCAGAAACTATAAGAAAACAGATTCACAAATATAAATATATAAAGCTTTAAAAAAGTTTAATGTAACAAAAATGGCATAAAAGGAGTCAAAAGTTTTTAAAAAATATGTTAATGCAGTAGATTAGGTGCTAATTTTCTTAATATACTAATAACTCAATAAGAGAAATTTTGTATCTAGAAGAAAATGAACATGGAAATAGGCAATTCACAGATAATGGCATTCATCTGGCGAATAAAAAAATGTGTGACATTCAGAATAAAATAAAAATGAAATACTGGTTTTCAGCCATCACTTGAGCAAAACTGCAAAGATACAATGAGACTCAGGCATTCCCATATACTGTGGATGGGAGGGCAAAGACCTTCAACCTCTAATTTTATTTCTATTTTTAAACATGTATGTTAAAATTTTAAATGCTAATGTCCTCTTGACCCAATAATCTTATGTCTAAGATTTGAATCTGGAGATAAACTTGAACAAATGCATCTAGATTTATGTATAAGTATTAATATAGTTTAGATGTGTGTTCCCACCCAAATCTCATATTGAAATGTAATCCCCAGTGTTGGAGGTGGGTCCTGGTGTGAGGTGATTGGATTATGGGGGTGAATTTCTCAGGAATGGTTTAACATCATCCCCTACGGCCCTGTCCTTGCATAGTGAGGTGAGTTCTTCTGAGATCTGGTCATTTAAAGTGTGCAGCACCTCCCCGCCTCACTCTCTCTTGCTCCTGCTTTTGCTATGTGATGTGTGAGCTACTGCTGTGCCTTACACCATGATTTGAAGCTCCCTGAGGCCTCCCCAGAAGGAGATGCTGCCATGCTTCCTGTACAGCCTGCAGAATTGTGAGGCAATTAAACCTCGTTTCTTTATAAATTACCCAGTCTCACGTATTTCTTTATGGCAATGCAATAATAGACTAATACTAATATGTTCAGTGAAACATTATTTGTCATTATAACACCCCCATCCACCAATGTCCATAGATAGGAGATTAGCTGAATGATTTATAGTACATACTTATAACGAAGTATTATACAGCCATTGAAAAGCCTGAAATAGACTTTTGTGGGCTGAAACAAAAAGCCTAGGATAGAATATTGATGAAAAATGAAATACAAAAAGCAATCTATAGTGTGATTCCACTCGTGTGTGTGTCTTGCAGATGCATAGACAATTTGTGAGCGAATACGAGAATGTTAAGAGTGGCAGCCTTTGGGGAGGGCTAATAGTTCAGGGAGATAGAGCAGGGCTGTAGAGGATGTCAATTATTTTTTGGCGATGCTCACTCACCATTCCTTGTCTTTATAAAAAAAACCCTTCTCACTCACATACATGCTTTGAAGAAGGTGCTTCATTACTTCAACTCCAGAGATGCAAGATGAGACCCAAGCCTGGTAAAAGAGCCTACCCAATTTCACTACCCACATTGACTCATCAAGGGTGTTATGAGTTGAAAGTTGGTCAAACCTGAGAGAGTTTTGGGACTTGTATGTGAGCCCCTGGGACTATAGAAAACTCTTTTCTTCTGAGTGTGAGTCTGGAGGATGTATGCTTGAACTACTCCAGCCTATGAATGTTATGAAAGAGGAAACAAAACAATGAGGAAGAAGCATAGCGGATATGTCCAGAACAGATCATTGGACATTTCAGTTAAATAAACAACAATAAACAAACAAACAAACAAACAAACAAGCAATTTTTCCCCTTAGGGAACTTTGAATTAGGACCTATCTAGATGAGTTCTTTTCCTTTATTTTAATATTATGTTCAGTTTGAATAAATATATGTAGTTTTGTAGTAAAAAGCATTTTGTAAATAAGAAGGTTCTATCCACTTTGTAATCACACTTTTAAAAAGATGCACAATAGAAAGCTTGGATATATAAACTGAGACATTTCTAAATGTAATACAAGACAGCCATTAAAAAATAATGAGGTTTATTTATGTGTATTCATGTGGAAAGATACTCTAAAAGAGTGAGAAAATATCAGGTTCCAGAAAAATCACTTAGAATACATTTTCATTTATATAAAAGAAAAAGATGTTTATATGTTTATTACAATCCAAAAAGCTATACAGCAGATTAATCAGTTCCTAAGTATGGGGTTATGGGTGGGGGACTTCACTTCCTATTTTATACACTAATGTATGTAAATATTTTATCCCCATTCTTAGGTGATAAAGACCTCAAGGATGAGTTTCATCTCATCTTTGAATTCTTCAGATCACCTGCTCATATTAGATAACAAATATATGTTTGTGGAGTAAATGAGTTTGGAAAAAAGAAAACATAAAATTAATTAAGAGGAGGATTTTACTTCATAGAATAAGGAAAATCCAGCAGTTTTGTGTGTGTTAAAGGCAAATTTCCAATATTAGCAGATCCATAGGCTTTGAAAAAATAATCAGTTCACAAGACCCACCTCCCCCAATTCTAGCTGGTCCTTTGCAGCTAGAGTTACTCAGAGAATAAGTAACATTTTATGTGTTTTTTTTTTTTAACTGGAGATTTTTTTCATAGAGGTAGTAATAGTTAGGATATTTTAGGGTTATGCTATAGTAACAAGCCCAAAATCTCGGTGGTTTCAAAAGTAAAAGTGTATTTCTTATGTTTGAAACCACTGAGATTTCATGCCACATTTCCAAAGCAAAGTAGCAGTAGTACTGTTCATTCTAGTCACTCAAGAACTCAGCAGATGAAGTCTCTGTCTCAAAATGTGCATCCACAATCACACTGGAAAGGAAAAGTCATGGCAAATTCTGCAATGTTTCTTCAAATTGTCATCTGGAGGTGACGTACACTCTTAGGTTTCATTGGACCATGCAAATCACATGAACATGTCTCACTTCAAGGAGGTAGGGAAGTGCCGTCTTACCACATGCATTTTCTGAAGAATGATAGATGAGATTTACTTCCATGCAACATTACCCACATTTACATACTTTTCAACATTCCAGTTTGGTGTCCCTTCCTTGAAGTCTATTTAAAAATGCTTGTATCATAACCACTTGCCCACAAATTACTTCCCAGAACACATGATTTTACCTATTAGCAGTGTGTTAACAATTTTGTTTAAAATAAAAATTCTCTTGACTTGTTAATTGCCATTTTCAGCAAATGCAAAGCAAACTGCAGCACTGCCATGTTCCCTAGGGTGAGTGGGAGGCTCAATAAATACTAAGGGGTGAGAATATTTGCCTTGATTAAAATGATAAAGTAAATACTTATATTTGAAAATGTTAATCTGAGTAATAAGAGCTCTAATTTTTTTAGTCATCATGCATGATATAAAATATATAATTTATTGTGAAATAAACTGCCCTAAGTAGGCCAAATATTGTCACCTTTACTGGCTAATTTGAATTCCAGCATATATAAACTTCCTGCTCATTTTTGGTATTATCATAACATTCTTTGTTTTATAAAAAAATTTTTTATTTGTATTGTTTATAGCAGAGATGTTATTCTACACATTTTCTGTTCAAGTTTCACTTATTTATAAATATAGTCATTTAAATTTCCATTGCCAAATTCACACATTTAATAGAAATAAATTTGAAGCAACCTTGATAAACACAAATGAAAGTAAAAAAACACAGAGTATTACAGTTTCTAAGAATACATTTAAAGCTGTGTATATCAATCAGAAATAACAGGCCATATTCAACCACCAGAAAAATGACTAAGGCTTTACTTGAATAGTCTGCGAATCCTTTGCAACGTTATTGAGTATAATTTTATTTAGCATAGCACTGAGGCACTAAGTGCTGTCTAGTGTTTCCAAGCAGAAGAAGCCCCTGTGATGTACCTTATGAGGAAAATGACAAACTTATTTGTGTTAAATAAGCTTCATTCATGTAACATGAATATCAGGCATGCATTATAGTGCTTTTGGCTCTGAGTTCAATATTAATGAATCAACTACATATATGTTAAATAATTGCAATAAATATGTTTGGCATCATGGGAATGAGTAATTAAATTATGTCATAAAACAGAATATTATGATATTTATTAAAAATTTAAATTATCAATAGTGGAAAAGAAAAATGCATAAGTTGTCTACTGGAACTATTTAGAACAATATGCATAGGAGGGAACTACAACAAATTATAAAGAGGATTATCTCTGTGTGCTGGGATTAGAGGGATTTTTATTATTTTGTATTATTCTCTTCCTTGTAAATTTACCATTTCAAGTATTTTAGGGTGATAAAATTTATTAGTTTTATAATTAGAAAAATTTATACTTTTTTTGTCTTCATACCAAGATATTATATTGTGGGTCGTTGGTTTTATCTGCACTAGGTCAGACGTTTGCTGAATTCAGTTCTGAGCTTTTGAACCAAAAGCAGATCTTCAGAACAAGAAACAAGATAATAAAAGAGAAACATGAAGAAACTGAAGATGATTGGAGAAATATGAATCAAGATGATTAGACCTAGCAGAGGGCTGGCTGGATGGCATTTATGTTGACAATGGACTCCTACACAGAGGATGATCATGGTCTAGGACATAATAGTCATTCAATCATCATTTCTTAAATGATTTTTTAAAACAAGTGAATGAATGACCAATTATATACCTTCCCTGAGCCAATAAAATATATTAAAAGTATAGGCCTGGGCACAGTGGCTCATGCCTGTAATTCCAGCACTTTGGGAGGCTGAGGTGGGCGGATCACGAGGTCAGGAGTTCAAGACCATCCTGGCCAACATGGTGAAACCCTGTCTCTACTAAAAATACAAAAATTAGCTGGGCAGTGTGGCATGTGCCTGTAATCCCAGCTACTCGGGAGGCTGAGGCAGGAGAATCTCTTGAACCAGGGAGTTGGAGGTTGCAGTGAGCCAAGATCGCACCACTGCACTCCAGCCTGGTGACAGAGTGCGACTCCATCTCAAAAACAAACAAACAAACAAACAAACAACAACAAAAAACAACTCCAAAAAACAAACAAACAAACAAAAAAACCCTAAAATTAGCTGGAGAATTGCTTGAATCCAGGAGGCGGAGGTTGCAGTGAGCTGAGATTGCACCATTGCACTCCAGCCTGAGTGACAGAGCAAGACTCTGTCTCAAAAAAAAAATGTATAGAAAGAGTTTTATATTTGATAAAAATTTACATAAGTTCATTTAAAATATGGATGACATTCTATTGGCTTTTTCCAGAAGGAGTTGGGGGAAGAATTAGAAAGTGAAAGGGTAAATCAGGGTGCTAAGTATGATATAACAAGGAATCTTATAGACCTAAATTGGGAGGTTCCCTAAGGAATGGCCACAAAGACCCAACTCCAAGCAATAAGCTTTCTAAGCCTGGCAAACACGACATACAACAATGGGTGACTGGTTTCTGAATTCTGAGGTATTCGTGTTTTAGAGAAAATTGTTTCACAAAGGTAACACCAACTATGCAAAGTACTTTATCTAGTCTAGAGAAAGTCTGAGGTTAAATGATTATTTATAAGTTATTAACACACTTCTGGAGAGAAACAGCCTTAGTTAAATTCCTTTTATCTACTAATGTCGAATTTAGAAAATACTGATTCTTTAATATAAGGTATCCATAGATAACTATTTTTTTTCTAAAGGTATGTCAGCAATATTTGCATCTTCAAGGAACACACTATCTACTACACACACACACACACACACACACAACACTCACACACATGTACAGTCAAGCCTTATTTGTGGATTGCATATCTGTGAAATTGCCTACTCACTAAAATTTACCTGTAACTCCAAAATCAGTACTTGTTGCACTTTCACTGCCATTTGAGGACATGCAGTTTCTTGCACCCAACCTCATCCCAGCTGAAGTTGGACAGGAACAAACCCTGCCTGCTTGTTCAGTTCTCATTCCCTAAACAAGCATTCTTTTTATTGTCTATTTAGTGCCACATCTTTTTATTTTTGCATTTTTGTGCTTTTGGTGATTTCTCTGTTTTAAATGGCCCCAAGTATAGTGCTGAGGCACTGAAGTGCTATCTAGTGTTTCCAAGCAGAAGAAGCCTGTAATGTACCTTATGAAGAAAATGACATAATTTCAAGTGTTAAATAAGCTTTATTTATCTAACATGAATATGAGGCATGAGTTATAGTGCTGTTGGCTGTGAATTCAATGTTAATGAATCAACTATATGTATTAAATAAGGTTTATTTAAATAGAAACACACATAAAACAAGGTTATATGTTGATTACTTAATGAAAATGTTATGACCAAAGGTTCACAGGAAACTAACTCTGTATTTCCCACGGGGAAATTAGTGAATGGTTTAGTATTCACTAACTCAGTGTTTATGGAGACTTTATAGAAAATAACTACCAGAAAAAAATACATATATAACATATATTATAATTAATACAATAATATGTATACACACACAAAGACACACATACACAAACTATGATCTCATTTTAAATATATTCATAAAAATACTTGATATTAAATAGAAGTCTTTACTGATGTATATTTTTACACTATATATGTACCAATGTCAGGCTTATGTTCATTACTTTTATAAAAGCTGTTAACATTTCCATTGCAGAGGAATTCTCTCTAAACCATAAAACTATATCAAGTTGGCCAGGCATGGTGGCTCACGCCTGTAATCCCAGCACTTTGGGAGGCCGAGGCAGGTGGATCACGAGGTCAGGAGATCAAGACCATTCTGGCTAACATAGTGAAACCCCATCTCCACTAAAAATACAAAAAATTAGCCAGGTGTGGTGGTGGGCACCTGTAGTCCCAGCTACTTGGGAGGCTGAGGCAGGAGAATGGTGTGAACCCGGGAGGCAGAGCTTGCAGTGAGCCGAGATCACGCCACTGCACTCCAGCGTGGGCAACAGAGTGAGACTCTGTCTCAAAAAAAAAAAAAAAAAAAAAACCCAACAACAAACTATATCAAGTTGTTGTTTTAGAGTCTTAATCGAAATCTTGTTTTTTGGTTTTTTGTTTGTCTGTTTTTGTTTGTTTGTTTGTTTTTTAAATAGAGTCTCCCTCTCTTTCCCAGGCCAGAGTGCAATGGTGCAATCTTGGTTCACTACAACTTCTGCCTCCTGGGTTAAGTGATTCTCCTGCCTCACCCTCCAGAGTAGCTGGGATTACAGGCACATGCTGCTGGGCTCGGCTAATTTTTGTATTTTTAGTAGAGATGGGGTTTCACCATGTTGGCCAGGCTGGTCTCAAACTCCTGACCTCAAGGGATCTGCCCGCCTTGGCCTCCCAAAGTGCTAGGATTACAGAAATATTATTTTATTGTACATTTTTCTAATATATATATCATGACCACTACCAAAATACACATGAAACTCAAAGGTGGAGAGTTTTTTTAAGCAAGGACATCTGAATACATAGATACATGTCGTTATGATGTGGGTGAATTTTCACACAGAAAATAGAAGTATGCAGAAGTCAAATGTATTTTTAGTAAACAACTTTAATTTCCATCCTTACCTACAAACTGCTTGTTGGGCAACAGCTTAATATTGCTATTCTTAAGTAAACTCAGTCACTTCAGGATATAAACTTGGTAGATTTAGAATTTAAGCTCTGTCAACTTAAGGAAAACATGTTTTTATCCTTCTTTTGCTCTTTAGGATTATATCTAAGTTCTGTGAGGACATGGCATCAGTCCGAAGGCGGCTTTTTGATCTCTGTAATATTGTCACCCCCAAGTCATTAATCAGATCACTACTTCTCCATATTTTTGTGCTGGTGTTCACTACTAACACTTGTGGTCCAACCACGATCTCTGGCTGCATCTTTATCCTGTGCATCCTTATCTTCTAAATCCTAAAGTCCTTTTGGTTTTGTTGTGCCCTTTCAGCTCTTGGGATACAGAAAGTCTCGGCTACTTTCTTTTGCCCCAGGCTCGACTATATGGACTTCATCAAGCTGCTATGCAAACACATTTGCAGATCAGTTCTTGTTATTCTATAAGGCCAAAGTGTCCCTGAATTCTGCTCTAGTTATCCAGACACTAGCCTGCCATGAAGTCTATAAGAAATAGAGTGGCATAAATAAGAAAGAATGATAATACCATGTGTCAGTAAGGATGTGAAATAACTAGAATTCTCATACTTTCCTGGTGGGAATGCAAAATGGCTCAGTCCCATTGGAAACATTTTGGCAGTTTCTTGTTAAAATAACTATAGATTTATTATACAACTCACCATTTGCATATCTAAGTATTATTCCAAGAGAAATAAAAAGTTATCTAATGAGGCCGCAGACCCTGCCCAGCAGCCAGCACCTGGCACAGGCCCTGCAGCCGAGCTGTACAGTGGCACCATGCAGGTCACCCTGAAGACCCTCCAGCCGCAGACCTTGACCTGCAAGATAGACATTGACCCCGAGGAGACAGTGAAAGCACTGAAAGAGAAGACGGAATCTGAAAAGGGGAAAGTTGCCTCTCTGGTAGCAGGTCAAACATTAATTTATGCAGGCAAAATCCTCAATGATGATACTGCTCTCAAAGAATATAAAATTGATGAGAAAAACTTTGTGGTGGTTATGGTGACCGAACCCAAAGCAGTGTCCACACCAGCACTAGCTACAACTCAGCAGTCAGCTCCTGCCAGCACTACAGCAGTTACTTCCTCCACAACAACAACTGTGGCTCAGGCTCCAACCCCTGTCCCTGCTTTGGCTCCCCCTTTCACACCTGCATTCATCACTCCAGTATCAGTGACAGTGTCCTCTGAACCTGCAACTGCTAGTGCAACTAAACAAGAGAAACCTGCAGAAAAGCCAGCAGAGACACCAGTGGCTACTAGCCTGACATCAACTCATAGTACATCAGGAGATTCTTCTTGGTCAAACCTTTTTGAAGATGCAACGAGTGCACTTGTGATGGGTCAGTCTTACGATAATATGGTAACTGAGATCATGTCAATGGGCTATGAACGAGAGCAAGTAATTGCAGCCCCAAGAGCCAGTTCCAACAACCCTGACAGGGCAGTGGAGTACCTTTTAATGGGAATCCCTGGAGATAAAGTCAGGTTGTGGTTGACCCCCACCAAGCAGCTAGTACTGGGGCTCCTCAGTCTTCAACAGTGGCTGCAGCTGCAGCAACTACGACAGCAACAACTACAGCAAGTTCTGGAACATCCCCTTGAATTTTTATGGAATCAGCCTCAGTTTCAACAGATGAGACAAATTATTCAACAGAGTCCTTCCCTTCTTCCAGTGTTACTACAGTAGATAGATTGAGAGAATCCTCAATTACTTCAGCAAATTAGCCAACACCAGGAGCATTTTATTCAGATGTTAAATGAAACAGTTTGAGAAGCTGGTGGTCAAAGAGGAAGAGGTGGAGGTGTCAGTGGAGGAATTGCAGAAGCTGGAAATGGTCTTATGAACTACATTCAAGTAATGCCTCAGGAAAAAGAAGCTACAGAAAGGTTAAAGGCATTAGGATTTCCTGAAGGACTTGTGATACAAGCATATTTTGCTTGTGAGAAGAATAAGAATTTGGGTGCCGATTTTCTTCTACAGCAGAACTTTGATGAAGATTGAAAGGGAGTTTTTTATATCTCACACTTCGCACTAGTGCATTACACCAGCTTGTTCACTGGATTGTCTGGGATGACTTGGGCTCATATCCACAATACTTGGTATAAGGTAGTAGACGGTTGGGGGTGGGGAAGGAGGGATCTAGGATATAGGACAGGGATAAATACAGTGCATATCTGCTTCAATTAGCAGATGCTGCAACTCCACACAGTACGTAAAATATTATATACAACCAAAAATCAGCTTTTGCAGGTATTTATTTCTTCTGTAAAACAGTAGATAACTTTTCCTTGGTTTCACTTGGTTTCCTTGGTTTTTATAGTGTACTAGATCCAGAAACTTAATATAATGCCCTGCTTTATATTTCTTTGACTTAACATTGGTTTCAGAAAGAATCTTAGCTACCTAGAATTTACAGTTTCTGTTTCATGGCAACACTGGATTATGACTTTGTGAAATGTAAAAGAATTTTGTAGTGACTGTAAACAGAAATGCCAACTTATTGATAGTTAATTGTTGCCGCTTCAAAAATAAGTATAAAATTAATGTGTAAAGAAGCCCATTCTTTCATGTTAAATACTTGGGGTGGGAAGGGAGAAAGGGAACCTTTTCTGAAAATGAAAATAATTACTGCTATTTTAAAATTTCTTGATCATTGAATGTGAGACCCTTCTAACGTGATGTGAGAAGCGGTACAAGTATAGGCAGAGTTATCTTCCTATTTACATTTTTTTTTGTTTTGGGAAAAAATTAGTAGGTGTCTAATTACTGTTTACTTCATTGTTACATTGCAGTAAAAGTTTTAAAACAAAACAGACAAACAAAAGTTATCTAACGAAGACATGTTTACAACTGTTCAGGAAACTTTATTCATAATTACCCCCAAATTGAAATAACCTAAATATCAACTGATAAATGGATAAAGAAACCATGCTATAGCTATATAATGTAATACTACTCAGCAATAAAAAAGAATGAAATGCTGATACAAGCAATAGTATAGATGGCTCTCAAAAACACTAGACTGTGCAAAAGTAGTCAGATCAAAAAAAGTACATACCAAATGATTCCATTTATATAAAACTAGAAAGAACAAGTCTAATTTACATGGACGGAAAGCAAACCGTTGACTCTCTGGGGCTGGAGGTGTTGATGGGGTTGGCTCGGAAAAAGGTAGGGAAGCTTTCTGGGATGATGAAAATGTTCTATATCTTCATTTGATGATGGTTGCATGAGTTAATAAATTAGCCAAAACTCATCAAAATGTACACTTCAAATGGGTACATTTGGTGTATGTTAATTACATATCAATAGAGTTGATTTTAAAATAATCTAGAAGCTCAATTTACTTCTTTATTCTCTTTGGACTCTTTTGGTCCTCCCATGGGAAACAAAAAATGCATGAATGCCTTTGACTTTTGTGATCAGGAGCAAAGTTGCAGAATCTACACAGGAAAACCTAAGTTAATATCTCCAAATTTCATATGCTTTATTCTGATGAAAGTGAGAGGTGATATAAGGAGAGACCATTTTGCAAGTATAAGATATAATGTAATAGGTCCAAATAGAGACACTCATTAATCTTCCCAATATGCCAAAGAGTGTTAAGTGTTGAGAGTCCATCCAAGAGTAAGACATTTGACTGAATGCATCTGAGTATAGGAACCTTGCCTGTCTGTTCTATGTTGCATTCCCAGTGCCTAGCACTGTATGCCTGCTACATGCTTATTGAATTGTTGAATGAAGACATGCTTACTTTTATCATAGATGTTAAAATCTAGTGCAAGTGGCAGGCAGAGATTCATGTAATTTTAATAGACAGATAATTGCTGGGTGATGACACATTCAGTGCTATGAGAATAGAGAGGAGGAACAATTAGCCCAAACTGAAGTTTCTGGAAAGTCCTTATGAAGGAGATGTATCCATGCTGAGAAAAGTGAATTTGAGCAAAACAAGAGAAAAGGTGTAATATGTCAGACAGAAAAATATAGTCTATATAGGGGCATGGAGATTTGCTAATTCATTCAAAGAATATTCAGTGCAGCACTCTTATGTGCTAAGTACTGCTGTAGGGGCAGAAGACTGAAGATGACTAAGAAAATAATCCCTGTCCTCATAAATTTTATATGCTAATGGAGGAGGCAGATAATTTTTTAAAATACCCGCTTAATTTAGAATTGTGCTGAAAATAGAGAAATAAAGGTAGTAAAGAGAAAATAAAGCAGAGTATTGGCCATAGAAAGTGATGGGGGAGGTGGGTGTTCTATTTTATGTAAGATTGTCACAGAAGGAATCTGAAGGAAGTTAGAGAGTGAGCCATGTGCATATGGAGGGGAAGAGCTTTTAAGGCAGAGAGAACAGTCTGTGACAAAGCCGTGAATGAGGGCTTGCTTGGCATGCTCAAGGAGAAGTAGGGAGGCTAGTGTGGTGGAGGAGAGTGAGCAGAAGGGACAGAGGAGAGATGAAATCTGATGTTCGTGGTGGTAGATGGTGAACCATTGTAAAGAATTTGGATTATACTTAAGTGAAATGAGAAAACATTGGATAAGTAACATGATATGGCTGCCATTTAAAAGTATTGCTCTGGGCTGGGCACGGTGGCTCACACCTGTGATCCCAGAACTTTGGAAGGCCAAGGCCTTGAACTCCTGGCCTCATGATATCCTTTAGCTTCAGCCTCTGAAAGCTCTGGGATTACAGGTGTGAACCACCATGCCTGGCTTCAGAAAACTCTTATACATTGACATTTGTATAGTTCTTCGGCCGTCATTGGGGTTTTAAAGTCATAATTAGTACACTGCACAACTGGACATAATGATTTTGGAGTTTCCAGCAAATGGTTGGTAGTGCTGATAATCTGAGAAAAACCAGAAGGGGAAAAAATAGAGGCAAGGTTGAAATCTGGAAAACACCAGTATTTGAGAGCCAGACAGAGCAGGAAGAGTTCATGAAGGAGATGAAGATGGAATGGTCAGAAAGAGAAGAGAAGAATCACAGGGAGAGTGGCAATATGTCCTACAAAGCCCAACAAAAGCTGATCCCTCTCTGCTTTCCTAGGCGCTTCTATCACTCCCTCTCTAGATCACTCAGATTAGGCAACACTGATCTCCTTGACAAAAAGCATGATTGATCCTATCTCTGAGCCTTTGCATTTGCAGTTCTCTTTTTTTTCAGGTCATTACAAGATGATCATTATATGATTCATTATAATCCTTCAAGTCTCCGCTCACAAGACATCTCTTCAGAGGAGACTTTCCTGATATCCCTAAATTAAAACAGCCTTTACATATTATCCTATTATAGTATAGCATTCTATTTTACTTTCTTCCTAGCACCGATCACAATCTGAACTTATTTAATTCATATATTATTTTTAAAAAACTAAATTTCTGCACTGGATTGTAGACTCAATGTGAGCCAAAACTTTGTCTTTCTTCTTTACATAATTTTTCTCAGGGCCTAGGACCTTAAATCCCACATAGTGGGTGGTCAATAATTATTTATTGAATGTTTCTAGTCAAGGAGCAAAGTGCAAAGAGAGCGCTAAGAAGAATAAATGGAAGCAATATCAATACAGGAGAAAGGTTTAATGAAATTAAGAGGTTTCCATTGGATTTGACACAGTCCCTGTCCTCAAACAGCTTTGGCTGATGGCACTAAGCATAGCTCCTGGAAATATACAAAGCATTTCAAAGCAGCATACTGCAATATGATGAAAATGTTACACAAGTGTGGAGGTAGCAAATGAGTGACATTATAAATACTTTTTAATTTACTCCCAGCGTAATAGCCCAGAGATTTACTCTGCTCTGGTCTTAAGCCACCCACTCATTGCTGTGGGAGTGAGGAAAATGGCACTATTACTGAACCGTGTTTGAAGCCATGCCATTGGTGCCTGTTGGCTTGCAAATATTTCAGTCATGTCTTTGTTTTTAAGAGGCTGAAGTGCAACTGTTTCAGATTTTATTACTCTAAAGTTTGTGTTGGCTATTGATCATATTTGTCAGTTGTAAAATTTTGATCAGCTTCATTTTTGAAAGAGATCACTCACAGAAATTTGTGATCATCAATATGAAAGAAAAGTTTATGCATTAGAAACAGTCACTTGAACATTATTCATCTGGATAATAGGTTTTGATTACTTATACATGTCAGTTTTTTATAGAGCTTAACAGATACACCGTCTGTCTTTATAAATTATTTAATGTTCAGATTTTGCATATGGTTGACTCTGCATGGGCAGAGGTGGCGGTAGGCAAATCTGGTCTTCAATATCTTTTGCCCTTATAGGCATCTTTGAAGACATCCATTGCCTTACCTTATCCACAGTGATCTCTGTTCACAATGGCTGTGACATTGTCCCATCTGGACTGCAGCTGTTAGTCCACTTGGGTCACCATGGAGATATGCCTTATTCCAGTAAGCACAATCACTTCGGGTTCAGTGGTTCTCTTGCTATGTCTGAGCCACACTTAACGAAAGTCAGTTATCTTCCTTTTCCTCTGCCACACTGAGAAGAGGGAAGTTCTGATATTGTCGAAGGCTCTATCTGCCTAAATGCACATAGCAGTCATTTTTTTTTCTCTTAGGTTTTTGCCTCCTTTGGTTCAACCTAGATTCCACACACATCTCAGGCAATTGGCCCTTGCCTTGGACTTGGTCTAGAAGCATGGACAATGCCCCTCCCTTGTAGACACGCCGAGGTCTATGTTTGCGTTGCAATTTTTTTTTTTTTTTTTTTGCTTTGACTTCTAGCGACATGCAGGGATTATTGTTTTCTAAATTGGCCATGGAAACCTAGCGAAAGCTGTGCACTTCATCATATTTTATCCTAAATTATTTGCTATATTATGAATCTTATATAGAAGACTCCTTTCTACTCTTTTGCCTCATTGTTTAGAATTCTGAATTCAAAACCCAAGAAGTGATTACTTTTTTCCTGTGTTCTATGTTGTCAAATCCCTTCTCTGAAACAATCAGTTGAGAACAGCTTAGCTGACTAAGCAGAGAGTAAGCCAAAGACATGGTAAGAGACCATTCTGGGTGTGTGGGTGGGGATCACATTGGCTAACATTTTAACCTTATTATTCCATCTCTCAATTAAATTTCAACTTTTTATTTAAAAATAAGAGTTATAAGTAGCCAAATCATGTAATTTCCATTTCAGTGTCTCATGTTCTCCTATCCACGCATTAACAGAAAGGTTAATAAGAATTGAAAAGGAAAATTAAGGAAGTAAGGCAGCAGAATAGACACTAGGGAACATTTAATTATTGGATTTTCTCTGATTCCATTACTGAGATATTCTTTGTGTTCTTGGTACGTATTTGCAGTACTAATCTAATCTACCCCTCCCCTGCCCCACTAGAAGAAGTGATGAAGGAGTACGTGAAGTAAATAAGGACCCATGTTTGGTAAATTTCATTCCTAGTCTTCCCAGGTACCCCTCCCTGCTCCAGAGTCTGAAATCTTAACCCTCGATGCATACACATACACATACACACATGTACATAGATACAGGTACACGTAAACTCACATGCACATATGCTTGGGAGTCATTTGAATTAGAGACTACTCTTTTAGAGTACAAAAGCTAGTCTTCATCCAATAGTAGTTTGTTTTCAAAAAAGTCTGGATTTGGAGGTTTAAGAGAAGAAGAAAACAAGAAGAAAAAGAAGAAAGAAACAGATTTTGTCAACACGAATCCAATTCTACTTTCCTGTGGTCATCGTTTCACTTCCTCCTATATCTTTAACACAAAACTAGATTATGCTATCCTTGGAAAACTTTGGAAACTGAACTGTAAACAGTATAGAGAATTGGTAGGGAGTTAGAAAATGAAGAAAAATTAAAGGATACCAAAGAATTGGAGAATGAGGAAAAATTGTAGAATAATGGAGAATCAGAGAATTATGAAAAGTTGCTTGGTTTTATTTTTTAGGAGATGATCTATTTCTACAAAAAAGTGCTGGAATTTGTGGTAGAGTTGGGAAAACACCCCCCAATCCTACAGATCCAGTGTTTAGGTGTAAACACCAACCCGTGAAATTTAAGTTGGTGGCCCTTGGGAGTCATGGAAGAAATTGAGCTTTTAGAGTAAATTAGCAATTACCATGCTAACTTATTCAGAACTTAATACTGAGGTATTGTTTTTATTATTATGTTATGGCATGCTGCTTTATAATGCACTTAAATAATCTGTGCCATCAGTGTTTTGTGTCTTTAACTATAAGCTCCTTGAGGGCAGTGGTTGTACTATTTATTTCTTAGGATCCTTCTAAAATGTTTCATATGTTTGGCTCACATAAAACACTTGAAGCATGTTAATTAATATTCCTTTAGAGTGAAACTTGTGAGCTTTCTTCTCTCCAAGTTATTTCTAATATACTTGCTATGTCTTTCTGACTAGTTTGTAAGCTTACTGGAGGCGGGGACCAGGCCTTCCACTTAGTTTCATTTTGTCATGCCTAGCAGAGTGATAGACACAGATGAGTTCATTAAATACTTGTTGATGGATTGAATGATTGACTAGAAAATTGCTTGAGGTTCTAGTTCTGAAATTAAAGCTTTAGTTTGTCTGAACAAACAAGCAAATAAAGAAAAATAGAATAGTAAAGTATCTCTAGATGTCCTAATGGTTCTGATAATTTCACTAATACAAGATCTTATATGTATTAGAACTTGTTTGGTTTCTGATAACAGAATTTCGATTCAAATTTGCTTTCCTCAAATAAATGAATGAATGAACAAATGTAACAAAATTAAATTTACCCAGTTACATAACTAACAAGTCCATGAGCACAAGACCAGTTTCATTGTCTTCTCTGCTAGTCTCTGCTTTTCTTCTCATTGCATTTTTAGTAACACAGACTTTTCTCTCATTTGTGGCTCAGGTTTCCTTCTTACTACTCTAGAAAGTATCACGGCTGACTTTTGGTCACTCTCATGGCTTGACTCAGATTCATCTTCATGGGTTTGAATCATTATTCTGGCCAAAGGGTTGTAATATTGGCATTATCCAGGTCTGAGTCACATGTTCATCTCAGAATCAGATGGTACGTTCAATTAGACTCAGACTGACATTGGGGAAGGGATATTTCCCCATTACAAAATTGAGGTGTTGTTTTCAAAAGAAGGAGAATGGATGTTATATAGGCAAAAGCCACAGCTATCTCTCAGAGATCCTCTTTTTAGTTTTATCCAAAATGGAGTCAATGGTTAAAACTATTGTACTAAAAATATTTTCTTATGTAATAATTCATTTCTTCATTTTATGTTCATCAACTGTCTTTCAAGACACAATAGTGATCCAATATAATTACAGATCAACCATCCATCCAACCAACCAACACAAAACCTGGATATTGTAGGTTGCATGTATAATTCTCTTGGACTTTCTGATAAATTGGAAATAGCTTTGGGCCCTTCAACCCTGTCCCTACTTTCTCTATCATCTTAGAAGCCTGGGCTGGAAACAGCTACTAACGTTTGCTTTAATACAGCTTTTTAAAGACCTAACTATGCATCAGAATCACCAGCTGTTATTAGAAAATACTGATATCCAGGCTCCATGCTCAGAGGTTCTTATTTCATTAACCTGTAGAAAGAATCAGGCATTGGAATATTTTTGAAAACACTCTAGTGAGTCTCATAGGCTGACAGGGTTGGGAACGTCTGTAAGAATTGCTCCCTTTGCAGTGACTTTAAGGGGCTCTGTGAATCAGGAAATACAAACAATGAACACAATTATACCTGCCATAGTTCCAGTCGGCAACTATTGACAGCTGCACAATTCCCTCCAGGTATACATATCCCCCTGTCCATCACACCTCTGCAAAACCCAGCAAACACAACTGTAATCACAATAGAGAAGTTCACAGAAAGGTTGACACCAAAGATGTGTTTTTCCTTTTGCTCATGTGCTAATTTTCTTTTCACATTTATAAACACTGAGTGGTTTATATTTTTGGCAGGGTTGTGCTTCTGAGTTAATATGCATTGTGAGTGCCAGTTAAGCAAAGTTTTCCCAAGAATTTAACATTGTTTGTGGTTTAGAGGTCACTCATAATGGCTTAAAGAGTTTAGCTGGAGTTTTGATCTTGCATTTTTTGCTTTTCCTACAGAATGCTACTATTTTTTCTTAATTAATTAAATATCTTTCTTTAGGAATGTACAGGGTGTACCATGAACAATTCTGACATGTGATTTAATCTATGTGGGACTACATTTTAAATACATTTGGGAAGGATTGAACAATGAAGTGGAGCCCATCAATATTGGTACTGAAAATGAGACAGTAAGTTGATATAGAGCAAAATCCACAGAAAATTTAGGAAACCACAGAATGCATGTGATATCTAAACTTAGATATCACATGTTATGTTTAATTATCTCCCAAATCATTAAAATATTGTGGGAATTTAATTATTCTGGAATATAAAAAATACATATTAAATTGTTTTCCTCTCAGTTGTACTTTAAATCATTATTTTAGGTTTGGAAAATCACAATAACATAAAAATAGAGCAAATAAGACTTGTAGGGAAATAAAATTCAGGAGTGATTCTCTGTTTTCACTTCAAAGAGATCATTGTTCTGTCTTATAGATTGTGAGAGGATTACAGGAAATTAAAGTTCTAGAGTAAATAAAACCATATTTGAATTTTCCCAATGTCACAGTTCAAACCCCACAACCTGGCACAGTTGACATTCTAATTGAGTCTATAAATTGAGTCAGCTTTTGGAATTGATGTATAAACTGAAAGATAACTCATGAATTGTAATTGTGTTTGATTTGAATTTTATTACTTTTGGCCAAAGGCATTACAAGATTTACACGGTAAGAAGGAGATACAGTATGGCCTCCAAAATGATTTATGAAAATTAAAATAGAACAAAGATAGAATGAGGTATTGAATGTATGAATTGGTAGTTATAGAGATGATATCTTAAAATAACTTACCAGGTCAATAACAATTGTTTCTTTCCTGATGTAGAGACCATTTGATATTTAGCTAGGTTATATACAATAATTCAGCCATGGAAATTAGCAAAATCTGAAGGTATAATGAGAAAAAGAATAAATATGAACATTAATTAAATCTCAGGCCCTGACTTAAAGGAGTAATTCTTCACTTGTTTAAGATACCTATGTGAGATGAATCATTCCACTAAAAATACACACTGTCTGAGAGTTCCAGTTGCTCCATATACTCACCAGCATTTGGTATTATCAATCTTTATAATTGTAGACATTTTAGTAGAAGTGTAGTGGCATTTCATCATCGTTCTAATTTGCATTTCCCTGATGACTAATGATATTGAGCATTTATTCAGATGCTTTTTTTGCCATATGTTTATCTTCTTTGAAGAAATATCTGTTCAAGTCTTTTGCCTATGTTTTCATTGGGTGTTTGAGTTCTTATCATTGACTCGTAAAAGTTATTTATGTATTCAAATGCAAATTCTTTTTCACATATATGTATTGTAAATATTTTCTCCCAGTCTGCTGCTTGTCTTTTTGTTTCCTTAGTGCTGTCTTTAGAAGGACAGAAATTTTTAACTTTGATGATGTCCTATATATATATTTTTTTCTTTTATGGCTTGTGCTTTTTGCATCCCCTCTAAAAAATTTTCGCCTATTCTAAAGTTGAAAAGATTTTCACTTGTAAGCTTTATGGTTAAAACCACTTAAAAAAACTACATGGAAGTTTTTTTTAATTTAAACCTTAAGTTAAACATGCACTTACCATACAGCATAGGAATTCCCCTGGTAGGATGCAAGGCATACCTCTTGGGTCCTGGTAGGACCCAAGAGGATGCAAAGGCATAAGAACGATACAATGGACTTTGAGGACTTGGAGGAAAGAGTGGGTGGCGGGGGGCGAGGGATAAAATACAACATATATGGTGCAGTGTATACTGCTTGGGTAATGGGTGCACCAGGATCTCACAAATCACCACTAAAGAACTTAGGTAGCCAAATACCACCTGTACCCCAATAACTTACGGAAAAATAAAATTTTAAAAAAGGAAATGAAAACATATATCCGTAGAAAGATTTGAACACAAATGTCCAAAACATCTTTCCAAATGAAAACAACCTAAATGACCATTAACAAGTGAATAGATCAACATATGTTGTACATACACACAATGTGGCATATGCATACACAGCAGTACAAAGGAACAAACTACTGATACATGCAACAAGGTGGATTGACCTCAAAACATGATGCCGAGTGAATGGGGCCAGAGAGAAAAGAATACAAACTGTACAATTCCACTTACATAAAATTCTAGAACATGAACAGTGAATAATCATAGTAATAGAAAACAGATCAGTTGTTTCCTGTTCAAGAAGTGGGGGAAGATTTGACTGGGAAGGTGCATAAAGAAACTGTTGGGAATGATGGACATGTCCTCTATCTCGACTGTGGTGTGGTTACATGGGTGTGTACAATTGTTGAAATTCATCAAACTGTCCACATTTTAATGCACTTTAACATATGTAAAAACTGGGAAAATGTGATTAAATGTTATTAAAAATACTGCAGGGTTTGCCAGTAATGGGATACTTATTAAAAATCCATATGAATGGATTTTAAAAATGTGATTATTGGTAGAATTTCAAGCTCTTAAATCTCCAAATTCCTACATTATTATTTATTTTTAAAAATAAGAAATTTTTCTTAAAGGAAATTTAAAAAATACAGGAAAATTAAAATAATAAAAAAATTACTCCTATATCAACACTCAAACCCAATTTTTTCTCTATGCTTTGTATTTTTCTTTTTACAGTTTTAATCACATTGTTTATATAATATTGTAGTCTACTTTCTTAAATTAACATTATATTTTAAGGATTTTTCCAAAGAATTAAATTCTTATGGTTTGTGCACAGTTTTTACTACGTGATTTTAACTGTACACAATATTCAGGGAATACATAACATAAATTATTCACAATTATCTCCTATTTTTGAACACTTTTCTTTCTTGTTTGCACTTGTACTTTTCCCCTATCTAATGCTGTGATGATTAGCATACAATGTTTTCCACATTGAGGATTATTTACTTAGGGTAGATTCCCAAACACCTTGATCAAAGGGTAATACAGTCAACATTATTACTTGTAACCAAAAGATTAAAACTTGCTTCTTCTCCATGGCTTTTCTGTTAGTTTTCTATTCTAGGAAACCTTTCATTCTTTTAGCTTTCCAATTAATTATTGTTTTTTTGAGGCAGGGAGCAAAAGAGAAAGAGGATTTTCACCTACTCTCTGAATGTACTGCGTTGCCTGAATTAGCCTCATCTATCTGTCAAAGTGCCCAGAAACCATGATGATAGGAGCTGTGGAAATAGATATCTAGCATATGGGAACCTGCTTATAATTTCTTGCTCACAGCATTTATCCCACATACAGCATTTATCTTTAAAAGAGCAAGACTAATGAACCCGTATGTATTGTTTTCTACTTATAGCATATCCTCATTTGAAATACATCCCATGAAAAATAAAACTCTGCTAATGAGTAAGGCATTGCAACGTATTATAGTGAGTAGTGTCATAATACCTTGGTTCTTGCTTTTGCCACTGACCTTATTGAGTTCTTTTTTTTTTTTTTTTTTTTTTTTTTTAGTTAGAGAGAAAACTTATTGTCCGTAAAAAGCTTTAATCATCTCTGACCTAGAATACTATGTAACCATACCTTTCAATAAAAGTTAATCATGCTTCAAGAATATTGAGATTGGGCAAACAGATTACTGAGGAGGTGTCCATTTGGGGCAGTTATTTTTGCATTAACAAAGGATTCACAGTAGTATTCCCAGAAATGTTGTGAATCGCAACTCTGGCATGGTTTACAAAAATTCAGATTGTGATCAACTCATTCAGGAATACATCTGTTACTAAGTGATGGGCAATATAAAATAGTGGTTAAGCTCTGTCATTTAAAATCTGTATATTTTGGGGCAAGTTACATGGTCTCTCTAAATCTGAATTTCATCCTTTGTGAAATGGACAATGAAGCAACTTTCCTCACAGTTTGTTGTGAAGTTTAAATGAGATAATGCATATATAATACATGCCCCATACATTGTGGATACTCAATAATAGACATGATTGTGGCTGTGTTTATAGAAAATGCAGTACCTAGGAATAATTCCATAATACCTCACAATTCTACTTGTTCTTTTCTCATTCTCGATTCTTTGAACTCTTATCCCTGCACAACTTTGGCACAGCCTTCCACTTCCCTCATTTTCAAATCTTGACCTTTCTTTTGGGAGATAAATAGCACTACACCTTCATATTCTCCAATAAAATGTTAACATAACCACTTGGACTAAAACCTGGATGTCCTCTGAGGACCTTATTACTCGGCAACCCTCTTGCTCTCTCTTCTTCTTAGCGCATTCTACCCTTCACAACCGGGAGGAGACATCGTGTCCCCCTCTACACTATGCTGTCTTTAAATCAAAGTTTCCCTTCTTCCTCCTACACTGCATCTTTGAGGCTCAATCCTTCTAGATAGATCGTCATCTTTTTCCCATGGTGATCATTTACAGAGCTTTTCCTAGGCACTTTCCATCTTTCACTAACTTTTGGCCTCAGCATTTTTTTTTTTTTTGAGGTGGAGTCTCAGTTTTGAGATGGAGTCTCAATCTGTCACCCAGGCTGGATTGCAGTGGCACGATCTCAGCTCACTGCAACCTCTGCCTCCCGGGTTCAAGCAATTCTCCTGCCTCAGCCTTCTAAGTAGCCGGGATTACAGGTGCACGCCACCATGCCTAGCTAATTTTTGTATTTTTAGTAGAGGTGGGGTTTCACCATGTTGGCTGGGCTCGTCTCGAACTCCTGACGTCAGATGATCCACCTGCCTGGGCCTCCCAAAGTGCCGGGATTACAGGCATGAGCCACCACGCCTGGCTTGGCCTCAGTATCTTTATTTCCTGTCATCATTCTTGGGAACTTGGCTTGTCAGCTTCTTCACTTCTCTTTGCAGTGACCTTTCCATCTCCACCCACTCCAAAATCTCAAATGCATATATTCTTCTCTCCAACCACAACTTCCCATAATTCTGGTGCTTCCTACTTCATGGCAGTAAATCCATTGATCCTGTTTCTTACTCATAATCCTTCAACTCATGTATCTTATCACTTTCCTTCCTTTCTAGCTTAGATTTGGTGATACATTAACTTAATTTCTCCCTTCCAAATATTCAAATGCTCTTGCCCTGTCTCCTTCTGCTGTATAAACTTTGTAAAATTCTAATCTTGGTTTGACTTTTCTTGCCCTTTCCATATCTGCTCATGAAGAAGGGAGCAGATATAGCTTGTTCCTCATAGCTGAGGAATAAACCAAAACATCAGACCTCAAATGGCATCTGAACATGACTCCATAATTCTACATTAAAAAAATTAATCAGTATTTTAAAATTTGTTTTACTCTCATTTCTTTCCTTCTCATTTTAGCTAATAACTTAGTGTCATCACGAACATAGAAACTATAAGATGGAGACTTTGTTACTTTCTTCATCACCAAAATTGGTGATCCAAAGCTGTCTGCAATGGTACTTATCTCTTTCTTTCTTACTATTAAAATGAAGGAAATATCCCTTCCCCTTCCAAATGCGGGTACTTGCACACATACTCCAGATCTCAACCCTTATCACTTTTGACTTTCTTAAAGTCTTTGCTCAGTTGCTCATTCTCTCTCCCCACTTCATCGTCAATCTTTATCTTCCTAAATTATCTTTCCCATAACACAAAGATGCTTTATTATCTCCCATCTCCACACTTCCTTGACTCTGGAACTCCTGCTATTACCCCATGGTCCCCACCTTTTCATAGCCTGGCTTCCCAAGAGTGGCTTGCAAAAACTACCTTTACATTTTTACTGAATTCACTCTTCAACAAGTTCTAGAATGGCATCTACGCCTGCCAATTCACAAAAACTGCTTTTGTAAGACCATCAACAACCTTCATGGTACCAATTTCAAAGATCCATTTTCTGACCTTATCTTTATTGACCATCTAACGGCATCTAGTGATATCTTTAATGAAATAAGACCCAATTCTCTAAAATTGGCTGATGCAAAGAATCTCCAAATGGGAGAGAGGCGGTTGTGCCTGTAAACTTCTCTCCATTCCCAAGATGCATATTTATTTCCTTTGGGAGACTTCCCAGTAACCATATGCCACACAGAAGCCCCTGTTCCTTCTCTTCTCTAACTTCTAGTTCAGATGTGGTGGACTTATCTCTCAGTACTCTTAATTCAGATGTAGACTTAGGCTCTTCTTGAAGATCTCTCAGCACAGTGGGAACATGTAAACAAACTTACCTGAAAACTCAGGAATAACAAAAGAAAATACATCCAGAAAGAATTTAGCACACCAATATTCTGTTCTACAGGCATGGCTCATTCATCTGCAGTGTGGGGCTCCCAAAGTGCTCAAAAAGAACGGTTTGTGGTCCCACTGTTACACATGAGGGGTCTCCTTTGGGCAGAAAATGACCCTCAAAACACAAATTCCTTTTTTAATTCTCAGGGGTAAACAATGTGTCATTTAATAAACTTTCATTTATATATGTGATCAAGAACTATTTACAAATAACCTATTGAGTTATTAAATATTAGATCAACCAACTTGGGTTGTTCATTTGGTATTGAATAAAATTAATTATAAGTTTATATTCATCAAATAAGTGACTAAATAGTTGGATTCCCTCAAGGGATTTATTCTACAAATAAGTCTGTGGGCCATATATTTGGCAGCGTTGCAAAGCTCCAGCTGATAATTACAATACTATTATTGTAATAATAATAATTATTAAATAATTACAATACTATTATTAAATGTACATAAATGTACACAGAAGAGAAAGGGGGCTTTGGCTTGCCTACGAATATAGCAGTGCAAAACAGTAGAGAGCCACTGTGCCATTTTTTTCTAACTTTGATCGATACCATGTTAGCAGCACCTCCCAGAAACCAATTTTCTCTCAAAGCTAGATTAAAAGGACCATCCTCAGAATAAAAGTTTCAACTTGATAGTTTGATGTTAGAGTTAAAGGGAACTCCTATACTTTTGAAGGGAAACTTTGTTGTTTTGGGCTAGTACTTTAAGAACTCTGGATATGCTTGAGGTCATGGACTCCATAGTGACAGAGGAAAGGTAGCCTCTGGAGGAAAGGTTAAGGCAGAATGGAAATAGGAAGCGCTTCACCAGTTTGTTGTGGTGGTTCCCAGACTTTTGGATTTCTGGGATGAGTAAAATTTTAAAAGTGGAAGAGTAACACAGAATGACTAACTTTGTATTTTACCAAATAAAGATATCAAAAGAGAAAACATTATCTACTATTAAAAGAGAGGAGTATTTATGATAATAAAAGTGAGGATATAATCTTAGAATAAATAAGTATAATTTACAATATATGTTATAATTGAGTATGAAAATCTCACCGTATCTTTTTTTTCCATTTTGCTGCAGTGTGCACCAATGAAAAGTCCATCAGGGATTTGCTCTGCCATATGGGAATCAATGCTCCATCAGACAGCTTTACAAAGCTGCCATGTGTGATTCATATTCGCAAACTGTGTATTATTTTTATTGTCTATTTTTCTAATTTTTTCTCATCCCTGAATCCTTGGTAAAGTTTGGTTTACATATTCTTTCATCACCTCAGTAAAAAAAGAAATACAAATATAATGGACCCTTTGAAACCAGGGTGGTGGTAACTATGATAATATTTCATAGATTTCCAGGAAAATGTAAATCTCAGGGAAGAGAATTTAAGATAAATGTCCAGATGCTTATTAGAAGTAGAGATGTTTCATTGTTCTATCTATTGGAGGTTTGTGGTTCAATTTATTTAAGGAATCTGATGGTTTTCTAATGGACCTTCCCAACATTTCTGGAATTGCCTTTTTAAGATCCCTGAAAATGGAAAGGAATTCCCTAGATATCCCAGTTTATTCCCACACCCTAACACTGAAGAGGAGTCCCCGAAACATTTCAGCCCTCCTCATTTCTTTCAAGCTTACATTGAAAGATATCAGCTTCAGCAGATAACATGTGAAGGAGGCTTCATTGGTTGGGGTGGAGGGGTTCTCCTTGACATTGACCTCACTGTACTCCTTGGCCATCTTTCCTCCAAATCCCCTGGGGCCATGCCTATCTCACTTGTAAAGTCAACAGTTGGTACACAATCAACCAGTTGAAAAGCTGGCAGAAGTACCCTCTGGGGAAAAAACGGTGTGTTAGAAAGCAACGGTTTAAATGAGCAAGGCCGCAGGAACTCAATGACTCAGTGAAGGTGGAAAACCAAGGAGGTGAACCATGGCTCCTAAGTATTCATCAGGCAGCCACCATGTTCATGTGTCAAGGTGTGTGATTGTTTCTAGTCTTAGAAAGGTCAACTCTTTCTTTCCTAGACCACTGGTAATTTAGCTAAAAAGTAAGGTATTACTGTTAGTCAGGGCCTTTGGCCTGCTTTGTTCATCACATTTCCTATGTTGGTGGATGGAATTGTTGAGGCTGCCCACCAGACAAGTTCAATGTGGATACATTAAGAAAACCCTAAATACAGGTCTGCATCCAGAAGCAGTATTTGAGAGTCTATTGAGATTAGTGCTGTAAAATTGAGCAAGTAAACAAATAAAAAAAGGTAAAAATAAAAAGGGAAAAGGCAAGTAAGACTCTGGGAAGTACAACTAATTTGTGGATCAGTCATCCTGTTTCTACCACACAGTGCAGTGTGATCTGACAAGGCTGAGCAAATGTGGTTTTGGCTTTGCACAGCTGAGGCGTTTAACTGCATCATGCTGAGGTGGACTGAAACTTCAAGGGCACCCAGTGACTTATGTGTTTCGTCACCAGTCTGCCCACTCCAGCATTTATCAGCAAGGCAATGCTGTGTGTGTGTGTGTGTGTGTGTGTGTAGGTATATATATTTAACTTCACACCATGGTGTCTGATTTATAATTTCCCGAGGGCAATATTTTTTTACAGCGACTGGCAGAATTTTTTGTTCTTCATTAGGCCTTTTATTAACCCACTGCCAGAGCTCTGTATCCAACCACTCCCAGTGTTTCAGTGATCATATTATCAGTAATAGCATATTTCCTCTGGGAGATATGAATACAGTCTATTGCAGGTGGAATGCTGGGAGGAGGAGGGATAGAGTGAAGTGTTCACATTTCTATCTGCACTCTGCCTTCAGACTCTTCCCACTAAACTTGCAGATGTTGCTGACTAGTTATTTTGATGGTTCCTTAACTTCATTATTATGTATAAGAGCACAAACTTTATTTATTCAGAAAGTTTTGTAAAGCTATGATACCTTCCTCTGTAAAAAGTAGATTTGACCACACATTTGGGGTTCAAATTCCTGAGGTTTCCATAAGTTGTTTGCTATTACCAAAAAACAAAGTCTAGATGGTTAATGGAAGTCTAGATGGTTAATGAACATGGACGAGTTTGAAAAGAGCCATATCATGCAGAGCGGGTGGGTCCTTCCTGTCCGGCTGAAGAACTCAGATAAAAGGAAATATGAAAGCCTAAAGCTTAATTATTATCATCACTGTGCTTCCATTTAGAGAGAAAGAAATGGTCCCAATTACAAGGCTAGCAGAATACTTATGAGGCCTTCTGGTCTCTTTGCTTGCCTTTAGTCAGGACCACATATAAAAACACTTAAATCCTTGGGTTAGAAGAGAACTGTTGGTTTCTAAAGAGATTTTCAGGAAAGGAAGTTCCATAAATTTCCTTGGCATTACATTTAAGCCCCTAACACCACAAACTTATCAAGTATGAACATTTACTAGCAGAGTATACTTGAACAAGTCACTTAATCTTTTGGAATCTCATTTATCAAGTGCAAATTCTAATAAGAACTTATGAAACACATTTTATTGTTGTGAAGATCAAACCAAGCAACCCACTTAAAAAAGATTTTTCAACTGTGAAGTACTACACAATGGTAAACTACTATGATATTAAGCATAATTCCCATTCATGTAGTATCTCTCAAGATTAAATACAATTAACAAAATACACTGAGCACCTTAACAGAGATGGAAAACCAACTGACCTTCTCCCTCACTCCTAGTACCTATATTATATTGAAATAAGAGGGAATATTTTGTAGGAAGAGGGCAAAATAACATGTTCTGTCATTAAGACTTGAAATATTGAGGTCCCTACACTGGGTTATTCATTTTATTCCTTGACTCTGGTTTCTATGCCATCTGAATTATATTCTAAGTGGATAAGAAAAGAAGTAACCTTACCCCATTACCTGAGACTTTGGCTATTATAATGACTGAATCTATCTTCCTAAGATCTTTTTTCAGTGAGTTAACTGGATAAGTATGTTGAGAAGTATCTCCTTGAGTATCTGATGACTTCCAATAATGACGTGAGATTTCAGCCCCCTCACCTACATAATTCTGTTTACTTAACTTTTGTAATTGAGATACTGCCCAGAGAGTGGTGGGGGAATCACTCAGTATTGAAGCCAATTACTGCGTTTGGATAATATTTTTCTCTAACTTTTTTTTTCTTCAACAGATTGTCCATTGTATTTTTTTTTCTTCAACAGATTGTCCATTGTAGAGTCAAAGGGTTTGTGGTAGGGTCAAAGTTTTCAGATATATCCAGAAGATCAGTACTTTAAAATTACTCACTCACAGTTAAAATAAAGAGAAATAAGCAAGACAGGAAATGGGAAAGGAATATTTGACTCAGTAGTTGTGGGTTAGGTGGGCTTTACATGCAGTCATTCTGTGTGATCTGGAGTGACTAACAATGTTCATCTGAATGGACATGGCGTTAGGTGCCTGAAACTGGTCAACAGATCTGTTTTCTCTGGCTAACATTTCCTAATGCTTTATACCTAGCTTGGCCAAAAATGGCCGAGTGAAGACAAAGAAAAAGGGAAGTTTTCGAAGCCTACCTTGACACAAGGAGGGCATCATCTTCATAAATGGTGAGAAGCTAGAAATAGCTTCTACTCGACTAAGTTAACAATCATACAACTAGTACACTAACTTAATAGCATTTTAAAAAGGATTCTGTCCCTTTTCTTGAAAGACAATATACCATCAGCTCCTTAACCATACAAAAAAGCATGACTCTAACTTCAAAGAATAAATTGTAAGAAATCCCCAAAGTTTGACAACAATGTTTACTTGTTACCTACTTAAAAATTTTTTTGAGTCCATTCTTCGTGCCAGACATTATGCCAATTTCTTCTTATACATTATCTCATTTAGTTCTCACAACAAACCTAGGAGTTGGGTACCATTACCATTTTCATTTTTCAGAGACTCAAGAGGCTGAATAATTTCTTTAAGGTTATGTATCCAGTATAAGGCTACATTTATATGATAGAAGGAGAGTCAGGATTTGACTAGTCAGGATTTGACTCATTTCTGTTGCTCTCCAAAGCTTTCTCTCTTAATCACTACAATAATATCTCTCTGAAGAGTTCAGTTATAGAAGACAAACGGAGTAGCAGAAGCAAGTTGTGCTGTACAATTGCTTATTCTCTTGAGGTGTCTCACAGAATCACCACCACACCCTTCGAGAGTGTCCTTAAAATACTGTTTTTTGTCAGCCAAGAATAAAATGGCTTTTGCCTCTGGCTGTTGTTCTCCACACATGCCACAAGGTGGCTCAGTGTAGAGTGACCTCCCTTCTCAGTGTGAATTCCCAGAGGGTAGAAAAGGTGCGGGAACAAATTGCTGTTTCCTGTCCTATTGGATTTCACTGGCACTAGCTTATCTGCCCGATTGACTTTCACTAGCACTAACTCATCCCTGTCTTAAAGAACAAAGAGCCACACCTCGGCTGAAAGCTTAAAGTTGTACTTACTGGACTCAAAAGGAGACTCATTTGAAACTGACCTCAGATTTCCAATGGGAGTCTTTGTAACCACCTTTAGCTTCAAGAGACCAGATGCTCGTTGGTAATTATTTCTTCAAGTGCACAAAACAAATCCAGGAAGAGCTTATACAATTTCCAGCAGAGAAGTTTGTAGCTTAATCAAAAAACATCACACAGACACACACACACACACACACACACACCCCACATCACACACCCCTCTCCCCTGCCAAAACTGGCTGCTCGTAGAGAACACCTGGGCAGATGAGAAGCTCCTTGAGCAATAGATGACAGAATTTGTAAGGAAGGTCAAGGTTTACTAGGTTGTGATCAAGCTCACCCCCACCCTCAACCCCTTATACTTCCACCTTCAACCTTTGGAAGACGAATCTTTTCAGAAAGAAAATTCTGTTCAGACTGTGGAAGGGTACCATGGGGTTTGCCTGTCGCTAAAGCAGAAATGAACTTTTTCACCCCTTTTAAATATTTAAAAACAGAAAAATCTCCTGATAGTGGCATATAGGTCATAAAGTACCAAAAAGTATATCTGAGAATATGTCTGCCTTTGAGATCAGGACTCCTGATCATACTTTGTCCATTTTTATTTGCTTTACTGTTCAAATGTGAGTTACCAAAGTCCTAGCACAAGAAATAACTCACATATCCAATGCCTCAGGAAAGGGAGATCCCTTTAGGGTAGATGAAATTAATGTTCTGTCATTCAAATGGGTGTCTTTAGGCTTAATGTGGTCATCTTTTCCCATGGAACAGGGACAGATCAACTTAGCCCATACATACTGGCTACAAATGACTAATAATAGAAACCCTACTCTTTGAAAAGAATGGGGGTAAGCACATAGATCCAGCTGGGATGTAAGGGCTTGGAAAGAAGTTAAGGAGAATCAGATACTTTTCATCCATTTGATAATCATGACTTGGGCTGACCCTGTGCTGAGACCAGATCCTGTCCAACTATTTTATTCTCCTTCTAAGAAAGAACAAGATATGGACCATTATAGTTCCTTGCTATAAGGCTACATTTTACGTGATTTGTTGTGAGACATCTCTGATCAGGAAGAGAAGATTTGAGATAGAAGGAGACCTTAGAAAGCATATGATTGAAACTTTAAATTCATAACTGTCCCCACACAGAATTACCTTCTATCCTTCCTATGGGCCCTGACTTCTAGATGACCTATATGTATCCATATTGATTGTATCATAGGTAGCAACCAACCCAAGACAGAATTGGAGTTTAGTCTCAGTGTGTGGAACTTGTATGTGTTAGCTGGTTGGGGGGTGGTAGTTGGGACAGCCATTTCCTGCCTTGTAAACTGAGAAGCAGGGAGAGAAGTTCTGAAGAGAGAGAGACAGAGAGAGAGAGAGATAACAAGAGAGATCATGAGGAGTGCAGTGATGAGAGAGGTGGAGTGTTGTGATGAGTTTCTAATTCCCCTTCTCTGTGTCTTTGTAAGGCTGCAGAACTCTATGGGATATCATCACTGTAGCCTCATAAAAAAATTTTGTTAATTTTCTTGCATTTAGTCAGTTTCTGCTACTTGCAATGAAAGGTTTTTTAACTAACACCAGTTTTTGTGTATCTCTTTTATTCCAAAATTGGCAAGAGGCTTTCTAGATTACTTGTGTAGAAGAATAAATGGACAACAAAGAATCAAGGGATAATTATCAATCATCCAAATATCTAACAACTTCCATTGTATACCTTTCCAGTTAATCTGCAGTGGTCCCCAGATAAAACTTTTCTGTAAACCCACTTGTAGTGTTTCTCCAAGTTTGATCCAAAGACCCCCTTTTCCTATGAATCTGCTTGTCAGAGGAGAGGTTCCAAAGTCCTGCTCCCTGTTGAATTAGGCTCCTCTCTGAAGGTAGATCCAGGAATCTGCATTTTAAACAGTGCCTCAGATAATTCTTAAACTCTGTTGAATCTGGAAACCAATGGATTAAGGAATTGATAGGACCTAAAATTCTGTGATTGGTCCAGGGAAAATGAATATGCTCCATTCATATTTCTGATTCTGAGATCACATTCCCTCAATCTTTATTAGCTGGGGTACCTGAGCAAATGTCTTTTTCTTCATGCCTTCTTGACTCAACTATTACAGGCTCACTACTTAGGCTTTTTTTTTCTTCCCTTCTCAATTTGGGTTCTTAATTAGATAGGATTAGCAGGTTTTTGCATACAAAACTCGGCATTTTCTTCTGGCAGGATTCAACTGTGCAACTATACTTGTGACAACAGAGAAAGTTAGTTTGCAGGTTCCCTGGCAGCCATTGGCAAGATTTGGTATAAGTTTTGTTTAAGCTCTTTAAAGCTTCTCTGGCACAGGACCAAGAAACAGGCGCTTAAGAAGGGGGAAAAAATCAATGGGCCAATCAATATGATGAATATATGGCTCCATTAGCTACTTCCCGGTCTTTAGGATCTGGATGATGGTTTCTGCATTTTCTTTGTTTCAGGTTTTTGATGGAAAATTAGATTAGGGGAAACTGTCACTGCCTGTTTTAAAGCTGCCTCATCTTATCTCAATGGCCAGTTTTGGACATTTTCACTCTTGAGGCATGAGAGATTTAAAGAGCCTGTTGGATCAACAAGTCTGTTTTCCTTCCCTAGCCCTCCCAAGAGTTTAAGACCTCCAGAGATGAAATTCAATTGCCTCTAACCTACTCATTACCTGGTGACTTCATTCAGTGAATTATTTTCTTTGCCAGGCTGACTTGAACACTGACCCTGAATTTGTTTCCTCAAGTGCCTTGTTTAGCCACATTTTACAACTCTACTCTTGACTGAGGCATACAGGTCAAATTGTTATAAAGGAAGAAAGGTTCACAAAGTGAATACTCCTCTTCAAGTGATTCTGGAAACTTGAGAGGAAATGATTTTAGGGGATACAGAGGGGCACAAGCTAGTTAGTTTTTTGAGCTTCCATATTGAAAAATAATGGCTCTACATAGAACACAAGCACTCTTCAAAGATGTTTCTGCAAAACATACTTATTCTAGTAGAAGTAGTGCTACTGAGGAAGGTTTTCTGGTACAGGGTTACAGTAAGAACTTCCTAAACTTTTAGTAAACCGAAAAGGGGCTTTTCAGAAATGTCCTCTTCTTTCAGAGAGAGGTTAGATACATACAATGAGTACTGAGTCAATGTTTGTTTTTTGCTAAGCACTCAGTAAATTCTAGCTGAGATCTTATACTAAACTGTAGTCCTAACAATGAAAGTGGGACTTGTTTAGCAGTTTATGTTTCTATTGTATGGGTGAATGACTTGCTAACTTAAGTGACTAGGGCTTCATTAGAGGTTATTATGATAAAAAAAAAATTCAAGTCCTTAAGGGTTATAAAAGGGTAGTAATAGGCTCTTCTTACCTCACTGTATTTCTCTCAGGAATACACAATGAACTCCATACAGATCACTATATAAATCTAAGATATGAGACCCTATCTTCCTATAAGATACTGACATGAGAGAGGACCTCTAGGGACCTATAACTGAGTCACCAAGTTGGACGTAAAAAAGCAACTAAAGGAAATAGGCTAGCAGGTAAGACTCAAATAAGGTGTTTAGAAGAGGGCACTGTGCATATAAGGAGGATATTGAAGACAGTTGAGATCACCAAAACGATGAGACTTAAAATTGTCTAGGACACAGTTAGCTTACGGCCATAACAGGAGATGTAATTAGAATGTTAGATCGGGGCAGAATGATTGGGGCAAAATGACAGGCATCTTTCATTTTGCCAATGAAAAGTTTGTATTTAATTTTGTAGGAAACTTCGTGATATTTATTTACTTAAGTTTTAGCTCTGGATTTCCTGACTGTGAAAGCAAAAATAAAATTACAGTTTTTTTCTATGGAAAAAAGATGAATGTATGCCAGTTAATCAGATAGGACAGTTTGTTTTTACCCTTTTTAAAGGAATATTGACCAACACTATGGACAATATTTTTAACAATTTTTTCCACATGAACTTGGTCTTAATTGTCCTCAATGAAAGCCAAAGCCATACTCTTGACATGCAACTTTGAGAGAGTTGTTCTGAGAGGCCCACATTAAGGAGTTTCAAACATGGAACTTTCCGATTGTTTAACTTGATGACAAAAATGGCATGTCCCTTAACTTAAACTCCACAAACAATAGTTGTTTTACTAAATGTTTCAGGCTTCTAGTCATAATTTTACAGTAGGTTCTAGGAAGAAAATGTGTATTAATTACCAAAAAAGAGCCTGAAATGGGTCAGCCCATGGACCTAGCAATTCTGTGTCTGGAAATGTACCCTATCCATGTCAGTAATAATCTGGAACACCCAAAAGTGTTCATTGCAGTATTATCGATAATAGTTAAAGAAGGAAAAGAACAAACATGCGATTGTAAACACATTTGATATTACACATAATAAAATATCAAGCCATTGAACAGGCAATAAATAACATAAATGACTTAAAACTTATGATATAAGGTAAATATGCAAGATTGCCTATGAAACCTAGAATAGTCTGACATATTAATGATTGCTTACTGGCAGTAAATGTCATTAGCAATGACTATATACAATGTATGAAAAATATGCATGGAAAAGATGGAAAATCAATATGTTAAAGTGTTAATTATCATAGCATTACTACTAGGAGTGATAATTAACATGGCGTAACTATTAGGAGTAATTGTTCTGGTGTTTTGCAAATTTTCAACAAGGGATTATCAGTTTAATAAGAAAAAAGTTTATAAAATTGTAAAGAAGAATCGTACTGTTAAAACTTAAACATAATAAAGTTTAAGTTTGGTCCCCTCTTCTTTCAAGGAGGATTTAAGGGCAATGATACATTTTGAATATCAGGCATGCAGAAGGCAAAGATATCTGAAGTAAGAGGAACTGCTTTGTAAGCTTTCTCTCTTATGCAAGACCTATCCATCCTCAGATGAAAGATCGTAGTAGGAGGGCCTCAAGAAGATCCAAAACCATGCTGGAAAAACTGAATCTCCTTAAGAGGGATGATAACATTAAGGCAATAAAAGCACTCTATTGTGGCCTGGAGTAAGACTGCCTGGGTTCAAGTTGTGGCTTCAGTATTTTCTTGCTGTTTGGGCAAGCCAGTTGGCCTTCCGCTGCATCACTGCCTCATTCATGCAATGAGGAGAAAAGTACTTATCCTTATGGAGTTATTATGAGGATTAAAATATGTAACTGTAAAGCACTTAGAATAGTGACTTGCTCTTGGTAAGAACTCAATAAATGTGAGCTATCACTAAGTCAAAGGCTCCATTTCTGAGGCTTGGATTCAGTTCCTGCGCTGGACCCTGTGGCTCTCTCTGTCCTAAGCTGCCGCTGGCCCCCATTACATTCTTCCAATTGTTTCAGTAAGAAGACATGAGAAGTGCCATGTAAATGTCTTTGTAAACTCTTTCTAGAAAGAAAAAAACTCAAAACGCACAAACATCTTTTATAAACTATAGACATTTTACTTATACTGATGATTGGTTCAATAATAGGAAAGTAATGAAGTAATTTGCTAATTATCTATCCTGGCTCCATGAAACAACTGGTCCTTCCTAAGGATGTTGGTGCATTATTCATAGTTGCCAAAGGAATGACAAAAGCCATAGAAAAGGAAGACACCCAAGAGACAGGAAGTGTCAGAAAGCAGTAAGTAATCTTATCTCAGATCTAGGTTTGGCCCAATATTATCAGTTACCAAGTGAAAAGAAGAGTGCAGAACCCTGCACCCATGTATTCCCTGGGGAGCAACACAGGAGTCTATTCAGAAAAAAATCCAGATTTCTCACAAAGGGGTTCCAGAGCTTTGAATTGTTGAGTAAAACTACATATTCACAAGTAATTACTAATACAAATAAAATGGAATTGTAATACCATGTACTTCTCAAATTTTCATCAGTTGACATTATATCAAAACATTTTCTTAAAAATATATCTGAGAGGGTTTACAATCAGGTCCCCAACCCTCCTGAAATGGAGCCTTTTTGAGAAGCCAGTCATACATTAATTCTATTGAAATAAATGCTTTACTTGTTAGTGAAACAAAACAGTTTGAATTCACTAAGGTCACACTAAACCAGGCCTTTGCTCTGAAGTTAAAGGCTCTAAATAGATCAAAACATTCTTTGTAATGCCCTTGAGTGATCCATTTATTGCACTTAACTTTCTCATTACTTAAATGCAAAAGACTAAAGTTGAAGAGGCCAAAACATACATTTGGAAATTTCAGAAAACATAATAGACCGAGAGAGATAATGTAATACTTCTCCATGAAGAGGAGAGCTTGAATATCTCGATTACAGCTTCGCTATCCATCCCTCACACATTCAAATCCAATATATGTGCTTTTATTAATGCGTGAGTGCAGAGATATGCATAACTGAATATTGATAAGGCAGGATACTGTATATTTATGAGGTTTTATATGTTTTCTCTTTATGTTTTATTTGTATTTATATCCAGTGCTGCATACTGTATATATGTGTTTATAAGTGTAGCAGCTACGAAAAGAAATAAGATTTTAATCGATTTCATAATATTTTGCAACCACATATACACTACCATCTATTTCACTGAATGTGCATTGGTATTCGGAGGAGTATGACACTTTCTACTGGTCTCAGTGAGAACTGGTAATAAATATCTTAGTGCTTAAGTGAGATTCTATAAACAACCTTGTGTTATAATGCAGCCATATCCTTGAAATTTTACATGCATAAAAGTCAGAAATTTGGAGTTGTCATAGTAACATTAATTCTGGCCCTTTCCAAAAGTGCAGTATTTTGTCATATAGCATAAAATGTTAATGGTTGTGTCTCTGTGACTCGGCAATGAGACTGAGTTACATTTGCCATGGAAATCATAAGTTTGGAGAGCTTTACTGTCGACATTTAAAATCAGAGGCATAACATGTTGCGCTAAATTTCCTTAATTAAAAAAAAATACAAGACACAGTAACAAACTGGACAAAAGGGTAAAGAACGATGATTATTATTTTTGAAGTGAATTGAACAAATGGAAGAAATAAACAGGAAGATGTTAAAACATTTGTTGGGAAGAACTTAGTGACCCAGACGTATTTATTCAAATACAGTAGACATTTGAACAAAGGCTCCTGTATCAAGTTTGGTGCATTTTGCCATGAAGATACGAGTCTCTGTTCACCATAAGCAACATCTGGATAAAATCCTGCAGCAAACAAACAAGGCAGAATGTCATTTTTCTGTACCAAGGGATCTATAAGAAGGAAATAAATAGTTGTCTTTTGGGGACAGGTTAAAAAGTACCTGTCTGAGACAGATACCTGATTGGGAGTGGTTTTTAAAATGTCTTTTCTAGCTCTATGGTTCTATACTCTTTAATACAAGTGAATATTTCTCAGTGTATATATAAAAACTGAAGCTATGAGCCGGATGCAATGCTGATGTTCATTGCACAGATGAAGGTAAAGGAAGTCTGAGTTGTAGGACTCTCTGCTGGAAGCACAGGAAAGTCAGGAGTTGTGATGAGATGGGAGAAGAGAGATAAAAATGGCCTTGTGTCTCCTCTGGCTGTCTCTCTGCCAGTTCTAAGGATGATGGCAGCATCTTAGATAAAGGTACCTTGGCACTAGAACTAAAAAGTGGCTTTACATGAAACCAAAGTTAACCTAAGCATATGTGGTCTTTCAAATGTGCTTATAGTGGTTTTGGTTCCTATGCTAGTCACATCTCTTTTGAGACCAGTGATGACAGTATAATACTGTCTTCACTCTTTTTTGGAACCCAAGTCAACCTACCCCTCTGCTTGTCTCATACTCTTTGTCCTTCTAAAACTATTACTTCTCCTGGCAACTTTCATACATCTTTTACTATAGTTCCCATCTACACAAGAATGTTTAGCCAGAATTCTATGAGAATCTGTGATAATATTGATTAGAATCTATCCATATAGCAAAGTTTCCTCATTTGATAGAAAAAAAAAGCCATACATTTTAAATAAAACACTTTTCTTTTGTAAGTACTATATTCTCTTGAGTCTAGGAGGGCTGGCTATTTGAATTGGTATGTGCATGGTAAGTGGTAATTTCCCCCTTTCCCCTCCAAAGAAAACTGTTGTTACGTTGATGACACACCTTGTAATTGGGGGCATCCTAGAATTCAGGAAATAGAACCATTTCCATATCCTTCCTAGTCTGCTTTGCTGGATAACTTATGAATTAGACCACACATAATTTGAAAAGGATGTATTCTATTTATTTACATTCTGAAATAGTTCTGGTGCATGATGCTATGAATGTGATTGCAATTGTTATTTTAATTTTAGTTCACTCCTAAACCCATTGTGATTTGATTCTTCACCTATTACACTCTGGTAGGTATCAAAGGTCACACCTACCACCCAATATCCACCATCCATGGAAATGTCCTCATCTTTACACTTCCTTGTCTATTACATTTCTGCTGAAACCATTAACCACACTTCCTTTCTAAATTTTTTCTCCTCCTTAGCTTTCCTTAAGTTATTTTTCGTTTTTAGTTTTTTTTACCCACCTATTCTCATGCTTTCCTTTATAGCTCCTCTGCCTCCTCCCACTCTTAAATCTCACCTCTTTCTAGAATTTTTATGTGCTTTTCCTATTACCTACTGAATTATTTTACCACTCTCTGAGCTATAATTATCATCTATATATGTGCTGCTCAATAAAATAACCACTAGCCACATAAACATAATGGTTATTTAAATTTAAATTAATTAAAATCAAGTAAATTTAAAATTCAGTTTTTCAGTCAGACTAGCCACATTCGAAGAATTCAGTAGCAGCCACATGGGCTAATGGCCTCCATATTGGCCAGCACTGATACAGAATAGTTTCATCACTGCAGAGTGTTCTGTAGGAAAGCATCGCTCTATATGTTACTGATTCCTAAATTGCATCTGAAGTCCAAACTCCCTTTTGAGGAAAAGACTTACAGTTTGCAAGCAGAGAAGTAAGGTGGGAAAGAAGTTCAGCATTCACTTATTCAGTTGTTTTGGCTAACATGAGATATTAAAATTTCGAGTTTGGAAATAGTTGGCAGCAGTGACACTTAACATTCTCTACCAAGACATATAAGATGAATGACAACCATTTGAACGCAGATTTTAATAACATCCAAAAAACTTTTACTGGGAGGTAATGTACTATGATGATTCAAAACCATTGCAAACTGTTCATGATATGAGAGCAATGGTCTTCAGCTTAGAGAAGATAGATTATACCTGGTAGACTATTTTCAAAACCACTTTGGAACATCAGCTCTTTTGTGTGCTTACATCTCCTTGGCATGTCAGGACATTTTAGTTGCCCTTCCTGAAATCCCTCTGAAACTATTCCTGAACTATCTCTGATCATGGCATTACCTTTTCTATGTCCCCTAGACTGGGAACCACATAGTCATCTTTGCTTCCTTCCCTTTTCTCATGCACCATATTCATTTGCCCATTAGATTTTGCTGGTTTTATTATTGTCCCTTGAATCCCACCTCCCATTCTCAGTCTCATGGCTACTTTAGAAAATCAAGCCTTTATCATGACTCAGCTGGATGACTATAACAGCTCCATCCCTTTTCTCACCAAATCCTTCAATTTTCCACTACTGGGTAGCAGCTGCAATCCTTTTATCCCCATATTTAAAAATATTTGCTTGATTCCTCAGGGCCTACTGACTTCTTAGCCTGGCACTCCTCAATGCCAACATTAGACTCCTTAATCTGGCTCTCTCGTAACCTCAAATTACTTTTTCCTTTGCCATTCATTACCATTCCCATCACACTACACCTCTTCCAAAACATTTCCCTTCATGGTTCTCGTCAAAAACTATTTTCTCCATGAAGCTTTTTCTGAGTTCTTACTTTTCACACCCCAATTTGTTGTGATCTCTAGCTCTTTATCTATGTCTATATCTAGATCAGGAATCAGCAAACTATAGCACTCAAGCCAAATCTAGCCTATCTCCCATTTCTGTACTAATTGTCAGCTGAGGATGATTGCTGTATTTTTAAATGGTTGAAAAAATAATCAAAAGAAAAATAATGTATCATGTGATAAGAAATTAAAAATTCAATGTCCATAAATAAAGTTTTATTGGAAAGCAGCTATACCCATTGATTTACATATTGTCTATGGGTGCTTTTGGCTACAACTGGTAGAGTCCAGTATAGCCCACAGAGACTAATTTACTTACTAACTGGCTTTTTATGGAAAAAGTTTGACAAACCTTGATCTATATTCATCTTTACATTTATATCTACGTATAATTTTTGAAATACCCATAACACTTTGTTTACATCTCTATCATTGTCACTTAGCTAAATTTACTTAACAGTTGCTTGTTTACTTATCTTTTTGACTACCCGATAAACTGTAAGCAACTTGAGAGCATACATATTAAATTTTTTATTAGTCTTTATTTCCCTTGCTAGCTAGCACTTAGCACAAGACCTTGCACATATAAGGCATTCACTAAATATCTTTATTGAAGTGATAACATATGATTTGTTATGCAAAATCACTTCAGTCTTAACTTTGATATGAATTATAGCACATTATGATATATACCTTTATATATACCCAGAGACACACACAGTACACATATATGTGCATAGTTATTTATACCTACATATAAATATTTATATGTGCACATAGTGTTTACAAACAGAAGCTTGCAACTTCTATGAGATAAAATTGATATGATAGCATGGAAATAGATTGCGGTGTTTGTCAAATATGGACACATATTATAAGTATTTTATATTTGAATTGTAACCTATGTTCCCAATCCAATTGTAATATTTTCCTTATCTGATAAATGCTTAATCCTATTGTAAGTGGTGGAAACGATCACTCATTTGGGCTCTCATATTTTCAGCATATTCAAACTTGTCACAATGTGCCTCTGACTATCAGTTAACACATTTGTTGGATGAAGAAATAAACACACAGCAAAAGTGTGCCGGTTGCAGGATGGTTTAATGCCATATAATACTTGTTTTTGCAGTCCAGAAAAATGTCAGTGAACTACCTTTTATAGAGTACATGCTTCGATTGTTGCCACATTGGCAAAAAAAAAAAAAAGGAGCTAAATAATTTCTTTTGGGCTTCTTCGGCCAAACTGTACACATTTTTTTTGAGAAGGTTGGCAGGAGTTAGAGCATGAGTCCATGGAACAGAGCCACACTGGTTGTTACCCAGAGAGCTTGGACCTACATCCTTGGCCCCAGGAGCATTGTAGTCTAAATTTTGGAAAGCCAAATTAGAGTGGAGGAATAAAGAGGCAGAAGTAGGGAAGAAGTTATAGTCAGCATCCTTTAATTTGTGGGTATAGGCTAAAATGTTAAGGATTGAAGTAGTTCGGCATGTAAGTATGAAGTGTTTGGGGCAGTGGTGGACTTTCAACATTTAGTTTGGAAATATTCTGAGTATTCTGTAGCTTTTACTCTCAAATTTTATTTTGCATCATGCAGTGGCTACATGATGAAAAGTGATTCCCATGCAGATACTAGCTAGACTTTGGCCTTCCCCTTATCATGGCCAGATGCCATCTTTGTATATCGTCCCCTAAACCATCCATTTGTAGGTGGAGATGTCCTACTGTAAACTCTTTCCACCCAACTGGTGATGTATGAGTAATGGGTTGCCTCTTGGATAGCATCAGCTGTGGATGGTATGCACTTCCCCAGGTTTGTGGGAATTCTAGCTCCTTCTGTCTTCTTCTACTCATGAGAACATGTTGGAACTCAATAAAGTAAAAAAAAAAAAAAAAAGAAAGGAAAAGAAAGAAAAAAAGCATTATTAAAAGGAATACTTTAAATTCACAAAGCATTTGCCAGTTTTAGTGCAGTTTTACTTGTGATAAGAAAATGTTGATTTTTTATAACTAATCCCAAATTTATATCTGCCTATACAATGTAATCGAGATTTGCTGATCTATAAAATCATTTTTATCTTATTGTCACAATCATCAATACCTTAAAAAAGCCTATTTTAATTACACAAATAATATGTTATTAATCCAGAAACACGAAAAATAAATTAAAAACATTTGCATCCTATTCCACTAGCCTGATGCTCTCATTGTAAATATTTTCCAGCTTGAGAAAGAAAAGCATATCTCATTGTTATTGTCTTTTACATTTCTAATATTATTCTTGGGGTTAAACAATTTTTGTGTTGTGACTGCTTAGTTTTCTTTTTGGTAAACTGTGTAGTAGAGTACAGTACAGACTTTGGAATTAGGATGTGTGAGTCCAGTTTTGGTTCTGGTATTTACTAGCTTTGCGGCCTCACACCCTGTATTTCAGCTTCTTTATTTATAAAATGGAGAAACCAAGAATATCTTCTGCACCAGTTTGCTATGAGGAATAAATGAGATCTTTTATGTAAAATACCTTAATACAGTTCCTGGTATATAAGTCTATAGATGCTCAAGAAGCTCAAGTGTGGGTACAACTATAGCTCGTCTTAAAACCATACCAGAGGCTCAGCAGAACCCTGGTATGAGGTGGGCCCAAGACATTTTCATATTGCATTTCAGAGATTAAACAAAAAATAAATTTTTAAAGGATGTCATATGGCTTCCTTTTATCTGTCCCTATGACACTTACCCATACCTGAATTGAATCCTGCCTTTTCAGAAAGAAACTCTTGGCCATAGAAGAAATTGCATTTGAAGAAAGCAAAACACTGCTAGAGCCAGAAGTCTACCTGAATGGTAGGAGTCTATAAGCGTGCGGGCAAAGAGGCTTAAGTCCCAACCTTGCCAATGGACACAGAGCCCATGTGGCCATGGGTATTTTAAAGACATTTTCTAATCCTGTGAGAACTTTTCATCCATCTGTGTGATTTTTGATTTAAGTGACCAGCTGCTTTAAAATAGACTAAGCATATGACATGGGCAGTCAGTACATCTTGAGAAGCAGGAGGGATTTTATTCATTTAAAATTGCATTTCCCTCATTCCTGCATGACTCACCCCTGTATTATCTTTCATCAGAGCATCAAATGTTACTAAGAAAGACTGTTTCCACTCCACTCTTAATCCAAATAAACAGCACCTTTTCATCTCTGAGCTGGCTTCTTCAGGCTGCTTATAGTTGCCTTCCTAGTGCCATTTAAATCTGGGTTGGTTTTCACTAGAGCTGCAGTAGGATAACAGAGCAAGAAGTTTCAAAGCAGATGTATCATGCCTCACAATGCAGGTGAGCAAGTACTTCAAGAGGTTTTGAACCTGGCTTTACCTCTGTTTTCTAGTGCTGACTGAAAAGCAATCAATGAGACAGGCTAGTTAAGAAATGAGTAATTGCAGAGATTCAGGAACACTTCATACTGGATTAGGTTATTTAGCACAGGTGTTTTAATGATTATAATATACTGAAAAACCTCACACTGCTGGGCGGCCCTCAGACTCACAGTGGTTGCCTCTTGGTTGGGCCCAGTTCTGCCCTTGAAGACAAGGGGAATTGTGAGCCTGCAGGAATTTTAAAGCCATGCCTCAGACGAAATCAGATAGTATTTGAGTTCTGGCAGCTGCTACACCTTTGTCTGGGTTGAGCTTGAAAGCCTGTGCTTTCTGAAGGCATTTCTTTGTATCTGCATTTACAATTAGTATGTTGAAAAAGAGGGATGGAAGGGAGACCTGCACACAATATGGGAATCAGAGAAACTCTGAAACGCCATGCATTGCATTTTTTCCCAAGGAGTCACAGGAACACACGAAGCACAGGTGGTAACGTGATGGTGATGGAGGGGAGGGTGAATGTAAGGGGGGTGATAATTGATGGGGGCCCGGAGTCCAGACTGCAGCTGTCCCCAGGTGCACCCAACTGCATCTGTTCTTCTGCAATGTACTACACAGTAGCAGATTTTGGATTATTTAAGCAGGGGGAAAACAAATCAGGAAAGTTAACAAAGCTCTTGGAGGAGGAAGGTGAGGAGGTGTGATTACCACATATGAGGAAGGAAGCCTTCAGGAAGGGAATAAATTGGATCGGGGGTTTGGCACCCAGCACCAGAGACACCTCCCATCATATCACCTGTGAACTCTGTGGTTCTGAGAAGGGTGAGCAGGTGGAGAGCTCATTGGCTCCAGACTGTCCCACTCTTGTGCAAGTTTGGATTTTATCATGTGGTGGATTTGTGTCAACACATGGAGGGGAATTATAAAACTGAGATAAAGTTGTACTCCTTCTATCTTCTTCTTTTTTCATCTTTATTAAGAGTACAGGAAGACAATAGAACTATCTGCAGCTACCAGGAATGTTCTTCCAAGCCAGTGTTCCCCCAAGTCTCTCTAATGCAATGATATTGGTAAAAGAAATAAATTCATTTACTGGATGTGATACTTAATGCAGGCCTGAGGCTGGAGTCCCACTGTCTGTCCTGAGTCAGTGAGGAGGAAGGCCAAATTGACAACATTGGGATGATGGGAAATTCAAGCCATTTGTCATCCACAATTCAGATCATATGATATATTTCAAGATTCCTCCTGATGTAGTTATATTGGAAAAGTCTTGAAAGGTCTTCACAATGTGACAGTAAAATCTGACAGTGAGGGAAGCTGGTTATTTCTTTTCTTTTCTTTATTTTTTTGATATGACTTTTCAAAGGTGGCGTTAAAGATTTACCTGTTTTGATTTAGGGGACCATAACGACATTGCAGGAGAAATAAGGTCAAGATGTAATAGGGAGTTGTCATACTGTCTCATGATTCTTCTTACGTTAAATAACTTTGGCAGATAATCCTCCCATGGAGTAGGTGGGGAGCAGGACAGGAGCAGTGCTGAAGGAGAGGGATGGCAGACCCATGCAAAGGGTATTCTCTGGACCTTAAGAGTGTACGATTATGACGCTAAACGAGTTACTATAAAGAGCAAAGGCTCTACCTGGAATTCTAACAATAGTTCACCATAATACTGGAACTTGAATTGTAACTCCTGTGCTATTAAAATATATCAGTTGGTATATACCCAGTAATGGGATGGCTGGGTCAAATGGTATTTCTAGTTCTAGATCCCTGAGGAATCGCCACACTGACTTCCACAATGGTTGAACTAGTTTACAGTCCCACCAACAGTGTAAAAGTATTCCTATTTCTCCACATCCTCTCCAGCACCTGTTGTTTCCTGACTTTTTAATGACTGCCATTCTAACTGGTGTGAGATGGTATCTCATTGTGGTTTTGATTTGCATTTCTCTGATGGCCAGTGATGATGAGCATTTTTTCATGTATAACAAACCTGCACGTTGTGCACATGCACCCTAAAACTTAAAGAATAAAAAAAAATAAATAAGATATATCAATTGGTGTATTTAGTATATTCAATATACTAAGCATACTTTTTTAGCTATATGGACAAAAACATAAGGCTTCTATATCAAGAAAAATGAGACTGAAGCAAAGAAAACCAGTCTATAGAATGCTTTGAAATAAGTAGATTTACTTCAGATCGAGAAACAACACTTTTGTATATAGTGGTATAACCCAGGTGGTACAAATGGTTAAAAGGTGTTCTTGATTGATTCTTTGGTAAACTCACTCAGTCCATCAGTTACCATGCTTTTGGCTGCAAGTAACTTTTAAAAATGAATTAAATAATAAGAATAATTTGTATGGTCACAAAACAGGAGCACTGGAAATAGACATTTCCACGACTTGTTAATTCAGTGTCCCGAGATGATCCCAGTGACCCAGATTCTTTCCCTGATCCATTCTCTCATCCTCTGTTGGTATTTCCCCTCAGTTTGTTTCCTCAGGGACACAAAGTAACGGCTGTGACCCTAGGTGTCGTGTCTTCACACAACCACATGGAGTGGCAGAGAAAAGGAAAGTTCTCCTTAAACGTTTCTTTTTATCAGAGAAGGAACTTTTTGGGGAGAAACTCCTTAGGAGACTTCCCTGTAAGTTTCGTTAGCCAGGGTTGTATCACAGGCCATTGCCTTAGTCAGTCTCTTGCATGATGAATCAAATTACCAAGAATGCTTATACTAATTGAGTCATTGTGCATGTAAGTTTTTGAACAAACCAAAAAAAAAAAAAAAACAAAACACCGCTCACACACACACGTTTCATCCTGGGAACATTTCTATATGCAAAAACTGCATGGCGTAATCCTAAGAGAATTATTTTCACTTACGAAATTATTATCTGACAACAAAAAAGATGATTAAAAAGTAGAATAAATTGCATAGTATGATGCACACAGAATGCTATTGTTGCAATAAATTGTAAGCTTCATGAGAGTAGAAACTTTCTGTCTTGTGTGATGTATCTCCAGTGTGGAGAATAATGCCTGAAACATAATGGATGTACAATCAACATTTGTTGAAGACATGGATCCTTGTTTCTTAGCCATTGCAGAGCCCCACTAAATGCCTCACTCCTGTTCTGCTTCTTTCATTCACGCACTTCCCTCCAGATCTGGCCTATCCTGGACCATCAGGATGTGTGTCCCGGGAATGTGTGCACCACCAGATTCCTCAGCCAGTATCTGTGCCTCATCCCGTTCCTCACTTCATTATTGATGTCTGTTTTTCCACCAACTCCAGTGGTAATCTCCCCTCCCTCACCAAGGGGTTTTCTCATTATTTCCAAGAGTCTTTGACAATATCTCAGGGTACTCATGAACGTGTCTCCCATATCTTAAATTCTATCTCTCTCAGTGGTAGGTTACCTGGGAAGCATTTGAGAGGGCTGTCTCACTCGGGCCACAGTGTCCAGTACCCACCCTGAGGTCATACTTACCTGTTGTGAGGGTGCTGCCTCCGGTGCCCTCAGATCCACATGCCTTCCCTTAGAATATCAAGCAGTGCTGAATTCCCTGTGGTCCTCACAGCCTTGAGGACACAGTGTGATCCATATAGAAAAATCAAGAAAGCTCCCCTTCCCATGGTGTCACAGCTTCTCACGTATCCACCAACTAGAACTTCTTATCTTTGTTGTCTACCAGAGTTCTTTGGTTTCTTCCTATGACACATAGAGCTCTGGCAGGATTCTTTGGGATGGGGCTGGGGAACAGACACCACATAATCAATTTTGTTTTCTCTACTTCTTGTTTCTGCTGACCTTTGTACTGGAAGTCATTATTTTTCCACTCTTTCCTTCTGCATTCCCCAAAGTTCATGTGTTGAAACTTAATCACCAATGTGATATTATGAAGAAATGGAGGCTTTAGGAGGTGATTAAGTCATAAGGGCAGAGCCGTCGTAAATAGGATTACTAACCTCATAAAAGAGGTGGAAGGGAGTGCCCCTTTTTGCCCTTTTATCTCTTCTGTCAGATGAGGACACCTAGGTGGTGCCATCTGTGAGGAATGGGCCCTGACCACTCACCAAACCTGCTGGAGCCTTGATCTTGGACTGCCCAGCCTTCAGAACTGGGAGAAATAATGTCCGTTGTTCATAAATTACCCAGTCTAAGATATTTGCTACAGCAGCCAGAATAGAATAAGACACCTTCCCCCATTTCCTAAGATACAACTACATGAATTTTATACAGACTCAGCCAGGAAAATACACTCATAATTCTTCCTTTTCTCCCTTCCCAAAGACGAAGGTGTTTACTGCAAAAACAAAGAGGTCTTGAACAGGAAGAAGAAGATATCAGAACCACCTATAGAAAAGACTCAATCCTATACTAGCTAGGCATCCTTTCATTCCATAGTTGTTTGTGAGGCCCTTAAATGCCACTGTGGTAGGAGCTTTGAGTGCCCTGCACACATTCTCTTAGCTTTGGCCTCTACATGTTTCCAAAACCGCTTATGAAAGCACTTTCAGTGCTCTCCAGAGGCTTTTTCTCTGGAAGGTTGGGTGGCCCAACCACAGGGCAGGCTGAAGAGTGCGAATGACTCTAGAAGCAGTGCCCAAAAGGCACATGGGAACTGGCGAATAAATACCTGCTCTCCATATTCCTCAGCTGGGATAACTCTGAGGTGTTTCCTATATTATCTCCCACAGTTCCCTGGAAGGATTGACTCTCAGTTGTCCGCAGCAAGTATCTGCTTGATAATGCATGCCTTATGGGATTTTTCTCCTCCTTGTCTCATGTACCCATTCCTTTTCCAGTTTCCTGGGATCATGTTCCAAATATACTTCCTGCCCTCAAATCCTTATGTCAGGATCTGCTTCTGGGAACCAAGTCAAGACAGATACTAAAGGGTATTAAGTCTATCAGGATTAATTTTTAAAAATTCTCACTCTGAAATGTACTTACATGGACACGGTTGTGATATCTCTATTATGGATCAAATTCAAGCACGTTTAGAGAAATATAAATTCTACATGTTAGTTTCAGCAAAGGGCATGAGATATTTTGGAGACACACACACACACACACACACACACACACACACACAGACACGCACATACAGATACACACAAGATAACATGAATGTGAATATTTCTAAGAATAATACCTTGAGTTTTTAGTGACATTTTCTGCCTTGTTTACAAGATGTATTCTTACAATATAAATGTACAGGAGGTTTTCTTTAAAAATTTTGACTTTCTTATGTAGTGCTTCTGTTGTTGACAGTAACTCCAACTGCCTCTTGTTTGTAACTGAAGTTCATACAACAGACTATGAGCCAAAGTTAGTGATTAACTGTTTGGAAAGAATCTCCCAAAATACACTTGTTTGTAATATGTCTTGCTTTTGTGTCTCAGGTGTAAAATAATTGGCATTTTATGCCCAATTTGCCTTTTGCAAACGGTATGTTGTGCAGTGAGACTTGAGTGTCTTCGTAGGACACATTTTCAGAATAGTAGTTCAAGGCACTTTCATAATCCCGTCACCTGGAGGACAGACTTCTCATTTCCCACCGCTATTTTCATCCAGGTCATCATAAAAATGTTCAATTTTCCTTCTGGAGTAGACTGATTCAATTTTAAATATAACAATTTATGAAGTGTACATTATCTTCTCCCAGAGTAATATTCTCTGACAGTAACCTCAACTGTTTTTCTTTTCCAGAGATAAAATGATGTTTTAATAATTCCAAGTGGTTTCAATAAGCGAATCTAACACTGCTGCTTTCTTTTGATGGTATAAATTGGAGACCAAATGGCTTATTTAGACACACTGCTGTGCCTTTATTAAAGTACATATATTTGTATTAAAAATATATAGTTAAAATTAGATAATGTGCACAACAGATGCCTCAGTTATATGCTCTATTCCTGAACATTGTCCTATTTCTGGCAAAGAGTTCCAAGTTTTCATACTCTTACTACGAACTAAAGGATTAACTGAGACCACCCTGTCTCAAATACCAGAATCTCTGGTTTGCGAAATGTGTCCTCTTTTGGGAGGGAGGTTCAAGTGTCATTCTTGTGCTAGGCATGCAATTTTTACTTCCCCTGACTCTTTTCATTTTAATGGCATCTCTCGCCCAACCTCTTGCACTACTTCTATTGTGTATTTAATTGATCTAGAATGGACTCGGTCTCTACTCTTGGTTCCAAGACTTCCCATTCTCCACCCAGATAATAATTTCCTGGAACACTCTCTTTGTTGTATGGGGCTGATTTTATTGAAAATTTGGTGCAGTAGAGGACATTTACATCACAGAAACATAGTCACTTTGTATTAGATGTTTAGACATCCTTATACATAAAGGCAGTTTAGATACTCCCCACTCTGGGATATTTCTCTGATCATACCTTCCTACACAGTGCCCTGGCCTGAACACTGTTAATCTGCTTTCCTACCCCTTTTTTTCCCTCACATCAGTCTCAGCAAAACAAGCCCAATTTATTGCATTTTATTCCACTGAGAAATGCAACCGATTTTTTGTTCTCTCCTCTTCTGTGGGTCTATCTTTTCACACCTAAATGGCCCCTCATGAGATTTTGTTAAGTAGACACAGTTCCCTCCCTAAGAGGGATTCTCATGCCAGCTCTTAAGACAATTGGTTTTCCTTTTACTCTGCCATGAGAGCTTTGTAACCAGTCTTCTCAAATCCTGCCTTGCTTCACACCAGACTCCACATGTTTTTAAACCGTAAACTTGATCTTGTCTCTGATCCTCTGTTTTAAACCTTCCCACTGTTCTTGCGCCATTGCTCAAAGCTTCCTTCCTGGTGCTGTGCAGCAGAGGGGAACAGCAGCCACCGCAGAAGCTCCTAGAAACATCTCCTCAAAAAACTAAAAATTTTAATCTGTAATAAAGCAAGAAAAAGTGTTGCCTTAATATACTGGTGGAAATACACTGCAGCTGGGGGAAGACAACAGAAGGGAAAAACAAAAAATAGACCTCAACTTCTGGGGAGGGGAGGGCCTGCGTGACAGCTCAGCGTTCAGCTGGGAGAGGGGCAGGAGAATTTGTGAAGGTCCCCACCCGTACTCTTGCCAGACTCAGGGACACTATGCCTATCTAGAATTGAGGATTAATCAGAGCATCAGAAAATGCCTTCCCTCCTCCACTACCCCGACACCAGGCTGACAAACATCAAGTAATAATCACAGTGAAATAGACCTGTGAGAGCTGCAAGAGACAGATTGTCTTTGGAGAGCAGTATAAAGGGAAGACCGAAATCCAACTGGGAAGTAAATGCCAAGGAAATGACCTTTTAGAAGCCAGCACCAGCCTAAAGAGATGGTATGACTAGCAGAATTTAAAGTCTGAAGTACAATAAGGGTAACTATACCAATAACAAACCTGGCAACCAGCCAACTCCTGAGTAGATTACATAAACCTTCAGCACTAAAGGCCCAGCAGAAGGAAAGGTATGCTCATCTCCAAGCATAAAATATAGTTACCGTAGTATTCACTGTTTTACACTAGATGAGCAGCTTTCAACAAAAATATGTGTGACATATGCAAAGGCAAGTAAAGCACACTTGGAAGAGACAAAGCAATCATCAGAAACAGACTCAGATGTGACACAGACAGTGTGGTATTGGCAAAAAGACAAATACGTAGACCAGATAAATAAATACAAAGCTCAAAGATAGACCCACTTAAGTACAGTCAACATATTTTTTGGCAAATGTGCAAAGGCAATTTAAGGCAGAGAAGATGGTTGAAAAACAAATGATGAGGAAACACTTGATATCCACACGTAAAAAACAAATATAAAGAGGCTCAACATACATCTCAAACTTTACACAAAATAACCAAAAGAGATCATTGACTTAAATGTAAAATATAAAACCATAAAACCTCTAGAAGAAAATTAATGTAACCTTTGGTTTGGCAAAAAGATATTTAGTTATGAAACCAAAAGCAAAATCTATACAAGAAAAATATATTGATAAACTGAGCTTTATTAAAATTATAAACCTTTATTCTTTGAAAAATACCATTAAGAGATTGAAAAGAAAGCCCGTTGTGATGGTTACTATTGAGTATCAACTTGACTGGATAGAAAGAGGCAAAGTATTGATCCTGGGTGTGTCTGTGAGGGTGTTGCCAAGGGAGATTAACATTTGAGTCAATGGACTAGGAGAAGCAGAATCACACCCTCAGTCTGGATGGGCACAATCTAATCAGCTGCCAGTGTGGCCAGAAGAAAAGCAGGCAGAACGTGGAAAGACCAGACTGGTTTAGTCTTCTGGTCTACATCTTTCTCCCATGCTGGATGTTTTCTGCCCTTGAATATTGGACTCCAAAGTTCTTCAGCTTTGGGATTCAACTGGCTTCCTTGCTCCTCAGCTTGCAGAGAGCCTATTGTGCGACCTCACCTTGTGATCGTGTGAGTTAATACACCTTAAAAAACTCCCCTTTATATATACATCTATCCTATTTTTTCTGTCCCTCTAGAGAACCCCAACTAATACGCCCGTAGACTGGACATGTCTAATAGGATACTTGCATCCAGAATATGTTAAAAAAATTCTGAAAACCCAACAATATAAAAACAAACAGCCAACTTAAAAAATGGGCAAACATTTGAACAAACACTTTATTAGAAAAGATCTATAAAAGACAAATAAGGATAAAGTAATATGCTCAACAATCATTAGTTTTCAAGAGAATGCAATATAAGATAACAATGAGATGCCATTACACTAAGATAGTTAAAACAAAGCAAAACAAAACAAAACTGACAATCCCAAATGCTGATGATGATGCAGAGTAACAGGAACTCTAGTTCTAGTGGAATGCAAGATGATATTGTCACTGTGGAAAACAGTTTGGCAGTTTCTTATGATGTTAAGCATGCACCTGTCACATGACTTACCAATCCTACTCTTAGGTATTTAACGAAGTCAGTTGAAAACTTTACAGAAAAAACATGTACGTGAATGTTTATAAAAGCCTTATATATAATTGCTAAAAAATTGGAAACAGCTCAGATGTCCTGCAACAGGAGAATGGATTAGCAAACTGTAGTTTATGCTTGAAATGCAATATGTATCAGCAATAATAAGGAACAAATTGTGGATTCATGCAATGACATGAATGAGTGTTAAATTCATTTTATTTAATAAAAGAAGTTAGATATAGAAGTCTACATGTTATGTGAGTCCTTTTATATAACATTTTATATAACATTCTGGAAAAGGCAAAGTTATAGCCATAGAAAGCAGATCAGTATTGAGAGAGTAGAGACAGAGGTGAACTACAAAGGAGTAGCATGAGAGATTTTAGGGGTGATGCTCTGAATGGTATTGTGATGGTGTATATATGGCTCTATGCATTTGTCAAACCCATAGAACCGTACATCACAAAAAATTAATTTTACTTATGCAAATTCAAAAAATTAACCAGGATGCCAGGGGAAGCCAAGAAGGAACACAGAATGTAAAAACAAACGTACAATACAAGAATTAAAAGTGGTAAGGAAGAAAGGAGCAGATGATGGAAATTTAAAGAACATTACTTTAACTGGATGCTATAAGTCCTTTGTGCAAAAGGGCTGTACACAAACTGTTTACTCTAATTGAGAAATTGCTTCCCACAGTGATATAGATTAGCAATTCTAAAACTAGTTCACACGTATACTAAGTTTGAACAAAAAAAAATTCATATAGTGGAAAACAAATGCTATACTTTTCATTGCCAGCGAATGAAGTTTACAAATAAGTAGGGGGAAGTCTACAAAGATCTCTGTGGTTCTAGATCAGATTCAGAGATATCAGTATGAATTTGTTTGTTTTAATATATATATATAGTTAAATACACAAATAATTATGTATATATATATATGTGTGTTTATTTATCAATTACTGCACATACATATATTCCCTGAGAGGGACAGGCAGCAGTGACACCTTAGTAGCAAGAAACATACTTAGTGCCCAGAACATTGTTTCTAAATGCCATTCACCAATAAAAGGAATCAGGGATTCCTGGAGAAAGAGTAGAGGCAGGAAAAATACAACATGAGATTGGAGCACCTTGTGGTTAAGAAAGTGATAAAAAAAAAATTTAAAAGAATATAACAGTCAGTAACCTTAAAGAGCCCCCAATGGCCAAAGCTACAACAATTTGAGCAATGAAAATAAATAGCAGTAGTACTGGATTATAGCCCAAAGGAGGAAATAGATATTTATGAGAGCATATTTATATAAATAAATGAATAAAAACTTTCTTACACAGAAATTCCCAATAATAAATACAGGAAGAATAAGAGAAATAGAAAATTATTACTAGAACACTATAGTAATAATTGCTCAGCCAAGACACATTAATGAATGCTAAAATGAGTGGGGCAAAAGTTAAAGGAGAAACTTTTGCATCACCCCAAAGTATCTCTCCAAAATATTCATTAATTACTATGGTGGTTTTCATCACATTCATGAATTCTTTGATTCATCTTCCTCCAGGAAGGAAAGCTTATTTCTTCTTTCCTTGGGTAAGGGCTGGAACTAGTGACTCACTTCTAATCAATAGAGTAGGAAAAGAAAAAAGATAACACGTTACAGTGGAGAAAACTGGCAGAAAACTATCTTAACCAAGCCATCATGGTGAATATCACCAATAATAAAGCATAGCAATATCATATACCTCCTGATATGATGCACTGAGAGGGCCATCTCACCTGTGTGATATTCTTCTCCAAGTCTCATAATCTTAGTCTAATCATGGGAACACATCAGACAAACTCAACTTGAAGTACATTCTACACATTTTCTGAGCAGTATTCAAAAAGTTCAAGGTCATGAAAAACAATGATAAATTGAGTAACTGTGCCAGATTGGAGCAAACTAAGAAGATGCAGCAATTAAATGCTATGTGAATCCTGAGTTGGACCCTAGAATGAAAAACGGACATTAGTGGAAAACTAGTTGTATTAGTCTGTTCTCACACTGCTAATAAAGACATACCTAACACTAGGTAATTTATAAAGGAAAGAGGTTTAGTGGACTCACAGTTCCACATAGCTGGGGAGGCCTTACAATCATGGCAGAAGATGAAGGAAGAGCAAAGGGACGTTTTACATGGCAAGAGAGAGAACTTGTGCAGGGAAACTCCCCTTTATAAAACCATCAGATCTTGCGAGACTTACTCACCATCACAAGAACAGCATGGGAAAGACTCAATCCCATGATTCAATTACCTCCCCCTGGGTCCCTCCCATGACATATGGGAATTATGGGAGCTACAATTCAAGATTTGGGTGGGGAACCTTCCAAATCTTATTACTAGTGAATCTGAATAAAGTCTAATTTAGTTAATGGTATTGTACCAATATTAATTTCTTACTTTTGATCATTGTATCATGGTTATGTAAGATGTTAACCTTAAGAGAAGCTTGGTGAAAGGTGTATAGGAATTCTATATACACCCTTACCTTCCTCTGTAAATAAAAAATAATTTCAAAATAAACAGTTATTTTTTAAAAAAGGATTACAACGTTTTTGAAGCTTTAAACTTCGGAGTTTTTCACTTCTGAGGACCAAGAAGCAAATAGCAAAGAGTTTCTTGGTCCTCAGCAAGATCATCAAGATGGCTACAAGGAGCTATTTTCTTTTTCATGGAGAATACTGATCCTGCCCTTTGAATAATCTTAGCATCAAGAGTAATAATAACAACAGTAGTTTACATTTGTTGAGTGCTTACTACACACCAGCCACCTTGCCAAATATTTTGCTTAGATATCCTCTCATTTCATACTTGCACTAGTCTTATGAAGACATTCTACCCAATGTTATAGATGTGGAAACTGAGGCAAAGTGAAGTTATGCTGAAGGCTACATAATAAATAGCTGTTGAGCAAAATGGGATTCAAACTACTCAAGATGCCTAGCTCCTAACTCATGCTAATAATAATAATAATTTGAGTAAGTAATATGTGCTATAGAATCTACTAATTTTTCAAGAGTGTTATTTTGTTTAATCTGTCTGAGAGGTTGTCATTTTCACTGTCTTCAGTTTATTGATGGGGAAACTAAACCCTGGACAGGAAGCACCTTGCTAAGATCCATATCTAGAGATCTTAAGACTTCACTCTTAATTCCTAGTCTGCCTCACTATCTTTACAAAGATGTGTCTTTTCCTGCTGCTACTGCTAAACTCAGGGGCTACACCATGATATGATTTTTAAAATGATAAAACTGTGTTCTAATGTTCACCCTGATTCCAATTGCTTTGAAATCAAAGTGATTTAAAATTGTTCTTTTTAAGTGCCATGACACCCAGGATGCAGCTGTAGGAACACCACTGGGTCCCTGGATGTCATGGTAAGGGTTTCACATAATATTTCACATCATGACTCCATCTAAAAACTCCCCACCTACCAGCCTGTGTTGCAGGCAGTTTTTATCAGTACAAACTGTTAGTACTCTTTATGTCACAGTGCCTTCCTTTCAAAAGGCAATCTAACAGAGGAATTTTCTTTCTATTTTTATGCTCTGAAGTAAGCCCTTAAGTAAAAGTGCCATCAAATGATTTCTCAGAAATTATAAAGAAACAAAAGGACCATAAACAAGATAAGGTGGCATGAGGAAACATTACAAGTACCTTTCAGAGCTGACTGGCAAAGAAACTCCTGAGGTGACGGGTAAGGATGAGTTTGCCTCTGCTGCATGTTGCCTTTCAGGCTTACTGCTTTCTAGAGTTCAGTCCTTGCATTGAACTTCAGGGAGCCATTTTGCACAGGAAGGGGCTGTTACACCCATATCATTGCTGTCATTGATTTAGCTAAATATATCTTGGGGTCCCTCACCTTCATCTCCATAAGGGCCTATCTGCAGGAAAAGAGCCCACCGCCAAGTGTAAGAAAACAGTGGTGCCCTATAACTTTGCAACCAGGTACCATAAGCCAAGGACGTTGAGGGATGATGAAACCAGACTGGGAGGTGAAGCACCATAGGTTCCAGAAATAGAATGTACTTGAAAGTAGAAAAATTCACTATTGTTAATAACCATGGCTCAAGAGAAGCCTTTTATATTCTGTTTTTTTAAATTGGATACCCCTTATTCATGAACTGATAGAAGGGAAGTGTTTATAATATAAAATAGCAATCCATTTAGTCATCAACAAATATTTACTGAACACTCACCATGAACTAGGCATTATGCCGGATGCAGGGATAGAAAGAATTGTAAGACATAGTCTCTGTTTTTGAGGACTCATCCTTTGTTGGGGAAGATGAACTTGAAAACAAATAATTGAAATTCAGTGTGATATGTCTCAATACAAGGTAGGTACCAGTTTGTTGAAAGGACCAAAAGAGGGTGTGATTTTCCCTGCTCAGGAAAGATTTTCCGTGAAGATTTTTTTTTCTCATGGGGATAAAATAATTATTAGTGTTAAACTATTTGGTAAGATAGTTTTACATGAACCTGCAAGGATGGTGCCATCTATTGTCAGACATAAAATTAATTTGAAGTTAAATTAGTCCTGTCTTTACTGCTTTTTTTATCTATTCAATATAATTAAGCCAGCTCTCTTGTGCTCTTACCCTCTTAGACAGGAAAAGGCCTTCTGATCTACTCCTGCCCCAACTTATTCCAGAATGGTGGCATGCATTTTCACCTGTACAATAGTGCTACGTTCCTAAAATGTGCTTGTTTGTGTCTCATTTCTGCGTCTTTGCATATACCATTTTTCCCATCTGGATTGTCTTCAAAAATGCCTAACAAAACCCAATCTATCATTTTACAGTTCTACCCCAATATTACTTCTTCGAAGAGCAACCTAACTGTAAGTACAGCCTTTCTTTTGAATGCCTAGAGGGCATTGTTTATGTCTCCTTAATTTCACTGCTCACACACTTCCTTAGCATGCAGATATTTACACCTCTACCCTATACATGATTTCAGACTTTTTCAGTAGTCAACTGGAACATTGAATTCAAGATATTTGGCAAATAAATGCACTTATAGAAAGTGATGGTGAGAAGTTGCTAGAAAACTGAGACCCGACCAACTGTGAACAAGCCAAGAAAGATAGATACAAAGAGAAGATACATTCCAGAATTACCCAGTGAAGAATGGGGTGTGAAGGCATTGTGCCTTCTCAAATATCTGGTAGGACCCAGTCAGGGCCAGATTCATGGTCATGCAACCTGTGCAGTCACAGAGCATTCCAGGGTTCATTTAACCTTCTGCTATTGACATCTTGAAATTCTTAATAATTTTTAACAAGGGGATCTGCATTTTCATTTAGCACTAAGTCTTGCAGATTATATAGTTGGTCTTGCACTCAGTTTAGGAAATGATTTCAAGATTCAGAAGAGTTAGCAAGAACCGGTAAACATTGACCCTTGTTTATAGCCTGGCAATGTACAATTGAAGAAATCAAGATGATCTGCATCATGTTGCTGTGGGGGTCATGAGGCTATTATTTCCTTTCTACCCTGCTACTAACCCTCACTATCCCCTTCCCTCTAAAACAATTCCATGCCTCTAGTTAGCTGGAGAAAATGGATGTAAGATGGTATATTAGTTTGGTAGAGCTGTCATAGCAAAGTACCACACGCTTGTTGCCTTAAACAACAGAAATTTATTGTCTCGCAGCTCTGGAGGCTAGAAGTCCAAGATCACGGTTGGTTCCTTCGTGGTTGTGAGGGAGAATTTGTTCCTGCCTCTCTTCTAGCTTCTGGTAGCATTGGCATTTGTTGTCTTGTAGATGGTGTCTTCCCTGTGTCTTTACATCTGAATGTGTCTGTCAGTGGCTACAGTTCTCCTATATATAAGGACAGCTCTGCTACAGGATTAGGGCCCACCCTAATTACTTCATTTTAACTTGATTATCTCTATGAATACCCAACTCCCAAATGGGGTCATATTCTGAAATACTAGGGGCTAGGACTTATGACATCATTTTTTTTGGAGGGGGATATAATTCAACCTATAGCAGGAGGATTTTGTCATACAGAATTATTATTTGTATTTAATTGAAATTAAATATCTCAATTTTCTGTCCTATTAAAAGGAAATTTCCTACTCCTTTCCCTTAGAATTTTACTGTTCAGAGGGGATTAAAATCACCGTTCTATCATCACATACAAGGTGTCATTAGGATGTCATTAGGATGGTTTCCCCATCCACTCTCACCCTCATGCCAGGAGGTAACGTATACATCAGGTTGACTCCTGAACCCACATGGTTTAGCCACATGAGTGGCACAGCCATCTAGAACTGGAAGGAACACTAAAGGTAACTTAGTAGGGCATCTTTACTTTACTAATAAAGAAATCCAGGTCCAAGAGGTTAAAATAGTTTGCCTCAGAGTGCTCAGCTAATTAAGGGTTGAAGTGGGATCAAAGTCACGTCATTCAACTATGAATATAGAAGCTTTTCAGTGTATTTTTGTTTCCACATATTCACATCCAAAAATAAATATTCTAAAAACTTTAGAAAAAAAAAGTTCAAATACACAGCACATGTATTCCCTCTCCAATGTTTACGACAAAGGTAAAAGCCTTAAAAATGCTCGCAGGTGCCATACAGATGATGGAAGTGAAGTAAGAAGGCAGGGTATCAGTAATAGAGAGTTCAGCAAACTGAAGAGCACAAGCCCTTCCCATGAAAGGGATGGAAGGCAGTAACCATTTCTCAGCCCAGCGGCTTACTGCCCTGTGGAATTACATGCTCACTTTTCCAGATCTTCTGATATCTAAAGGAAACCTAATGATCTGGATTTTATTTAGAATACTCAAATTTTAAGTGTGTTGTAAAAAATATACAAATTCAAAGAAGCACTGTATAGTCAGAATTTTTCAGGGGGCTTGCCCGGTTTGAAACCTATTTCATATCTTCTCCTCTTTTCTTACTTTTCCAATAATCCCTTTACTCCTTGGATGGTTGCTAGGTTTAGGAACAAAAAGGCATTCCTCAGGAACAAACGTAATCACCTTTGGCAATACGTATTTAAGGCTTTCTGTTGGATTTCCTCAAGCGTTCTTTCAAGGCTTTTCACTCTCCTAGTACATATGCTGTTGTTCATTTTCAAGGTTGGTATGTAATAGTAGTAAAGTTGGTGTAGTTAGTAATTAATGGGTCTAAATTATCTGTCGTCTTAGTATTTGAATGTCAAAAAGGTTTTATGAGAAGGATATACATTTTTCAGTTTGGGGTTAAAAATTCCACTTCTTTGAGATAAGCATCGACTTCAAGTGTTTTAGGGCATGGAGGCCATCTAACGTTTAGTGCTATATAGTGTGTACAGGTGGCTTATCATAAAATGGTAACAATGCTGGCTCAAACTTAATGTACTTACCCTTTTCTTAATTCTCCAGGCAGGGTATTTTTTTTTCTTTTAATCTCTAATTTCACTCACCAAGACTGAGTGTTAAATCTATTTTTTTTTTCTTCGAAGAAGAGGTCAATCACTCAAACCACCACAAAAGCCTATCTGTTTTACATTTATTCAATGACTCCTTTACTTCCATTCGATTTTCTACCTGTATAAAGTTATCCTCTTTGGTTTGTCTGTTAGCATTATGAAGGTGGCATGTGTGTATTTTCTATTATAGAAGGAGTGACTTTTGGCCTTTGGGGCACTTGACCTAAAGGTATTATTCCTTAGACAACTTACAATGGCTTCTTTTCCTTTCTTTCTTTTTCCCTTATTAGGCACGCAGGCACTCTGGTGGTGTTTTTCATTCTTCACAGCGCAGAAATTGTGTGAAAGACAATAGGCTTGTTTCTAATTTGGTGTTTCCGAAAGCTTGGCAAAATAGAAATAAGACTGTATTCAAAAGTTGAAAAAGAGCATGTAAATAGCAATAACTGAAATTTGTGATTAAACAATTAACAAAAAAGAACCCTATGAAGTCATTAAAAGTATAAAGAGGGAGGCACTTCCTGCTTTATCATTACTGGGTTGAGCTGTTATTATTTAACACTGATTGAGCACCAGCCACGTGGGAGCCATTCTGTGAACAGCAGAGTTGGAAACAGTCACTTTCCAGTGGCATTCTCTCTGGAGCCAGCAACAAAACCTGAAAAAGTTTTAGATAGCACTTTATAAAGATAGGGAATCAAGGGAAGGGAATATAGACAACCTGAGTATTGGGACTATAGCAGAGAAAAATGGGCTTTGGAGCAAAACAAATACACAAGCAAATAATAAATTTGAGTTTGAATCTTGTCTTCCCTCTAGTTATTGCCAGAACCTTGAACAAACTATTTAATTTTTCCTAATCTTAGTGCCTTCATCTTTAAAATGGGAGTGAAGTATACCTCTTACAGTTTTCATGGGATATAATGATCACAGAAAGTCTAAGAACATTCTAAATCCTCAGTAAAAGATAGTCATTTTATTATGATTATTGTTACTAGCTGTCTTCATTTATAACCATCTCATTGTTTTATAATATTGGTGAATTCTAAGAATATTTAAATGTCATAAAGAATTTGAAAAAGAGGAATTTAAAGAGATCAGGGAGAAGTGTACCAGTCAGTTAGGATTATGTTATTTCATTTGGCTTTAAGCCAAGCAAATATTCAACTGCCAGTTAAAAATGTACCACCTGCCTTCGCCCTCTCTTTAATATATTCTTTAAAGTAGTATGGTGGAAGATATCCAGCTACATTCAGAGCATGCTTTTTAATTTGCGGTTTTGAGCAGCCAGATTCTTGAAGGAATCCTAGCTTTGGACTTATAAACAATGAAGGAATTTGAGGGCTTTTACTCCCAACATGTTTAAAGGGAACGTTGCTATAGACAAATGCATTTATACTACGTTTTGCTTAGGATTGCTCTCTGTTCATATAGAATGATGATATTTTCTCCTGTGAATAGTAACAGATGCAAGTTGAAGATAGTGTAATAATGGCTTAGTAAAGATAAACATATTTTCACTTGTGAGAGATGGAACACGTTAGAAGAAAGCAGAGAACAAGAGCACTCTCCTGCAGTAGGAAATACATTTGATGACCGGATGCAAATATTATACACTTTTGAAAGTGCTTGATATTACAAGTATCATTTTGTAGTGTACACTTCACTCAGCACATTTACTATTTTATTTTAATGCGCCCGATTAGCACTGGAAGTGGAGAGTGTTATGAATAAGAAATTATATAAACATGGAGGATATAGCTGTGGTGATCAGGAAAAAGCTGAGGGAGCAGGCATATGAGGTATCCCACAGAGAGGCTTAACCTCCTCATTCTGGAGGAAGGAATGCAGCAGGAAATGCAGCCACGTTCAACAGACAAGAATATTGAAAGTGGCAACTACTTACATACAAAGAGAATTTTTAAAAAGAAAGATACCTAGTAAAGTGCTGGGCATATAGTAGGCACTCAATATAGATGAAAACTTTTTTTATTAGCCCCCTTTTTCCAGAAAGTATGACATAATTGCTGGCTAGTGGGATATGAGAGGGTATTAATTGAATGCTATTATGTGTCACAAATATTCTGATAAAAATGATTTTAATTTGCACCATAACATTTACTTTTTTGTTTCTTCCTAGGGACTTATCTTCCTCAGTTCTCTGTGATGAACTTTTGTAGAGCCATACGAAAGGAGGTTTTTAGCTCTCACCTGTGGTCTTTCTTCATCATGCACCTCCTAGATTCAAAAGTTCAGCAGGGACATGTCAAGCTATATAAATAAAAACAAACTAAGAAAAAATGTAACATTCCATACCTTAAAACGCAACCTTAATAACGTGAAAGACCCTGAAGGACTTGAGACGTGAAGATTTTCTACCACGGTCTTTGCCTGTATTATTTCTGACAGCTGTTCCTTTCTACTCCCTCTTGCACACATCTTTAGTTACTCCCTGTTCTCCATCCCTCTGATAAAATCTAGAGTTCCCCCCTCAAATTAGAAAATTAAAAAAAATTAAAAATCTAAAATTAAAATTTAAAAAATTTTTAAAAATCTAGAGTTTAAAAAAAATGTTCTATCTCAGGCTTGTGAACCATATTGTTAGTTCACAATTAAGAATGATGTACATCTATTGGACAAGTTTTAATTAATTCTTTCCCTTGGCTGATTAGTAAATTTCTGCAGTGAGTACAAATGTTTACTTGGAGGGCTGAAGAATGCATTTATAGCTTTGATGATGAACTAGAAGGTCATGCCCAAAAGATATTTGTGTCCATTTTTTTGGAGAACTGTAAAAGAGTGTATTATTGTGAGTTGGATAATGGTGCGTTCCTTCTGTACTTAGTAATTTCATAGCAATGATACAGCTGTGTACTATAGGAAACCACCCAAACACTTGGGAGAAGTAGAATACCAATGTACCAATGGTTCATTTCTAATTAAACTTGTTTATTAATTTTTTCCCGGGGTGTGTATGGCCTTATTTCAGGTTTGAGCTCTTTCAGAGATACAAGGACTGAAAGTGGGCAAAGAAGGGCTATTTTTAATGTTCAAGACTCATTTTTTCTGAACCATCTCCTTCCTTCTTTTTATCCATCCCCTCATAACAGGCATCTATTTCCTTAACTTTTATCCTTCCTGTCTTTCATGCAAGATTCATAGGGAATAATTTGATATCAGATAGCATAAATATAAATATAAACATGCTGCTTTTCTCAGGCATAGTTAGAATATTTAAAATCTGATTTTGATTATGGATTGAAAAATGATGTCACATTTATTGGGAAATTAGATGGTAGTGAGCTGCTAGGAGCAAAGAAGCCTTATAGGGCTTCTGGTTTAAGCACAAGGTGATTGTAAGTCATGGGTTTTTTTCTGAAGACTAAAATAGCCCTTCCAGTTGGCTTAGCAATTCTTTGGGAATTATATAACTTATAATTAATAAACAAATGATCAATACAATTTGTTCCAGTTTGCTAAGGACTATTCCCCGCCTCTACCCCCAAATCATCCTAAACTTAAGAAGGATAATTCAAATTTCAAAACAAAAAGCCATCATAGTACATTGTACTTTGCAAAAATGCCTTCTGATTTTGCTTTTTCTCCCACTACTTTGTATATTCAACTGTTATATTAGAAAATGATTGCAGAAGTAGAGAAAAAAAGGCTAAAGCGAGGAAAACCAAAAATATAGTAGTTTTTTGCTCATTCATTTATTCTCTCAGAAAATATTTATAGAGCACCATCAAGAACTAGGTACTGTAGAGAGTACAAATAATATTTTTTTCTCATTTGAGAGGAAAAATAATTGCTGATTTATCTTAAAACAATAAAGTCCTCATGTAAGAAAAAAGATTTTTAAATGATCACACACAACCATTTCCCGTTTGTACAAATATCTGGGCACCATGTTGCACAACCCTACAGGGTGACTTCTGCATGTGGACCTCTGTAAGAGGTCCCTGCTGATGTTGTTTAATGCCCAAACAACTCAGTCCTCTGAGGCAGCTCTTTGATACTTACTTTAGGGGCAATGAAAAAATGACTCTTTGTCTCTAATATATTTCTCTAGAAATTTTTCTTCTTTGTTAATATGATAACCAAATTCCCTCTTACTCTTAAAAAAAATCAACCAAAAAAATTTCAAATTAATCCAGATGCTCTAAAGTGTTTTCTCTTTAAAGTTCATTCTGTACTTAACATGGAGAGAAAGGTGAAACAATGAGGAAGAGTTTTGAAACAGTTTCTAGTGACTTCCCCATATTATAGATTATTAGAGCTATGGAAAAGCAGGTCTTGTCTCTCTGATTGAATGGAACCTGTTCAGCTCTCCCCGCCAGACATAAATTACTCTCTTTGAGTCAAATGGTTGGCTCCTCTTTATGTAAACTTGATTAAAAAAAGAAAAGCAGAAATTGAGCCAGTAGGGCAAAAAAGACTGAGTAGATTCTATTCAGTCACAGAAAACCAAAATCATCAATGTCTTTATCATGCCTTTTTTTTCTTTTTAACAAAGCAACTCCCAGTTAAAGGTGGGCTATTTCATTTGGGTCAGTGCAAACACACAGCCATCAAAGGGTTTCATGAGTAATTAGTAATATGAACACAGCCGTCACATTCTGAGATGTGTACATATCTATCCAAGCAGAGGGGAAATCGTGTAATTAATTTTGAAGCTGTTATGATGTTTCAATTGATTTGGATCAGAAAAAGGAGAACAATTAAGAAGAATCAGAAAACAATATCCCTTTTAGTATTCTAAAGGGAAGAGAAAAATTAAATAGGAGTTTAATTGAAAAATTCTGATCTATATGAGGGAAATGGAATGTTGTGTAAAAAGGAATAGTGACTTATTATGGGAGCCTTAATACTGGGCCAGCATCTTGGGCAATAATGTTTAAATTCCAATGACCAAAAAGCTTTCCGAAAGGTGGGAAGGTCAGGTCAGAAGTCAAAATGTTAAAATTGTTTCTCCCACTACTCAGAACTTTAATTTGAATAGTATCATTCTGGAATTAGTCTATTGGAAAAATATTACTCCAAATTAATTCTTAGTACAAGTATAAAATATTGTCATTATTTTAGTCATTCTATCACCTTTTGTGGGCTATTTTACCTTCTTCCTGTGAATCTTTATGAAGTTGGAATAAACGTGTCTGTTTTCATAGCCTATATCCTTATGAGAATGCCATAAGTAACTTACTTGTTTAACAGGTAAAGCATAATGACATATTTCCAGGCTAATGTTATAGGGTAAAATTTTGAAAAATTAATACATTTTAAAGTTTTCAAAACAATGTTGCATATACAATAATAAGCTAAGTATTACATGGCCATAAAATAATGCATTGTCTCTATATACATTTAGAAATTACTCCTTACTTAATTAATTATGTATTAAGCATCTACTACATTTATCATATTATTTCCTACTGCTTGTTTGTCCATTATTACTAGAAAAAATGCATGCAAGGTTTCCCTGTGTCCACTGTACTCATAATTCTCTTGTGAGCACAGATTTTCACAAAAACCAACTATAGTGTCTTGGAACCCCAAAACCATGTAACTTAGAACTCACTTAAACAGTGGTGGGGGTAATACAGACAAGAAAACATGTATTATACCAACTACATGTTCTATTGTTCAATAGTTTGACTTAAAAATAATGATGTTCTTGTGAATTATGACAGAATTTTGTTTTAAAAATAACTAAAATTAGTATTTTATATATATGTGTATATATATATGTGTATATATATATGTGTATATATATGTATATGTGTATATATATATGTGTGTATATATATGTGTGTGTATATATATATATATATATATATATATATATATATATATATATGTGTATATATATATATATTTGAGACAGGGTTTCACATTGTCTCCCAGACTGGAGTGCAGTGGCATAATCATCGCAGCCTCTACCTCCTGGGCTCAAGCAATCTTCCCTCCTCAGCCTCCCCATTAGCTGGAACTACAGGTGTGTGCCACCACGCCCAGCTAATTTTTTGTATTTTTTATTGTAGAGATGGGGTTTTGTCATGTTGCCCAGGTTGGTCTCAAACTCCTGGGCTCAAGCAATCCTCCCACCTTGGCCTCCTAAAGTGCTGGGATTACAGGCATGAGCCACTGTGCCTGGCCCATTCAATAAACTTTGTTCAAATTGTGTACTTTGTCTCTTGATAAATGTAGTTGCCTAACCTCAAATCTCCTCATGAGCCAGTTTATTAGAATAATTTTTTGCTAATCATATAAGAAAATTGGAGTCAAAAGAAAAGAAAGGGGTAAAAAAAGTCATATTTTATGAAGACAGTTATTCCTGGCCTTTGATTAGGTGAACTTTTGGCCAGGTGATAGAATTCCCCTTTCTTGTGATTTGGCATTTAGGTTCCCTTAAATTCAAAGTACTTGCTCTATGGAGAGAGGGCATTACAGGCAGGCCAGACAAGATGAAGTGTTGCTTCTACTCTCAAAATTTTATTTGCTAATTTCAGTGAACGGGGTGAAGCAATAGAACCTGGTTGATGGTTGATATAGGAAACAACCTGTTTGAATATGCAAAATTATATCTATTTCATTGCCATGTGTTAGAATGTGTTAGGTAAAATATTCAGCCTTTTCCATCTTATATTCCATCTTATATTAATATATTATAATATAATATATTATACTATAATATATATTATAGTATAATATATAACAGCATATTATATATTATAGTATAATATATAACAGCATAATACATATTATAGTATAATATATAACAGCATAATACATATTATAGTATAATATATAACAGCATAATACATATTATAGCATAATATATAACAGCATATTACATATTATAGCATAATATATAACAGCATATTACATATTATAGCATAATATATAATAGCATATTACATATTATAGCATAATATATACTAGCATATATTAGAGCATAATATATGCTAGTATATATTAGAGCATAATATATACTAGTATATATTAGAGCATAATATATACTAGTATATATTAGAGCATAATATATACTAGTATATAGTAGAGCATAATATATACTAGTATATAGTAGAGCATAATATATACTAGTATATAGTAGAGCATAATATATACTAGTATATAGTAGAGCATAATATATACTAGTATATAATATAGTATATTATTATATATTATACTATAATATATAATAGTATATTATATATTATAGTATAATATATAATTATATATTATAGTATAATATATACTATGTATATTATGCTTACATTAGCATAAAGTTCAGGCTAATTGAGAATATTGCCTGATAGTGCATCCTTTCTCAGCGCTTTCCTAACTCTCCTTTTTCTTCCTTGAATCGCAAGAAGAAAACAGCTAAGAACAGTTTGTGGTGCATTCTGGGGGCATGGGGATTTCATGAGCTTTCACATACTCTAACCAACTGTATTAGTGCATTTTCATGCTCCTGATAAAGACATACCTGAGACTGGGCAATTTACAAAAGAAAGAGGTTTATTGGACTTACAGTTCCACATCCCTGGGGAGGCCTCACAATCATGGCAGAAGGTAAGGAGGAGCAAGTCACATCTTACGTGGATGGCAGCAGGCAAAGAGAGGGCTTGGGCAGAGATACTCCTGTTTTTAAAACAATCAGATCTTGTTAGAGCCATTCACTATCACCAGAAAAGCATGGGAAAGACTCGCCCCATGATTCAGTCATCTCCCACTGGGTCCTTCCCTCAACACGCAGGAGATACAAGATGAGATTTTGGTGGGGAAACAGAGCCAAGCCATATCATTCTGCCCCCGGCAATACCATATCTTCACATTTCAAAACCAATCATGCCTTCCCAATAGTCTCCCAAAGTCTCAATTCATCATTAACTCAAAAGTCCACAATCCAAAGTTTCATGTGAGACAAGGCAAGTCCCTTCTGGTTTTGAGCCTGTAAAATCAAAAGCAAGTTAGTTACTTCCTAGATACAATGAGGGTACAAGCATTGGGTACATATAGCCATTCCAGTTGGGAGAAATTGACCAAAACACAGGGGTTACAGGACCCATGCTAGTCCAAAATCCAGTGGGGCAGTCAAATATTAAAGCTCCAAAATGATCTCCTTTGACTCCATATCTCATGTCCAGGTCACGCCGATGCAAGAGGTGGGTTCCCATGGCCTTGGGCAGTTCAGTATCTGTGACTTTGCAGGGTACAGCCTCCCTCCTGGTGGCTTTCACCAGCTAGTGGTGTCTGTGGCTTTTCTAGGTGCATGGTGCAAGCCGTCAGTGGATGTACCATTCTGGGGTCTGGAGGTTGATGGCCCACTTCTCACAGTTCTATTAGGCAGTGTCCCAGCAGGGACCCTGTGTGGGGGCTCTGACCCCACATTTCCCATCTGCACTGATCTAGCAGAAGTTCTCCATGAGAGCCCCACCCCTGCAGCAAACTTCTGCCTGGGCATCCAGGCATTTACATACATGTTCCAAAATCTAGGTTGAGGTTCCCAAACCCTGATTCTTGACTTCTGTGCAGTCGCAGGCTCAACACCTTGTGGAAGCTGCCCAGGCTTCAGGCTCGCACCCTCTGAAGCCATGGCCCAAGCTCTACATTGGCTCCTTTCAGCCACGGCTAGAGTGGCTAGGACGCAGGCACCAAGTCCCTAGGCTGCTCATACAGGGACCCTGGGCCTAGCCCATGAAACCACTTTTTCCTCCTAGGCCTCTAGGCCTGTGATGGGAGGGGCTGCTGTGAAGACCTCTGACATGACCTGGAGACATTTTCCTCATTGTCATGGGGATTAACATTCAGCTGCTCATTACTTAGGCAAATTTCTGCAACTGGCTTGAATTTCTCCTCAGAAAACGGGATTTTCTTTTCTATCACATTGTCAGGCTGCAAATTTTCCAAACTTTTATGCTCTGCTTCCCTTATAAAACTGAATGCCTTTAACAGCACCCAAGTCACCTCTTGAATGCTTTGCTGCTTAGAAATTTCTTTTGCCAGATACCCTAAATCATCTCTCTCAAGTTCAAAGTTCCACAAATCTCTAGGGCAGGGGCAAAATACAGACATAACATAACAAGAGTCACCTTTGCTCCAGTTCCCAACAAATTTCTCATTTCCATCTGAGACCACTTCAGCTTGGACTTTATGTCCATATTGCTCTCAGGATTTTGGGCAAAGCCATTCAACAAGTCTCTAGGAAGTTCCAAACTTTCCCACATTTTCCTGTCTACTTCTGAGTCCTCCAAACTGTTCTAACCCCTGCCTATTACCCAGTTCCAAAGTCACTTTCATATTGGTGGGCATCTACAGCATCACCTCACTCCCAGTAGCAATTTACTGTATTAGTCCGTTTTCACATTGTTGATAAAGACATACCTGAGACTGGGCAATTTACAAAAGAAAGAGGTTTATTGGACTTACAGTTCCACATCCCTGGGGAGGAGCAAGTCATATCTTACATGGATAGCAGCAGGCAAAGAGAGGGCTTGTGCAGAGATACTTCCATTTTTAAAACCATCAGATCTTGTGAGAGCCATTCACTATCATGAGAACAGCATGGGAAAGACTTGCCCCATGATTCAACCATCTCCCACTGGATCCCTCCCACAACACATGGGAATTATGGGAGCTACAGGATGAGATTTGGGTGTGGACACAGAGCCAAACCATATCACCAACTCTGTGATTATGATGAAAAGAATATGAACAAAAGCCACTCAGTATGGACAAGCAAGATTTGTATGATGTACTTAGAAAAACTTGCTCTTATATTTTTGCTCTTTCTATTCATCAACTTTTTTTCTATTTTAGAATTGTATTCTTTTCACTTCCTATCTAGCTACACTACAGAGGGATGTTTTTTGGGGCCTTGCTTGGAAGTAGAGTGTATGGTGGGTGGTTGTCATTTATTCTGTCATTACCTGAAACTTGCTCCTTGGACCCATTCTTCTCTAGAAAACAACTGTTTTGAGGATGATATATGTCTTTCAATTGGGTGATAATAAATCAAGGTGGCACAGAGCCCTAACTGCAATCTTTTCAAAAAACAATACTATTTCAAGAAGCACAAAGTGAAGTCTTTAGGTTTAAGATACTGGGAAACCCCAGTGTTTCTTCTGCCCAATGGTCCCTTGCTTTTCTGCTCCTTCATTGAATAACCATATGAATATACTGCAGAGGCCTTGTTACCTGGTCGCTAAGGCCTCTGTCTCCTTAGCAACTAAACTTTTCAGGGATTATAGGGAAAATGTTTGCTTCAGCCTTGAAGCTGTTTTAATGCCTTCAAATGTCAGGAAAAAAAAGTTTGTATAGTCCCTTGGGTGCTGGTGGGGCAAGAGATAATATTTAAAAACATGTTTAGTAGGTTCTTTACTAGGCAGAAACCTTCAATTTAAATAAACCTTAAAATTTATACAGAAACGTGTATAAATTTTAAGCATAACATAAATGTAAATAAGTTGTGGAGTTTGAGCAGAGGAAAACCCCCTTATTTGGCTATCTTAAAGGCATCAGGTATGGGACATTATGATGCCCTCTATCTACCCATTTTCAAAGCAATGGGGATTTGCTTTTACAATTGCTAAGCCAAAAAAGCAAAGGAAGTTGGGTCAAAAAATCACTCACACTGATTTTCATCTTGAGTATGCAAGGAAAATGCAGTTTTTAACATTTCTCTATCAATTATTAGATCCTCCTCACCTCCTCATAAGTACCCACCTATCCAATATCAGTTCTTTTGGATTTTTCCTTATGTGATCCATAATTTGGACATTCTCTTTAAGTAGCATGATCTAATGGAGATCATGTTTCTTCAAACTCTTCTCCCATACCTGGACCCCAAACCATTGTTTTTTCTCAACCGAACAGCTGAATGTAGAAAAGAGACTTACCATCTTCTTATGGTGTCGAGGAAATAGATTCTCAGATCTTTGTTTAGTAATCTATGCTGTTCCTGGAATGGTGAGCTCTGAAGTATAACTAATTCCATCCCTGCTGGCATCTACTGCTGAAGGATGCACCTGGTAGTCCTTAGGGTCTCCATTTTTTCTTGGATTAGTCAGAACTCTTGTATATTTGACACCATCTGGCACTCCCTGGTGCCATGGATACACCTGAGAGACAGTGACAACTCCTACACATCAGGCCCAAACATCTGCTTTGTGGTCTTTAGCTATAGCAGACCCTTAACTGACATCCAGGTGCCCCTCAGACCCATGTAGAGACATCTGAGTCCCATCCGTGCCTGTGAGAATCAAGTTTGACTCAGGAGAAATAACTTTGACTCTCCGTCTGGTTAAGCTAGCCTATACCAGCAAGACTACTTTCACGTGGCTGACTCCACATTGATGAGCCAGAAGACTCAGCCCAGGGTACTAAATGTGAATTAGGATGAAGGCCCCTTGATGTCTGTGTTCATCTCAACTTTGTTTATCACGCCAACCTTACCCCTAATTCCCAACCACCTACTCCTACAGATATACAATCGCCATACAGTTCTCTAATCCCACACTTCTACCTCTTTCTTGTCTACATAATTCCATGTCTTAAAGAAATATGATTTTTTATTTTCCCTTTTTATCTGTCTAGGCCTTTTTTCTACCTTATATTTTTCTCTAACTACAGTCTCATGCTTGAGTTTTAATGGTGGACAAATTATGGGAGGGACATTTCCCCACCAAGGGCACAGATCAAGAGGCTTTTTCTAATATGGTACCTTCTGCCCATTGTGTGCAATCAAGCTTATCATCTGAGAGCAACCTGGGAAATAAAGAAATGCAGAGAGAGTAAGAAGAGGCTGAAGGCCCTAAGAGGTGGTAAACAGAACGAGCATCACTAGATAGAGAAAGGGGTTCAGACAGCAGGGATAAATAGGGCTCGGTGAGTTCCACAGGACAGTGAATGGGAAGAGGAAATTTTAGGGTTTCCTTAGGGCCTTTTTGGAATATGCTAAGCAGGATATGGGTGGGAAGATAAGGTCAGATATGAGAGAGGCTGGATTGTATATCAAATTGGAAGGAAGAGGGTAGTACAAATCAGAAAGGGGCAGCAAAGTCAGGAGGCAAGGGAGTCTAATAATAGCAGAGGTAAAGTACAATGAAAAAAAATATTAGCAGAGGTAGTCAGGTGGAGGTCAATGGGGTGGGGTAAAGACATGAGGAGAAATGTTCTTCAAAGTTAAATGTGTGGGGCCAGGCGTGGTGGCTCATGCCTGTAATCCAAGCACTTTGGGAGGCCGAGGTGGGTGGATTACATGAGGTCAGGAGTTCAAGACCAGCCTGGCCAACATGGGGAAACCCCATCTCTACTTAAAATATATATATATATATATATTTATACACACAGGTGTGGTGGCAGGTGTCTGTAATCCCAACTACTCAGGAGGCTGTAGCAAGAGAATCACTTGAACCGGGGAGGTAGAGGTTGCATTGAGCCAAGATCGTGCCACTGCACTCCAGCCTGGGCAACAGAGCTAGACCCTGCCTCCAAAAAAAAAAAAAACAGTTAAATGTGTGGAAGGCATTCCCTTAATGTGAAACTTACTCAGCACATCTTCCTAGGGTGACTCCTTAATAAAAATAGACAGGACATGCCAAACCCCAAAATATCCCACTTATCATCAGCATGGCTGAAGGGGGTTCACTGAAAATGAATTTCTATTGTCATTTTCTTTTTTTATTTTTTTGGTCTCTGCCTGGGTTCCATGCAAGCAGGCCCATGTTTTTCACCTCAATTGTGAGAGGTACAAAATGGGCAGACAAATCATCTTCCCCATTGTCAATTTTTGGTCTCAATCTGGGTTCCATGCAAGACTCATGTTTGTCAACTAAACTGTTAGAGGTACAAAATTGGCAGACCAATTATCTTTCTCATTATCAACTCCATCAGAGTCCCATGATTGATACTTAATAGGCCCTTAATATGTATTTGCCAAATGATTGAATTGATGAATCAGTGAATTACTCCATGGAGTTCTTAGGGAGTGGAAGTCTCTAGCCCAAATAAATGTATCCTTAAATATTATACAAATGTGTATTCAAATTCATTTTCAGTTGAGAAAAGAGTTGATAAGTGCCAGGTCATTTAGGTAAATGAGTCAAATAAAAAATTCAAAAGGCAGAAAATATTTTAGAAGGGACCATTTAAGACACCTCTGTGAGGTTCTCTATTACCCTGCTGTGATAGTAAAGTCCATCATCAATACAAATAATTGCTGAAGTGCATTGATAAGAAAGACATCTTAATTAAAGATTCTACTATAAACATATGTGAACCAATCCAATTTCTAGGCCACAGGGCAATAATAACCTTCCTATCTAACATGTTTCTTATTTTTATGAGCATTTATTCTTTGGAGCAATGCTGCCTAATTGGACCAAGCACAGGGGGAAATAACATTAATGCTATTTGCTCTCTGTTTGATATCACCTTTGAATGGGAACGTGACACAGAGCACAGAAGTATGTAAAGCTCCCATACAACCTGACTTCCAGACATAAGGAACAAAGATAAGTCCTGGCTAAGTCCACTAGATGTAGATATAAGGGCTTTTGATATATTTACACTCAAGTGTTGGTGCTGACTCAGATTTCTTATTATTTAAACTTCTTCCAAGATTGAGTAGATTCTTTCCCAAGTTACTGAATCCCAAAAGAAGGTAGAAAATAGAACTTTAAATACAAGATACAAAGATTAAAAACTTTAAGGAGACAACTAAAATTGCCATTAGAAGTAATCACATATAAATCTTGAACAATGTACAACTTCTGCTTACAAAAAATACTAAACCTTGAAGTAAAAATGTCTGGGTAAGGACAGCCATGGTGGTGTATGCCTGTAGTGCCAGCTACATGGGAGGCCAAGGTGGGGGGAATTGATTGAACCTGGGAATTCGAAGCTCTGATATTGCCTGGGCAATACAGTAAGAACCTATCTTTTAAAAAATTGCTGGGTAGAAAATGCTTTAAAGTTTGCCTTACATTACCTTGTCTATGGACTAACAGTTTCTAAATTTTTTACTGAGCTTATGTGTTTGAAATGAGGAAAAACTGACTTCTTAATTTTAAACCATGATTTGTTGCAGAGAGTAGTTGCTGCATGTAGAATAAATAGTTCTGACTATGATTCCGTATATTTTTAGGGAGTTTTCCATGAGACAAGTCAGTAGATACTATGTGGTTTGTCATTTTAAATTGCTTATTAATAAACAAAAAGTTCTCATCTGTACTATTTTTCCACTGTATTCTTTTGTAACATTTCACTAAAAACATATTGCTATTAAATGAGTTGGAAAACAGTGGGTTTATATTTATTTGATATAGATTTGATATATTATATTGATTTAATATTATTGCCTACACTACTTTTCAATAGCACCACAACCAAACCAATAGACATTTTATTGAGAAATATCTTTTAGTAAAATAATTCAACCTGTCTTTTGTACAAGAGATGTATATCAGAGATGACACAGTATTCTCTTCCATCCACTTGCTTTCATTAATGGCAAAATACAATTATGAACATTAGAGAACTTCCACTTTGAGTTACCTCAATGTTGGTTCATTTTTCCACCAGGATTCTTTCTCACTTGGCTGAATTTCTTTCCTCCATCTCCCTTTGCCCTTTGCTACATTTGTTGCCATCTGAAATATTCTTTATTTAACTTTTTGCTTTTTGTTTTAGCTTAGGTGGCCTAGAGGGGCAAGACTGGTGTGGCAAATTGGGATCAGCAGTGTTGATAGGTGAACATTTTCATCAGTGGCCTCATTTTTGGTGTCAGGCTGAGGACTTGGGGATGGAAGTCAGAAGACCCACACAGTCTAAGCAAGTAGCCTTTGAAAGAAAGCCTTATTTAGCCTGTCTTAGTTCATTTGTGCTGGTATAAAAGAATACCCCAAACTAGGGAATTTATGAAGAACAGAAACTTATTTCTCACATTTCTGGAGGCTGGGAATTCCAAAATCAAGTTGCTGGCATCTGGTGAGGGCATTCTTGTTTTGTCCTCACATGGCAGAAGGAGAAGTACAAGATGGGGCCAACTACCTCTGTCACACCTCTTTAGAAGGGTACTTAATCCCACTCATGAGGGAGGAGCCCATATGGCCTAATCATTTTTTAAGGCCTTTACTATCACATCGACAACACTGAAGTTTGGAGAAGACACATTCAAACCATAGCAGAGACCCTGCATGTCACCTGAGAATTGTAATAGCTCTGACCATTCTAAGATATTACAAATGGAGAGGTGATTGAGACTGACTCTTCACTGACAGGATCTGCTAGGTAATTCCTTTAGCAGTAGCTAATTAAGAGATACTTGTTATTTGTGGCTAACTTTAACATTATCCATCATAAGATATCCTGATGTCAAATTCCTTTTGACTTTTTTTGGATATCCTTTAATTATTTACTAGAGTAGAGATGTTTTAAGGCATGGAAGGGCGGGTGGAGGGAAGAAAGCTGACATATCTGAACAAGTGAGTAATTTATAATGGAACTAAAATATTCATAAAATGTCAACTCAGATAGTTCAATTAACACAATCCATTCTATTTCCACTTCAAATTGTAAATTGAAGCCTCAAATAATGTTTGTTTTGCAATGGACAATGCATTGCTAAACTAAACAAGAAATGTGAAGTCACTACCTTTGTGCTTAGTTGATCTCTTTAGATCTGGAGTGGGAAATAGACTGTTTATTATACATCAGTATAAATAGCAAAAATGAGAACTCTGTTAAGTGAATTCATTTTCTAAGCCAATGATTCTTCAGTATTTTTCAGGAAGACAGGTCACTGATTTAGCTTGGTTACTTGACAACATTTTTCATAGGTTTGTTAGGTTTTTACTCTTTGTATTTTTGTAGGAGAGAAGGCTAAGGTGCACAAAATTGGATGACTCATAATCCTTAATTTATGATACATTCTTATAAGGGATACTTGTGCAACAAATTTAGATATATCATTGGTTAATTACTTAAAATATTTAATCAGTTTCAAACAAAACAAAGCTAAACCTTGATAATAGCTTACATCTAATTCTCCCCTCTCCCACTAACCCGTCTTCACTGGGGTGAAATCTGAAGCTGGAAAGGACAAATGACTTGCCCAAGGTCACACCACTGTGTGTGAGGGTAGAGATGGATTTTAAAAACAGGTTTGAACCTTCTAACCATTAACTATAGGTTTAGCAAAAATAATATGTCAGTGATGTTTTAAGCAAAAAACAAAACAAAACAAAAAACCTTCATGGAAGAGAGGACGCTTTATCTTCATTGTCAGCAGATAAATTATCTACTACATAGAGGTGAAAATGAAAACCATTTGGAAATATTCCATGAGTGATATGTACTTCTTGCAGTCACATAGTCTTACTTATCTATAAAGGCAAGATACAAAGTATAGGAAAAGGTAATAACATAAAAACCTGAATATCTATAAAGCGATATATACATATACTGATATACTGGTTACATTGCTGAGAATTCTTAAACCATTAGTGTAATATGCCTCATTCGTATAGGTTAAATCATCCATCATTATGTGCTACAAATTGTTTAAAAAATCATCACAAAGTGTCACCTTTTACATGTTAATCCAAGCAACATCATCTCCTTCAATACAGTCACCTTGGAAGACTTGGCACTTGTTCTAACAATGCTGCAAATTTCTTGAAAAGTTTTTGGAGCTTATTTTAATTGGATTTTCACTCACGTCACTTAAGAGATGCCTAATAAACCAATATCACTATTTTAATATTCTTTCTATACCACCACTGCTCAGAATGGCATCATTCATTTTTATATCAGTCAGGATTTTTAGCTGCAAGCAACAGAAACTGACACTTATTGATATAAATAGACAAGGAATTTCCTGATTGAAAACAGGATAGCTCATAGAATTTCTGGGAAGGGTGGAAAACTAGGCTTTTTAAACAAGTAGATTCTAAGGGCATCTGGAATCAGAAGGATTGCCCAAATAATTCCCTTGACACAGCGTTATGAAAACACAGCTAAGCGTGTGTTACCACAGCACCTGCTTTTGATAGCATCGGCAATGGATCCTGGCTGCAGACATTGGCATTGTGTATGTTGATGCCACTTTCACTGTAGGTGGAAATAATTCTCCCTCCTTCCTTCTTCCTTAATCTGCCACCTCCAGATTCAAAATACTGGTTGGGTTCATCTAATTGGCTTAAATTTCACCATGGTGCTATTACTTTCAGGAGAGCTGGAAAAAAGATTGCCTGGTGACTTCCCTTCCCATGTAGTAGAGATGGAGTAGGGCTCACAAATATTTATGTTTCTCATCTGTAGTGTAGAGTTGTTTCCTCTGCTGGCTTCCTGGCCAGGATCTCTATTTCCCAGCTCGCTGTGTGTTTCGATGTGGCTGTGTGACTAATTTTTCTGAATAGAATGGCAATGGAAGTTATGTGTGTCAATGATGTAGTTAAGGATGGATGTGCCTCCTTCACTTTCTCTTTTACCTTCTGTAGGACCTTGTATTGAAGACAGCGTAACCCCCAAGAGGAAAGGAGCTTGGAGCCCTGAATCAGAGTAGAAGACAGGCTGAATGAATACCAGCCTTGGACTGTTGTGTGAATGAAAAACAAGTTTTGAGATTTGTGTGGTTTATTTATTATAGTTACTGTTATTATTAAAGTTTTTCACTGCTTTACTCTCAGTTATTTGTGTTAATTATGTAGTGGCTTGTGACACACTGATCTCCAGGGATCGTTGAAAGTGAATCAATGTGCTCCTATAGTAGGAAGAGAATCAGTTGATTTGCACTTAAGGTTGGGGATCTGGAGAAAGGTAGGTGGCATAAATTAGAACTAGGCCAAGAGTTTCTAATCCTTTCCTTATGTGATATACAGGATGTGTGGCTCAGGAATAGTGATATACTCCCTTGTTTGTGTTCTACACTGTCCTTAATCCCAATCCTTACATATAATTCTACCTGGACTTAATTCGTAGAATTACCTTAAATCTGTTTAATATATATGTATTAAAAATCACCCAACCTCATATTTTCATACTTTAGCATCAGTAGAAAATTACTTGAGACATACCTCACAGTCATGCAACATATCAGTATGCCAGGACAATGAGGTTAGCACTTTCTTACCAAGCGTGGGCTTGAATAGAAATCTACTCAGGAAAAAGTGGATGGTCGTTTTAGTTCATTAGAAAGAAACTTCATACCCATGTGCATAAATTCGGCCTGTAAAAAACTACACTCCCTAACACACACTTTACTCTTCTCCATAACCCAAACCATGCCTTCCTCCACAAAATCTTTGAAACTATTTTTTCATTACATAATTTTCTCTCATAAGTCTCTCCCTGTTTTCATTTTGGCCATATAGCTCTTACTTATAAATGTGACATGGAGGAGGCTTGTCAAGTCCCCAGGAGGCTCCAGGCCAAGCATTACCCCCAAAGTGGAAGCTTATCCATGTAGAATGTTCCAGACTGCAAAGGATTCTCCTCTTGAGCTTCAGATTGTAATACCACTGGTCTCACATAATATTTCTTGTTGGCAGGGAAAGTGAGATTTTTCTCTGAGATAATTTTAGTTAAACCCATCAGCTGCATTTTATGCAGCCTCAGGAGAATACAGAGAACCTGCTCTGAGGTCACTTTCTCTTGGTGACATTTTCCAGGTTAGCAGCTGTGCTGGGACAAGGAAAGCTGCTCTGAGGGTCAGGCATGAGACTTGAGGTATTTGTGCCCTGGTAAAAATTGTTTCCAGAGTGAGTCAGATTCTTCTGATAGACAGTGATGGGATTATGCTGATCAGCAAAAGCCAACAGTATGTGTCTTACATTGTATCTTATGGATAGGGGCTAAATGGTCTCCTAAGTCAAGGATGGGATAAGGGAATCTAGCTTTTGGTTCCACTGATATTCATACCTTCCTCAACTCTTGAAGACATTTTAAAATAACGTTTATTTTTGCAAAGTTTCTCAGAAAAGCAACTCCCAAACTTTGCAGAGCTCAGTTACACTGTCTTCAACGCTGCAACACCTCCCCAGGCATTCATGGAGAACTGGAAACATTTTTCCTTTCCAAAGAGGTAGTTTAAATCCTCCAGAACACAGTCACTGCCCACAGTGGTAAATTTATTAATTGACAAACCTGGGATATATCATGGAGGGTAAAGATTTAAGAGATCCTTCAGGTCATGGTCTTTTCTTCCAGGAAATTCATCTCATGAGAAATGAAAAGAAAAAAAAAATATGCCAGTGGCATGTACACTGCTGGAACCTTCAAAATCTACTGCTTTGACACTTCCACATTTTTCTTGCTATTACAAACATCATCTCTTCCTTGCTAGAGATGTTACCGCCTCCAGCAAAGTCTGGATAAGCTAGGGTGGCAGACACAGTTAGTAAGGGACATGAAGAATGGGGAAAGAAGAAGATGGGAGCAGGGCCTGTCTTGCCTGGGAACGCTCACATAGATGCATTTGTCTGGTGGACCAGCTGGAGATGGAGGTTTTAATATGGCCTCACCCACATCTGGGGTCTTGGCAAAGATGGCTAGAAAGCTGGGACATCTCTCTCCATGTGGTTTCTCATCATTCAGGCATCAAGCGCAAGCTTCTTTACATGACAATTTATTCTAAGAAGGTGGGAATGGAGGCTACAAGGCGTTTAAGGCCTAGGCTCTAGAATTTCCAGGTGTCACTTCTTCTACTTTCTATTCATCAGAGCAAGTCACAAAGGCAGCTGAGAGTCAAAGGAGAAGTAGATGTATTGCATGCTAGGAAGATCAGAACATCACATTGCAAAAGGCTATGGACACAGAGATTCATCCTGTATTGAGGGCCACTATTAAAACAGTAGCCATACCAGAAACGTTTCCCTTCACTTGGCTAATTCATATTTGTCATATGGCTGTCAGTTTGTTTGCCACTTCCTTCTGGGATCCCGTGATCTCCTGGGCCTATTCCTCTTTTTTATTTTTTACTTTTGAGAACTAGTCTTGCTCTGTCGCCCAGGCTGGAGTGCAATGGTGTAATCCCAGCTCACCTCAACCTCCCCCTCCCGGGTTCAAGTGATCCTCCTGCCTCAGCCTCCAGAGTAACTGGGATTACGGGTACACACCACCATGCCTGGCTAATTTTTGTAATTTTAGTAGAGATGGGGTTTCACCATGTTGGCCATGCTGGTCTCAAACTCCTCACCTCAGGTGATCCACCCACCTGGGCCTCCCAAAATGCTGGGATTACAGGCGTGAGCCAATGCGCCTGGCCCTATTACTCTTATAGCCCTTATCAGAGTCTCTGAAATCACCCGTTTCCATGTGCGTCTTCTCCAGATTGTGAGTCCACCATTTTATCTCTAGGGTATAGTGCAGTGCCTGGGACCTGGGAAGATTCCACTAAATATTAGTTAAATGGATGAGGCTCAAAGAGCTGAGAATCTTATCCATGATTACACAGAAAATAAACTCAGGTGCACTTCCAGGGGATCTTACCTCAGGAAAGGAAGACATTACATCAACTTTTTAAATAATAGTGATTAATACAATGGAATGATCGTCTTACTTTGGCTTACAACAATCAGGACGTAACTTTGGCAGTGGTCCTTCTCATTGTCAGGTTTGTTCTGGGGAAAAGTCTGCCGTTGGAGAGATAGAGTTCAGTCCTGCTACTCAAAGCATGGTCTGGGGCCCAGGATCATCAGCATCACCTGGGAGCTGGTTAGCAGTGCAAAATCTCAGGCCCTGCCCCAAATCTACTGAATGAAGATCTGCATTTTAACAAGATCCCAGGCAATTCCTATGTTCCTTAAAGGCCTAGAAGCACCCAGTTAAAGTATATTTCTGAGTGCACTTTTACAATGCCAACACCAGTGACTCTTAAGAGTCAGCCTTAGAAGTAGCTTCATTCTCTTTTCTAGGTGAGATGATATTTCTTAATGAATTGTCACCAGATTTCCAACGTGACTTGAGTTTCATCTTTTCTGATTTTGCTAAGTGTAAATAAAAGCAAAACAAATAACACTGGGCTTTTTGCTGAAATTTCTTAGTGAAGCATGATGGTGTGTTTGTTACTGAAATATTGTCATAATGTTTAAGTATTTTAGGCTTATACTCTACTCTTAAGTATTCAAACAGTAACAAAAGAATAATGTGTGCGCAGTGTAGGCGAAACCTTGTATTTTCTGAAATTTGTGTTGATAATTTCTAGCCTTTAAATTCATATGGAAATGTTTCCCATTTTTATTCTTTTACACATTAAAAAATAAGGCAGGAGAGTGTGCTATTCATAATAACCTGAGAAGAAAAACACAAAACCATAGCTATGTGAAAGTGTGGAAAGAGATACAAAGCTTACCTAATTTAACCATGACTTTATTAAGTATTCAAAAGTAATAATTTTCCATGTTACAAACATAATTCAAACCAAGAGTTTCAGGTGACAATCCATTAAGTTAAGTATACTTGTTATTATTATATTAATTACTATTATTATACAAATAAAAAGAGCAATTTCCCTGTGAAGTCAGAGGTGTGTTAGAATTTCTATAATAAAAGGGTTGGATTTTAGTGGGGTGTATGTATGCACACATGTACATGCATGTATGTCTCTGTTTGTAGGTTGAGTCTTCTTTGGACTAAACCTTTGAGAATAAACTCTTCAGGAACTCCATCAGACTAAGATTTGGATTTTCCAAGGATCCTATCTCTCACTAGGGAATTCTCAGGGCTGGGTACAGTGCCTTACCTACTCAAAGACTTTGCTAATTCAAGAAGGAATATTGAAAGTGTTATCAAAGCCTGCACAAACCCCCTATTTGCATACCTTTCTCAGTGGTATCCTCCCAACTTTTGGAAGTTGCCCACATGTTTAGCAGCTCAGTTACTCAGCTTGTTAAGGGTTAAATGACTTAGGGAGGTGGTATCTAGTTGGGGAAGGGCCAAAGTTGGAATTTAGAGTCAGGCTTAGCGGCTGTATATCTGTTCCCTATCTATTACTGGTCAAACCGCCCTTGAAATGCAGGCGGTCTAGACCAGTGATTCTCAAACTTGAGCCTGTATGAGTCACATGGAGATCTGGCTAAATCACAGATTGCTGGGCTTCCTCAGTAAGTCTGATTCAGTAGGTCTGGGATGGGCTTGAGTGCACCTCCAAGAACTAGATAATGCTGATGTTGCGGGGCCACACTTGAGAATATTTACAACTCTCAAAAAGTTAAGAAAGACTATTCTGAGAAAGAAAACTACAGACCAATAATCCCTGATGAACATAGATGCAAAAACCCTCATCAAAATACTAGTGAACTGAATCCAACAGCATATCAAGAAGATAATCTACCATGATCAAGTGGGTTTCATACCAGGGATGCAGGGATGGTTTAACATATACAAGTTAATAAATGTGATACACCACATAAACAGAATTAAAAACAAACATCACATGATCATCTTATTAGACACAGAAAAAGCATTTGACAAAATCTAGCAAACTTTTATGATTAAAACCCTCAGCAAAATCACATAGAAGAGACATAACTTAAGGTTATAAAAGCCATCTGTGACAAATAGAAGCCATCTATGACAAATAAACAGTTAAGTGGGGAAAAGTTGAAAGCATTTTACTTGAGAACTGGAACTTGCAAGGATGACCACTTTCACCACTTCTATTCAACATAGTACTGAAAGTCCTAGCCTTAGCAATCAGACAATTGAAAGAAATAAAGGGCATTCTAATTGGTAAAGAGGATGTTAAACTGTTGCTGTTCACTGATGATATGAATGTATATCTAGAAAACCCTAAAGACTAATCTGAAAAGCTCCTAGATCTGATAAATAAAATCAGTAAAGTTTCTGGATACGAAATCAATGTACACAGATCAGTAGCACTGCTATATACCAACAATAGCTAAGCTGAGAATGAAATCAAGAACTCAACCCCTTTTACAATAGCTTCAGATAAATAAAAATAAAATAAAATACTTAGGAATACACCTAACCAAGAAAATGAAAGACCTCTACAAGAAAAACTACAAAACACTGCTGAAAGAAATCATAGGTGACACAAACAAATGGAAACACATCCCGTGTTCATGAATGGGTAGAATCAATATTGAGAAAATAGCCCTACTTGAAAAGCAATCTACAAATTCAATGCAACTCCCATTAAAATACCATCATCATTCTCTGCAGAACTAGAAAAAATAATCCTAAAATCATATGAAACCAAAAAAGAGCCCACATAGCCAAAGCAAGACTAAGCAAGAAGAACAAATCTGGAGGCATTACACTACTCAACTTCAAACTATACCACAAAGTGATAGTCACCAAAACAGCATGGCACTGGTGTAAAAATAGGCACATAGACCAATGGAAAAGAATAAAGAACCCAGAAATAAAGCCAAATACTTACAGCCAACCAATCTTTGACAAAGCAAACAAAAACATAAAAGTGGGGAAAGGACACCCTATTCAACAAATGGTGCTGGGATAATTGGTGAGCCACATGAAGAAGAATGAAACAACTCTCACTTTATACAAAAATCAACTCAAGATGGATCAAGGACTTAAATCTAGTACCTGAAACCATAATAATTCTAGGAGATAACATTGGAAAAACTCTTCTAGACAATGGCTTAGGCAAAGCGTTCATGACCAAGAACCCAAAAAGAAGTGCAACAAAAGCAAAGATAAATAGAAGGGATTTAATTAAACTAAAAAGCTTCTGCATAGAAAAACAAATCATCAGAAGAGTAAACAGACAACCCACAGAGTGGGAGAAAGTTTTCAGAAACTGTACATCCAACAAAGGAGTAATATGCAGAATCTACAAGGAACTCAAACAAATCAGGAAGAGAAAAACAAAGAATTCCATCAAAAAGTTGGCTAAGGACATGAATAGACAATTCTTAAAAGAAGATATACAGATGGTCAAACATGAAAAAATGCTCAATATCACTAATTATTAGGGAAATGCAAATCAAAACTGCAACGTGATACCACATTACTCCTGCAAGTATAGCCATAATTTAAAAATAAATAATAAAAAAACAGTTGCTGGCACAGTGAAAAGGGAATACTTTTACACTGCTGGTGGGAATGTAAACTAGTACAACCGCTATGGAAAACAGTGTGGAGATTCCTTAAAGAGCTAAAAATAGAACCACCATTTGATCCAGCAATCCCACTACTGAGTATCTACACAGAGAAAAATAAGTCATTATATGAAAAAGACACTTACACATGCATGTTTATAGCAGCATAATTCATGCAAAAATATGGAATCAGCCCAAATGCCCATCAATCATGAGTGGACAAAGAAAATGTGATCTATATATACCATCGAATACTACTCAGCATAGGAATGAAATAATGGCATTGGCAGCAACCTGGATGGAGTTGGAGACCATTATTCTAAGTGAAGTAACTCAGGAATGGAAAACCAAACATTGTATGTTCTCACTCATAAGTGAGAGCTAAGCTATGAGGATGCAAAGGCATAAGAATAATATAATGGACTTTTGGGACTCAGGGGGAAGGGTGGGAAGGGAGTGGGAGATGAAAGATTACATCGGGTACAGTATACACTGCTTGGGTGATGAGTGCACCAAAATCTCAGAAATCACTGTAAAGAACTTATCCACACGACTAAACACCACCTGCTCCCTGAAAACTACTGAAATAAAAAAAAAGAGACTATTCTGAGATTGTCACTAAGGACACTCTGAATGTCTGACTTTTTTTTTTTTTGATAGGTGAGATTATGTAATCATAAAGAGGATAATCCTTCGAATCAAGTTGTTCAACTCTTAGTCCCATTATTTGCTAGGCTAGGTGGTCACAGTAAGGCGCCTAACTTATTTTGTCTCAGTGCCCTTGTCTATCAAATGAAAACAATAATATCTAACTCAAAGGGATTTCATGCAGATAAAGTGAGATTATACCTTGGAAGCATAATGCTTTGCACAACTGTTCAAAAAATCTTAGATATTATTAATTACTCTTACGTATTCCTATATGAGCGAATTGTTCCTGAAAGCTCACTCAGGGCCTGTCAGGTCAGAAATGTACCCACTCTCCTAAGAGGCATTGTCATGTGTAAACTCAGTGCCCAGCCTTAGGGCATAATTCAATTTAACTCATTTCAATCCAACAAATATTTATAGAGTTCTTGTTCTGTGCTGGAGACCATGCTAAGTACTGGGAAAATATCTAAACATTTTTGGCTTTTATCATATTATCTATTGCTGCATAATTAGTTATCCCAAAACTCAGTGGCTCAAATATGCATTTATTATCTTACAGTTTCTGTGGGTCAGTAGGTCAGAAATTCAGGATCCACATTGCTGTTGGTACTTCTGACTCAGGGGCTCACGAGTTTTTGGTCAGACTTTCTACAGTCATCTGTAGGCTCAACTGAGGCTAGAAGACCCACTTCTAAGGTGGTTCACTGGTATTCCTGAGAAATTAGTGCTGTTTATTGGCCAGAAGCCTCATTTATGCCCCACATGATCTCTGAACAGGGGTGCTTAATTGTTCTCATGATAGGGAAACTGGCTTCTCCCAGAGCCAACAGAGAGCAGGAAGGGAGCCTCAATGCCCCGTATGAAGTAGCATCAGAAATCACACTCTGGGCTGGGCGCAGTGGCTCACACCTGTAATCCAGCACTTTGGGAGGCCAAGGCAGGCAGATCACCTGAGGTCAGGAATTCGAGACCAACCTGGCCAACATGGTGAAACCCCATCTCTACTAAAAATATAATAAATCAGCCGGGCATGGTAGCCCATGCCTGTAGTCCCAGCCACTCCGGAGGCTGAGGCAGGAGAATTGCTTGAGCCTGGGAGGTGGAGGTTGCAGTGAGCTGAGATTGCGCCACTGAACTCCAGCCTGGGCGACAGAGTGAGACTCTGTCTCAAAAAAAAAAAAAAAAAATCACACTGTCATTTTGACAACACTTCATTGGTTATAAACATTAGTTAGCCCTATTATTGTGTATCTGGTAGGGTAAGGGAAGGATAAAACTACATTAAAGTTATTCATATCAGAAGATGAAAATCAGTGAAGACTTATTGGAGGCTGGCTACTATATCATCAAACCAGAAGTTTAGGATGAGTGATATGTCTATATGTACTCAAAGATGGAAATGGATGAAACCAACAAATGAAGATACAGATCCAGCAGTGTGTGTGGGGAAGGTGATTCTACCTAATACGTAGATGCTTGTGTAAGAGGAATGATCTGATTTGGGCCTTGAAGAAAAAGTCAAGGATAGATATGGCTGGAATAGGAGCAAGATGAGGTGAGGAAAAACAGAGTACTCATGGAAGACAGTAAAAATTGTTTGAGCTCCAGACTACACCTGTGTACCTGGTCCTCATACTATGGTCCTGTACAAAATGTATAACCACACTTGCAATCCATGTGCATTGAAAAGGTGACTCCATCTGAATACCTTATGTTTCAGCAGTCATATGTAAAAAAGACATCAAGATTGGAAATGGGGCTTCCTATGAGAAAATGGTAAAGTTTCTGTTCTCTAAACCTTTATAGCTTTTATGGTTTGTACACCCATAAATAGGATGATCATTTACCCAGGTTTGACTAGGTTCCTAGTTTATGCTTGTTGTCCTTGTATGATTAATAGTGCCTCCTTTTATTCTCAGAAATGTCCTGGTACATTAAATTGTACGGTAACTTGAGCTACTAAGTAAGTGGGTGAGATAAGTTTTCTTGTTATAGATCTATGGCTCCAAGCATCCTGAGGATAGACTTTGAATTAACTTTCATGTATTTTCTAATACCTAGATGAAGACACTGGATAGAAGTGATAAATAAAGATATGTTATTGGTTGGAATTTTATAGTACATGGTGGATATTGCACATAAGTTTGAACATGTATGGTGTTAAAATACATTCCAGAAGTCAGTTGATATTATAAGCATCCATGGAGGGGAGGGAACAGAAAAAGAGTAGAAGGCCAGTAGTGAATGAGTTGCTTCATTGAGCATTTAAGGGGTTAAAGTAGTTCTTCAAGCTCTGGGTGTGAACTACACAGTGTCTTAATAATACCTCTAATACCTGTGCATTTATATGAGCAGAACAAGTGAAAACCTGCCTTGCAGAAATTAGATTAAACAGTTGAAGGAGACAGTCATTTTAATAAGGAGCTTCTATATAAAAACCCTTGATACTTCATTATCTATTTATTCCTCTCAGTCACTCAATTTTATTTTATCCTTCATAATTAAAAAGGAGACAAAACCAAGTCTTCAAAAAAAAAAAAAAAAAAAACGACCCAATGCCACTGTGTTTTGTGTAAACGGTATTGGTTGGATGTAGTTTGTTTGTCTACTTTTACTGTTGATTGCTATTTCTTTCTCTCCCTCGCCCCATCGTTATGCTTTCCTCCCATGAAGTCTTTTACAGCATCACAGGGGGTAGAAATATCTTGTGATACAGAGGCTATTAGTAGAGTTACTAGTAGAATTCTAATTACACATAGAGAATCATACCATTGCAACATTTCAAAGATGATACGGGCAATCTTAACATTTCTTTCTTTTTTATCTAGATAGCATTTATCACCTTCTGTACTCCCTTGGTACACCATCTTTATTGGTATCAGGAAGTATTAGCTACTCTGTCATTCTCTCATTCTCTCATAAATTGCCTGAACCAAGTTTTCATTTTAGGGCTCTGCTGTAAATTTCATTCAGTGCAAAATTTCTTGGAAAGCTGTGATAAATGTAGTGCAAGGGTGTTGATGTTAAGACTACACCTATCTTTCCTCTCCCCCCAAAAAGAAGATTGCATTTGTATACGTGCATGCATATTTTTCTTACACACATTAACTCATTAATGGAACTTAGACAAGTTCTGATGACAAACCTGAAACAATCAAGGCCACTTGGTTGAACACTGAAGTTTCTGGCATGTGTTTTTCCTACAAGTAAACTAAAGTGCAAGGCAACTAAACAGCTTTACTTATACAATTTTTCTTAGTATGAAATTATGAAGGTTAAGGTACTTATGAAAGTCTATGGCACTAAACCATTGTGGTTTAAATGTCAAGTTTGCCAAAAGTTAAACATGCAGCTAGCTCGAGTGCCAGTCCATGGCTTTAGGCTGTCCTTAAGGGTATGGCCCATGCTTAATTTGTTTCTGTATAGTGTCATGGTGTTCTATAAATGTTGTTGAGTCAGCTCACTGTGTACTCTCTTAGATATGAGACATTGATTGTACATCCTAGATGTAAAAAAGAAAAATTTTGATATTTAATCCTTAAATATATTTGACATATGAAAAGAGAATAAATTGGAAATAAATTTGCTGATGGGTGAAACTATGAGTCTTAGCTTTTCACTGAAGCCTTCTTATTTGTGATTAGCATGTACCTTCACACATTTCCTTTAACTTCTTTCTCTGGGGCTACAGGAAACTAGGAGTGAATAGATGTGGAAAACATTAATGGTAGGATGACAGGTGCTGGCATTGTAAAGGAGAGGTAAACAGCATTCTCTTGAGTAGAATCCTCAGAGTGGAATTGCTGTGTCATATGGTTAGTTTATGTTTAACCTTGTAATAAATTGCCAAATTGTTTTCCAAAGTGGCTGCCCCATTTTACATTTCCTCCATCAATATCTGAGGTTTCCAATTTCTCCACATCCTCACCAATACCTGGCATTGTTTCTTTTTGATTATACTATTTTAGTTGATGAGTAGTGGGAATGTAAATAATTCATTATGCTTTTAATTAGCATTTGCCTAATGACTAATTATGTTGTGCATGTTTTTACATGCATATTGGCCATTTGTATATTTTCTTGGTGGAAACCTGTATTCAAATAATTTGCCCATTTTTAAAATCTGAGTTTTGTCTTCTTATTGAGTTGGAAGAGTTCTTTACATATTCTGAATACAAGTATTTTATCAGAGATATAATTTGAAAATATTTTATTTCATCCTGTGGCTTGCCTTTTAATTTTCCTAATGGTGTCCCTTGAAGCATAACGGTTCTCACTGATTTTTAATACATGGTCTTTGAAAAGAACTGTGTTATTGGATATACAGTATCACTGTCCTTTGTTATTTCTCCAGCAAATGTGAATCAGAAACTACTCTGCTGCTTTTCACACCATCATTTAAAATACTTGAGGATGTATACTAAGTTTTTTTTTCTTTATTGAGGATCCATTTTGAGCCAAGCTTTATATATTTACTCTAACTCAGCAGCTACTCTGCAAACAATTTCTTGTGACTCCCACTTTATAGATTAAAAAACAGAGGCTCAGGAGGTCTAGCAAATTTTCCAAAACTAAAGAGAAAAGTACAAGAAGTGAGTTGAAACCAGTTTTAAATCACTGTAAACCCTGTGCTTCCCATAGGATGCTAAGCTGGGCCTTTTCAGGCATGACAAAGCCATGGGTTCTTCACAGTTGGAAGTAGGAGGTTAAACTTTAAGAACCTTGAATTGCTCTCTGCCCTTGGAATAGTAGAGTGGGGGTAATATCTCTCTATGTTGTTTCTGGCTCTCCATCTGGTAGCTGTGAAGTAGCCCATGTTAGTCATCACAGACAAGGAAAAAATACTGTTCTATTTCAAATAGTTAATATTCATCAAATGTTAATGAAAATACATAACAAATAATTACCACAAACACGGTGTCTGATTAAGATGAAAAGGATGACAATCCTGTGAATTTTTAATCTGAAAAATAAAGAATGTTACATTAATAAGACTTAATTATATCATTAAATATTTAAAATTACCTTCCTTAATAGATTTTATTTTTATTTAAAATACTTCATTTTTAAATGTTTATAACACTTTCATGAGACTGGTACATAAAATCCTATCAACTGTGATGGCAAAAGAGAATTTTAACTTAATATATTCATCATATTGATCTCACAACTTCCACTTTATTTATTGTTCAGAAAAGCTAATAACCCTTTTACACTTTATTATAATTGATATTTTCTCCACATAGAGTGATAAATAATTAATACCATTACAGGCACATCATGTGCGGTACACTTATTTGGGAAAAAAATACAACAAACCATCTGAATAGTGTATTATACATTCCATTTTAATACTCTACACTTACAATTAATGCTACATTTTACAGGAAAACATAATTAACTTTGGGAATCTGTCTTGAAATGACCACATTTAGGCAGCTGAAGCTAAGGCAGGGGATCTAATCTAAGCCAGCTCTCTGGTTTTTCCACATTTCAGCTGCTTCTAAAGGATCAGTAAAATTATATACCTATCACCGAGTCTTTTCACAACTTGGGAAAGGTGTTTATAAAAGAGAAAGGATAGTTTTTTTTTAGCTCTGTGCTGTCTACACAAAAATTGAATTTGATTTTTAATTTTCGCACAGTTTTTGTAATTGTCTTTTTAATGAAAATCAACACCTCTCTCAAAATTGTTAATAAGATAATAAAACTCATTTGATCTTTCTCCTTCCCCTACCCCCATCACAAGAGCCTTTTTTGGGAGGAAGGAAACTGTAGTTATTCCTTCCATATTGCTATGGGTGACTTGATTGTTTACTTCTTTCAGGGAGGCAACTGGATACAGAGTACTAGGTACAGGGCCTGGAGATACAGGTTGAGATGATGGGTCTGCCTCTTCCTAGCTTTCTCATGTAGGACAATTTCCTTTACCTCTCTGCACTTTAGCTTCTTCCTATTAGATTATAAGCTTCATGGGGCAGGGGCCATGTTGGTCCTGTTCATTTTATTCCTCAGGCAGTGTCTAACGCATGGTAAAATTCAACAATATTTGCGAATGAAAGTATGAATGATGCAGTTATTGAATTGCAGAACTCTTATGCAGAAGGAAAATTACTTGGGAATTTATGTAATAAAGTCAATTAGTTCAAGCCACCTAATTAGTTTGTTCTGGTTTTGTACCTGTGGCATAGACAAACTCAATCATGCTCAGCAGGCTCAACCAGTAAAAAGGAAGGCTAGACTATCTGGCCCGATCGTGGGCTATTTCTGAATTCACCTGCACCCTGACCTCTGGCTTTGTCTCCTACCATTAGCCTTCTACTTGCCCCTTGAAGCTGACATACAGACACTAAATTACTCTTCTCAGAGCCCATGGATATTTTCCAGATTTCTAGATGCCCCTTCCTCAGCTTCTGTGTGTGTTTTCCCTCTAATGACCTGTACCTGGGAGTGACTCACATTGGAGGCTTGTCTGCAGGCTACTGCATTTTGCCTACATGAACAGACTGCTGGCTGTGCATATAGGAGTTTGTCTTGCACTGGCGCTTGGTTGCTTCCACTCCACCAACAATGACCAACCAGGATAGGAACATAAAAGCCCAGTTTGCTTGCCATGAATTGGTTAATTTATACTCTAGAACTCCCCTGTGAGATGAGACTAAAGATGGTACTCTTCTTGAAACTGTCACTTTGATTGGCTGCTGCTTCTTTCTAAAGCTTCCCTGGAACATTTTCTTAATAAATCCCTTGTATGCAGATCCTCATCTCAAGGTCCCCTTCATGAAAGTTGACCCAAGACACACAAATACAAATTTAGGTTTCCATATTTGATCAATGGTACTTCTTTATCTCACCTTTATGTTCCAACTGCTTGTGTCAACTTCATGTAATAATCCAATCTCAAAGAGCCCCTAGGACTCTACTCTAGCATAAGCTGTGATGGCCAGTCTCTAATTACCTGATGTATTTGACCTGGCTCCACTTAAAGAGAAATAGAGCTTCTCTTTCTATACAGTCCCACATTTATAAATCCTGGATAGTGTCTATTTAGTTCATGGCAGCTTATAATTAAAGAGGTATCTGTGAAAGACATGTGTTGGAATTGTTGTTTTTAAACTTGTAACCTCTGTAGAAAGCATGAACATGTTACAATAATTGGGTTATATTTTGTGGAACCCATCAGATTAGGGAAGTTTGAGATAATATTCTTGTAAAATCTGGTGACAGAGAGTTAGACATTTGTTAAGAGAACAGTTGTCACCGAGTGTCCTCAGGGGATTGGTTCCAAGATTTGCTCCACTACCAAAATCCACACATGCTCAAGTCTCTTATATAAAATGGCATAATATTATATAACCTGTATGTGTCCTCCTGTAGATTTTAATCTCTAGATTACTTATTATAACTAATGCAATATAAATGCTATGTAAATAGTTGTCATACTGTTAAGGAAATAACAAAAAGAAAAAAGAAGTCTGTACATGTTCAGCATGTTCAGTAGAGATGCTTTTTTTCCCCCCAAATATTTTTGATCGTATTTGGTTGAATCTACAGATTCAGAACCTGTGGATATGGAGGACTGACTGCAGTCTGCACATAGCATATTCTCAGTAAAGTATAGCCTATCCTATGTGTGTGAATATAAATGAAGCAATTTTTAAAGCTTCAGAGATGGGAGGGAAGCCTGCAAATGGGGTTCCAAAGGCAATCTAAATTGAATTGCTCAAAAGGAAGGACAAGTAGGATAAGAATTAGAAGTCCTAGCCCAAAAGAAAGCATGTATTGAAACTGAAGGTTAAGAAAAGCCAGAACGGATAGAATAGTGACATTATAGACTTTATTCATTATGATATGCAACGCTAGCTGCTTAAACAGACACCAACATTTCAGTGGTATAACACAGTGAAAGTTTATTAATTTTTTGTTCCAGTGGAGTCTGATGCAAATGTTCCTGATTGTCAAATATCTTATCCATGGGCCCAACAAAAGACTTAATGGCCCGCTTCATATCATACAAAAAATTAGATGCAGGTGGATTGTGGATACCAATGTGATAGTTAAAACAAGAAAGCTTCTAGAACCAGTGTTGTCAAATGGATTTAGTTGCACTGGTGGAAACATTACTGTCAGCAGCCACTGGCCACATACTGCTATGGACCACTTGAAATATGGCTTGTGCAACTGAAAAAGTTAGATTTTAATTTTATTTAATTTTTATTAACCTAAATTTAAATAGTCACATGTGGCTACTGGCAACACTAGTGAATGGCACAGTTCTAGAAGATAATGTAGGACAGTATGTTCATGAAATTAGGGTAAACAAAGCTTTCTTAAACAGGTTGCAAAGAGGACTAACATAAAGAAAAAGACTGATACACTGGACTTCTTTAAATGAAGAATTTCTGCTCATTAGAAGACATACTAAGAAGGTCAAAGGTAATGCAAAATTGCAATGCAAAATATGGCAAAGAATCATAACCAAATATATTTAAAATCCTATAAATCCAATAAAAAGGTAACATAACCTAATTTTAAAATGACAAAAGATTTGAACATATTTTATAAAAAATTATCTAAATGGTCGGGTGCTCAACATTAATTTGTCATCAGGTAAAGCAAATTAAAACTACAGTGAGATACCACATGTCCATCCAAATGGATAAAAACAAAACAAAACAAAACAAGAACTGACAATGAAAATGTTCGCAAGGACAATTAGAACTCTCATTCACTGCTAATGGATATGTAAATTAGTGAAACCACTTTGGAAAACTGGCAATTTTTAATCAAGTTTAACATTCACTTATGGCCAACATTTTTACTTCCTGGTATATACATCAAGGAGAAATGGGTACATGTCTGCACCTAGAGATATGAACTAGAATATTTTTAGCAGCAAACTCAATTGTCCCTCAGTGGTAAAATGAATGAATAAATTGTGATGTATGTATGCATGTGAAAGTGTGTGTTTGTATATGATGGAATACTCTACAGTAACAAATATACGCAATCACAGGAATGAATCTCATAAATAGAAATTGAAGTAAAAGAAACCAGATGCAAGAAACACAGTTAATAATTTACCTAAATAAAATTTTAAAAACAGGCCAAAGTAATCTATAGTGATAAAAGTCTGAATAGCGCTTTGTGTGTGCACGGTATGGCGGTGGGTAAAAGGAGAGGCATAGGGAGGCACCTGAGCGCTAGTAATCTCTATTTCTTAATCTTGATGGTGGTTAACCAGGTATGATTACATGGTAAAAACACTTTGAGCTGCACCCTTATAGTTTTTGCACTTTTCTGTCTGCGTGCTATATGTCAACAAAATATTTACTTTAAAAAATACTCTATTAAAATTTATGAAGCAGGTCAAAGTGTGATAGCAGGAACCTTAAAGTGTGAATGACAAAGAAGGCCTAGATCAATCATAAAAGATTTTATTTTCGTTTGTATGGCATGTTGCATGGCAAAGTAATGAACTAGAGATTGGGACACTTCATATCTGCATCTGATTTCTCACCTCTCAGAGATGGATTTGCCTTTTTATATATTTGTATGTATAAGGTGTTCATTTATCCATTTAACGAATGTTATTGAGCATCTCTACTATGTGCCAGGTTCTAGTTTGGAGGTGCTACATTGGAGTAGCCAGTTTCTTAATTATTCAGAGAGGAACAAATTGGTTGATGAGACTTTTGAACTTTCCATTATCTCTTCCCCTTTCCTGGCAGCCCCTAAGGTTTCCTCTGGCTGCAACAGTGTATGGAATTCTATGTAGTTACACTAAGGCAAATCCAGTATGTTAGTTAGTATCCAGTACGATTAATTCAAGGTTTCTAGATGAATGATTCTGTAGCTGAATCTGTGAACTCTCGTGGACAGTGGCTTTGCCTGTTTCTCCTATGAGTCCCTATGCATAGAACAGCTCCAGCATAGAGGTGAACTCAGCAAAAGATAGAAGGTGTGGAGAATGAAAGACTCTACCATTACCAAGCTAACTAATGGCAGTTATCTGCTTTCATTCCAGTGTAGTTTTCCTTTTCACTCAAGGGGGGAAAACATTTCTGGATTTTTATAACTCAACAAATAGTGACGTGTAATGACAGCAATCTTCCTCACCAAAGTTCAGATGTAGACATTGGCTACCCGATTCCCAATTTCATCAACTTCTTAAAAAAATCTGTCTATAACACAGCTGTCCCATAATAGCTTCTGGGGAATATTCTGTGGATTAAACAATTTCTCCCCTAAAGCGTGGACTCCCTATGTCAAAGATTGGTAGTATATTGATAATGGAAAACACTGGTATTTACCTATTCCCCCATGCCAGGTTAATAAAGAGGTAAAGTCTGACTTCCCTTTTGAATGATCTGGGATCTTTATCAAGTGAGTTCATAAAGGGGTTGGAGAAGTGTGTACTTTTGTCCTTAAGAAGGAAGAGAGATGTAGAATCAGATTTTCAACTGTGCTGTTTTCGTGTCGTTTTTACTTAACCATTAAGATGATCTTCCTGGGAACACTGGAGACTTGATTCTGATGTTCTCAGTTCCTTTGAATTCTTTGATGTTTTGTTTTCTCTGCCTGAAGTATTTTACTGCAGTGCTAGTAAAACCACAGAGAACATATAACTGAATGGCTGTCCCTTGCAAGCCCCATGGATGTGGTGGTGGCAGGAAAAATTCTTGGCTTTGCCCTGAGATATTGGAGCTCTTTGGAAGAAGCTAAAAGGCTAGCTGCCTGAAGGCTCCTTTTTGTTTTCCTAGATGTATAGGCAGGATGATAGGGTTGGATTAGTCAGTTTATGAATTATTCAGAGATGGATTAGCCAGCTGATGGATTATTCAGGCCTGTGTTCCTTTTCCATTTCTCTTACCCTGCCAGGCACCTGTTCATTCCATTCCAACCTGGCTGTTCTCAAGGGCATTAGAAGAAGCAAGAAAAGAAGATATTGTGACCAGTGGTTCACAGCAATGCCCAGAAGAGTTAAAAGTGGTCTGATGAAGAGTGTCTAGCCCTGCAGTGTTGGGAGGTAGGAAGCAGGATGTTGCAGAAACTCAGCAGCCTGGGTGTCAAGGCACATAAGTCAAGAAGGCCACTTTGGGCAGCAAATAAAGAAACCAAGCTGACACCCAGATATGGATAGTGAGAAAAGCTACTGTTAAGTGAAGTACACAGGACTTTGGGACGTAGGTATCCAACCCAAGCACACTTTTCAGCTAGGTTAAATTTAGGCTTTATAACGGGCATCTGAGGCCTAATAATTTATTCTAAAATTAAAATATGAAGAGTGCCTAGTATATGCTAGGCATCTTATAAACTGTATTAGGATTGCTTTTAACTGCAAGTTATGAGTCAATTAATGATTAAATATAACAGACACTTTTGAAGTAAGGAGTGCAGTATTGATATAGCACTCCAGAGATGTCATGAAAGATCCATGAGTTTCCAATTTTTGTTATACTGCTATCCTAAGCATGTTTTTCATGTTTTTATATGATTAGAAATGGCTGCGGAAGCTCATAATATATCATGGAAGGTAGGGGTACGGGGGAGGCAAAAGGGCTTTCTACTCCCATTGCTTGCTCTTTCATTAAAGAGGCAAATCTTCTGGAACCCGCAATCAGCATTTCTCTTATATCTCATTGGCCACATGTTCCTAGACTAACAGCTAGGAAAGGGGAAAGGAAGTCTCATTGTTGTCTTAGAATAATCAAAGTAATTGTCCAGGTCTAGGATCATGACCAGCGTGAACAGAATAGGGAATTTTCTAGCAAAAAATAAAGGGGAAATAAAAATTGGGTAGATAACCAATAGTATCTACTACTTACTTATTTGCTCATGATCTGAGTGGGCTAAGTCTACCGAGGGAAGACCCTTAAGTGTCTGTAAAAATAGGGAAGGAAAAGATGGGTCTGTCACTTGTGTTCGGACTGGTAGCAACCACAGTGGCCCAGTGAGCAATGTCTGGGTGGTCAAGGCTCCAAGCTTCTCATTCTCAGTCCTAACTATGTGGCTTATTTTTATTGTTATTAACAATTGAACTCTTGGTGACATTGTTGTCTCATTTTTAGAATGGAACAAAGTTTGTGACACAGGAGTTTTAATAAATTGTCATTTTTGTAAGTATTTGAGATTAGAAGTTATTGGTGAACATTGATGGAAGAGTTTTGTGAATCAATTTCTTGACTTTAAGTGCCTATCTCTTTGACTTTAGCTATATTAAAGATCCTGGAAGGTGTGCTTTATAAAAAATATACATACATTTAACACATTCTCATAAGCTGAGGCTCAGGATCCAAATATAGTCTGTTTCGTTAACTCTCATCACAACTCAGAACTTGTGATACATAGTTTAAAATTATTTTTAAAAAATAAAGTTAAAAAATTTGTGCATCAAATACAATATAAGTAGAGTGAAAAGACAATCTGCAGAATGGGAGAACATATTTGCAAATCGTATACCTGATAATGAATGAATTTTCTGAATATATACAGAACTCTTAAAACCGAGCAACAAGAAACCCCAAACCACCTGATTCAGATCTGGGCAGACTTTAATAGAAATTCCTCCAAAGAAGATATACAAATAGCCAAGAGGCACAAGAATACGATGTCACTAATCCTTAGGGAAATGCATATCAAAACCAAAAGATACCACCTCTCACACCCATTAGAATGGCTATACTAAAACACAGACACACACACACACACAAGTGTTGGTGAGGATGTGGAGAAATTAGAACTCTTGTGTACTGTTGGTTGGGAGGTAAAATGGTATACCCTCTGTGTGAAAGAGTATGATGGATCCTCAATTAAATATGTAATTACCATATGATCCAGCAATTCCACTTCTGAATATATACCCCAAAGAAATGAAAACAGAGTCCTGAAGAGATATTTGTACATCCTTGCTCATAGCAGCATTATTTGCAATAGCTAAAATGTGGAAGCAACAAATTGTTCATTGATGGATGAATAAATTAGCAAAATGTAGTATAGAAATAGAATGGAGTATTATTTAGCCTTAAAAAGGAGGGAAATTATGACATATCCTACAAAAAGGATGAACCTCAATGACACTATGTTAAGTGAAATAAGCCAGGCACATAAAGACAAATAGTGTATGATTCCACTTACGTAAAGTGCTTACAGTAGTCAGAATTATAGAGACAGACAGTAGAATGGAGGTTGCCAGAGGAAGTGGCAGGGGAAATGAGGAGTTATTGTTTAATGGGTATACAGTTTCAGTTATATGAGATGAAAATAATTATTGAGATGGATAGTGGTAATGGTTACACATTATGAAAAAATTCTATAGTATTGAGTTGTACAGTTAATAATGGTTAAGATGTTACATTTTATGTGTATTTTAACAAAATAAAAAACTAGAAAAAAATAAACTTAAGTACCCAACTTAAATATGGATATCTTAAGAGTATCACTGGTAGTTTCTCCTTGGCCTAACCATCCATATATAGAATTTCCATGTGGCTTTATTGCTGTTGACCTGTAGCTTGGATATTTAAATTAGGATCTGTGTTTTCCCACTAAGTCAACTGTTTGTCTCATGCTCCTTATCTAGTTTACTGTAGCACTGTGTACCAAGTTGTTTAGTTTTGAAAATTATGGTTATTCTTCATGACTTTCCTTTCACTACATTTAATCATGTGTCAAAACTTTTCAGTCCTACCTTTAACAGTTCTAACACTTACTCTTTTTTATTTGTCTTTGAGGCTAGCAGTCTATCTATAAAAATGGTGGTAATAATGATTTTCTCTAGGGGACTTTTCTTGTCTTTGGAGGGCTTTTCTGAATTTTCCAACTTTTTTACAATTAATTATCACCAGAAAAAAAGAATATAAAAATGTAATAAAAGCTGTTATTGAGTTTTTAATTGGGTTATTCTCAATGCCCTTTATCTAATTCATTGATGTGAACTATTTCTCAGTATATGGTGTATGTGTCTACCTGTCAGAATCTTCTGGAGACCCAGACCCTTACAACATTGCACAGAGTCTAGACATTCTATACTGTTCATTGACTTAAATTTAGATGATGTTTCTGGAGAAGGTAGGAACCACACAAAATTTTGTTTGTCATGAGGCTGTTCATAAGGTTAAAAAATAAGTAAAACAAATCCTCAAAATGTCAATCCTCAAAAATCCTCAAAATTTCAAATGGTAGAAAGTAAGAAAATGGGAAGAGAGAGAGACAGAGTGAGCGCCCCCAAACAGTGACTGCCAGCTTTCTTTGAAAGTTACCATCAAGCTTTTTCATTATTTCAAGAATTTACCTTATTCTCTGTTGCTTTCTTCAACTTTTAGTTTAATTTTCTTTTGTACATCATTTTGCTAACTTTTCTTTCATCTTTTCAACATTATGTTGAAACTTATCATTATGTGTCTAGGCAGTAAGTTTCAGAGCAGTTGGGCATTTGAATATTACAACATTCAGAGTAATTTATTCCAGACCATTAGTATATATTGTATATCTATTTAGTCTAAAAGTTTGACAAAGTTTATGACAGTGGCTGAGGAAGAGGAATCCCTACAGAAGGAAGAAAAGAAATTTCATTCTAGCTGGCTAGACTAGACGGCATTTCCTACTAAGCTCCCCAAATATTGGCAATTGGCAAGTAATGATTTTGGTATAAATTATACACTTTGATATGTACAGAAAAGTTATGGAACATTTTACATGAAGTAATAGTATTAAGTAATTTGATTGAACTAATGACTGCTTAATCTGATATCTGACAAAATAAGCAACACTAAATATGACACACTTGCCCTTTATGGACTTAAATTCTGGAACAGTCCAAATTTCCATTTTTACTGTTCTTTGTAGATCTTTGAATAACTTTAATAAACAATCAGGAAACTTTCAACCTTCAGCTTACAAATTGCATGGCCACTTCTAGATAGATTGCTCAAATCTTAGTTATTCTTACTAACTGACAATAACTGTATCTAATTTTTAAAGTAAAAGTTCATTTCTTGTTTAATTTTCTTTGAAGCATAATCATTCTTGTTATAAGTTGTGTTCAGGGACACACCTCTTGATAGATGATTAAATGTCTCTCCTATCCTTGGATCCTCTCTCCCCTTCTTAACTTTCATTATATCAGAATTGTTCCCATCAGATGAGTAGCTTCAAATAACAATGCTTATATATTTCACTGGGAATTTAACACCTTTAAAAAAGGTGCTGGTGTAATCAATCAATACAAATAACCAAAAAAGGAAAAAAACCCAACTAATCTTGATTACATGCTTTTAAACATTTTTAAACACTCAAGCTACCTGCTTTTAAAGAATCACAGAAAAATGGAATATAACTTGGCTGTGCACTGATTTGTATAGGCAGTCCAGTAGACACAGTGAGGGCGCAAGCTTCTCTATTACTTTAAATCTTTGAGAATTTTGGTGAGCCTATGATTGGATATAGTGATATAGACTGAATAATCTTCTTTTGAATTCAAATGAATCTCCAGCAATTTTCTTCTTCCACTATGATGAAAATAGTTACTGTTAAATCAGTTGGTTCCTACAACCTTGGAACAATTGCAAGAGCATTTATACAATTCGGCAAAATGGAAGGGAATCAGAGGCATAATTGTCTAATATATACACTCAAAATATCTACTCTATGGTACAGACGTTTGTAGACACACACATTCATTTTCTTTGCTTATTCTTTTTAATAATAATAACTAACACGTACATAGTCATTACTAAGTGCCAGATACCGTTTTAAAACTGTTACATAGTATTGATTAATTATCTTCACAACAATCCAATAAGGTAAGTCTTATTATCCTTCCACTTTACAGAGGCGGAACTGAGGCAAAGAGATGTTAAGTTACATCCTCAAGGTCATATGGATGGCGAGTAGCAGGTGGAATTAAATCCAGGTCTCTATATTAGAATCCATCCTCTTATGTGTTGATGTATTTCTCTCTGCCTATATTATAGACTTCTTGAGGGTAAAGACTTTCTTATTCAGTGACAGAGTAGACATGACTCTGGTTTCAGAGACAGACAGACATGAATTAGAATTCTAAGACTTCATAAGTTAACTTAGACAAATTATCAGTACACATACAAATAGTGGTGTGCTGTAAATTGACTCTCCAAAACAACAACAACAACAAAAAACAAAGCCCTAATTTATACTTTCTGCTGATTTCCATGACGTAAATACTCTTGACATGACAAATTTCAAGTTGCCAGTGATTTCGCAACAGGCTTGCAAAATTTCTGAAATTTCAATAATCAGCAAAATGGCTCCAACACATCGCTGATGGAGGGTGGGTAACTTGTCACTCTTGTTTAAACTCCTGGGTCATCAACACTAGAAAAGCACTTGGCATGTGGTGGTTGCTCATTCATATTTATTAAACGAATGAATGAGAATGTCCCTTATACTCCTTTTACTCACAGTTTACTGTATTAGTAAAATATTCATACTTGTAGGTAGGTTGTTGAATGTCTTAAGTATTAACTGAAAAAAAAGTCTACAAAAAGCCTACCAAAATGCTTGGCACTTAATGGAACTCACAGGTTAATTTTTATCCTTTGGAATTCTCTCTTGTCTTTAAAGTGCCTTCTATCTAGCAGGTAAGTACTAAATGAATGAATGAATAAATGAGTGAATGAATGAAATTAGTAAAAAGCATCAGTTTCAAATGAATATGCTTGTTATAAATTGTGTTCAGTGGAATAGAGAATCTAGAAATGAGGCTGTACACCTCTAGCCATCTGATCTTTGACAAAGTAGAGAAAAATAAGAAATGGAGAAAGTACACCCTATTCAATAAATGATCCCGGGATAGCTGGCTAACCATATGCAGAAGGATGAAACTGAATTCCTACCTTTCACCATATACAAAAATTAACTCAAAATGAATTAAAGATTTAAATATAAGACCTCAAACTATAAGAATACAGTGGGGTGCAGTGGCTCATGCTGTAATCCCAGCACTCTGGGAGGCTGAAGCAGGAGGATCACTTGAGCCCAGAAGTTTGAGACTAGCCTGGGTAACACAGTGAAATCCTGTCTCTACCAAACAAACAAACAAACAAAAAACAGCCTAGTGTGGTGGCATGTGCCTGTAGCCCCAGCTACTTGGGAGTCTGAGGTGGGAGGATGACTGGAGCCTGGAAGGTAGAGGCTGCAGTGAACAATGATTATGCCACTACACTCTAGCCTGGGCGACACAGGGAGAAGCTGTCTCAAACAAAAACAAAAGCAAAATCAAAAACAAACAAAAAACAAAACCAGAAAAACCTATAAAAGTCTTATGAGAAAACCTAGAAACACAATTCTGGACATCAGCTTTGGGAAATAATTTATGACTAAGTCCTCAAAAGCAATTGCAATAAAAAGAAAAATTGACAAGTGGAATCTAATTAAACTAAAGAGCTTCTGCACAACAAAAGAAACTATCAGCAGAATAAACAGACAAGAATGTGGGAATGACTCGTCCTTCTTCCGTTCTACAGAATGGGAGAAAATATTTGCAAACTATGCATCTGACAAAGCCCTAATATCCAGAATCTATAAGGAACTTAAATATTTTAACAAGCAAAAACCAAGCAACTCCATGAAAAAGTGGGAAAAAGACATGAACAGACACTTCTCAAAAGAAGACATACAAGCAACTAATAAACATGTGAAAAAATGCTCAGCATCACTAATCAAAGAAATGCAAATCAAACCACAATAAGAAATCATCTCACTCCAGTCAGAATGGCTATTACAAAACAAAAAACAAAACAAAAAAACCCCAAAACCCAAAACCAGATGCTGGTGAGGCTGCAGAGAAAAGAGAATGCTTATACACTGCTGGTGGGAATGTAAATTAGTTCAGCCACCATGGAAAGCAATTTGGAGATTTCTCAAAGAACTTAGAACTATCATTTGGAGATTTCTCAAAGAACTTAGAACTATCATTCAACCCATCAATGCCATTACTGGAGATATATCCACAAGAAAATTAATAATTCTACAAAAGACACCTGCACTCATATGCTCATTGCAGCACTATTGATAACAGCAAAGACATGGAATCAACCTAGGTGCCCGTCAATGGTGAATCGGATAAAGAGAAAGTAGTACATATATACATGGAATATTATGCAGCCATAAAGAATGAAACCATGTCCTTTGCATTATCCCAAGTGAATTAATGCAGGATCAGGAAAGAAAATACTGCATGTTCTCACTTATAAGTGGGAGCCAAACACTGCACATGCATGGAGATAATAACAATAGACACAAGGAACTAATAGAGTGGGGAATGAGGGAAGGGGTCAAGGGCTGAAAAAATTTCCTATTGGGTACTATGCTCACTACCTGGATAACAGGAACCAGTTGTACCCCCAACCTCAGCATCATACAATATAACCATGTAACAAACTTGCATATGTACCACCTGAATCTAAAATAAAAGTTGAAATTATAAAATAAGATAAAAGTGTAAAAAATAACTTGTGTTTAGGAACTCACATCTTCACATATAATTGTTTCTCCCACCCTTAGATCTGAACTTTCCTTCTTAACTTTCCTCATAGGAGAAGTGTTACCATCAGATGAGTAGGCAGGGTCAATTTTAGTCTTTATTAATGTGTAATGGATATAAATATGTGACAGAATTTACACTTTTGTGACTTCCCCATACTTATAAGGGGCTTTCTTGCCTTAGCACAGGGATGTGAATTCAAATGTCTACAGAAGCCAAGCTATTATTAATGTAAATGATTGAAATGTGCTCAATGTCAAGACAACAGGGAATGATTGGCATTTAGGTAAACTGGAGATCCCACACCCAGCATATGGACACGCAAATTTAAATATTTTTATACTTCTGTGCGAGCCAAACAAAACAAGTCTTGGGCTGGGTTTGGCTCATGGGTACACAGTATTTAATCTTTGCCTTTGTAATGGTAAAAATCATGAACTGGAGCCAACACTGGTTTGATTTGATATCTAGTTTTTCCGCTTTACAGCAGGTGGCCCTAGCAAGTTACTTAACTACGCTGCAAAATCCAAGAGGTCGCTATGATTCCCAGAGGAGGAGGCTCTGGGTGAGATCGGGAGCAAGTGCAGGCATACCTGAGATGAAATGTTAATCCTCAGATAAATCACCGGGCAAGGGAGTCAGGGACCATTTTACTTGCGTCTTTTCCTTCCGCATATAGGACTGGAGAAAGAATTCTCCGTCTTATTATTGGAGACCTCCTAATACAATAACTGATTCTCAATCTTGACTGCCCATTGGAATCACCTGTGGAGCTTAAAACTCTTGATTCCTGAATTCTAAGCCCAGATACTTTGATGTAATTGATCAGGAGTTTGGTCATCATCAGGTGATTCTAATGTGCAGCCAGGGTTAAGAAACATATAAATTATGAATTATATGTTTATATTGTATGAATTATATGCTAAAAGATGCAATGAGGAAAAAAATTGTATGATTTTCTGTGACATTATGTGAATTGCTTTTATGTACCATTGTAGCTTGCGATTTTCTTTGACAAATGAATGCACAAAAGCTATTTCCACTGAACTTCAAATATTTTTAAAAACAGCCGTAAAATATCCAAACTGCTTTCTGTTAAAAAAGGGAATTCTGCCTTCATGGGACATGTAGAATTACGTGTGATTGTTACTTTAAGACATGAATATTCCATCAATTATCTCTTGCTCCCTGAATTCTGCTTTGCCCTCTATACGAACTCCCACCAAGAAAAAGCTTAAATGTTTCACCTAATTCTCCATGCGGCTGCTTACCTATTTAGGTTAGGGTACAAGAGTTGATGAGAAATTCTTTGGGAAGCCAAGCACAAGTTTTTGCTTTCAACTATTTATAGCAATCAGCTGGCTTTTCCAGTCCCTCATTAGATCAATCATGGCCATTGTCTTACAGTTGAGTGGGAAATCGTTACAGGTGGAAGAAGGCACGATGCCGCTAATTCAGCAGAGGCCCCCGCCTAACAGGAAAGCTGCAAGGAATTACAATCAAATAGGAGACTTGTCAGGGGAATGGGGTTGCTTCCAAGACAGAATTTCTGAAGACTCTCTGGATTCTGGGTTGAGCATAAAATAAAACGTAGAGAGAAATTGCAACAAACCTACATACACATAAGAGAAGACCACCCTTTTTTTCAGGCACAAAGTCTGGTGTTGGACTTCCAGCATTAGCTGAAATGCTGCTTGGTACTGACACGCTCATATTTGGCGGGGGCTTATCTTTTTTACGGGCCATTTATTTGGGAATGGGTTTTACAGGTGGCTCTGCTGTGGGGTCCAAATCCTGGGCTTACGTAGCATAGCATGCTGCACATCTTTGCAGCTGAATCAAGTGCCACGTGTTATGGGCTGTTGCTGGCCAACAATTTGGGAAGTTCTTTTACCCTCTCTTTGCTTTTTCCCTGGGCTGTTGAGCAATGATAGTCAAAGGCCAGCTGAACCCATCATGAGTGGGAGGCAAAAGAGAAATTGCTGGTGTCCAGATTTTTTCTTGGGCCTATATATGGGCTCTCGGGTGACCCTGGGAGCAGGTGGGACTAATTTGGCACCCTTCCCAATAAAACCTGCCTCAAAAAATCAGTTTATTTGAAGGAGTTAACGAAAGTACTAGATATTTTTTACCCACTGACAGAGGGAAAACTAGTGCACACGTCTGAATAAATAACTGAAAATGGCTTCTCACTGTTCAGGAAGTACAATCAATTTGAAATTAGGATTATGGAAACATCTGCGAAAATTCAAGTGTCATCTCAATTTGGGCTCATTCAGATCCTGTATTTTTCAACTTCCCAAGCAGTGCATTTAAAATCTAATCCTAATTAACACACATAGTTTAATTATAGCCAACAAAATATTCTACAAAAATTGTGTGTGCTGGTTGGGGGGATGGGTGGGGAGGGAGGAGGCGAGGGGGAAGCCAGACAAATGTTCCCTGATTGTAAAAATTCTTGTTTGGTTAATAATATAAATCCCCAAGATTTTAAACACACACTGAAGTTTGCTTAACATGAATCAAAGTAACATAAAAAAGCATGGAGCCTGAATTCTGTTCTAGTTCTACTTTTTGCCTTCTTCCTATTTCTTGTTAACCTGGAAAGAACAAAGAACTTGTTCATTTGGCTCTGTTACTTTTGTGAAGACCTTTGTCGCTTTGTTTATCTTCTTTCTCTGATCAGAAGATAAACCTTTATGGTTGTGTGTGAGTACAAATAAAGGAATAAATCTACTTGCATAAAGCAAACTTTATGGTCTGTTGTTTTAGTGATGAGAAATACCTCCAAGGATTTGAAGGTTTAACTGAGAGGCACGCCAATACGTTTTGATGCTTTATTGGAACCTCATCCTAATCAACCAAAACACAGCAATCAACCATCTTGCAGAATTATCAAAGCTTTTCCCCTCCCAAACCTGGCATAAGTGGAATGTGCAAAGGGAAAATAAATTTTAAGAAAACAAAACAAAAATCAAGTAAACAAGAGGGAAAAAGTCCCCATTTGGAACCTCAAAAATCATTTTAACTAAAATTAACTCTGAGAGAAAGCTTAAAAATTCAAGTAGACTTAGTCTTGGTCATTTTGTATGATTATTTTGGTCAATAATAAGTCTAAGAGAAAAAGTAAAATTTTCTTATTTTCTTACTCATTTTGCTCCTCCATCACGTAGGTTAAAATACAGGGGACTGACTTCTGTTCTAGATTCTGTTAGCAGAATTGTATTGTACTGTTATTGTTGGAAAATGAAAAACAATAAAAGAAAAAAGTAAAATTCTGAAAATTTTACTGTGGTGTTTGCTGTTAATTAAATTTGACCCTCTGTTAGTATTAAACTAGTCTATATTTCTGAGGATAAGGAGGTGATATTTCTTCTTAGATTAACATTACTGCGATTTCCCGCATGTAAGCCCAGTCTTGAAGACAAAATTCATTTGCTTCAGTACTTAATGATCTATACATTTTCTTTGTCTATAAATCAATTCCATTCCTTTATTCATCACGATTTCCAAAAATTTATAACAATGGAGGCAGTTCGTAGTTGGCTAATAGTAATGAATTAGTTACAGAGAATGTGCTATGATATTTTATAGAAAAGAACCCTAAATTTCTCTGCAGAATCCAGTGGCTCAGACAGGCCTTAATCATAGGAATGTCAGATATTTCCATACTTACAGAATAAAATTTATAGACTAGAATAAATCTTGAAAAGTTGTAAATAGTTGTATAGACTAGAATAAATCTTGAAAAGGTGTAAATTTTGATTAAATTTTACCTATTGACCTATTGTGTAGTTAATATTTGTAATTTTTTGCCAATTCTTTTTCTCATTTTCTTTTTCTTTCTCTCTCATTGTCTCATCTCTTTTTTCTAGTGTCTTGCTCTCCAAACTCCATGAACAAGGGACTACTAATTTCTAGCTCTATCATAGAGCCTAGCAAAGGGTCTCCCACATAATAAGCAAAATATACAAATTGAATGAATGAATGAATTTTACGATTTATTAATTTCCATGATGAAATTAGAGATATGATTTCTGTCTGGAGGCTATAGAATCAATCATAATAATTTAATGACAGAAAAGATAGAAAACTATTACAAGTCATTTAACAAAATAACATTTTATAATAGTAGATTATAATATGTTTTTATAATTATATAATGTGATTATATAATAACAGTAGCATAATGGTCAAAGCAAGTCGCAAGGTAAGAATGAAAAAACTGTAAGGGATTTAGAGCTCAGAAATTGGAATCAGGACACCTGGATCCAAATTCTACGGCTTCCTCTTCACAGCTGTGTGGCCGATCTATCTGCTTAACCTCTGTAAGTCTTGATGTCTTCATCTATAACATGGATTTTGGAATTTAGTAAGAATTCAGTAAATAGTGCTTTTCAAGTTCTCAACAAAGTACCTGGAAATTAGTTAAGGATAATAAATTGAAGTGATTATTACTAGCTAGGAATGTTTTTATTTTTGGCACAATAACTTAAAGATCTGAAGAAGAAAATACCCACAAAAACTGAACTGTACAGAACACTATGGATTAAAATGCCCCAGACTCTTTCAAACTCCTTCCAGATATTCTGTGGCAGAAAGCTCTATGATCTCTCTGGATTCTGGGCCCCGTCTTCTGGTATAATGTGGAAGTTCTTGGCTTGTGGAAAGAAACAGGTTGTTCTGGGCTGAGGAGTAGAAGTACAGAGGGGCAGAAATGCAACCACAAATTAAGGAAAACAGAAAAGTGGAGTCTCACATTTCCAATCTTCCATAGTTCATATACATCCAAACACTTTCCCAAAGTTTCTGACTCCCAATGTGATGAGAACAGAAAGCACACTGTAACCAAGAAGGTAAAGTTTATCAGGCATTCTGTTATTGTGCTGACCAGAAATTAGTGCTCACATCCTAAAAATTATTGTGGAAATAATATTAAGAATATATTTATAAAACAAAAACTAATAAGAATAATTATCCATTTTGCATTAAAATTGAGTCATGACACTAAAGCTATATTTTTAGTCATGGAAATTGTAAAACAGATACATACAAAATTGGAGTCATGAGAATGAATTTTATTACTATGGCTAACCTACAAACAAGCGTGATAATTTTGCTATCAACATATTTATGTGCAATTATAGGTGGAGTGGGCAGGGCTGATCAAAGATTATGAGCATAAATAGGTCACGCGATCAAAAGATTAAAGATGGGTGGCAAAGACAGTGTATTCTATTTCCAATAGAAAAGACATGGAATCAACCTAAATGCCCATCAGTGGTAGACTGGATAAAGAAAATGTACATATACACAATGGAATATTATGCAGACATGAAAAAGAATGAGATCATGTCCTTTGCAGGGACATGGTTGGAGCTGGAGGCCATTATCCTCACCAAACACAGGAGCAGAAAACCAAATACCACATGTTCTCATTTTAAGTGGGAGCTAAATGATGAGAACACATGGACACATAGAGGGGAACAACACACACTGGGGCCTATTGGAGGGTGGAAGGTGGAAGGAAGGAGAGGATTAGGAAAAATAACTAATGGCTACTAGGCTTAATACCTTGGTGATGACATAATCTATACAACAAACCTCTATGGGGCAAGTTTACCTAGATAAGAAACTTGCACACACACCCCTTAACTTAAAGGTTAAATAAAAAAAGACAGTGTATTAGGGAAATAGGTAGAAGGGGTATGGAGTTGAATGTAGGAGGGTAGTAGAGGCATTTGGAACTTTTAACAGTGCCCTTATTTGTGTGTTTAGAGGGCTGTAATAGAGGATTAGAAGAAACACTAAATATCGAATTTTCTTATTTTAAAGCCAAAATGTCATAAATGTCATAAACACAAAATGCAATGTGTGTCAGGTAGAGTCAGTTGGAGACAGAACATGGCTTGGAAATGAAGCATTCCACTTATGTAGATCCACTGAAGTGGCTACCTGCTTTATGGTTTAATTTCATCTGTGATTGTACAATTGCCACTAGTTTTGTTCCATGGCCATAGATTTTAAATATAAAGGCAGAAATGCCTGCTGCAAGAGGAGAAAAGGTATTCTCTTTCCAAGAAATTTAAAGTATTAGTTGAGCTACTTAGAGGAAGATGCTTTGGAGCTATTGTTTCATTGTGAATGTCCTGTTGCACAGGTCTGCTTTCATCCCAAGGCATTATTTAACTCTTCCTTAGTTCTAGGAACAATCTAGTACTTTTCTAATAAGTATTTCCCCTTCTTTACATTAGCTCACCAGCAATTACCCACTACCCAAAAGACCTTATGTGATTTATCATCCATGTCTTCCTGTTCCCCAATGATGGTGGCTGAAGGTTCAGAGGATTGGACAGCTAAGTACAAAGAAGTTGTTGGTCATATAGAACAAGTTATCCCATGATTTATAAAAGACAAACAAATTTTGCAGCAGCTCATTTCAATTTCCAAGCTTGGGGAAAATTAAGCCATATGTAGTGATTAACTAAGCAGGCTCTGGAGTTTGAATCTTGCTTCTGTCTTTTACCATGGGACCTAAGCTATTTAAGCTCTCTAGGTGCTTGGTTTCCTTATCTGACAAAAGGGAAATAATGTAGGTTTGTGAGGATTAAATGAAGAGTAGGACATAAAGCACTTAGCTTAATATGGTACTTATTAACAGCTCAGTAAATGTGGTGTTTTTTTGTTGTCTTATGTTATTATGAGATATTCCTTAAAACAGGTAGCATAAACATTGCTTTTTCCATTTTATATTTTCAAAAGTTGAGGCTGTAAAAGATTAAATGGTCAACATCACACAATGATAGAGCCAGGGTCATATTCCAACATTTTGATGTCGTTCACAAATATTTACTGAGTGTCTACAATGTACAGGCATACCTCAGAAATATTGTAGGTTCAGTTTTAGACCACAGAAATAAAATGAATATTGCCATTAAGTCACACAAGTTTTTTGGCTTCCCATACATATAAAAGTTATGTTTACTCTGTATTGTAGTCTGTTAAGTGTGCAATACCATTATGTCTAAAAAATCAATGTACATTCCTTAATTTAAAGTACTTTATTGTTAAAAAATGCTAATGATCATCTTATCCTTCAGCAAGTTGTAATCGTTTTGCTTATGGAGGGTCTTGCCTTAGTGTTGATGGCTTCTGACTAATCAGGGTGGTGTTAGCTGGAGTTTGGGTGACTGTCACAATTTCTTAAAATAAGAGAACAATAAAATGTGCTGCATCAATTGACTCTTCCTTTCATAAAAGATTTCTCTGTAGCATGCAATGCTGTTTGATAGCATTTAACCTACAGTAGAATTTCTTTCAAAATTAGAGTCAATCCTCTTAAACCATGCTGCTGCTTTATCTACTAAGTTTACATAATATTTTAAATCCTTTGCTTTCATTTCAACAATCTTCACAGGATCTTCACCAGGAGTAGATCCCATCTCAAGAAACCACTTTGTTTTCTCATCCATAAGAAGCATCTCCTCATCTATTTAAGTTTTATCATGAGATTGCAGCAATTCAGTCACATCTTCAGGCTCCACTTCTAATTCTAGTTCTCTTGCAATTTCCACACCATTTGCATGCAGTTATTTTTTCCACTGAAGTCTTGGTCTTGAACCCCTCCAAGTCATCCATGAGGACTGAAATAAACTTTTTCAAACTCCTGTGAATGTTGATATTTTGACTGCTTCTCCTGAATCACAAATGTTCTTAGTAGTACCTAGAATGGTGAGTCCTTTCCAGAAGTTTTTAATTTATTTTGCTCAGATGGATCAGGTGAACATTGTCTTTGGGACCTATTTAAACTTTATTATTGTCTTATTTTAAGAAATTGCAACAACCACCCCAAGGAACCCTACAAAATGTGTTTCTTCAATAATAAGACTTGAAAATTGAAATTACTTTTTGATCCATGGCCTGCAGAATGGAAGTTATGTTAGTAGGCATGGAAACCACATTAAAATCCTTCTACATCTTCACCAGAGCTCCTGGGTGACTAGCTGCATTGTCAATGAGCAGTACTATTTTGAAAAGAATCTTCCTTTTTCTGACCAGTAGTTCCCAACAGTGGGCTTAAAATATTCAGTAAACCATGCTGTAAACCAATGTGCTATCATAGAGGCTTTGTTGTTCCATTTATAGAGCACAGGTGAGCCTGTTTAGCATATTTCTTAAGTGCCTTATGATTTTAGGAATGGTAAATGAGCATTTGCTTCAACTTAAAATCACCAGTTGCATTAGGCCCTAACAAGAGAGCTAGCCTGTCTTCTGAAACTTCGAAGCCAGGCATTAAATTCTCCTCTTAAGCTATGAAAGTCCTAGATGGCAACTTCTGATAGAAGGCTGTTTCATCTGCTTTGAAAATCTGTTGTCTAATGCAGCCGTCTTCATTAATTATCTTAGCTACATCTTTTGGATAACATGCTGCAGCTTCTCCATCAGCACTTGCTGCTCCATCTTGTACTTTTATGTTATAGAGATGGCCTCTTTCCTTAAACTTTATGAACCAACCTCTGTCAGCTTTAAACTCTTCTGTAGCTTTCCCATCTCCCTCATCCTTAATAGAAATAAAGAGAGTTTGAATACTGCTTTGGATTAGGCTTTGGCCATTAAGGAAACGTGGCTGGCTTGATCTTCTATCCATATCACTAAAATATTCTCCAGATCAGCAGTAAGGCTGTTTTGCTTCTTATCATTCTTGTGTTCACTGGTATAGCACTTTTAATTTTCTTCAAGAATTTTTTCCTTACATTCACAACTTAGTTAACCTTGTGGCACAAGAGACCCAGCTTTTGGCCTCTCTTGGATTTCAACATACTTTCCTCACTAAGCTTGATCATTTTTAGCTTTTGACTTAAAGTGGAAGATGGGTAACTCTTCCTTTTACTTTAACACTTAAAGGCCATTATAGGATTATTGATTTGCCTAATTTCAATATTGTTGTGTCTCAGTGAATAGGGAGGCCCAAGGAGAGGGAAAGAGATGGTAGAACAGCTGGATGGTGGAGCAGTCAGAACACACACAACATATATAGTTTGTTTGCCATTGCATATGGACACAGTTCATGGCACCCTGAAACAATTACAGTAGTAACATCAAAGATCACTGATCACAGATCACCATACCAAATTTAATAATCATTTAAAAGTTTGAGATATTGTGAGAATTACAAAAATGTGACATAGAGACAGGAAGTGAGCATATGCTGTAGGAAAAATGGCGCCGGTAGACTTGCTTGACTCGTGTTACCACAAACCTTCAATTTGTAAAAAAACAGAATATCTGCAAAGTGCAGTAAAGTGAAGCACAATAAAATTAGGTATGTTTGTCCTAGGCCTTGGGAATACAGGCTCTCTCCTTCATAAAACTTATAGTCTAAGGCAGAGGTCAACAAAAAAACACCTGTTGGACAAATGCAGCTTTTTTTCTGCCTTTGTAAATAAAGTTTTAATGGAACACAGCCAACTTCATTCACTGTCTGTGGTTCTTTCCCTCTACAATGGTAGAGTTGAGCAGTTAGTACAGATTACAACAAAGCTTAAAAATTTACTATCTGATCCTTTACAAAAGAGTTTGTCAAGCTCTTGTCTAGTAGATTTATGACTTACTTTTCTGGAAATGTTTTTCTCTAATAGTAAAGGACTAATTAGGACATGAATAAAAAATTACTGCAGAATGGGAACAAGTTTTAGTCTTTATAGCTTCCATCATTTCCCTATGCAACTTCTTCCCTCACTTTCTAAGAGAAAGATTATCTTTTTGCAACTACAGGACTTTGTTTCTGATAGCTACCATATTTCTATTGCATTGTTCTCAACATTTAATCCCAGATGATCCTCCCAGACCTATAGCTTTGCATATCGTCCTTGCTTTTCTAACTAGAAAGAAGAAACAACATGCCATGTTACTCAACATGGCTAAATTAGGATACTCCTTGACAGACACACCCTTCAGCTGTGCCACCTAGAAACTTCTCCTCACATCCATTCCTTAGTAATAATAAAAAAAAATCTGACACCTACATTTACTTAAAATATGAAATCATCAACTCATTTCAACTCTCTGGTCTCAAAATTTTGAGTGTGTTTAATCTGGTTAACTGCGTTAACCTTTCTCATTTAAAATGTACATGCTACAAATGTTTCAGAATTGTTTCTTTGAAAAGAAGACATCCTTCCACAAAGGATGGTTGAGGACAGCAATGTCATTATCTGTTAAAATCCTCCAGCCTTACTGGTGGTGGACAAGTGGCCCTTGGAACAGGAAATACTGATTTAAGCATCTGGCTTCCTGGCTAAACACGATGATATGCATTCTGAAAAAGCTTTGCTTATGGAGGGAGTAGAAACAAAACTAATTGCAGATGGGCTGTCTTGTTGGAATGCATGGGGCATTAATATCTGATTTTGAAGATACCATTTGGACTTACTTTCTGGAAGGGCATTGGCTTGGGCAAATGCTGTGGAGAAGGGTTCTAAGTCTTGCTGCTTAGAAAGGGATAGGCTGGAATAACCATCAAAATTATCCCAAGCAGGAACTTCTGAAGCCTGTTAAGAGCAACGAACATAACTCTGAAACTTCATCCACCTTGGGTTCCAACTGACTGGCTCATGTAAGCTTCTTGTGGGAGGAGGCACATACCACTTGAACAAAACAAAAGTGGTATTTTCGAAAACGATGCTCAGGTTTCTCATTTCATTGTGAGAAAGGAAACATCTGAATACCAGGCAGCTCCAGAAACTGCATTCAAGGGTATTGAATTTTGATAGTGAGGAGAAAATTGGCTCTGTCACTTGCAGGTGAGCCAAGCCTACCTTGTCAGTGGAAAAAAGGATTTAAATGTGTGTCACCACCAGGAAGGAAGTTGTGGGTCACAACCAGGAAACATCTAACTTAACAACTTGTTATGAGTTCACTAAATTTTTAGGAAAAAAGTAGAGAACCATGTTGTGATTTAAGGTATTCTAGAGCTATTTGGAATTAAAACTTAAGTCAGAACTGTTATGCCAGCAGTGTGTAGTATCAGGCCAATTAGAAGATTGTGACATGACACCTTAGGATTTTAAAGACTTTTAATTTTGAAATCTCGGTAGCATTTCAGTCTTAAAAATTGAATGTGTACATTTTCTTAGTCTCCTCCATGCCCATTCCCCACTGATCTTGCTACTTAATCCTAGAGATATTTGATTAAGGAGTACGTAGGACTGGCCCAGTGTTTGCTTGTTGCTTTAGTGGCTGTAGTGGGGCTGGATCCATATTGAACAATGAAATACAGCAAAGGCGGTTGAAGCCTCTTGGGTCAGTGGTGACAGGAAGCTAGTAGTGATCATTCCAATTGAACAAATTAGGAGCCATGTTGAGAGATTTTCTCATAAGATATTTTTTGTGCCTATCTCATTGCGTACCTTAAATGTCCCATTTAGCCTTCTGGCTCACCTTTTACCTAAATATTGAAATAAATTTATCTGGAGCTCTATCCTGCTTTGAATAAAGACATTCACCTCTTTCTCTAATGTATCTGGGGACTCCTTGGTTGGGAGGCAAATGCTTACAGATGCAGTTGCTTCCTGCCAACTCCTGCTCCCAACTCTTACTCCAGGATCTCCTTTGACTACCTGTGGCTTCCAGGACCCCACTGTCTCTGGGGCTTCAGCCTTCTTTTTTATGCTTTGCACTGCAAATATGGGTCCAACCTGCATTACATTCATGAAGGTAGCATTTTCCAGGGCTTGCACTTATCTGTGCTACGTATTGCCCTTCACTTAGGGACCTTGGGAGTGGGGAGCATATCAAAGAGGGGCACTGCCCCACAGGAGGCCACATCAAACTGGGAAGCAGGCATTCCCTTCCTAGTGTCCATCACAGGGAGGCTTCTCATGGTGGTTTCTCTCCCAGGAGCCTGTTCTGCAGCCACTTCACTGGGGGCCCATTGCTTTCTTCTATTTTCATCTTCCTCCATTCTAGGTCCCACCTCTCTAAACCTCAACTGGGTCATTCATCCTCCCAGAGGAAATCTGAAAATTCCTTAAAGACATACATAGACCTCAACGGCCTAGGTAAGACATTCTTTCCCCTTATCAAGCTAAGTATGTTTATACCTTCTTTGTCTCTTTCTCTCCCAGACCAGGGTTGAAAGTACTCTTAAGAATAAAAAAACCCATAGTAACCAAAAAAAAAGGAAAACGTTTTCTGTTTAAAATGAATCCTTGCAGCCATCTTAGGTCAACCTTAAATCAATAGCCATACTATAAAATAGCAAATATGAGTTTCTTCCCCAGTAGTTAGTGGAAAGAGAACCTTGACCTTGGAAAGGACCCCTTTCCTCTCCAATCCTCAGGCTTCTTTTCTATAAATAGATTTGGTAGGTTAGAACAGCATTTTCCCAAATGAGTGCTTCATATGTTAGTTTGGCAGGATGTTGATGAGTGTTCCAGGGAAAGTGAGTTCTGGGCTTAACTCTTGAGGACCACACACTCCAACAAGATGGAAAAAGGTTATTTGCTGCAGAACTTCTCAGATCTTTCAATAAGCTAATGTGCACTGTGACTATGCAGAAGAGAGATACAATACACAGAATTTCCCAAATGCATTTGGAAGATCTTCCCCCAGCTTTAAGTAAGAAACCTATTACTATCTTGCAAAAATGCTGTTTGTTGAACACTAACATCCTGGAGAACAATTACAATTTCATGTTACCCTCTTCATGTTCACGTTCAGTTGCAATTGTTTCTACCTGTTCAGCCTGAATGAAGCAACATCAAATAAGCATAAAGGGCGGACTGGCTATTTCTTGATGGCTTTGTCTCGCTCTCTTTTTTGGGTCAGTCTTTAAAAGTTGCGGAGAATCTTCTTACTTTCTCAAAAATTGTAAAGTAGAGTTCTGTGGAAGTTGATAATTGCAATGCTATCTGTCGAGAGGGCTCTGGATTCTATTATGGCTTCTGCTGTAAGCCTGCATCTACCTCATTGAGCTGCTCTTGCCCCCTGTTACCTGCAGCTCAGGGTTTCCATTTGAGGCATGGTTCTGATTAAGAGACTAAGGAGTCAAAGTGCTAGAAAGGTTAGGTTACTCCCTTGGCTCAGTGCCACTCTCCCACCTGATAATTCAAAGTACAAAATTTTATGTTTTGAAATGATTCAACACTTTTGTTCATGCTGAAATGAAAATAGCTACTTTCTAGATTTTCTGATTGCAAAATTCTAGGTAAGTTTGTCAAAGTGGACGTTTTAAGATGAATGAGGGTATGTGAGGTGCATAGTTTTTCCTGTGGGGCTGGTTCTCTAAGAATATACTTGTCTGCTTGTTGGGTAATTCAGTATTAATTAGAGGCAAGGATCAAGGTGGATCCCAGGAAATATTTTGAAGCTGGTATGCTGCATAATCCTGACTTAATACCAATGACCCAGCAAATGTTCCCTTCTCAACATGTACCAAGTTGCTTTCAGAGCTGCTTTCTTCTCTCTCATTCCCTTATCAATCCACCCATTCCTGGTGTTCTCTTGCCATTAGATCTCTCTGGGCTCAAGAAGATATTTGATATACTCAACTAGTCTAAGGAGTGAGGAACTATGGTGAATGCTGTGATATGCCACCCAGATTTACTTTCAGGAATAACATACACCCCCAGCTTCTGGAAGTACCGACAGCAAACGTCACCCAGTACCCAACCCCTAAAGGACCTGGCTTGGCTGAAGAAAGCCTTCTTGCCCATGGTCGACTGCCTCCAATGCCTGGTAGATGAGGAGATAAGGGCCTCTGTGCTTCAACTTGGAAAATTTCTGAGGGGCCATTCCAGCTTCTGAACTACCTGTGGCATAGGGTGAGGCCTCCATTGAGACTGCATCACAGCTCAACTTCTCCCTGTCTAATCCTATTTCCTTTCCTTCCTGCCAGTGGCATTCCTCCATAGTTGTTGATTTCAAGATCCTCCTTTAAAAAAACACACACACAAACAAACAAACAAAACATAATTTCTCTATGCTAATCTTTGTCTTAGAGACTGCTCCAATGTATAGCGGAGACTTAATATATTATCAATTTCTAGAGGACACTTGTGTTTTAAAAGAATCTCATAGTGTTAGGGTTAAGTTTAACTAAAAATAATGAGCTACCAATGGTTCAATTGCTTGGCAGTGTAACATCTCAGAGAGAATGGGAGAATACATTGTTCATGCATGAGAAAAGGAGTTTTTATTTTTTCTTCTAATCATTAGTGATTTGGGTGTCTTGTTTAAAACATCCTTTTCTAATTGGAAGTTGTAAAGGTACTGTCCTTTATTTTCACCTCAAAATTTGAAGATTTTGCCATTGGCAATTCCAGTTAGAATTGATTTTGTGTGATTGGGTTTTCATTTTTATAAAGTACAAAATGTCGGGTAAAACTAAGTACATGTTGTTTGGGGATACAAACATCTGTGACAAAACTATGTATAAAAGAAAGGGAATGATGAATACAAAATTCGGGTGACTGCTTTGGTGAATGGAGGCAGGGAGTGGGATGGAGAGTGATATACAAGTCATTTCATTGGAATTGGTAAGGCTTTAATACTTAGGCGGAACACTTACAGGGTGTCCACTTTTATCATCAAGGTTAATGATATACCTATATATCACATATATTGCTCTGTGTACTAATATTATGTGGCTTCTCTATGAGAGAAAAAGGAAGAGAGAAAGTGGAGATAGTGAGAATCACCAACTCAACATTTTTCTGTAAAGGATACAAGAGAAATGGGCAGTAATTGGAGTGCAATGTGGAAGTCATACAAGGTTATTTTTAAAGACATGAGATATGACAACAATTTGTAGGTGGATAAGAAAATCCAGCAGAGCAAGAAACATTTAAAATGCAGGAGAAAGTAGGAACATTTAAAGGAGCAATGCTTGTGTTCTTTCCCAAAACAATTTTCCTGCATTTTAACATTTGCCTAAATTATATCATTGGCCCTCCTGAATTGTATATCTCACCCATTTATTCATTTTTCCTCATTCACAAATATTATTCAGCTCCTACTAGGTGCTAGGAGCTCGTTCATAAATGCAGTTAGTAGTGAGATTTGTTTCAGCCACCTATGTTCATGAGCTTGCTGCTGCAGTGTCCTGCCCTTTCCTCTCTAAGTTATAACACAACTACTTTGCTAAGAGCCAAAATCTGGATCCATCTACCTTCCCAGCCTCTTTAGGAAGCAATCCCCTCACTGAATGGCTCCAGTCAAACCCACCTTCTCTTGGGCTCTTTGACTTTCCAAAGTACCTTCTGACTCAGGCTCATTGCACTTCTAGTCACTTATGCCTGTAGTTTTCTCTCCCCTAATTATCTCTTACTCTCAGCTCACATATATTCCCTCCAAGAGGGTATGTCTCCTGTTCCACCCACTTCACTTTGCCTTCACCATCTAAGTTTTAATATCCATCTAGCCTGGCTCATATAGTCCTGATTCACAATACTTACTCCAATTGCAATTATGTTTGTTTGTTGAGTTCCATGGTAAAATAGGGAAAATCCACAAGAGTAGGGGCCATGACTGCTCTGTTCCCTCTTGTATGATTATCTGAGTGCTTCGTGTGTGGTAACTGCTTAACACGCATGCTGTGGTCTCTGTTCTCCTGCTGCTTCCATTCTACACTGGAGAAAACTGAACTCAGCAAGAAAAGAAAGTTGTACATAGATGAGGAACTAATTCTTAATCCAGTTTTGTATCTATTACAGTTACAGGATTTGGTTTAGTGGCTACTCAGCAGTTTTTTTTTTTTGTTTTTTTTTTTAAAAAGAACTAATTGTTAAATCAGACCATGTTGAAGCTGGAAGGGACCCAAGAAGGCCTCATGGAAATATTTCTAGGGTAGAGAACGACAGAAAAAAGGAAAAGGAAAAAACAGCAAAAGCTAAAAACAACTATTTACGAAGCTCTTAATATGCATTAGCCTTGTGCTAAGAGCTTTACCTAATTTAATCCTTTTGAATTTTTTGAGAGAAGGTTCTATTAGCCTTGTTTTACTGTTAAAGAAATTGAAACTCCAAGAAGTTATGTACTTTGCCTAAGATCATTCCCCCTAGTAAGAGGTGATGCCAAGACTGTAAGTCAGGTCTGCCTGAAACTAAAATAGTGCTTTTCCAAGTTTAATGTGGGTACAGAACACCTGGGGATTCATTAAGATGAAAATTCTGGGCCAGGCACAGTGGCTCACATCTGTAATCCTAGCATTTGGGGAGGCTGAGGTGGGTGGATTGCCTGAGCTCAGGAGTTTGAGACCAGCCTGGGCAACATGGTGAAACACTGTCTCTACTAAAATACAAAAAACTAGCCAGGTGTGGTGCTGCCTGCCTGTAGTCCCAGCTACTTGGGAAGCTGAGGCATGAGAATTGCTTAAACTCTGGAGGCAGAGGTTGCAGGGAGCCAAGATCGTGCCACTGCACTCCAGTCTGGGCAACAAAGTGAGACTCTGCCTCCAAAAAAAAAAAAAAATTCTGATTGGGTAGACCTAAGATTCTGTGTTTTTAACACACTTGCTGGTGATGCAGATGCTGGTCCTGGAGACACATTTTGAGAACCACTGGTCTATCTCAGCACTTTTCTAACTTTGATATACATATGAATCACATGGTCATCTTACAAAAATGCAGATTCTGATCCACTGGATCTGAAATGGAGCTTGAGATTCTGCATTTTTTAGAAGCTCCCAGTTGAGGACAGTTCTGCTTATCCATGTCCATGCTTTGAGCAGCAAAACTCATATAACCTGAAATACAAATTGTGTGTTGGGGATGGAGACTGGTATGGGTTTTGGAACTTCCTTTCCACTGCTCACAGTCAGAGCATTCACTGAGGATGATTATGCTATCAGATGGTAATGGAAGCTGCCTTTGAAATAACAAAGTCCACCCCTGATTTTTGACCACCTCTTAAGGGGTAGAAGGGCAAGAGTGGCCTAGAAGGCTAATGAGGCTTTGAATGAGGATGAGGTTTTCTGTGATGTCAGTGGAGAAGCCTGTAAGACATGCCAAGTTCACGTGAACATTGAGCATGGACACCAGCCCCCATCCTTTTCAACCTTTCAAAGCAATGTGACATCACCAGCTCTAAAAAACCCGAGGTTCATAATGAAACTTGTAATCAGGTGAGTCTTGTTTTGTTTTGAGTCCATTTACACTTTTTCTCACAGTCCCTCACTTGGTGACTTCAGGAGCACACTCTGGGGGTGAATTCTGGGAACTCTAACTGATCTTTCAGGTTTACATAAAGTGGGTTGACTCCCCTCAAAGAACATCACTGGCTTTCTTGTAAATCTTCTCTTTGGCTCAGAGAGGGGGAACCTGGCTTTCACGAATGATTTATACTTTTAGGGCCTGCAGGTGTTGTGCATGCTAGAACTTTGTTTCAATCTCTCCTCTTATGTAAATGTAGAGAAGATGATGCTGAGAGAACTGCCCAGAGCAGGGGACGGACTGGTCACACTCTTGAACTTCATATCATAGTGTTCTGCCTCCACTCTCCACAAAAGTTGATTAGAGAAACTGTTTGATCATTGTCCAATTGAACTGAGCCCAGCTTTTCACTGGAGTCTACTTTTTGAATAATATGCATTCTCCTCCTTGTATGGTAGGGCAGACAAGGTGAAGGGCACTTGCTGAAGGACAGCTCCACTTGAATACTTAGAAAGCACCAGATGCAGAGAGACTCTAAAATCCGGATAAAGGAAGTGTTTTCTCCCTGATTTGTACCACCATGTGGAAATAAAGGAAGTGGAAAAGTATGGACTTAGCAGTCTAACAGACCAGGATTGGCATTCTGGTTCCCTCACTTATTAGCAGTGTTGCCTTAGGCAGGCTATTTCACTTTTTAAGATTTGGCTTTCCTATCCGTAAATAGGAATAAAGCAACTAACATGATATTGTGAGTATGAGGATTAGATCCCATGAAATAAGCAAAGTCCTCTGCACCTGGAGTGTAGGATGTGCTCCATAAAAATTAGCCCTTCTTCCCCCTCTTCCTTTCCCTTCCCTTTCTAGATTCCAAGTGCAAGAAACCAAAATTATCAGACTGTGCAAAATGGCAGTTTCAAAGTATTTTGTGCCAAGGTCCATTTAGGTTCCAAAATATTCCCATCCCACTGCTTATTTCTGTGTTCTTGCCGTCTGATGTGTATCTGCGTGTCTCTTTGATTATACACTGCTGTCACTCAGAGCGCCGACAGACACCAACAGATTCTGTTACAACAGCTGATTGTACAGGCCTGCCTCAGCATTTGATCAGCAAAGATTCCACTCAGACCCCAAAGAAACCGTACTACCAGCCAACTTTATTTTAAGAAATTGGTTGCTTTATTTACAAAGAGACCCTTCCAAAAGGTTTCCCAGCAGAACCTAAATTGGCCATTTTATATAAAATAATTAAAAACTAGGTTCCAACCGTGTTGTTTATGGAGGGTCTGCCACATGTGCAATACAGACAAAGCAAGGCCTTAATGCTTTATTAGATTAGAATCATTTCTAGTGCTTAAGCATTTTGATGAAATTTGCTCAATTTTCTGGGTGTGTTTCACATGAAAAAATTAAATGTCTTTTGGCAGTTCCATTAAATAGACACCGGCAACATCTCTGGATTGTATAGTGCTCAGAAATCAGTGATATAACATTTTGCTTAATCCACCAATTGAGAAATGTACTGCAGCAACTTTCTTTTCTTCTGGTCCATACGTGATCATTACTGTATATGAAGAGTGAACCTGTAGCAGGGGCATTTTCTTTTTAGTTAGAAAAACAAGCCAACACCATATACTATGTCATTGTGTGAATGAGTAAAAGTTGTCATCTCTGGGCAGGTGTGCCCCATAGGCTCTCTGGCAAAATCCCAGAGCAGGCAGAATCTCGGTACCAGCCAGTCTCTCAGGACAGTGCACACACTGAGGAACAAGACACAGGATACGTTAGTCAAGCTAGGAGTGCCCTTTCCTTGCCCAAATAAGAACAGTGCCTCTACTTTGGGCATCTTGATCTCTCTCTCTTAAAGCTTTAGCCTCTGAGTTAGTTGTCTTTTCCCCACAAATTGGTCAAGGGTACCTTGATCCTAAAACAAAATATTTTTTCTCTGCTCCTCTGTTCTTAATTTGTATTTATTGGGCATCTCATGTATACTAGCACATAGAATGTCTTTGATAAATGTCTGTTGAATGATTAATTGTGTATTTATCTTGCTCATGTGGACTGAAAGATCACAGCAAGAATGAATACAGTCCACTTTAGGTCCTAGAGATGATGTTTGTCATTTTGTGGGCAGAAGGAAAGCAACCTTTTTTTTTCCTTCCATCCTGTTCACATTTCCCTAGTGTCTGGGAGGGTAGATATATTCGTTTCATAGTCTATGGCTGCAAGGTAACAATTTTCTATTGGTACAAACACAAGAGGTTGAATTTTCAACAAATTTAGTGAAGGGCTATTCATAGATACAGTATGTGGATTTGAAAAGCCCTCAAAGGCCACTTTGTTCCTAAAGGTCTTTCTCTCTCTGGAGTTCTATTCTTGAATCCCTTCATTAGACATGAGTTTGAGATACTTTTATGCTGAGTTGACCCTGAAAAGAATTTGCCCTTATATTTCCACCCTCATCCTTTTAAATTAGAAAAAGAGAAAATCAGATGCCATGGTAGACAGAGAGAAGGTGGGAAAAATGTAGAGAAGGCTCCAACTTTCTGAAAGCTTTTAAAGAAGATGTTTTAGCCTTTGGGACACACCTAAGCCCAAGTGACCAAATGACCAAGAATTGAATGACCTGTCTTTTTTCATTTTCATCAGGCAAGATCTACCAATGGGCAAAGAACTGAAAAAAAATAGAAGTCAGGACATTACCTAAACTTTGCCCCTAAAAAACACTTCTCAAAAGTTGACACCGGATTTCCTTCTTTGGGATGGGATGATATAAAGGGTGAAAGATACCCTTGTTGCACTTTTGAGCGTCCAGGGCTAGCTGAGCATATTTGTTCCATTATTGAAAAGGGGGATTAGTTGAGCATATTCTTCTAGTGGTTCCTGGTCAGTCTATGAATTTTAGAACCACTGACACTGCTCTTTTTATTCTGTCCTATTCTGCTTTTAACTTGATGTCAGTTACCGGTCTCCATTGTTCCCTGCACCTTACGTATTGTTCCATTACTTTTCGTGAGTCATGATTCAGGGAGGAGGAATGAGAAGGGCCAAAAAACACACTAAGAACATCTTTCATCACTGGATTGCAAATTAAACAAGGTTAATCCTCACAACTTCCCTGTGAGGTTAGGAAGCTTATTAACACCTTTGACATCCTGGAGGACACAGAGGCTTAGTGCCCTTCTGGCAGGGCACAGAGCTGGCTTCCTGACTTCTCTAATCATTCAGGGCCTCACCCTAGCATTCCCATTCTCTTCTCCTCCAACATATCTCCTCTAAGAAGGGAAGCTCACCCCTTGCCTTCAGTGGCTGGCATAGAAAAGTTCACATGAAAAAATAAACCTCAAGTCTCCTATTCCTTCCTGTGGAAAAGCCCTGGATTTGCAGTCAGAAATGCCAGGTTCAAATCCTGGCACTCTGACTTATTATGAAGTACTTTTGTTTTCTGAACCTTGCTTCCCTCATCTATAAACTGGATCAATAGATGCAATTGGCATACACACGAGAGGAAGAATTGTGAAGAAATTAGATGAAAGGCTATCCACAGTGTGTGTATCCACAGAGTGCGGACTTGAAAAACCCTCAAAAATCTACCCTGTCCCCAAGTTCTTCTGCAGGTTCACTTCTTGGGATTGTTCTGGGGATTAAAAAGAAATAATATAGATGTAAGGCCAAGCAGAGTCTTGGTACATGCTAGGTACCCAACTAAGAGTCATCGGTCGGAAAAAAAGATGAGTGAACAAGATCTCAGAAGTGAGACCAAGGAAGCCTTTTCCTAGGCACATGGTGGAAAATTACTTACTAAAAATAGTTTTAAAATGTTTTTAATTTTTAATTTTATTTGAAACAATTATTGTGCAAATTTATGGGATACTGTGTGATGTTTCAGTACATGCATACATCATGTAATGATCAAATCAGGGTATTGAGCGTATCACCTCAAATATTTAACATTTCCTTGTAGAGAGGACATTTAGAATCCCCTCTTCTAGTTATTTTGAAATGTACACTATAATATTGTTTACTATAGTCATGCTACTGTGCTATAGAACACTAAGACTTATTCCTCCTCTCTAACTGTAATTTTTTACTCTTTGACCGATTTCTCCTCATTATCCCCTTCCTCCTACCCTTCCCAGCCTCTGATAACAACTATCCTACTGTGTACTTCTATGAGATAAACTTTTTTAGATTCCAGAAGTGAATGAGATCATGTGGTATTTATCTTCCTGTGCTTTGGTTTACTTTACTTAGCATAATGCCTTCCAGGTTCATTCATGTGCTGCAAATGGCAGGATTTCATATTTTTATGGCTGAATAGTATTCCATTGTCTATATATCTTCTTTATTCTTTATCCATATTTTCATTATCTGTACATCCACTGATGGACACTTAGGTTGATTTCATATCTTGGCTATTGTGAATAATGCTGCAATAAACATGGGAACACATATGTCTCTTCAACATACTGACTTCATTTTATTCGGATAGGTACCCAGAAGTGAATAGCCAAAACCAGGCATGAATATAACCAAAAAATAAAACTAGAGGTCAATATTTCTGATCGACATAATTGCAAAAATTCTCAACAAAAACTAGCAAACTGAATTCAACAGCAATTAAATAGATCATTCACTGTGATCAAGTAGGATTCATCCCAGGGATGTAAGAAAGGTTTAAAAAAATCAATAAATGTGATATATATATATATATAGATGGAGTTTCACTCTTGTTGCCCAGGCTGGAGTGCAATGGCATGACCTTGGCTCACCACAACTTCCGCTTCCTGGGTTCAAGCGATTCTCCTGCCTCAGCATCCCGAGTAGCTGGGATTACAGGCATGTGCCACCACGCCTGGCTAATTTTGTATTTTTAGTAGAGACAGGGTTTCTCCATGTTGGTCAGGCTGGTCTTGAACTCCCGACCTCAGGTGATCTGCCCACCTCAGCCTCCCAAAGTGCTGGGATTACAGGTGTGAGCCACCACGCCCAGCCATGAAAGTACTTTTAATGGAAAGGAACGCCTTCCTAATATCCAAATACCCTTTTCTCCCTGCCCTCCTGTGACTAAAATGCCTTTAGTCTCTGACCAAGCTTATCTTGTCCTCCGTCCATGCCCCAATTTTAGGGAGGTATCACAAGAGTAATGAATAATAGTAAACTCACCACTGGAAGGAGAGAGGAAAAATACAAAGAATTAGTTAAGAAGAGAAACACAGGAGAGAAGCAGAGCACAAGGGAGGGAAGCCTAGTGAGGGGTGGGCAATTTGGTAAAATCTGCTCCATTACTTCACAGTGCTTCCCCTGGGCTGGCCTTAAAGAGAGCAGTGAGGATATTGAGTAGGTGCAGTGGATAAGACAGCTATTATAGTTTAACTTTATACCAGTTCTGTAGACATCAAGGCATTATGTAGCAAACCTTTATACCAGGACCTAGTTATATCCAGTAGGATTAGTGCATTTTTCTACAAGTACAGAGAAACAGGCAAAGAGTAGTTTAAATGAGTAATAGCTTTATTCGTCCCATGGCACATAAATTCACAGGTTAGCAGTCCAGGATTAGTGCAATGGTTCCAGGTGTGCTAGCCCTTTTACCAACTTTCTGCCCTGCCAATCTTGATGTATGGCATTAGCATTCAATGTGGTTGCTACATGTGCAGATTATCATGTACACACACACAAAGAAGAAAAGCAAAAGGGGTGAATAAGAAATTGGGTTCCATATAAGAAATAAACTCTCCCAGTAACTCTCGGCTCTCTTTGTATTGGACAGAATTGTGTTGTATGGACACAACTAGCAGCAAGGGAGCTTGGGGAAGAGAATTCTGTGGTATGTGCAATATAAACTTCTTCCATTTATGCTATTACATCTTTGGTAAAATCCACATTGTGTCTTTAGAACTGTACTGCACAGTATAGCAGTCAATAGTCACATGTGGCAATTTAAATTTAAATTCATTAAAAATTGAATAAACTTAACACATTATTTATCCCATAGCACTCGCCCCATGTGGCAGGTGGCTACCATATAGGACAGTGCTGATGTAGAGCATTTCCATCATCACAAAAAGTCCTGCTGGACAGCACTCTTTAGCTAAAGCTGAGGATTTGCAGAATCTTGCATAAGAGTTGGTAGAAGTAGAAAACATTACATAAAAGACAGCTGAAATTCTTGGCAATGGCAAAGGCTCCAACTGCTGATGATATTGGAGGAGGGTGGCTGAGGAACCAGGATAGGGACTGGATTTCAGAATATTTGCTGTTAGTTGGTGGCAGAAGCAAAGCCAGTAAAACCTTTTCACAAGGAAGATCTCTGGCCTTCCTTCAAAACATCTGAGATTGCCGTCCAGATTTGGAAAACTGAGTCAAGTATAGCCCCTTTTCTCACAGTATTGACAGTTAGGGAGTATCTCCCTTCTCTGAAATGATCATGAAGAATGTATTTTGGATTTAATTTTTTCCTACAGCTAGCTCAGTCCGGTTTTTAGAAGCTCCTGGAAGCTGAGGGGTGGAGACATGGTGGTCTGATTCCCAAGAATTTAGCAGCATTATTTGTCTAAGCATTAGGGGGAATTATTCAGCTAAGTCCCAACGACTTGACGGCAAGTTTACCTCTGAGAGTGTATTTCCCCTTCCTTCATCACTTCAGTCTCATTACTTACACCACATCTTCTGCTTGAATCCCACAAGATGCTCATCTGTCCAAAGGCTTATGATGTGGCCTCACTCTGAATGGCTTCAATTTGAACTTTGCTTTGAACTTGCTAGCTTTACTCCTCCTGCTTTTCCTGGGCCACATGTACAGTTAAATCACATGCTTATTTCTGACACTTGGAGCTGAACTAATGCCATGAAAACCATGTGACATTGGTTTTCCACTCCTGGTTCTTTTTGAAATGGCAGTCTATTTCATATCTGGGAATCAGTGGTAGGGACTCTGCTAGGAGAGTGGCTCTTCTGATAAAATGCTATGTATGGTACCACAGCTGAAAGTTTTCCTCTCCCAGCTCTGGTTAAAATTAATTATACTTATTGCTTCCCTTCTCATTTATCTTTATGTCTAGAAAGTGATAGAAAGTTTTGATCTTCCTTTTGTGGTTCCAGGGCAGTCACAGTTACCAGTAATTAAAGACACAGGGCCCGTCGTAGTCATGAAATCAGAATTGAATTGTGAACCTAGTGAACGGGGACCACTTGCCTCTGCATGAGGCTTTTATAACTTTTTCTCTACAGTAGGGACCCAGTTGGCACCCAGTAAGTAATAAATAATAATGATAAGTAGTCTCGCCTTGTGCTTTCCAGAACGGTGCCTTGCTTTTTCTAATTTTGTAAAATGGCTTCCTGATGAAGTGGAATGTCCATGTCACGATTGTGGAAAATATGGATTGGTATTCAATGAAATATTAATGATTATCCACTTACTGGGGCTTTCCTTTGTGAAGACTGAAATAAAAAAGGAGCTAGATTTCTTGATAATGAGTTAAAACATGATTGCTTCAGTATTAACTGTGGCTGAAACATGCCTTTTTTTCCCCCTCTTATTCTACCTCATTCTGTCTCTCTTCTGAGTGCCCTCATTTTGGGTATTTTTATTCTTTACTAAGAGCTTCAGACAGATAATGACATGGTTTGAATGGGCAGGGTATATGATGCTAGAATGTACCAGAAATCAGTCTTGCCTCCATCATATTGCAATTTTTAAATTTAACATTAAGAGAACTATTTAACTGTAAAATGGGAATAATGATACCTAGTTCATAGCTTTGTGGTGAGGATTAACGAAAAAGTAGCTATGAAGTGCGCTAATGTCTGGCACATAGTAAGACCTCAAGATAGCTTGCTTTAGCCATTCTACAACGTACACATACTTTAAAATAACTTGTTGTACATGAAAAACATATACAATTTTTAATCGTCATTTTAAAAAAGTACCTCAAGAAATGCTAATTTTTATCATTTGGTGGTAGTGGTGCAGAGGAAGACAGAAGGCAGGTAAAATCCCAATCTGCCCATTTGCTTGTTAGTCGCTTGGATGAGAGATGTGGTGGAGCAGCTTGTCACAAGGAGCGGCTGTCATGAGATTTGGGGATTATCTGTGGGTTTCTGCTTCCTGCCCTCTTCTGCTTCCTGATACCATTTGAGAGTGGTTCTGCTGACTTTGAGCATGCTCTGGAGCTTCCTCCACACCTTTGATGATGCTGTCAGGATTAGCAAGAGTCACTCAGTCTTTCAAGACCCACTAAAAGAAGAGATGCCTCTGAGTTCTGGAAGGAATGGGTGTTGGCTTTGGAAGGGGTTCAGACTCTGGGAATTCACTGTGCTGTGCTTTTCTTTCTCAGCAACTGCCACCTGCAGCCACCAGTGTGGGCTCCCACTGGTACTCCCTACTCCCCACCCCCTCCTTGGGCTGTCTGCAGCCTTATCTGGAGAGTCAGAGAAGGCTGAGGTGAGATGAAGCGATAAGCAGGAAGTGCAGTGGAATTTCATTCCTGGAAAAAAAAAAAGGGACCTTGGCATGAGTAGCAGAATGGAGGGTTTGGGATGTTAATCACTGCTCCTTTTATCAGACAGCTTTATTAAGATCAATGTTTTTTGTTGCCAAATTAGAGTGGACCTAGAGCGAACTTCCCAGCAGTTATTAACACAAGTCCACATTTGCTGGAAGGATTGGGTATCTCCACGTGCTCAGCCATAGCTGGAAGTTACACAATATCTATATCATTTTTCACAGCTTTGTCATTAGCTGGTAATGATTTGATTATTTTGCAGATGAATCACAGTATAAATCTCTTTCACAAACACTACCTCCAAGTATTAATCAAAACCATTAAGGCAAAGCAGTCGGTGCAAATTAAAAAATTTGCATGTCTAAATTAAAAATTACAGTAATACATCATAAATAAATCTTTTAAATTCTCTATGGCCTCTATGTACATCCTTTCTTTGGTGTGCATATTCTATAATGAGACCATGAATACCAAGCTTTTCTCTCATATAAATAAATATATATATACACATACACACACACACACACACACACACACACACACATACATATACACATTATTTAATTGTAAAGGTAGAATTCAGGTCCTTAGGTAGAACCTGGTATTAGAACATGAAAGGGAAGGGAGAGATTTTCTTTTCCTTTTTCCCATTTCTTTCTTTCTTCCCAACAAAAGATTCAAAGACAGCACAAAAAAAGAAGAGAATAGGAGCTATTGCAGATAATTTGCAGCGTCTCCCGTTGTCGCAAAGTAAATATTTGTAAAAGGTGATGCTTCTTTTTCAAATAACTTTGAACTGTGAGGAAAATTACCAAGTTGTGTTTTAGGTAATATTTCATTTTGGAACTATTAACACATTACTTGCAATAAGGGAGGAAATTAGAGGGCTTTGAGTGATGAAAGCCACCTTTGGCATTAAAAAACTATTATTATTCCCTTGAAACACTAAAGCAAATTAAAACAGGAAAATGAAACTTTCAAGTGCCCTGGATTTGAAAAGGCATTTTTCCCCCTTTCATTTGTCAAAAAAAAAAATTAATGACTTGTTTCACTGGAAACCTGGAAGAAATAATTTATTAGGCAGAAAGCACTCTTTTCAAAATGCCTTTGCCAGGAGTTTAGGGGAGTGATACTGCCCTGTAAGTCTCCACCATGTACTGTGCTTAAATAGGCCTCCTGTGAGTGGAATATAGACTAGTATATGCTAAAGATCCATCTCAGTTCCAGGTAATGGAATGGCAGCAGTAATTAGAAAGCACTTTTGCTCTGCCCAGGATTTAACCCAATTAACCTATCTATAACCTATTAACCTAATTAAATAGAAGAGCTTCTCAGTGAGAAAGATACGCAGGACTCTACCCATTTGTGGGTAGAGGGTGGAAGGAGGGCATGGTTTAGGGAATATTATAATTTGAAGTCCAATTTTTTGTAACAGAAGTGGGGCATCAAAATACAATTCCAAAGTGCTTGGTGTTTCCCTCACAGAAGGCCATGGAATTAGGCAGCAGGTTAGTTTTATACTCACTTATGCTTCCCTGCCTTGTGGGAATTTTACCTTAAATTATTTTTTACTGATACCGATTTGGCAAGAGGCAAGGAAAGCCATTCTGCCCAAGACTCTGTTTATCATGTGTTCCTTACTTCATAAAAACTTCAAAAAGAGTAAAGAGAAAATCCTTTTATCATTTTTTTTTTTAGTTTAACTCAATCCTATGCAATTAACACCATGGCTGGAAATTTGACAGCATAGCTTAAAATTCATTAAAAGGCAGGATTTATAACTGGCTCTTTACTAACTTGAGTGACCTTACCAAATTGTGTAATCTTGCTGAGTCTCAGTTTACTCATCTGTGTAAATGAGTGGGCTGGATGAGATGGTCTCATAAAGGTTTTTTCCAGCTCTAAATACTTTGTGATTTTATATGATTACTTCTCCCTCTACTTCCTCTTCTTTTGATTCCATTTCACCAAAAATAAATGCTTCTTGAATGACTTTGGTTAGAACTGCATAGTCTAATATGAATGATAGCCATTTGTTTATTTAAAGTTAAATAAAATTAAAATTAAATTAAATCAAAAATTCAGTTTTTAAATCATACTAGTCACATATCAAGTGCTCAGTAGCCACATGTGACTAATGGTTATTTTATTGGACAGCACAGATGTAGAACATTTAGATTAATGCAGAAAATCCTATGTGCTGAATGAACCTGAAACATCTCTTTTCTTAGATTTTCACATTTGCTTGGTTGTGCAATGTCCAGTCTTTTGTTTATGTATGACAAGGGAAGCCAGACTCTTATGGAAAATTCATCTTTATTCAGTTTAATTTTAGAGACATTCTGTCACATCCATAAGGCATTTAACTAGACACTCAGCTGCTTACTAGCTGTAAAATCTTGTGCAAATGGTTCAGCCCTTCTGAGCCTCAGTTTTTCTACCAGTAAAATAGGTGTAATAGTACCTATTCTGCAGCGTGTTTTTTTATATTATTATTATACTTTAACTTCTGGGATACATGTGCAGAACGTGCAGGTTTGTTACATAGGTATACACGTGCCATGGTGGTTTGCTGCACCCATCAACCTGTCATCTACATTAGGTATTTCTTCTAATGTTATCTCTCCCCTAATCTCCCACTCCACAACAAGCCTTGGTGTGTGACCTGCCTCTCCCCCTGTCCATGTGTTCCAATTGTTCAACTCTCACCTATGAGTGAGAACATGTTGTGTTTGGTTTTCTGTTCTTGTGTTAGTTTGCTGAGAATGATAGTTTCCAGCTTCATCCATGTCCCTGCAAAGGACATGAACTCATCCTTTTTTATGCCTGCATAGTATTCCATAGTGTATATGTGCCACATTTTCTTTATCCAGTCTGTCATTGTTGGGCGTTTTGGTTGGTTCCAAGTCTTTGCTATTGTGAACAGTGCCTCAGTAAATATACATGTGCATGTGTCTTTATAGTAGAATGATTTATAATCCTTTGGGTATATGTAATGGGATTGGTGGGGCAAACGGTATTTCTGGTTCTGGATCCTTGAGGAATCGCCACACTGTCTCCCACAATGGCTGAACTAATTTACACTCCTACCAACAGTGTAAAAGCGTCCCTATTTCTCCACATCCTCTCCAGCATCTGTTGTTTCCTGACTTTTTAATGATCGTCATTCTAACTGGCGTGAGATGGTATCTCATTGTGGTTTTGATTTGCATTTCTCTAATGAACAGTGATGATGAGCTTTTTTTCATGTTTGTTGGCTGCATAAATGTCTTCTTTTGAGAAGTGTCTGTTCATATCCTTTGTCCACTTTTTATGTTTTTTTTTCTTGTAAATTTGTTTAAGGTCTTTGTAGATTCTGGTTATGAGCCCTTTGTCAGATAGATAGGTTGCAAAAATGTTCCCCCATCCTGTAGGTTGCTTGTTCATTCTGATGACAGTTTCTTTTGCTGTGAAGAAGCTCTTTTAGTTTAATTAGATTCCACTTGTCAATTTTGGCTTTTGTTGCCATTGCTTTTGGTGTTTTAGTCATGAAGTCTTTGCCCATGCCTACGTCCTGAATGGTATTGCCTAGGTTTTCTTATAGGGTCTTTACGGTTTTAGGTTTTACGTTTAAGTCTTTAATCCATCTTGAGTTAATTTTTGTATAACGTGTAAGGAAGGGGTCCAGTTTCAGTTTTCTGCATATGGCTAGCCAGTTTTCCCAACACCACTTATTAAATAGGGAACCCTTTCTTCATTGCTTGTTTTTGTCAGGTTTGTCAAAGATCAGATGGCTGTAGATGTGTGGTGTTATTTCTGAGACCTCTATTCTGTTCCATTGGTCTATATATCTGTTTTGGTACCAGTACCATGCTGTTTTGGTTACTGCAACCTCGTAGTATAGTTTGAAATCAGGTAGTGTGATGCCTCCAGCTTTGTTCTTTTTGCTTAGGATTGTCTTGGCTATATGGGCTCTTTTTTGGTTCTATATAAAATTTAAAGTAGTTTTTCTAATTCTGTGAAGAAAGACAGTGATAGCTTGATGTGGATGGCATTGAATCAATAAATTACTTTGGGCAGTATGGCCATTTTCTCAATATTTATTCTTCCTATCCATGAGCATGCAGGGTGATTTTATGTAAAGCACTTGTCACAGTGCTGGGTAATAGTAGATGACCAAAGATTATTATTTTAAACATTCATTTCATGGAATGTCAAAGCCTCATCACTGGACTGCTGAGGAACTGTTTGTTGAAAAATACTGAATTGGGAATAAGCCTTGTAGAAAAATATCATAAATACAAGTATTTTGCTTCTGATAGGAATGTTAGGTTGAAAAAAAATTAAATGGAAGGGTGTCAGAAGTCATACGTCTCCTGTGGTAGATGAAGGAGAACTGGAGATCTAAAAAGGTACAGTCCCTTTATTTTTACCCTTTAGCGCTTGGGGTATCTCCTCCTTTGTAGCCCCAGCCCAGTATGAAGGGTTGGAGCTAGAGAGGAGGAGATGCCCTTCTCTCACCAAAGGAAAAGTGAACATATTTAGACCTCCCCTCACTCCCACTTTCGATTCTTGACCTAGTTAAGAACAGAATATCCTTAGTTCTGCTGGTGATTTACACTGGCTGGCTTCTGTGAGAGAGCTATCCTTTCAGTAGGTTTCTAGAAGATCTTCACTGTGTCACTGGGGAAGGCCTCTATTTGCCAGTTCTAACTTCAACCTCTCGCAGCCACCTTTTCAGAAAGGTACTATAGATCAAATAATTTGGTCTTATGCATAACTGTGGCTTTTATGCTTTAAAGGAATGACACTAGGAAAGGCTCCATAGAAATAGGGGCCTCTCCTGTTTACTGAGGGCCAGGTCTAAAGATAGAGATGGAATGGATATTCCAGGCTCTTTTTTGAATATGTTGACATCCATCATGGAATGTTCTCTGCTTCCACAACCCCTTACACATATCTCTGTCATTCTTTCAGTAAAGGGCAACAAATGGCATCTTTGTAACTTCAGTATTGTAATAAACATTTGGGCCAATGGATGGCTCAAGTGCTAAATACTTGGCAAAGGAAGGGATTTATGTTTCAAACTCTTTCATAGTTAATGGAGGCAGTATGGTTTTCAAAGTATGGAATTTGTCTTGACTTGGGCTTAGCATTTTGTTTTCTCCACACATAGCTTTCTCCACCTTTTATAATATTTATTACAGTAATCCCACTGCACAGATAACCTTTGTTGACATTTTAAAAATTTATGATAGGAGCACGTGAACATATTTAGAAAATTCAAACAAGGCAGAAAGGTACAAAACAGAGAGTAAAATTCTCCCCCACCCCCAGTTCCCCGACTCCTTCACCCAATCCCTCTGACAAAGACAACCACTGGTAATGCTTTCTGGTGTGATCTTAAAAACCCATACATAATACTTGCTAGTACCTTCTTAATAATACACAGAATAAAAACCATGGTAAACACAATATTCTGACCCTGCTTTTTTTTGTTTATTTGTTTTGTTTTGTTTTTGTCTTACTGATGTCTGAGATTTTTCCATGCCAGCACATACAAAACTTCCTCAGTTTTTATTTTATTGGCTGCATATTATTTTACCATATGGACATTCTATTCTATAATATATTTAATCCTTCCCCAAATAGTAACCATTTAGGTCGTTTCCATGTTTCTTTCTGCTATGAAAAACTATGGTTCGTATTTCTTGTATACATATATTTGCTTTTACACATGTATCTATCAGGTCAATTTCTAGCTGTGTTAATGTGAGGTCAAAGACAATATGTTTTTATTTTAATACCTGTTGCCTAATGGCCATCTAAAAATTTAAACTTGTGGATATTCTTATCATCAGTGTTAAGAAAGACTGCTTTTCTGCAGGCTAACTAATATCAGATATCTTCACACTTTAACATTTGCCCATCTATTTAGGTGAAAAATAATTTCTTGTTTTGATTTAGATTTCTTTAATTATGAGTAAAATTACACATCTTTTTGTGTTTTTATTGACCATTGCCGTTTGTATTTTCCTCCCCTATAAGCTGCCTATGCAGCTATCCTTTGCTAATTTTGGGGCAGTTCATTTTTTTCCCCATTGTTTTGTTCAAGCACTTTCTAAATTGACCAAATTAGCCTTCTATCTCTGTATTGCAAGTATAACTTTTGTTCAATTTCTTGTTTGGTTCTGCAGTTCAATTACAGTATCTCTGCTCATCCTCTGCCCCCAACATTGAGATGTTTATTTTATGTAGCCAATTCTCAATTATTTCCACTACTACTTCTGGTCAATTTCAACTTGTGGTCTTCCTAGAGCACAAAGGAATGATTTGTAAATATGTTGCCCCAAAGCAATTGTTTATATTGCTTCCCAAGAGTATCCTAGCTTGCATGATAAGTTGTAGGGTCACCCTCAGTTTCTGTCCTCCCCCACCTCCACTTCAATCACTTGAATTTCTCTTTGACTTACACACAATATTGAGAATTTGGCATACAATTTAAACAATGCCTTTTGAAGCCCCCCAAAATATGGATGCCCACTGATATAGGGGCTTCATTTATTTGTTTAGCAGAATTTGTTGAAACATAAGAATTCAAAATCTTGTTCTGCAATATGAGCAGTTCAAATATAAGTTTATAATCTACTAAGAAAGGCATGAAAACCACTATAGTAAAGAGAAAGTCTATTTATCTGAAGATTCTCAGTTCAGTCCACTCTTGTGGGTGTATAAATGCAAATTTTCCTTTTATTTAAGTAGCAACTAATAAAAAGACCTCTTAAATTGTATCACATGAAGTAAAGGGCTTGTTTAACAAAATAATTATGGAAGATCATACCTTCAACTTTTTTTTCCCCAAGAGGATAACATAAATTGTCAATCAGCCTTTTCCAACACAAAACAAGTAGAAGAATGGCAGAGGAAAAACCAGTTGGTGGCTCTTACATACGGCCACATATAAAAGATGATTGAGCGATTAAGAATTGGTTCGCTTGGCTAGATACAGTGGCTCACGCCAGTAATCCCAGCACTTTGGGAGGCCAAGGTGGGCAGATCACTTAAGGCCAGGAGTTCGAGACCAGCTTGGCCAATGTGGTGAAACCCCATCTCTACTAAAAATACAAAAATTAGCCAGGCATGGTGGTGCATGCTTGTAATCCCAGCTACTTGGGAGGCTGAGGCTGGAGGATCACTTGAAACTGGGAGGCAGAGGTTGCAGTGGGCTGAGATCACGACACTGCATTCCAGCCTATGCGACAGAGAGAGATCCCTGCCAAAAAAAAAAAAAAAAAACAAACAAAAAAAAACAAGAATTGGTTGGCTAAGAATAAATACTGAGTCTTGCACATAACTGCTTTTAAGAGAAGCCTTTTTCAGAATTGTCCATCGTGTTATACATCAGAACTCTCACAGTTATCTTCATGTTTTCTGTCTCCTGTTAACCAGGACCAATCATGATCTTTATAGAAAAATTGGAAGGAAGTACAGAAACATGTGAATGGGTAAAAACGAATTGATTTTCTCTTTCTAAAACTTCTTATAAACATTTTTTGATGTCTACAGAATATTCCTCTTCTTTGGACGCTGCATAATTAAACCAATAACTTTTTGTTAATTATGTAGGTATGTCCTTTTATTTTATATTTTGTTTTTCTTTCAATTACATATAAAACTAAGATGAACATCTTTGCACATAAATTTTTCTATGTATTGCCAAACAGTCCATTAGAAGAGATTCCTAGAAGAGGAATTATGAGGTGAAAGGATATAAACTTTGCTAAGGCTCTTATATCCAGAAGCCAGTTCTGGGTAGAGAATTGTCAATGCCTGCTTCTTGAACCATGATGTCTCTTGCTGCAGCACCATTGTGCAACTATCCTGGCTCCAAAGAGGAAGAAATATAAACCTCTTTGGTGGCTTTAACAAAACAAAGCAGTACCCTTGTAAGAATGAAGGGAACATCTCTCCGTTCATTGTTCCAATATTAAGAGTACTTGTCCCAGTGAAGAAGAATTTCATTTTTTTCTTTCATATTGTAAATCTTCATCATGTGGTACAAACAGAAATTTCCTAACTATGCTTTTTTACCTGTTATTTGTGCATTGCTTGGATAGCACCTGCTTTCCTGATCTAGGTTCTGGGTCAACAAGGATAAAATCATTCAAGTTCATCCTTCCAAGTCATGCTTGAGAATCCCCATTTACTGCCTCTGTGGTTTGCCCCCAATTTACTTTCTACTTTTCCCCAATCCCTGGAGAAAAATTTGGCCACATTCTTTGTAGTATTCAAAGAAATGAGAAGAATCTGTAACAATTCTAGCCACTTTATACGGTGTGGCATATAAAGCACATGTGGCATTTTTAATGGTGAGCCAGGACTTACAGAGGTAAGTATCATTTGTATTTAAACAGGAATAAATGACTGAGTCACTTGGGATGAAAACCTGTTTGGCAGTCCTCAGGAAGGGGCAGATTACTTCTGACAGGTCTAAACAGCCCAGGTAGATAGGATCATTTAACTATATTTAACGAACACTGACAAAGGAATGCTTGATTAATGTCTCCCACCCAAGTATCCAGGGACTGTCAGGTCACCTTCTCAAACCAGTAGGCAGTTGAAGCTACTTCAGAATTTTCTTTCATTATGCATGATTGCAACATGCTTTAAACTGTCTGACGAGGACACGCTTCACCAAGATCTCAGTCAGTTTCCTCGGTTTTCTGGACTGGGGTGGGATGCTCTCTTCAATTTTGTGTAGGCATTTGGGGGGTCCATTTCACAGGACACATAACTATGCTAGACCAGTGTTATGTTAATGATTTAAACACAAAACAAGTTAATAAAAATCAAAACAACCTTGCCCTTCTATATTGTTAGGTATTGAAAATTCCTGTGATTTTTTTGGCTACAAAATAATTGAATTAAAAAATTCTTGGCCGGGTGCGGTGGTTCACGCCAGTAATCCCAGCACTCTGGGAGGTCAAGGCGGGTGGATCATGAGGTCAGGAGTTAGAGACCAGCCTGAACAACATGATGAAACCCCGTCTCTACTAAAAATACAAAAATTAGCCAGTCGTGGTGGCCTGCAGCTATAGTCTCAGCTACTCAGGAGCTGAGGCAGGAGAATCACTTGAACCCGGAAGGCAGAGGTTGCAGTGAGCTGAGATCACGCCACTGCACTCCAGCCTGGGTGACAGAGCAAGACTCCATCCCCCCCAAAAAAATTCTTGTAGGTGTTTGCACAGAACCTTAATAGTGTTTATGCCAAGCTCATTTGTGTGGTGCCATTTGTTTCTGTTATCTCTTCAACTAACTGTGAGTTTCACACTTTGAAGATTTAAGATAAAACCTATTCTTAAGTCTTACCACTAGGATTTCAGGAGGAGCCTACTCCAATTGTAAATCCAGAGACTGATCCTGTGTAAACGTTGGCACTTCCAAGAGCCAGAGTTGTGGCTTGCTGCAGTTCACATCGCTCAAACAATCAGGTAACAACTGGGAAACAGCGAAGTCAATTGATTCTTCTGGCTGTCAAGACTAAATTACCAGGGCTTGCATTTTTTTCATGGGGTCTCTATTGAACTAAACTTATTTTATCTTGGCACTTTCCAAACTATAGCACTTTCTAAGATTACATCAATTTTTCCATGTGTGGTTCTGCTTTTCAAAAAAATTATGATCAAATCTAGTTAATCTTTTGCATGCAGATGAACTTCAGTTATATTTCACCAACAGGAACATTAACTTTTTCTTTTGTTCACTGCTATACCCCCAGCATCTACACAGATATTGGCACAGAGTAGGTGCTCAATAAATAACCTGTTGAAAGAATAAAGCGTATACTGGCATATACTGTGGGAGTATGGTGGCAAGTTGTCTCAGTCTCAGAACTACCTAGCCGCATGGACACTGTCAGGAATATGACCTCCTGGACCAGCTATTTCAGGAAAATCTACAGCAGCCATCAGTGAGGAAGCCATGGACCTTGGTGCTGGGCTGTGGGGTATCAAGTGAGGAGGGAGGGACGGGAATTCATGGGTATGGCACTCTGACTAACTCCAACTCACCTGTTAAGTTTCAGTTAAATTCCTCAGAGGCTTTTTCTGTCCCTCTCCTCTTCTTGCCCCACTAAGTTTAGGACTGTGTGAGTTTTCTAAGGCTGCCATATTATTAATTATCACAAACTGAGTACCTTAAAATAACAGAAATCTATTATCTTACAGTTCTGTAGGTCAGAAATCAGATGTGGGTTTCACTGGGCTAAAATCAAAGTGTCTGCAGTCTGCTTTCCTTTCTGGAGGCTCTAGTGGAGCATTTTCTTTCTTTTTTCAGCTTCTAGAAGCCACCTGCATTTCTTGGCTTGTAGCCCTCTCCCCTCATCTTCAAAATCAGCAACGGTAGGTTGAGTCCTCCTTATATCATCCCTCCAACCTCTTCTTCCTGTAGTCAAATCTCCTTCTGCCTTCCTCTTCCACTTTTCAGGACTCTTGTAATTATACTGAGTTCACCTAGATATCCAGGCTAACCTTCCCATCTCTAGATCCTTGACCTGATCACATCTGCGAAGTCTCTTTTGCCACATAAGGTAACACATTCACAGGTTCTGGGGATTAGGGCATGGATATTTTTGGGGTGGCTGTTATTCAGTCTATTATAGGGTGAGTTTATTATATACTTCTATAGCATTCTGAACTTTATATTCTTTATACTATTTGATAAATGTTACTTAGCTCATTCTGTGGCTACTCGTTTAATGTCTGTCTACACACAAAAACCTATGAGCACATAGCAGTGTCTGTTTTGTTTCCTCTTGTATCCCCAGTGCCTGGCACAGTATTTAGTATATAGTAAGTGTCTGGATATTTTTTATTAAATGAATAAACATTATTTTATTATGTTTCAATGCCCTTGTGAGACAAGGGTACCATCTCATTTTATTGAAGAACATAGTGAGGTTCAAAGAGCAAATAACTTTCTAGCTTCTTCCTAGTCAGTGCATGCCCCCCCTCCACCTGCTTTCATATCTAATTTGTTTAATATTCTGGTATGTTGTAGGTGGTACTAGCTACCACACCCCAAGCATGTCAGAAGACAGAAAGCAAGCTTCCAAGAAGGGCCGCTGAGATATCATCAAGTGCTGATGTCATTGCCAGGGTCTGCTTGACTCTTTTGACTGGAAATGGTTGACTGTGATTTAGTAAACATGAACATTCACTACCAAACAGAATCTCTTGAATGGGCAGGTTTGGTGTCAGCTGCTCTGAGTAAAGGGCAGATTAACTGTGCAGTTAACAAAGTTTTGGGGCAGATGAACTGTGCAGTTAACAGACTTTTAATCATACCCTGGTACCTTGCTGCTGTTTCTATACATTTAAAAGATCTCAGTGATTTAAAAACATGTTTCTTTTTCAACATCTTCAGAACTCTAGTTTGTTCAAGCCTATATGGGACTCCTTGTCCTTTCTTTAGTTTTTATGTTCAGCCGTTAGGTCTATCTGTGGCAAGCATCTGTTTCAAAGCTCTGTACAAGTGGCTGGTCCACAGTAGGTACTAGATAAATATCTGCTGAGCTATTTAAATGACTATTGATGGTAGCTGATGTTCCTTGGTGACTATTAGGAAGTTCATATTGTGGGAAGATAATGCAAATATCATTTTATTTATGTCATTGATCTCCACCTTATTCCAGAAAGTAATTGACAGAGCTGTGAGTGTGATGGTAAGCTTGTGAAATGTAAAACCAAGAATGAGTTCTAAACCAGATGCTTTTCATAACAGTGCATTGGTGGCTTCAAGAGCTACCAATTCTACCAACTAATTGATGTTGGAAAAAGGCAGCACATCGATGGAGTGAGGTTAGACCTTGAAGCAAAATTTTGGTTTGTATTCCTGGATTTACCACTTACTAGTGATAAGAACTTGGGTGAGTTACTTAATTTATCTGACCCTCAAATTTAGTCTATGAAATGGGTATATGATTTGAGCTTTGAAGTAAATACTTTATGTGGAAATTATCTAACACAGAGAATGACTTTTAAAATGTCATTTTTTTTCTCCATCTTTCAAAGGGTTAAAGAAGGTTAACATTTTTTCCTTTCAAACATTTCTTCAATGAGCAACTGTTAGTCTAGACCACTCCATGTCAACATAATTAAAAGTAGGCAATTGATAAATGATAATTAAGTGTTATCCTAAGTTATTGACCACATGGACAATGAAATGACTAAAAACTCCAAATAGCCCTGGTGTCATATGCCTTACAGAGTAGAACAGTGTGGTCAGCAGGACTTTTCCATCAGTGCAGAGGTGCTACAGTCCACAAGGGGTTGGAGAGAGAGAGAGAACTGTATCTTTGGAATCAGAGTCAGGAAAGACACATTCAGTTTTATTTAGCGGCTGTCACTTACCCAGCAGGATTTTGATGTGTTTATTGATGTAGTTACCTGTATAAATCAGGATTTGATAAGGTTTTAGGGTCTTAAATGAGCTCTTTGTCTACATTCTTGAATAGGTGAACACATGCTTGTGGCATCAAATGAGTTGCTGAGGAAGTAATTACTCACGTAGTGAGGTGCATGACAATGAGAATGGCTGAATCGCCTCTAAACTTGTGTGAATGAAGAAAACAAAACCATCAGTTCCTCTGAGTTGAACTTCATGTCTACATTGAGGTGCCCTTGAAAATTAAGAAAGAAAAGCAATAGATGAGAGCAAATCTTGGCCTAAAGGGATTGAATGGACTGGAGACTAGGCTTGCAAGACTCGAATACGGCCTTATTAAATAGACTTAGATTTCCAAAGAAAGATTGTGTTCACAGTAAGGGAGGATGACAACATAGTAAAAGGAAGATTACAAAGGCAAACCCTAGCAATGCCTATCCACACACTGTGGAGGAACCTGTGGGCTCTGGAATTGTGGCTCCATTACAATTCAGTTCGGCCCTTCCCTCTGAATCTGTGGTGATCAAGTGATCTTCTGAATGTGAGTTTGACTTTGATTGCCTTTATCGGGGTAAAGTCAGGATGGGATAGTCATGTGGTCACGATGGTCTGATAAATGTGATGTACTTTGCATACACATTAATTTCATGATGTTTAATCAATTTTCAGTCCAACCTTGGGTGATCTACTACCAGGAGTAGACTGAATTGGGAGGTTCTGTCCATAAAGGTAAACTACCTCCCTAACTAACTACCTAATTACCATCCTGTGAGGCTTCTTATAAGGTTGCTAGCCTATTTTCCCAGGTAAACAAATACTACTTGCATACCTTTTTGCATTTCTACCTGTGTTGAATTACTCTATGAATCAAAAGAGTTGGCAAACTTTTTCTGTACATGTCCAGATGGTAAATGGTCAACACTTAAGGCTTTGCAGGTCATCAGTCTCTGTTGCAACTACTCAACTCTGCAATTATAGTGGGAAAGCAGCCATAGATAATACATAAATTAATGGGCATGACTGTGTAGCAATAAAACTTTATGCATCCTGGTATCGACAGACTAAGAATGAATTTGTTGAACAGCAAAATAGAAGCACCCCCAAATTTTTTTTTTGCAAGAATGTGTTATTGAAAGAAAAGCAATAAAGTGATCACCTTGGAGAAAAAATCTGGACATGGCTGGATTTCTTTAATTTAAAAATCATTAAGTACTATTTTGTTTAGAATTACATGTGGTGGTGATGAAGGAAGATAGGTAACACCATAAATCTCTTTGGTGATTAGGGCCTCTAAAGATCTTAACCTGGCTCTGAATTCTGGATACCCACCTTCTGTTTGCAAGGCATCATTACAACTTGCGATCCTAGTGCACCTTATTATTGCTTCTCTATAGACTCTCATCAACTCCCTCCCTTCTGCACCAATGAGACCTCATAGCTTCTATCTTGTATTACAGTTATTGTTACATTTGTCTTACTTTAAAGGATACATTCTAGGAAGACCAAATTTCTTCAACTTTCTCATACTCAGTTTCTTCACGTATAAACTGGGAACAGAATGCAGACTTTACAGCCCTCGAGGGTATAGCCCATGTACTATCCTTCCCCCAACCGCTCCATAATACCAAGCATATAGTCTTGTTTATAGTAACTGATTAATACATTATGAATGAATGAGTAAATGAATGAATGAATTTGAGTTAAGGTCTCTGCTCTATTTAGGTTTGAACTTTGGCTTTTCCCTTTCTTCAGGTGAATGGCCCTCTGTCTTTTCTCTTTTGGTCTTAGTGTTCTCAGTTTCTGCAGTAAGTCTCTTCTTCCCCAGAATTTGTTCAGTCTCTGCCTATCTGTCTCTGAAACCTAAAGAGAATTTAGGAATTCTGCCAAAGCTCTGGGGTTATTTGAATTTATGGTACAAAAAGAGCCTGCCTGGGATTCCCCTTTCTTGTAGTTTCGTTTCGAGTAGAGTATAATGTTAGAAAGATAATTTACAGAAAATGTACTTTAAAAGGAAGAGATGAAGGATGTTTCAAAAGAGGAGTGATTTTTATATTGGCAAAATGTGCAACTCTAAATAAATCATTTTAACTCCATCTGAGGGTTTGAGCATTATAGCGATAGAACAATATAAATCTATGTTTATAAACTGTGTATATGTATGTAAACAAAATAGACTGCCTTACCAGCCTGGAGGTACACCCAAAGTCATATATTTTGCATTTTTCCAAATAATGATTCAAACACTCACTTTTCCAGATATATATATGTGTGTGTGCATGCACATATGAATATACACATATTATAAATGCATGTATATTTATATAAGTATATATGCATATATAAAAATATATGTATGTATGTATGTATCATCTGTATGTCTGTCTATAGGGGTTGGGGGAGAAAGAAAGAATTTATTTTAAGGAATCAGCTCATGCAATAGTGGGGACTTGCAAGTCCGAAATCCATAGGCTGGTATCCTGGAAACTCAGGCAGGAGTACCATGTTACAGTCTTGAGGCAATATTTTTTCTTCTTCAAACCCATTTTTTTCCCTAAGGCCTTCAACTAATTGGAGGAGACCACACACATATTATTGAGGATAATCTCATTTACTTAAAGTCAACTGATTATGCATGTTAATCACAACTACAAAATAACTTTATAGCAACACCTACACTGGTGTTTGACCAAACAACTGGGCACTATAGTCTAGCCAAGTTGACACCTAAAATTAACCATCATATTAGATTGGGAGAAAATTCAGCAATTGTTTGTTCAGGACAACTCTACCCCCAAATTGTCAAGACCTCCAGGGATTTCCATTCCTGAAAGAATTCATCTTGCTTCCCAAGTGCACCTTTGAGGATACTGGAGAGGACTGTTGGACTTATCCAGTCCACTTTTAAGCAGCTGCTCATTCTGTTGCAGCCTTTTGGTCAGCTGGTTGAACACTTCTTACTCACTGGCTCCCCACTGCAGTGCAGACGTCCAGCTGCTGCACAGGTAGCATGATTGTGTTATGCTTGCATACTAGCATTACAGCTCTTTTAGTTCATTCATACTCTTATACTGGACCATTGCCCAAAGGCATCACTTTTATGCCTAAGGAATCTGCGGCTCTGGACAGATGCTGCATGAAACCCCATGGACCAGCAAATCCCAGGTATTATGTTGGCCCTTAGTTCAGCATCCCATTTCCATTACTTTTCTTTCTGTAAAACTCAGCTGTTACTAAGCTAACAATTTCCAGAGCTTCTAGAATATCTACTCTTCAAAGGGAAGGGATTGCTTTCCTCCAATAAGCTTCTTGCCCTTCAAGCCAGAGTACCAGCTTCCTTTCCAGTTCTGAACTCAGTATTCCATGTCATTGAGGAGGAAGCTACAAAAGGATGTTACAACAGGGCAAAGAATGACTCCCAAACTTATATTTGAGTAATAACAAAGACCACTTTTGTATTTAGGGAAAAGACAAAGATCTGCTTCCAGCTAACTTCTCGATACAAAGCTTGACTGGTAGCTATGCCTGCAGAGGTTTAAATTTCATCTCAACAGGAACTTTACTCCATGCAGACACATAAGTATATATGTGATGAATATTATTGATCTACTTTATATTTTTGCATTTTACAATCTCCAATAGCATAGATCCTTTTCTATCATCACCGAATAGTCAGCCTGGTAGGGAGAGTTGATGTTTTGATGCCATCTCATTATGAGACATTTTACTACTCCAAGTTCCAATGTGGAACTATGTATATAAATAATATATACAAGGATTTCATGCTTCTAAATGGCTCCAACAAAATCTCTAAATTTGATTCACCTCAGTTAATGAGTCTCTTCCCTATCCAGATTGTTCTTTGTGTGACATTATTTTAAAGTTTGCTAAAATCCTTATGCCTTGTGAAAGAGCCATGACATTTCCAGCTTAGGTGGTTTGTCCTGTTGTCCTTGGCTAAATTCTCTTTATAGCCTAGTTAAAACCTGGACACCTGGGAGTTTAAATTATCCATGTAGGATATTAGTATATTAGCTACCGATAAAAATGAAATTTATATGAGGCATCTGTTTACATTGAGCATCCCATAAAACTGTGCCAGAGAATTCAAAGGAAAAGGCTTTCAAATGAAGGTTTCATAGCCAGGAGCAAAAGGCTTTTGAGAGTGGCATCTAATGAAATTAGATAACTAATTTTCATTTTATATATTTAAAAGAATTTTTAATAGACATAGGATCTTGCTTTTTCCCAAAATGGTGGTCTAGAATACACAAATGATTTCAAGAATTCTTCTATGTTCACATTAGCTGTTTCAGTTTTATTTATTTTATAATTACTTGATTCCAAGTGAAAATAAGGGAACAGAGTTTTAAGCATTAATCTGTTCTTGTGCCATTGAGGACTTGGTGAGTAGGAGAAGCAGAAATTCCAGTGTTATCAAATAGTGAGAGATCTTATGAAGTCAGTGTGTAAAAGTAGTGAAAGGAGTAAAGTTGCACACAAGGACAGGTCTCAGCCTAGGAAAGGGTATGTTAAAAATAGGTCATTTTGAAAGTCTTCAGTAACAGTCAGGTTTCCAGACTAGTTCACTCTATTTCTAGCATTCTTTGGTTGCAAGTAGCTGTACCTGACTTCAAAAGGAAAAAAGGAGTGGAAGGAAATTCATTTTTAAGATGTGTGATAACTCACAGATATAAAGGAAGAGCTGAAGAACTGAGCCTTGAAATTGACAGAGGCCAGGGCAATGTAGATGTTATACACAAAATACTTAACAACAGGTACAGTGCAGATACTGACCAAATGGAATGGATACCTATGTGAAAAATGAGTACAGTCATAGCAGAGTATATTGACTCAAGATGAGCCCTGCATTTGGGAAGTTGGACCCAGTAGACTATCTCTTAAGGGAATTCTCATGGAAAGGAGACAGTGACAACTCTTCTTTCCTGTTGCCACTTCCTTTAAGATGAAGAGTTCATTATTTCAGCTTGGGTTTTTGCTTACAGCTTGTCAAGGAGAGGGCACGGCAACTAGATCTACATTCCACCAAATCTGTTGGCGATAATGGAAAGATAGTTTTCAAGGGAAAAATCAAGGTGCAACTATCAAAAAACTGAGATTGGACAAAACAAACACCACCAAATTCTATATAAACTTCAATAATTGTAATGGAAATTACTTGGTCCTTCCCATTTAGCTGAATCACCTACTGTCACCTGTATGGAACTCTTCTCCTTACTTAATCACATTATTTTTCCTCTTGATCTAACCTTTCTTCTAGTCTTTCCCTTCTTCTTCATTCCATAGTGTTCCAATTGTACTGTGAATTGAATAGATTTGAAGAGTGCTAGAAGTCTTAAGCTAAGGATATAAGCATCACTATGACATTATATCTCTGAGAAAATATGTTTTGTTTTATAAATAACAGAATGAGTTGTTTCAGGAAGATCATGTGTCTCTTGATGCAAAAGTGATAGCTCCAAAGAGGTTACAAAAAAACATGGTAATCTTCTTAGTATTTTTCCTTTAAATAGTGTGATTGTCTTGAATGTAGTGTAGAGATTTCCAAATCAGGGAAAGACTTTTCTTTCCAGTTGAGTTTTCCCATCCCTTTCAGGCATAGGCCAATCTTGTCACTTATATTCACAGGTACTTGTATGTTGGAAAGTATCAATACATAAATACTTTTTGATAGCCAGGGTTATTCAGTTTAAGAACTGGTACAGGCCGGCTGAGGTGGCTCATGCCTGTAATCCCAGCTTTTTGGGAGGCCGAGGCGGGCAGATTACGAGGTCAGGAGATCAAGACCATCCTGGCTAACACGGTGAAACCCCGTCTCTACTAAAAAATACAAAAAAAAAAAAAAAGTAGCCAGGTGTGGTGGCGGGTGCCTGTAGTCCCAGCTAATCAGGAGGCTGAGGCAGGAGAATGGCGTGAACCCAGGAGGCAGAGCTTGCAGTAAGCTGAGATAGCACCACTGCACTACAGCCTGGGTGACAGACAGAAACTCTGTCTAAAAAAAAAAAAAAAGGAACTGGTACATAGGGAATATAGATAACGCTAGCTGCCATGGGGCAAGCCTTTTTACAGGGGCTTAACATATATAATGTCAACACTGAATCATGCTTTAATTTCATCCACCTCAAAAAGCCTTCATTTGACTCTACTTTTCACAGAATTTATCATTCCTTTTTTTTTCATTTTCAGCAAAACTTCTTGATAAAGGCATCTATTCTTATTTTCTCAAAAATTTCTCTTATTATTGTTTTTTAAACTTGGCATAGTTAGGCATCCTCCACCCCCATCACCATTCCAGCAAAACTGCTCTTATCAAATTAACAATGATCTTTATGTATCCAAATCAGTTCTCAGTCCTTTTCTTCCTATACAACCTACTGGCAGCATTTGTAGTCACTGCTCCCTCCTTTCTTATAGATATGCTTTCTTGATTTGGCTTCCAGGGGTGTTCCCTTGAATTCTTTCCTCCTTCACTGGTTACTTATCTGTTCTCCTGATCTGTGGTCATCTTCTCTCTCTAGCTCTACTCACTTGCCTGTTGATTTTATCCAGTCCCATGGCTTTAGATATTTCTGAATGCTGATGACTCCAGAGTTGAAATACCCAATTCAGATATCTTTTTTGAGCCCTAGTCTCATAGATCCAATTGTACATTGGACATCTTTTCTTGAGTGTTTAATAGACCTCTGAAACTGGTTTTGCCTAACTTAGTTCCTAATCTCGCTGCCCTGAAACTTGCTCAACCCATAGTCTTCTTCATTCAAGCTAATGGCAATTCCATTCTTCCAGTTGCCCAGCCACAAAATCTAGAGATCTTCATTCTCTCCCCTATCTTTTACATGTAATATTCAATACATCAGGAAATCTTATGAGCTTTACTTTTAACTTAGATCTACATTTTTACAACTTCTCATCATTCTACCGTTTTTTGGTTGCTTTACTCCTCTTCCATATTCTGCCTCTAAACCAGTTGTTCCACTACTATCCTGTGTCCTCCCAGTTGAAAAAATTTCAATACAGCAGTCAAAGGATTTTCCAAAAGCATCAATTGGATTACATCACTGCCTTCTTAAAACTCTACAAAAGGGTCTCTGTTTCCTTCAGAATCAAAGTCCTCACAATGGCCTTTAAGGCCCTATGTTATCTGGTTCCTATCGCCCTTCTCACCTTTTCCCTACTAGTTTCTTCAATACTTATTTCCAGCCACACTGGCCTCCTTGCTGTTAGAGTTTTTACTTATCTGATCCTGATGCTTGTAATGCTCTTCCCCTCCTATTCCCACTTGACTGACTTACAGACCCTCCTCAGGATTTTGCACTAATCTCATGTCTCAGTGAGCCCCACCCTGATCATCACATTGCACACTGAAGCATGGTCTGCCTTCCTTTCAACTCAAAAAACTTCCTGCCAAACTTTCAAACCCCTTTCTTTTTCTTTTTTGCTATAGCATTTATAACCATTTAGTGTGCCATTCAAATTATTTATTTTATTTATTATGTATCATTTGTCTTCTCCCACCACAACTCAACCTCCATGGGGCAGAGATTTCTATTTGTTTTGCTCACTAATGTATTCCCATGTGCCTAGAACAGTGCCTGGGACTATCCAAAAATATTTCTTTGCATGAATAAAACAAATACATCGAATACATGATTTCAACTTAAAGAAATCCTAGTGGACATGAAGTACTATCCTCCTTTTAAAAAAGAGGAGACTTAGATTCGGAGAGATTAAGAATCAAGAAAGTTCACAGAGCTAGTAAGTGTGGAACTGGGATTCTAAACAGGTTTATATATCTCTAAAGTCCTTGCTTTTATTCAGAAAGATTTTCTTTTACTCACTTTTTGATGTAGTTCTCTCCAAGGATTGTTTAAGAAGGAGTAGGCAGAGGTGAAGCTAGCCAACATTTAGTCTAGTATCTTTTCTTAAATTTAATTATTATATCTCAGTTAATCCCCAAAATATCTCTTCAAATTATGAGCTTATTCCTATTTGCAGATAAAAATCTGAAGTTCAAAGAACTTAAACAATTAAATGACCTGTGTAATGCCACTCTATTAATGGCACAGCATTTTGAGTTCAGGCTTTTGATTCCAACACTCTATCATGGGACATTTCCAATATATGAACTTGTAAAATAAAATTGTGGGACGAGATACCTGAATTGCAAGGAAAGAGAAATACTTCAAGGAATGAAAAATGTAAAGCCTTCTCCCTGAAGCTTCTATTGAGCCAGAAGGAAAAATGTGAGCCCTGGCTGGAGGGTGGACATAAGCTTAATAAAAAACAAAATCAAAAAAGTTATGTTGCAATTTGTTGTTTGAGAGCCAAGCTTCAATGTTGCAGGCAAGGCAGTGTGGAGTTAATTCTTTTTGTTAAAAAACTGAACTGCAGCTATGTTTTCTCCAGAAATTTTGTAGCTTCTAAAGCTTTCAACTATTTCTAATGACGGCATTAAAGGGGATGGGAGAGAAAATATCAGATCTCATTTAGACCTCAAGTGGTAACGTAGTAAAGTGAACTTGCTTCACATTTGCACTGCGGCTTCCTTGCTTATCTCTCTCTTTCTTTCTCTGATTCTCAGCTGTAGGTGACATTGTCGTGGCCACACTGAAAATCTTCACCTGCTCTGTCATCTCTGAATTTATGTTGCACTTTTTGGTATCAGCCCCAGTGATCTTCTCTCTTTCTCTCTCTCTCTTTTTTTTTTTTTTTTGCCTTTGCACCTTTTTGCTCATTCACTTCCTGACAACATAATACTAATTTTCATTCTGAAACTGTATTTAGCCCTCTTCACTATTGCCAGTAATTCAAAACCAATAATTCCCCAGACTGCTTAAATTCAAGGAACCACACTAAATTTCCAGGTTGCTATAATGATTTTCTTTGAGAAATCCAAAATAAACCTTCTCACCATGTTTCTGCACATAGAATGGACACTTTATAGTATCTTCCATCTTTATGAACTCTCAGGATCTCCATAGGTCTGTGTACGGCAATCACAACTCTTAGTTTATTTTCCTGATAGTGACCTCAATAATCAAAAACTCCTTCCATTGTGGAAGCCCAGGAAAACTGCAAAAATAGTCACTTTGCTGAATGGAAATGAATTACATTTTGGACAGAATTGAGTGAAAGGTTACATTTGAAAATTTGCCCTGTCTTTAAATTTTGCCATCACAGTTGTAGTACTTCTGGCTGGGTAAGATTTTAATCTATGAGGATATTTCCATATTGTATATTTGAACAAACCACCAGTCGTGAACATTTAGTTGTGCTGAATACACTGGAGCTATCAGCATGCTGTCTGAGCCAGTTGGACTACTTCTTCACATTTTATGTTAATAGTGGTTCTGGATTAGCCAGACATGTTTTGATTTTTTAAGAATTTATGTATGCAGAACTGGACAACCATAAATTCAAAAGTACATAGAAATTATAAAATTAATTGTGAATCCCAACTTGAAATATGTGTAGAATTCCATTACTGTGTAGAGTACAAAAATAAGTAGGAGAATAATAATTAGGATAAATATTAGTTGCATCATGCTCAGCAATTTTTAAATGGTTTCACATAATTATTTTACTTGATTTTTCAATATCCTCAGATAGTAAATTTGACATGTTTTTATCAGTTTCTTCATTTTACCAGTGAGGAAATTAAGAATAAATGAGTAAATAAAAAAACCTAAAAGGTCACAACTCTATAAGTAGAAAAGATATACACAAATATATATGCCCTTGACTCAAATTACATGCTCTTACTATTACATAATATTAGGACTTATAAACTAAAATCAAACAACTTTAAATGAATAATGATAACAAATTAGAATAAATATTAATAATCATTATATTAAATATTATGACTACAAGCCAGAAAATCAAAACATTAACATTAGTCTTTTGAAAAGACTGGCTTCAAAATGAACTTAAACAATTTGCTTTCTGTGAATTAAACACTGAAGTGTACAAAACAATTTAAAAAATGATCATAGCCGTTTTTTTACAGATTAGAGAAAAGATGCAATCATGTTCCTTTGGCCTTTGGAGGAGGAAGAGAAAAAAACTGCATTTTTCCTATGGCTAGCAAAACTGCTGAAAATGGATGAGTCGTCAATTTTGATAAGATCCATGACTGGTATCATAATTTGCAGTGATTCATCTGTGATTTTTTCCCCTTCCAAAATAAGGTCTGAAACAAAACCAAAGCCTTGGGAAAAAGATAACAACTGGCATTTTTATCTCTTTTGTGTGTTCGTATGTGTATAAAATGGAACTTATGATAGATTTAGAATACATTTGATTCTGGCACAGTAAGCGATCTTAAAGATCATCTGGTCCACCCCCTCACCGCCCTTCCCCCAAATTCTAGGTTGAAGAAAATAAGGCCTCAGGGAAAGTCCTTCCAACTAATTCTTGATAAACCTAGGAACAAAATTCAATGCCTGTTCAGCTACACTAATTGTTCCTGGGATATAATATTTCTTCTTCATGGCTTATTTTTAAAAATTAGAAAAAGAACAAATGTTATCCCTCTACCTTCCATCATGTTTAGCCATTCTTCTTTACTCTAATGGTATGGAATTTGACATTATAGTTTATAGATAAATGTATGTTTCACAAACACTATAAATTACTCCATATTATGATGCTTTATTCTCTCTCTTTTATTTGTGCCTGTGTTTCTTAGTAAAACCAAAACTCACATCCTCATGTGAACCTACAATCCCCAGGCATTCAACTCTATACTACCTAAGTTCACTAGATATATTTTTTAAAGTTTCTCCTTTATTAAATTTGCAATTAAAAATCAATTCTGAATCTTTGAGTTTTTTCAAAAAGGAAGCCCAAAGATTGGAAGGAGAAAAACAATAGTACTGTTTTTGTATTTTTCTCACTAGCTTTTAGGCATTGTTTAGACAATGACCTAGAGGAATCATTCTGACTACTGGTAATTTTTGCTGTAGCAAAATTTCTCAAATGAACGTCTCTGTTGAGATTTTTCTCAGTTCAATTGCATTTCTGAACAGGATATATTATCTGTTTTCATCATATTTGGAGGTACCATTTTAGATGGATGCAAATCTCAATAGATGCTGAAGAATCATTGACACTTTGGATTTGTGTGTGCACATGCCAGTTACCCGCTCTTTGCCCACCACCTCTGTTCTTCATAATAAGAAAGGATAAAAGGAAATGAGAAAATGAACAGTGAAAATAATATTTTTTTCTTCTGTTTCCCTTCTTATTTGGTCTGTGGCTTTTTAGAATGGTAGTTCTTTGTAATCAGATATCACACCTTTCTAGACATTTCATTCATCACCAAGAACTGTGTAGACGTCCAAAGCATAACAACAGCAATTATATAATAATGCTAATACTCAATTCTATATAACTTTGTGACATACCAAATTCCCAGCTCCAAATTTCTATTGGTTAAAGTTTTGAACCCATGTTTGGAACTACAGGCATGCACCTCAGAGAAATAGAGGGTTTGGTTCAAGACCACCACAATAAAATGAATATTGAAATGAATCAAATCACATGAATTTTTTGCTTCCCAGTGCATACAAAATTATATTTAAATTATCCTGTAATCCATTATGTTTACCATAGCATTATACCTACAGAAACAATGTATGTATCTTAATTAAAAAACACTTAGCAGCTAAAAATTGCTGACAAACATCTGAGCCTTCAGCAAGTTGTAATCTTTTTGCTGGTGAAGGGTCTTGCCTCAATGTTGATGGCTGCTGAATGATGAGGATGGTAGTAGCTGAAGCTTGGCTTGGCTGTTGCAATTCCTTAAAATAAGACAATAATAAAATGTGTCACATCGATTGACTCTTCCTTTTATGCAAGACTTCTCTGTAGCATGTGGTGCTGTTTGATAGGTTTTTACTCACAGTACAACTTCTTTCAAAATTGGAGTCAGTCTTCTCAAACCCTCCTGCTGCTTTATCTATTAAGTTTTTGTAGCATTCTAACTCCTTTGCTGTCATTTCAACAATGTACACAACATCTTCACCAGGAGTAGATTTCATCTCAAGAAACCACTTTATTTGTTCATCCATAAGAAGTGACTCTTCATCTGTTCAAGTTTTATCATGAGATTGCAGCAATTCAGCCACATCTTCAGGCTCCACTTCAGATATAGTCTGGCTCTGTGTTCCTACCCAAATCTCACGTTGAATTGTAATTCCCAGTGTTGAGGGAGGGAACTGGTGGGAGATGGCTGGATAGTGGGGGCAGATTTCTCCCATGCTGTTCTCTTATGATAGTGAGGTCTCATGAAATGTGATGGTTTAAAGATATGTGGCCCTTTCCCCCACGCTTTTCTCTCTATCCTTCTCCATCATGGTAAAACGTGCCTGCTTCCCCTTTGCTTTCCATCATGATTGTTAGTTTCCTGAGGCCTCCCAGCCATGCTTCCTATATGGCCTGTGGAGAATTAAATCTCTTTTCTTCATGAATTACCCAGTCTCAGGTAGTTCTTCATAGCAGTATGAAAATAGAGTAGTACAGAAAATTGGTACCAGGAAAGTGGGGCACTGCTATAGAGACACCTGAAAATGTGGAAGTGACTTTGAAACTGGGTAACTGGAGGAGGTTGCAACAGTTTGGACAGCTCAAAAGACAGAAAGATGTGGGAAAGTTTGGAACTTCCTAGAGACTTGTTGAATGGTTTTGACCAAAATGCTGATAGTGATATGGACAATGAAGTTCAGGCTGAGGTGGTCTCTGATGGGGATGAATAACTTATTGGGAACTGGAGTAAAGGTCACTCTTGCTACACTTTAGCAAAGAGATTGGTGGCACTGTGCACCTGCCCTACAGATCTATGGAACTTTGAACTTGAGAGAGATGATTTAGGGTATCTGATAGAAGAAATTTCTAAGCAGCATGTGACCTAGCTGTTTCTGAAAGTATATGCTTATATGTGTGAACAAACAGATTATCTGAAACTAGAATTTACATTTTAAAAAGAAACAGCATAAAAGCTTGGAAAATTTGCAGCTCAGCCATGTGGTAGAAAAGAAAAACCCATTTTCTGGGGAGAAAGTCAAGCCTGCTGCAGAAATTTGCATAAATGAAGAGGAGCCAAATGTTAATAGCCAAGACAATGAGAAAATTGTTTCCAGAGCATTTCAGAGACCTTCATAGTAGCCCCTCCCACCACATGCCCAGAGGCCTAGGAGGGAAAAATGGTTTCATGGGCCAGGCCCAGGGCTCAGCTGCTCTGTGAAGCTTTAGGACATGGCACCTTGCATCCCAGCTGCACCAGCTCCAGCTGTGACTAAAAGAGGCCAAGGTATGTCTCAGGCCATGACTTCAGAGGGGGCAAGCACCAAGCCTTGGTAGCTTCCATATGGTGTTGGGCCTGCAGGTGTGCAGAAGGCAAGATTTGAGGTTTGGGAAGTGCTCTGCCTAGATTTCAGAGGATGAATAGAATTGCCTGAATGTCCAGGCAAAAGTCTGCTGCAGGGGCAGAGCCTCATGGAGAACTTCTACTGTGGTAGTATGCAGGGGAAAGGTGGGGTTGGAGCCCACACACATAGTCCCCACTAAGGCCCCAGCTAGTGGAGCTGTGAGAAGAGGGCCACCATCCTTCAGGCCCCAGAATAGTAGATTCACAAACAGCTTGCACCACGTTCATAAATAATCCACAGGCACTGAATGCTAGCCCATGAAAGCAGCCAAGGGGTCTCTACCCTGCAGAGTCACAGGGGCAGAGCTGCCCAAGGCCTAGGAATCCCACTCCTTGCATCAGAATGCCCTGGATATGAGACATGGAGTCAAAGGAGATTGTTTTGGTACTTTAAGATTTAATGACTACCCAGCTGGGTTTTGGACTTGCATGGGGCCTTTAGCCCCTTTCTGTTGGCTGATTGCTCCATTTTAGAATGGAAGCATTTATCCAATGCCTGTACCCCCATTGCATCTTGGATATAACTAACATGTTTTTGATTTTACAGGTAATAGGCAGAAGGGAGTTACCTTGTCTCAGATGAGACTTTGGACTTGGACTTTTGAGTTAATGCCGTAATAAGTTAAGACTTTGGGGGACTGTTGGGAAATTATGATTGGTTTTGAAATGTGAGAAGGACATGAGATTTTTGTTCTTCTGTACTTTCTTTCTTTAGTTGAGATCATACCTCTTGAGTGTCGGGTGCTTGGAAATTAATGCCCTTCAGAGCATCCTTCAACAAAGGTTGGTGGGTAACTCTGAGGATATGTCCCACATTGGCTCCCAGACTTCCCCAGTGGAATTAAGCTCCAACTGACCCAGCAGGAACTTGTTCCATAACCCTCTATTGGCTACCTAACTTTTGTCTCTTTCCCCGTTTCCCTTCTGTACTTTCCTGGAATCATCGCCCTAATAAATTATTTGGACTTGAATCCATGTCTCAATATCTTCTGAAGGAAAATCCGAACTAATAGAGTTTGCTTCATAGAAAGAACCTGAATGAGTCAAGCCAGTGAATGAAAACACGTACACAGGTGTGTCCATGCATAGACATTAAGACTTCAGTATTAGCTTCTGTCTTTTTGGTCTCTTAAATAATTTTCTTTCATATATTTCTAATAGCAGTTTGCTGTCAAAAAGCTGAAGGAGATGCATAAAGCATCTTCAATCCAAGACAAGATCTAATAATGAGTATAGTTTCAATTTCAGCACACCTTACCTACCCCCCAACCCCGATTGTACTACACACTCTACCAGTCTCACCCCATGTCCCGTTGCTGGTCCCAAGACCTTCCCCTTGATCTGTGCTACAGCCCTTATGGCTGAGAGGGCCAGTGGGTAGAGTAATTTCAATTTAAATACTTTAGAGGCACAAATTATTGAATTACAGGTGTGTCAAAAGCACAGTTACATTGTTAACTTTGCGTGACTGATTGGTGTCTAGTTTCTCTGATTTTGACTGGTTTCTGAAATGCATGACTTAAAGTCTTCTTTAGGTCTTTGCTCAAATTTGATCTTGTTAGTGAAACTTTTTCCAAAAACATCTTCAGAATTTTAAATTCCAAACCATCCTCAGTCCTCTCTACTCCCCATTTCATTTTCATTCATAGAACTTGTTTGCAGCGGACATTTTCTATGTTGTTCTTTTATTTTGTTACTCTCTGTCTCCCTAATCAAGAAGTAAGCTCTATGACGACAAGGATTTTTGTCTGTTTTATTCACACCTATGTTTCTACTACATAGGAAGCATTCAGTGTATATTTGTTGAATAAACAAGTGAATAGATTTGGATACTGAAAACCGTATATGTTAAAATAATCATGGCTACACATTCAGAAAATATGAAAGGCTGGGTAGTTGGTTGTACTTATAGCCAATTTTTTATTTGTTAGACCCTGGAAACCTGAATTCTGGCTGGAAACTATAGTCATTTTAGAGGTTGAGAATCTTCCTAACATCCTAACATGGATATTGAAATTGGGCAGATTAGCAAAGAGGCAATTTCTGTGGTTTATTAAATAATTGATGATTTTTAAAGATTTTATAAGCTTCCTTGTACTTTAATATTTTCTAAAACATTCAAGAATTCCCAAGTACAGCAAACAAGCAAACAAATACAGGTTGAGTATCCCAAACCTGAAATGCACTCCAGAATTTTAGACTTTTTGAGTACTGACATGATGCTCAAAGGAAATGCTCATAGGATCATTTTTAATTTCGGATATTTGGATTGGGGGTGCTCAACCAGTAATCCAAAAAAATCTGAAAACTGAAACACTTCTTGGTCCCAAGCATTTCAGATAAGGGATTCTCAACCTGTAACAGCCAACAACAACAAGAAAACCTCCTCTGTTAACCTTTTACATGCAAGATTTCCTCTTTTGTCTTTATTATGTTACTTTTATGGTCTGATTTGTGAATTTCCTCCAGCAACCTGTTGAATGCCTCATAATAAATAATGGTGCAGCAAAGTCAGGCTGCAATGGTTACAGGGAATAAAAGAGAACAGAGAATCCCACAACCTAGTAGTATTCATCACTTATCAGTATTTCATCATGGTACAACTGCTAGTGTCAGAAGCATACATGAGTACACATTCTTTTTGTGCAAAATCTTGGACGGCGAGAGATTAAGCATTCCATTTGCACACTAATGAATCAATTAAAATTTACTATTTAAGTGATAATTAAGAATTATCACTTTTCTTTCCTGATCCTTATTTTTTTCCTTTTCTTCTCTTTAATAACTAGGACCCCAGTAAAATGTCAAACAGAAATAATGATAGCTCACCTTTTCTTGTTCCAAATCTTAAAGAGATTGCCTATAATGACTCACCATTAAGTGTGATGTTCAATGTACCTTGTTTGTACAACCTTTTATCTGGTTAAAAAAAAAATTGTTTCTATACTTAGTTTGCCAAGTTTCTTTTTTAAATATGAATTAATGTTAATTTTAGCAAGGTTTTTCCAGAATTTATTTTTTAAAAATTGGGTTATTGTATTAATTTATGTGAGCTTATTTTCTAATATCAAATCACCTTTATAAGCTTGAGATAAATGTAACTTCGTCATCTGTTTTATCCTTTTATGTACTGCTGGATTTAGTTTGCTAATATTTGGTATAGAGTAGTTTCGTTTAACATCATGAGAAAGTTTGTTATGCAATTTTCCTTCCTTGTTCTGTGCTCGTCATGTTTGGGCATCAAGATCATGTTAGCTTCATAAAATGAAGAGTGTGTCTTCATTTACTGCTTCTCTAGAAGATTTTGTTTATTGTTGAAATTACTTGTTCCTTGACTGTTTGGTAGAATTCACCAATAAAATCGTACCACTACATACCTATTAGAATAGGTATAACTTTTTTTTTTTTTTTTTGACAAAATGACATGCTAAGCACTGACAAGAATGTGGAGCAACGGGACTGCTAGCAGGGGTTCAAACTGACACAGCCACTTGGAGGAACACTTTGGCAATTTCTTACAAAGTTAAACTTACACTTCCCATGTAACCCAGGAATCCCACTTCTAAGTATTTACCCAAGAGAAATGGAAACATATGTTCACACAAAGAGCTGTATAAGAATGTTTATTGAACTTTATTCATAATTGCCAAAAAACTGGAAACAATCCAATTGTCCATCCACTGGTGCATAAACAAATTGTGCATCCCTACAGTGGCATATTCAGCATTAAAAAGGAATGAACCAGTGATAAACACAATGACATGGAAGAATCTCCAAACCTTTATGCTAAATGACAAAAAGCCATTCTAATGGCTACATGTTGTCTGATTCCATTTGTATGAAATTCTGAAAAAGACAAAGTTATAGGTTCAGAAATCAAGTCAGTAGTTACCAGGAGCTGGAGTAGGGAGAAGGGAGTGTACTACAAAGGCATGTAAGGGAACTTTTGGGGGATGATGGAAATATTTGTATTTCGATTGTGGTAATAGTTACATGACTGCCTGTGCATGCCAAAACATATTGAGCTCATACTGAGAAAGTATGGATTTTACTCTATACAAATTATATCTTAATAAATCCAATAAAAAACAACCCCGGGACTGGGGTTACTTTACAGGCATATTTTTTAACTACTAATTTAATATTTCTAATCATGGGAATATTCAGGCTTTTAAATTCTTTAATTTTTTTTCTAGGAATTTGGCCTATTTTTTAACTTTTTGACATAAATTATGTAATATTTGCGGAATACATAGTTATGTGTTCCTTTTCATTTCTGAGTGTTTATTTGTGCCTTATTAATAAATCTAAAAAGAGATTTTCACATTGTATTAAGATTTATATATAACTACTTTTTTGGTTGCTTTGATCCATTCCATTCTAGAATTCACTTGTTTTCTGATTTGTTATTTTCCACCTTATCTTTTTTCTTTTAATTTCTTTGTGTTTGTCAACTTCTTGAAATAAATCTTATCTTGCGAATTTGTAACTTTTCTTATTTTCTAACATAAGCATTTAAGACCATACAAGTCCCTCTAAATGCTGCTTTTGCTGCATCTCACAATTTTTATTAGGTAGTATTTTAAAATTCTTTCTTTCTAAGAATTTATAATGTATACCATAATTTATTCTTTGATTCTTGGTTTACTTAGAAGTTTGCTCCTTAACATTTCAACTTATGGAATTTTCATAGTTATCTTTTGATTATTGATATCTAGATGAATTGCATATTGGTGAGAGAATATATTCTGTTTTATTTCAGTCCTTTGAACTATGTTTATACCTGCTTTATGGTTCAGTATATGATCAAATTTTATAAATGTCATATAGGGTAAAAAATGATGTAGTCAGTACATATGCTGGTTGCAGAGCTTAATATATGTTTATTTCATCAAAATTACTACTTTTTTGCTTGTATGGCTTTATATTTACTGAGGGGAGTATAGAAATATCTCTCTATGAGGGTGGATTTACTTCTCTATAAATTTTTTATTTAAGTGATGTATTAAATCCTTCCAGATTTAACATCCTATGCCTTGGTGAAATGAAACTTTTTAATATTATGATCTGACCCTTTTTATATCTAGTAATACTTTTTACTTTGAAGTCTATTTCATCTGATATTAATGTAATTAATTACTCTATTTTCCACTTATGCCAATATCTTTTTTTTCCTCCATATTTTTCTCTCTGGTTTGCATTTTTTTCTGCATATTTTTCTCTCTGGTTTGCATTCTGGATAATATATTTTGCCTTATCTTTTAGTTTTTGTCTCTTGACACACCTGCAGGATCTATTGGTTCTACTATTAAATGTATCCATTAAAAATATAATTTCAATTTTATTTTCAGTTTATTGAAGTTCTATTTGGCTCTTTACAAATCAACTTCCTATTATATTGTTATTATATTATAAGCCTCCTTTTATTTTGAACCTTATTAAATATATTTATTGTATATTTTATGTCTAATGCTATACTTCTATAGCTTCTGTATTTCTAAAATTGTTTAGCTTTTTTTATTTTTATTTTATTTTTTATTTTTATACTTTAAGTTTTAGGGTACATGTGCACATTGTGCAGGTTACTTACATATGTATACATGTGCCATGCTGGTGTACTGCACCCACTAACTCATCATCTAGCATTAGGTATATCTCCCAAAGCTATCCCTCCCCCCTCCCCCCACCCCACAACAGTCACCAGAGTGTGATGTTCCCCTTCCTGTGTCCATGTGATCTCATTGTTCAGTTCCCACCTATGAGTGAGAATATGCGGTGTTTGGTTTTTTGTCCTTGCGATAGTTTACTGAGAATGATGGTTTCCAATTTTATCCATGTCCCTACAAAGGACATTAACTCATCATTTTTTATGGCTGCATAGTATTCCATGGTATATATGTGCCACATTTTCTTCATCCAGTCTATCATTGTTGGACATTTGGGTTGGTTCCAAGTCTTTGCTATTGTGAATAATGCCGCAATAAACATACATGGGCATGTGTCTTTATAGCGGCATGATTTATAGTCCTTTGGGTATATACCCAGTAATGGGATGGCTGGGTCAAATGGTATTTCTAATTCTAGATCCCTGAGGAATCGCCACACTGACTTCCACAATGGTTGAACTAGTTTACAGTCCCACCAACAGTGTAAAAGTGTTCCTATTTCTCCACATCCTCTCCAGCACCTGTTGTTTCCTGACTTTTTAATGATTGCCATTGTAACTGGTGTGAGATGGTACCTCATTGTGGTTTTGATTTGCATTTCTCTGATGGCCAGTGATGGTGAGCATTTTTTCATGTGTTTTTTGGCTGCATAAATGTCTTCTTTTGAGAAGTGTCTGTTCATGTCCTTCGCCCACTTTTTGATGGGGTTGTTTGTTTTTTTCTTGTAAATTTGTTTGAGTTCATTGTAGATTCTGGATATTAGCCCTTTGTCAGATGAGTAGGTTGTGAAATTTTTCTCCCATTTTGTAGGTTGCCTGTTCACTCTGATGGTAGTTTCTTTTGCTGTGCAGAAGCTCTTTAGTGTAATTAGATCCCATTTGTCAATTTTGTCTTTTGTTGCCATTGCTTTTGGTGTTGTAGACATGAAGTCCTTGCCCATGCCTATGTCCTGAATGGTAATGCCTAGGTTTTCTTCTAGGGTCTTTATGGTTTTAGGTCTAATGTTTAAGTCTTTAATCCATCTTGAATTGATTTTTGTATAAGGTGTAAAGAAGGGATCCAGTTTCAGCTTTCTACATATGGCTAGCCAGTTTTCCCAGCACCATTTATTAAATAGGGAATCCTTTCTCCATTGCTTGTTTTTCTCAGGTTTGTCAAAGATCAGATAGTTGTAGATAGGCAGCATTATTTCTGAGGGCTCTGTTCTGTTCCATTGATCTATATCTCTGTTTTGGTGCCAGTACCATGCTGTTTTGGTTACTGTAGCCTTGTAGTATAGTTTGAAGTCAGGTAGTGTGATGCCTCCAGCTTTGTTCTTTTGGCTTAGGATTGACTTGGCAATGCAGGCTCTTTTTTGGTTCCATATGAACTTTAAAGTAGTTTTTTCCAATTGTGTGAAGAAAGGCATTGGTAGCTTGATGGGGATGGCATTGAATCTGTAAATTACCTTGGGCAGTATGGCCATTTTCACGATATTGATTCTTCCTACCCATGAGCATGGGTTCTTCCATTTGTTTGTATCCTCTTTTATTTCCTTGAGCAGTGGTTTGTAGTTCTCCTTGAAGAGGTCCTTCACATCCCTTGTAAGTTGGATTGCTAGGTATTTTATTCTCTTTGAAGCAATTTTGAATGGGAGTTCACTCATGATTTGGCTCTCTGTTTGTCTGTTTTTGGTGTATAGGAATGCTTGTGATTTTTGCACATTGATTTTGTATCCTGAGACTTTGCTGAAGTTGCTTATCAGCTTAAGGAGATTTTGGGCTGAGACAATGGGGTTTTCTAGATATACAATTATGTCATCTGCAAACAGGGACAATTTGACTTCCTCTTTTCCTAATTGAATACCCTTTATTTCCTTCTCCTGCCTAATTGCCCTGGCCAGAACTTCCAACACTATGTTGAATAGGAGTAGTGAGAGAGGGCATCCCTGTCTTGTGCCAGTTTTCAAAGGGAATGCTTCCAGTTTTTGCCCATTCAGTATGATATTGGCTGTGGGTTTGTCATAGATAGCTCTTATTATTTTGAAATATGTCCCATCAATACCTAATTTATTGAGAGTTTTTAGCATGAAGAGTTGTTGAATTTTGTCAAAGGCCTTTTCTGCATCTATTGAGATAATCACGTGGTTTTTGTCTTTGGTTCTGTTTATATGCTGGATTACGTTTATTGATTTGTGTATATTGAACCAGCCTTGCATCCCAGGGATGAAGCCCACTTGATCATGGTGGATAAGCTTTTTGATGTGCTGCTGGATTCAGTTTGCCAGTATTTTACTGAGGATTTTTGCATCAATGTTCATCAAGGATATTGGTCTAAAATTCTCTTTTTTGGTTGTGTCTCTGCCCGGCTTTGGTATCAGAATGATGCTGGCCTCATAAAATGAGTTAGGGAGGATTCCCTCTTTTTCTATTGATTGGAATAGTTTCAGAAGGAATGGTACCAGTTCCTCCTTGTACCTCTGGTAGAATTCGGCTGTGAATCCGTCTGTTCCTGGACTCTTTTTGGTTGGTAAGCTATTGATTATTGCCACAATTTCAGCTCCTGTTATTGGTCTATTCAGAGATTCAACTTCTTCCTGGTTTAGTCTTGGGAGAGTGTATGTGTCAAGGAATGTATGTGTCTAGGCTTCTTTAAGAATGTTGAATATTGGCCCCCACTCTCTTCTGGCTTGTAGGGTTTCTGCCGAGAGATCTGCTGTTAGTCTGATGGGCTTCCCTTTGAGGGTAACCCGACCTTTCTCTCTGGCTGCCCTTAACATTTTTTCCTTCATTTCCACTTTGGTGAATCTGACGATTATGTGTCTTGGAGTTGCTCTTCTCGAGGAGTATCTTTGTGGCGTTCTCTGTATTTCCTGAATCTGAACGTTGGCCTGCCTTGCTAGATTGGGGAAATTCTCCTGGATAATATCCTGCAGAGTGTTTTCCAACTTGGTTCCATTCTCCCCATCACTTTCAGGTACACCAATCAGACGTAGATTTGGTCTTTCCACATAGTCCCATATTTCTTGGAGGCTTTGCTCATTTCTTTTTATTCTTTTTTCTCTAAACTTCCCTTCTCGCTTCATTTCATTCATTTCATCTTCCATTGCTGATACCCTTTCTTTCAGTTGATCACATCAGCTCCTGAGGCTTCTGCATTCTTCACGTAGTTCTCGAGCCTTGGTTTTCAGCTCCATCAGCTCCTTTAAGCACTTCTCTGTATTGGTTATTCTAGTTATACATTCTTCTAATTTTTTTTCAAAGTTTTCAACTTCTTTGCCTTTGGTTTGAATGTCCTCCCGTAGCTCAGAGTAATTTGATCGTCTGAAGCCTTCTTCTCTCAGCTCGTCAAAGTCATTCTCCGTCCAACTTTGTTCCGTTGCTGATGAGGAGCTGTGTTCCTTTGGAGGAGGAGAGGCACTCTGATTTTTAGAGTTTCCAGTTTTTCTGTCCTGTTTTTTCCCCATCTTTGTGGTTTTATCTACTTTTGGTCTTTGATGATGGTGATGTACAGATGGGTTTTTGGTGTGGATGTCCTTTCTGTTTGTTAGTTTTCCTTCTAACAGACAGGACCCTCAGCTGCAGGTCTGTTGGAGTACCCTGCCGTGTGAGGTGTCAGTGTGCCCCTGCTGGAGGGTCCCTCCCAGTTAGGCTGCTCGGGGGTCAGGGGTCAGGGACCCACTTGAGGAGGCAGTCTGCCGGTTCTCAGATCTCCAGCTGCGTACTGGGAGAACCACTGCTCTCTTCAAAGCTGTCAGACAGGGACATTTAAGTCTGCAGAGGTTACTTTTGTCTTTTTGTTTGTCTGTGCCCTGCCCCCAGAGGTGGAGCCTACAGAGGCAGGTAGGCCTCCTTGGGCTGTGGTGGGCTCCACCCAGTTCGAGCGTCCAGGCTGCTTTGTTTACCTAAGCAAGCCTGGGCAATGGCGGGAGCCCCTCCCCCAGCCTCGCTGCCGCCTTGCAGTTTGATCTCAGACTGCTGTGCTAGCAATCAGCGAGACTCCGTGGGCGTAGGACCCTCCGAGCCAGGTGGGGAATATAATCTCGTGGTGCGCCGTTTTTTAAGCCCGTCGGAAAAGCGCAGTATTCGGGTGGGAGTGACATGATTTTCCCGATTTTCCAGGTGCCGTCCGTCACCCCTTTCTTTGATTAGGAAAGGGAACTCCCTGACCCCTTGCGCTTCCCGAGTGAGGCAATGCCTCGCCCTGCTTCCACTCGCGCACGGTGCGCGCACCACTGACCTGCACCCACTGTGTGGCACTCCCTAGTGAGATGAACCCGGTACCTCAGATGGAAATGCAGAAATCACCCATCTTCTGCGTTGCTCAGGCTGGGAGCTGTAGACCGGAGCTGTTCCTATTCCGCCATTTTGGCTCCTCCCTCCCTTGTTTAGCTTTTTTATTACTCTAATGCTATGGGCCTGGTTTCCTTGCAGGGTTAGTAAATTTTGACTGAAAGTTGCTCATTTCCCCTGGAACTTTATCTTCGGAAATGTTTTGAGGTCTCGGATGAAAATAGTATCTTACGTAAAGAGCTTGTATTTATTTTTGTTAGGTGCTTGAAGCCATTACCAGTCCAGGACCACTTTAAGCTGAATCTTCAGTTGAAAATGTTCAGATTACCCAGTTAGTAAGAATTTAGGCTATAAACTTTTAGCAGCTGACTTGTGATTATGAATTCTCAGGAAATATATTTTCCCTTTCTGCTTAGCACCAAGATTTAAGACAGGCAATATTTTAGATGCTTTGAAGTGGATGGGATTTTATTACATTAAGTGTTTAAGCCTCGGTGGAATCAGTATGGGTATCTTTTTGTGGACTCCTCATCCTGGGTAGGCTCTAGGCTTCGTTTTCTCCCCCTGAAGTCATCCTACCTTGTGAAAAGCCAATGGTTAAGTGTGTCTGGTTTGGTTTTGAAGAGAAAATTGGTTTTGGTGCCTTTCTTACCTCTCTAGGGTCTCCCTTCTGTCAGTTTTAAGCCAGGAATGTTCACGCTTTTGCTAGATCATGGATGCTTTTCCATACTTCATTCATCATACTTTAGTTGTTTTCAGCAGATGCGCCAGTCCTTTTTCCCAGTTTTCTCTGTACCTGAAAATGGAAATAATAAATCATTTCTTTTTGAATTCTAGACGAGTGATGGCAAATAAGTTTTATCCTAAGTACTAACTCCAGTTAATTGGAAGAAGTTGACTACAGTCTTTAGTTGAGAAGGGTTCTGACTCCTTGTTCAGACTCAGGGAATAAGAATGCTATACTTTTTTTTTGTGATGTGTTGGACTGGGCTAATGTGGAAAGTGAGGATCGAAGTGGTATATATGCTGTGTTTTGTTCATCCACAACCCAATTCCTGATTCTTTTGAACCTTTCAGAGAATAGTCATTGGACTGTTCCTATGTTGTTCTTGATTCTGAGTTCCAGACTCAGTGAGTAGCAGAGTCTTCCTGACACATTTTTTTGAAGCTTGCAAGGTTTTAGTATTTGAATAGATTTAAAAATTAAAGGGAAAAAATTAAGGAGCCTATTAGGGAATTTCAGCGGGCCATAAGATCAAGGGTAAAGCAGCCACATAATGTTTTAGATGGTACCATGCGTGGATAGTACAATTTGATTCCATTTGTCCTCTATATTTTCTTCTTTTCAGTTCTTAAGATCTGCTATGAAAAATAGATAAGGATTTTGAAGTTATCCATGGACTTTTGGAGGTAATATCTAGTAAAATTTTTGTATGGTTGCATTTTTGGGAGATGCCATTAACTGTGATTGGGAGAAAGGCTAAGGAAAGACTTACAGGAAAATGATGGTGATGGTAGTGGGCAATCAGAAAAGGAAAAGTTTGAGTGTCATTGACTTAGGTGTTGTCAACTTGATTACTCTACAGTAGAAATCAACCAGTATTCTACCAGGATATGTCTACCTTATCTTTGTCAAAAATTGATTCATCACATTTCAAAATCAAATGGCTTGTCATCTGGAGATCTCAGTACAAATAGAGCTCCTGTTTCTGATGAGACTTTTCTGTTTTTAAATGGCTGTGTTACTAACAACCTTCTCATAATCTAATAATATTAGTCAGTACCTAACATAGGTCTGGAATTGTTTCAGAATCTTTGCTGATTGCATAGCAAAGAAAATACAGGACTTATCCTTATTTCAACATTAGCAAAAAGATTTTTTTTTAAATTAAGATTTTTCCATTGTGGTAGGACAGAAGCAAAAGTCTTTATAACTAGTATGAATAGACACTTTTGTTAGCTGAGTCTATTCAATACTGATACAGAAATTATTGGTAAATTCAGATTAGGAAACTGAAGATACAATCAAAATTAAAGGAGAAAATATGAGAGAGAGAGAGAAAAAAATGTGTGTGAGAGAGAGGTAATCAGACCCTTCCATGGCTATAAACTACTTAAAAAGGAATTGTTTCCCCCAGTTCTGGAATTTACCACTTCTTACCTTGTAAAATAGCCCCTTCTGTTATCTTCTCTCCAGAATCTCCTTTTATCTTTCCTCCCTCTCAGCATTGAAATAAGCTCAAGCCTCTTCCATATTAAAGATATATAAGCAAACAAACAAGCAAAACTATGTCACTTGACCTTAAATTCTCTTCTATTTCATGCTTGATCTTTCCTACAATTTATTTTAAATGAGTATATCCTTATTGTCTTACTTCTTATTTGCATGTCTATCCACAGTGATCAGCTTCCCACCTCTACCACCACATTAAAGTCCTCTGCCACCAAGGCCACCAAATGGTGTTCCTAAATCCAGTGGACTCATGGCTCTGTCTTGATCTTGCTTCACTCTCCTCTTCTCTAAGTCATGCTGGATATGCCCTTTTCAAAGACCTGATGACAATCCCACTCCTGCACTAAATATTTTCAAAGTGGTTCCATTCAAGGGAGCAATTTCTTATGTTCCTAGCTTTCTCAGACTCGATTTCTTGTCACTGCAAGCAGAAAAGAACCTCTTAGTGTAGTTTCCTCATAGTCAGCATTGAGGCCACTGAATCAGGTGGCAGTTTTTAAATTGCTGCTCAAATTTTCTTTGTTACATTTACATATAATTTTTAAAGATAAACCATAAAGCTCATAACAAAAGCCAACAGTCTTTTATCTCATCTCTACCCATACACCTGCTCTCAAAGGCAACTACTTTCACCCCTTAATCATTATTTTACATTTAATTCCATATTTTCAGATAACATGTTTATACATATATTTACTGATTTTTCAATTTTAGACATTTTTTACTGAGTTTATACTGTGATAGATGAGGATTTATGTCCTGTACTTCCTTTCTCCCTTATAGAGGTATCAAATCAATGTTCATCATTATTTACATTTTAGTGTTTTTCTAAATATTCTTCACTACAAGATCAAAAGGTATCACATAATTCAATTTTCTTTCATCAGGTTTATTTTCTCAAGCAAATAATTGTATAATATGCTTGCATTCTTGCTTTGCTTGTACCTATCAGTAATTCTTTTTCAACATGCCAATGAAAATGTACAACTACTCTCAGTACTTTTTTCCATTAGTTAAATGAATCAGGTGTTTGTATCTATTTTTAATTTTTTAAAAATTTTCTTACTGTGTTTGTATAGTATTTGGCTCTCTCTGGGAACCTTTCATCATGTTTCTCTAATTCTGATATGTTTTTCTTTAGGACAAACACACTTATCCTGGGACTTCCCTTCACTCTCATCCAATGAAAATTTTTTTCTCTCTTGAGTGTGACGCTCTGTTTTAGATGTAGCACTATTTTCAAGCGTTCTCTTGGTTTTGATGGAGAAGAAAATAGAGGAAGTATAAAGGAAATATAGAAAGTTTATTTTTTACAACTTTTTCTATTTCTGATGACATGCTTATTCTACTCTGAGACATGATTGATGATTGACAGAGCACAAAATTTATGTTAGGTTATTATTCTCCAGATTTTTAAAGGTATTGTTTCACTGTCTTTCTCCTTCCAGTATTGTTAATAAGAAGTCCAGAATCATCATGACTTTCAGTCTTTGATATGTGACTTGTTCTTTCTAGAACCTTATGGTGAGTACCTTGCTTTGGATCACTTTTCGTTCATTGCATTGGGTAGTGGGTAGGTGTTTTTACTCTGGTGCCTGGTAGGAGAAGGGAGCTAGTGGATGGATTTTGTGCCTATGGTTTATCTCAATCTCCTTATTTTTATTCTTAAGCTTCACCCCACAGGTTTTTGAATCTGGAAATTCTCAGTCTCAATTTTTTCACAGAGTAAATTTCTGGTCTCCTGCACAGTGTTCATCTGGTTATATGACGTGGGGAGAGAGGGACCAGGGATCTCACTGAATAGTATTGAGACTTTGGATCAGTTCTCTTATTTTCAGTTTTGTACTTCACCTTCCTTTCACCTATACCTCCAAATCTGAGTTTTCTTGGATTCTGCAAGGTAAAACTGTTTGCTCCTCTTTGGTATTCTCCTATACCTGAAGGATTCATTTTTCTTTTCTCTGCTAAATTAATAACAACTTGCTGTTGACTATCTGTACACCCCCAAAATTTATTTGAAGATATAGCCTCTAAGGAAGTAATTAAAATTAGAAGAAATCACAGGGTTAATCCAGTAGAATTGGTGTCCTTGTAAGAGGAGACACTAGAGAGCACACACACTTAGGAAAAACCATGTAAGGATGCAGTGAGAAAACCCCTACCTATAAGTTAGGAAGAGAGCCCTTACCAGAAACCAAATCTCCTAGAACCTTAATCTTGGACTTCTAGCCTCCTGAAATGTGAGAAAATAAATTTCTGTTGTTTAAGCCACCCAGTCTGTTTTAGTCCATTGTGCATTGCTAAAAAGGGATACCTGAAACTGGGTAATTTATAAATAAAGGAGGTTTATTTGGCTCATGGTTCGGCAGGCTGTACAAGAAGCATGACACTGGCATATTGTTCTGGCGAGAACTTCAGTAAGCTTTCAATCATGGTGGAAAGGGAAGGGGCAGCAGGCATGTCACATGGCAAGAAAGAAAGCAAGAGTGAGGAGGAGGGGTATCACACTCTTAACCAACTCTTGTGAATGAATAGAGCAAGAACTCACTCACTACCTCAAGGGAGGACACCAAGCCATTCATGAAGGATTCACCCCCGTGACCCAAATACTTCCCACCAGGCCCCATCTTCAACATTGGGGATCAAATTTCAACATGAGATTTAGAGGGGACAAATATCCAAACTATATTACAGTGGATAATATTTTGTTATATCAGCCCGAGCAGACTAATACACAACTCCTCCCATGTACTTTCCATTGGTTGTTTCTATGTGGTGCCGTCTCTATTTATTGTTGCTTTCTTTTAAGATTTTTTTGTTACTTGGAGTTTATAGATTTTATTTTTCTCCTTTACTATTATTTTATGTGGTACTTATTTGGAGGGAGCAGAAATAAATATTGTTATGGTTAATTTTGTCAACTTGTCCAGGCCATGGTACCCAGAAACGTTTTCTGGGTTTCTGAGGTTTCTGTGAAAGTATTTTTAGAAGATTAATATTTAAGTTAGCAGGCTTTGAGTTAAGTAGATTGCACTCTGTAAAGTACATGGGCCTCATCCAAGAAGTTAAAGGCCTTAAGAAAAAAGACTGACCTTCCCTCAGGAAGGAATTCTGCCAGTAGACTGCCTTCAGACTCAAACTGCAACCTTGGTTCATTTGTGAGTCTCCAGCCTGCCAGAATATCCTCCAGCTTCCACAGGTGTATGAGCCAATGCCTTAAGTCTCTCTCCGTTTCTTCTCTGTCTCTTTCAGATGTTTCTTTACTTATGATACGGTTACATCCCAATAAAACCAAATAACTTACAATATTGTCAACTTACGATGGTTTTGTTGGAACGTAACTTCAATACAAGTTGAGGAACATACTGAATGCCTATCACTTTTGCACCATTGTAAAGTCAAAAAACTATAAGTCAAGCCATTGGGGGACCACCTGAAAATATATGTCTATGTATGTATTTATGTTTTACATACTTTTGATTTAACTGGAAGTCACATCTTACCTTCCATTTGTATGATAAAGATGTCAGTTCTTCCTTATTATATTTGTTCTATTTGTTATATTCATATAGCCTAATTTTTTACATCAAAAGTGGAATATTTAATATTTTTTAGTCTAAAAATATGTCCTGAAGATCATTCAATGTATAGTTATTTTTCTCATTCTTTTTAAAGGCTGCCTAGTACTTTATTGCATAGATGTCTCCTAAAGATGGACATCTGGGTTGTTTACAATCTTTTGCTAGTATAAAATGTTCTGTAAGGAATGACTTTGTGCGTAAATAGGCTTGTTTTTGCCAGCTTACCTTAGGGATAGATTTTTAGAAGTGGAGTTACAAGATCAGAAAGGTAATTTATATGTAATTTTTTTCCCTCCATTGGGCTTTTACCATTTTATATTCCCATCAACAAGATAAAAACCTGCTATTTTTGCACAGCTTTCTAAGGGGAGTAAGTTGTCAATTATTATTATTATTATTATTGTTTTTTGTCGGTCTGGTAGGTGAGAAGGAGAACCTCATGTAGTTTTATTTTAACTTCCGTGAATAGGTGAGGTTGAGTATCTTTTCATATGTTTGAGGAGGTGATTTTACTTCTTATTCTGTAAGCTGTCTCTCATGTCTTTCCTCATTTATTTATTAAGTTGTTCATTCCCTTCCTCGTGTTTTAGGAGTCCATGGCATACTAAATTTTCTTTAGTGCTTTTTGTTTTTTATATTTGCTGTTTTTATTTTTTGCCTTTAGAAACATTTTATGTAATAAAATTTACCTATCTTCAGTTATTTATAGATTTGAGTCATAGAAAGAATTTCCCCATTCCTAAATGATAAAATTCTCTTCTATTGTTGGTACAGTTTCAAAATTTATGTTTAGTACTGTAGTCTGAATATATGCATTATGTGTATTTGAGATAACATCTACTTTATATTTGTTTATTTTCAAAATGACTACTCAGTTAACCTAATATTATTTATAAACATTTCCATCTTTCTTGCACTGATTTATGTTGACATTTTTAGAAAACACTTCATTCCCACTATTATTTGTATCTTTTTCTCTATTTGTCTTTCTATATATTGATGCAACAATATTTACTATGCTGTTTTAAATATAGATGTTTAAAAATTTACTTTTAGGTTTTAATATCTGGCAGAGCTGGTAGTCCTATATTGCTTCTTTATTGTTAAAGAAATATCCATTGGCTCTTATTTCAGTAAACCTTTAAGCAAGATTGACTTAAATTTTGTCAAATGCCTTTCCACATGTGAATATGATCATAAAATTGCTTTCCTCAATTCTATTACTGTAATACATTATTTTAGAGATTTCCTAATATTTGACAATCCTTGTATTCCTAGAATGAAATTCTCACTTGGTCATATGTATTGGTTTGTTTGTTTTTTTTTAAATATCCTTTTTATCAGAAAATAACTTCGAATTTACTTTTTATTGTTGTAAAAAATAGTGTGCAAAACATCTTTCTACTTCTAATTAAGCTTTTCAATTTGTTAAGATTTTGCTGCATTCTTGTATCATTCTCTCTGTTTCTGTTTATTTCTGTCTCTCTTTCTTTCTGTACACACACATATAAAGTTGTTTACCCACACAAACCAACTCTCTCTCTCTGTCTCACACACACACACACACACACACACACACACACACACACACACACAGTTTTGGGAACCATTTCAGAGTATTATATTATGTCTCTTTACCCTTAAATACTTCAGTGTGTATATCCCATGAACAAAAAACATTCTCTTACATAACCTTATTGTTGTTCAGGAAAAATAACATTAATACTGTTATCAAACTTTTCTTCAAACATTTGGTATAATTCACTAGTGAAACAATGTGGGCCTGTGCTTTTCTTTGTGGCAATTTTTATTACTAATTCTACCTCTTTATTTGTTATTAACCTATTCAGATATTCTATGTCATCTTGAATCAGTTTTAGCAGTTTCTGTCTTTTTAGGAATTTTCCTATTTTATCATAATCTATTTTTTCCATACAATTATTTACAGCATACCTTTATCATCTTTATTATTTATGTAAGGTGAGTAGTGATGTCCTCTCTTTCATTCCTGCTTTTAATAATTTAAATCTTTGCTCGTTTACTTTCAGACTTGTAGCTAAAGTTTTGTCAATTTTGTTGATTTTCTTCAAACTGCCAATTTTTTGTTTCATTGATTTTCTACTTTTTTCTATTCTCTATTTCATTAATTTCCACTTGAATCTTTATTATTTCATTTCGTATCCTTGCGTTAAGTTTACTTTCCTTTTCTTTTACTAGTGCCTTAAAGTGAGAGGTTGGGTTGTGATTTAAAACTTTCCTCTGATTCTATCAGGACTATGGTGATTCATTAGGGAATAAGGAATATCTTGGCCAGCAAGATGGTGGAATAGAAGTTTCCACCAGTTGTCTCCCCACCACCAGCACACCAGTTTAACACCAATCTACACATAAAACACTCCTTCATAGGAATAAAGTAATCAGGTAATCCCTGTAGTACCTCGTTTTAACTCGGCGTCACTGAAAAAGGCACAGAAGAGATAGAAAAAACTGTCTTGAATCGTTGATGTCACCCTTCCCCCACATCCAGCAGTGGTGGCTGCATGGTGTGGAAAGCATTGCTCGGCCCTGGGTGTGGAAGAACCTGTCAATTGTGAGGCATGAAACTCAGTGATGTTCTATTAGGGCAAAAAGGAAAACTGGACCAAACTCAGCTGATGCCTGCCCACGGAGGTAGCATTTAAACCAGCTCTAGCTGGAGGGGAATCTCCAGTCCCAAATTTAAATTCCTCCAAACCTTGTCATTATAAGCTAAAGTTCTCTGAGTCTGTAAGTAAACTTGAAAGGCAATCTAGGCCATAAGGACTGCAACTCATATGTGAGTACTAGTGCTGAACTAAGCCCAGAGACAGTGGACTTGGGAAGCATGCAACCTATTAAGACACCAGCTAGGGCAGCTAAAAGTGCTGGCATCACCTCTCCCCAGGCTGTACAGCTCATGTCTCCAAAAGAGACCCCTTTCTTCCATTTGAGGAGAGGAGAGGGAAGAATATGGAAGATTTTATCTTGCAACTTGGATACCAGCTCAGCCACAGCAGGATAGGGCACCAGTCAGAGTCAACAGGCTCCTGTTCCAGGCCCTAGCACCTGGATGACATTTCTACATACACCCTTGGTGAGAAGGAAACCCAGTTCCTTGAAGGGAAGGATCTAGTCCTGGCATCATTCATCACCTGCTACCTGAAGAGCGCTTGAGCCCTGAATAACCAGCAGAAATACTCAGGTACTATATTGAGGGCTGTGAGTGAGCCTCTGAGATTTGCCAGCTTTGGGTGAGACTCAGCCTATTACTAGCTGTGGTGGCTGTGGGGCAAAACTTCTACTGCTTGAGAAAAGCAGAGGGAAAAGTAAAGGGGACTTTATCCTGTATCTTATGTACAGAATGGCCACAGAGGGATAGACTACTAAGTGGGCTCTTGGGGTCCCTGATTCCAGGACTTGACTCTTGAATGACATCTCTAGACCTGCCCTGGACCAGAAGGGAGCCCACTGCCCTGAAGGATAATTCCCAGGACAGGTAGCATTCACCACAAGATGACCTAAGAGTCCTTGGGCCTTAAGAGAACATCAGCAGTAGTCTGGCGGTACTCCCCATGGCCTGTTGGTAATGGTAGCTGTGGGGCGAGGCTCCTCTGCCTTTGGAAAGTGGAGGGAAGAGTGGGAAGGACTGTATCTGTGGTTTGAGTGCCAGATCAGCTGCAGTACAATAACATACCACATAGACTTCTAAGGTTTTTGACCTTAGTCCTGATGGCACCTCTGGGCCCACCCAGGGACTGGGGAACCTCACAGCCCTAAAGGGAAGGACACAGGCCTGGCTGACTTTGCCACTTGCTGATTGTAGATCCCCAGGGCATTGAGTGAATGTAGGCAGCAACAAGGGAGTTGTTACAGTAGACCTTGGGTAAGACCCCATGTTGTATTCATTTCAGATCTGATCCAGTTCAGTCATAGTGGTGGTGGTGGCTACAGCAGTGCATGTGTCACTCCAGCCCCAGCTTTGAGTGGCTCAGAACAGATAGAGACTCCATTTGTTTGAGAGAAAGTAAGGTAAGAGAGCAAGAGTCTCTGCCTGGTAATCCAGAGAATTCTACCAGATCTTGTCCAAGACCATCAAATTGTTACCTCTGTGAGTCTGCAAGAACCACAGTGTTACTGAGCTTGGGGTGCCCCCTAAAGCAAATACAGCATAGATCACAACACCCAAGCCTTTTCAAATATGTGGAAAGCCTTCTCAAGAATGATAGGTGCAAATAACTCCAGAGAGTGAAGACCACATTAAATAGCTAATTCTTCAATGCCCAGACACCAAGAACATCCAGGAAAATATGACCTCACCAAATGAACTAAAAAAGGCACCAGAGACCAATGCTGGAGAAACAGACATGTTACCTTTCAGACAAAGAATTTAAAATAGCTGTGTTGAGAAAAATCTATGAAATTCAAGATAGCATAAAGAAATAATTCAGAATTATATCTGAATTATTAAATTAAATGTATTATTAAATGAAATTATATCTGAATGATTAAATTAAATAAATTAGTAAATTAAATGAAGAGATTGAAATAATTAAAAAGAATCAAGTGGAAATTCTAGAGCTGAAAAATGCAACTGTTATATTGAATAATGCACCAGAGTCTTCTAATAGCAGAACTGACCAAGCAGAAGAAAGAATTAGTAAGCTTGAAGACAGGGTATTTGAAAATATACAGTCAGAGGAGACAAAAGGTAAATAATAAAAAACAATGAAACACACCTATAGGATCTAAAAAATAGCCTTAAAAGGGCAAATCTGAGTTATTGGAGTAGGTAGATGAAGAGATGGGGTAGAAAGTTTATGGAAAGGGATAATAACAGAGAACTTCCCAAACCTAGAGAAAGATATTAACATCCAAGTAGAAGAAGGTTATAGAACATCAAGCAGATTTAACACAAAAAGACTACCTCAAGGCATTTAATAATCGAGCTCCCAAAGATCAACGATAAAGAAAGGATCCTAAAAGCAGCAAGAAAAAAGAAACAAATAACATACAGTGGCGCTCCAATATGTCTGGCAACAGGTTTTTCAGTGGGAACCTTACAGGCCAGGAGAGAATGGCATGACATATTTAAAGGGATGAAAGGAAAAAACTTTTACCTAAGAATAGTATATCTGGTGAAAATATCCTTCAAACATGAAGGAGAAATAAAGGCTTTTCCAAACAAACAAAAGCTGAGGGATTTCATTACCACCAGAGCTTTCCTATAAGCAATGCTAAAGGGAGTATTTCAATGAGAAAAAAAGGACATTAATAAGTAATAAGTAATGACCTGAAGCTACAAAACTCACTGGTAATAGTAAATATACAGAAAAACATTGTATGATAACATTGTAACTGTGATGTGTAAACTAATCTTATCCTAAGTATGAAGGATAAATGATGACCAGTGAAAAATAATAACAACAACTTTTCAAGCCATAGACAGTACAATAAGATATAAATAGAAACAATAAAAAGTTAAAAACCAGGGAGACAAAGTTAAGGTGTAGAGTTTTTATTAGTTTTCTTTTTGCTTGTTTGTTTGTTTATGCAAACGATGTTATGTGGTTATCAGGTTAAAATAATGGGTTACAGAATAGTATTTGCAAGCATCATGGTAACCTCAAACCAAAAAATATACAATGGATAGACAAAAATACAAAGCAAGAAACTAAGTCATATCACCAGGGAACAGTAAAGGAAGACAGGAAGGAAAGAAAGAAGGAAGAGAAGACCACAAAACAACCAGAAGACAAATAACAAAATGGCAGGAATAAGTCCTTACTTATGAATAGTAATATTGATCAGACTAAACTCTCCATTCCAAAAACATAGAGTGGCTGAATGGATGAAAAAACAAGACCCATTGATCTGTTCCCTACAAGAAACACACTTCACCTATAAAGACACACATTGACTGAAAATAAAAGAATGGAAAAAGATATCCCATGCTAATGGAAACCAAAAGAGAGCAGTAGAAAGTACAGACAAAATAGATTTCAAGACAAAAACTATAAGAAGAGACAAATAAAGTCACTATATATCACAAAGTGGTCAATTCGACAAGAGGATATAACAATTTTAAATTGTTTACATTTTAAATATGCATCTAAACCTGGAGTACCCAGATATATAAAGCAAATATTATTAGAGCTAAAAGCAGAGATCAACCCTCATGCAATAATACCTGGAAACTTTAGCAACTCATTTTCAGCCTTGGACAGATCTTCCAGACAGAAAATCAACAAGGAAACATCAGATTTAGTCAACATAATAAAAGCCATATAGGACAGAACCACATATAGTATCATACTGAATGGGGAAAAACTGAAAGCCTTCCCTCTAAGATCTGGAACAAGACAAGGATGTCCATTTTTACCCTGTTATTCAACACAGTACTGCAAGTCCTACCTAGAACAATCAGACAAAAAGAAGAAATAGAGACCATCTAAACTGGAATGGAAGAAGTCAAATTATCCTTGTTTGTAGATGATATCATGTTTGGAAAAACCTAAAGACTCCACAAAAAACTATTAGATACACAAGTTCAGTAGTTTCAGGATACAAAAATCAACATATAAAAATCAGTAGCATTTTCATATGCTGAGAGTGAACAATCTGAAAAAGAAATTTAAAAAGTAATCCTATTTACAGTAGACATAAATAAAGTTAAATATCTAGGAACTGACTTAACCAAAGAAGTGAAAGAGTTCTATAAGAAAAACTATAAAACACTGAGAAAAGAAATTAAAGAGGACACCAAAAAATGCAAAAGTATCCCTGTTCATGAACTGGATGAATCAATATTATTAAAATGCCCATACTCCCCCAAACAATCTACAGATTCAATGCAATCCTTATCAAAATTTTAATGAAGTCCCTCACATAAATACAAAAAAAAATCCTAAAATTTATATGAAACCACAAAAGACCCAAAACAGCCAAAGCTATTCTAAGCAAAAAGAACCACATTACCTGACTTCAAATTATACTACAGAGCTATAGTAACCAAAACAGCGTGGCACTGGCATAAGAACAGACACATAGACCAAGGAACAGAATCTAGAACCCAGAAACAAATCCACACACCTACAGTGAACTAATTTGCAACAAAGGTGCCAAGAACACACACTGGGGAAAAGACAGTATCTTCAATAAATGGTACTGGGAAAACTGGATATCCATATGCAGAAGAATGAAACTAGGCCCCATCTCTTGCCACATACAAAAATCAAATCAAAATGGATGAAAGATTTAAATCTAAGACCTCAAACTATAAAACTACTACGGGAAAACTTTGGGGAAACTCTCCAGGATATTGGTCTGGGCAAGAATGTCTTGAACAACACTCCACAAGCATAGGCAACCAAAGCAAGCATAGGCAACCAAAGCAAAAATGGACAAATGGGATCACATCAAGTTAAAAAGCTTTTGCATAGCAAAGAAACAATCAACAAAGTGAAGACAGAAACCACAAAATGGGGGGAAATATTTGCAAACTATTCATCTGACAATGCATTTATAACCAGAATACAAAGAGCTCAAACAACTCTATAGGAAAACAAGGTAATAATCAGATTAAAAATAGGAAAACTATTTGAATAGATACTTCTCTAAAGAAGACATACAAATGGCAAACAGGCATATGAAAAATATGAAAAGGTGCTCAACACCACCGATAATCAGAGAAAAGAGCATCAAACTGCAATGAGATATCATCTCACCCCAGCTAAAATGGCTTTTATCCAAAAGATAGGTAATAACAAATGCTGGCAAGGATCTGGAAAAAAGGAAACCATGGTACCGTGTTGGTGGGAATGTAAATTAGTACAGCCACTGTGGAGAACAGTTTGGAGGTTCCTGAAAAAAACTAAAAATAGAGCTACCATATGATCCAGAAATCCCACTGCTGCTGGGTATATACCCAAAAGAAAGGAAATCAGTATATTGAAGAGATACCTGCACTCCCATGTCTGTTGCAGCACTGTTAACAATACCTAAGATTTGGAAGCACCATAAGGGCCTATCATCAGATTAACTGATACCTATACACAATGGAGTATTATTCAACCATAAAAAAGAATAAGATTCTGTCATTTGCAACAACATGGATGGAACTGAAGATCATTATGTTAAGTGAAATAAGTCAGGGACAGAAGTACAAACATCACATATTCTGACTTACTTTTGGGATCTAAAAATCAAAACAGTTAAAATCATGGAGACAGAGAATAGAAGGATGCTTACCAGAGGCTGAGAAGGGGTAGTGGGGTGCTGGAGGGGAGGGGAGGATGGTTAAAGGGTACAAAAAAATAGTTAGAAAGAATGAATAAGAACTACTACTTGATAACACAACAGGGTGACTATAGTTAATAATCACTTAATTGTACATTTCAAAATAACTCAGAGTATAATTGGATTGCTTTTAATACAAAGGATAAATGCTTGAGGGGATGGATACCCCATTCTCCATGATGTGATTATTATACATTGCATGCCTGTATCAAAACATCTCATGAACCCTATAAATTTATATACCTACTATTTGCCCCATAAATTTATATGCCTACTATGTACCCATAAAAATTAAAAATAAAAAGAATAAAAATATAAAATAATTTTTTCCTCTTTTTAAATACAACATTTACAGCTATTAATTTTCCTCTAAGCACTGCCTTAGTGGTATTCCTTAAGTTTTAGTATATTGTAACTTAATTTTTCATTCATCTCAAAGTATTTTCTAATGTCCTTTGTGATTTCTTTCCTGACCCATTTTTTAGTAGTATGTTTCATTTCCACGTATTTGTGATTTTCCTATATTTATTTATGTTATTAATTTCCATGTTATTACATTGAGATTGGGGGAAATAATTTGTATGATTTCAATCATTTAAAATTTATTGAAGCTTGTGTGTGGCCTGGAATATAGTCTATCCTGAAAAATATTCCATTGTACTTGAAAAGATGCTAATTCTTTACACAGAAAAATTATCTGGATAGAAAACATATAGAAGTGTGGGAATTGGTAAGGTAAAGTGGAGTAAGACACAGCTTAGTGTTTTTTGTAGTAGGGGATACAGAAATGAAGGAAGAAGAAGTTCACTATAAGCTCAGATGCATCAATAAGGTGGGCAAGCAAGAGCAAGTTGTGGGACTACAAACAGGAAGAAATGGGCTGGGCATGGTGGCTCACACCTGTAACTACACCACTTCGGGAGGCCAAGGCAGGAGGGTCACTTGAGTTCAGGAATTCGAGACCAGCCTGGGCAACATAGTGAGACCTTGTCTGCTGATACCTAGCTTCACCTTAGCTAATACAGCATTTTTTCCTGTCTTCTTATTCATCTTAGCAATGAAAAACATAAGTCCAGTGGCACCAAAAGAAGTACCATGAAAAACGATGGCTTTGCTTTGACTCTTTTTTCCCTGGTAGATAAGCAACTGGCTGTTCTATGCACTGCAGAGAAAGCAGTGGAATGTTTCAAAAGACCACAGAATGCTCATTTCCAATAAGCAATGGATACAAGGCAGAAACTGGCCTGGGAAGGTAATGTGTGCCTGTAGTTCCAGCTACTTGGGAGGCTAAGGTGGGTAAATCACTTGATCCTTGGAGTGCAAGGCTGCAGTAGGCCATGATTGTATCACTGCATTCTGCACTCCAGCCTGGGCAATAGAGGAGAAAGACCCTGTCTCAAACAAACAAACAAACAAACAACAACAAAAAGGAAAAAACAGGAGAAAATTGGATGAAAATCTCTATTTGGAAGAGCTAACCTCCCTACCTCCCACTAGAGCAAGCAGATCCCAGGTAGCCAGCTGTTTATCTCTAGGTTGGATACTGGAGCTTTTTAAACTCAATAGTCCCAGATAAAAGATATTTGCATCTGCTTGCCTGTTCTGCATCTAGCATTTTATGATTCACTACCAGAAACTCAAAAGCTGCTTTAAGAGAGCTCATACTGACTTTCCTGAAACAGTAAGGAGCACCAAAAGAAAAAACAAAACTCAATCCTCCCTGTATGGTCCAACTTGCAAGGAGCTGTTTGATTTGCTTGCACTGTGCTCTCTGTCTACACATAAATGTCACTTTCTCAGGGAAATGGTACCTAGAGGCCCCCCATGTGTTTTGACCCAACACTCCAACACTTGAAAACCAAGTCTCTGAAGTCTAGTTGTTCAGGTTCCAATCCTGTCTTCACTGCTTACTATATTGCATTTTCCAGATTCCGTATGGTTAAGTTTGGCCAGTTAATGTGAGTAGAAGTAGTCTGTGCAACTTTAAGACCTCCCATGCATGGCCTTTCCTCCATTAAGCTGGCTGGAATGGAGTCAGTCACCAAGTTGGACTTGGTAGCTTCAAGATGGAAGGCGCTTGAGTCTGTTGGTTAGTGCTTGGAAGACTGTTGTCTGCTTCCTAGAAATACCTAGCTTCACCTTAGCTAATACAGCATTTTTTCCTGCCTTCTTATTCTTCTTAGCAATGAAAAATGTAAGTCCAGGGGCACCAAAAGAAGTACAGTGAAAAACGATGGCTTTACTTTGACTCTTTGTTCCCTGGTAGATAAGCAACTGGCTGTTCTATGCACTGCAGGGAAAGCAGTGGAATGTTTCAAAAGACCACAGAATGCTCATTTCCAATAAGCAATGGATAATAACAACAATAACAGTAATACCATTAATGGTAATAATAATAAACATAAATCTCTCTTCAGCAGGCCCTAAATGTCGCTCAGTGGCCTAAGGGCTATTATGACTCCAGTGTGACTAGGCCCCGCTGTGGCCTTTTCTAAGGCAAAGGAGTTGTGGGGTGGGGGGCAAAAACCTCTAAGCTTGGTACACAATAGAACATAACCTCCTTCTCTCCACTGGTTTTCATAAGAAGCCAGTGGAGATCTGTCAGGGCAAAAGCTTTCTACAGAGCCTCCTAGAATGGCAACGCCTGATGCCTAACACTTTTACTGGAGAGCGCCTGGCAGGCATAATGAAGTCAGTAATTTTTCCTGCTTGCAGCCTTGAATTAGGCCACATGGTAGAGCTTTCTAGGCTGGTGAAAAAAAAGTACTACAGAACTTTAGAAAAATGGTAACGCCTTATTAAATTATTTGAAATCTCTGGAGTTGCATCTCTTTTATGGCTCCAAATTGGTATACCTATTAACTTAAGAGTGTTCAAATTTTTCTAAAATATTATTGTATTTAAGACATAATGCCATTCCCAAACTGCACATGAATTACAGAGCGTCAGGGAAAGAGAGAGAGACTCACCATTTCCAGGCTTAAAAACCTTTACCACAATTAGTAGTTAGTAGCTTTCAGAAACATTTGCTGGATAAGTAACCACGGTCAAATCGCATCATTTTGCCCCCACCCCTCCTCCTCTCCTTTCTTTTATTCCACGGTTTTGAGTGCTGGTCTAAGAGCTATAATTTCATCTTTAGGCATATTTCTGCAGGCATCTTTAATGAGGCATTTGATTTGTCCAGTCCTGCTTCCCTGAATTCAGCCATTTAGGGATTTAGGGTTGGGAGAGTGTGAGAAGAAGGGAACATGGAATACCACCATGATGCTGAGAAAATACAATCTAAGGATTCAAAGAGATTGTGAATTATCTTCTTTCCCCTTTGGGCAGGGCTATATCTAATAGCATTCTAGATAGATAATTTTCCATTTTCAATTATTTATTGCAAGCCTATTGTGTGCCATATATATTTTCAGCATGAGAGGTACAAAAATGATTTTATCCTATTTTTTGAAAGCTTTCAGATATGTAAGAATTTCAGTAGTTTATGAACTCAGTGTAGGAGTAATTAAATACCCTACTTTTATTATTTAGCAACTTTGTACCTGAAAATAAGAATGAAGGAAAATACACCGTTTATAAAAAACTGAAGTTTTGCCTATCTTGTTCACTTAGTTCTGGACACCCTTAGTATGCCCTTAATAAGTATTTGTCCTATACTTAAAAACCTTATGGGAAAGAAAGACATTTAGATAATTCTCTAATAATTGAAATAAAACAGTTGTGCTGAAATGAATAAAATATTTGTAGAAAAATTAAATATTTCCATACTGAAAGTAGGAATTATTTTCATTGTCTGACTGTGTGTGTACAGAGTCACCAATGGGTTACTTTGCTAAAATTTCTAAGTGGAACTTGGAGCTCATTGTGTCTGAGAAACAATGTTGTTAGTGGTAGTATAGGTCTCTAATCTATTCCACAAAATCCTGCAATACAGCTTTTTAATGTATTAAGTACTTTTTTTTCCCACAAAATGGATATGTTTTTAAGTTAAATAAAAAACACTGTGTGTGTGTGTTTGCGTGTGTGTGTGTGTGTGTGTTTTACTTAACTGTTACTTGTGAATAGTCACTTGAGAAAAGCAAGTTTAATTAGGAAGTATATGAGGATATAGGTGCATATGAATTCAGCAGAAATTTGGAAATGGATTTTTCAGCCCTGTTACTGGCTTGAGTAGATAAGAGCATTTGTTTGTTTCGTATTCAGTGGACAATAGGATTCCTACCTTAAATGTATTTTGTTTTCCTTTATTCTGTTATGTTGGTAGAAATACCCTTTTATTTATCAAGTAATATTTTTGGTTTACCAATGAAATAAAAGGCAGAAAAATGAAGAAAAAAGAGAAAGCCTCTCTGAGAAGAATAGGAAATGATTGGAATTAAGAGATCAAGATGAAAGAAAGAAACTATGGAGGAAGTCAGAGTAGTAAGTGATGAAAATAGTCAAATGTCCAGTGTTTGCATGCCATCTCCTAAGGGGGCAAAAGAACAGTAGTAGAGAAAAGAACCTACTGAAGTGAGTGCTGGGAACACTCTAGGTAAGCTCCATTGGAGAGTGTGGTCAGCAGGGCCATGTGCAAAAGGGAAAGTGCATTCAGTGGGAGAAAATAAACTGTCTGAGAAGTGAATGGCATTTGCCATAAGTGTGGCTTATAAGCTCGTTGGGAAAAAAAAAAAAAAGAGAGATCGTTTTGCATTTTTCTTTGAAGGTTGACAGAGCTTACTGTTCTGAGTGCTGGCTTCCCTTACCCTAGCGGAAATAAGACGCCTTTAGTTTGTTAAGCTGGTGACTGAGGACTGACTGTATTGCTCCAAAGCTAGAGGTTGGCAATGTTGAAGGAGCAAAGGGGAGGTCTACCTTTAGGAAGAATTACATTTCCTGGAACTGGGAGGTTGGAGATTGTGTGTGCCAAGGTCTGGGACTTCTGATGAGGAGGCGCTGTGGATGCTGGGCCTTAACACAAGTGGTGGTGGCACTGAGAGCTGTGACAGGCTCTGGAGGCACATTTGGCATAAGGGAGCAGATACTGCAAAGATTCAGCCTTTCCGCTCCCAAAGGGTCTTTGTCAATTCAGGCAAAGAGCATTTCAGATGTGACTCCAATGAACTGCAAGCTAGAGGTTCCCTCCAATGTCCCTGGGTTGCCATAGCAGTAGATTTCCTGTAAGATTTCAAGTGAGGGGAAAAGCCACACTCCAAAATGACTGAGGTGTGATTTCTCAGAACCCCTATGTGTGGGTAATGCACTACATTTAATGTAAATTAGAAAAACAAAAACTATATTTTGCTGTTGGCATGTCCTGACATGCTTGTTTTTATAATTTTACTAGATGTGCAGTGGTCCATTAAAAATACATAGAATTGTTTTGAGTATTTTGGAATTTTATATAAATGACATCATACTGTTAAGAGAAATGGGATGAGGGAGTAGAGTGTGTGTACTGTATTATGTATTTAGAAAAAGATCTGAAGCGAATATAGTAAAATGTTAACATTTGTTAAATCCGGTTGGTGGATATACAGGTGTCTTGCAAGTTTTTATTCCTGTACTTTTCTGTATGTCTGAACATTTGGTTATTTTTTAAAAAATAAAGAAAAAAAACAGAGAAAAACCAACATAATATTTCTGGACTCCAAGAGTCATGGAATGTTTAATATTAGTTTTACTTGAAATATTTGTAAATTGGTTTGTTACAAGTCTTGAGGTACTTTCACAGCTTGAGTGGAAGCCTTGCCTATTTGATGACATACTAACGTTACCAACTGAACATGTCCCAAATAGAACTCTTGAACTTTTACTACCATACCTGGTTTCCACTTCTCCATTTCAGTAAAAGTTTCAACTATTCATTCAATTACTTAAGCCAGAAATCTAGCAATTGTCCATGATTCCTCTTTTCCCCCAACTTACCAAATTCAAGTCATTGATTCTGCCTCCAAACATATGCATCTGATCCAAAATTTTATACTGATCTCTGCTGTCACCTTCTTTTTTTTTTTTTTTTTTGAGACGGAGTCTCGCTCTGTCGCCCAGGCTGGAGTGCAGTGGCGGGATCTCGGCTCACTGCAAGCTCCGCCTCCCGGGTTCACGCCATTCTCCTGCCTCAGCCTCCCAAGTAGCTGGGACTACAGGCGCCCGCCACTACGCCCGGCTAATTTTTTGTATTTTTAGTAGAGACGGGGTTTCACCGTTTTAGCCGGGATGGTCTCGATCTCCTGACCTCGTGATCCGCCCGCCTCGGCCTCCCAAAGTGCTGGGATTACAGGCGTGAGCCACCGCGCCCGGCCTGTCACCTTCTTATTTCAGACCATCTTCTCTCCCCAGAATACCACAACAGCCTCCCAGCTAATATCTCTGATTTGACTCTTTCCATACCAATTCCTTCTCTAGACATTGGCAAAGTGATTTTCTTTAAAAAATTGAAATTAGATAATTTTATTTCTTGCTAAAAGCTTACAATGACTTCCCATTGTGTTCGGGGTAAAATACAAATATCTAACCACAGCCTACAAGACCCAGTATGATCTAACTCCTGTCCATATTGCCTCACTTATGCTCCAGCTCTTATTAGTTACAGGAACACACCAAGCTCCTTCCCATCCTACGGACTTTTACTCTGTTCTTTCCTCTACTTGTAACCAGACTTTGCATAGCTAGATCCTTCCCTTTCTTAGGTCACAGCTTACATCTCTTGCTGACCACTGTATTTCAAGTGGATTCCTCTTCTTTTATTCTTTATTAATCCTTATTTTTTCACAGAACTTATCACAGCTTCCAATTATTTTATAGTATCGATTGCCACTTGCCATTAGTTTTTGACCATCCAAGATCTAAATTCCCATATATTTAGAGATTCTCCTATATAATGAATCTAAGCCTATCCTCAACATGGAAGTCACAAGTGCAAATACTGACTTTCTCAGAGTCTTCTGCATCTTGGACACATGACCTAGATCATACCATTCAGATCATTTTTCCCCAACTTTGACTTAGAAGCTAGTGTTGTTATGAATTTTGGTGAGAGAGGTGGCAGCAGCAGCAACAGCAGTTAAATCCATTTTTCAGAAACTGCAGAGCCTGTGGTTATGATGAAATTGGTACACTGTCCAGCTCTAATGTGGTGAGAAGCTCAAGGCTGGATATGTCTGTTCAACAGTGGCAAATGGGATGCAATCACTGGATCTGTGGCATGAATGAGGGCCTATTCCTCATTGTGTATTATCCAATCCTGTTTTCTTAGCACTCTTTGTGATTCTATGGGTTATGCAAACAAATGTTTTTTATTTTCTTTTTTAACAAATACCTTTTCTGCTTAAGTTAACTTTCATTGGTTTATGTTTTCTTTTCAAGATTGGGACTAGACTGAAACACATAGGCACAAAATTTGAGAAAGCACTCATTATTTACTATTTTGTCATGAAGTTTCAAACTTGGGCTTGCACATCTCTGAAAGTGAATGCCTCCTTAAATTTTGTGCCCCAGGTGCCTCACTTACTTTATTCGAGATCCAGCTTTGTGCTTGCAATGATAAGAAGTTATGGAATCCAACTTTTCTGAATACCTGGAGTTTCTGGTTATAAGTGATGAGTGGTCTGTCTCACAAAGCTAAGTAGTGAAATATTTCTGCGGGAGTAGCTTTGGGTTCTTCCAGAATGAACACATCACTCTCTTCCAGCCTGCATAAGAGAAGGCAAGGAATAAACTAGAATTTGAAGAGGTTAGTAGGGAGAATCGTTTTTTCATGAAATTGTCAATGTGCTACAAGTTTCTTTTTCCCCCAACTAATAGGGAAGAGTCATGCTCCCTTTTCACTTCAAAGTGAGTGGAGCTTAAAGAGAATAATCTGTAGTGCTTTGCCTCGCAGTAAATCTTGATAAACCCACACTAGATCTTAGCTCTTCCTTTTCTCTTTGGCCTCATGTCTTTCTACTCTCTTCCCCCTACTCCACCCCTATCACTCTTGTCTAACCAAACTGTCCTCATTACTGTTTTTCAATAAGCCAGGCCACATCCTGCTCTAGAGCTTTTACTTTTATTATTCTCTGGCCTGGAACCTCTTCCTCCATTTGTCCACTCCTTTACCTCCATTTCTACTTAACTGTTACCTTCTCCGGACACCCCTACCTAAATAGCACCTCTTTGATATTTTCCATCCATTTTTCCTACTATGTTCTTTACTCTAGAGCTTATCTCTCTGATATATTTCATTTATCTATCTAGTAGAATGCAAGCTCAGTGAAGATAGAAACCCTTGTCTATTTTGTTTGTTGCTGTATCCCAAGCATCTAGATCAGTGTCTGGTAGAATAGGTGCTTAATAGCTACTTGTTCAAAGAATGACTCAGTAATGAGTGGAAGTGGAAATTTATCCAGAAAGAGAAAAAGCTAATCATGCCCCCGTCCCTTGTTATATGCATACTCCTGGAAGTCTTCCAAATCCAGCACAGGACACAACTGAGTATGTGCTGAGATTTTAAGCTAGGTGGAGTTTGGAGTTCAGTTCTCTGCTTTCTGGGCACAGAGAAGAATTTCACTTCCGCTCCTTCTTTTGGCATAATCATATGGCTTTCTTTGCCAATAAAATGTGGGTGGAAGTGACAAGAGTCATTCCAGACAGAAGCATTAAAAGCTAGTGCACAGTTTGCCACATTCTCTTCCGACAGCTATCATGATCGTGAAAAATTGTGTTGTGATACATGCCTCAGTTAGCTTGGCCTTTGAATGACTCAGAGGAGGAAAATTCTGCTGCCAACTTATGATGGACATTCAGTTGGAGTAAGAAATAAACTTGTGTTGTGATAAGTCACTAAGATTTTTGGATTGTTTGAATGGGCTGAATATTTAGTGGACTATGGTAGTCATTAATGCTGTTCATCAAATATTTTTAGCTTTCTGACTTCCATGCATGTGGTAGATTTGAACGTCTTGCCATCTGATATCCATGGTTAAGTTGAGCCCTATGACTAGCTCTGGTCAACGGCTTGTGAGCAGAGAGGACATGAATGCCTTACAGACTGGTGCATTCAAGTGTCAGATGAACCTCCAGAGATATAATCCCCTCTGATGAAGGGCCTAGAAGTTAAGTTTTGCAACTAAGATCCACTGAAATCTAGAGACCTAACAGAAATCTTTGAAATACTACAATTATTTACAAATGGTGAGCTTGTAAAATGAGAAGACTAATTCTAGTTTTAATTCTGGTTTGCCCCTCCCTTCCCTTCCCTTCCCTTTTCCTTCTTTCCTCCCTTCCTTCCTTCCTCTTTCCTTCCTTTTCTCCCTGCTTCTTGCCTTCTCTTTTTGCAGTACTTGTTGAGGCTAACCCCTCATAATTCTTCCGATTCCAAATGATTTGTTTTAGTCAATTAGGGTAATCAATTTCCCTTGCCAATGGTTGGTTTTATAAATAGCATATGACCCAATCCTGCCAATGAACCATGACTAAAGTCTTATAGGGACTTTCTGTGAGAGGTTTTCTTTCTTTGAAAAGAAAACACAAGAACAGTTTCCTTCTGCTTAGTTTGATGCCTAGAATTACCACATCCATTTTCTTACTGGCCCAAGAAACAAGCAAACACAGAGAAGAACTGAGCGAAGATAATTGCTAATAAGCAGTTATAGAGCTTATCCTAACCTTTGGACTTTTATTATGAGAGTTCATAAATCCCCATATTATTTATATCAGTCTGAGCTACAGCTTGCTGCTGGTTGCAGGCCAAAACATTCTGATACACCTTTATTCCATGATTTCTCTCTCATTTTGTTCCAAAAAACATATTTGCATCCAAATAAAAAGTAAGTTATTAAGGAAATACAGCCAGATGGTTGGTAGACAAATACAAGAAAGTATCTTGCTAAGGACTCAAGGAGAAGGCCACGAGTTTGGGAGAATGGAGAAAGATAAATGGAGCCAAAAGTAACCAACAGGTTTGAAAACCAGAGTTTTTCTTTGGTAAGAAACAGAGAATAGAGAAAACGTATTGAGCAGAGCAGAGGTAGATGAAGAGAGTGGTGCAGGATTAAACGCTGTGTGTGAAAGCTATTGGTATGTTTTTTTACCTAAAGCCCCAGATATCATCAGTCATTAGGGCTTTCAGACTTTAAAGGAAATGACAAAGACCTACATTATTTTCCATCTTGAGCATACTTGCATAAGTTATCTAATATAAAGAACATAATTTAAACATTAATGCAGCAAAACTCCTCTTTCAAAAATGTGTCATGTCATAGAAGAAAATAAAACAAATAATCGTATACTTGAAATTTTGTAGTATCTTTTAGTCCTAGTAATTGCTAAAAGTGTTGGAAAGTTAGTTAATATACTAAATATTTATTTAGTATTTATGATATTTAATGCATTGAGGTTAATGCTGTAAATATAAGAAGATTAGTATCTATTGCAGTCCTATAAGGAGCAAGCAGTCAAATCAGGGAGATGGTTCATAAGTCATTCACTTTAAGTCTCCATCAGAATGGGAAAAAAAAAATCTGAAAAAAAGAGTTCTTAAAATGTGCTTAAGGACCCCTTTGAAGTTATCATTTCGTTCCAACCAGGTAAATGAAGACATACTTGAAAGAGAAAGGAATACACCTAGGTCGAGTCTTGCATAATTGGTAGGCTTTCAAAAAATAGAAAAATATTGACTAGTTAGACCATGCATAGAAAAAGGAAATTTCTAGGAAAACAAGAGATCTGGTTAGGCTGAATAGTGTTATATATGAGGGGGTGCACTGGCACCTGACAGCACCTGAACATCATGCAAGGAACACAGCCCTACCCCACAGGCTTTCCCAGAAAACCCTTTTCAATCACAAGAATAAATAAGATCTGTGAAAGGTAAGTTGGGAGCAGCATAGAGGATATATCCACAGGTGTGGGAAGAAAGAAGACATTAGGCAAGAATACCTCTGCAGGAACTACTTTGGTGGTACAGATATAATATTAAAAATATCTGAAAAAGAACAATATCAATGGGGGTGGAAAAGAGAAAAAAAATTTAGTTGCCATTGAGATAGAATTAACAGGTTTGGGGTTTCTGATGACTCAGTTCTGGCCAATGTAATGTGGATAGAAATGAGATAAACCATGGATGGTCTTGGTCTTTTAAACATGATTGGTAACCTCCAAGTCCTCTTTTCCCTTCTGAAATGACCTTGGAAATCTTACCAGATGGGGTAGCCACACAATGGAAGCAGCCCAGATAATCCATTGGACTGTGACATGAGGTTTTGGTCTTATTTGTTACTAAAGCATAGCCTAGCTCATACACTTGTTTTGGGAGAAGTCTATGAATTTGGTTTCCAGTGTGATGAGTTGATGAAACCACAGTCTGAGGCATTAGCAGTACCTATCAGGCAGTTGGAAAGGCATGTTGAAGCTCAGGAATATGTTAAGACTAGAGTTGTCAGGCCAGGCACGGTGGCTCACAATGGTAATCCCAGCTCTTTGGGAGGTCAAGGTGGGCAGATCGCTTGAGTCCAGGAGTTCAAGACCAACCTGGGCAACATGGTAAAACCCCGTCTCTACAAAAAGTACAAAAATTAGCCGGGCATGGGGGTGCATGACTGTAGTCCAAGCAACTCGAGAGGCTAAGTTGGGTTGACCCTTGATTGGGAGGTCGAGGTTGCAGTGAGCCGAGATCACGCCAGTGTGTTCCAGCCTGGGCAAAAGAGAAACCTCCTGCCTCAAAAAAAAAAAAAAAAAAGACTAGAGCTGTCACCAAATTTATCCACATAAGAATTCCATACATAAATAATTAGTATACACAATTCAAAGGGACCAACAACTTTTTTTTTTACTTTGAATAAAAACTGCATCTGAAATTAGCTCCAAAACTAGAATTCTTTTAAAAAATATTCTAAAAAACCTTTACTATTTTACTTTTATTTTTTTTTACCCCCAGCTTTATTGAGGTATACTTGATAAATAAAAATAATGTATATATTTAAGGTATACAATGTGAAGGTTTGATGTAAGAATATATTCTGAAATGATTACCACAATCAAGTTAATTAACATATCCATTATTTCATCATTTATTTAAATAAACTGCCCCACCACTGCACTCCAGACCAAAACTTTAGAAGGAAAATCTACTCCATCCTTACAACTCTGGGATGGTAGGACGTAAGATCAGGATAAATCTATTTGTGTGATGTGGAGGTCACCAAGGAGGGCTAAAAGCTTCTAAAACCTCTCCATCAGAAAAGATTAAATTGGCATCTGAACAGAGCTTTATATCATCAGGCAAACCTCCTCCTCTAGTGATAAAAGCCCGTTCAATCAGATATGTGTTCACCCTTCTGACTAAGAGAAAAGAGCTTCTGAAAAGGAGATTAAAAGGAGAGGCATAGATTCCTGGCGGCATTTATTTGGGTATCACACAAGTCTGATCACTCCGCCCCTGCCCCTAATGGGAAAAACGTTATACAGTCAGGTCATAGGATTAAGGGATTTCTTAGTCTATAACAGTCTTCATACAGTCAAGTCACAGGATCAAGGAATTTCTTGGCTTATGACAAAATTCCATAAACGGGGTGCCTTATAAACAACATAAATTTATTTCTCACAGTTCTGGAGGCTGGGATTCCAAGATCAAGGCACAAGCAGATTGAGTATCTGGTGAGGACTTACTTTCTGGATCATAGATGACACCTCCTCACCATGTCCTCACAGGCTGGAAGAGGCAAGGCTGGGGCCTGTTTTATAAGGGCATTAATCCCATATATGAGAGCTCCATCTTCATGACCAATCACCTCCCAAAGACTCCCTCTCCAAGTATTATCACGTTGGGGATTATTAGGTTTCAGCATATAAATCTTGGCAGGAACACAAAACCCAACAGCAAGGGCTTTCTTAAGGTTCATAATAATGAAAATAGCAAATATTTATGAAGAACCTACTATACCCCAAACCTCTGACCTTACACTTACTTTTTTATTTAATTCTCACAATAGCTCTCTAAGTTAGATTGTAATAATATTCCTATTTTGCAGCTGAAGGTACTTAATGGTTTTCCAAAGGTCACAGAATATAAGATGCCCTGGAATTCAAATTTAGGTAATCTGAGCTCAAAGTTCAAGCTCTTAATTACTGTATTCTATTTATTCAAGAACTTATTTTTTAAAAATTTAATATCTCTGAATTGATGGGATACCATATTTTTATTGGGAGTGTTTTTCTCTCTTTTTGGTACATAAAATAATAGTGCATCTTACAATTCATTGCGTCTTAGACTCCATAAATATAATACAATGCTAATCAGCCTCTACTGACTGCTCAAGCATGTGTAATTAGGTGGGAGAGTGAGGACTGACTTAGTAAGAAGCTATATTTAGGGAAGAGGCTTTCCAACTTTTTTACAGAGCAGAATGCATTATGCAAACAAAATCTGACATAGAACTCCAATATGCAAAGCAGAGAAAAGTGGTATTTTATTAGTATAAATGCACTTCATGTTGAAATATATATGTATTTATTAAATGGTTAGTGATACTACTAGTTAGCACACTGGAGATTGCTAATGGGTTGAATTGCCACTTGAATTTGCTGGGTTTTTTTTTTATTTTTTGTTTTTGAGATGGAGTCTCACTCTGTCACCCAGGCTGGAGTGCAATGGCGCTGTCTCAGCTCACTGCAACCTCTGCCTCCTGGGTTCAAGCGATTCTTCTGCCTCACTCTCCTGAGGAGCTGGGCCTACAGGCGCTTGCCACCACATCCGGCTAATTTTTGTATTTTTAGTAGAGATGGGGTTTCATCATGTTGGCCAGGCTGGTCTCGAACTCCTGACTTCGTGATCTGCCTGCCTTGGCCTCCCAAAGTGCTGGGATTACAGGCGTAAGCCACCGCACCTGGCTTTTTTTTTAAATTAATGTTTTAGAAATATTTGAATGCATATGAAAGCCATTATATTCAAATCAAATATGAAGGGAATCAGGACACATCTTTGTGAATCCATGGCTCCAAAGTACTTTTCCAAGGTTTATAAATCACCACATGACAAATATCATCATAAAATCAAAAGATTACCCCAGTTTCTTTTTTTGTATGGGACATTATGCATTGAAAGTTATTTGAAATGACTTACATTCAAGGAATAGCCTTGAGGAATCATAGAGCTTGAGTAAGCCAGAAGAAATACCTGCTTCAAATTCTCTGACATCATCAACATCACTTCTACCATCATCTGGCATTTTTAGCAGTAAAATAGTACCTCCTGGGGCCAGCCTGCCATGTTTGAGTCCCAGCTCCATAACTTCCTAACTACATAAGCCTGGACACTTTGTTTAATCTTTCCAATCTTTGAATTCTTCATCTGTAAGTAAGAATCAAAATATCAGTAGCTATTTTATAATATTGTTTTAGGAAACAAATGAGATAATATGAATTGTTTACCTGTAGTAAACAATTAATAAATTTTAGTTTTTATAATTATTACAGCGCCTAAACAAAGGAAAAATAACCATGTTATGGGCTGGGGAAAGAAAGATGCTGAAGTGATGATTTATGATATTCGGGAGGTCTCATCTCTTTGAAAAGATTAAAAATAAACATGAAAAATAAATAGCAATGAAAGTCAACACAAAGTCAGAGCTCAATGAATGATAAAGATGAGGGTGTCAAAAGTCACAGAAACAAAAGCACCTTGTTTTCAAATTATATTTATTAAGCAAGTTTCTAGACTTCATGGTCACATAAAAATGTATTACGCAAGTTGTAATTTGTAGGGTATGTGGGATATATCTGGGCCACTGATATGCTGATATTGGTCTGTAATATTCAGAAAAGTTTTCAACCAATTTTTAGGTATAAGGATATTTCATATAAAAATTTGGAGTTTGATTTTTTCCCCCTTTTTAATCAAGACATCTTACACTCTGTTTCTCTAACTCTGCATGTCAACAATTACTTGGGACAAGTAGCGACTACCTTTCTTACAAAAGTGAATGATCTCTCTGATTGACTACAGATCTCATCACTCCCTATTGCTTCATGAATACTGTGGTTAATTACACATCTCTATTAGCACTGCCCTTGTGCTGTTGCTTTTCTTATGTTACATAAATGTGTGTGTTTTTTTCAACCTCTTTTTTTGTGGAAGTAAAGAGCATTACTACATGTTTCCCATGTGTCTTAATCCATTTTCTGTTGCCATGACAAATTACCTGGGACTGGGTAATTTTTAAAGAAAAATGTATTTAGGTCATAGTACTAGATGCTGGGAAGTCCAAGATCAGGTGGCTACATTAGGTGAGGGCTTTGTGCTGCTTCACAGCATGAGAGAAAAGCAGAAGTACAAGTGAGCACAAGCAAAAGGAAAAGAAACAAAGTGGGGTTATCTGCTCTGTAACACTGCTCTTGTGAGAACTATCCCTATCCTGAGGGAAGTGCACTAATCCCTTCCTGAGGCCTAGGCCCCCATAACTCAAAAACCTCCCACCTCCCACCAGGTCCCACCTCCCAACATTGCTGCATTAAGGAATAAAACTTTCACCATATAAACTTTTGGGGGGACACATTCAACCCACAGCACCATGCAGACAAATGCCTCTTATTCCTGGTTTGCTTTACTCACTTATCTGATTGTGTCCTGTAGGCTTGTGAGTGTCTGTCCTGAATAATTTTCAAAGATTTAGATGTGAAATGACACTTGAAGAATGCTTCATTTTAAAAAATGTGCAAGGAGGTAAGTGATACAGGAGCGAAAAACAAATGTGACAAAGATCAAAGGAGGGGGTTGATATTATCAGATAATTTTTCATAGGGGAGGTATGTCTGGAAGGACACATAGGTCCTCAGGCTAGGAGGATGGCATTGGACAAGCAAATATCTAAACTCCACAAAACAGCTGTCTAGAGACCCTCAACATATTTTTCTCAATCACCAAATGTAATCACAGTGCTTCTTTACTTAAAAACTGTCAGTGGCTTCCTATTGTCTTCAGGATAAAAATCCAAGCTCTTTAGATTGACTTAGGAACCTTTTAGATGTGGTCTTTGGCTACCTTCCTATGCTTGTTTTGAAAGGCAGCCCCGAATCTCCCACGTTAGCCGCTGTGAGCTAGCCACACTCAAGGGCTTGCCGTTCCCTCAAAATATCAAACAATTTTACATTTTGAACTTACTGTTTGTTTAAATTTACTCCTGCCCCAACCCACTGTCACCTCTTTTGAGAAACTTTCTCTAATACCGTCTTACTCCAAAACTGAGTTTGGGACTTCTTCTCTGGGTTCATGAAGCACAATAAACAGGGCTGCATCTTCCATTATGCCTTCTGAGCTGTAAATCTCTTAATTAATTCATCTCCCTCAATGGACTCTCTCCTTGACCAGGGGGATCAGAGTCCAGCCCTGTGAGGATGCCACGGTAGGGCTTGTTAGCCCTGAGGGAGGAAGTAAGTATAGGAGCTAGGGAGTCACTTTACTAGCTAGGTGAGCATTATAGGAAAGTTCTTTCTGTTGAAAATGAGCTGTCAGCCAGGGCTTCCCTGCCTCTCAGGGATTTGTCAGTTCACTGTGAACTTCTCTGGAAATTCAGAGCCCCGCTTCATAATTTTCGCAAATTCCTGATAGTTTGCTTCCTTATGCATCTGTCCATCAACGTTCCAGCTGTCGTGTTAGTCCTTGTTTTCATCCTACATTGTCCTGGAGGCAACATTGAATCCCTCCACCAGTTCATGAAAGATCCTCTAGAAATTAGCTTTGTGCTGGTTTACTTATTTTACTGAAAATTTGAGGGGTCAAAGAATATGTCACTATACAAAGAACATACTCTACAAACCTAATTCAGCATAATACTCATCTTCTTTAAGACATTGTCAGGGTATATCTGTAAGCAAATGTTCTTCCCTTTTTAGGAGTAAATAGGCTGCCAGCTGTTAATATAATGACATTTCTACATCCTAAACTCATGTTGACCCAAAGTCACTGCCTTAATATCTTTCTATTCATTTGCCTTAGTTCTACACTGGGGAATAATAAAAAAAGAATTTATCTTTTACAAGACAGATTTCAAATCTATCATATAGTTCTAATCTTTTACAGGTCAAGCATCCTTTGTGTCTTTATCTAGAATTGGGGGCCCTGAGAGGCAATTATTTTTTTCAATGAGAAAAAAGTTCACAGACTTTCATAGTAATATTTTTGGGAGTTTTTATGTGAAAACCTTTTCTCAAGTTCACCCTAAATTGATTCTGTGAAATCTCAGCTTTCTGTTGCCTTCAGGTGGATGAACACTTTCATAGGCAAGTAAAATAGATTGTTACACCTGACTTATTTACACAAAGTAAAAAATAGGTTACAGCCTTTTAATTTAAGCTGATCAACTTTATTATTTCTCTTTGGATGAAAGCATGTGCAATGTTTTCTGTGGTTTGGGTGTAATTTCCTGCCAGAGGGGGATGTGGAGGCGGAGGGGAAAGGAGGGGTTGCTGAGTTTTGCCATCAAATTCTTAAGTCCAGCTGCTCTCTTTTAAGTGTCAATGACCTTACTCTATAGCATCCAGACTGGTCAAGGTCCCTATAATGAGAAAACCAAATTACAGGTATGTAATTTTCACAGTTTTCTGCCGGGATCTCCAAGTTGGTGACAAATTGATATACTACTGTCTGTACGGAAGACTGCTTTCAGAAAACAGGCCACTCTCAGTTGAAACACTATGCCTGAAGGATTGCGCAATTTTAAACTTCCGAGATATAAAAAACATCCTTCACCCAAGTCTCTTGTAGAATGTTGAACTATAGAGCATATTGTTTAAGCTTGGAAAGCCCTGCCAGAACAACAAGATGTGAGAAAAATCTTCAGGCACCAGGAACAAGGAGATCATGGAAAAGCAACTAACAATGGGAAGATAACGTATGTCATGGGACTAGAATCTCAAATTGTGAATTTTGTTATACATTCCTCTGCCAAACTTTTAGACATTCACAGTTAGTCAATATGTCCCTTATAGTTACATATTTTTCTAGACAGTAATTTCCTAAGATCATAATAAAAAACAGTAATCATTATAGAAATAGAAATAAGTAACATTTATTGAGATTTCCCTATGTGTCAAGTTCAGTTCTAAACACTCCCCATGCATTCACTTATTTGATTCTTACAACCAATGCATGAGGTACAAATTATTATTGTCCTCATTTTGCAGGTGAGAACACTGAGGCACAAAGAAATATGTAATTTGTCTAAGGTTGTACTGTCAGCAAAGGGTTGGGACCAGGGGTCAACCCAGGCAACCTGTCTCTGGTGCTCTCATGCTGTTACCAAACTGGACCTCTGGAAGGCACAGTGTCATTTTCCATAGGAGCAGAGAAATAATTGGGTGGTGTATTCCTGACCAAGAGCTTAGCTATGCTTAAAAGTAAATGATCAAGCTACAGTGACCCCTTGGTATGTGTGAGGGATTGGTTCCAGGACCCCCATGTATACCAAAATCTGCACTTACTCAAGTCCCTCATTCAGGCTTGCAGAACCTGCAAATGCTGAAAGTTGGCTGTCCATGCAGGCAGGTTTCGCATCATATGAATGCTGTATTTTCCATCTGCATTTGTTTGAAAATTATCCACATGTAAGTAGACCCCAGAAGTTCAAACCCATGTTGTTCAAGGATCAACTGTAATGTCAAAAAACTAAAAATATAACTAAATGGATCTCTTCTCAGTAGAAATGGTGGATAGTCAAGCTGAGATTTTCGTCAGCAGTTCCCAAAGGTGGCAGAAATGGGCCCTAATCCTGGAGTTATTGAGTCAGAGGTCAAGAATGAGAATTTACATTTCTAACATTTCTCCAGGTGATTCTAATGCAGATCTGTATTAGGAGATCACAGATCTAAGTTTCATTTTTAAACACCTCTTGAGCCTGGATGAACAAAGGTTAAAAAAAAAAAGAAAACTATTGCTGTATAAACAGAGGTGAAAAAAACAGCCATGACTTCAAGGTGTTCAAAAACAACTCACGGTTTGCATAGGATGAAGGGAAATAGGCAAATAAGCTGCTGTGATACAGTTTAACAAAATTTCTTATAGAGCGAAGAGAACAATAGCAATTCCAAGAAAGGAAAAAGGACAAGGAAAATCAGAAAATGCTTGGTAGAGGAAGTGACATTTAGGCTGAATTATCTGAAAAGATGAGGATGAAGTAGTTACTCAAGAAAGGGAGATTAGAGGAAGAAGGGCCAGATACAAGGACACATGTTTTTTCAACAATAACTAATGCATATTTGCAATGTGCTGGGTATTTTATTATGTGATGGACATGGAATATGTGCAAATGAACATAGAGGTTAGAGTTTGTGGCTTATTCAAGGAGCTGAGAGTAGTCAATTTTGTTTAGATGTGCCACAAGGTAAAAAGAGGAATGGTCAAAGAGGTCACAGGTTCTGTTCCCTAGGAAGCAGACTCTAAGGGAGGATTAGCAAGCAGAGTATTTATTAAGGAGTGCCCTCAGGATCAACATCTGTGGATGTGCAGGAGGGGAAAGTAGACTGGGCAGAGGCAGAAGTTGAGCTGTGATGTAGGCCCTACAAATGTCTCACCCTAACCCACAGAGAGCTCTGTATCTTGGGTAGCCGGCAACTTAAAATTCATTGTGTTTAGAACAAAAGAAAGAACCCTAAAAATAGTAACCAGTTCATCTTGAAGTGGGAAAAGGGATGGGTAGGGTTCCTATGTGTTGCCATAATCGGAAGAATGGAATAATTTCTATTATTCTGTTTCAGATGCTTGCTCTTCTCTGAACAACTTGACCACACCTCTTTAGAATATTCCCTCTGCAAACTCCATACTCCTCACAGCCCCCAGTTAATAACCCAGGATCCTGGGCTGTGAGACAGAAATGGAACTGCCTTCTCCACAACCCCACCATGTTACTTATGAGCTGAATGCAGAGTCCCCATGCAGGGTACTCCTCCTGTCCCATGTCAAAAACACAGCGTTTGCCCTACAGTCATGAAGTCAGCAAAGAGAGCCGTTTCCTAATACAAAAGTGATACTTAGAATTATGTACAATAATAAGTAGAATCACTCCAAGTGAGTTATCTATTTATAACTGGAATATTGATATTACTGCTGATATTAACAACAATTACATAGGATACTGCTTGCAAAAATACTCTAAACTTGATGAATTCATTTTGCCCTCAGTATAGTCTTAAGAGCCAAGTGACAAAAAAATTAGTTCCATTTTGTAGAGGGGCAAATTAAGGCAAAACAACATTAAATGTGTTACCCTGATTTCTTTAGGTTGCCAGTATGATCCTCCCTCTCCTGGACACTTTTGGCTCCTCCTTGCAGTCTTGGATGGCATTCCTTTGTGTGTGTGTGTGTGTGTGTGTGTGTGTGTGTGTGTGTGTGTTTCTGTACCATTAGGTGGTAAATCCTTTAAAAGCAGGAATGAGCATGCCACAGTCACCTTTGCGTTCCTCAAAACATTTCTTGCAGTTCTTATACACTCCCAGTGCTTATTTGGCTGGCTGACAGGGTGAAGGAAATAAGTGAATTGTGAAAAATACCATTTGAATTCAGCAGGAGAGGTGGGCCTGGAGCCTAGGTTGTCTGCTCATTCCTAGATTCTCTGGTGACTGAAAGTATGGTCTGTAGACTAGCAGTAATGCAAAGACATAGGCCTAACCAAGACCTACTAAATCAGAAGCTGCATTTCCATAATGCAATTCCGAGACAATTCCCATGCACACTAACATTTGACAAGCATGGTTCTAGAGGGTACTTTTTCACTTCCACAAGTATTCAGTGGATTACCACAGGTAAATGTATGTCCACTGGCCTGATTCTTCATGCAACCAAATCACATGCATGGTTCCACCATGACCCAAGGGTACTAGAAGACCAGGAGTATATATAGCAGCGTCTCAGGAAACTGAGATGAGATAATTGGTTGTGTAAATTAATACTTCATTAAACATGTAACAGCAGCAATAATAATAATAAACATAAGAGATAAATGTATTGAGCAGTTTCTATGAGACAGATACTGTCCTAAATATTTAACATATATTATTTCAGTCATTGTATGCCTAGTAGTTTTCTAAGTTTATATGCATGTGGATATATAGAAGAATTTATTATAAGTTTTACCTTGGTTCTCATTTATTTTTAAATGAGACTTTCCACATATACACAGCCATATGAGGTAAGTTCTATTGTCCCCATTTCACAGGTGAGGCATGAGGATACTGGTGTTCTAGATCCCATGGCTAGAATGTGGAGAAGCTAGGACTTACACCCAGGCAGTATGGCTTCTGGGCCCATGCCTTTAAACACCAACTGAAATAGATTTAGAATTACCTTGGTCCACAAGTGTATTTTTTTTCTCTGTTCCTAATGTCTACAACAATGAAATAGCTTTGGCAAGACAGTCTTCATACATAGAAGAACATAGAAGAATGGGAGGGGAATACAAGTTGAGCGATGCAATAGGTTCACTCTGCATAGTTATTTGACATCAGATCCTTGATTAAACATGGGCCTGGCTCTCCAGACTCCAGCATCAACCTCCCATGAGTTGAGCAACATCCTGTTTCCTTAAATTCCTATTACTAACTGAAAAACTCCATTTGGTCTTATTGTGTTTCTCCCTTCCCCTTGACCCTTCATGCTTATGTATCTATATAAAACTAATAAAAACTTGAACAGGAAATATAAAATCACCATGAAACCAAACCAAACCTGCAGCAGGACCTCAGAGGGCCCTATGCAATCAGAGCTGTGTGAAACTATTTTCGGGGAGCTGTAAACCTAATAGCTTGCTCTATTCAAGGCACAGCTGCAAGGCTCCCGGGACAGATATGCCCCTTGTTGGAAAACAGAAGGGCTTGTAAAATTATTTTCACAAATTTTTTCCCTTAATATTTTCCCAGCTACCTCAGGCACTCCTTCCCCTCTGCCCTACTTAGCTAAATAACTGGAGTCTGAGAGAAGCAATGACAAAGGAATAATGATTTTCCCCCATTTATCTTTTATTATTATTGATGGGTAGCAAATCATTTTAATAACACTTTCTACTCAATTTTTAAATAAATCATTTAAAAGCATTCTTTTTAGATTTAGGGATTTTCCTTCTTTTTAATTTTTATCTGTGCTATGGGTATGTTTTTGGGGTGGGTCGTCCTGAGTCTGTGGTCTTCGTTATGCCACAGGAATATTCTCCCAGTTCCAGCAACATCATTTATACCCAGGGCAGTTGAGCTTTGTTTTGTACCAGTGCCCTCTCCTCGCCTCACACAGATATGGCTCCACCTGGACTCTTTTCTTTGGCCCACACTCACAAAAGCCTATTCTCCTTTGAACCAACATTCCTGCATAATTCCTGTATTTTTGATACGGGATTATCTCTTGGTGTGTGTTCTTAAGCCTGTTGTCCTGCTAAAAGAGACTGGATGCTCCTTTTCTTTGGCTTGTGTTTTTACTCCCTTAGGCTCTGAAGCTTTGGAATCAGCCATAGACAGGCTCAACTCTTGCTTGGTTGATTCCTATGTATATAAAATAGCTTAGAATGAATCATTCAATCTTTCTTACACTCAGTCTCTTCAATTACCATATGTAGTCAGCTGTATGCACCATTTTGATAAGTATTTACCATATACTCAGTTCCTGTCCATGTATTAACTCATTTTATCCTGATATAACCCTCCAAGAGAGACGTAATCAACATCCTGTTTTATGAATGAAGAGAGGAGAGGGCAAAAATTATGCCCAAGGTCACAGACATAGTAAGGGAACACCTGGAATTCACTCATGTATGTGATGACTCAGGAGTCCTTGCTTTTAACTACCTGCGATGATGTTTTTCAGGCTACAGGGTTATTATGAAAAATAAAGAAATCACTTCTGCTATATCCTTAGTAGTTTAGAACTTGGCTCTGAGATAGTGTATACTCAGTGTGTCATTTTTCTTTGATTTGGACACTCAGGTATATAATCGCTGTTTCATCTGCCTCTTGGTTCACTCCAACATTGAGACTTAGGGCATTTTGTTGCTTCTGTAGAAAGCTTAGTTGGTTATTCTGTAAGATTATGTTATCCTAAGCCCATAACCTTCAAAGTTCACATTAAATATCATACACAAATATGTGTTTAGGTATGAATATGTGTAAATCTTGTCTAAGATGAGGTTAAAGCTTGTCATAAGTAATGTATCGTCGAGAATGAAGAAGGAACAGTCACGAAGGGACGGAGTAAGGAGTGTATTGTACTGAACACCTATTAACCTCCATAGCAAAGGCACCAGTTTTCAAGAGACAGAAGAGACCTGGAGCCAGACAAGGAGACACATACAGGGGATAGAGTCCAGTGGCAGCAAACTGGACAGGAGAACTGGCTTACCTACAGAAATGGTACAGTGGCGGCAGGCTTGGCAGGAAAACTGCAACCACTCGCAAAGAGCATGAAGTTTATGTAGCATTTTCACTTTCCCCTTAAAGACCTCCACCTAGCAACCTTTATTTAACCCAAAACTCAGGGTCTCAAACCCCTGTACTGTCTGTTTTCCATGGAACGGGGGCTCAGATGTTTCTTACAGAAGAGGGACAAACCTCCCAGTTAGCCACACTGGATTCCCCAGCTCCGAACACACATTCAGATCTGTCTGCCATACAAAACAAGGACATTCTGAGGGTATGCTTAAGTTATTGCAGCCAGGGGCGTTTACCCTACAGAGTGGAGACAGGAATTCTAAATCTGTGTTCAGAACTCACTCTAGCACTCCTAATCACGTCTCCCCCTCCCTTTGTTCCTGACCCTCACAACTGCCTCCAAGCATGATCCAAAGTAAGACAGAGGAAACAAGAATAAAAATTAGACTTCAATTGAAACTCTCTGTGGGGCACAGTGGCTCATGCCTGTAATCCCAGCACTTTGCCGGGGCTGAGGTGGGTGGATTGGTTGAGCTCAGGAGTTTGAGGCCAGTCTGGGAAACATTGGGAAACCCTGTCTCTACAAAAAAAAATACCCACAAAACTTAGCCAGGTGTGGTGGTACGTGCCTGTAGTTCCAGGTACTCTGGAGGGTGAGGTGGGAGGATCACTTGAGCCTGGGAGGCTGAGGTTGAAGTGAGCCGAGATTGTGCTACTGCACTCCAGCCTGGGCAACAGAGTGAGATCCTGTCTAAATAATATTAATAAAAATTCTCATCCAGTAAAAATTCTCATCCCAGGATGCTTTAGTTCATTAAAAATGTGGCAAAATAAATGTTGGTCTTTAGAGTGGTGTTCTACCTTATAGTCAGCAACTTATGTCCTGTATGCATAGAGCAGTGGTACTCAAAGTGTGGGCCCTGGTTTCAGCAGCATCAGCATCACTTGGGAACTTGTGATGAATGTAAATTCTTGGCCTCATCCCAGACCTACTGAATCAGAAACTCTGGAGGAGGGCCCAACAATCTGTTTTAACAAGTCCTCCAGTTGATGCTAATTCATGCTCAAGTCCGAGAATCATTCTCTGAAGTTGTGGAGGTGAGGGCAGTTCACAAACTACAGCTGTAAGCTAAAAGCAACCCAACACCTGTTTTTGTTGTTGTTGTTGTTGTTTTTTGGATTTTTTTTTTTTTTTAAGATGGAGTCTTGCTCTATCACCCAGGCTGGAGTGCAGTGGAGCAATCTTGGCTCACTGCAACCTCCAGCTCCCGGGTTCCAGCAATTCTCCTGCCTATGCCTCTCCAGTAGCTGGGATTACAGGCATGCGCCACCATACCCGGCTAATTTTTGTATTTTTAGTAGAGATGGGGTTTCACCACGTTGGCCGGGCTGGTCTCAAACTCCTGACCTCAGCACCACCTGTTTTTATAAATAAACTGATGTTGATAAACAGTCACACCCATTCATTTTCTTATTGCCTATGGCGGCCTTTGTGTTACAGTGGCAGTGTTGAGTTGTTGCAACAGAGACTGTATGACCCCACAAAGCTAAAAATATTTACTATCTCTACCTTTTTTTCAGAAAAATTTTCTGAATCCCAGCTTAGAGAACTGTGGGAACAGAGGGTTCCAAGACAAGTACTTAGAAGTGCCTCTGTCACGTATATGCTTTGTGACCTTGGAAAATTTCCTTCTGATCTTGATTTTTTCCCTCAAAATGGAGCAAGAATAACTATATCCACCTTCTAAGCTGTGATGATGAGTTAGCAAATGCAAAGCCGTGAGTAGACTTCCTAGTACTTAACAATCACTCAGTAAATGGTACTTATTATTATTGTAACAATACTAGATAAAATTTACTGTTAGTTTATATTTGAATCTGAACCAAAGTAGAAAAAATTACCTGATTTATCACCTAAACTCATTGGTTTGGTGGAGGCTAAAGAAAATGTTTAGTCCTACAGTCTTTCATTAGGAAACACAGTTTTCAAGGTAGTGAAATGTATTTAGGTTTACACTTCAGTTTTGAAACACATTTGTATATTTAATGTCTTTAGTCTTGAGTACAGCCAACCAATAAACAAAAATGTCCATTCATCTGTCAATACTTTTATTTATTAATATTATTATTATTATTATTAATTTTTGAGATGGAGTCTCGCTCTGTCGCCCAGGCTGGAGTGCAGTCGTGCGATCTCTGCTCACTGCAACCTCTGCCTCCTGAGTTTTAGCGATTCCCCTGACTCAGCCTCCTGAGTAGATGGGACTACAGGCATGTGCCACCACACCCAGCTAATTTTTGTATTTTTTTAGTAGAGACGGGGTTTCAGCGTGTTGGCCAAGCTGGTCTTAGACTTCTGACCTCAATTGATCTGCCCACCTTGGCCTCCCTAAGTGCTGGGATTACAGGCATGAGCCACCACTCCCAGCCAATCTGTCAATACTTTATAATTTAAGCATTCTTAGTTGCTGCTTTTATTTTGACTACAAACATGGAGTCAAAGTGCAATTTACACTTGACAGTTTTTTTTCCCTACTATGGACATTAGAGATTGGACTTTTGGGAATAAGAAAAAACAAGAAATGACATTCATGCCAAATTGTTTATACATATTATATTATATGTTGTGGTATATGACACATGAGATACATTCATTTTTTATGAACTGAAAAACGAAGTTAAACCTATATAACTAATATTTAATTTCTGTCACTTTACCTAGAGATTTGAAACAATGATACTCTGTTATTACTCTTCATTCTGTGGGTTGGCTAAGTTGAACTGGCAGTTTTCTATCCCACCTGGATTAGCTGACGTCACCCCTTTCATTGCATTCAGCCTGGAGCTTTGCTGGGGGACAGAGATTTCCAAGACATTCTCCCCTCTTCCAGGGCCTCCCTCCACAACTCTCATCACTCAGTAGTCAAACTGAACTTCTTTTGGTATAGCAATTGGCTTCCAAGATGGAACATTCTAAGAGGATAGAAAGAACACTTATGAAGCTTCTGTTTGTATCAGGCTTGCTAAGAACAGGCTCCCTTGGCCAAAGCAAGTCACATACCCAAGCCTAGTGTCAAGGGTTAAGGAGCATGCATATACAAGGACATGAATACCAGGAGGCTTGCTTGTTGGGGGTTACCAGTGCACCAGTCAGCCACGAGCAATATCTTCTGAATAAAAAGAATTTGGTGATTCTGGAAGGCACATTGATTGACTGCTTCCAGCTCGGTGGGTATTGGAGAAGGGCTATGCACCCTTATTTATTTATTTCAACATGTGCTTGGAATTGATTATAGAAGACAAATTTGTTTCTGAATGTTTGTTTAAGGCCCTAGGTTTTGAATAAGTAAAGCGCAGAAGGCAGACCTTCTATTTCCCGTTATCTTATATCCTCTTTTAGGGATTTTGAGCACAAAGTGCAGGACAGATGTTTTGGATTAGCTTATACAAGGCAGTCAGAGTTTGGAGTGCAGTTGTATAATACACAATTTATGCCAGATTTTTCTGAGACTTTAGTGCTAATGTCTGAGACAAAAGCCAGACTTTAGTAATGAGAAACCAAGTTGGCATTTGGTTGGTATTATTGTTACAGCTAAAAAAAAGCCTCCCACCCAAACCACCTGACAATAAACAGGATCATAACTACAATCAAATGCTACAGGGACAGCCAATTTTTAATCCATGGGCAAAAACCCCTCATTCCTTATCAGTTGCACTACTTTAGGAGTTTTACCCTTTATTTCCCCTCAAATGATACTGGATTCTATTAAGGTTATATGGTGTTCAAGGTAATAAAAATGATAAGAAAATAGAAAGATAACTAGGAAAATGGCCTAATGTCTTAAAAAGAGCTAATTAATTTGAATGAGTTAGGTATCGTCATAATGCCTTCTGGGAAACTACCGAAGTAGTGGCTTCAATTGGGGTTCTTGAGGGAATCTGCTCAGATATCCATGAGTAAGAAGGGCTCTACTCCTTCGGGAGAGAGCATACTCTTTGAATTAATAGAGAATTTCATGAGTGAGTACATGCCAGCCTGAATAGCTGAAGAAAGCCGGGTGATCAGTGAAGTGATTGACATTCCAGATCATTCTCACTTCTGTGCATCCTTGATCTACTTTCTGTAGAGCATGAATCAGTCCTTAGAATTAATAATGCTATATACTTCGCATATAACTTAACAATAAATGCAAGTGGATATTTATAAATTATTTATGGTGACATGATTGCATTTGTGAAGACAGAATATGTACATGATGTGATAGATGCAATTCATTTGCTCACTCAAGGAGCATTTTGGGGTACCTATTGTGTGCTCATCCTTGGCACTTTGAAAAATTTCCCCTTCTTATAGAATAACAGGGGAGGGGTTTCAGGATTAGGGAGGGGGGTTAGAATCAGGGCAGAAGAAAATGTCTGTGAATGCCTAAATTTTGTCTCAAATTTGGAAACATTATCATTTGTTCCTTAGCTTTCATTAGATTCTCAAAGGAACTCAATGATCCCCCAAATGTTAAAAACAGTAGAGCATTAGAGATGGAAGTAATCATGACTTTTTGCCCTATGGCTCATTTCACGGTTGAACCCCCTTATTTCATAACTGAGAAAATCCAAGCCCAAAAACGGACATGAGTACTTTGTTCAAAAATCACTCATCTGTTTACTGATAGAGCTCTGTTTAAATTTCAGTGGATTTCACTTACCTCTTGGGGGTTCCACTTGAAATGATAACCATAGTTTAACCAAATGTCATATTGATATGAGCATCCTAAAACACAGAATGGAAATGCAGTTCTATAGCAACAAAATGTTGCTATCCCAGCAGAAAATAAAACTTTTCCCATGGTTTTCTTATTCTCTACCCCATTATTCCCAGGCAAAGAACAGGGGTGGGAGACAGGACTCCTTGCATGGCTAAAGGCCATGGAAACTTGAGAGAATGGCTTCAGTGAACCAATACTCTAGGAATCTTGGACATGTGAAGAAATTCTACCCATTGATCTCAATGAAATGGCAGCTGAGAGTGAGACTGGGTCTTCTCATTTAAGTTCCTCTTTCCTGGTATAGTGCATTGTGTTTTGTTGATTAGAAAATGATTCATAATACAGTATTAGTATACCTAGTAGACACTGAACATGTTAAGTCAGAGAATTCAGAGGGTTTCTGGAGGACTCAGGAGAAACAGACAAGATGTGAGGAAGGAAATGCAGACTGTATACATTCCTAGAACCACAAAATAGTCCAATAAAGTAGAGGATACAGTTGTGACTGAACTGCCAGGACCCATTCCCATTGACATAGCTACAGGGCCTCTCCTCAGGTGAAAGAAGTTGTACAGACAAAAGGCCATACATCAATTAAACCATCGTTATGGATGGAGCAGCATACTAGCTCCACCATGAGTTTGAGTTTAAGAGTTTGGGAGAGTTCCTTGCAGTTGACAGTGGGAAGATCTACTTGAGTTATCAATGAAAGAACTTGTATTAATTCTGCATACACTGGAATTTCTTGAGGACTGAACATATTCTTCCTTGACTGCTGATATGACCCTGGTGAGTGTAAGAAACCAAGTGTGCATCCACCTAGCCTCTCCTTTCTGCTTTGGTGGTTACTGCAAGGTGAGAAGATACTCGGATGAGGAAACCGTAGAGCTCCTTCTCCTCTTGGGATGGCTTTTTTGGACTGACTTCATTAATTTATGTGAATTTTCTGGTTTCTTTTTGTCTCTTGAGCCATCTATGATGGAAAAATGTTTCAATATTGTTAGTGAATTAATGGTGAGACTATAAAGACCTATGCGTGTAGGATATTTCTCTTGAAAAATTCAACTTCTCTAGTCAGAAGTCCAACTCCACCGATTTGAACTCTTCTTCAGCCTAATGGGCAGCACAAGAGAAAGAGAGGGGCTCACTTCCAGATTCTGTTCACATAACTGTGAGACTATGGCAAGTTCAATCATTATCTCCAGGTTTCTGTGTTTTCGCCACATAGGAAGAAGGATTTTAAAACTGCATGCTAATTAATGCTTTGAGAACTCTGGCTACAAAGCTGCTTCATGGTGTAATATTAATGCTGTTGGCACTGCTTTCTTTTACCTTCGCCAACACCAAGACTTTTTAGAGCACTAAACTCAGGAGACTTCTTTTTTCTTTCTTTTATTTATTTGTTGATTTTTAAAAACTTTTTATTTCCATAGGTTTTTGGGGAACAGGTGGTATTTGGTTACATGAGTAAGTTCTTTAGTGGTGATTTGTGAGATTTTGGTGCACCCATCTCCCGAACAGTATACACTGAACCCGATTTGTAGTCTTTTATCCCTCACCCCCTTCTTACCCTTTCCTCCTAAGTCCCCAAAGTTCATTGTGTCATTCTTATGCCTTTGTATCCTCATAGCTTAGCTCCCACTTATGAGTGAGAATATATGATGTTTGCTTTTCCATTTATACGCAGGAGACTTCTTTTGAGGAACAAGAAGGTTAAGCTGTAACTGCATTTTCTAGACCCTATTGCTTAAGGAAATTTGTCCCAGGAAGATTCCTGAAGGGCAGTTTAATTAGCCCTAAGGTAGAACAGTGGCAGAAAAATTGGGGCCAAACTGGTACTTTGCTCTATCTTAGGCCATCATGTTTATCTGACCAACTATAAACTCCATGAAAAAAATGGGGCTACCCAATGATAAAGTCATGTTTTTGTACATGTCAACTTCATTTACCTTCCACATAGGTGAGCAAGGAGCAGTCTTTCTTTCTAAAATACTAGTCTGGTTCTGCTACTCTCTTGCTTAAAACTCTCTGGTAAACCTGTGTTGCCTAGAAAAAGGCCCAGTCTTCTTAGAATAAAGCCCAAAACTTTTCTCTTTCTTACTGTAATCTATTTTTCTAGCTACCTTTCACCCTCTGCAGTACATTTTCTCCAGCCATAACTGAACAATGTCTTTCTGACATTGCAACCTCTTTTCACACCTCATACTTGTTTCTTCAACTGGGATAGTTGATGATCTGTTACAATCTCACAAGTGTCTCCTTCCTTTAGAAATTTGTCCTGGCCAGGCTTTCTCAAAGTTAGAGTTATTTGCTCTCTTATTTGTGATTCTTCCAGCCCTTTATAAATGTCTTATTGTGCGTTTCTCTTACTACTAATGTTTGAGCTTTTCAGGAATCAAGATTAGTTGTGGCTGCATTCCCACAAGTGGCACAGTGCCTAGGACAGAGTGAGTGGTAAGTTATGATGAGGAAGTACCTGGATGGCTATGGCCAGACCTTAGATAGCACTGCCAGTGAGGGTGTTCCACAGAACACCTTTGACTGAGTGGGAGAAATGCAGGTCAAATCTTTTTTTTTTTTTAATGTAGAAATACAGACAGAATCTCTTTTACTATAACAGCTATAATTTCAGTGTTATTCTTATTCCATAGCATCAACTCCTTTACAGAAAAAAGACCGATGACACCCTTTGCCATTTAAAAATTCTCACCACATATTGAGCAACCCCAAAAGAATACTCATTTGCATTGACTCAGAGGGTGCCAAGGACTGATACCGAAGATTTTTATGTTGAAAAGCAACAGAGAGTAGTGGCTGAGATCATGGATTGAGTTGAAATCTCAGTTTTGCCACCTACTAGTATGTGACCTAGGGGAAGTAGACTAATTTCTTTCTGTCCATAAGCCCTTTCTGCCCACATATTAAAAAACGAGGATTATAATTGTACTTACCTCATAGGCACCATGAGACAAGGAATAAATCTGTTGATATTAAAAGCTGAAAACAATATCTGGCACAACATCCTAAAAAGCAGTGTAAAGTACTTATCAAAACACTATTTTGTGGAAGATATATCTGACTCTGAGTTTTTATTTTTCCATTTACTAGCAGCGTAATCCTAAATTGTAAATGTCCATTGTCCTTAAACCTTAGTTTTCCTTCTCTGTAAGTTGAAGCTAATAATTATGCCACTTTTAACCTTCATCCATTAAGTGAGATACGTCACTCAAAGCATTTAGCATAGTAAGTGTTCAACAAATTCTACCTACTGCCATTATTTCACGAGATAGGCTGTCAACAAATATTTGGGGCTAAATCTTAATTGATGAAATCTCAATTTCATCATCCTAATGATGAAACTTCTTTTGCTGTTAACTTTTTAATAATGTTTTTAATAGCAAGTGAGAAAAATTTCACTTTCTATCTCCTTTTCCTTACTGGCATGAGTTAAGAGTTGAAAAAAAGAGGTCTCTTGTATCAACAAATTGCCTGTAAATCTAGTCACAGAATGTTATGTCTATGGAATTTTAGAACAGAAACTTTATCTGTCATAAATTCTATCACAAATTTTAACTGCTTAATTTTAAATCAGTGGTTCTCAGTTGAGGGTGACGGTGCCCTCAGCTTCTTCCTTACAGAACAATGGAAACTATCACAACCGGTGGTAGGTGCTACTGGCTTCTAGTGAGTAGAGGCCAAGGATGCTACTAAATATTCTACAGACCATAGGATAGTCCCCTACAGCAAGAAATAATCCATCCCAGAAAGCCAATAGTGATGAGGTTTAAAAAAAACTCTATTTTAGACTTAAGGAAACTGAAGCTTAGAGAGGCTTAAATGACTTGTCTATGGTTGTAGGATTTGATAACATTAATTTCTTGCTGCATTTGATCTATCATGACATCCTAAACAATCCCAGCAGAGAGAAGACAGCCTAGTATTCAGACTCCTTTCTCGGCATTCCAAATCCCTCTACTCTCAGTGTATAGAATCTCTATTTTCTCCACATATCAGCTTTCACCCCGTTGTCCCCAGCTCACCAAAACACACATATGTGCACACAATTCCATCATGGAAAAGTAATGCAGAGAGAGTTCACCAAAGAAGCAAAGGCAAATTATTTTTCCTGGGCATATCTGTTTCAAACCAACCAATTCTATTACACAGTTAGCCCAAACAGAAGCCTGGGTGAAAAGGCAGACCAATGTACAGGTCTTTGTTGCCGTAGGACTAGAACCGGGCCAAGGTTCCCATGGGTAATAATCATGGCTTTGTGCTCAGTGAAGTCCACAGGTAACTGCAGAAATACTGTGACTACAGAATAAAGAATAAGAATAGAAAAAGGGGCATGACTTGATGAGCAAACCACACAGATTCACAGGAAGTAGACTTCAGCAGTTCTAGTATCTGTGGTTTTCTTGAATTCTTTTCAGATCTTATTCTGGGAAAAGAAAGTTATCAGGTCAGTAGTGTTAATGTGCTTTGTTTTGTTTTGTTTTTGCTCTGTTCTACATGGGCAAAACACGAGGAGATAAACATTTTCATGGTAGACTGGGAATAAAGAAGAAAAAGTGATCCTGAGAAGAAACCCCTGATGCACTTCAGGGAGGGGAACAGATACACAATGAAGTGAAGAAGATGCATATAGTTTTTCAACACTAAGAAAATGACTGAAAATAGTTTGTTCTCTTCTAATATCATTAATGAAACCACATAGTGATGTCACTTCTGATCACGCTGAAATTTGAGTTGCTGATCTTGCGATAACAAGCTTCCTCTTTGCGCGTTCACAGCGTGTCTACAGTGGAAAAGACCTTCAGGTTAAACGTGAGTGGGTGGAACTTGTCAAGAAAAATAACTTCACCACCACAACAACAAATGACGGGAGAGACAGAAACTTCTCTGGGAGAGCAGAAGGAAAAAAGCGAAGTCTAAGTATTATTAAACATGTGAAAGAAGAGTCATTTAATAGGAAGTAACTCATTCACACAAATGTAACTTTGTGGTCCCTCAGAAGTACGTAAATACTACCAATCAGTCCACCACAGATTATCATCAAAATTTCTTGGGAAATGCCTCATTAAAGAGTCTTTATAGAATAATATGAGTGTGCATCAGTCAAATAATTTCAAGAAGACGTTAAACACTAGCTCTTAGAGATGTAAATTTCCTTTCCTTCCTTGGGTACTACATTTTGCCGTTGTGAGTTTTAAATTGAGGCTAAATGTGAACCCTTTGAACCATGCTTATCTTCATAGGAGAAAGCCGTTTCTTGTTTTTAAGAGGAAGGCCTTAAATGGACTGAAGAATAGTGGTTTTGGCATTAAATTGCTCTTCTCAGATGTATTTATTACATGATGAAATTACATGATTATTATTACTTGCTGAAATAATTCCATAGCATAGGACTTGATGAATAATTGGTGAAAAATCTTTTAGAATTTATAGTTCTCAGACTTTGAAAAATATTTTTAAAAAATTGATATCCCCAAGCCCACCCACCTCATTACATAATCATGTCTATCACTTTTTAACCCTGATGCTGTAAACCCTGTATCCCCTCCATTAACAGAGTGTTGGTGTGCTTTGTTTTGTTTTGTTTTGTTATGTAACAGTTTCAATGAAGCATTTAATCGGAAAGCATAATCAAAATATGTCGTATGTGACATATTTTGAGTTGCGAATTGGTTTATTCTCTACTCTTTACTGAAGTTTGTCTCTATTGACTGGTGGCCTGTTGAAGATCATAAATGTCTTTGTTTTGATTTTAGGGCACTGTGTTTCTTAAAGTTGGAGTTCCTGGACCACCTGCCTCATAGGTCTCCAGATGTGCTCATTAAGAAATGCATATTTCTGTGCCTAATCCCAAGCTTACTAAATCAGAAACTCTTGGCAAGGGGGAGACTGAAATCTACATTTTCGCCTGTTTCTTGACTGACTCTTGTCTGTGTGGGGGTGAATGTTAAAAATTTAAAGGAAAGAGAGACCTATATGCAACTTACAAATAGAGACGGAGAGAAATGACAGTAAGGTAGCATAAGGAGACACTTTGGAAAATAGATTTTTTGAGGAGGAAAAAAATTATATTGCAAAATTATTTTTAGGTACACAAGTTATTTCTATATTTTGTCCTTTATCCATGCTCTTTATTTAGCTAATGTATCCCTCTTTTCTCAGATTTTATTTTTTTCATTTAGTCTAACACCTCTGTTAAAAGAAAAGAAGGGAAACAAAGAGGGAAAATAGGTGAAACTAAGGAGTGTAATATGCTCTTAAAAGCAATTTAACATTGTTTAAATGTATCTATCTTGACCTTTTCAATGCCATCTGACATTGTTTAATTTGTTATTTGTATATTATCATATGTTGGGAAGTGAAAAATAACTGGAATTATTTTTCAGACCTCAATGTTATTTACTATATTAAATTTATTTGTTTATTTTAAAGAAGACCACATAAAAGTATAGAACACTTTTTAAATGTATGCAAAGAAACATCTATTGTTAAAGTGTACCTTATGCTTGACACTCTTCGATGATTTTAGTACACTTACTATTTTCCATGCCATAATAAGAAACTGTAGCACTTTTTGTAGCCTTTCAATGAATTGAATCCTCTGAAAATTGCTTCTAATAAAATAAAAAAAACCTTTCATATCACCAAATTCCAGTCACAATAGCAATCTTGAATCTGTTTGCCACTTAATTTCCAGCATGAGAAAGAAATAATGTTTTGGGGACCATTATGTAGACTATGCCTCTGACTTCTGGGCCCACATTTAATTTCCAGCCTGTGAGGATTAAAACCTGAAATTATGTTGTTATTTTAGTTTAGAATTCTTTGTATTTTCATAATCATCATTAGCAAGATTCAGAGTTATTGTTATAATCAGCTGTAATGATAGCTGTAATTATTAACAATGCAGGGCAGACAATAAGATTTGGACTGAATCTGAGGCTCAGTGTGTATATCACTGTGGTCATTGTGCCAAACTGCACCTGAAAATGGAATGGACAGCTGGTCTAGCATGGTTACACTTGCTCAACATCTTGGAAAGACATCAGTAGAGCAGACAGTTTTGGGCCTGGTCCTTCAGTGACTTCAGAAGAGAGACCTTCTTGACCATGAACGTGTGTTTTCACCAGAAGGTGAAAAATCAAGATAGATTCGGGACATTCCTTGAAATGTTGGTGATAATAGGTGAAAACTCAGGTAGGGATTAAACAAAATTATAAGGGGGAAAAACACAGTCTACAAAGAATGATGAAAATCTCTTATAGATTATTTTCAGTGGAAGTTGTCTACTGTTATTCTAGTCCTCATTGGCCATCTTTGCAGATGCAAACTTTCCTCTACCCCTCTGCGTGCTGTCTCTTCCAGCCTGAATCTCAAAACTCATTAAGAACAGTTTTACCATAATTTCCAAGTGACCTAAACATATATTAGTTCCCCAGAGGCATGGCACAGTGTTGGGAGGAGATGACAGGGGCAGGCTGCAGAGGACGTTGTGAGAAGGGAAGCCCAAGCTAAGCTGCTTTTACTTTCACCAAGCTGCATTTTGGGACAGGTTTAGTCAGGGCAAGGCTAAAGCAAAATTAACCTCTAGTCTCTCATCTGGAGGCCTGCTAGCCTTTCTCTAAGCACAAGAACTTCAAAATTCATTTGGGGTTTGTCCTTTGCCTTTAATAAAATTTAGAACAGCATTTCTGTCTTCGTAATGATATTTAGCCCAAATAACAATAATTCTAAAATTGGCCTTCTTACCTGAAAAATTTAGAAATGTCAACTATCCTTTTAGATATTGAATGAATACACACATACTCTCTTTCCCTCTCTCATAAACGCACACACAGACACACACTCACACTCACACAGCCATAATAATTATTTTACTTTCTCTCAAGTGAAACTACATTTATTCCACTCCATTTTGAGGGGAAGAGGCAGCAAGTGATTGGGGCTAAAGAGTCTGGTTAGCAGAAAATGATAGAGAGTTGGGGCTGTGGGAAGAGCAAGGAAAAAAACCACACCTTGCAACAAACACTCAATGCTGGGTTGATGGACTAGAAGCTTTTTCCCCCCTTTAGAAACAAAAGTAAGAGCCAAGTAACTAATGACTAGTGATATGAATTACCAGTATCAGGACACTAAGTTCTGGCCCCACTCCACTGTGACCTTTGATATGGCTTTAGGCAGATCACTTTGCCAATCTGTGCTTTCAGTTTTCTCATCTGTGAAATGCGTTTAATCATATTGACTTGTTTCCCAGGGAAGTAATGTGATATATTAATATTTGTGGAGCACTTTGAGATCTGATGATAAAAGGTGCATTACACTAAGTAGTGTTTGCTTCTCTCCTTGTCTCCTTACCCCCAACAGATAATCTATACTCCTATCATATGCATATTTTTGCAAAGTTCATGTAAATGACTCCGGGCTGTTTTATTTTTAAAAAATTAATGCTGTGATGTTTCTCCAGAATCTGACAAAACCATAAAAAATAAAAAGAGTAGCAGTGGCATACTATGAAGGTTAAAGTCTTGTAAAAATCCGTAAGAAAACAGATTTCTGTTCTAAGCTTGTGTGGGGTTATTATAAGCAACAGTCAGTAATAATGATTACAAAAATGAGGAAAAATACATTGACAGTGTCATTTGAAAACAATTGTGTTAAGAGGCTTTTTACACTCATTTTACACAGTGTAGGTATCCAAAATGGGTTTTAGAGGATATTAAAAGGATTGTTTTTCAAGGTATTAAGTGTGCGAAGAACAAGAATGAAAAAGAGAGAGTTGGCTGATGGAACTCAGCTCAGAGAAATGACCTAGCCACACAGTGTGGAGGGAAGGTGTAACAATTACTTCCTCTCTGGGCTTTTAGCAGTTCAAATATCTTTAAACAAGAAGAGATTGCCTTTTACATGTAATTCAACCTAAAATATTTTCTTCGTTTTTCCCCTCTTGCAGTTTCTCTAGACATTTGCAAACTCTTGATATTGGAAGTGAACTACATTTCATTGTTATTGATTTGATTGGCAAAAAGTGTGAGCAACATAGTTCCTCTTTTCCAATCCCTAATATCTTTCTGCTTCTCTCTCATCCCACTTCAAAAAAGTTCCTCATCTTCCCTTCCGTATCTTAGTTAATGTAACCATCCTTCTTCCGTTCAGCCAGACTGGAAACCACAGCCTTCTCTGACCTCATCATGATGCTATATGTCATACCTAATGTCCCAACAGTGTCCTTAAATGACCACTTCTCGGAATTTAATGCAGCACACGTGAATGACCTAAAGATCTTATACGAATGCAGATTTTGATTCTGGAGGTCTTGGATGGGCCCGACAGTCTGCATTTCTAATAAGCTCCCAGGTTGTGGCCATGTTGCTGGTGCATGAACCATAATATGACTGGCTAGGCATTAACCTTCGTTTTCAGGCAAGACTTTGGCTGTCTACTGATACAATTCTCTCTTCTTTTTTAGAAAAATATCCAACCCGAGCAGGATAAAACTGATCATCCTGAGGATATTGCCCTTGGAGTTAATTTTTTGAGAGAAATAAAACAATAAACATCATAAGACACAAACCCCAAGCAACTGGTGAGTAAATGGAGCTTCTCTATCACTCATATTCTCTTCTCGGACAGCTGTTTGCATTCCACTCCCTTACACATTGTTGTATGTTCTGTTTTGTCATAATGTATTCCTTTAACCATTTTTCTGAGAGTACACTATGTGTGAAACACTCAACTACACTCAAGGAATAAAAAAAAAATTAAATGGTATGATGTCCCACCACCAACAAGCTTATAATCTTACAAAGAAAAGAGCCAAGTAAGCAAAGAAATACAGTGAAGTGTAATATTTCCCTATGCCTAGAATATTCTTACTGTTCTGAACTCCTTTCCCATCCCCAAATCCTCACTGCCACACACACACTTTGTACCATAGCAACATTAAACCATGTTATGTAATACTCTAATACAAGTCATAATTTTAATCCCAAGAAATGTTGCATTATCAATAATCCAATTTCTATGCATTATCAAAAATTGTGATATAATAATTGTTCTAATGAAAGGTATTATGGTTTTGAGGCTGGATGGTTTTCAGGTTTATAAGGACTGAGAATTCCAGCAACAAATATGACCCTAAATATATATAACAAAACTTAAAAATTGCTGAGAAAATGTAGTTAGTACAACACTATAGTAACAGCCCTGGTCATAAAGAAAATTCAAATGTAGCACCACTGGTGATTGGCTTCCATTCTCATTCCATTGCCTGTTCTCAAATGGAGAACAGTGGGGCATGGATGGAGGTGGAGGGTGATTCTTGGGTGGGAGGCAAAGAGCAGCCAGGAAGATCCATCTTGGGAAGTACAGAGGCAGAATGTAGGCTCCGGGGAGTTCTCACTCCTCTTAGCCCATTTTTTCCAGAGTGGGATGGTGAAATTGGCATTTGCTACTCAGAAGATTCCTGGAATCTGTTGCTCTTCTGAATGTTTCAGGTAACCCTGGGATATAAAAACATATCCATTGATATTTAACCTACCACAGATTGGCACTAAATGTAACAACAGTAGGACTAGGACAACTTGGGATCATGTGAACAGACCAGAAACTACAGACTGCAACAGAAATGTGCAGATTGCCCAGGTGGTTTCTACAGCCTTGCAGCGATGAAACCCCATGTCTTATATACTTGGTGTTTCCTCTGTTTGATTCTAATGAGCTTCTAATCTCTACTGATGGTGTTTCTCTTTCTACCTCATCAGCCCAGGGCTCATTCATTTTATCCTGTTTCACCTATGCTATAGATAATAGAAAACCCAAGGCCACTCAAACATAAGTAGCTTGATCAATGCTAATTCCTGATCAAGTCAACCCAATATCCAGCATCAATTAGATAATGTAAATTGTATTTCCTCACTAATTTATTATAAATTATAATAAAATGTAAAGCATAGTGTTTATAATATACCAGACATTATCCTAGCTCTTTTGCATGAATTGACTTTTTTTGTCCTCATAGCAGCCTCATGAGCTGTTTACTACTTTCATTTCCATATTATAAATGAGGAACTTGATGCACAGTGAGGTTAGGCAACTTGCCCAAGGTCACACAGTCGGTAAGTGTTAAAGCTAGGATTCAAACCTAGACAGTTCAGAGTTCAAACTCTTTATTGTATCTGAGTCATGAAGACTCCCACAGGGAACAGAAGGTTATATTTGGATATTAGATATTTTATGGAGCTACTGAAGGCTTTTCAGAAAGGGATATGATCAGATCGAACGTCTGAAAAAGATCATAATCATGGCTGGAGATATTTCCAGATTTCCTGTGCAATTATTTCTCCCTCAGCCTACCCTGATAACTCTTTGTGGTTAAAAGCTTGGGCCCTTGAGTCAGAAAAGTCTTGGAAAAAAATCCCTGTTAATTATAATAACAAATGCTTTGAGCATTACTGAGGCTCTGTGGTAACTTACATGGATCATGGTTTTTAACCTTCATAATAATCCCTGAGGGAGATACTATTACTCTCTCCCTTTTCAGACGAAAAAACTGAGTTCTCAGATTGGTTGTAAAAATATGTCCAGGATTATATCACTAGGTATGGAGCAGAAGTTAAAAAACCGTTTTGTCTAAATTGCAGAATATTAGTTACTGTTGTGTAACCTATTGTAATAAAGATTGCTGGTTCTTACATTTGTTAGTGATGAGATAGTTGGCATTATATTATATTATATTATATTATATTATATTATATTATATTATATTATATTATATTATATTACATTATATGTTTTGAGACAGGGTCTCACTCTGTCACCAGGCTGGAGTGCAGTGGTACAATCATAGCTTCATGGCAACTATGCCACACATTTAGAAAGTTAAAAAACTCAACGAATAAAAAATATTCTTAATGTTTTATTTCCTCATTAAAAGAGTTTCCTTTTGTTCTTCTGAATGAAAACTGTGACTTCCGTTTTTTCCTAAATGTGTGCTTGAATCTTTTGCGGATGTATATTTTTGCCTTGTTTGTGGAGATGTTCCTTTATTCAAAATATGTAAGAATTGCTTTCTAGATGTTTATCATCAACCTTTGATGTCAGTTTCCTAGCAAGTACAAAAATCTCCCTTTCTAGTGGCTCCCCAAATAAATTCTGGAAGAGCTATGTTTTAGAAATTTCGGGATTTACTCATATAAGAAAGAATCCCTAAAAGTTAATATATTAAGATATGAGAAGTGATGGCCTCTGCTTTTGGTGGGTGGGCAGTCTTCCTCATTTCTTCCTCAATTAGGAGTTCATGTAAACAAAAAAAAAATCTATGTTTATGAGTTTGTGGTCTTATTTCTACAATTGTAAAGATAATTAAATATAATAATATCAGAAAACCATATCTATATGGTAAGTTTTCAGTATTAGTTTGCTAGTGTTAATATTAGAAATAGTAATAGTAGTAGTGTTTGTGCTACTGATATTAACCTTGTTATTAATCAGATTGTAGCATGAATGCCCAAACTTTTTAAAAAGGGAAAGAACTGAGATTCCAAGGAGTTCAATGAGCTGCTCGTAATTATGAAAGAAGACACTGGCATAACTAGGTTAGAAATGGATGAACAGAAGCCTGACTCCTGCTTTCTATGTATTAAACAATGAATTCTAATAAAAGAACTCTTAATCATTGCCTGCATAATGACATATTCAACAATACCCTTAATTGCAAAACAACTGCCATGTTTTTGCACATAACCGTTCATCCAAAGGGCAAGATGTACACCATTCCTTTAACTTTAAGTTCCCATCATTTGTTACTTCATTCATTCATGGAGTAGATGTTTCTGAAGTCTGTGTGCTGTTTAGGCACTAAGCTAAGTACTGGAACAATAAATGAATAAGTCATTGTTCCTCAACACAAGAAAGCAGAAACCTTCAATATTATTTCACAGGATGTTTCTCAGTTTCCATTTTGTCTCATCGCCATCTTTTTAAAAGTAGCTCCAAGTGCTTATGGCCACTGACCCACTTCATTCATTTATTCATTCAGTCATTCGTTCAGTAAATATTTATGGACCCTCATTATATGCTATGGGGATAAAGTGATGAATAAAAAAACACAGTCCTTCCCTTTCATGTATCTTATTTTTTTCTGGTAGAATAGACAGATTAAAAACAAAGAAACAAAACAATTACCAACTGTGACAAACACTATAAAAGAAACAAATATAGAGAGAATAACAAAGGGACCAACTGCAGAAGGGATGGGTAGTAAAGACCTTTGAGGAGGTGACATTGATTCTGGAATCTGGAAGCTGAGAAGTAACTAGCCATGTGAAGAGTGTAAAATCATTTTAGTAAAATAGCAGAGCATAAAGACCTTGAGGCAGAAATGAACTAGGAGTTTTTCTACACAGAAAAGAGACATGATCTAATTTTATTTTTAAGAATATAGTTTTGGCTGCTGCAATAGAAGGCAGAGCAAGAAAAAAAGCTGGAATACTATTGCATAATGGAGAGACAGTCCTGATAGCCCAGGTAAGACATGCTGGTGGTTAGGCAGTGGCAGTGGAAATGAAGAGGAACTAGAAGATGAAAGATAAATTTTGGAGGTATAATCAGTAGGACTTGTTGATGGACTGAAAATGCCAGAAAGACAAAATTAGCAATCCAGATTAATTTCCAAATTTCTGGTGTGAGAAATTGGATAATCACTGTTGTCACTGACTGACATGGAAAATCCTGGGTGTTGGGAGGCAGAATTGGGAGGGAGGGACAACAAAGGAGTTGAATACAAAGAAAGAAAACAGCTTAAAAGCTTCCCTCATATTAATAATTGAGAAATTTAATCATATATATATACACACACAAACACACACACACACACACACGGGAACAGCAGAATCTCTGAAAGAATATTTTGATGTCATTCTACAAGTAAGATGCTTGTGCAAATCAGCAAGATGTCACTGGTACTGTGTGACACCATCACCACAGAACATTTCTTCGCTGGCATGGTATTGATTCCAATTACTTATCTTGATGCTTAAATCTCCTTGGCATATCCCTGTCAAGGGATCACACAGCCTGTGGTAAAATAGCAATAGTTACAATGGGTGGAAGGTAACAATAATATTTGATTCTTATATGTGTCAGGCACTCTTGGAAAGGCTTAATAAAATAAAAAGAATACTCAGCAAACATATTTTTTCTGATACACAGTAGCAATCTCTTTCCAAGTCTACTCATTCATTAATGTAATCTTTGGCACTGCCCCCTGACAGCATGGTGCTAAAAGAGTATATTCACAGGTGCACCTGTGGGGTTAGGAAGGTTTCCTTGTTCTCATTCTGGCCCCCTCACACTCTTAGTGCTGCAGGGTTTTTTGTTTTTGTTTGTTTGTTATTTCTCATTGTCTCACTGGTCAGTCACAAGGCTGGATGAAATGACCTTTGAATTCTTCTCTAGCTCTAAGCTTCCACAGTTCCAAAATTCGTTACCTTCACTTTTAAATAGACAGAGGATACATATAAGCTATGACAGAATGAAACTAGTAAAGAACTAAAATGATCCAGCTTTAATGTCCTGTGTATGGAATTTTATATTGAAACCTGTAATGATGAATGAAATCCTTAGTCATTTTAAGGAACAGAAGTGCCATTTATTTTTGTACTATTTTTTAGGTTTTTTTTTTTTGGTGGCCCAAATCCAGGTTGAATATATTGTCTACTATTAAATAAAATACCTATTTTCAGGAATTCATGTGATAAATACTTTCCTGAGTTCTAAGAAAAGTTTATCTCTGCCAGCAAAAAAAAAAAAAAAATGTGTATTTTTCATACTAACTACAAGTGCCGTGCCCTAGTTGAGTGTTATCCTGGGAGAACTTCTGATGTAGAAAGGAGAGGATAGAAACAAGGCCAGGACATCACAGAGTGGAGGTAAAAGAAACAAATCCTCTTCTACTTACCCACTCCTCCACCCCATCTCCTGCTTCAGCAAGAACAAAGGAGACATATGATGAATGATACCCATAAAGATACCCTGGTGTCTGGAGACCTAACATGGGAACCCCAGACTAACACCATGATTTATGCCACTAATGAGGAATCTGAAAAAGGACATAGTAACTCCACAAGGCCCTTTCTCCCAACATTTGCTGGTGGTGAAGACATACATAATTATCTTCAAACTCAGTTATCACTGGCCGAGAGCCAGGGTGAAACTGAACCTGCAGGTGGCTCTTTTCATTATGGTCAATGATGTGGAACTCTAGCAGTAACACAACATATTTCCCTTTTCCACTTTACTGCTAGGGCACTCAAGGCCCTAATTCTGTAAGCAGGTCACCTTAGGTGCCCAGTAGTACTTATATCTTTAATCTGAATAGTCTTATTTTATTTATGATCATTTTGTAATTGTTACTAATTACCTGTCAATGAGTCTGCTGCATTAATTGATGTTCTAAAAATATATAGAAAGGAATCAAAATTAACACATATATGCTTAATGAATCTAATATCATTATTTCAATTTGGCCAAATTATCTTGGTAATGAAGTGATGAGAAGGGTATATGAGACACATATTCACTTACCCTGGGATTATCTTAGAGAAGAACTGTCTTCCTATAGTTAATACAAGGTCACACAGCATATGGATGATCATGATACAGGCTCAGAGCTGTAATTACAAACATTTCCTGAGATTGTTTTCAGCAGCTTGCTGGAGTAATGAAAAGATCCTGGGCTTAGGAGTTGGTCCGACACAGGTTTCATGGCCTAACTTCACTATTGACAAGCATGTGATCTTGGTTAGGTCATTTAACTTTATTGAGCTTTGGTCTTCTCAGTGGTAAAAAATGAGACTAATACGTCACTTCTCACAAACTCATGAAGAGAATTAAGCATAATGACTGGGTACAACTATGTAGCATGGTAGCAGCCTTCAAACACTCAGTAAGAGAGCCTTCTTCTCTTACTTGTTTTCTGCATCTTCCAAATGCAAAAATGAGCATTTGGGGTTATGGGATACATACTAAAACCTATAGGCTATCCCCTTGTTGCTCTCTCTGTTGTTTTAACAGCAGAGCATGCATTTGTTTATTCTGCACATGTAAACATTCCACTAAAGAAATTCATCAGCTACCAGCCCTTTTGTACCTCACAATATTTAAAATTCCTAACTCTTTGAAATGACATAAAGATATCTCTTGACAGCTGTTGCCTTTGACTCACTCACATAATGTTGCAGACTCTTACTTATCAATCAGTTTAGATGACAAATGGGAAAGCCCCTCTGTTCTTCTTCTCTAAGTCTACGCGGATAAATGTGGTAAACTAGCACAAATTTCAGGGCTTAGACGCAGCCTGAATATCCATAATTACTGGGCAATATTTCAACATCTTGATATTTAAATTTATACAAATCCCACATGCACCCACCACCTTCTTTAAAATAAATTTGGAATTATTGTTTAAGTGTAGAAACAATGTTTTAAAAGGCCCATACACAGGACTTTATGGGGCACACTGTGCTTTGGGCTGCTGTGGTTAATCCAGGCCAGTATACTGCTCCAAGTAGTTGACAAATTCCACTGTTGCTTCCTTTTTTTTTTTTCCTTCCATGAAGTTTAAAATAAACAATTAACCTATTTCCAACACAGTGTTTGGTATTGATTTAATTTAGCATGTGTTATTCATCTGCATGCCTCACAACGGTTGCTTAATTGCCTAAATCTTCCCGTGTAGAGTGCTGCCTATGGAATCTCTTTCCACAGAACACTCTTAGCAGAGTGTGGCTTACTATTTCCATAACATCTGTCTTTTCTACTAAAGAGCAGATTAACAATTATGCTTCTTTTAAAGGTAGGGGTGTGTGTGTGTGTGTGTGTGTGTGTGTGTGTGTGTGTGTGTGTAGGGAGGGTTGGGCAAGATAATTTACTTCTTGTACAATTTTCTTTCTGGCGCAATAGTTTGCAGTCTTATCACCAGGTCAGGGATTTTGCCTATACCCACAATGCAGCTGGCAGTATTGCCCTTTTCTTTTGCCTTATTATGCCACAGAATGCCACATTATTTCCATTAAATATGATTGTCTTCAAACGAGACAACATATGCAACCCCTCCTCCTGCTCCCACTCCCCATGTCTCTCTGTCTCACACACGCACACATACCCACATACACATACACACAAATGCATGCACACATGCACACAAAGCTCCTTTCAATTGTGTTAAGCAGTAAAGCAGAAGGATTTTTTAAATTAGTGTTTTGTTTTGGCAATGGTTGCTGATGTGTTCATGTAATACAGTTTTAATCAAATCCCCAAAGCTGAAGACCTTTCAGCATATCTTAGGCTGCACTGTGCAGGGCTTATTCCACTTGAAGTGGCCACCAGGGAGGTACAATTAGCTGTTCCCATGGAGAAGTTTGTTATAGTAATAAATAATAAGTAGCATAGGTAGCGATGGAATCAATTAAAGATATTTTTGACCGCCTAATGGTTTATGGGAATGCTAAATAATTGACAACAAGTTTTTGACTGTTTTCTGTCTGCATGTCTTCTTGTAACTAAACATTGACCATGCACATAGGACAGTGTCCGAGGTCACTACTTTTTCTTTTGTAAAGCCATATTGTCAAGGGTATTCTCTGAAAGACAATTGCAGCCCTTACATAATCAAGCTGATTTTGAGAGGGTTAAAACTCTGCTGTAAATATTTGCTGCAGGCAGAAATCTAACATATGAAGCAGGAGAACAAATTGTGTTATCAGTTTCAAAAACAATCTGTTTCGCCCTTCATTTACTTATTTTTTTTAACCAGTGTAAAGCAGGACAATAGGAGTTGGGTAGCTAAGAGGGCTTTGTGTTTTGTCTCTGGGTTCCTACTGCTTTGAAGTTAAAATGGAAATTTGGCAAGTGGGAAATTAGTAAAGTGCTCTAAATGCTTTTGGCATCTTGACAGGCCAAAAAAAAAAAAATCAAAATGGTCAAGCTACCTTGGTTCAAAATTAGTGAGTGTATGTTAATGAATTCCTTTATAAATAAAATCTCAGAAGAAAATGAGATGGGTAGGTTTATTGTGTGTATTTGAGGATGAATTGATATGCCACACATCAACTAAAGCAGGTCAGTGATCCATGAGCTTTGCAAGATTTACATGAAAAGACACAATTGTTCCTTCGAAGTTATTGGATAAGTGACATATGGTCTCAATGCCAACGTGGGTATCAATGGGAATTAGTCAGACTAAAATTTGGGCTAAATAAAGCTTAAATCACAATTATCATCATTTGATTAGAAAAAGTAGTTCTAGTTGATTCTCTATTTTACAAATGTTTTTCTCTAATTGTAAAAGCCCACTCTGTGGATTTATCTGCAGAATGAGCCCATTCTATCCTTAGGGTTTCTATGAAGTCAATATGAGCAATGCAGTATACAAGAGCAACAGAAATTGCTTCTGTAGGCTGCTGGAATGCGAAATTTGTAAGTGCATGTTCATGATACCTCAGGTCAAATATATTTAATATAATAGTATCTTGTACTTTAGTAGGGGTTGGTAAACTACAGGACCACAGGCCAAATATGGCCTACTGCCTGTTTTTGTAAATAAAGTTTTATTGAAAGACAATGATGTTCATTCATTTATGTATTGTCCATGAATGCTTTATGGGATGAGGGCAGAGTTGAGTAGTTGCAACAGAGACTGTATGCATGACCTATAAAGCTGAAAATACTTGCTATCTGGCCCTTTAAAGAACTAAGCTTGCCAATTCTAGACTCATAGAATTCCTTAATCTGATCATTTAAAATTTACTTGTTATCTTCATCACATTCCTCTGAGAGGAAGTTTTTCGTTTCATTCCTCCCAGCCTTGTTTTTCTGCACTGACGACTGTAATGCAAGGAATTTGAGGATGATCAGAAGATCAAATAGAATACTAAAATGATTTATACTTCTTTCCTAACCATAGCCATTGACCAAGAGCATCAGCAGTTATTGACAGAGTGACATGGCCAAAAGAGAAACACCTCCTGTTGGAAAGATTTTGGCCAATTGCCTCAACTCAGTAGGGGTATCACAGGTGACAGTATCCATTGGAAATTTATCAAAATAGTAAGGAACTCCAAAGCATCGAAGTGGAAATCAAACTAAGAGCAAAACTAAAGAATAAAAAACACGTTGGCTCTAGAATTCAGATCGAGTGAGAAAATGTGCAGGAATAAAACAAAAGGCTCTAAAGGAATTGCTTGAATGTGGAGAGGTGGTTGGGGTTTCTTTTCATTGGATGATGTCTCCTTAATAATTATCCTGCAGAGGGTGGACAATTTCTTCATTTTCACGGTAGCTATCTTCTGTAGGAATATGTGGGCTAGTTTTTTAATCTTCTATCACATTTTGCATGAGCTGCAGACAGCTAGTAAAAAGAGATGAGAACATGATACTTAGAAGGGTGGTCTTCACTCAGAGCCAGGAAATCTCTCCACTTCCACTTACATGGTATGAACAAATGAAAACTACCCATATTTCCATCAAGTATCTGAGTCTAGCATCTAGAATAGCATATGTTTTAGAATTGTCTCACTTGTCACTTTTACATCTTTTTTAACTAGGGAGAAATTAGTAAATGTGACCTGAGATTAGGATGTCTCCACTGAAAAACAAAAACAATTTTATTGGTACTGTTTTTATTGTTAAGAGTTACTTGGTAAATAGAGAAAGAAATAATCAAATGAAAAGAACAGATTGAGTGGCTCAATTCTTACCTTCTTCAGGTGCAAAAAAACTGAAGGTACCTGTTCACCATGCTCCAGCCACTCTGGACTTGCTTTAGTCCTTCAAGGTTACCCTGTCCTTTTTCCCCTTGCCCCAGGGTTCTCAACCCTTTTGGTCCAAATGACTTTACTTTTTCTCATTATTTCTTAGCCTCAGTTTCCTCTGTTCTTTCTCCTCTTTTCTTCATTCCCCTTATTTTTATTGTTTTGTCCCTTTTTCTACAAGCAAACCTGAGACCTATGCAAAGCATATATAAGCATTCTTTATCTTGACTATGACCTCAGAAGTTGCTGACCTCTGCTTTGTTTACTGGAAATAGTATGTCTACTTATTCTACTTCTTCCTAGTCAAGCCTATGCTTTTTCAACCACCTGAAATGCTTGCAAACTGGTAATTAGGTTTTGTGTAAACATTTAAGAGTTTTATTTTCTTTTTAGAAAGGGCTGTTAAGTACGATTTGGTTGGGGATTTTGGCACATCCAATCTTTATTTTTTCAAATGACTTATTAAAAAGCAACAACCCACATATGTTTTATGTAACACAAGTAAGAATTCCGTTACCCAAAGTCATCATCTCTACTCAATGTTCTATAAAATTAGAAGATTAGATAAAATTATTAATCAAAGAAATCAAAATGAGAAAAGCAAAATAGGTGTTCGTTCACGGTTGTTTTGCCTTTGTTTTTATCTAAAGAACCCACAGATCTGCTTGTCAAGAAATTCTTTTGAGGCCTTTCTATAAACCAATTAATCTTTAAAATTAAAGCTTGAAGAAAGAAAAACTATTGTTGGGTGTCAAGATAAATTTGAAGTTGAAATGATCTTTGAATATGCCGTTTAATATTTGAGAAATGTGCTACCTAGTAGTTCATATCTACAACTCTTCTGCTAATAGGTGAAGATAACCTTTCTGAAGGAATGGGATCACAGATTTTTTTATTTCACCTATATTTCCATAGTCTCCTTTATGACACACTTGTCAGCAGGTGTGTCAAGTGTAGAGCCTGAATAAGCATCAAAGTTTGAACAAGCACTTGGACAAAGAGAGCCCTGTCCTCCTGATTCGCTCTGTTGTCTATCCCCACACCCTGGTCCATGATTCTCTACTACCCTTGTCCTATACCTGCCCCTTCAGTTTTATCTCATAAACCCCCCTTTCACACTATCTTCCAGCAACACAAAGGAGAATTACCCAAATACATTATTCATCTTATGCCTTTTCACATCTCTTTCCATTTTTACTGAAATCCTTCCTTTCTTTCTTATTTATTCTTTAAAGCCGTGCTTAAGTATTAGCCTTTTTTATAAGCCTACCTCAATGCCCTACTTCCGGTGAAGTTAATTTCACCTTATCTAAGTTACTTCAACATTTCTTCCACATTTCTTGTGTTGCATGGGTCACACTGTTCAGAAACTGTGTGTTAAATGTTTGTCTATCCAAAGGTCAAGTGCTGGGACCTATCTTTATCCCTACTACCTAACTTTGGGGCTGGCATATAGAAGGGATCCCAGATATCTGTAGAACTGAACTGATGAATAGATAAAAGCAAAATTCTATGATTCCTGGGAGATAAAACACAAAGCTTGGACCTTCTAACCGGTGTGAATTTACCTATCATAGACATTTTAAAATTTCAAAATAGATTGCTGTTAGGTCTGTAAGAATTATTTTTGTAACGTCTATAAAGTTGACTGTTGGGCTAAGATTATTGGAGATAGTGATTAGGAGATAGGGTGAAGTTTAATTCTTTACATGGCTGAACTTCAATCAGGTTCACCAAGAAATTTTAGGCCACATTTATTTATTTCAAAAAAAAGATAAAATCTAGTATCTGTAAAACCACCAAATACGCACAAGTCCCTCCTTTTAATGAGTCACTTGAATGCAAAATCAACTGTAATTCAAGAAACCAAAAACAATAAAAGAAGTGAGCTTTGTCAGACTGGACGAACTTGTTCTACCTGTTACAGACAAAGAAAGGTCTGATGAGGTCCAGGAAACGGAGTTAGTTAGAGCTTAGATTGCAAAGGAGTATTCTGTGTCTCCCCCTACTGGTTGGTGGAATAACTAAATGGAACAACCCCCCAGGAATCTAAATGGCCATGATCTCCTGACAGCTTTGTACCATCTGATCACCTGCCTCTGTGAACTTTCAATAAGGAAGGTTAATCAGGAGTTCACTTCAGGATATTTTCTGTCATCCCCAGTTTTCTAACTCTGGTTAATTAGCATTCTGCATTTCTTAACAATTCTAACTTCACATCCCATTGAAATAAACCATTAAGAAACCTACTCCTCGCACATTTTAATTCCAGGCTATCTCTACATTCTGACTACATCAAACTTGTTTTAAAAAGGTTTTATTTGAAAATAATCCTAAGTGTTACCACAAGGGATACCATTTCCTCTAGTCTTCAAAGGGTTGTGTGAGCCCACCATTAAATATGGGAATACTAAAAACAAATAACAGTAGTTCTTATAAATAGCAACACCAGATACGATAAATCCACAGAAAATTTTGGGAATAAGGAATTACAGAAAATTTATTTGCATTATTCCATTACCTTTATTTGGTGATTATATATCTAACAGATTCAAATTCTAAAATAATTTGAAAAGCTTATTATTGTGCATATTCATGAAAAGAGTTGAGACAAGCCAAGGACCTACAAAAGAAGATATTGTATGATAGATAATTTACAAATCAGAAAATATCCTCATTCTGTGGTAACAGTTAAATCATCCCCAAGGTTTGTCATTATCAGCTATGAAGTGTAGGTTATACAACAAATAATAAGAAAAAATGAGAAGAGCAAATTAAAAATGGGTAGAAGTGAAGATTTTCATATATAAGATCAGATATGGGAACCAACAGTGAAGCATCAAAAAGTCAATGCAGTACTGAGCAAAGAAAAACAACACTAGAAAAGAGAAAAGAAAATAAACCACGACGAAGAGAATGGTTTCTGAAAAGTACAAAGGGCACAAAGGAGCATACATCGCAAAAGTCTTTGTAGGTCTGACTACTTAGAAAGACATAAAAGCTAATGGTTAAAATGTATTCATTATATTTTGTTTACTACATTAGGGAACAATGTTATACCTTATATGGAGAGTTAGATTAGAAATAATATAGAATTCTAAATTTATTCATAAATATTTATTGAGTGCCATATTATTTGGGATATGTTAATTCATTAAAAAATTCTAAAAATATCAGCAGCTTGAGGTGAGGATTTGTTTCTCACTTGTGCCTTAGCTCACTGCCGATCATTTGGGACCATGCTCCTTCTACCATAAGATGCTACCGTCTTTAACAAATGGCCTTCAAGTATGCTGAGCAGAAGGAGAGACAGCATCATTCACGAAAGCTTTTTATGCACCAAAGCTGGAGGTAGCTTATTTATGAATTTTATACACACATTCCATTGACCAGAAGTCAGACACAACTCCACTCTAAATGCCAGAGGGTTCTGGAAAATGTTGATTTCCTACTTGCTCAAGAGAAGGAAGTTGATTAGCAAAAACATTTTCTGTGTGAGGGTCTGGAGATTCATCAGTGGTTGGCAGGTGGAGGGAACAGACAAAAAAAATTCCATCTTTAAGGTCAGAAGATAGACAACAAATGAAAGTTAAATGCACAGTATATTAAATGGCGATGTGTGAAAACTAAAGAACCCAGGTAAGGAGGATAGACAGCATGGCAGGAGTCAGTTCCTACTATGTTACTGCCTTGGGAAGGAGACAA